>NC_000005.10:122609807-123859807 GCF_000001405.40 Homo sapiens
TTCCTAAATACGTTAAAACAGACATAGTGAAAGATATAATAAATGTCCTGTGCACAGAAGTTTTACAATATTATTGAAGGAAATTAAAGAAAACTCCTTGAATCCATCTGGGATCAATTTTGGCATAAAATGTGAGGTAAAGATTTAATTTAATTTTGTCCAATTAGTGAAAAAAACTGTTTTAGCATAAACTGGATATTCCTTTGCTGATTTGAAATGTCACATTTCACATGCCCTAAGATTTTGTTTATTCTTGAGGCTGTTTCTGGGCTTTTTCCACTGGTTAGTCTAATATTATAAATACTCAAAACTAGTATAGATTTTAGTATAGCTAACAACTAGTATAGATGTTAGAAAACAAAATTTCAAGCAATTTAGTTTAATGATCTAATTGACTTTCATTAGTGATTCATGAATTGGTCAACATTCCATCTTAAAAAAAGAAAAAGGTTCATTGAGCATGGCAAAATAATTGGTTTTTGTAAGGTGGCTTCAACAGGAACAAGGAAACAGCATAATACAAAAAAGTGGATGAGTTAACATCAGGTTACTTCAGATTACTTTTCTTCTAGGGATAAAGCAGAGGGGACATCCTTCTCATGCCAGCTTAGGCTGACTGAGTCCTTCCCAACTGGTTAATCTTAATCTCCTGAGGTTGTTTGTTTGTATGTTTGCTTGTTTTGTAAAAACTGTCCTGTTTGCAGTTTTTTCTTTTTTTGTTTGTTTGTTTAAGTTTCAGTTTGACTTTATAGCACTTAACATGAGTAACTCCATTATGGTTTGTCTGTTGGGGCCTTCTTCAGAAGCTCAGCCCAAAACAATGGCTTCCCATAAATTTTATTTAGCATAGCTTTATAATATGTTTCATTATCCAAGAAGACAATTCCATCATTACCGCATTTTTTAACTTCTTGGCTATTTCTGTTTGTTTGTTCTTTGAAATGAGCTTTATAATACTCTAGTTGTTTTGAGAATTGTTTACAATTCTCAAACTACCAGAGTATTTTTTTTTAATTGGAAATGAAAAAAATCCTGTCAGGAAACCTGAAGAGGGAAGAATTTGAGGCTTATGTATGATGTTGAATCAGTAATATATAGTATAACTTGCTATTCTTGGAAACTCAATATGAGCCATGTTAAAACAGGAACTTAAAATTACTAAATCTTAAAGGCCGGGCGTGGTAGCTCACGCCTGTAATCCCAGCACATTGAGAGGCCGAGGCAGGCAGATCACTTGAAATCAGGAGTTTGAGACCAACCTGGCCAACATGGTGAAACCCCATCTCCACTAAAAGTACAAAAATTAGCCATGGAGGGTAATGCATGCCTGTAATTCCAGCTACTTGGGAGGCTGAGGCAAGAGAATCGCTTGAACCCAGAAAGCGGAGGTTGCAGTGAGCAGAGATCGTGCCACCGCATTCCAGCCTGAGTGACACAGTGAGACTTTGTCTAAACAAAATAAAATAAAATTAAATAAATACGAAATCTTTTTTTGTAATAAGAACCTTAACTAATTCATACAGGGTTTTTATTTAGAAAGTCCTAGATTCAAATCATAGCTCTGTTGCTTTCTACCTACATGACCATGGAATATGTAAGCAATCTTTCTAAGCTTCAATTTCCTCATAGAAAATTCTTTTTATTTTTTTCTGAGAATTAAAAGAGACTGTATACAAAGTTCTTAGCAACTCAAATTATACTAGTTGCCATTGTTTTTACTTTTATTCTCTACAACATCAGTTCAACTTATTTTACAAGAAGGTGTCAAAGGCATTGGAACTGGATAAGGTTCGACCTGCTGGGTTACATTCCCAGGACGCTAGGCATTCTTGATCACAAGATGTTTATGGTTGAGGGAACAAGTTAACAGAAAAAGACATTCTTAGTTTGAAAGCAGGTTTCACTTTAAAGATAACAGTACACACATAAATTCTTGCTGAAATTAATAATTACACAAAAGAATAATAATACTAATAGTCTGTCACAAGCTGATCACAAGCCTTTATGATAAAGTATACTATGCTTAGCCCTAATACACTATGTAATAAACAAGCATTAAGTTTGAGGTAGGAGCGTTCCTCCTCTTGCTTTCTGAAGACACCCTACCCAGTAGTTTCTAATAAACTATTTTAACTTTACAATAGTCTGTGACTCACCCTGAATTATTTCCTGTGCATGATCTAAAAACCCACTTGTGGTGTCTGGGACAAGACCCCTTTCCAGTAACAAAGGCACTCAATAAATGTTTGGCAAATTGTGTGAATGCGTATATTTTGCTCAGTGACATTTGACATACGAAATTAAAATTCTCTTTACTCCACTTGCAGTTATACTGAAAACATTTCAGGGAATGAGCCATGTGCTTTCTTGATAGCCTAAAGCAGGATTGTCCAATCTTTTGGCTTCCCTGGGCCACACTGGAAGAAGAATTGTCTTGGGCCACACATAACATACACTAACACTAATGATAGATCTTATAATGTTTTAAGAAAGTTTACAGGCCGGGCACGGTGGCTCATGCCTGTAATCACAGGACTTTGGGAGGCCGAGGTGGATGGATCACTTGAGGTCAGGAGTTCAAGACCAGCCCGGCCAACATGGTGAAACCCCGTCTCTACTAAAAATACAAAAATTAGCCGGGTGTGGTGGTGTGTGCCTGTAATCCCAGCTACTTGGGAGGCTGAGACAGGAGAATTGCTTGAACACAGGAAGCACAGGTTGCAAGGAGCCTAGATCTCACCACTGCACTCCAGCCTGGGCAACAAAGTAAAACTCTGTCTCAAAATAAAAAAGAAAGAAAGAAAATTTACAAACTTGTGTTGAACCACTTCAAAGTGATCCTGGGCCACATGCAGCCCATGGGCCAGGGATTGGACAAGCTTGGCCTGAAGGAAAATGTGCTGCCACTCTACTCTCCTATCCTGGAGAGTGTTTCCAGTTACCAAAATGGGGCTCAGGGCAGAAAACAATAAATTCCCAGCTTAAAAAAGAGTGACAAAAATCTCCCCTTTTCTAAGAACAAATGTTCATTAAAAAATTTAGGGGGTAAGTATTTTTTGTTGGGTCTGTTTTGGAGAAAAACAATTTATCTCAAAAAATGACTAACACTTATCAGGAGAGACCTATTTATTTATGTCTAGATGTTGGTAGTGAAGACTTACCTGCTAACTTGCCTACAGAAATCTCAGACACTGAAAAATACATGAAGAAGATCTGCAGAGGGTCAAGTAACAGAAATGTGATAAGGAAAATGGAGTTCCGCCAGTCCTGTAGCCCTCAGCTCCCCCTCACAGAGCATGTTCTTACACCGTGAGTGAGCAGAGAACATGGTGTCTTCTGATTAGGCATGAGGCAGTAACAACAACAACAAAAAAACCTCTCGGATTCATTCGGTATTCAAGGTGGGCTGCTGTTGAACAATTTGTTTCACAACCAAAAGTTGACAGAACAAATCCAAAACATTTCTGTGTACATGTTTACATGGGCAGCGATTGGCACTGCAGTGGGTCTGAAGGTGTGCCTGAAGTCCCTTATGCTTTTTGTAACATTTTCAAATTCATTGCTGTCTTCTAGATGACAGGAAATTCAGGTCTGCCTTCCTCCTGGGAGATCTTTATTCACAGACAAGTCAAAAACCCTTGACAAAAGGCAACCAAGGGAACTTGTTGACCTTTTAGCTGTCTGCCTAACATCAGTGCAAGTATTGTTCCTTGATAAAACAAGAAATTCAATTTAAGGGGAAATTTAGAAGGCATTTGAGGCACTCTCATTTTATTTTACCTCTTGGGCTGTCTTTCAAACTGAGAACAAATGTAAATAAACAAGACCTGTACTCTCATTCCAAGGAATAAATAAAAAATATCTGGTCTCACAGCTTGATGTAAATGAGACATTGTCTGTCTCCTTATTTATCTCTCTTTTCAGCCATTTGTTGAATTTTTTTCCTTACCCTTTCCTATGCACACGCATACACAAATACACACACAAACACATACATATACACAAATTACTAAGAAGTTAAAGCTTTGCTTCTTTGGGTAGATTTTTTTTTCTTTCTCTATATCATTTGTTACATCTTGAAAAGCTGTATTCTTTTACAAATTAAAAAAAGAGAACAAATCACATCCCAACAATGCACTGAGATACTCATTATCTCAGATATTATTATGATAATAATATTAATTATATTTTACCCAAAGGAAAGATACTCAAGTGGAGAGATTGTTAAACTTTTAATTACATGGAGGCTTATGAGGGTTATACTTTTTGTCTTAACATATATTGACTAATCAAAATTTTTTTTCTCTTGGAGTGGATGTAACATTTATTCACCAAACAATTATTTAGTATCAATAATTGTACTGGGATTATAAAGTCAAATAAGACCAAGGTGTTGCCTTCAGAAAGGAACAACCTGAAAGAGGACAGTTACAAGGCCAGATCCAGTTCACCAAAACACATGAACTGCATTCACAGATATAAAAGGAAACTCTCCTACATGAAGCACTCACAAAGTATTCTATTTCTAACTATTAGAGTCTCATATTTCCATAATTTTTACAGAGACCTCACATTTGAATCTACCCCCACTAAGCTCAGCACTTTTGAGTAATTTAGTAATTCAATGCACTATTGGGGTGCCTTGGAACAGTCTGAGTAGGAGAAAGAAGTCTTTTTTAGATCTATCAAATCTATTTTCTAAAAGTAGGTTTGAAGTGCTTACATGACATAGTACAGTAAAGCATAATAATGAGAGACTCTGAGAGCCTCTTAATGTCTCTGGAATTATCAGTTACTCAAAGGAATGTGCGATGGGTGCCTGTATTAAAGGATTCTACCTTCCTAAGGGCAAAAATTGTTGGGAGGGAGGTGGGGAACTTATGTTATCTTCTTTCTTTCACCTTTGTGCTATCCATTCCATCACATATACTAGGATAAAATCATTCATCATAGTTTCTAACAAAAAAAAAAATCAAAGAAACACACAGGGCAGCCTGGGAAACCTGGTGAAACACTGTCTCTACTAAAAACATACCAAAAAAATTAACTAGGTGTGGTGGTGTGCATTTGTGGTCCCAGCTACCCAGGAGGCTGATGTGGGAAAAATCACCTGAGCTCAGAAAGTCAAGGCTGCAGTGAGCTGTGATCATGACAGTGCACTCCAGCCTGGGCTACAAGAGTAAGAACTTCCCCCACCCCCCACCACCCCCACAGCCTGCACCCAAAAAAAGAAAAAGAAAAAGAAAAAAAAAAGAAACACGAAGTGGTAACTGCTAAGCTAGAGAATAAAGAACATTTTTTGGTTTGGTCCTCCCATTAAACCTAGGTCTTTACACATAAATAGGTAGGTGCCTGAGTCTGAACTCATGAACATTCGTGGATGGAGTACATCATTGTCCCATTTGGCTCCACTTCAACTCACCCACTAAGGGGATAACTCTAGTCCAATTCATTAACCCAAGGACACATAATCTGGGACTGACTGGGACAGGGAGCATGAGCCAAATGGAAAATGTGACTCCTGCAGGGTTTTGCCACTGAGTGACTCCAGAGGGCTTCCAGTGCAGCTGGGAGCCAGGCTTCAGAACCAACCTGCCTCATCACAGCATGGCAAAGAAGAAACTGAACAAAAGTACCAATGCATTACTATGCACACATGTCAGTCCCTGATTAAAATATAATTCTCAAAAGCCAAGGCCACTGCTATGGTTTGAATGCTTGTTTTCTCCAAAAATTCATGTTGAAATTTAATTGCCATTGCAACAGTATTGGGAGGTGGGCACTTTAAGAGGCGCTTAGATCATGAGAGTTCCACCCTCATGAATGAAGTAATGTCGTTACTTCAGGAATCCCTTCAACCCCTCTTGCTCTCTATCACCCTCTTTTCCCTTCTGCCATGTGATGATTTCTGCAATGTTATGATGTAGCAAGAAGGCCCTTGCCAGATACCAGCACCTTGATATTGGACATCCCAGCCTCCAGAACTGTAAACAAATAAATTTCTGGTTATTATAAATTATACAGTCTGTGACATTCTGTTGTCATATCAGTACAAATGGGCTAAGACAGCAACCCTACTCTCCTTGAAAAATTCTAGAATATCAAAGCTAACTCTCAAGGGCTCTCAGTGTTGTGATTAGAATGGCTGCATAGTGCCCCAGACACATGACTTTCAGCTCAGGTTTTCTATCATATAACACTTAGCTCACAGCCTGCAGCAGCAATTGTGGCATGCCTTTGTCATTGCCAGACCATGAAGCCAGACACCAGTCAAAGCCAAGCCTGAGACCTGTTCTGAGACTTTATCAGGAGAATTGACACCAAGGGCTTTCAATTTGTTTTTACCTTGACACAGTAAGAAATACTTCATGCTATTCAGTAACAAACACTGTAAACACACACACACACACACACAAATAATCATAAAACCAAGACCAAAGTTTTACCCAAAAATAATGATTATACTTACAATACGCACGGTACTCCAAATTTTTCCAGTTTATTTTATTTGAATTTTAAATTTCTGGGTTTGATCCACTAAGTTGATTTCAAGACCCAATGATTCACTATCTGTGGTTTAAAAAATAATCCCAATCTATATATATATATATATATATATATACACACACACACACACACAGACCCCTAACTTGCTCAATACAGTTTCAAGACTGCCGAGTCCATGGAACAGAATGAAGGTGTGTGGTATAAACAATGAAATGCCTACCACATATGAGACTTTACATGCTCATTTAGATGTAGACAAGAATATGACAAACATTCTTTGCTTGGCCAAACTTAGGCTCTGAATATTCTTCTAGGCCCGTCTGTATACTTCCTAATAAAATCTAGTTTTAGCAATCTCTACTAGGTCAATTTAATAAGAAACCCTCCCACTCCCACTCTCACTCTCAATATCTTATCACTCTCATATTTGATTGGGTTCCTCATCCTCTACCATCCCCCATGAAATATCTGATTGGCCTGGCCCGTCTTCAACAAGGATCCTGTTGGATCAGTTTAGCCAGAATCTTCCTTAGCTCTGTTGTTTCCTACTAGTAATTTTCCATCCACTGACCCTTCTTTCACTCGCGTTCGCATGAAGAGACCACCAAATAGGCTTTGTGTGAGCAATAAAGCTTTTTAATCACCTGGCTGCATGCAGGCTGAGTCCGAAAAGAGAGTCAGTGAAGGGAGATGGGGTGGGGCCATTTTATAAGATTTGGGTAGGTAAAGGAAAATTACAGTCAAAGTGGGGTTGTTCTCTGGTGGGCAGGAGTGGGGGGTCACAAGGTACTCAGTGGGGGAGCTTTTTTGAGCCAGGATGAGCCAGGAAAAGGAATTTCACAAGGTAATGTCATCACTTAAGGCAAGGACCAGCCATTTTCATTTCTTTTGTGGTGGAATGTCAGTTAAGGCAGGAACAGGCCATTTTCACTTCTTTTGTGATTCTTCAGTTACTTCACGCCATCTGGGCATACACATGCAGGTCACAGGGGATGCGATGGCTTAGCTTGGGCTCAGAGGCCTGACATTCCTGCCTTCTTATATTAATAAGAAAAATAACATAAAATAGTATTGAAGTGTTGGGGCAGCAGAAAGAAATTTTTTTTGAGGGGGTGGCATGGAGAGATAATGGGCGGTGTTTCTCAGGGCTGCTTCGAGCAGGATTAGGGGCGCCGTGGGAACCTAGAGTGGGAGAGATTAAGCTGAAGGAAGATTTTGTGGTAAGGGGTGATATTGTGGGGTTGTTAGAAGAAACATTTGTCGTATAGAATGATTGGTGATGCCCCGGATACGGTTTTGGATGAATTGAGAAACTAAACAGAAGATACAAGGTCTGAATAAAAGGAGAAAAATAGGTATTAAAGGACTAAGAATTGGGAGGACCCAGGACATCCAATTACAGAGTGCCCAATGAGGTTCAGTGTAATTACTTGCTTGGTTGGCAAGTTTTTGGGCTCTATCCTTGAGTTTTTTTATGTTGTCATACACCAGGCTGGATTGATTTAGGTAAAAACAACACTCTTCATTTAAGAATATACAGAGTCCTCCTTTTTCAGCAGTGAGTAAATCAAGGCCTCAGCGGTTTTGGAGGACAACTGTAGCTAAAGAGTCAACTTGGGCCTGTAGGGACTGATAAAGTTTGCGATATGTCTGTGATGCTAGCAGAGAAGTCATTAGAGAGGCTACAGAAGGTCATGACAGAGGTTGAAATGCCTGCTATTCCAGTACTGAGAGCAATAGTGGAGGCAGAAAGTCCTAAACCGACAAGCAAGGGAATTAATGGAATAACTCTTTTTTGTCATGTCAGTGTCATGAGGGGAACAGGGAGCTCTTCGGTCCCATTTGCAAATTGAATTTTGGGAGCAAGGAAAACTAGTGTGCATGTGCCTGTCCAATCAACAGGTAGACACATGTAGGTAGAGGATCCACAGAGGAAGAAGAGACCTTGTGCGAGGCAAAACTGGAGTTGCAAAGTAAAAAGATGAGAAGGAGTGCTGAAAGGGATGTCTTGTACCCAGACTCCTAGGGATCCAGCTAGGGCGGCAGCCGTCAGAGGTTGTAATGGGGACTGATGGGGTAACTGCATAGAGGGGAAGGTTTGATTTTCATGGTGTATGAGAAAATGTTGAGTATCTACGAGCAACCTTTCACTGTTATTTTTGGGGCTGGGTATAAGTAAACAAGAAGAGGGCCTGGGAGGAGAGTCTGACGAGCAAGCGGAAGGTAGCTAAGGATGGAGTGAAATACAGGGTAAGTGTCTTCCTAAGCAATAATTACTGCTAATGTTTTTAAGTTTGCCAGTATTGATAGAGGGCTTGTCTGTAATATGGAGCTGGAAGGCTCCAACAGTTTTAGTGATGTGTGTAGTTGGGCTCTGGAGATGAAGAGTAAAGGAACATCAAGAAGGTGAAAGGTTACCTAGGGGAATTCCAGTGTGTCTTTGCCGAGAGACACATAAAGGAGCGGCCATAGGAATAGTAGTTTGTGTTGTGAGAGGTCCAAATATAGGGGGAGTAGAGTTGATATAAGGAGAAAGGTTTTTTAAGTAAGTGTGGAGGAGGTCAGCAGCTTGCTGATGTGAAATGTCTGGGGAGGTCTTGCTGCACCTGTCTAGAAAGTAAATGAGTTCTTCAGGAGGGTAAAGGTGAGGGCTGTTAAAGGAAGTTCGGAGGTGTAAGGAGACAGGAGATGTTGCCCAGTCTGCATGTAAGGCGGGGACAGCTGTGTAGACGCTGGAAGAAAGGGAAATGCAAAGCTAGCAGTTGTTCGATGAGGAGGGATTAGAAACAGCTAGGAGAGAATGGGTAAGGTTGATAGTGTGGTGGAGAGAGCTGGGGAGAGGTAGAGGGTGGCATAAGAATGGGAATGACGAAAAGAGTCAGTATAAAAGTAAAGAATAGAACTTCATCAGGGTGAAAGTATTGGAGAGTCCCCTGCCAGCAAAGATCATCTATCTGCTCTAAGAGAGAGTTAAGAGTGGTGTTTTGGGGATAGCACTAAGAAATATCAGCTGTGATGGCTTGAAGAAACAGTGTAAACCAGCAGTGTAAACAAGAGTAGGGCATTTATAAGTAGTTAAGAATGGAGAATAGGAGTATGACTAGACAGAAGATAGTAGGGATGACTAGTTTTTGGGGCTCGGTCCTAGTAGTGGGGGTGACTTTGTAAAGCCCTGTTGCAAAAAGTAGGGTAAGGATGAACAGACCTAATAGAATGAAGGGATGTGTTAGGCTCATAAGGGTTACTACTGTTCTTCAGAAATACGAGTGAGTTTAAGGGAAGTAGGGGAGAGTGCTTGCGACTTCCAGGAGGAAGAGGAGGGATTAGGCTGGCTGTCCGATGGACACAGCTTTATTCTGGAATGGTAAACCCAGTGGGGAGGATCCTGCAGGCAGACGGCAGTTGGGGTACTACAGATGACTAAGTAGGGTCCGGTCCTTCGAGGTAGTAGAGTTTGAGGGGTCAGATTCTTAACAAGAACTGATCGTCCAGCTAGGGTGTCTTCATATTGCTGGGAATCTGGAGTAGGCAAGAGATTAGCAGCCTGGTGAATTTCCTGTCTAGCCTCCTGGAGGACTGGAAGATAGTTGCCTAGAGGGCTGGTGTCTGGGATGAGGTTGGGGCTGAGCAAGAAAGTGCATCCATATAAATGTTCAAATGGACCGTACCCTGTAGCATCTCGAGGACAGGCTCTAATTCTAAGAAGGGCAAGAGGTAAAAGTACTGCCTAATCCTTTTGAAGTTGGAGGCTGAGCTTGGTGAGGTGTGTCTTTAAAACAACATTAGTCTGTTCTACCTTTCCTGAAGATGGAGGACGGTAAGGGATATGAAGGTTCCACTGAATACCAAGAGCCTGAGAAACTGCTTGGGTGATTTGACTAGTAAAGGCCGATCCATTATCAGACTGTATAGAGGTGGGAAGGCCAAACCGAGGAATTATGTCTGTCTGACAGAAGGGAAGAAATGACTGCGGTGGCTTTCTCAGACCCTGTGGGAAAGGCCTCTACCCATCCAGTGAAAGTGTCAACCCAGACTAAGAGGTATTTTAGTTTTCTGACTTGGGGCATGTGAGTATAGTCAATTTGCCAGTCCTGGGTGGGGGCAAATCCCTGAGATTGATGTGTAGGAAAGGGACGGGGCCTGAACAATCCCTGAGGGGTAGTAGAATAGCAGATCGATCATTGAGAAGTGATTTCTTTGAGGATAGATTTCCACAGTGGAAAGGAAATGAGAGGTTCTAAGAGGCGGGTAGTGGCTTGTACTATAGCATAGCCTGCCTTTGCTGGTGTGTGGTGATTAGGCCTGGTGGAACTGCCATCAATAAACCAAATATGATCAGGGTGAGGAACAGGGAAGAAGGAAATATGGGGAAATGGAGTGAATGTCAGGTGGATCAGAGAGATACAGTCATGAGGGTCAGGTGTGGGAGGCCGGATTGAAGTCCGGGCCAGGAACAATGGTAACTGTGGGAGACTCAACAAAGAGTGAGTACAGCTGAAGGAGCTGGGAAGCAGAAAGTATATGCACCAGGTATGAGGAAGAAAATAGATTTTGGAAGTTATGAGAACTGTAGAGAGTGAGTTGAGCATAGTTTGTGATTTTGAGGGCCTCTAAAAGTATTAAGGCAGCAGCAGCGGCTGCACACAGACATGAGGGCTAGGCTGAAATAGTAAGGTCAAGTTGTTTGGACAGAAAGCTATAGGGCGCGGTTCTGGCTGTTGTGTAAGAATTCTGACCACACTAACCATGCCTAGGAAGGAAAGGAGTTGTTGTTTTGTAGAAGGGATTGGGGTTTGGGAGATTAGCCGGACATGATCAGCAGAGAGAGCACATGTGTTTTTATGATAATTATGCTGAGATAGGTAACAGATGAGGAAGAAATTTGGGCTTGACTGAAGTAATGGGGGCTGTCTGTGAAGCTTTGCAGCAGTACAGCCTAGGTAATTTGCTGAGCCTGATGGCTGTCGGGTCAGTCCAAGTGAAAGCAAAGAGAGGCTGGAATGAAGGGTGCAAAGGAATAGTAAAGAAAGCATGTTTGAGATCCAGAACAGAATAATGGATTATGGAGGGAGGTATTGAGGATAGGAGAATATATGGGTTTGGCACCACAGGGTGGATAGGCAAAACAATTTGGTTGATAAGACGCAGATTCTGAACTAACCTGTAAGCTTTGTCTGGTTTTAGGACAGGTGAAATGGGGTAACTGCAAGGGGAGTTTACAGGCTTTAAAAGGCTATGCTGTAGCAGGCGAGTGATAACAGGCTTTAATCCTTTTAAAGCATGCTGTAGGATGGGATATTGGCATTGAGCGGGGTAAGGGTGATTAGGTTTTAATGGGATGGTAATGGGCATGTGATTGGTTGCCAGGGAGGGAGTAGAGATGTCCTATACTTGTGGGTTAAGGAGGGGGGGATACGAGAGGAAGACGCAAGGGAGGCTTTGGGTTGGGAAGAAGGGCGGCAGTGAGATGTGGCTGTAGCCCAAGAATAGTCAGGGAAGCAGATAATTTAGTTAAAATATCTCAGCCTAATAAGGGAACTGGGCAGGTGGGGATAACTAAAAGGAGTGCTGAAAGATTATTGTCTAAGTTGGCACCAGAGTTGGGGAGTTTTAAGAAGTTCAGAAGCCCGGCCGTCAATACCCACAACAGTTATGGAGGCAAGGGAAACAGGCCTTTGAAAAGAAGGTAATGTGGAGTGGGTAGCCTCTGTATTGATTAAGAAGAGGATGGATGGACTTACCCTCCACTGTGAGAGTTACCTGAAGCTTGGCGCCCGTGATGGTCTAGGGGCTTCCAAGGCGATCGGGCAGTGTCAGTCTTCAGCCGCTAAGCCAAGAAAATCTGGGAAGGAGTCAGAGAGCCTTGGGCCAGAATTCCAGGGACCCCGGGAGTGGCTGCCAGGTGAGTTGAACAGTCCGATTTTCAATGGGGTCCTGCACAGATGGGACATGGCTTAGGAGGAATCCTGGTCTGTGGGCATTCCTTGGCCCAGTGGCCAGATTTCCAGCACTTGTAGCAAGCTCCTGGGGGAGGAGGTTCTGGAGGAACCCCTGGCAGCTATGGTTCAGGCATTTGGAGTTCTTGTGTGCTGGAGATATGGCTGGGGTTTGTCTCACAGTGGAGGCAAGGAATTGCAACTCAGAAATACATTGCTACTTGGCTGCCTCTACTTTATTATTGTACACCTTGAAGGTGAGGTTAATTAAGTCCTGTTGTGGGGTTTGAGGGCTGGAATTTAATTTTTGGAGCTTTATTTAATGTTGGGAGCAGATTGGGTAATAAAATAAAATGCATATTGAGAATAAGATGGCCTTCTGACCTTTCAGGGTCTAGGGCTGTAAAGCGTCTCAGGGTTGCTGCCGAACGAGCAATGAACTGGGCTGGGTTTTTCATATTTGTTGAAAGAGCCTAAACACTAACTGATTTGGGAGAGGTTGGATAAAGAAAAAGGAGCATTAACCTTGACTATGCCTTTAGCTCCAGCCACCTTTTTAAGAGGAAATTGCTGGGCAGGTGGGGGAGGGCTAGTCACGGAACGAAATTGTAAGCCAGACTGGGTGTGAGGAGGGGAGGTGATAAAAGGATTATAGGGTGGGGGAGCAGAGGCTGAGGAAGAATTGGGACCTGGCGAGGAGCAGCCTGGGGAGGAGGGGAGAGGTCAGATGGGTATATAGAAAAGGAAGATTAGAAAGACTCAGCGACACTTGGGGTTGGGACTGAGAGGACAGGCGGGAGGGAAAGAAGGAGGATCTGGGACAAGTCGCATTGGGAACAGAGAGTAAGGAGGGAACAATGTGTAAAAGAATGCCTGGATGTCAGGCACCTCAGACCGTTTGCCTATTTTATGACAACAATTATCTAGATCTTGTAGGATGGAAAAATCAGAAGTGCAGTTTTCTGGCTATTTGGAACCACTGTCAAGTTTGTACTGGGGTGAAGCGGCATTATAGAAGAAAATAAGGTGTTTAGGTTTTAGGTCAGCTGTGAGTTGAAGAGGTTTTAAGTTCTTGAGAACACAGGCTAAGGGAGAAGAAGGAGGAATGGAGGTGGAAGGCTGCCCATAGTGAAGGAGGCAAGCCCAGAGAAAAGAGAGAGTAGAGACATGGAAAGAAGGGGTCGGGGGTTCTTGCCCTCCAGAAAAGCGGTAGTTGCCACTAAGGGTGAAGGACCAAGGCAGGCGTCCCTGCATGGTCAGACACCTCTGAAACGTGGGTGAATAATCAGGCAGGCATCCCTGCAATGATTAAACACCAAGGTAAGGCTGCCTTCCCAAGTCCATGACCGGCGCCGGAGTTTTGGGTCCGCGGATAAAACACGTCTCCTTTGTCTCTACCAGAAAAGGAAAGGAACTGAAATTAAGAGAAGGGAGAGATTGAAGTGTGGTGCCAAGACTGAAAGGAGAAAGAGGTTGAGGGATAGTGAGAGAGGTTGGAGAAGAGAGTAAAAAGAGGCTGCTTACCAGATTTAAAATTGGTGAGATGTTCCTTGGGCAGGTTGGTCTGAGGACCTGAGGTCGTAGGTGGATCTTTCTCACGGAGCAAAGAGCAGGAGGACAGGGGATTGATCTCCCAGGGGAGGTCCCCCAATCCGAGTCACGGCACCAAATTTTACTCGCGTTCGTGTGAAGAGACCACCAAACAGGCTTTGTGTGAGGAATAAAGCTTTTTAATCACCTGGGTGCAGGCGGGCTGAGTCTGAAAAGAGAGTCAGTGAAGGGAGATAGGGGTGGGGCCATTTTATAAGATTTGGGTAGGTAAAGGAAAATTACAGTCAAAGTGGGGTTGTTCTCTGGTGGGCAGGAGTGGGGATCACAAGGTGCTCAGTGGGGGAGCTTTTTTGAGCCAGGATGAACCAGGAAAAGGAATTTCACAAGGTAATGTCATCACTTAAGGCAAGGACCAGCCATTTTCACTTCTTCTGTGGTGGAATGTCATCAGTTAAGGCAGGAACAGGCCATTTTCACTTCTTTTGTGATGCTTCAGTTACTTCAGGCCATCTGGGTGTATATGTGCAGGTCACAGGGGATGCGATGCCTTAGCTTGGGCTCAGAGGCCTAACACCTTCAATTGCTCCTTAGCTATAAATTCCCACTTGCCCATTCTGTATTTGGAGTTGAGCCCAATCCCTCTCTCCCACTTCAAGACCTGGTTGCAGTAATCCCTGTGCTTATCTTGATGATCCTGAATAAAGTCTTTGTTACCATGCTTTAACAAACATTATGGAATAATTTTTTCTTTCACAGATGCTAAGTAGAATTTAAGATCCTTTAATGAGATATGCCTGCACATAGTCGGAAAGTGTAGAGCATCACTCTCTAGCCCTGCTGTCTACCCATAGATGGAAAGGCAGAAAATGAATCTGAAATGGTTAATCTCTCTGTCTTTGTTTGTGCCCCATCATTTCTCACATAGTGTCTGTGTGTGTGTGTGTACATATATGTGTGTAACATAAACATGTTTTCTCTTTACAATTAGGCCCACATCTGATGTCAAGCCCTCCATCATACCTGATACCTTTAATTATCTACCCTGTTGAAAGTGTCCATTGCATAAGACTTTAGTTAAAAGCCCCAATAGGGTCTGGCACCGCTCGAGGCACCTGCTTTCTCTGTGCGCTCATAGTAATTTGCATGTTCCTTTCCGACTGCCTTCCTCACAGTGGTAGCAATGGTTGCAGCAAAAACAGGCAAGTGGGTAACAAAAGATAGGAATCATGCCTCATTCATCTTTGTATTTCCCGAATATAGCTTAGAGTCTGGGATATGACAGTTGTTCAGTATTTATTGAGTGAATGGATGATAGATGACATCAAAAGCCCTTTCTATGTCCCTTACCTCAACCAAGCTAAGTATTGTACTGCAGTCTCTCATTGGGGAAAAATCTGCCTTTAAGGTAAATTATTTCCTTTAGTTCTAATTGTTTGGATTTCTCTTGGAGTACTTCCTATTAGACAGTAGGACAAGAAGGACTACACATATGTATTCATTTGCTTAACAAACACATCTGGCTGTGTGTGATGGCTCATGCCTGTAATCCCAGCACTTTGGGAGGCCAACTCGGGCAGATCACCTGAGGTCAGGAGTTCAAGATGAGCCTAGCCAACATGGTGAAACCCCATCTCTACTAAAAAAAATACAAAAAATTAGCTGGTCGTGTTGGCGGGCCCCTATAATCCCAGCTACTCGGGAGGCTGAGACAGGAGAATCACTTGAACCTGGGAGCCAGAGATTACAACAAGCCCAAATCATGCCATTGCACTCCAGCCTGGGCAACAAGAGTGAAACCCCAACTCAAAAAAAAAAAAATTTTTTTTTAAATTAAAAAAAGCAAATACATCTGTGTCCCTGCTATATGCTTATCCCTGTGCTAGTATAATACATGCTGTAAGCCCTTAATGTCTATTTGGATCAAGGAATTCATCATGTGAAATTCATATGTGAGATCCACACCAAAGCAGATTGTAAAACTCACTGCTTAATTCACCCTGCATCTTATTCAACATTAAAACCCACCACAGCAAGGCTGGGCACAGTGGCTCACACCTGTAATCCCAGCACTTTGGGAGGCCGAGGTGGGTAAGTCACCTGAGGTTAGGAGTTCAAGACCAGCCTGGCCAATGTGGTAAAACCCCATCTCTACAAAAATACAAAAATTAGCTGGGCATGGTGGTGGGTGCCTGTAATCCCAGCTACTTGGGAGACTTAAGGGGGAGAATAACTTGAACCCAGGAGGCAGAGATTGTAATGATCCAAGATAGTACCATTGCAGTCCAGCCTGGGTGACAGAGCAAGACTCCATCTCGAAAAAAAAGAAAATCCACCACGGCAGAAGTTTTCTAATTGATCCTGCCCACAGGCAAGTCAACTTTTATTTTAATACATCAATATTACAATGGGATTCAAGTTTAAGGACAGTTCTTCCCCTCACCTTCTCCTGTAGCCCTTTGAATATGTCTCAGCCTCAGGCAAAAATAATGTCTAAAATTTTAAACAAGGATTTATCATCTATAAAAGTAGTCATGTAGATAATCTCAATTAATTCTCATAACAATTCTGTGAGGTAAGAGGGAGTCTATAGATTTAAAGCGACCTTGTCCTTCTTTTGTCTTCCTGGCCTTTAAGTCCAATCATGAATTTTGGTGAAGTACAGCTTCGTTTCTGTACTGTTCCAGGACTGGTAAGTATCAGTAGATTGCTGGATTCTCAACATTGGCCAGCTTCCAAGATTAGCCAGAATTTATTTCTGACAGCATTCTGTAAATTATGAATGCCAATTTAATTTCTCTTAACATCCTATGGCCCTGATCCCGTTTTTGAATTGGGCCAACTGATATCGCTCATCTCTACCGTAAAGCATTAAAATATAGTACTTAGTGAATAATGTTCAGAGCAATGATATAATTCTTGTGGGGTTTTTACTCTTTTAAATATATATACTAAAGAAAAAGAATGTGTACACACATTTTATTGAATAGTTATTTTTAAACTGAGAGCAAAAGATGAAGAGAGATTTGTGTAAAGAGCTCCCTAAGAGAAAGCAAAGAGGCAGGAAGTGTGGAAGAAAGAATTGAAAACACAGACCTGTCAAATTCCACTGAGGCATCAAGGGAACCGATTAAATGTGGTGAATAGAAAGAACTCTTTCTTCCTATACATAATGCCCTGGTACTGACCCCATCCTGACTGAAGTTTAATATACTTTATATCTACCAATTTTGGGAAATATTTCCATCACCTTGAACTAGGAGTCAAGGCTAGCTAAAAATAAAAATAAATTTTTTTTTAAATTAGATACAGTGATTTTGAATGGATTAAGATAGCATTTGAGTGTGTCGTGCCCTGAACAGACTTATCATCACTCACTGGGAGATGACTCCCTCATGTGATGCTGGGCTCCTGTAGTTTCTGTGTGGAGATGGCACTCTTTTACAAAGGCCATTGAAGTCAATTGTAGATATACTGTCAACCTGTAATGATCAAGCTTAACCATCTGCTTCAAACTGAATTCACAGCCTTATAGCTAAAATTGAGAATCACCCTTTCAGGTTGGAAGGGCTGGTAAGTACATGAGAAAGGGATAAAATATGCGGTCATATAACTGATTAAAAAAAAAGGGTCAAATGGCCTTTCAAAATGATCCATTTCTTTGGCTTTACTGACTGTTCAAAACAGCATTTTGTGCAGACTGTATGGAAAGAAATAAAAGTCTAGTCATTCATATTTTACCAGCTACTCTACACATCCCTAAAAGTTGACTTCATGGGGTTTAGATTTCTGTGGTGAAGAAGCCATATTGTCCTTCTGAAACCCATAGGAATCTTACGCAGACAAAACCCTCTCCACACTCTTCATGTGGAGACTGAACCTGGCCCACTGCACTACCTGTCAGAAGTGGAACTTGCACGGATGTATAAGACCCTGAGGTGGACTCACCACGAAGCTAATGAAGCTTAGCTCTAGAATCTTTTTTTTTTTTTTTTTTTTTTTTTTTTTTTTTTTTTTTTTTGAGACGGAGTCTCGCTCTGTCGCCCAGGCTGGAGTGCAGTGGCGGGATCTCGGCTCACTGCAAGCTCCGCCTCCCGGGTTCACGCCATTCTCCTGCCTCAGCCTCCCAAGTAGCTGGGACTACAGGCGCCCGCCACTACGCCCGGCTAATTTTTTGTATTTTTAGTAGAGACGGGGTTTCACCGTTTTAGCCGGGATGGTCTCGATCTCCTGACCTCGTGATCCGCCCGCCTCGGCCTCCCAAAGTGCTGGGATTACAGGCGTGAGCCACCGCGCCCGGCCAGCTCTAGAATCTTAAATCCCTGAACTTGATTTCTTATTGGTAATTCTGTAGTATTTTGCTTAAAAAAGAACCCCATAATTGTGAAAACTTCAGGTTCCACACAACCTGGACCCACCAAGAACAAAGTCACTAGAGCAAATGAGGTAGATATTCTTATCTCTAGTAAGCTTCAGAGCCCATGATTGATGTTCCTCTTTCGGAGATATTTACACAGAGGCAGAGAGAAATAGAGATGGATGCTTCTTAGTTTCTGCTCTCATCTGTGATTCTATGGTCTGAAGAGCTATATGCATTGATCCTTCTCAATTGTGGCTTAATCTGGATCCAGAAACCCTCTCTGAAAGAGGCTAACTAAGGAAATAGAACCTGGACCTTTTCTTCTGCAGTTAGCAAGAAAGAAGTTCTCAAGTTTGCATGTGAGATCCCAAAAGATAAACTTCTTCCATGATCACTACCCTTTCATTTGCTAACATGGCAAGTAGAGGCTGAACATTCGAATACAGAATGTCTTCAGGCCGGGTGCAGTGGCTCACGCCTGTAATCCTATCACGTGGGGAAGCCAAGGCAGGTGGATCACCCTGAGGTCAGGAGTTTGAGACCAGTTAACCAACATGGTGACACCCCATCTCTCCTAAAAAATACAAAATTAGTTGGGTGTGGTGGTGCATGCCTGTAATCCCAGTTACTTGAGAGGCTGAGGCAGGAGAATCGCTTGAACTAGGGAGACGGAGGTTGCAGTGAGCCGAGGTCGTGCCACTGCACTCCAGCCTGGGCAACAAGAGTGAAACTCCATCTAAATAAATAAATAAATAAATAAATAAATAAATAAATAAAGTCTTCAAAGGTAGCATAATTTCACTCTTACTCTTTTAATTGTGAGGTGCCAATGTGCCCTTTTCTTCTTGTTGAGTTAATTATTCATAGTAGGTTATTAAATTTGAAAACCACATAATCAACTGCAAATTTTTTAAATGTGGCTGTAAGTTCCCATCTACCTTTAGATACATAAAATAGGCAAAAAGTGTTTTGATTTTCAAAGAAGAGGAGTTCTCTCTTAATTAAAAGTCTGTGAAAGCCAAGGAGACTTTCAAATTTTTTTAAAGACCCCTTGTGTGAAATTTGCAATACATTTTTGAAATATGCCGCTGTCACAGCTGCCGTCTGATGAGGCTTGGGTTCCAATCTGTGCCTCTCCAGCAGTCTGTGCCACCATTGCTGCCAGGTGGCATCAGCTCCCGCTCAGCATCCTCCTCCTGTCTGCCATGAGGGAATAAAGCCGCATCTCCCTGGGAAGCTCCCACCGGTGACTCGGAAGAAATCTGTCTGCAGAAAAGAGATGGCAAGCATACTTGGAAATTTGAATTATTGCTGTAATCAGCACATTGCTTTCCTCCTTGTATTGAACCTTTGACATTGAAACAGTTTGCTTATACGTAGTTACAATATTTGTAATTTGCTTTGGGTTGAATTAAATGTAGTCATAGTTGTTTGTGGCTTTGAAGGAAGCAGAAAATATTTGTCTGCAAATTTAATGAAAATGAAATTAGCAAACTGATACTCAAGTAAGTCACCTTAAAACTTTGGTAATTACCAACTTATTATTTATTTTAAGAAAGTACCGTTAGAAGTGTCTATTTTAATTGGGCTGAGCCTAAAATTTAAAAAAAAAAAAAAAAAAAGCCTTACATAGAAAACATCTTTGTTGCTCCAAAGAAAAGTAGGTAATCCTTGGTTTAAGGCTAAGTATGCACATAAAGAAAATCAGAAAATGGAAGAAAAATGCTGAGAGCATCTGTAAACTTGGGCCTGCATCTTTTGTACTCCAAGGACAATTGTAGTAATTGTGCTGATGAAAGAAAATTTATGGATATAAGTCACTTGTGCCAATACAGCTCTGGCATATAGCTGTGGGTGCAGTTGGTGACTACAAAATCAGCCATTTGCAAGAAGACTTTTTTTCACCTTCAAAAGCTCCTCAAAGATTTTCCATCAATCCTTCACTATTAAATAGTGCATATCTTACTTTTTTCTTCTTAGACCATTGGAAAGACATTGGCGAGATTCCTGATCAATTTATATCCCAACATTGTATGACATTAAGGAAGAAATTTTCAGTCACTTCAAAATTGATTTCTTAAGCTGCCAACTTGCTTATACTATTATGGTAAGAACTTATAAAGCAAATAAAATCGCTTTCTACCTATAAAAGTGTGATTTGAAATCAACTTGCTGTCTAACCACAATATGTGGTGATTACAGAAATGCCAGCAAAAATAGCTCTTCATAAGAAAGATCATGCAGCCATGTCATAAAGTCATTTTCCTACTATTAGTTCTGCATCAACTCTCCCAAAACAGCATGATTTTACATTTCTTAAATATTTAATTTGTGTAACATGAGCACTTTTTGTACATGGTGGAGAAAAAAATTAACATAAGTGCAGGATAAAGTAAAATAATTACAATTTCCAAGGCTGTGCTTTCATTTTAGTGTTTAGATCTCTTATATACAAATATTCTTCAACATATACAATACACCTAACTCATATAACTAATCTTATTTTTCAGAGCTAGGAGTTGGGGAGGCAAGTGAGATGCCTAAGGCACAAAACTTAAGGAGATAGAGGGTTTTGGGGTCCTATCATACACTTATACTTTGCATCTGAAATGCCTCACCTGCCTCACGCTTATCCCAGCACTCCTGCTCCTAGTCCCACAGGAGTAACAGCCAATCTGCCATATTCATATTCAGATAGCTGTTGTTTTGTCCAATCACAAGTGTCTGGATATAGTTGCTTCCAAACTCGTCGTTTACATTAGGTATATCTCCTAAAGCTATGCCTCCCCCATCCTGCCACCCCAAAACAGGCCCCGGTGTGTGATGTTTCCCTTCCTGTGTCCATGTGTTCTCATTGTTCAATTCCCACCTATGAGTGAGAACATGCGGTGTTTTGTTTTTTTGTCCTTGCGATAGTTTTCTGAGAATGATGGTTTCCAGCTTCATCCATGTCCCTACAAAGGACATGAACTCATCATTTTTTATGGCTGCATAGTATTCCATGGTATATATGTGCCACATTTTCTTAATCCAGTCTATCCTTCTTGGACATTTGGGTTGGTTCCAAGTCTTTGCTATTGTGAATAGTGCCGCAATAAACATCCGTGTGCATGTGTCTTTATAGCAGCATGATTTATAGTCATTTGGGTATATACCCAGTAATGGGATGGCTGGGTCAAATGGTATTTCTAGTTCTAGATCCCTGAGGAGCCGCCACACTGACTTCCACAATGGTTGAACTAGTTTACAGTCCCACCAACAGTGTAAAAGTGTTCGTATTTCTCCACATCCTCTCCAGCACCTGTTGTTTCCTGACTTTTTAATGATCACCATTCTAACTGGTGTGAGATGGTATCTCATTGTGGTTTTGATTTGCATTTCTCTGATGGCCAGTGATGATGAGCATTTTTTCATGTGTCTGTTGGCTACATAAATGTCTTCTTTTGAGAAGTGTCTGTTCATATCCTTTGCCCACTTGTTGATGGGGTTGTTTTTTTCTTGTAAATTTGTTTGAGTTCATTGTAGATTCTGGATAGTAGCCCTTTGTCAGATGAGTAGGTTGTGAAAATTTTCTCCCATTCTGTAGGTTGCCTGTTCACTCTGATGGTAGTTTCTTTTGCTGTGCAGAAGCTCTTGAGTTTAATTAGATCCCATTTGTCAATTTTGGCTTTTGTTGCCTTTGCTTTTGGTGTTTTAGACATGAAGTCCTTGCCCATGCCTATGTCCTGAATGGTAATGCCTAGGTTTTCTTCTAGGGTTTTTATGGTTTTAGGTCTAACATTTAAGTCTTTAATCCATCTTGAATTAATTTTTGTATAAGGTATAAGGAAGGGATCCAGTTTCAGCTTTCTACATATGGCTAGCCAGTTTTCCCAGCACCATTTATTAAATAGGGAATCCTTTCCCCATTTCTTGTTTTTATCAGGTTTGCCAAAGATCAGATGGTTGTAGATATGTGGCATTACTTCTGAGGGCTCTGTTCTGTTCCATTGATCTATATCTCTGTTTTGGTACCAGTACCATGCTGTTTTGGTTACTGTAGCCTTGTAGTGTAGTTTGAAGTCAGGTAGCATGATGCCTCCAGCTTTCTTCTTTGGGCCTAGGATTGACTTGGCAATGTGGGCTCTTTTTTAGTTCCGTATGAACTTTAAAGTAGTTTTTTCCAATTCTGTGAAGAAAGTCATTGGTAGCTTGATGGAGATGGCATTGAATCTATAAATTACCTTGGGCAGTATGGCCATTTTCATGATATTGATTCTTCCAACCCATGAGCATGGAATGTTCTTCCATTTGTTTTTATCCTCTTTTATTTCCTTGAGCAGTGGTTTGTAGTTCTCCTTGAAGAGGTCCCTCACGTCTCTCGAAAGTTGGATTCCTAGGTATTTTATTCTCTTTGAAGCAATTGTGAATGGGAGTTCACTCATGATTTGGCTCTCTGTCACTGGTGTATAAGAATGCTTGTGATTTTTACACATTGATTTTGTATCCTGAGACTTTGCTGAAGTTGCTTATCAGCTTAAGGAGATTTTGGGCTGAGACAATGGAGTTTTCTAGATATACAATCATGTCGTCTGCAAACAGGGACAATTTGACTTCCTCTTTTCCTAATTGAATACCCTTTATTTCCTTCTCCTGCCTGATTGCCCTGGCCAGAACTTCCAACACTATGTTGAATAGGAGAGGTGAGAGAGGGCATCCCTGTCTTGTGCCAGTTTTCAAAGGGAATGCTTCCAGCTTTTGCCCATTCAGTATGATATTGGCTGTGGGTTTGTCATAGATAGCTCTTATTATTTTGAGATACGTCCCATCAATACCTAATTTATTGAGAGTTTTTAGCATGAAGCGTTGTTGAATTTTGTCAAAGGCCTTTTCTGCATCTATTGAGATAATCATGTGGTTTCTGTCATTGGTTCTGTTTATATGCTGGATTCCATTTATTGATTTCTGTATGTTGAACCAGCCTTGCATCCTAGGGATGAAGCCCACTTGATCATGGTGGATGAGCTTTTTGTTGTGCTGCTGGATTCAGTTTGCCAGTATTTTATTGAGGATTTTTGCATGGATGTTCATCAGGGATATTGGTCTAAAATTCTCTTTTTTTGTTGTGTCTCTGCCAGGCTTTGGTATCAGGATGATGCTGGCCTCATAACATGAGTTAGGGAGGATTCCCTCTTTTTCTATTGATTGGGATAGTTTCAGAAGGAATGGTACCAGCTCCTCCTTGTACCTCTGGTAGAATTCGGCTATGAATCCATCTGGTCCTGGACTTTTTTTGGTTGGTAAGCTATTAATTATTGCCTCAATTTCAGAGCTTGTTATTGGTCTATTCAGAGATTCAACTTCTTCCTTGTTTAGTCTTGGGAGGGTGTATGTGTCCAGGAATTTATCCATTTCTTCTAGATTTTCTAGTTTATTTGCATAGAGGTGTTTACAGTATTCTCTGATGGTAGTTTGTATTTCTGTGGGATCAGTGGTGATATCCCCTTTATCATTTTTTATTGCATCTATTTGATTCTTCTCTCTTTTCTTCTTTATTAGTCTTGCTAGCAGTCTATCAATTTTGTTGATCTTTTCAAAAAACCAGCTCCTGGATTCACTGATTTTTTGAAGGGTTTTTTATGTTTCTATCTCCTTCAGTTCTGCTCTGATCTTAGGTATTTCTTGCCTTCTGCTAGCTTTTCAATGTATTTGCTCTTGCTTCTCTAGTTCTTTTAATTGTGATGTTAGGGTGTCAATTTTAGATCTTTTCTGCTTTCTCTTGTGGGCATTTAGTGCTATAAATTTCCCTCTGCATACTGCTTTAAATGTGTCCCAGAGATTCTGGTATGTTGTGTCTTTGTTCTCGTTGGTTTCAAAGAACATCTTTATTTCTGCCTTCATTTCGTTATGTACCCAGTAGTCATTCAGGAACAGGTTGTTCAGTTTCCATGTAGTTGAGCAGTTTTGAATGAGTTTCTTAATCCTGAGTTCTAGTTTGATTGCACTGTGGTCTGAGAGACAGTTTGCTATAATTTCTGTTCTTTTACATTTGCTGAGGAGTGCTTTACTTCCAACTATGTGCTCAATTTTGGAATAGGTCTGGTGTGGTGCTGAAAAGAATGTATATTCTGTTGATCTGGGGTGGAGAGTTCTGTAGGTGTCTATTAGGTCCACTTGTTGCAGAGCTGAGTTCAATTCCTGGATATCCTTGTTGAATTTCTGTCTCGTTCATCTGTCTAATGTTGACAGTGGAGTGTTAAAGTCTCCCATTTTTATTGTGTGGAAGTCTAAGTCTCTTTGTAAGTCTCTAAGGACTTGCTTTATGAAACTGGGTGCTCCTGTATTGGGTGCATATATATTTAGGATAGTTAGCTCTTCTTGTTGAATTGATCCCTTTACCATTATGTAATGGCCTTCTTTGTCTCTTTTGATCTTTGTTGGTTTAAAGTCTGATTTATCAGAGACTAGGATTGCAACCCCTGCCTTTTTTGTTTTCCATTTGCTTGGTAGATCTTCCTCCATCCCTTTATTTTGAGCCTATGTGTGTCTCTGTGAGATGGGTTTCCTGAATACAGCACACTGATGGGTCTTGACCCTTTATCCAATTTGCCAGTCTGTGTCTTTTAATTGGAGCATTTAGCCCCTTTACATTTAAGATTAATATTGTTATGTGTGAATTTGATCCTGTCATTATGATGTTAGCCGGATATTTTGCTCATTAGTTGATGCAGTTTCTTCCTAGCATTGATGCTCTTTACAATTTGGCATGTTTTTGCAGTGGCTGGTACCAGTTGTTGCTTTCCATGTTTAGTATTTCCTTCAGGAGCTCTTGTAGGGCAGGCCTGGTGGTGACAAAATCTCTCAGCATCTGCTTGTCTGTAAAGTATTTTATTTCTCCTTCATTTATGAAGCTTAGTTTGGCGGGATATGAAATTCTGGGTTGAAAATTCTTTTCTTTAAGAATGTTGAATATTGGCCCCCCCTCTCTTCTGGCTTGTAGAATTTATGCTGAGAGATCCGCTGTTCGTCTAATGGGCTTCCCTTCATGGGTAACCCAACCTTTCTCTCTGGCTGCCCTTAACATTTTTTCCTTCATTTCAACCTTGGTGAATCTGACAGTTATGTGTCTTTGAGTTGCTCTTCTCAAGGAGTATCTTTGTGGTGTTCTCTGTATTTCCTGAATTTCAATGTTGGCCTGCCTTGCTAGATTGGGGAAGTTCTCCTAGGTAATATCCCAAAAAGTGTTTTCCAACTTGGTTCCATTCTCTCCGTCACTTTCAGGTGCGCCAATCAGACATAGATTTGGTCTTTTCACATAGTCCCATATTTCTTGGAGGCTTTGTTCATTTCTTTTTATTCTTTTTTCTCTAAACTTCTCTTCTCGCTTCATTTCATTCATTTGATCTTCCATCACTAATACCCTTTCTTCCAGTTGATCAAATCAGCTACTGAAGCTTGTACATTCATCACATAGTTCTTGTGCCATGGTTTTCAGCTCCATCAGGTCCTTTAAGGACTTCTCTGCATTGGTTAGTCTAGTTAGCCATTAGTCTAATCTTTTTTCAAGGTTTTTAATTTCTTTGCCATGGGTTCGAACTTCCTCCTTTAGCTCAGAGTAATTTGATCGTCTGAAGCCTTCTTCTCTCAACTCGTCAGTCATTCTCCATCCAGCTTTATTCCATTGCTGGCAAGGAGCTGCGTTCCTTTAGAGGAGGAAAGGCGCTCTGATTTTTAGAATTTTCAGTTTTTCTGCTCTGTTTCTTCCTCATCTTTGTGATTTTACCTACCTTTAGTCTTTGATGATGGTGACGTACAGATGGGGTTTTGGTGTGGATGTCCTTTCTGTTTGTTAGTTTTCTTTCTAACAGTCAGGACCATTAGGTGCAGGTCTGTTGGAATTTGCTAGATGTCCACTTCATACCCTGTTGGCCTGGTTATGAGCAGCGGAGGCTGCAGAACAGTGAATATTGCTGAACAACAAATGTTGCTGCCTGATCGTTTCTCTGGAAGTTTTGTCTCAGAGGAGTACCCGGCTGTGTGAGGTGTCAGTCTGCCCCTACTGGGGGGTGCCTCACAGTTAGGCTACTCAGGGGTCAGGGACCCACTTGAGGAAGCAGTCTGTCCGTTCTCAGATCTGAAGCTGCGTGCTGGGAGAACCACTACTCTCTTCAAAGCTGTCAGACAGGGACATTTAAGTCTGCAGAGGTTTCTGCTGCCTTTTGTTTTGGGATGCCCTGCCCCCAGAGGTGGAGTCTACTGAGGCAGGCAGGCCTCTTTGAGCTCTGGTGGGCTCCACCCAGTTCGAGATTCCCAGTGGCTTTGTTTACCTAATCAAGCCTTGGCAATGGTGGGCGCCCCTCCCCCAGCCTCACTGCAGCCTTGCAGTTTGATCTCAGACTGCTTTGCTAGCAATGAGCGAGGCTCCATGGGCGTAGGACCCTCCGAACCAGACACGGGATATAATCTCCTGGTGTGTCGTTTGCTAAGACCATTGGAAAAGCACAGTATTAGGGTGGGAGTGACCCAATTTTCCAGATGCCATCTGTCACCCCTTTCCTTGGCTAGAAAAGGGAATTCCCTGACCCCTTGCACTTCCCAGGTGAGGCGATGTCTCGCCCTGCTTCAGCTCACACTCAGTGTGCTGCACCCACTGTCCTGCACCCACTGTCTGTCAATTCCCAGTGAGATGAACCTGGTACCTCAGTTGGTGATGCAGAAATCATTCGTATTCTGCATCGCTCACGCTGGGAGCTGTAGACTGGAGCCGTTCCTATCAGCCATCTTGGCTCCGCCACCTGTATGATCTGTTTTTCTAATGACTTGGGGTCATCTATGGCTATGTCAAAAACTGAAACTTTGACCACAAGATTAATGATCACTTTTCCCCATCACTGACTGTGATTAAAACAAATTAAAACATTACGGTTTTCAAAGCCATCCACATTGTTTTTTTGGTTTTTGTTATTGTTGTTGTTGTTTTGCTTTTCTGAGTCAGGGTCTCACTCTGTCACCCAGGCTAGGGTGCTGTGTCATGATCATGGCTGACTGCAGCCTCAGACTCCTGGGCTCAAGTAATCCCCTCACCTCAGCCTCCCAAGTAGCTGACACTGCAGGAGCACATCAACACATCTGGCCAATGTTTTTAAATTTTTTTCAAAGCCCTCCACATTCTTACAGTTTTTTTTTTTATTGATTCATATTTATGCCTTACTTTTAATGCTGAAATATACCTTCTAAAACTTATTCCTGCCACTGAATTACCTCAGGCAAGTAACAATCCAGCACTTTTTGTACAGGAATACAATCTGAATAGTGATGAGTCTATGAAAAAATACAATCTTTTGCTGTAACAAGACATTAAGTAATATTGAGAGAATTTAGAAAATGTGACTAAATCCCAAAATATTGTTTTTTTGGTTTTTATTTTTTTTTTTTTGAGATGGGGTCTCACTCTGTCACCCAGGCTGGAGCGCACTGGAACGATCTCTGCTCACTGCAACCTCCGCCTCCCCAGTTCAAGTGATTCTCCTGCCTTGGCCTCCTGAATAGCTGGGATTACAGGCATGCACCACCATGCCTATCTAATGTTTGTGTTTTTAGTAGAGACAGGGTTTCACCATGTTGGCCAGGCTGGTCTCAAACTCCTGACCTCAGGTGATCCACCTGCCTCAGCCTCCCAAAGAGCTGGGATTAAAGGTGTCAGCCACCATGTCCGGCCTGTATTTTATTTTAATAATACTTACCAAATTATGGTTTGAAAACTTATTGGTAATATGAGTGAAATGGCCGAGGAGGAACCTCTGGCAATTGCTTCTATAATAAGTCATCACTGCTTTTCAGTCAAAGGTTACAAATATAAGTTATGGTATCTTTGCATTGTGTGTTTTTTAGTAAGGAATTCTATGGAGAATAATGCTTAGAAATTTGTTTCTGAAGCATTTCAAAAAGAATACATTGGGACTAATGGGCTATTTTCCCATGGGGAAGAATTTAGAACTGAAGTTCAGGAGAGTGGGCCTGACAACCTGCCCAGAGAGCTTGTCCATCTTTACTTTCTGGAGATCTTTGTCTCCAATTTTTTGTCCTTTTCTGCAGAACCCACTTGGCTAAACTTTCCTTTCACCACATAATATTCTTCCCTAGCATGGTCAGTGAATTCTGCTAAAATAACAGCACATAGCATTCATTCTGCATTGACTGTGGCTTGAGTGGTTATAGGTGTAAAGAAATTGACAGTTACAGCCAGGATTCCTGGCTAGGGAGTGGGCAAAAAGGGGCCTCTCCACAATCACAGGGTTGTCTTGATGCTCCTGACACCCCCAAGGCTGCAGAGAAGCCAGTCAAAACATCTGTATTCCTCACTCCCAGCCCTCACCTCAGACAGAAGCTTCTGGAAGTTCCCCAGCAGACGCTCAGGCTCTCTGGAGACCATGGTGGAGACCTAAACTACAGTGAGGACTATTGATCAGAGAGATGAACAAGCCCTGATAGCAAATCCAGCAGAAACCTCACCACTTTTTTTTCCCTGATAGCAAATCCAGCAGAAACCTCACCCCCTTTTTTTTTTCTCCCTGAAGACCTTTTCAAACCCTTCTCTATTCACTGAGTAGAAAGCAATAAATTAGAGCAGCAGGCTCAGAACTTGGAAGGCTCTGGCGGACAGGGTTAGGCTGAGTTATTGTTTTCTGTAACCCTCCTGCCTGCCCAGGAGTCATACATAATGGAGAAGGAGGTAAATAAGAATTAAATACCTGAAGTCTCTTTTTTCTTCTGTCCTTGATTACACCACTATTTTATTTATGATTCCCCAAAGAGAAGGAAACTTCCCTTATGTGCCACTGCTTCTGTAAATTGTTAAAGAATCACAAAAATGAAATACTTCACAGAAGGTTTTTCTCTATTATCTCTTTCCTGCCGTACTGACCCTTTAGAAGTGATGGTTTACCCATATGTGTTCCGGCTCACCTCTGCCATAGCCACCCGATCCCCATCACCCCCAGCTACAACCAGCTATAATCTCGCTGTATCTTATTTGCCAGTGGAGATCAAATGTATCTTAAGTCCGCACTGAGCTTGGTATAGTGTTACTAGTAGCGTCCAGGTTTTGCTTTATATAATATTGTTTTGCATCTCAGGGACAGTGTGCATGGCACACAGTGTACATTCTTTGTTTCATCTCTGCCTGAGAATTGAGTGCACAACACATGGGAGCAGGGAATAGGGGAAATGCAAACAGCTTAGGTTTGGTTTGGTTTTAAATACTATTCTCAATAGCTTGGTGGGGGATGGGAAGTAGGGAGTGTTTGTGTGAATTATTTGTGTAGTCTCTCAAGATGTCACTTTTCTTTGCCCAAAGATCAAAGAAAAATGTGTACAAACGAGAATACAAGGCTGTCTCATTCTGAATCTTTTTGGAAATTTCCAGCATTCAGTTATTTCCTCTAAACCAAATTTCAGGATTTTTGTTTCATACCCCTTACCCCTACCACCAGGAACTTTAAGAGACTGGGGATACAGGTTCTTCTTTCATGTTCTCTTCCTGCTAGAGGAAATGCCTTCTTAATAGAAAGGACTTGGAGTGTGAATAACAGGTTAGATGATGTCAAAGAAGAGACCAACATGATACCAGAAAGAGAAAGTCTTTGTGAAATAATTCTCCACAGATTCAAGGGGAAAAAAATGCAATGGAAAATAAAATCTGACACACATGACAGGCAGGATTCTTTAAGGACTTAAGTTAACCAAATATTCTCATTTTCTACCTTTTAAGACTTATTGTATGTGCTGTTCCATCAGACCAAAATAAGGCAGGTTTGAGGGAGAAATAAAGCCCAAAATGGAGGACACATTACACTGAAATTGCATTAAGGAGTGGTTTATTCATGGGAACGCAGCTATACGAACTCTGAGTCAGAGATATTAATAGTAGGCAAACTTGCCCACATTGATTCACTGAGTTCACATCAAGCTCCACAGTTTGCCTGACATGAAGCCTTTGAGTCTGTTGCCCCTCCATGAGTCTCAGCTCTGTGTGCCCTCATAGTGACTGCACTGTATTTTTTTCATAGAGGCTCTTTATTTTATACTATGTACACTATATATCTATTCATATCATATATATATAATATATATGGCATTGTATACCCAAATCATATTCTGTATCAGCAATTTAAGGGGATTTCAAGAGCACTTTTGTCTTTACTCAATTTTCATTTCACATACTGACTTTACAAGTTAACTTCCATGTGTGATCACTGTAATAATTAAGCTGTTTTGATTAATTATTACAAATTACCATAGCTGCAGTAACTGAAGGGCCCTGAAGGTGCATTCATGCAAAGTTCGCTAGCGATGCTTGAAGAATCACAGAAAATGCAAAGATACCAGAAGAGAGAGAAATGGAAAAATTAACCAATTTTCTAAAGAAAGATAAAAATATATTCCAGAAATTAAAAACCATCAAATTAATTTGATACCAATATCTAGAAACAAAATACAATTTTAAGATATTTAAATAACTCGGAAGCATTTGGGAAATACAATTAGCAAATGTAATTATACTATGAATAATTCATAGCAAACAAGGCTAATTTAATTTTTTGACCATACTTTCACTGTTTTTTTAAGGAAAAGTCATAAAAATGGTATATCTTAATTTTATTCTATTCTAATAGACAAAATAGAGAATAATATTAATTTATGGATTGCATCAAATTAGAGGGAGCTTGCAGTGGAGTCCTTTATTATTTTGCACTTAGAAATGCCATGGTTTAAATATTTGTCACCTCCAAAACTCATGTTGAAATTTAATCCTGAAGGTGGAAATATTGAGAGGTGGGACTTTTAAGAGTTATTTGGGCCATGAGGGCCCTGCCCTCATGAATGGATTAATCCATGCACAGATTAGTGGATTAACGGGTTATCATGGGAGTGGGACTGGTGGCTCTATAAGAAGGAGAAAAGAGACCTCAGTTAGCACACTTAGGCCTCCTTACCATGTGATGTCCTCTGCTGCCTCAATACTCTTCAGAGAATCCTCACCAGCAAGAAAGCCCTCACCAGATGTGGCCCTTTAACTTTGCACATGTGAGCATCCATAACTATAAAAAATAAATACGTTTTCTTTATAAATTACCCAATTTTAAGTATTCTGTTATAAGCAACAGGAAATTTATCAAGACAGTCCCATCTTGTCCAACATTTCTCTTTAACATCTTGGATGAAAAGCATAGAACAATTATACCTTGTTTGTGGATTTAAAAAAGCTGAACAGGAAAGCAAACACAGACAATTAGTATTGCCCGCCCCCCTCCCCTCCCCACACACACATGAGTAAACCTCATTAAACTAAAACTGAAGAGCAAAGCTAATAAAACTTCATTTAATCGGGAGAAATATAAAGTCTTCATTAAGGTGCAAAATTTAATTTTCCATGCACAGGATTAAGTAGATCCGTCTTGAAAACACATCTTTGGAAAAAAAACTGTTCTTTTTGTGGACTGAATATGCAACAGGAGTCAATCATGTGATGTATCTACCAAAAAACAACTGCAATCTTTAGTTACATTTTCAGTCCCCAAGAAAACGGGAGATTATCTGCCCACTGTGCTCCATACTAGTTGACGACACGTGGAGTATCGTCTTGACTTAAGGGGGATGCACCTTAAATCTAATCCATCTTTAACATGACAGCTTTTCAAATATTTGAAGACAGCTTCCAAGCTGCCTTTTCCAAGCTAAGCATCCCTCTTCCCAATAGAACAAGTTGTTATGTCACCAGGACAATTCCTTGTTAAAGACACTGCCCTCTACACATTTGTCAGCAACTCTTTGTAGTTATGTCATACAACTGAATGGGATGAACAGGATTGAACAGGATGTTCCAGATGTAGAATGACTGGCATAGAAGAGAGTAGGACCTTCACCTGCCCTGTGCAAGTTATTCTTCTATTAACCAAATCTAAAATTACAGTGCAGCTACATTATATATATACTTGCATTTAATTTATACTAATTCTACTATGTGTTTCACCAAAAATAAATTGAAAAGGATACTGCTCACTCAGTGAACACATGCTCCAGAGTAAACATGAAATGAGCAATGTGAATGGGGCATTCACGTTTCACAAATTGAACAGTTTTGATGGTGAGGGCAAAGTGTCACTCACCCTTATGCTTATGAGTGTCACTTATGACACTTAGGAGTGTCATTCATAAGCATAAGGATGAGTGTCACTCATCCTTACTGCTGTCCTTATGGGAAATTTCAGATTTTCAAGATACCTTTGACTTGATGAGAATTTTGTCTTTTTGTCACTTTTGATAACAACATGAGATTCAAGTCTTCTGTATTTTTTTTCTTTTTGGCAGTCACCTCACGTTGTTGAATTTATAGCATTTTTTTTTTTTTTTTTTGAGACGGACTCTCACTCTGTCACCCAGGCTGGAGTGCAGTGGTGTGATCTTGGCTCACTGCAACCTCCGCCTCCCGGGTTCACCTGATTCTCCTACCTCAGACTCCCAAGTAGCTGGGATTACAGGTGCACACCACTATGCTCGGCTAATTTTTGTATTTTTAGTAGAGACGGGGTCTCACCATGTTGGCCAAGCTGGTCTCGAACTCCTGACCTCAAATCGCCCACCCGCCTCAGCATCTGGAAGTGCTGGAATTATAGGTGTGAGCCACTGCACCCGGCCTATAGCCAATTTTTAACAACAGTCTTTTCATACAAACACATTTATATAAAAATGTAAATCAATTCTGCTCTATCTTATACTTTTAGAGTTGTTTTGTTTTGTTTGAGCCTAAGTACAGGATTTTATGTTTATTCCTATTACATTTCTTCCTATTACATACGACTCATCATTCCATATTAATGATTTAGGGGATCAAATTGCTATTAATATTATATTCAGCCTTGTGTCATCTAGTTTCCATAATAAACCAAAGCCTACAGCCTCCCTCTTGGTTGCCATTGCTGATTCATTAAGACTTTTGCACATGTAACAAACCTGCACATATACCCCCTGAATCTAAAATAAAAGTTGAAAAAGACTTTTGCATGAATTACTATATTTCACTGATTCTAAAGTGAATATCTCTTTCACATTTTACATATTTGAAATTATGGCTTAAAATCAGTGGGATCTTCAAGAGAATGAGAAGACAAGCCACAGAGTGGGAGAAAATATTTGCAAAATACATATCTGATAAAGGGCTATTATTTAAAATATACAAAGAACTCTTAAAACTTAACAATAAGAAAATGAACAACCCAATTTAAAAATGGGCAAAAGACCTAAACAGACACCATAACCAAAAATCATAGGAAGATGGTGAATAAACATTTACAAAGATGTTCAACATCATCTGTCATTAGGGAATTGCAAATTAAAACAACAATGAGTTACCACTATGTACCTATTAGAATGGCCAAAATTCAAAACACTGTCAACACCAAATGCTATTGACAATGTGGAGCAACACAAACTCTCATTCATTGCTGATGGGAATGCAAAGCAGTACAGCCACTTTGGAATACAGTCTAGGAGTTCCTTACAAAACTAGACATACTCCTACCAGATGATCCAACAATCATACTTGTTGGTATTTACCCAAAGGAGTTGAAAACTTACGTTCTCACAAAAACCTGCACATGGATGTTTGCTGCAGCTTTACTCATAATTGCCAAAACTTTGAAGCAACTAAGATGTCCTTCAGTAGGTAAATGGATAAATAAACTATGATATATCCAGATGATGGAATATTATTTGGCGCTAAAAAGAAATGAGCCATCAAATGAAAAGATACAGAGGAAACTTAATGCATATTACTATGATAGAACTTAAATAAAAGCAGCCTGTCTGAAAAGGCTACATACTATATAATTCCAACTACATGACATTCTGAATAAAGCAAAACTATGGAGACAGTAAAATGATTAGTGGTTCCCAGATATCAGTGGGTAGAGAGGGATGAATAGGCAGAATACAGAGGACTTTTGGGGCAGTAAAACTATTCTGTATGATAGTATAACAGTGGATACATGTCATATACTTGTTCAAACCCATAGAATACACACCACCAAGGGTGAGCCCTATTGTAAACTATGCACTCTGGATGGTAATGATGTGTCAGTGCAGGTTCATTGATTATAACAAATATCCTAACCCTTGTGCAAGATATTGCTAGTTGGGCAGTTTGTGTGGGGGACGTGGGGTAGATAGGAAGACTCTGTACTTTCTGCTCAAGTTTACTGTGAACCTAAAATTGCTCTAAAAACTAAACCTTATTGCTGGGCATGGTGGCTCATGCCTGTAATTCCAACACTTTGAGAGGCTGAGGCGGGCGCATCTCAAGAGCTCAAGACCAGCCTGGCCAACATGGTGAAACCCCATCTCTACTAAATACAAAAAAAAACAATTAGCCAGGCATGGTGGTGGGTGTCTGTAATCCCAGCTGCTTGGGAGGCTGAGACAGAAGAATCGTTTGAACCTGGGAGGTGGAAGTTGCAGTGAGCTGAGATTGTGCCATTGCACTCCAGCCTGGGCAACAAGAGAGAAACTGTCTCAAAAAAAAAAAAAAAATTAAACCTTATTATTTAAAAAAAAAAATCAATGTGATCTTAAAATCCCTGTTGGCCAGGTGATAGCCATGATATGGCAGTCATTACCTATAGATGCACAAACATGGTCATTGCTGCTCATATTATCAGCACTTCACATGAGTTACATGTACTGTTGAGATTTCTCATGTTAACTTTAAAATTTCTTCAAAAAGATTACACTATGATTTGTTACTAAAACAAAAAGTTATAATAGGCATGGAATAGCACAGAAACAGAGCAATGAGGTACACATTTCATATTAATCAGCAAATAATAGCCATTGGGGTAATGACCACACTCTGTGTTTTCTTGTGAATGGCACGACCTAGGAAAGAAGTGTCATAAGTTCATGAAAATGTGCTGCATTTTATTCCTGAGATAAGTACAAAAGGACCATCAAGTGACAAGTAATGTATTTAAGAGAAATTAAATATATTTAAGAGAACTATGATTACTTTCCTGCTGAATTCTACCAAATATTTAAAGAACTAATACCAATTCTTCTCAAACTCTTCTTGAAAATTGAAGAGGAAGGAATTATTCGAAACTCATTCTATACTCATTCCATGAGGCCAGCATTACCCTGATACCAAAACCAGACAAGGACAAAAAAAAAAAAACTGCAGGCCAAAATACCTGATGAACATAGATGCAAAAATTATCAGCAAAATACTAGCAAAGCAAATCAAACTGTACATAGAAAAGACTGTAAACCATGATACCATGATCAAGTGGGATTTATCCCAGGTTTGCAAAGATGGTTTAACATATGCAAATCAATAAACACAATATATCACATCAACAGAATGAAGAACAAAACCCGTCTGATCATCTCAACAGATGCAGAAAAAGCATTTGATAAAATTCAACATCGCTTCATGATAAGAACCTTCAACAAACTAGGTATAAAAGGAGCATATCACAAGACATTAAAGGCCGTATATGACAAACCCACAGCTAACTTTGTACCGAAGCTTTGACCTTTTCCTGGAACAAGACAAGGATGCCCACATTCACCATTCTTATTCAACATAGAACTAGAATTCCTAGCTAGAACAATTAGGCAACAGAAAGAAATAAAGGACATCCAAATTGAAAAGGAGAAAATAAAATTTTTCCTACCTGCCAATGGCATGATCTTACATATAAAAAAACCCTAAAAGCTCCACCAAAAGACATTTGGAACTGATTAAACAAATTCAGTAAAGTTACGGAATACAAAATTAATATCAAAAATCAGTAGCATTTCCTTACACAAACAACCAACTGGTGGAAAAAGAAATCAAGAAAGTAATCCCATTTACAAGATAGCCTTAAAAAATACCTAGGAATAAATTTAATCAAGGAGGTGAAAGACCTCTACAAGGAAAACAATAAAACACTGATGAAAAAATGAAGAAATCACAAAGAGATGAAAACATATTCATGGATGAGAAGTAATATTTGAAAATAACCACACTACCAAAAGTGATCCTTAGATTCAATGCAATCTCTATCAAAATACCGATGAATTCTTCACAGAAATTTTTTTAATCCTAAAATTCATATGGAACTACAGAAGACTCTGAAGAACCAAGACAATCCTAAGCAAAAAAGAATAAAGCTGAAGGCATCACACTGCCTGACTTTAAAATATACTACAAAGTTACAGACAGTAACCACAACAGCATGGTACTGACGTAAAAACAGAGACATAGACCAATAGAACAGAATAGAAAATCCAGAAATAAATCTACATATTTACAGCCAACTAATTTTCAACAAAGGTGCCAAGAACATTCAGTGAAGGAGAGACAGACTGTTTAATAAATGGTGCTGGCAAAACTTGATATTCATATGTAGAAAAATGAAACTAGACCCCTATCTCTCACCATATATAAAAGTCAAACCAAAATGGGTTAAAGACTTAAATGTAAGATCTGACACTATGAAATTACCAGAATAAAGCACTGGGGAAATACTTCAGGACACTGGTCTGGGAGATGATTTTTTGGATAAGACCTTGAAAGCAGAGGCAACAAAACCAAATATAGACAAATGAGATGGTATCAAGCTAAAAAGCTTCTGCATGGCAAAGTAAACAGTCAACAGAGTGAAGCGTCAACCTGTAGAATGGAAATAAATATTTGCAAATTATCCATTCAACAAGAGATCAATAACCAGAATACATACAGAATTCAAAACAACATAATAGCAAATAATCTGACTTCAAAATAGGCAAATGACCTGAATAGACATTTCTCAAAAGAAGACATATAAATGGCCAACGGGCATATCAAAAAAATTATCAACATTACTAATGATCAGGGAAACACAAAACCACAAAGAGATAGCATCTCACACCTGTTATAATGACTACTGTCAAAAAGACTATAAATAGCAAATGCTGGTGAGGATGCAGAGACAGGGGAATGCTAGTACAATGCTTATGGGAATGTAAATTAGTATAACTACTATGGAGAACAATATGGAGATTCCTCAGAAAACTAGAAATAGGTCTACCACATGATCCAGCAATCCCACTGCTGGGTATGTATCCAAAAGAAAGGAAATCAGTATATTGAAGAGATATCTGCACACCCATGTTTATTGCAGCACTATTTACAATAGCCAAGATAGGGAATCAACCTGTGTCCATCAACAAACGCTTGGATAAAGAAAACATTATATATATATATATATATATACATATATATATAAAAAAAATAGAATACTATTTAGCTGTAAAAAAGAATGAAATTCTGTCATTTGCAAGAATATGGATGGCGTTGGAAGGCATTATGTTAAGTGAAATAAGCCAGGCACAGAAAAATGAATATCACATGTTCTCATTCATATGTGGGAGCTAAAAAAGTGAATCCCATGGACGTAGAGAGTAGAATGATAGTTACCAGATGCTGTGAAGGGTAAGGGGAGAAGGAAATGAAGACAGTTTGATTAATGGATACAGAATGCAGTTAGATAGAAAAACTAAGTTTTAGTATTTGATAGCACAGTAGAGTGACTATAGTTAACGATAATTTATTGTAGATTCACAATAGCTAGGAGAGAAGATTTGAAATATTCCCAACACAAAGATATGATAAACATTAGAGGTGGTGGATATTATAAGCATCCTGATTTGATCACTACATATTGTATGCATGCCCCCAAAATATTACATGTACCCCATAATTATTATGTGCAATTATTATGTATTAATAAAAAAAATCTTCAAGTCAAAGATACATGATCTTATCCACTTACACACTTGATCCATACACCTGTTGCAGATAAAACTTCCATGGTCCTTTAGAACAACCAGGAGTGAACTGAGTAGTGAGAATTTTTCCTTGGCAGATGTGAAAGCAATTGTAAGACAAGCATACGAGTGAAGTCTACAAAGGATAATGAAAGAGCCTAGTGCATGGTTGTTAGAAAGTGAATGCAATCAATGGAGACAGCATAATTAGACAGCAATTAAAAAACGGAAATTTGATGCACCTGGATCAGACATAGCATAACTTCTCTTAGATACGATATTTTCGCTATGAAAATTTGTGCAAAGTGTGATTTTGCACACTTTGAAACATTTGATCAGTTAAAAGAGCCTAAAAACCTGATTCAGGAGGCATATACTTTTTGAAGCAAAGTTGATAGTTAACAGGACATCCTAGTCTAAGGTAACTAGGACAAGCACCTTCACGACTGCAATAGCATCCTAACTTTCCTACCTGCACCCACTTTTGCATCCTGAAATCCTTTCTGCATGCTTTCTAAATACAAATGCACACACATTAATGGGTTTAGACATCTGCATGATTTTCGATTACTCTTAAGAAAAATTCAAAACTCCTTCATGTGGCTCGGTCTGGACCAACTCTCCAGCCTCATCTCACTGCACGATGGCATTGTTGGCGCCAGACACTAAGTTCTTTCAGTTCCTTATATATGCCATGCTCCTGCTTATTGGTGGTTTCTCTGCCTGGTGTTTCACTTACCACTTCACTTCGTTTGGTAAGCTCCTATTCATCCTTCAGCTGCCAGTTCAGTGGTCACTTTCTCAGGGAAGCCTTTCCCAGCCTCCCTGACTACAGCAAGTTTTCTGTACACACACTGCACCATGTCTGTCTTTTGCACCATGTCTGTCTTTTGCACCATGTCTCTCTTTTTCATGGCAGTTAACCTGGTTAAAATTTTTCACTTATTTGTGTGATTATTTGATCAATGCTTTATCTGGTCCTTCCCACACACAAAACAAAAACTGCAAGCTCCAAGGATATAGTAACCATCTTTCTACTCGCCATTGTAATCCCTACTACTATTCCATTATGAAGTGGGTACTCACTAAATGTTAAATGAATTAATGTTAAGTAAAGACACCTCCATATTTCTTCTTTATTTTCTGTAACCACTTCTCATAAATCCTGGAAGTTGGCAGCCCTAATCAAATATGTCTTATTATAATGTTAACAAAATGTGGTGAAAGACCTCAAAAAGATAAAGCTGAAGTGCTCTTCCCATTAATGGTTTGCAATTACACAAAGACTAATGTTTTAAGGAGGATAAGATAGCTAAATGATGAATGGTTGTGATTCCACTGATAAAGAATGCAATTCCTCAGCCAGGTGCTGTGGCTCACTCCTGTAATCCCAGCACTTTGGGAAGCTGAGGTGGGCTTATCTCTTGAGGTCAGGAGTTCGCGGCCAGCCTGGCCGACACAGTGAAACCCTGTCTCTCCTAAAAATACAAAAATTAGCTGGCTGTGGTGGTGCATGCCTGTAGTTCCATCTACTCAGGAGGCTGAGGCAGAAGACTCACTTGAATCTGGGAGGTGGAGGCCGAAGTAAGCCAAGGTCGTACCACTGCACTCCAGCCTGGGTGACGAGAGTGAGACCCTGTCTAAAACAAACAAACAAACAAACAAAAAACAAGAATGCAATTTCTATTATCTTTTTTGTCATATTTGTGATTAACTTCTAAAAAAACAAACAAACAAAAAAACCTACCCAGCCAGAAATAGATATTTTCTTAGGAGAAAACTTCTTGTTAGAGAGGCTCAATTTTAAAAGTGTTAGCTTAGTCAATGTTCTGCATCACTTAAGAATACATAGGGACGGAATGCCTCCGTGATTATAGGGATTTGTTTTTATAAAATCTCAACAATGTCAGTTCTACTTTTTCTGACATTGAAATTGCCTAGGTGCTTTGGAAGACCCTTCAACTACAGAGCAATTAACTCCTGGTTTAAGACACCACTTCTGTGTAAAGATACTTCGCCTTCCAGGCCAGGCACGGTGGCTCACGCCTGTAATCCCAGCACTTTGGGAGGCCAAGGCGGGCGGATCACGAGGTCAGGAGATCGAGACCATCCTGGCTAACACGGTGAAACCCCGTCTCTACTAAAAATACAAAAAAAAATAGCCGGTCGTGGTGGCGGGCGCCTGTAGTCCCAGCTACTCGGGAGACTGAGGCGGGAGAATGGCCGGAACCCGGGAGGCGGAGCTTGCAGTGAACCGAGATCGCGCCACGGCACTCCAGCCTAGGACACAGAGTGAGACTCCGTCTCAAAAAAAAAAAAAAAATACTTCCCCTTCCGAAAAAAAAAATAGAATTAGCTAGGATTGGCGGTGGTGCCAAAACAATAGGCTATGGGGAGAGATTACTATGCTTCTAAGCAGTTATCAATGGTAGTGGTGCCATCTGGAAAATTAGTCTTGGCAAAATAAGTCTGGTCTAGCAGTTACGTCGGAAGGGATCCTAGGATTTTCCCCATTGAGCTGTGAGCATCGAGAGTAGTTGACAAGGTCCCACAGTTAATGGCTACTTCTGGCTACTGGCAGAGGCAAAGTGAATCTTCTCTGGAAGAAAGCTTCCTTAGTTATCAACTTGCGAACAGTGACTCCCATTGAATAAAATCAAGACGTGAATTCACAATCCAATAGCTCAAACACAAAAGAAAGCAATCCATTATGTCTGAGAGACAGTGAACAAAACCAATTATTTTAGACCCTCTTCTCAACTACTGCAGTTATTAAAATGGTCAGATAGAAAAATACAGACCTGCCTTGTAGGTAATATTTTGAAAAATTGAGGATGCATCACATAAAAGACAATCCCAACAGGAAAAATCCCAACAGATTTGAAAAGAAATAAATGCAGCTTTTAGACATTTTTTTAAATGGCATTATTAAAATTAAAAAACTAATCCACAATTAAAGGCCAGATAAGACATTTTAAGAGAGAAATAGTAAACCAGAATGTACGTCAAAAAAATACCTAGCGTATAGTGCAAAATGACGAGATGGAAAAATATTTTTGAAAAACATTAAGTGAAGCGGAAGATAAAATGAGAAAGTCTGCATACATCTAATCAGAATCCCAAAAGGAGAGAATAAAGAGAATGCAAAATAGGAAACAAAATGAGATCTAACAGGCTATCTACAAAGGCACGACAATGAGAATTACACAGTTATCTCAACAAAAATAATGGAATAAAAAATGTATACCCAGAAGAACTCTCTTTTAAGAGAACGAGGGTAAAATAAAGATTCTTTTTCACCCAAAGGAAGTAGATTTCCACCAAGGAACCAGCCAAAATAACTTCTAAAGGATATATTTCAAGATAAAGAATCATTCCAGAATGATAGTTTGAGATGTGGGGAGAAATAATTTTTCAAAAAGGCAAACATATCTATAAGGACAAACATTATATAAAATAATAATAATACACACAGAATTAAAGTACTGGAAAATAATAGCATATAGGTCAGAAGAGGAGTGATGAAAGTTAAAACATTCTAGGATCCTTGCATATTTTAGGAGAGAAGTTAAGATATTATTTAACTTCAAACTCTGATAACATTAAGTTAAGCATGCATGATAATATCTCAAGGATAATAATCAAAAGAATAGAATAAATTTACAGTGTACAAGACCAAAGCATGAGAGATAAAAATACAGAATAATACAAAAATAAACTAACAAAAGTTCAACAAAAATGTAAATAGATTAAACTCATTAGTTAAAAGGTGGAAATTATGAGATAACATTTTTAAGTCCAGCTATATACTGTAAAGAAGAAAACATCTAAGCATAAGAGTTTAGAAAGGTTGAACGTAAAGGGATGAAAAATTATATCCCAGACAGCTATTAGCAAAAAGGAAGCTGGAATAGCTATTTGAATGGTAGTTGCAATAGGTTTTAAGACACAACATCTTAATAAAAGGTTAAATTCACCAGAAATACATTGCATTATAAAATTATGTACATCTAATAAAAAACAGCCCCAAATATATAAAGCAAAACTGATGCAACCTACGGAGAAGCTGACAAATCCACAATCCCTCCCAGTTCCTAATAATCAAGCAGAATAAATATCAGTAATGAATAAGGTCATGAATTAGTGAATACATAGAGACCTTTTTTTGCAACAATTAGAAAACACACATTCTTCTCAAGTAGACATATAACATACATGAAAATAATATCTATGCAAGATCATAAAACAACAAGATTTAAAGAACAGATAACATTGTCTGACCACAATGTAATTAAGGTCCAAGTCAATTACAAATAAATAAATAAATAAATAAATAAAATGTTTTATAACATTTGTCTGTTTAGAAAACAGTTCCTCAAAAAGCTAAACATAAAGTTACCACATGACCCAGCAATTCCATTCCTAGGTATATACCAAAAGAATTGAAAACATATGTCCTCACAAAAACTTTACATTAATGTTCATAGCAGCATTATTTAATTGCCCGAAGTGGGAACAACCTGAATATTCATCAACTGATAGGTAAATAAACAAAATATGGTATATTTGTATAATTCACTGTTATTCCACCATGGAAAGGAATGAAGTATTGATACATGCTTCAACATGGATAAACTTTGGAAATATTATGCTAAGTGAAAGAAGCTAGATCACATATTGTATGTTTCCATTTAAATGAAATAACCAGAATAAAGAAATTTACAGATAGAAAGCACATTAGCGATTGCCAGGGGATGAGAGCAGGAGGTTTGAGGAGTAATTACCAGTGGGTACACAGTTTCTTCTTTTGGGTGATGACAATGTTCTGTAATTAATGGTGATGGCTGTGCAACTTTGTGAATCTAGTAAAACCTCTGAATCGTACCACTGAGAGTGATATAAGTAGAACTACTTCTGTTTCCACCCTTGGTTCTCAAACTCACATAATTATCCCATTGAGGATGGGTACCATAAAAATATCTTTGATTCAAAGTATCTATGTGTCCTGAAGGATGGCACTGAATTCTCGTAAAGTATTGCTTCTAAGCTGGCCCTTCAGTTTTCCCTTAACCAGGCCATTCTAACACTCTATCAGGCCAGCAGGTTCTAGGTGGTGTGAAATGAGATAGTTCCGGTGGATGCCCATTGCCTGCACCTCCTTTTCTTTAAAGGGAGTCCCCTGATCTGATGCAATATTATGTGTGATTCAATACCAGTTAACTAAACAGGGTTAACTCCCAGACAGTGGTACTGAAAGAAAGGCAAACTCATCTTAGATATGCCTGTTCCTGTCTCAGTGAATTGCTGGTCCTTCCAATGTGGCAAGTTTCCAATGTAAACCCCTGCAAATGTTTTCTTCCCTCTCACTACCTCTGACTGGATTACAAACTCATTTGTAATTAGTCATAGTGGCCCAAGGATAGATTAAGCTGACTGGTTTAAGTCAACTATATCCCACCAAAATCACAATTTTAAGAACAGAGGGAGGAGTTCACCCCCACAAATTTCATGTAATTAGGAAAAGGAAAATGGATGCTAGGCAGCTAAAGATGACAAAAACATAAGGTAAATATATCATCTATTACATTACATTACATTACATTACATTACATTACATTACATTACATTACATTACATTACATTACATTAACTGGTTCCTCCTCCTACTATCCAAAACAAGACTTTCCTGTTTGGGACATAACAGTGTAGAGCTGGAATTCCACTGATGAAGAACAAATGTGTACTAAAGCATTCACTACCAAAAATGGCTATCTACATATAAAGATCATAACCGTAGAGGAAAAATGTTTCCAGCTTTGATGGGAAACTTGTTTATCTGAGATCCAAGTCAACAAGTATGTAGAGCATAAGATATACACCAGATGCCACTGGGAAATACAAGAATGAGTAAAATACAATCCTGCTTACAAAAAAAAAAAAAACAAAACCCTTTAACATTCAGTGGAGATTATTGGAGTTTCAGATAGGGATGTTGTGCAGCCTCATGGAAACAAGCACACGTTTCTGCCCTACCGTCTCAAAGTTTTGTTTTCTGAAGGTCTTAAGGTGTCAGCACTGCCTTCTTCCTTTGTTCTTCACCAAATTAAATGCTAGACAGATCGTGACTAATGTTGCATATTAGCTTGTTGATCATAATTGCCGATTTAAATTAACAGACATACTTACCAGGAAACATTTGAGGAGAAAAAATTCCTTCAGGGGTAAAGAGTTCAATGCAATTAAAAAAAAAAAAAAAGGAAGAGAAAAAATTATAGTCTGGTTTTCCAGATAAAAGACAAGGTAGGTAAAGTAAAAGAATTGACTGCCTGTAAACTGGGGTTTTCCTGACCTTCCTTGAGTCCATTCACTCTTAGAATCACTAATATCCCTATTTTTAATGTTCACATTACCTACAGGAAGTCAGGTAGTAATTATCAGCAAACTCTACCTGGCTTCCAGGGTTGTTCAAATCATCAACAAATACACTGTGGACTTCTAACCAACTGTATAGAATATTGCAAAACACTTTTTATCAGACAGTTTGAAAACAAACAAACAAAAAATACTCCAGGTAACAGATATAAAAAGGGAATTCAGAGTCAGAAGCTGAGCAGTTGCAGAAAATTTATAGAAATATCTAAACCAATCAGAGCTCTTAATTGGGCTAGATCCTGGAGCTTTAAAGCTTGTACCTGACAGAGAATCCATGGTTTACGGCTATGCAAATGGAAGCTGGAATGAGATATCTACTGAAATCCAGGAAATAAAGACAAACTTCTCTGTTCATGAAACAAGAAACAGAAAATTTCTAATTACTGTCTAGAGAAACAGTAAAGAAACTTGCTATACACTAACAGCTAGGAGAGAAAAAAGATCCACTCTTGAGAAGCTGCACCACACATACGTGTGAGGTTCTCGCTTGTTTAACCCATGTAGTATACATTTATACACCAAGAAATTTGCATAAAAAACAATTCAGAATCAGTGAAAGCCATTCGGCTTTGACAGAGGCAAATGCAAAGTAAAGATAATCCGCTAGTCGAGGAGATTATTTATATTCCCTAAAATATAATCACTGCTAAGATTTTGGTATGTGTTTTTCCAGGCCACATTTTTCCATGGATTAAAATACCCACATCATATAAATATAGTCTGTGTGTTAGTGGAAGAGGGTCATTCTTACTGCCATCTTGAGTTTTGACATCGAATTTTTCTCTTTTGTTTTTACTTCAAGTTCTGGAGATACTGGATTGCTTTATGGTGTTGCTTTGTATTGATCCCTTTCGTGACCATGAGAGAATGTGTCTCTCATAAAATAATAACAATAAAAAGGCAAAGTCTAATTCATACAACATAAAAAGTTGGCTTAAAAAAATTTTCCTTGGGGATTAATAGATAATCTGTCCCTTTATTCTCACATAAAATCCATTAGAAGTCAAAAAACTCTTCAAACTTTTTTCTCCACATAGAACCTAATTTTGATCAAATGTAAGAAAGGTTTTATGACTAGCTGCTTCCCAAGCCTTGACTTTTACTTTAATCTTTACCTGTGTTTTGAGGATGCACACTCACTCACTCTGTCCTGAATCTTAGTCTCTTAACCTCTTAATCTCCTGGTTCCTTTTGCTTTCTTCAACACTGAGGACAAGAAAAAGGCTCCCATCCTCATTGCTTGAAGCACTGATTCACAATCTTTTCATTTATCACTTTTCAGCTGGTTCTAGAATATATCTCCCTTCCTCTCCATTGTAGAGGGATAAAATAAAATACCTAATTTTATAATCCATATTTTTAACATAATTTTTATTTATACCACAATCCCGGAATTTTCAGTCAAATTTTTTTCAAAGCAATCCCCCCCACCCCTCCCTTCTCTTTGCAAGGCCACTGTTTAATCCAGTTGAGTTTTTATATGAAAAACGTTTTAAGCGGCTCCAGTTGCTGATTTTACAAAGAATAAAAACAGAAATGATAGGAGCATTTGGCAAGAACCCTTAGACCTGAGCAGCAACCCACCGATACAGTCCTGCTACAGAAGTGATTTGTTTTGTTTCATGAACTTGTACAAGCAACTCTTTCTTTTTCAGTGCAAATGTAGTCACAAAAGGGAAAAAGACCAGCACACCATGGGGAGCACATATTCGGTTCTTTAACCAACTTTTAAAAATATGTTTTATGTCAATATCTAAATTACATAGAGCAGGCTGACACGCTCTCTTTTCCTTTTGTTTGTGAACTCTATTCTGAAAGTGGGTGTGAAATAATCCTTTTGCTTGTGCTTCTGGATTGGCTTTGATGAGTCAGATATTAAATATGGCTGGTTCAGATGTCACATATCGATGCAGGGCATAAATGTCAGCGTTTAGATGGGGAATAATTGGATTCATATCTATGTTATGTTTTCGAATTGCTGGGTCAGTTCTGGGTCTCCTGCTGTAAATTCTTCAACACAGACCCAAGTAAAAGGAATGTGACAGATTTAATACCTTGAATAAGTTATTAACTGTAAGGATGCATAAAACAGTGGCACTGCTGAGCAGAGAACATTACACTGCTCATAATTCTGTAAATGAAAATTCAAGTGTTTTTTTCATTTTAGTGAAATTTTTTTTCATTAGCTCTGTTGCTTTACTCAAGAAAGTTCTTTGTGTTTGATCTAATGTAAAATAATCACTTTTATTTGGCTATTTAATTTATGAATGTTTAAACTCTAAAATCCAAGTGTGAGAGAATGGATTTGATAAGAGAAGGGAGTTGTTGATAATGTTTCACTTCCCAAAATGTCAAGTGGCAGTCAGGTGGCTACTGTTGACTGCAACTGTGATTTTTCATGAGAACAATATCTAGTGCAAATCCCATTATAAAGACTTCATGAAATATCACCATTTATCGTCATAGCATATTTGCCTTTTTGTTATGGCCTAAAAGAAAGAGAACTGAAATCTAACCACACCTATTAATTTTAAAATTATTTGAAAAAGAAAAAACAAACAAGAAAGAAGCCAAGAAGCCAGGAGGAGAAGGATGGGTGTTTTTCATACCTCCCAGCATCAGCACTAGAGTCTTTAATGGTGGCTGGTGCTGGAGAGTAGCTTGGGTTTTTCTGCAGTAGAATAACAGCAGTGACTCTCTTATGCCTGTGTTACCAGGCCATCCCCACTCCAAGAAAATTCTTCATTTCTACAGCATCTTTTATCATTGCAAGCTCAGAGTGGACAGGGAAATTCAACACAATTACATTCATTTGGCCATCCATTTTATTACTTAAACATTGAATACCTCCTATAGAAAAAGTCAGTCACTGCCAATAAAGAGCTGTACTGTAAGTTATGCAAGAGTTTCTCAAACTTGGCTTATTCAACACCACCTTCTCTACTTATTTAGCACATACTTTTACAGGTACTCTTCCGAGTACTTTATGAATACTAGCCCATTTAATCCTCACAGCAGTCCAATGTCCTCTTTTATTGCCACAAGAAATTGAGGTTCACAGAAATCTAGTAATTTGCCCAAGATGACACCTTCACAAATTTTGCAGTGTCCACATCTCATCTACACATTATTTATCTGCTAATTTTCTTTAAGTGACTTTTTTCTCCTTAAGTAAAAGTATACTTAAGGAGTCTTATTGCTTCCATAAAAGGACAACAAATATTACCATGAGCTTAATAAGGTAATTATATTTTCAAATATACATTAAAATAAATACATATATCACATCACACCCACTAGGATGGCTACAATCAATAAAATGGAAAATAACTAGTGTTGGTGAGGATAGGGAGAAATTGGAACCCTCACACTCTGTCAGTGGGGATGTAAGATGCTGTAGCTCGGCCGTGCGTGGTGGCTCACGCCTGTAATCCCAGCACTTTGGGAGGCTGAGGCTGGTGGACCACCTGAGATCGGGAGTTCGAGACCAGCCTGACCAACATGGAGAAACCCCATCTCTACTAAAAATACAAAATTAGCCAGGGTGGTGGCGCATGCCTGTGATCCCAGCTACTAGGGAGGCTGAGGCAGGAGAATCACTTGAACTCAGGAGGCGGAGGTTCTGGTGAGCAGAGATTGCGCCATTGCACTCCAGCCTGGGCAAAAAGAGCGAAACTCAGTCTCAAAAAAAAAAAAAAAAAAAAAAAAAGTGCTGTAGCTACCATGGAAAACAGTTTGGTGGTTCCTAAAAAAATTAAACAAAGAGTTATTGTATCAGCCAGCAATCTCACTCCTAGAAATGTTGCCCAAAAGTTTGAAAATAAGGACTCAGATACTTGTACATGGATGTTCATAGCAGCATGATTCATAATAGCCAAGAAGTGTAAACAACCCAAATGTCCACCAACTGCCGAATGGATAAACAAAATGTGACACATCCATACAAATAAATTTCCAAATAATGGAAAATTATTTGACCATAAAAGGGATCAAAATACTCATACATCATACAAAATGGATGAACCTTGAAAACACGCAAAGTGAAAGAAGCCAGACACAAAAGGCCACATATTGCACAATTTCGTTTATAAAAAATATTCAAAATAGGTAAATCCATAGAAACAGGAAATAGATTCATGGTTGTCAGAAGATATAGGGAGAGAAGAATGAGGAGTGACTGCTGAATTCCTATGGGGTTTCTTTTTGAGGTGATAAAAATGTTCTGAGATTAGATAGTAATAATCAATGGTCAGTTTTGTGAATATACTAAAAACCACCAAAATCCACACCTTTAAAAGGGTGAGCCTGATGATATGTGAATTGGATCTCAATAAAGCTTCTATTTTAAAAATAGAAAATAAAAGAGAAAGTTTTTAAAAGATGCTTCAGGGATACTGCAAATATCTTCTTTCATTTGTAAGGCAAACATTTTTTGTATGTGAATAAGGATTTTCCAGGTACTATACAACAGAAACAAAACACAGAATTAAAAAATGGATGGAGAGGATGGTTTTTAAAAATACACACATATTACATTTTTAAAGATGTGATTGTGTTCCATCTAAAATAATTTCATGTGTACTACCAGAGGTAAACGCACCAAGATTTGGCAAACCCTGTTGACTATCACAGTGTTCAGCAAGCCTGGGTTTAAAGCCCAGTTTTAGCACTTACTATGTGAGCTGGGAAAGTTCTTTAATGTTTCTAAAACTTGATTTCTTCATCTGTAAAATAGGGATAATTCCTGGGAGTGCCAATATCAGGGAAGCCTGGGTCATTAACTTAATACAGTAACATGTCTCAGACCCTTGTTATAGACTAGAAAGGCAATGTGCTAGAAACATTATGGGTAATGTCATTGTATACTCTTAAAAACTGTATGGTCCAATTTAAATATAATAACCAAGTGTATAGTCTTCACTGTGCACAATTCCTCTAGGTACTATTGAAAAGCTAATGTCTTCTAAAGTCATACCCACTAAAAGGGTTATTGATACAGAATCATTGCCTTCTTCAAATTCCTTAAATTCAGACTCTGTTGTCTGACAGATCATACTTCGTTTTTAAAATTTTAATACATCAACTTATGGTAAAGTAAAAAGATTCTATCATTCTGCACTCTAGTAAAGCTATACCAAAAAATTGTTTATATTCTATTTATATTTATGTTTTAAATTTACAAGTTGTGGGGATCTTGTATATACCCTCAAAAGGGTTACATCTTAGAATGCTGAAAAAATTTGCTCAAAAATCTATAAACTTGCCAAAAAGAAAACATAAATAAAGTACAGAAACTATTACTCAACTCTTAATTGACACTGGGGTCTTGGTGTATCCTATTGGCTTCTGAGAGACCCACTCATGTACAACAGCATTCATTAACTAAAAATAAATTTCAAATGTGCAGATTCAGTGACAATAATAATAAACAAATGCCAAATTACTACGATATATTATACCCTTGCACCAGCAATCGAAATGAGCTTGGAGTCTTTGAAAGTCCATGTAGCAATAAAAGTATGGCCCCCAACTGGATCAGAAATGTGAGTGTGAAAACACTTTTTCTTTTAAAGAGTCTATGTAACAAGTCCTGAAGTAATAATTCAAATATTAAGCACACTATTACTCCTATCTCTTAGTCTCATATTTGATTGAATGCTTAGGAACCTACCTCACAGGGAGATGTTATGTTAACCAGTCAACTTTGCAAAGCAATCAAGGTTACCAAAACAGATAATGTTTACAAGACAAGGTCAAAAAGAACTTCAGCAACTTTTAGCACCTGAGTTAATCCCTAGTTTAATTTTTTCAAGTGTTTCCAGTCTGTCCCTAATTATTACTATTTAACTCACCCTTTATACAGAGCCAAGTAGAGTGAATTGGGCCCATGGGTTTTACATTTTTGTTAAAAGACAAAGGTAACATTTAACCAGGTTGAATTGTGGGTAGCAGCTCACTTCATGATTTTTTTCAGAGGAAATTTGACTGAACACATGGAGCTGGGTTTTGCAACAAGGTCACTATTTGCTTTACAAGTAGGTCTATATAAAATGGTATTTGGCAAGTATTCACCAAAACCCCTTACATTGTCCCACAGCTGAATTATTGTCCTTCCTGCTACCTTTCAATTACCAAAATAAAAAGGTCAGACTCATGACACTTTTTTAAAAAGTACAAATGTGAGTTCTGTTAGCAGTAACTATTTGTAACAAACTTCCATTTCTATTAACCACATTAGGACAGTGATATTTTCCTACATACATTCTGTGAGCTCAATAAATGCTCTCTGACAAAGCTGAGCTCTAATATGTGTGTGTGTGTGTGTGTGTGTGTGTGTGTGTGTGTGTGTGTGTGTATTTGTGTGAGAACATGCAAATATACAAATTGCCAAGTTGCTAAATGTCTGTTTATGTGTTTCCACAGAAGTGCTACTCTTCACAAGTGCCTAAAATGTAAAGATATATAGAAATAGGTATAAAGACCCAGGTATAGAGACACTAAATTATAATCAAATTAGAAAAGTAAAAGAAGTATATGTGTCTTATAGTACACACATTAATGGGGAAAACATTCTAGTTCGAATTTTAATTAACAGCTAAAAATTTAGAAAGTATTATCTGCTTTCAATGATAAAGTACTGAGTATATTTATTATTCAACTTATAAGTATTCCCAGATTTTATTAATAGGCTTATATTAGATTTGTTTTCTGTAAATTAAATCAACAAAGAAAATTAGCAACAAGCAGGGACTCCCTAGAAAAACTTTTATTTAAATTTTTAAAAATTATAAATTTAAAAGTTCTGTATAGAAAAAGAAGAACACATAAGTAAAGATACAAAATGAACTGGAAAAAATCCATGACATATATGACAAACAGAAAAGTAATATAATAAATATATAAATAATAATTTAAAATCTATAATAAAAAGATTAATATCTAAATTAAAATGTGGGCAAAGGCCCTGAGTGGGCAAGTCACAAAAGAAAGAATTAAAATGTCCATTAAACATGTAAAAAGATATTCAACCTTACTTGTAATTGACAGAAAGCAAATTTTAAAAGAGGAGAGAAACTTTTGACCTAGAAAAGTCCCACGTGTTTTTAAACTGGTAATATGAGGAGAGTTCAAAAAGCTCATGGAAAATGCATATTATAAAGAAACTATACATGGATTTCAAATTTTTTGCCCTCATACTAACTTGTAACATTCCTGAACAGGATGTGGTTTGAAGCACTAAGAAGGATAAGATATCAGTTTGAAAACACCCAGTATCAGAACAACATGATTTCTGCTAAAATTGAAGCCAGAACAAACATCAAATTTATGGTGAAGCTTGGGAGGAAGAATGGGGAAATCACTGATGGGATGAAATGGTGAGAAGATGAAGCCCACAGACAATCCACATCAATTTGAGGGGAAAAAATTAATCTTTTTGCTGCCCTAATTGAGGAGGACCAACAATTAACAGCAGAAACAATATTCAACACCATAGATATCTCAATTGGTTCAGCTGACACAATTCTGACTGAAAAATTAAAGTTGAGCAAACTTTCTACTGGATGGGTGCCAAAACTGTTGCACCAGATCAGCTGCAGACAACAGCAGAGCTTTCAATGACAATTTTAAACAAGTGGGATCAAGATCCTGAAGCATTTCTTCAAAGAATTGTAACAGCAGATGGAACATGGCTTTACCAGTACAATCCTAAAGAGACAGTACAATCAAAGCAATGGCTACCAAAAAGTGGAAGTGATCTGGTCAAAGCAAAAGTGGACCAGTCAAGAGCAAAGGTCATGGCATATTAGTCTGTTCTCACACTGCTATAAAGAACTACCTGAGACTGGGTAATTTATGAAAAAAGAGGTTTAATTGACTTACAGTTCCACAGACTGTACAGGAAGCATGGCTGGGAGGCCTCAAGAAACTTACAATCATGGTGGAAGGTGAAGGGGAAGTAAGCATGTGTTATCATGGAGGAGCACTAGAGAGAGAGAAGAGGGAGGTGCCACACACTTTCAAACAACCAGATCTCATGAGAACTCACTATCATGAGAACAGGAAGGGGAAAACTGCCCCCATGATTCAATCACCTCCCACCAGGCCCCTCTCCCAACACATGGGGATTACAATTCGACATGAGATTTGGGCGAGGACACAGAGCCAAGCCATATCACATGGCAACAGTTTTTTGGAAGGCGCAAAGCATTTTGCTCGTTGACTTTCTGGAGGACCAAAGAACAGTAACATCTGCCTATTATGAGAGTGTTTTGAGAAAGTTAGCCAAAGTTTTAGCAGAAAAACACCCAAGAAAGCTTTACCAGAAGAGGTCTTCTCTGCTCTGCTCATTCCTCTTGTCAAACAAAGACAATTTTGTAAGAATTTCGATGGAAAATCATTAGACATCTGCCTTACTCTTCTATTTGGCTCCTCATGACTTCTTTTTGTTTCCTAATCTTAAAATATCTGTAAAGGGCACCCTTTTTTCTTCAGTTGATAATGTGAAAAAAACTGTTTTGACATGATTAAATTCCAAGGTCACTCACTTCTTTAGGGATGGACTAAATGACTGGTATCATTGCTTACAAAATTGTCTTGAACTTGATGGAGCTTATGTTGAGAACTAAAGTTTATATATTTTTATTTTTATCTTTTAATTCCATCTTTCCATGAACTTTTTTAAAATATTGAGATGGGAGTCCCACTATGTTGTCCAGGCTGGTCCCGAACTCCTGGGCTCAAGCAATCCTCCCACCTTGGCCTCCCAAAATCTTGGGATTACAGATGTGAGCCACCACACTCAGCCTCCATGAAATTTTGAATCCCCTCATACATAGTATTGGTGATATTGGTCTCAATACAAGCACTCCCATTTTGTGAGTCAGGGTATAAACTGACTATACCTTTCTGGAGGGCAATTTGGCAATATTGTGTCAAGACATAAATATGCCTACCCTTTGATGCGACAATTCCAATTCCAGGAATTAATCCTAAGGAAATCATCAAATTAATGATCAAAAATACATACTTATACATGTTATGTAAATATAAACATAAATATGCGTGTGTGTGTGTGTGTGTGTGTGTGGTGGTATTGTATGTAAGATTCCATAAAACTTGAAAAAACCCAAATCTCTAAAAAAACAGGATAAATTAAATAATTTACTATGGCACTCTCAAATAATGAAATGAGCAACTATTTAAAATGAAAATGTAGAATTACATTTATTAACAAAAATTTTAAGGTATATTATTGAGAAACTAAGTTTTGAAACAGTTTTGGTCCTTTTTTTGTAAGAAATGTGTGTAACAAAAGTTTAGAGTTATGCTAAAATAAGAACATTAGTTGTCTCTGGGCAATGAGATTTTATATAATTTTTTTCTTGCTACCGTTCTGTATAGTTTAACTTTTTGGCAGTGTATGTATTATCTTTATAATCAGAAAAAGATCTCAACTTTATCTTATTGATATTCTTTTCCCCAATTCCCCAATTTTAGGAGCAGCAAAAAACATGACCCTACAAGTCAAACTGTTGACTACTGAACCTTCAAATTATTAATTATTGCCCTAACAATTCCCTCCTCTCTATTGGAAATACTCAATTTCTAAATTGCAATGTCTAACTTTCCCTTAATCTGTAGAACACAAGAAATCAATGTGAGTGACAGGAGTGACAGGTATTTATGTTTCTTTTCCTTTCCCAACACTTCTAGCACAGTTCTGCTGGAAATACATATGGTATTTATTCAACAAACACTGCTTCAATTGTAGTATCACAAGGATCCTGGAGACTTCCCAGTGTGGTCCATGGTAATGTGATATCAGTTAAAGAACTAAGTTGTTGGATTATCCAAAATAATAAAATAAATTATACTTCCCTGAGGTTTCTTCTACATCTAATTGATTAACACAAAACAAAGCTACATTATAATATACAGAAGAGGAGGATTTTTCTGATTCACAAATGACATAATTTATAAAATAGCAAAGCCATCACACTGATGGGACTGTTGTTTTTCTACATTACTTAGCAATCATGAAGCATGACAATATGAATTTTTTTGGGTGTTTTATAAAAACTTCTTAGAAGAGTTGGACGTAAAGATTACCGATCAGAATACTACCCTTTAAGACCTTTCCTCCTCATCCACTGAAAAGATACCAGCTAGAGCACTGGGAACCCACCAAGCAGACCAAGTGGAGGGCAGTGGTTTTAGGTATCCAGGTTGTGAGCAGCACATGGGCATGTTCACCTAGTAGACTTGCACCCTAGTATCTTTTAACACAATAAATGCAGTTGGCTCTCCATATCAGTGGGTTCCACATCCATGGATCAAACCAACTGCAGATCAAAAATATCCAGACAGGAAAAAGTTGGTGGTTGCATCTGTACTGAACATACACAGACTTGTTTTCTTGTCATTATTCCCTAAATAATACAGTATAGCAACTATTTACATAATATTTGCATTCCATTAGGTATTACAAGTAATCTGGATATGATTTAAAGTATTTGGGAGGATGTATGTAGGTTGTATGCAAGTAGTATACCATTTTATATGAGGGATTTGCACATCCCTGGATTTTGGTATCCAGCAGGGTCCTGGAACCAATCTCCCACAGATACCAAGATACCACCATACAAAAATTATATTATCTATTCTGTATAGTTTAACTATCCATTCTGTATAGTTTAACTAGTATTATCCATTATGCACCATTCATTTTTAAAACTGGATATACTGGATTATAGGATCTGCAAGCCATTAATATACTGGATTATATTGCCAATTTTTTGCCACTGACTCATCTTTCACTACAGAACTCACTACATTGCAGAGTTTTTATATCCTTATCAGTAATGTTAAGAAAATATGTAATCCTTGAAGAGTTTTGTTTTTAAATTACTAGACTGATCACTAAATAGCATGATGTCATTTGAGGCTCTGTTGCATTTATTACTGTGCTCTTTAGTGAGGGAAGAGTTCTTCATTTTCATCCAAAATTTTGTTTTTCTAATTTGAAAGTCATACAGGCTGAAAAAGACATTGTAACAAACCATAAAGGTATAAAGAAATGAAAACAACCCATACTATACCATTCTCAAATAGGATGAGTGTTTTGTACATGTCTTATAGCCAAAAGGTTAAGTGGGCAGGCTGGTGAAACCATAGTGCCCAGGGTTCAAATCCCAGATTTGCCAGTTACTAGTTCTGTGCCCCTAAGCAAGTGGCTTTGTGATTCAGTTTCTGAAGAGAAGGGAGGAGGGAATTAGTAGAGAAGAACTTTTAATGGGTGGTTATGAGAATTAAATAGGTTAATATATATATACAAGTGCTTGGAACAGTGCCTGGCACATGGTCTCATGTTAACTATAGCTATTATTTCTATTTTGAATTTATACATTAAATATATGGAATATACACATATGGAATCATATTGTTTGGCATCCTGCTTTTTCACTTAACAAATTACCTTGAGCATCTTTTTTTACCTTTTTTAAAATTTTTTCATGTAAATTAATATAGAATTGTGTAATCATTTTAATCACTACATAGCATTAAATTGCAGAGATGTATAAAATTCTGTAACCAATCAGAGGAAACCATTGTAAAGGCTCCATTCCATAATATAACCTCATCATGAAGATCAAACTGGGTTATTAAGCAAAAAAAGTGAAAGTATAGCCTGCTACTAAATCTTTAAAGTTTTTTACCAGCTTCACAAATTAGTGTCAAGAGGAAGAAGGACAGTGGGGAAGAGGCAGAGGGGAAGAAGGAGGCACACAGTGATTTTTTAAAAAGAGAGTTCTTTTAAAACAAAAAACTAATGTGCAATCCTTATAGCTCTCCTGATTGTTTATCCTCAGAAAATAACATCAAAGGCTCTTCAAAATCTCCTAAGTTAGTACCACTTGCTTTGGCTGATTTCATCACCTAAAAGATCTTACTTCAGATTGTTTCAGGGGAGAAACTGTCCCTCAATTAACCCTGTTGTCAGCAACACATGAAAAATAACCATGAAACAGAGCTATTTATAAACTGAATTTTGTAAGAAGAGGACCAAAAAGACTGATCTCAGATATTTGGGGTATAAAATACAGAGAGCATTTCAGTATATATTTCTATATAGAACTTTTTTTTTTGTCATGGGAGACTATAAAGTTTATGATCTTACAGGAATTTTTATTGCTGATGTATAGTATCTACAATGCTGATGTAGAAAAAAAATCATCTTCTCTGCCTTATCACCCAAGGTTTGAGTTCATGGTCATATCAAACTTCCAGACCAACCTTCCAAATTTTAAGGCCACGTTCTTATAGTATGGGGAGGATTCATATGGTCAGGAATATCATTGCAACAATCTTAAAGACCAGTCCAAAAAACCCTCTCAGTTTCAGAAATATTTCAAAACTCTTCCACATTCTTCAAAATCACAGGTTTGTGCTAAATCTGAAAAACAAAAGTATACTACTCTTTTTTCTATACGTGAAGATAACTTTATTGACCAACCTTCAGGCCCAGTGCTTTGGACTCGACCAGGCTCATTCACATCTGTGATGGATTACAAAGGACATGTGTTTTCAAGGCTAGAATTTAGTTTGTGACCATGGAATAGAAAACTTTAGTTAAGGGAGACCAAATGTTAAGCTCTGGTCTTATTTTTATATATATATACCAACCAATGATTCCTAAACTAGCCATGACTAATAATCCCCTGGGAAATTTTCAATGCAGATTCTCAGGTCCAACCCCAAACCTATAGAGTTGAAAACTCCAGGACCAAAACCTAGGATGTATTTATAACAGTTTAACACATATAATATATATACTTATGATATATATTACATATGTATAATATATATATATTTCCTCAAGAAATATTAATGCAAGACAGCACATATCCATCTATGGACTGGAATTTGGGAGGTACTGCTCTAACTACCTGGGTTAGACAGTATATTCATTTAGACAAATATTTCTAAGAAGTTACTGTGGTTATGTCTCTGGTGATACAAAGGAAATAAGTGTGAAATCCCTGTAAACAAGCTACTGAGTCAGCATTCCAGCATTCCCCAAAATGTTTTCCATGAGATGTTTATAGGTATTACATTTAAAAAGGGATTCATGATCAAATAAATTTGGTAAACTCTGGATTAAGCAAATTTAACTCATTTCTTTACTTCGGAATTTTTCAGGGACTTTAATATGTTGTGTCTTTCCAAGAAGGAAGTCAAACTTCTCTCTACATGGAATTCTTTTTTCACAGAGTATGTCTTAGAACAAATGTTCCAAAGAATACAGTTTTGGAAGTGCTGAACTAGATTATCAATTTCTTATGGACAATGATCATGACTTTCTACATTTTTCAACTGCTTGTAGTACCTAAAACAAAGATTACTAGTACATGGAAAGTCAGTTGGTCAAATGAATTCTCACAATCTGAAGGGTAGGTTTATTATCCAAGATGTTAAGGAAATGGAGGCTGAAAAAGCATTAAAGATTGCCTGTGCCTACAGAGTAAATCGGTCGTTTATTCCATTACTTTTTTGAATTTCATTTCTTCTTTTGGAGTGTTGGCTCATATTTATGCCCCCAGTAAAGCAATGGCTTACTTGTGAACTGCCAATTTGTCTCTTACTAACATTTTTAAATTAGCCTTCATAGATGCTAATAATTTTACTCAGAAGAAAGCTGTGTCTGTGGAATGATGTTAGAACTGTGACAGCAGAAACACCATAGGAGCCAAGGAGCTTAGCATGCCTCAAAAGGTGAGAATGGTACACATATGCACCAGTTTTTCTTATCAAAACGTATCAGCGCTTGTACAGGAATACAAGAAGAACACTGAGGAGAATAATCACAGCCTAAGGGAAACAGCATGGTAGTCTTGTAGCTACTTCCAGCATAAGGACCTTGCTGGGCATTATCTGCCAGGCTGTGGTGCGGGAAACCATTATACAGCATGGAAAAGTGAACTTGGCAAATGAAGGATAGGAGGAAAATCAAAAGAACAGTTTCTGTCATCAATTCTCCTTTTCCAGGACTGAAGCAAACTTGTTTGATATTTTTAGTTTGCTTGATTCTGAATGGCATGAAAATGCTTCCATTTCACTGGGGGAGGGCCAGCTGGAGTGAAAATCAAATGGCTGAGAACTGAGGTTTTACGTTTTATCTTTTAATATAGGAAAGAAAAGAAAAAAGACTCTATCTCAGAGTGGTTAGAAACCAAATTGTTTTTTATAGTCTGCATCCTGCTTCGATGAAATGGGGGTGGTTTTCATGATGTCATCCACATGGTTTAAATAAACAGTATACTAAGGTTAACAAGCTACAATCATAACAGAACTAGTAGGGGATTATAGCTGGGCTAATTTGATCAATTACTTTCAGTTCCAGAGGTCTCTAGATGAGACAGAAGCCAGTATACACATTTTGGCAGATGAAAAATTAGTTTGGTCAACACATACCCTGATGGTAATGAACATTCTTTCAAACTTCATTTTTCATCCCCAAGAGAGAAGAATCCCACTAATGCCAGTCACTGCCACTCAAAACCAGCCAAAAAGATAACTGTATTTTAGGAGCCAGAAATTTGCATTCCATGGGGTAGGCTAGGACTAGTCTTTTAGCTCCTCCATTGTGCCTGTGTTATATTTTAAGTTTTCCTCTCATTATTTTTCTCTTCAAAATTAATTGAAACTAGGAATAACTATCTAAAGTTTGTTTTTTTGTTTTTGTTTTTGTTTTTGAGATGGAGTTTTACTCTTGTCGCCCAGGCTGGAGTGCAATGAGGTGATCTCGGCTCACTGCAACTGCCACCTCCCAGGTTCAAGTGATCCTCCTGCCTCAGCCTCCCAAGTAGCTGGGATTACAGGCGTCCGCTACCATGCCTGGCTAATTTTTTGTATTTTTAGTAGAGATGGGGTTTTGCCATGTTGGGCAGGCTGGTCTCGAACTCCTGACCTCAGGTGATCTGCCCTCCTCAGCCTCCCAAAATGCTGGGATTACAGGCATGAGCCACGGCGCCAGGCCAACCATCTAAAGTTTTTAGTCATTCTATGCTATGCCTTCAACAGTTGATATTTTTGTTTTTATTTTTTTTTCCATAGCACGTTTGTTTGTTTGTTTGTTTCCATAGCATGTTTGTTTGTTTGTTTTTTCCATAGCATGTTTGTTCTGGGATACATGTGCAGAACCTGCAGGTTCATTACATAGGTATACATGTGCCACAGTGGTTTGCTGCACCTATCAACCCATCATCTAGGTTTTAAGTTCTGCATGCATTAGGTATTTGTGTTAATGCTCTCCTCCCCTGCCTCCTACCTCCGGACAGGCCCTGGTGTCTGATATTCCCCTCCCTGTGTCCATGTGTTCTCATTGTTCAGCTTCCACTTATGAGTGAGAACATGCAGTGTTTGCTTTTCTGTTCCTGTGTTAGTTTGCTGAGGATGATGGTTTCCAGCTTCATCCATGTCCTTACAAAGGACATGAACTCATTCTTTTTTATGGCTGCATAGTATTCCATGGTATATATGTGCCACACTTTCTTTATGCAGTCTATCATTGATGGACATTTGGGTTGGTTCCAAATGTCTTTGCTATTGTAAATAGTGCTGCAGTAAACATATGTGTGCATGTGTCTTTATAATAGAATGATTTATAATCCTTTGGGTATATACCCAGTAATGGGATGGCTGGGTCAAATGGTATTTCTGGTTCTAGATCCTCGAGGAATTGCCACACTGTCTTCCACAATGGTTGAACTAATTTACACTCCCACCAACAGTGAAAAGCGTTCCTATTTCTCTGCATCCTCGCCAGCATCTGTTGTTTCCAGACTTTTTAATGATCGCCATTCTAACTGGAGTGAGATGGTATCTCATTGTGGTTTTGATTTGCATTTCTCTAATGACCAGTGACAATGTGCTTTTTTTCATGTTTCTTGGCTGCATAAAAGTAAACAGTTTTTTAACTTTTTTTTAATTTAATTTTTTTTTTTTTTTTTTTTTGAGATGGAGTCTTGCTCTGTCACCCAGGCTGGACTGCAGTGGCACGATCTGGGCTCACTGCAAGCTCCGCCTCCTGGGTTCACGCCATTCTCTTGCCTCAGCCTCCTGAGTAGCTGGGACTACAGGCGCCTGCAACCATGCCTGGTTAATTTTTTGTATTTTTAGTAGAGACAGAGTTTCACCATGTTAGCCAGGATGATCTCAATCTCCTGACCCCGTGATCCACCTGCCTCGGCCTCCCAAAGTGCTGGGATTACAGGCATGAGCCACCGCGCCTGGCCTTCTTAACTTTTATTTTAAGTTCAGAGGTACATGTGCAGATTTGTTACATAGGTATATTTGTGTCATGGGGGTTTGTTGTACAGATTATTTCATCATCCAGGTATTAACCCTAGTACTCATTAGTTATTTTTCCTGATCTTCTCCCTCCTCTCACCTTCCACCCTCTGAAAGGCCAGAGTGTGTGTTGTTCCTGTCTATGTGTCCATGTGTTCTCACCTTTTAGCTCCCAGTTGTAAGTGAGAACATGTGCTGTTTGGTTTTCTGTTCCAGTGTTAGTTTGCTAAGGATAATGGTCTCCAGCTCCATCCATGTCCCTGCAAAGGACATGATCTCATTCTTTTTTATGGCTACATAGTATTCTATGGTGTATATGTACCACATTTTCTTTATCCAGTCTATCATTGATGGGAATTTAGGTTGATTCCATGTCTTTTCTATTGTGAATAGTGCTGCAACGAACGTAGGCATGCATGTGTCTTTATAATAGAATGATTTCTATTGCTTCAGGTTTATACCCAGTAATGGGATTGCTGGGCCATATGGTATTTCTGTGTTTAGGTCTCTGAGAAATTGCCACACTGTCTTCCACAATGGCTGAATGAATTTAAACTCCCACCAACAGTGTGCAAGTGTTTCTTTTTACTCCACAACCTCACCAGCATCCGTTATTTTTTTGTTTTTTTGTTTGTTTGTTTTTTTGTTTGTTTTGAGACAAAATCTCGCTCTGTCGCCCAGGCTAGAGTGCAGTGGCGCGATCTCGGCTCACTGCCAGCTCCGCCTCCTGGGTTCACGCCATTCTCCTGCCTCAGCTTCCCGAGTAGCTGAGACTACAGGCGCCTGCCACCTCGCCCGGCTAGTTTTTTGTATTTTTAGTAGAGACGGGGTTTCACCATGTTAGCCAGGATGGTCGCCATCTGCTGACCTCGTGATCCACCCGCCTCGGCCTCCCAAAGTGCTGGGATTACAGGCATGAGCCACCGTGCCTGGCTATTTTTTTACTTTTTAATAATAGTCATTCTGACTGATGTTAGATGGTATTTCATTGTGGTTTTGATTTGCATTTCTCTAAAGATCAGTGATGTGGGGCTTTTTTTCATATACTTGCTGGCCACATGTATGTCTTCTTTAGAAAAGTGTCTGTTCATGTCCTTTGCCTACTTTTTAATGGAGTTTTTTGTTTTTTTCTTGTAAATTTGTTTAAGTTCTTTATAGATGTTGGATATTAGACGTTTGTCAGATGCACAGATTCAAAAGTTTTCTCCCATTCTGTATGTTGTCTGTTTATTAAGCAGTTTTATATCCGTGGAGTATATGAAGGAACTGAGCAATGAGCTTTAGATACATGACTTTATCAGCTTTGTAAGATGCTGAATATAAAGAAATGATTTTTAGTATGTAAATAGAAGAAATGGATGATGAAGAAAAGCAAGTTATTTAAATTCCACAATTGCCTACTATTTAAAAGGCACTAGCTTGGTGGTACACGGTACTTACAAAATTGTATAAGTCATGGATCTGACTTGATTGTCTCCTAGGGGAGATGCCATCCACACCACAAATTATAACACACAGTAGATATGCCACAGAAGAGTGACAAAAATTTGACTCCTCATTCCAAAGTCAAAAGATTACAAGATCTCATTTGGGGTCAGGAATCAAGAAAAAATTCTGGGAAGAGCTTTCATTTGAGATGTTCAGGCCATGATATAGACATTTTAGCATAAGGAATAAGTCATAGGTAGCATGAAGCAGGGAATTAGGGAATGCCCAGGGAATGCTGAGGAGGACCTTTTGGTTTGCCCAGAGAATTGTGCTCCTAGAAGGCAGAGATCAAGACAGAAAAGTAAGTTGTAATCACTTTTGAAGGACTTTGGATTCCATAGGATTTGAATTTGGACAAAATAGTATAGGGAGTTGTTGAAAGTTTTTGAGAAAAGCCTATCGGAGTGAGAAGAATTATTTCAGAAACAATATCCATTCTCTAGCACAGTTGAGAGAGCTCAGAGGTGGGGCAAGTCAGAAGCTGTTATCACAGTAACTCTAGTTGAAAGATAATGAGAGTCTAAATTGGGCTAGTGGCAGTGGAAAATGAAAAAAAACCACAAAGGTTTTATACAAGGAGAATGTATAGGACTTGACCACTCGTTGTGGAATAAGAGAGATTGAGGAATTTTAAAAACTGGATTTCAAACTTGGGTGGATAAAACAATGGTGGTACCAACAATAGTGACATAAAAAATGAGAAAGTGGGGCTCTTTTGGTGGGTTTGGTTAGGTATCTTTGGAATTTGGGTGCTCCAATAACATCTAAAAACTTATAAAAACTTAGAAAGAGTAGTTGAGGGGAGATATACTGAGGGGGTTGAGAATCTGTTGAAGCAGAACAGAGTGTGAGTCCCCTCCAGAAAGAATTTTGGGTTCTATTTAAGAAATATTGAATGAGTTCCTAATAGTGCCAGGGACTGTGCCGGGCATAGTAAGGAAAACAAATATACAAAACAGATCCCTTAAAAAGTTCAGCATCTAGTAAGTTTCTCGTTCTGCTTCTATCACTTATTTGCTGTATAACCTAGGGAAATTAACAGTTCGGGATTGTTCATTTTGCTTCTATTCTGGGAATATTGCCGTGTACATGCTTAACCACTTAGGTGGTGGTGATAGATTTGCCAGGTGTAAAATTTTTTAGCATCATGGGGGAGCTCATGGGAAATGTTATTATGAACAGTCATAAGGGCTAGTGGAGGCAAGGAATTAGGTGATAGCCAAAATCCCAGTCAGAGTGGAGGAGCACAACACATGGGAAACATTTAGAGAAGTCTCTGAGGTTAGAACCGAAGCCAAAGCCTTCCACTAGTGCGTCACTTTCCGACAGTGCAAGCCAGCAGTGGCCTTGAAGCACTCCCATGCTGAGCTTAAGCACTGGATCCAGAAGCCAGAGGAATAACATAGACATTTCTAAAAAGGAACCCTGTATAGTAGAGGACAGTAGAGAAGTGTGAAAATTGCAGGTATCTTCACACTGTGCTGGTGTTTAGTCATTCAGTTGATACTTATTGAGTACTTACTGTGTGCTCAGGGCTACTTTCTGAGTGTACAATAGTGAGCAAAGCAGACATGTTCCTGCCTCAGTTTATTTGCATTGTGATAAAGGAACACCTGAGGCTAATTTATTGAAGAAGCATGATGCCAGCATCTGCTTCCTGTAAGGACCTCAGACTGCTTCTACTCATGGTGGAAGACAAAGGGGAGCCCATGTGTCGTATGATGAGAGAGGGAGAAAGAGGGAGGAGAGAAGGTGTCAGGCTCTTTTTTAACAGTCAAATCTCCTGGTAACTAACAGACTGAGAACACACTCATTACCATGAGGACAGCACAAGGCTTTTCATGAAAGATCAGCCTCCATGACCCAAACACCTCCCACTAGGGCTCACCTTCAACATTGGGGCTCAAAATTTCAACATGAGATTTGGAGGCAACAAATATTCAAACTATATTGGTCCCTGATTCATGAAGTTTGTAGGCTATTGAGGAAGACCACTATTAATCAAATTTTTACTTGACTGTAATAGGTGCTATAAAAAAGAAGGATACAGTTCAGCGAGAACCTCTAAAAGGAGGGTTTTCATTTAGATTGAAGTATCCAAAGAGCTGCTCCAAGTGAATTATGTTTGAGCAAACAGGGGATGGAGGTGGCCTTCAACAAAGTCCTTTATTGAAGTGAGAGATGAGGGGTGGACCGCCAGACAGATCTATTCCTATTCCTGGTCACTAGAGCATCCAATTATAGAATCCTGAAGGAATAAAATATCAAAAGGTCCAAAAACACCAAAGGTGAACCCAGTGACCTAAATACAGAGAGAACAGGAAATTATTCAAAGTCTAGTCATGCTTATTACAGAGGCTCTAGCACATAGTGGTAAAAACCAGAGTCTGGTATCAAACCAAAACTGAAGTCTGGCATTAAACCCCATGTGACTTGGACAAATTAGTAACTCTGTGTAAGCCTCAGTTTCCTCCTCTGTAAGGTAGAAATAATAAGAGTCACATACCCCTGTGACTGTTAAGAGAATTAAATAAAATAATTCATCAAACTTATAGCACAATTTCTTACACTATCCTTTAATAAATGTTAGGTGTTATCATCATCTTGGATAAGGATTTTTTACTGAGGTATACACTGATCCAGATACCATAAAATTCACTCTTTTAAAATGTGCAGTTTGGTGCATTCAGTACATTCACAAAGTTGTACAACCATCACTATCTAATTCCAGAACATTTTTATCAGCTCAAAAATAAGCCTCATATCCATTAGACACTTCCCTTCCCCTTTCCCTCCAGCCCCTGGCAACCACTAACCTACTTTCTGTCTCTATGGATTTGTCTATTTCAGACATGTCATATAAGTGGAATCATGTAATATATGGCCTTTTGTGTCTACTGAGCATAGTGTTTTCAAGGTTCATTCCTGTTGTATCATGTATTCATACTTCTTTCCTTTTTATGGCTGAATGATATTCCATTGTATAGATATAATGTATACATTATTAGTATACAAGTTTTTGTGTGAACATATGTTTCCAATTCTCTTGGGTATATATCCAGAAGTGGAATTGCAGGATCGAATGGTAACTCTGTTTAACTTTAGGGGGAAGTGCCAAACTGTTTCCCAAAGCCGTTGCATCATTTTACATTCCCACAAGCAAAGCACGAGTATCCCAATTTTTCCACACCCTCACCAACACTTGTTATTGTCTGTCTTTTTTATTTTAGCTATCCTGGTGAGTGTGAAGTGGTATCTGGTTGTGGGTTTGATTTGCATTTCCCTAGTGACTAATGATATTTATTGAGCATCTTTTTCATGTGCTTATTGGCCATTTATCTACCTTCTTAGAAGAAATGTCTATCCACACATTTGCCCATTGTTTAATTGGGTTATTTGTTCTTTTATTGTTGAGTTGGATACGGATGTTATTTAAAAATTTTTGGACACACTAAGGAAACTGCATTTCCAGAGAGAGACACACCATGCAGGACTGAAAATGGTTAGTCTAAGGGGATTCATGACAGATTTCAAAAACCATGATGAACAGAATGGCCCCAGAGAATTTCCAGCCAGACCCTTTCATCAACAGGAATGATTCCAACATGAAGGTGATACCACCACAGGATTCAGCTAGTCCCAGTTTCAGTCTGTCATCCAAGCTGGAGTGCAGTGGCATGGTCTCCACTCACTGCAGCCTCAACCTCCCAGGTTCAAGTGATCTTCCCACCTCAGCCTCCCGAGTAGCTGGGACTACAGCAATATGGAGAAGGCATCAAGAACGTACTTCATTCACCCACCAACAGTATGAAGAGCTAGAAGCTCTGTTTAGCCAGACTATGTTCCCAGATAGAAATCTTCAGGAGAAACTAGCTTTGAAACGCAACCTACTGGAGTCAACAGGTAAAGGCTTGGTTCAGGAACTGGCAATTCAGATTGAAGCAGCAGCAGCAGCAGCAGCAGCAGCAGCAATCAGCAAAGCAAGCAAACCAGATCCTTTCATCCAAGAAGAATGTGCCCACCTCCCCTAGAACATCCCCAAGTCCTTATGCTTTTTCTCCTGTGGTTTCAGATTTCTACAGCTCCCTTTCTCCTCAGCCCTTAGACCCTTCCAATTGGGCCTGGAACTCCACCTTCACTGAGAGTCCCACAGGTGACTTCCAAATGCAAGATACTCAATGGGAGAGGCTGGTGGCCTCAGTTCCTGCTTTGTACTCTGATGCCTGTGACATATCCCAAATCATAGAACTGTACAATCTTCCTGATGAGAATGAGATATCCAGCTCTTCTTTCCACTGTCTGTATCAGTATCTCTCACCCACAAGGTACCAGGTAGGAGGACAGGGTTCCTCTCTGAGCACCTTTGCTGGTCCAGCTGTAGGCCTATCTCCCACACAAACCTGACCCAGTATGACAAGCCAAAGCTTTGAAGCCTACAGTCTAACAGACAGCCTGGAATTCCAGAAGACCTCCAATATGGTAGACTTTGGATTTCTCTGACCAGAGTACTAATAAATATGGACCATTTAGAAAAGAGGTCTTCTTGCCTCTTGTACATGACTTTTTTCTCCTTTGTCTCATTTTAACGCAAACATCTGGGGCTGTGTCTCTGATTTCCATGGAAATGTTGCAAAAAGATTTTTCCAAGTAGAGCTGGGCACTATGCAATCAGCCCCACAATTCTTCCTGAGAAGCCTTCCTAGTCCCTTACATGGCCAATGAGACTCCCAAATTCCCTTCCCAAAATTATCCTGATTTTCTAAAAGTAGAACAGTGGTTTTGGGAGTTATCCACTTTATTTTTAAAAAACTAGGTCTCTCTCTGTCACCCAGGCTGGAATGCAGTGGAACAATCATGGCTCACCAGAGCCTTGACCTCCTGGGCTCAGGTGATTCTCCCACCTCAGCCTCCTGAGTAGCTGGGACTACAGGTGCCCGCCACCACACTCGACTAATTTTTTGTTTTTTTGTTTGTTTGTTTTTTGAGACAGAGTTTCACACTGTCACCCAGGCTGGAGTGCAGTGGCGGGATCTCGGCTCACTGCAACCTCCACCTCCCAAGGTTCAGGCGATTCTCCTGCCTCAGCCCCCTGAGCGGCTGGGATTACAGGTGCATGACACCATGCCCGGCTAATTTTTGTGTTTTTGGTGGAGACAGGGTTTCACCGTGTTGCCCAGGCTGGTCTCGAACTCCTGACCTCCAGTGATCCACCTGCCTTGACCTCCCAGGGTGTGGGATTGCAGGCATGAGCCACCCAGCCCGGCCAATTTTTGTATTTTTTGTAAAGGCAAAATTTTGCCATGTTGCCCTGGCTGGTCTCGAACTCCTGGACTTAACATCATCCACCTGCCTCAGCCTCCCAAAGTGCTAGGAATACAGGAGTGAACCATCGCACCCAGCTGGGTTATCCAGTTTAAAAGAATTTTTTTTTCAAGGAAACCAGAGAAGCCATCATCCACTTTTCTGTCTGTATCATTCCGATTTTAGTATATGTGTTGCCGAAGTGAGTATACACTATCATCCACTTTTAATGAGAGAAAGTTATAAACTTACATTTTGTTTCCAATTTTTAGGGTTTTTTTTTTTTTTTTTTTTTTTTTTTTTTGAGACAGCACTCTGCCTCCAGGCTGGAGTGTGCAGTGGCACCATCTTGGCTCACTGCAGCCTCTGCCTCCTGGTCTCTAACAATCCTCCCACCTCAGCCTTCTAAGTGGCTGGGACTACAGATGAGCGCCACCATGCCTGGCTAATTTTTGTATTTTTAGTGGAGAAGGGGTTTCGCCATGTTGCCCCAGCTGAATTTGGGATTTTTTTAAAGGGGACTTTCAGTCCAAATTTGAGGGGAAATTACTATCACCACTAGTTTGAATATAGTACAATGAAAAAAATATATATATAGTACAATGGTCCAGACATAATAAGAGGTGTAAAAACTAGCACAGGAAGAAATAAAAACAGATTTTTGAAGGTGAGATGAGAAACTCACAAAATTAACAAAATAAATAGCCAAACTTTTAGAATGACATTTTAGCACATTTTCCAGCCACATGATCAATCTACAAAATTAATATTATTTCTGAACACCAGTAATAAACATAAGGTAAGTACCTCTCAATAAAAAAATAGAAAAGTAGCTAGGAATTCACAAAGAAAATTAATACCTCTGTGGAGAAAACTTCAAAACTTAAAAAAAGACATAGAAAATGTTTTGAATATGCTGGGTGCAGTGGCTCACACCTGTGGTCCTGGCACTTTGGGAGTCCAAGGCAGGTGGATCATGGGGTCAGGAGACCAAGACCATCCTGGCCAGAATGGTGAAACCCCGTCTCTACTAAAAATACCAAATAAATTAGCTGGGAGTGGTGGCACATGCCTGTGGTCCCAGCTACTCAGGAGGCTGAGGCAGGAGAATCACAAGGATTGAAATTATGCAGTGTGTTCTCCAAACACGATGGAATGAAATTAGAAATCAATAGTGGAAGAAAATTTGGGAAATTCACACATATGTGGATATTAAACAACACATTCCTAAATAACCAATGGTTAAAGGGGAAATCACAGTCTGAGCAACATGGCAAAACCCTGACTCTGCAGAAAATGGAAAATTAGCTGGGCATGGCAGCCAGAGCCCACGCTCCCAGCTACTCAAGAAGCTGAGGTGAGAGAATCTATCCCCTGAGCCACAGAGGTCGAGGCTGCAGTGAGCAGTAACTGTGCCACTGCACTCCAGTTTAAGCAACACAGTGATACCATCTCAATAAATAAATAAATAAATAAATAAATAAATAAATAAATAGAAGAAATCATAAGTAAAATTGGAAAACACTTCTAACTGAAAAAAAATAAAAACAGAAGCACAACAAACCAAAACATGGGATGAAGCTAAATCAATGCTTAGAAGGAAATTTGTAGCTTCAAATACTTATATATGTTTTTTAAAAAGGTCTCAGATCAATAAGTTTTATACAGGAAGGAAGCTGGCATAGTTTTATTAATATTTGTCAAATTAAACTTTAAGGCAAAACTTTTTTATTGAGATAGAGCCTTGCTCTGTCGCCCAGGCTGGAGTGCAGTAGTGCAATCTTGGCTCACTGCAACCTTCGCCTCCAGGGTTCAAACAATTCTCCTGCCTTAGCCTCCCAGGTGGCTGGGACTACAGGTGTGAGCCACCATGCCCGGCTAGTTTTTGTATTTTTAGTAGAGACGGGGTTTTGCCATGTTGCTCAGGCTGGCCTCAAACTCCTGAGCTCAAGTGATCCTCCCACCTCAGCCTCCCAAAGGGCTGAGATTGCAGGTGTGAGCCACCTTGCCTGGCCAAAACAGTTTTTTAGAAATAAAGTTTATTAGGCAACAAGAAAAGGAACAATTAACCTGAAATATATGATAACTCCAAACCTGTATATACTTAACAACATATACCCAAAATATATGAGGCAAATTTTAACAAAAATTGAAGTTCTTAAGAAAACTTCACCAATACATAGTCATAATGTGGTATATTCATACAACACACTCAATAATTGATAATAACAGTCCAAAGAAAGCAGAAAGAAGGAAAGCCTAGAGCAGAAATAAATGAAATAGAGAATAGAAAAGCAATAAAGAAAAAAATTATGAAATCAAACCTGGTTCTTTGAAAAGATCAACAAAATGGCAAACATTTAGCTAGATTGCCCACCACCCCCAAAAGACTCAAATTACTAGAATCAGAAACAAAAGTCAAGATTTTATTACCAATCTTATAGAAATAAAAATTATTAGAAAGAAATAATATGAATAATTGAATGCAAACAAGTTAGATAAATGAAATGGACAAATTCCTAGGAAGACACAGAATACCAAATCCGACTCCACAAGAAATAGATGTTGTGAATAGAGCTTGCTGTGGTATGAATGTGTCCCCCACAGCTCATGCGTTGGAAACTTAATCCCCAGAGCAACAGCACTGAGAGGTGGGACCTTTAAGAGGTACTAGGCAGAGCCCTCATGAATGGATTAATGCCATTATTGTGGGAGTGGGTTAGTTATCTAAGAAGTGGGTTCCCGATAAAAGGATGAGTTCAGCCCTCTTCTTCTCCAAACCTTTATCCCCATCCCCACCCGTCCCTCTCTCTCTCTCTCTTTCTTTCTTTCTCTCTCTCTCTCTCTTCCCTCCTCTTCTCCCTTCCTTCTGCCATGGGAGGATGAAATATTAAGGCCCTGGCCAGTTGTGGCCCCTCCGTCTTCCATCTGAGGCTGGAAGACTTCCCGGCCTTCAGAACTGTAAGAAGTAAATCTCTCTTCTTTAAAAAAAAAAAAAAAAAAAAAAATTGTTCACTCCCACTGATCCTAGAAAAAATCAGCTCTCCAAGAAGTAGTAGATCATTGTTACTGGCTATCCGCCTTAGCAAATAGCAGATGCCTCAGAATTGGGAGGCATGGAGGTTCTTTCATGGCTAGAAAGAGCACTATAAACATGTTCTCCCTACTGTCATCTCCCCTTCTCCAAACCTTGTCCTCTTCCTTCCTCATGTTGGAAACTCTATCTAGCCCCCTCTTTCTCACCTCTGAGCACTCATGTGTCAGTCTCATGGTGCCATCTTGAGACATTTAAGTATACAGGTAGAGTCCCGAGGAACAGGAAACTAGTGCCAGAGTTGTTTGGCCAACGACCTTTTACAAATACAGGGCCTGGTAGATGGCAAAAATAAGTACAAACACCTTCCCTTCTCTGATCTCTTACACTCACCTCTGAACCTTGTCAGTACTGAGGCTGGCAGAGAGGCACCATGAGGGGGGAAATCCCAGAACTAGTGGCAGAAAAGGAATTCTTACCCTGTCAGAAACTCTGTGGCTTTTAAGCAAGTTACTTTCCTTCTCCAAATTCAGTTTTCTCCTCTTGCAAAGTAAGGGTAATAACACATGTTCTGCCTGTCTTGCAAGATTTTTGTGAAGATAAAATGTGCTAAGGTATGTAAAAGGGCCTTGTAAAATGCTATATAAATGAAAGTACTATTACCCAGGACTAAGAACTCAACTTGTGTATAGCATCACAGTTGTAGTTGAATAAGCTCCAGGATATTAAATATCTTTATACATCACTTCTGGGTAACTTGTGCAATATATAGTTTATATATGGAGTGTAATTTTTCACTTGGGGTATTGTTTTACTGTGTAAGTCCTAGTTATTTACAAAGGCTTTATTTGAAAATGAGCTAACACGTTCAAATTCCCCACATTCAATTTATTCACACATAGACATGTTAAATAAGAACTTCTTATTTTTCTGCTCAGATATTTCATCAAACTAAAATAAATGTTTAATATTATGTATTGTAGGTGTTTCAATATCTGGACTAAAATTGGTGTATAATTTATTCTGAGCACTTATATAGTGCCAAGTAGTATGTTAAACATTATGTCATATAATCCTTACCGCATCCAAATTAGAGTGTCATCATTATTCCCACCATTTCTGAGAGGGGAAAACTGAGACTAAACAAAATCACATCACCACCTGGTAAGAGACTAAGCTAGGAATGGAAATATAGTCTCCTTGACCTCAGATCTCACCCTCTTAAACTCCATGTTTGTAATATGCCAAGGAGAAAAAGAACACTGAAGAACTGGAGGGTGATTCTTCTGTGTGCATTTGGACTATTTATTTCCACATTTCATTATAGGATTACCTTGGTCAGAACCCACAAAAGAAAACAAACCAAAACAATTAGAGAAGACAATTAATATATGAACAGGGTTGATTGCCATTTGAGATTTAGTTAAGAAATACAAAGAATTTACTGAGAGTAAGAATTGTTAAACAAAGATATAAATTATTAAAGGAAGTTACAATATCTACTTTTCTGAAGAGTGCTAAGCAGAGTAAATCTCATCTTTTATAGCCTCTGCTAAATTCAATTAGGAAACTAGAGTCAAAGAAGTGAATGACAAGTTAAATTATAGCCAACATTAGAATAGTATAGCATATGAATGTTTATAAATTAAAAAAATACTAAGGAGAAAAAAGGGAAAAACTAAAAATCCTGTAAATGCCAATAATGTTACTAAGAAAAAAAGAACAAAAAATACATTTTAAAAGTTACTAAAATTAAAAATAACTGAGGTTACCCAACATTTTTTATACCTCTAGATACAGCATACAAATAAATCAATGAATTTTTAAAACCACACCACACACACACAGACACACACACACACACACACACACACACACACACACACCAACTTTTAATCAGGTTATATAAAAAGCACCATGGGTATTTGTTTTGTATAATGGTATGCATTAATGTTAATAAAGGAATTAAATATGTACCTTATATGATAAATATGCATATATATAATTTTAAATAGTTTTCAGCAGTAAGGGTAGATATTTGTTGTAAAACAATAAAATCAATTCAAACTAAGTTCTATAAATATGCTTAGTGTCACACTCACCCTACACACACTACAGTAACTCCTGCATATTGGACCTCTTACATCTTTTATAGTGTTGATTTTGTTCTTTTTATTTTATCTTATCATCTTGCCAATTACAAACTTACTGTTTTTAAATTATCCACTTGGGTACGTGTACACCATGAAATACTATGCAGCCATAAAAAGGAACAAGATCATGTCCTTTCCAGGGACATGGATGGAGCTGGAAGCCATTATCCTCAGCAAATGGACGCATTAGCAGAAAACCAAACAGCGCATGTTCTCACTGTAAGTGGGAGCTGAACGACGAGAGCACATGGACACATTGGGGGAAACAACACACACTGGAGCCTGTTGGGGGTGGGGGAGGGAGAGCATCAGAAAGAATAGCTAATGGATGCTGAAGTTAATACCCAGGTGATGGGAGGTTCTGTGTAGCAAACCACCACAGCACATGTTTACCTATGTAACAAAACTGCACGTACTGCACATGTACCCTGGAACTTAAAATTTGAAGGGAGGAAAAAAAGGAAACAGCACATTGAAAAATCTTTAAAACATTAAAAAAATAAGTTATCCACTTGGTTCAGCCCTTTAAAAGAGAGGAAATGAACTTACTTTTATAAAGTAAAAGTTAAAATATTTATTGCTTCCAGATCACCAGTTTAAATTAAAAACAGGCAGTGGGGATATTTTTTAATCAAATGCTTTGTTCTATTTATTTTACCTGTTTCATGTTCAATACTGGATGCAACATAGATTCTAATATTCCAAGTTACAAGTGAACAATGAGTATAGAACTGAACCTCTAATGAGCTACGTAATTCTTTTCCCAGAATGTTAGACTACCGGTTTGCCCAGCAAGCCATAAAGAAGATTTTTCCGAAATCTTTCCAATTCAATACTTTCTTTGTATCAATTGTAGTTTCTTATTTCCATTCCAGTTGGAGAATTAAGTTTGAAAGACTGTCCAGAGTATTCTTTCTCAAAGTGTGATATGCTATCTTGTTTGATGAATGTCAGGAGCATATTAAACATAATCACACAGTAATGCATTTACTGTGGAAGCAGTTGAATCATTTAAATAGTTCCAACAAACCAACTGCCTCTGTGAATAAGAACTGATTCTATCAGCACTTCAAACAGGCCTAGACCTACTTGGCATACAAAAATGCAGGTAACTCATGACTAATTATCAATAGGTAGGAAACATCTTCACAGATGGTGGTTTTCACTGTACTAAAACATGCACTTTGGGACACATACACACACACACACACACACACACACACCTTAAGGATTTGAATCAGGGATAAATCCATTCTAAAATTTTCCAGTTTATTGACCCTTCCAGATATACTTAGGTGTAGAAAGAAAAGTCTAATGCTAAATTTTGCATGTACATAGCCTTCCCAAATACATTTTAGTAAAATAAAATTGACACTAATGAAAGCACCGATTTCAAATGTAGTAATTGGAGATAGAAAAAAATAAGGCATAAATTATCTTAAGAAAATAGTTAAGTTACCTATGTTTTCTCCACAATTTGGTTTACTCTTCATTTGGGGAGATGGGAGAGTGTGCTACATCAAAAGTATTCATTAAGCGCATGTTCTCACATGAACTCCTAAAACAAGAATTTAAGTGCCTTTCAGTGGGAAAATATTAGCCTCATTGTTCATTTCCCTTCCTTATCCAAGACATACCTCATAGGTATTATAGTTCCGGGTTTCTAATTTGCTTGTTTGAGACAAATGATGCCAGAATTCAGAAAATCATTTGGGGCCACTCAAAACATTTATAAAAAGGGCTTCCCTTCATGCTAAAAACTCTCAATAAATTAGGTATTGATGAGATGTATCTCAAAATAATAAGAGCAATTTATGACAAACCCACAGCCAATATCATACTGAATGGGCAAAAACTGGAAGCATTCCCTTTCAAAACTGGCACAAGACAGGGATGCCCTCTCTCACCACTCCTATTCAACATAGTGTTGGAAGTTCTGGCCAGGGCAATCAGGCAGGAGAAAGAAATAAAGGGTATTCAATTAGGAAAAGGGGAAGCCAAATTGTCCCTGTTTGCAGATGACATGATTGTACATATAGAAAACCCCATCGTCTCAGCCCAAAATCTCCTTAAGCTGATAAGCAACTTCAGTAAAGTCTCAGGATACAAAATCAATGTGCAAAAATCACAAGCATTCTTATACACCAATAACAGACAAACAGAGAGCCAAATCATGAGTGAAGTCCCGTTCACAATTGCTTCAAAGAGAATAAAATACCTAGGAATCCAACTTACAAGGGACGTGAAGGACCTCTTCAAGGAGAACTACAAGCCACTGCTCAATGAAATAAAAGAGGATACAAACAAATGGAAGAATATTCTATGCTCATGGATAGGAAGAATCAATGTCGTGAAAATGGCCACACTGCCCCAGGTAATTTATAGATTCAATGCCATCCCCATCAAGCTACCAATGACTTTCTTCACAGAATTAGAAAAAACTACTTTAAAGTTCATATGGAATCAAAAAAGAGCCCACATTGCCAGGTCAATCCTAAGCCAAAAGAACAAAGCTGGAGGCATCACGCTACCTGACTTCAAACTATACTACAAGGCTACAGTAACCAAAACAGCGTGGTACTGGTACCAAAACAGAGATATAGACCAATGGAACAGAACAGAGCCCTCAGAAATAATACCACACATCTACAACTATCTGATCTTTGACAGACCTGACAAAAACAAGCAATGGGGAAAGGATTCCCTATTTAATAAATGGTGCTGGGAAAACTGGCTAGCCATATGTAGAAAGCTGAAACTGGATCCCTTCCTTACACCTTATACAAAAATTAATTCAAGATGGATTAAAGACTTAAATATTAGACCTAAAACCATAAAAACCCTAGAAGAAAACCCAGGCAATACCATTCAGGACATAGGCATGGGCAAGGACTTCATGTCTAAAATACCAAAAGCAAAGGCAACAAAAGCCAGAATTGACAAATGGGATCTAATTAAACTCAAGAGCTTCTGCACAGCAAAAGAAACTACCATCAGAGTGAACAGGCAACCTGCAGAATGGGAGAAAATTTTCATAATCTACTCATCTGACAAAGGGCTACTATCCAGAATCTACAATGAACTCAATCAAATTTACAAGAAAAAAACAACCCCATCAACAAGTGGGCAAAGGATATGAACAGACACTTCTCAAAAGAAGACATTTATGTAGCCAACAGACACATGAAAAAATGCTCATCATCACTGACCATCAGAGAAATGCAAATCAAAACCACAATGAGATATCATCTCATACCAGTCAGAATGGCAATCATTAAAAAGTCAGGAAACAACAGGTGCTGGAGAGGATGTGGAGAAATACAAACACTTTTACACTGTTGGTGGGACTGTAAACTAGTTCAACCATTGTGGAAGTCGGTGTGGCGATTCCTCAGGGATCTAGAACCAGAAATATCATTTGACCCAGCCATCCCATTACTCGGTATATACCCAAAGGAATATAAATCATGCTGCTATAAAGACACATGCACACGTATGTTTATTGCGGCACTACTCACAATAGCAAAGACTTGGAACCAAGCCAAATGTCCAACAATGATAGACTGGATTAAGAAAATGTGGCACATATACACCATGGAATACTATGCAGCCATAAAAAAATGATGAGTTCATGTCCTTTGTAGGGACATGGATGAAGCTGGAAACCATCATTCTCAGCAAACTATCGCAAGGACAAAAAACCAAACACTGCATGTTCTCACTCATAGGTGGGAATTGAACAATGAGAACACATGGACACAGGAAGGGGAACATCACACACTGGGGCCTGTTTCGGGGTCAGGGGAGGGGGGAGGGATAGCATTAGGGGATATACCTAATGTAAATGATGAGTTAATGGGTGCAGCACACCAACATGGCACATGTATATATATATATGTAACAAACCTGCACGTTGTGCACATGTACCCTAGAACTTAAAGTATAATAAAAAAATATATATAAATAAAAATAAAAAAATAAAATAAAATAATAAAATTTTAAAAATAAATAAAAGGGCTTATAGTTAACAAAACAAACTTTGTAATCACAAACTTTAATCAGAACAAATGAAACAACAAATGTCTTTGAACAAACTAGAAGACAGATAGACTTAGAAAACTTGGCTTTGCTGCTTAATAACTTTGCTTTGATGCTTCATGAAAGAATGGGAAGAGAATTGGGCTAGAAATCAGATGACCTAGATTCTTGTCCTGGCTTCACTATCTATTAGCTCAGTAGACTTGAGAAATCATTTTTTCTTTCCAAGCCTCTGTTTCTTCATCTGTTAAAAGAGAAAATAATAGAGACAATAGTACCTATTCTACTTTCTTCTCAATGAATGACACTTCAGAACCAGTAAACACTCACAAATCCTAAATCTCTTCTCCCAGTACCCTTTACCATTGGCTCTAAATAAAGCCTGGATCTCAGGTAAGAACACTTCACTCAGACTAGTGCTCCTCCAGTCTTATTTAAAAAAAAAAAAAAATCCTGAGGCTGGTGGTGTTTGGCTCATTAATTCTCTGCTTCTGTCTTTGCCATTCTCATCAACCTCCCTTGTCATTCTTCCTCCATCACCAAAGCCTTGGCTCTGGTTCACCACCTGGCTCTGCAACGTAAGTCTTCCTGTCATCCTGATGACTTTAGCTGTAATGTTCAAGAATTCATTCAACATGTTGAATCAGGGCTGCTCTGTCTATAGAGTAGCCGTTCTTTTATTCCTTTATTTTCTTAATAAACTTACTTTCACTTTGAAAAAAAAATATTGAATCAGGAACAAGAAAAGGGTGCCCACTCTCACCACTTCCATTCAGTATAGTACTAGGCATAGTAGTGTAGTCCTAGCCAGAGCAATTAGGCAAGAAAAAGAAAGAAAAGGCATCTAAAATTGGAAAGGAAAAAGTTAAGTTGTCTCTGCTTACAGATGACATAATCTAATATATAGAAAACCCCAAAGACTCCATAAAAACGGTTAGAACTAATAAATAAATTCAGTATAGTTACAGGACATGAAATCCACGTTCAAAAATCAGTAGCCTTTCTATACACTAGCAATGAACCATCCAAAAAAGAAATCAAGAAAACAATCCCATTTACAATAGCATCCCCAAAATAAAATAGGAATAAATTTAACCAGGGAGGTGAAAGACCTATACATTGAAAACTATAAAACTCTGATGAAAGAAATTGAAGAAGGCACCTCAATAAATAGATATCCCATGTTCATAGGCTGAAAGAGTTAATATTGTTAAAATGTCCATACCACCCAAAGCAATCTACAAATTTAATGCAATCCCTATCAAAATTCCAATGGCGTTTTTCACAGAAGTAGCAGAAATAATCCTAAAATTCATATGGAATCACAAATTTATTTTAACAATCTAGAAATCTGCCCAGGTCACATTTCTTAAGTATCCCCATGGTATTTCCAATTCTACATGTTTGAAATTTAACTGATAATCCTCTCCAACCAAAACTAGGCACTCCACAGTATTCCTTTTTTTCTTTCTTTCTTTCTTTTTTTTTTAAATAAGAGACAGGCTCCAGCTCTTTTACCCAGGCTGGAGCACAGTGATATTATTATAGCTTACTTTAGGCTCAAACCCCTGGGCTCTACGGATCCTCCCATCTCGGCCTCCCTGACATCTGGGACTATAAGCACATGCCACCATACCTGGCTAATTTCTTTGTAGAGACAGGGTTTTTCTATGTTGCCTAGGCTGGTCTCAAACTCCTGGACTCAAGCAATCCTCTGACCTTTGCCTCCCAAAGTGCTGAGATTACAGGCATGAGATACCACACCTGGCCCCGGTATTTCTTTTTTTTTTTTAATTAAAAAAAAGCACCATCATTCTCTTTGTCCTGCCTGAACTGGTTTTCTTTTCTCCTTCACCGAATTAACTCACCCTTCCTTCAAATATCAATTCGAACATCTCTTCTTTAAAGAAATCTTCCTGAACCAGCCTGACACTCATCACGTTAAAACTATATTTATTTGTATGATCATTTGATTAATACCCATCTCTCCTATTATAATCTAAGTTACATGGAAACAAAAACCATATCTGATTTGCTAAACATGATATCCCCAGTATTTAGCACAGTTCCTAGTATATAGTATGCACACAATAAACCCATTGAATTTATGGTTATAAGATAATTTAGTGTTTATACGTGGCAGATTTTGCTTACTTTGTCTCAGAAGTAATCATCCTAAATGTTTTTAATTAACCTAAATCACTCTAAAGACTTAGATAAGGCCGGGCACGGTGGCTCACACCTGTAATCTCAGCACTTTGGGAGGCTGAGGCGGGTAGATCACCTGAGGTCAGGAGTTTGAGACTAGTCTGACCAACATGGAGAAACCCCATCTCTACTAAAAATACAAAATTAGCTGGGCGTAGTGGCGCATGCCTGTAATCCCAGCTACTTGGGGGTCTGAGGTAGGAGAATCGCTTGAACCCAGGAGGCAGAGGTTGTGGTGAGCTGAGATTGCGCCATTGCACTCCAGCCTGGGCAACAAGAGCGAAACTCCATCTCAAAAACAACAAAGACTTAGATAAGACCTATATGTCCATTCCTAAAGACAGAAAATTGCTGAAAAGTAGACTGATTACATATGGATCACAGCCTTAACATGAGGCCAACTTCAACTTCACAAGGAGAAGAAGTAGTCATTAGTTAAGTACAAGAAGGTAGTGAGGCTGGGCGCACTGGCTCACGCCTGTAATTCCAGCACTTTTGGAGGCCGAGGCTGGCAGATAACTTGAGGTGAGGAGTTCGAGACCAGCCTGGCCAACATGGTGAAACCCGGTCTCTACTAAAAATACAAAAAAATAGGTGGGCACCATGGTGCATGCCTGTAATCCTAGCTACTCGGGAAGCTGAGGCGGGAGAATCCCTTGAACCTGAGAGGCGGAGGTTGCAGTGAGCTGAGATCATGCCACTGCACTCCAGCCTGGGCAACAGAGTGAGACTGTCTCAAAAAAAAAAAAAAGAAAAAAAAAAAGGTAGAGAAGTGAAACAAGAATGGAGCACACAGCCACACTGATATTCCACATTGCCACAGAGACACTGTCCAAAAGGAAAAGTTATGTTCATGCAAAGCCTCAAAGCTTGGTTGTCACTAACTGTGTCTTGCTTCAAAACTAATCTCTCTGGGCCATATCCAGTCAAGGCTCTCAACCATGAAGAGATTACAGTATCACTCTTGCATCTTTCCCCTCTCACCCTGAAAATGCTTTTGTGTATGTTATATACTAGAGAGATCAAAAGGCATATGAGAAAACACAGGATGCAGACGGAGTAAAATGCTTAAAATTAGAAGGGGAAATCATGACTTGCCATTTACTTATTTCTGCAATATTTCAAAATATGAACCACAAGGTATATGCCACTACTGTTAAAAATTGCAATACCTCTCCAGGCACAGCTGCATTTTTCTAACAACAAAAAAATGCAATACTTGCTTGATATTATAAAAATAATTAAACTTTATGGATTTAGATAGAAACTAGATGTGGGACAGGGCCACTAACCTAAAGAAAGATTTGTTTAGTCTGCATAAGTAACAAGTCAGAAATCTTTCTAACCCTGACAGGTAATCAGTATGTCACACCTTTCCCCCATGAGGGGAGACAAAACTTAATGACCATTGACTCTATCTGAAAACAGCCAAAATCGCATCAACAGATGGGTGACTGTCAATTAGCCATTTGTTAACCAGTGTGGATTTCTTGGCAGCTCTCCCACAACCTCAACAAAATGAAGAGAGGAAGTCATGAGCAAAAATGAAAGGATGAGTTCTCCTGAATCCCATTTTCAATTTTTTATAACATTTTATATTCTTGATAGAGAAATAATTGGGTGGGAAAATAATAACATGAGAAAATGAGGATCTTGTCCAACATAAGTTAGGGCCCTTTCTCTAAGATTTTTATGGGTTTCAGAAAAGTTATCTTTCTGGCTATAGATCTGCTAATATCAGAAATATCAAAAGAAGAGACTACATCCCTAATTAACTTTATCTGGTTATTAAACTTAAAAACATACTATTAATTCATAATAAAGCTTATTCAGTGTTTTTCTTCTGATAGCATTAATTTTCACTCCAGTTTCTTCATTAGAACATTAACAGACGTTAATGGTCAAGGGCAAATCCAAAGATTTAAAATAGAGAAAAACTATCTTCAAGAAAAACATTCTTCATCTTTAGGCTAAAATGTATGAGAATCACCAAGATGCTTGTTAAAATTGCAGATTCCAAGACATGTCTTCTATTTCATAAAACTAAAGTAATGCAAATTCTCTGCCTATAACTGACCTAATGAATTGGGGGGTGGGGGCTCATAGTCAGGGCCTTTACATGCTCTTCAGGTGTCAGGTGATTCTTGGGAACACTAAAGATGATTATTGTCACTTTAACGTGTCGTGTATTTGCTTTTTTAAAGGGGTCTTTTAAGTCTTTTTCTCAAAACATGTCTGTGTGAAAACTGCAGGAACCTCTGTGTGGGAATAAGGTGTTCCATTGTGTATCGCAAAGCATATTATTAAATTCACAGTGGCTACCGGGAATGATGGCAAGGAAGCTAGTTTCAGACAAAGACCTCTGAATGTACATTCAGAAGCCATCAGAACATCCCGCTTGAAATGAGATGACAGGTAGATTAGAATACTGTGGCGCTCAGCTACAGCCCCAATGTTCAGAAGAGAGAGAAAAAGATCTCCTAAAATATCCTCCCTCGGGATGTTAATGGCCCACCTCTAATCACACATCATTTATTGAATGTGAAAGGAGGTCTGATATGGGCAAGGTGCGATGACCCGGCAATTTATTTTACTTCTTGGTGTCACAGACATGTTTCTGTGGACTCAGCAGGTCAAAGAACTTAAAATGTTATCTAGAATAAGACAAACATGTAATTTTCCTCTGGCTTTATTCCATTTTTTAACTTAATGATTAATTAAGAGACATTCCTTTACTTAAAAAAATTGAGACAAGGTTGTACCAACCCTTACAGTAATTCGTAAAATCTAATGTCTGCAAAATTAAGCTTGCTTGGGAACCCATGGGCCAAAATTTCCAGCTGAGGAGGAATTTTTCCTAAAACTTAGGCATCCCCCAAATCTTTCCTGGGCAGCAACGTCCTCCCGGGCTTAAATTTTCCATCAGAACTCAGCCTTCCCTGTAAAACCTGTTAGCGTGATGTGTCTTCTGGCTGTGGCAGCGTTTGAAAGTCAAGCAAATAAGCCTTCCAGGGCTCACATTGAGTTAAGAAAACATATTCTGCATGACATTTAGGGCCAAATTAGGGACCAAAGTCCTCATTCTTTTACTCAAGACTAAGTTTATGTCTCCACAGGCAATGTGAAATGGAGTGTGGAGAAATGATCTCATGAAATAAATTAATTTAGACAGGATGCCTGGTTTGTTAGTACCCCACAGAGTGTATGTGTAAGTGTGTGTGTGCATGTGCTTGTGTGTTTAACAGCAGGTTAGGGAAACAGTAACACTAAAGAGATTAATGGAAAGCACTCTGCACTGGCAGTAGAATCGAGCTTTTCCTCTAGGCCCCACCACTTACCAATCATGTGACCTTAGGCATAACTCCCTAAGCCTCTGTTTCCTCGTCTGTTAGATGATCTTGTAAGACCCATTCAACTACCACCCAGGGTCATGATAAGCAGAAGGATAATTAACGAGAGTAGTCTGTATTGATATATCAAAGTTCAATATTACTGCCACTAAGTGTCCCTTCTAATATTTGCACCAGGCTCTGTAGAGACACATGGTCATTATTCTTGGGTACACACCGACACACCACAGCTTTGACCTTTCAATCTCTCCCACCAGGACCTTCGAGCCACACATTTACCAGCACTAGATGAACTCACTATCTCTGTAATGATCCCAACTATAGCTGCCTCCAGAACAAGATATCAGAATAGGAAATTGAATCTGAGCTTCTCCCATGGAAGGCCAGGGCATTAATCATGGTGAGCACACTGGGGGTTTTTCATCTGAGTTGACTGGTTGGGTTCATAAAATCTCTTTCATTTTTCATTGGGAGATTCCAAGTTTTATATATTTATTATCCCTCTCATTATTTCACAGCCAGCAGCATATTTTACTTGTAGCAGTGCCTAACTTGAAATAATTTTGGAAACCACAATGCTTATGAGGCATGGCTTACTGGGGCACCAGCAAGAAAACCTTGCTCTTTATTAACAGACTGGGTGAAAGATTGCTTACATTTGCACCCTGATGTGCACTGCCATTTCAGCTTTTTCCCCCTAACAACAACTACTGAACATGGGGATAATTTAACCTGGGTTTCCCCACCACCCCCCACCTCCACCTTGTCAGTTTCAAGGAACCTGGTATAAACATAATTTATGTAACTCCCCCTCTTCATACTGTAAGGCATTGACCATTGAGTGGCAACAGCAATAACAGTTATTTTCATGGCAAATGTGCTTCAGTGAAATATAGTACATGGTTGCCTCCACCTCTTTCAAGCCACAGTCTACCCTTAAGAAATTAGCGTCCATGGGTGGCTGTCAACATAGATCAACGTAAGGGGAAAAATATGTTCACTGAGAAGTTCTTTGGCCTGTGACTATAACACAAGGAACATGGTGATTACAGATGGATTTTTGCCTCTTTAAATGTTTCCATTCTTTTCCTACACTGCCTCCTCTGTGAGTTCATTTGGCTCATATCTGACTTACTTGACCATAAAAAAAGTGAGTTTAGGTCATTCAATTTGCCTAATAAAATACAACTGGAGTCTCTACCTTTAGAAGTAAAATGTTTATATATCTCATTTAGCATTGTTTCTTATAAATTTAATGAGATGATTGAATTAACACATTTCTCTAATAGGGAAGATACGGGTTATTCTTCTGAGTTCCCATTCAGGCAACAAGATGAAAATACATGGGCACAGACAATTGGGAGAAGGAGAAGGAGAGAGAGACACTACTAGAAGAGGAGGAGGAGGAAGACATGGACAAGGAAGTAGGTAAGAGTCATGCTTTTTCAATTTGGAATCCAGGACAGAAAGAGCTTGCAGTGTGGGGCATTCAGTGTTTCATGAATCATATCCCAGCATAGCTCCTGTGCCTCAGAAGGACCCTGACAATCAGCCAGACCATCTCCTTTCTTGAGGTCCCCTCAAAAATTCATGACAACACACTGCTTCAAAACCTCAGGAAAAGGCAATCCTGCAATGTTCTTATTTTGGGCCCATAACTAGGTTGTTGAGCCATTTTACTCCAGCACCTAGCACAATGCCCTGAACAACTGAAAAATCATCTTGAAGTGATGAATAAGTGAGTGCAGAATGTTTCTCTGGGTCTAATCTAAGTAGTTTAGGGGCAGTATGACGTGGTGGTTATGAGCCCCAACTCTGAAACCAAATGTGGTCTCAAATCTCAGTTCTGCCACTTCTTTGACCTTGTACTTCATTGCACCTCAGTTACCTTATTTGTAAAATGAGGATATTAGGATTGTGGTAAAGCTTTTTGTTTTTTTGTTTTGAGACGGAGTTTTGCTCTTGTTGCCCAGGCTAGAGTGCGATGGTGCAATCTCAGCTCACCACAATCTCCACCCCCCTCATTCAAGCGATTCTTCTGCCTCAGCCTCCCGAGTAACTGGGATTACAGGCATGCACCACCACGCCTGGCTAATTTTGTATTATTAGTAAAGACAGAGTTTCTCCATGTTGGTCAGGCTGGTCTTGAACTCCCAACCTCAGGTGATCCACCTGCCTCAGCCTCCCAAAGTGCTGGGATTACAGGCGTGAGCCACCGCGCCCAGCCTGATTGTGGTAAAGATTAATTAGGTACAATATTCTTAGTATAGTGCATAACACATAGTAAATGCTATTGAAGTGATTGCAGGGCCACTGGGTTGCATAGCTCTAAGGAACATTGGTCACATGAAAAGCTATGTGAATGCCACACCCTAGAGTTACGCAGGGTACAACCTGCAAGCTCAAATAATAGTGCTGGTATTTTGCTAGCATTATTATTACATTCTGCTTAGGCCTATTTTTTCTTTTTCCTTTTTGTCCCAATATCCACAACTTATGTAGAAAAAACATGAATATGTGTTGTCTGAAGTGCAAAATAAGAAAGAATTTTTACGCATGAGAAAACCAAAGCATTTTCTGTACTGTGTCTTCTTAGACATTTTCCTTAACCAAGACAAGCACGAGGAAAAGCCAGAGAATGAGAGTGTATTCATTCAAGTAGCTGACCACACACTTGGTCCAGAACCCAATCAGTCTCTTGAGGTAAACAGCCCGCATGCTTGTCAGCCTGAACACTGGTCTGTGATAGCCTAGAGGAAATGCACAGTGTAGAGAGAGGTACAAAAATGGCTGCCCAGAAGTATGTCTAGTGGAATGTCCAGATTCCATCTCCAGAAACCGAGAACCTCTAATCACGTAAACCAAAGAAGAGAAACCAGGCACAGTGCCATTCCCTTCTGTTGGAGCATGGAGTTTTCCTTGTCAGAAACACACAAGGATAACTGCCTTGAAGGCATAGAGGAATCAGCTCCCATCCCCATGAGTTCTAGCTGCTTCTTTTCTCTCAATCCTCACCTCAGTGTCCTTGCATGGTTTATGAGTACAGCTTCACAAACAGAAACACACACACACACACAGGAACCAAGTTAACTACAAACTCAAATGACTTCTTCTCATACAGAATTTCTGCCTCCAAGAAAGAAGCCTTTAGAACTCATTTGACAGAAATTCTCTCAGAAGGGGAGGTTGTTTTTGTTTTTCATGTTTATCACAAAGTAACCAAACAGCTACTCACTATTTGAGGAAAGATGCACTACCAACCAGACGGAGGATTCTCTCTCTCTCTCTTTTTTTTTTTTTTTTTTTTTTTGAAACAGGGTCGCGCTCTGTCATCCAGGTTAAAATGCAATGGTGCAATCTCAGGTCACTGCAGCCTCGACCTCCCAGACTCAAGTGATCCTCTGGCTTCAGCCTCCCAAGTAGCTAGGACTACAGACACGCACCATCATGCCAGCTAATTTTTATATTATTTGTAGAGACGGGGTTTTTGCCATGTCGCCCAGGCTGGTCTCAAACTCTTGAGCTCAGGAGATCTGTGCACCTCAGCCTCCCAGAAATGCTGGAATTACAGGTGTGAGCCACCACGCCTGGCCTAGAACTCATTTCTTAACTTCCATTCCTAGATCTTAAAAGTAAATAATTGGCCTCCCTGTTAAAATTATTATATGAAGATGGCTGGAGAGATAAGGATTATAATCCCTAGGGCCTGCAAAGAAAAAAAGGAGAACAGCAGCAGTTTCTTTCATCCCCCACCACACTACCATCCTTTGCCCCCTCCCCGCCGAAATACTTGCTGCACTTTGGCTGGGCACGGTGGCTCACACCTGTAATCCCAGCACTTTGGGAGGCCAAGGCAGGTGGATCACCTGAGGTCAGGAGTTAGAGACCAGCCTGGCCAACATGGCGAAACCCCGCCTCTATTAAAAATACAAAAATTAACCAGGCATGGTGGGGGGCGCCTGTAATTCCAGCTACTCATGAGGCTGAGGCAGGAGAATCACTTGAACCCCGGGGGTGGAGTTTGCCATGAGCCAAGATTTCGCTGCTTCACTCCAGCCTGGGAGAAAGAGCGAGACTTGAGACTCTGTCTCAAAAAAAAAAAGAAAGAAAGAAAGAAAGAAATATTTGCTGCATTTTAAGCACAGAGTTAAAACCAAATATTAACTTTTGGATTGATCTCAGGTTGCCATTGCCTTGTCTGACGTCAAAAAAAATAAGCAAAAGAGGGGCTGAGCATGGTGGCTCATGCGTGTAACCCCAACACTTTGGGAGGCCGAGGCAGGAGGATTACTTGAGATTAGAAGTTCGAAACCAGCCTGGCCAACACGGTGAAACCCTGACTCTACTAAAAATAAAAAAAATTAGCCATGTGTGGTGGCAAGAGCCTGTAATCCCAGCTACCCAGGAGGCTGAGGCAAGAGAATCACTTGAACCCAGGAGGCGGAGGTTGCAGTGAGCCGAGACCATGCCACTGCACTCCAGCTTGGGTGACAGAGTGAGATTGCGTCTCAAATAAATAAATAAATAAATAAATAAATAAATAAATAAATAAATAAATAAGAAAAAGAGAGAAGTGGGGGAAGAAGGAAGGAAGGGAGGGGAGGAGGAAGAGAGAAAAGGGGAAGTAACATATTCAGTATATACGGATTGCTTTCTGTAACAAATAATAGAAAATACCACAAAAAATCAGCTCTTCAGGGTGGATGTACCAATGTCCACCAGAAATTTCTTTTTTTGTGTGACAGAGTCTTGTTCTGTTGCCCAGGCTGGAGCCACCAAGACCAACCTCACCAGAAACTTTCTCTCTCCCTAGTCTGCACCCTTGGCATACCTTTATGAACAGGGCCCTGCAGTGGCTGGTGCGCCTCCAGAAATCACATCCATGTTCCAGGCAAAAATGAGGCAATTAGGCCTAAAGACTTCTCCTTGAAGGGCTTTGTCTTTTTGTTGGTGAAAAGAAGCCAGTCTCAGTAGACTTCTGTCTACATCTCATTGGCAGGACTCTATAAAACCATCAGATCTCATGAGACTTATTCACTACCACAAAAACAGTATAGGGGAAACTGCTCTTATGATTCATTTATCTCCCACCGGGTCCCTTTCACAACACATGGGAATTATGGGAGCCACAATTCAAGATGAGATGTGGGTGGGGACACAGCCAAACTATATCATTAAGGAACTTAGAATTAGCTGGTGTCAAAGCTACACAGAAGAATGCAAAATCATTTAGGATACTGCTCAGACTTCACAGTTGTAAAGAGACATATAACAATTCATTGCAGAATTCTTTGTCATCGTAAAAAAATGAAAGCAACCTAAATATCTACCAAAATTAGAATGGAAAATAAATTTTGTAACAGCTGTATCATAAAGTACCAAGCAACAGTTTAAAATAATTAAGTTTATTATATGTACTAACACTGAAAACTCCTCAAGACATATTAAGTGAAAAACAAGCTATAGTATAACAGCCATTTCACACCAGTTATATTAAAGATATCTCAAAATACTCTATATTTTACCAGGAATTATATATGTACAGATAATGATCTGGGAGGATGTACGCTAAGCAGATAGTAGTGTAAACATCATCTAGGAAGGAGACCTAGTTTCTAGGTGCTAGTCAAAAAGGATTGTATCTATATCATCAGAGTTTTAATTTTTACCTTAAGAATGTATTCATTTCCTGCTTGTGTAATAAAAAATTAACTGTAAATATTTTAATACCTTTAAAGTAAAATATAAAGGACATTGACATACTCGTTGAATTTTTATACCTACAATAGAATGAACAAGAATAATAAATGACTATTAAGAGAGTTATGCAATATTCTTAAATTATCCTAAAATACTGTTTCATAAAAATTACTGCCATAGGTTTCACTTTCATATTTTATCAATTTATTAATATTTTCTAAAAGAATATTTTAGACTATATTAGGTAGAATATTTTAGAATATATTAGAAATATTTAGGTATTTAGAAATACCTAAAATGTCTCTGGCCACAGGAAAGCATTAGTACTATGGACACATTTTTGTAGTAGCATGAAATAAGTAGGGGCATTTCCAGGTTTAAGAAATAGCAATGGGGCCAGGCGCCATGGCTCACGCCTGTATTCCTAGCACTCTGGGAAGCTGATGTGGGTGGATTACGAGGTCAAGAATTCGAGACCAGCCTGGCCAACATGGTGAAACCCCGTCTCTACTAAGAATACAAAAATTAGCTGGGCATGGTGGCACATGCCTGTAATCCCAGCTACTCGGGAGGCTGAGGCAGGAGAATTGCTTGAACCTGGGAGGTGGAGATTGCAGTCAGCTGAGATCACGCTACTGCACTCCAGCCTGGCAACAAAGTGAGACTCTGTCTCGAGAAAAAAAAAAAAAAAAGAAAAGAAAAGAAATAGCAATGAAGACAAGAAAATGATACAAAATGCAACTCAGTGTGAGTCATGAAATTTTACTTAGTTTACATAGGTCCTTACATTGTGGCAAGAATATATTAAAATAAGGTTTTAATGGAACATTTCAAAGCTATTTGATTTCCTTTCTTTTTATAATCAAGAGCACAACTGCAAGTCCCTTTTTCCCGTATAACAAAAATATTTCTGACTCAAAAATTCTGTGAGAATTTCTGCTCACTCTGTACCATTTCTTAAATATGAGTTTTACCTACACTCTTTTCTATATGAGATCATCTTGATTTCAGCTTAAAGGAGGTTTATTTAAAATGCTGAGACAGTAATTTCCATGAATTACCTGTCACTATGGGGAACATGGAGATGGGAGACTAGATCAAGCCTGTTGAGATTCAAACTTGTTCTTCCAGGAAAATCAGATCTGAACTTAACAATTATACACATGAATAGATGGGAGCAGCCAAAAGTCATTTCTATTTAATGCAGAAGGCATTAGAAAACTTATGAAGTAAATTTGCCTCCTTAATTATGTTTGTTGACACTGACTCTGAAATGAGTGTGGTTTGCATTCCTGAGCATATATGGACTGATTTCAGAGAAGGTGCTCAGAAGTGAGACAGGAGTACACATGGTTTTAATAATGACTATGCATATCCTGCAAAGTACGTAATCCACATAAGGATAATAAAAGACCTTTTAGTTCACTCAATTATCTAGTTAGAAAACTATAAACTCTAGCCAGGCTTCCTTTGTCCACTTAGCACACTTCTCGGGGCCCCCTTCCAGGTCAGTGAGTTTAGGCTCCAGGAATACACACTCATTGTTATCCCAGGTAAAACATCTTTTACAATCAATGAATCGTTAAACACAGTGAAGATCACTCGCGTTGTTAATACTTTTCTGCAGGATGTTCTTACACAAGCCCCAGGAAGACAGGCAAGCGAGAGTTCAGTCCGTGTGAGTTAAGGACAATCATGAATCCTCAGAACCAAACATTCCAGCCATCTTGTCCCTCCTGGCTTCATTTTGGTCCTTTCTCCCTCTGCTTCCATCCATCACTGAAGTATTTCCCACAAGGATCCAGGTCAATTCCAGCTCTCCTAGGACATGACACATTGGTATCTTAAGGGAATGATCTTCTCCTAAAGATTTTTTAAAGCTAAAAAAGAACAAAACTAAACACATCAAGAAACCATATTTTCCTTTCAACTTTAACTCAACTTCAGATTATTCACCAAGGCTCAAACTCAAATCAAGTTATATGTGGTTAGAGCTGGAAAAGAACCTGACAATCATCTAGTTCAAAACATTCATTTTCAGGTAGGGAATGGAGTCCAGAGAGAACAAGCAATTTGCCTAAGTGCACTCTGTGAGTTGATGGCCCAGTTTAGACTAGAATCTTGGTCACCTTGAGCCAAGGCCTCAAGAATTTCATGGACACCCTGATAAAAAAAATAAAATTAGGAAGTTATACCTTCTTCAGCAAATATTATATATTTCAATATAAACCCTAAGACAATTAGCTTGAGAGCTATGTCTGCTTGGGATTTTTCTTTACTTCAACTCTTTGCCCACCTCTCATATCCCTTTAGTGAAGATATTTGTGAATGATAATATTTCAAACTTTCTTTCCTAATCATAAACATCTATTTATCTGGATAACCTAGTCTCTTATTTTTACATTATATTTGAATTGAGTGTGTGAATATTTGCAAAAGTAATATTTCTTGGACTATTTTTTTGGGCCTCTTTAGATGTCCTGCTGTGTGAACTATTTGAACTAGAATATGATCATAAGTAATGGGACTCTTTCCACTGATAATATGGTTTCCATTAGAGCATAGTCTCCAGTTAAAGTTGAAAACTTTATTAGTTGAGTTACTATTGAATGATAAAAAATACTTTGCATTTACACAAAGAAAAACATATTGGAGTCCGGTTAGTTTGACAAAAGTGTGATATTTGCAGAGAAAGCCAAGGATTATCCACGCAAAAGGCCAAGTTAAATAAGACACAATTAGATCTCATTTGGCCTCCTACCTCTCAGGATTCATAAACTCACATTTTTGCAAACTTGGGGAAATAAATTTCATCTTAATTGTATCTTATTTCTCTTGGCTCATCTACATTATTCACACTCTTCTGACAGGAGCTTTCAGCAAATATCACATTTTCCTGCATCTTGCTGACCTTTTTTTCAAACTGGCTTTTCCTTTTCCTTATTAAATGTTTTTGAACAGATATCATATTTTATTTTGTTTAGAAAGGCAAAATAAAGGGTGAGAATTTATTCATCTACATGTCCGTGAGAAGAAAATAGACATCAACAACAGAATTTTTAGAAAAACATACTCCCAACCACTTAGTGGCAAAGATGCAGACTTTGCCACTAAGAATGTACACGGCTAATAAACCTATGCTGTCCCACTCTGTGGTGTGATATTAAAGGAGGTTGAAAAAATTCAGAGAAAGGAATCAAAAGCATCGAGACTTTTCTTTACACAATGAAAAAATTTGGACCAAAGGTTTAAAGTTCAAAGGTGCTATATTAATCTGTTTTCACACTGCTATAAAAAACTGCCAGAGACTGGGTAATTTATAAAGGAAAGAGGCTTAATCGACTCACAGGTCAGGATGGCTTGGAAAGGCCTCAGGAAACTTACAATCATGGCAGAAGGCAAAGGGGAAGCAAGCACCTTCCTCACAAGGTGGCAGGAAAGAGAATGAATGCAGAAGGAACTAACTACCAAATAGTTATAAAAAACACTGGATCTCATAAGAACTCACTATCATGAGAACAGCAAGGGGTAAACTGCTCCCATGATTCAGTTACCTCCACCTGTTTCTCCCTGGACACGTGGGAATTGTGGGGATTATAAGGATTATAATTCAGGATGAGATTTTGGGCGGAGACACAGCCAAATCATATCAGGTGCTGAATGTCAACTGACCTGAAGTAATACAACACATTACTACACTTCAAGAGGACTTGAAGTTGCCAGGAATCCCCTCCAGGATGCCTTACCCTCCTAGCCATTGTCTCCACATCAGTCCCCAACTCTGCTGCCTCTTATCTATTTTTTCTGCTCTTAAGTTGCCAAGACGATCATGAGAAAGACACAAAGTGTGTTGATGGGGCCTACTGCAGGCTCATTCTACTCTGCTGTTGGGTAGAAGATACTCCCGGGTTCTGGCGACAGGCAGGCCCTCATCTCCAGCCTCTTACAGGCTGCCTCTGGCCATCTCATCCATCCTCACAGCCTCAAGTGTCTTCTCTTGGTGCCTTATGCCACAGCTGCCTGTGCTGGGCTGGAAAGTCCCCTGAGTGTCATAACCTCTAAATTTGAGTATGAGTTCCACCACTTACCAGCTGAGTAACCATGAGCAAATTACTTAAATTCTCTGCTTGTCACTTTCCTCCTCAGTTAAATCAGGGTAATAATCTTTATTATGCAAGGCTAATAGGAAACAATGTATATATAGTATACGTAGTTTGGTGTCTAGGACATAGTAGAAGAAGAAGAAAAACTTCCACATGACTTAGCCATTTTTTTCCCCTGCTTTCTGTTTGACACCTTAATGCATTTCTCACAGAAGCTACTCCAGAGCTAGGCATGGTGGCGCGCACCTATAACTCCAGCTCCCCAGAAGGCTGAGACCAGAGGATCACGTAAGCCCAGGAGTTCAAATCCAGCCTGGGCAACATAGTGAGACACCTTCTCTAGAAATAAAAATATTATTAAAAATTTTTAAAGAAGCTACTGCAGAAAGCTTTTATAGCCTTAAGATTCTCAGTTTTCTCACTCTCAACCCATTTGATCAGTAAACATTGAGATCAGCCATCTCATGCGTGGTTCCTAGCCTCCTCCCTCTTCTGCTGTCCCGACACCCTCCTCAAAGCCCAGAGCTGCTCAGCACCTTCACTCAAATGTGTCCTTGTAGCTGTCTCAGAGTGAGAGGCATCTTCACACCATACCCAGGCTTACTTCCTTCCTTGGTCTTGTCTCATGCCTGATGTTTCTATCATATCTTCTTTTATTTATCTCTTGTGTGTTAGTAAGTTAATGAATATTTATTAATGTAGGTTTTGTTCCCACCCCACCAGTTCCTTCTCCACTCTCTACAGTTCTTCAAGTATTCTTATTCTAAAATACATCTCTGGGTTCTTCTCTCCTCTTGAGCTAGTACTCTGATCTTTTGCCACCAGGTCCACACACACTGCAGCAGCAGGTAGGGTTCAGGAATCAGGCTTCCCTTTCCCTTTGCCAGCTGTGTGTCCTTGGACAAATCACTGAACCTGTCTGTGCCTCAGCTTTTTCATCTGTAACATAGGCGGGAGGGAATAGGTTTGTTTTTATGACTAAATTAGTTAATTCATCCAAGCACCTAAAACAATGCTTACTCAGTTCATAATAAGTGTTCAATAAATGTGGTTCTCCTTGCCCACTGCTTATACCCGCTGCCTTCTTGCCACTCCTCCTCCATCCCCAGTGGCTGGCGACTCATTTCTTAAGGATTCTGATGGCTTCATAATCTCAAAATGAAACATCATTTCCCACTTTCCCCTCTCATTCTTCTTAACCTTTGTGCAGCTTTGACAAAGCTAACATCCCTCCTACTGGAACATCCATTGTCTTGGGACAAGGAAGGAAGTAACTGATATGTTTTTCCTATGACCCTCTCCTATCCAGGCCATGAGAGTTGACACTAGCACTGCTCCAAGGGGGCAAGAGGGAAGTTTCAAGAAGGAACTAGAAACAGACACGAATTTGGGTCTTTTAGTCAAAAGTCTTCGCAGAAAGTTTGTGTGATTCTTCACCCCTTGCCTCAATTTGGTCCTCAGAGTTGAAAGAAAATCCAGAGGGAAATGCAAGATAGTTAAGTATGGGAGCCCTTTGGAAGGAGGTATGGAACCCATCAAGGCTGAATATGCAAAGAGCAGTGAACTGGAAATGAAGCCATCACAGGATGACACAGGCCCCCAACAAAATTTTTTATGGCCCCAGAGTGTCACAGTAAAGCAACAGGAAGTTTCCCAGCTCCTCATTCCGCTTTCCCCAGAGGGATAAGGAAATACTGAGAGTAAGGCCAGAAAATCCCCAGGGGTCTCATGGGCATGCTGAAAGGACTCCGCTGTGGAGGGCAGCATAGACCATGGGACTAGAAACCCTCTGGGATCAAAAACATCTCAGAGGATGCTAGTGAGGATGGAAGCCAGCTACAAAAACCCATGACCATGGTGCCAGTGTGAAACCCTACCAGGCCAGCCCCACATCTCTCCCAATGGCCCATAAGCTACATGCCACACAGAAGAAAAAATGATAGGCAAAACAAAGCCCCACCTAGACTGTCAGCTCCCTGAGGACAGAGCCCATCCTACTGCTCTTTATCTAGCTTAGTGCTTTACAGATACAGATCGATAAATTTCAGCTGAATTTATTGATTACCTTGTTTCCTTTTCTGTCACCCTGAAATGGCACAAAAATCATCCCTCCATCTTTTTTTCCTTGTCTCTTCTTAAATAATGTTTTTAAATTCTGAGTAGATGAGGTTCTGAATAGATGAGGTTCTGAATAGATGAGGAAAGGCTATGAGAGAACAAATTTAAGCATCAGTACAGGACAGCTAGAAACTAAGTGGCTCTGGAATGTTCAGTAAATAAGTAGCTTGAGCCACTAGAGGGAGTGTGTACAGGAATGAATGAAATGAGATACAAACTGTGCTATAACATTTAATTGATAACCATAAATCTACGACCAGGAAAGATTCTTCTTTAAAAAAAAAAAGTAAATACTTTTAAAAGATAGGCTGTATGGAATATGTCAAATCAAGCTATTTCTCACCAAACAAAAGCAAAATTTAAACACTAGTTTATGCTGTGAACTTTTAAAAATATTAAATGTAGGCATTTGCAGTTCTGTGCCATTCAGTCCTAAATGGCAACTTAGTGTATGCTAACCAAATTAACAGCTCAATCTTACTGTTGTATTTTAGACTTTTCAATAAAAAAAATCATACATTAAATGTATCTCATTCCTCATTTCAAAACTTCAGGAGAAACTTTAGTGAGTCAGCATTTTACGCTTGAAGAAAAAGAGACCCAGAGTAGTTCATCAAATTATCCAAAGTCTTATAACTAGCTAGCAGATGAACTTATATCAAAAACTTTAGGCCTATATGGATAGAAAAGCATTTTAACAATCCACAAAGGGAGTCACTCGGTAGATTCCCTTTGTAAGACTCCTACCTTTGTGGTGTTCGTTCTTGAGAAGAAATACTCATTCTTTAGTGTTTTTTCAGATCAAAATGGCTCCACACCAACCTGGCCAGGGTTCTCAAGGTTACAGAAATTTTGATTCATTTACACAGCTATTGCCCCAGGTATACATGAGCTCCCAGGAGGACTGGGAAGGTCAGGTTCTACCACCATCCCCCTTTGTTTTCTTCTTAATTCTGGCCTCAGGCATTGCTTCTGCCAATTTTAAGCATCTAGTCAGTTTATTCCACTGGCTTTGTTACCTTTCCTTACAACTGGGCTTTGGTCTGAGCTACCTCAGTCCATCCCAACAGATTTCCCTAACTTGAGTCTCAGGAAAAAAAGTTGGGGCCTTGATAACTCCCCTGTCAGAGAATGTCTGGAACTCTTAGCAAAGCAGTACACTCACTCCACATGCTCTGCATTCTGGAATTGTCAGGATGGAGAGACATCCTAAGACAGAAAAAAATGTGTTGTTACAAACTTTGGGTAGAGCAATGTAAATATCCTGCCTTACTTATAATAAAAAAGGAAGATTACTCAAATGATTCTGACCTTATGACAAAATTACTTCATATTGACTTGCTTTCTCCACTTACAACATAGCAATGCCAGATACACTATTAGAAGTCTCAGCTCCCCAGCTGCCCACTGTATGTCGATATGGGATGAACCTAATTTTACGTACCATGACACATACAGAAAAATCTGGGAGTAACAACATCAATATTAATAGATAATAGCTGCTCTATTTAGACAGTTGGGCAAGTATTTTCCTCCTAAATAATTGGTACACTTATGTATCTGTTAAAAAAGGGTTTTGGCTGCAAGTAATAAATACTCAGTAAGGCTGGCTGAAACAAAGAGTGGTTTATTTTTCTCATATAACAAGCAGTTCTTCCAGAGGTTGTTCTGGCTTGGTTCAGTGGCTCAGGGGTATTATCAAGAATGCAGACTCTATATCTTTCTTCTATTATCCTCAGTACATTAGCTTTTCATCCTTAGGCTTTCCCAGAGGCCCCAAATACCTCACCCTATGTCTCATTGCCAGAGCAGTGTCACATGGCCACCGCTATCTGCAAGCAAAGGGGAATGGAATGACTATCATTATCTTAGATCCAGGACAAGGGCAAATGGTTAGGACAATTTTGTTGTATACAATCTGTGTATGTCCTTCCACCTCCAACAGTTGCTATGCATCTCCTGGGGCTGCCCTGAACAAATGATGGCTCTATAAGTGAGGGGAAAGGAAAGAATAACTATTGGGTAGGCAATTAACAGCACTGGCCACAGCTTTCTTCTATAATCTACCCTTTTCATGTTCTGTCATAGATGTTCGACATGATTTTTAAATATGCCTAGTAATATGTCATTGATTTCTGTCTCTGATAAGTACAGAAAGTCATCAGTCTCTAGGAAAGAGTCAAATCCTTTTTTAAAATGTGTGTGAGCATCCTTCCCCAGAAAAGCAGACTTTTCCTTCCTACTCATTTCTCTATATATTTCTGAAAGTATGCAATTTCAGTGGTCATCATTTAGTTATATTTGCAATTTTTTTCAATTTTCCTGAACATTAAATCAACCACCTACTCTTTTCTGTGACGAAATCAATGTGTGGATTCTCTGATTAACTTTGAGATGCTCTTCCCTGCTACACATAAAATTCTGTGGGTACTAAACCAATGAGCCTTTTCCAATCTCCATGATAACATTTATAGTCATTGTCATGTCAATGGAAAAAAACTTTCTCTGAAGCTTGGTATTTCAGTATAAACAAAACAAGCAACCTCATACACTTCTCCCTTCTTTTATGTCCCTCACATATACTGAAATAAATTTCACTTAACCATAGAGTGAAATATCCGCTAGCACTCTCCAGACAGTAATTGTTCTTCCATATTATATGCTGCTGATACAATATCCAACCTTATCGGTTGACAAAGAGATTCTTTTTTTTCTTTTATTTTCTGAGACAGAGTCTTACTCTGTAGGCTGGAGTGCAGTGGTGTAATCTCAGTTCCCTGCAACCTCCACCTCCTGGGTTCAAGCGATTCTCCTGCCTCAGCCTCCTGAGTAACTGGGATTACAGGTGCATGCCACCATGCCCGGCTAATTTTTTTTATTTTTAGTAGAGACGGGGTTTCACCATGTTGGCCAGGCTAGTTTTGAACTCCTCACCTCAGGTGATCCACCTGCCTCGGCCTCCCAAAGTGCTGGAATTACAGGTGTGAGCCACCATGCCCAGCTGACAAAGGGATTCTGTCAATTGTTCTTTCTGCTTTACTTCTGATCATAATAATTATCTTTACTATCATAAGTGCATTTAAAACTTTAATAGTAGTGTAATTTGTACTTATTTTTCTATAAGGGTTGAAGCTTTCAATAAAGCATTTGTATATCTGCCCTCTTCTTAAACTAGCAATTTTGTCCTGGAAACATTATTTTACCATTGTTCTTGGAATTTTCTATTGGTATACCAACAAAATCGCTATTTTTCTTGAACTACATCAATGGCTTTATGCCACTATATAAAAGTTTCATAATTGACAATGTACCAGGAATTAGGAGCAAATGGACTGCCAGTCTGATTAAATCTAATATTCAAATATTTAAATTTTTTACTTTTTTTTTTTTTTTTTTATGACAGGGTCTCACTCTGTCACCCAGGCTCAGGTTGGAGTGTAGTAGCAGAATCATGACTAACTGTAACCTCAAACTCCTGGGCTCAAGTATTCCTCCCGCCTCAACCTCTGGAGTAGCTGGGACTACAGGCATACATCACCACACCCAGTTAATTTTTTTTTTTATTTTTTGTAGATATGAGGTTTCATTATGTTGCCCAGGCTGGTCTCAAACTTCTGGCCTCCAGCAGTCCTCCCAAGTTGGCCTCCCAAAGTGCTGGCATCACAGGCCACTGTATCCAGCCTTTTTTTACTTCTGATTCACCCTCTTTTATTCCTACTGCCTGTGTGAAATCATCACAGTTACTAATTTATTTGTCTCAGGCCATGAGTCACATTTTATAGTGACACAGATGTGGAGCCTTTGTATGGCTGTGTTTGTCACTTTTGATCCATTTATTCATTTTTATGAATTGAACATATGACAATATATAATAACTATAAAAAGACAAATTCAGCACATGGATAACAAGCACATTGTGTGTAAATATGCCTCACTTGATGAACTGACTAACACAATTCTTGTCATACATGCACATTTTTAAGAATATCATACTTATTGAGATACAAAAGATTCCTGTGAAAATGTTAAATTTCAAAATTTACAAAATATATATGAACAAAATTGTTCCATTTTTCCCTCTGAAGGCTTCACACTGTCTGTGGAAAATTTAATATGCCACTGAGACCCCCAGTAGTCCATGGACACTTGAGGAATATTAAAAAATACTTGGGATACAGTTATTCCAACCATAGAAAGAGGAATTTTTTTTTTTTTTTTTTTTGAGACAGAGTCTCGCTCTGTCGCCCAGGCTGGTGTGCAGTGGTGCAATCTCGGCTCACTGCAAGCTCCGCCTCCTGGGTTCAAGCGATTCTCCCGACTCAGCTTCCCGAATAGCTAGGATGACAGGCACGTGCCACCATGCCCAGCTAATTTTGGTGTTTTTAGTAGAGACGGGATTTCACCATGTTGGCCAGGCTGGTCTCGATCTCCTGACCTCGTGATCCACCCGCCTCAGCCTCCCAAAGTGCTGGGATTACAAGCGTGAGCCACCACACCTGGCCAGAAAGAGGAATTTGAACTCCAAATCTATGGTCATTTCTGACTTGAAAGTTCTACACCTCCCATTTAATTACATTTAAAGGAAAAGTATTCCTATAGCAAACAGCAAAGGATGTTATTAGATTCATGAGCTTGATTTTATAGTTTATCCCTCCTGACTTCTTTCATTTTGACTTACTCATTAACTATAAGCACAATTCCAATTTCCCACCTGCCTAGAATCTTTGAAAATTCAAAAAGATGTCAAAGCACTTACCCAAAATCTGTCAAAGTTTAGGCTGTATTAGTATTGATTTGAGTTCATCGTAAATGCTCTAGACTGGAAGACAGAAAGAAGACCAACATGTAGAAGCGACAAAGTAGTGTTTTGTTTGTGTGTTTGTGGAGACGGGGAGAAAAGGAGATGTGGAGGACCGGCAAAAGCTAGTGCTCTCTGAGTGGCAAGGAGCTTCCAGAAAAAGCAGAGTGCTTTTTGGAGGTATTCAGTGAAACCATCAGTCATAATCGACCTGGGACTCTATAGAAGAGATTCAACACTAAGAAGGAAAGTAGGGTGATCTCTAAAGTCCTTTCCAACTCTAAGATTCTATTATAAGTAGAAAACAAAACACGACCTTTGTTGTAGCACTGGACTCTATAAAGTTTCCGTAAATAACAGTATTATCACAATAGAATTGATTGTAATCAAAAGAGTGAAGCACTCATTTTTACATAATGGATCATAAAAATAGTATTGATTAAAAAATATTAACACTGTACATATTAAAATAAAATCCTGTTTATAACATCACAATATTGTTCTTAATTTCTAAAAGAAACCCCAAGGGCTGTGGCACCTGAATAATCTCTAACAATGAACATATTGCCTTAATTATTAACACTAGCAATTAAAATGTAGGAGAGGCAAATTGATCTTTTTTCTCTAAGAGCTTTATCTGTTTCTCTAAAGGACAGTTAAAATCATCTAAGCACCATAAAAACTGGTGAAATCCTAAAAGGAAATTAGCAATTTCTAAGGTAAATATAAATTATTTTCTTTTGGACTCATTTTTTGATTTGTTTTGTTTTAGACATTTTCTTTCTATTTTCTAGTTTAAGCTGTAGCTGTAAATACAAAATAAAGCACAGGAAAAATGTTCCACAGTATTTGTCTCCAAAAAAGACCTAAGATATTTCAGTACTTTAACTCCAGCTTCTAATGTCCCAGTCAAATGTTACTACAGCATTTTTGCTTTTGACAGATGTTAGAAAACAAGCCAAGGCAGAAAATATCAGATACAGTGAATACAATGGTATTGAATACAATAGTAATAGTTAACAAAATGTGTCTTTATAGCAGCATGATTTATAGTCCTTTGTGTATATACCCAGTAATGGGATAGCTGGGTCAAATGGTATTTCTAGTTCTAGATCCCTGAGGAATCGCCACACTGACTTCCACAAGGGTTGAACTAGTTTACAGTCCTACCAACAGTGTAAAAGTGTTCCTATTTCTCCACATCTTCTCCAGCACCTGTTGTTTCCTGACTTTTTAATGATCGCCATTCTAACTGGTGTGAGATGGTATCTCATTGTGGTTTTGATTTGCATTTCTCTGATGGCCAGTGATGGTGAGCATTTTTTCATGTGTTTTTTGGCTGCATAAATGTCTTCTTTTGAGAAGTGTCTGTTCATGTCCTTTGCCCACTTTTTGATGGGGTTGTTTGTTTTTTTCTTGTAAATTTGTTTGAGTTCATTGTAGATTCTGGATATTAGCTCTTTGTCAGATGAGTAGGTTGCAAAAATTTTCTCCCATTTTGTAGGTTGCCTGTTCACTCTGATGGTAATTTCTTTTGCTGTGCAGAAGCTCTTTAGTTTAATTAGATCCCATTTGTCAATTTTGGCTTTTGTTGCCATTGCTTTTGGTGTTTTAGACATGAAGTCCTTGCCCATGCCTATGTCCGGAATGGTAATGCCTAGGTTTTCTTCTAGGGTTTTTATGGTTTTAGGTCTAACGTTTAAGTCTTTAATCCATCTTGAATTAATTTTTGTATAAGGTGTAAGGAAGGGATCCAGTTTCAGCTTTCTACATATGGCTAGCCAGTTTTCCCAGCACCATTTATTAAATAGGGAATCCTTTCCCCATTGCTTTTCTCAGGTTTGTCAAAGATCAGATAGTTGTAGATATGTGGTGTTATTTCTGAGGGCTCTGTTCTGTTCCATTGATCTATATCTCTGTTTTGGTACCAGTACCATGCTGTTTTGGTTACTGTAGCCTTGTAGTATAGTTACGTTTATTGCGGCACTATTCACAATAGCAAAGACTTGGAAACAACCCAAATGTCCAACAATGATAGACTGGATTAAGAAAATGTGACAAATATACACCATGGAATACTGTGCAGCCATAAAAATGATGAGTTCATGTCCTTTGTAGGGACATGGATGAAATTGGAAATCATCATTCTCAGCAAACTATCCCAAGAACAAAAAACCAAACACCGCATATTCTCACTCATAGGTGGGAATTGAACAATGAGAACACATGGACATAGGAAGGGGAACATCATACTCTGGGGACCGTTGTGGGGTGGGGGTGGGGGGAGGGATAGCTTTAGGAGATATACCTAATGCTAAATGACGAGTTAATGGGTGCAGCACACCAGCATGGCACATGTATACATATGTAACTAACCTGCACATTGTGCACATGTACCCTAAAACTTAAAATATAATAGTAATAAAATAAAATAAAAAAATAGTTAACAAAATGTCCCTTTTGGTAACAGATTACCAACCAATAAAAGCAAATTTACTGAGATAAAAACAAAATATCTGAATTGTTAATTGTTAGAGTCTGGTGCTATAGATTTGAGATGTCATGAATTTGCTTATATATATATATACACACACACTATATACTACAGATATAGCATATACTGTATATTGAGATATATATACACTATATATGCTATATAGTATACTATAATATAGTATGTTTACTATATATACTCTATAGTATATATAGTAATAGTATATAACATACTATTAGTATAGTATATATAGTATATATAGTTTATAATAGTATATATACTATTATATATACACACTATAGTATATAGTATACTATAGTATAGTATATATAGTAGTAGAATATATTATATACTATTATGTAGTATATAATACTATGTATAGTAATATATACTATTAGTATAGTATACAATAGTATATGTAGTAATATATATTGTTAGTATAGTATACAATAGTATATGTGGTAATATATACTGTTAGTATAGTATACAATAGTATATGCAGTAATATATACTATTAGTATAGTATACAATAGTATATGTAGTAATATATACTATTACCATATTATATAATAGTATATGTAGTAATATATACTATTACTACAGTATATATTACTATATATACTATAGTAAGTATGTGTGCATATGTGTATATGTATATACTATTTACTTCTTACATGACTCTCTAAGCAGTGTTTAGGAAAGTGAGTTAGAAACCACATGCTGAGCTCTCAAAGATCTGGTGATACCCATGTCTCGCCAAATTAATGGAAATAATTTCTCTTTTTTGCAGAGATCTACATAGGGCTTGCTCCCTTAAAGAAACTATATAACTTGGGGGCAGGCACAGTGGCTCATGCCTGTAATCCCAGCACTTTGGGAGGCTGAGGCAGGCAGATCCCAAGGTCAGGAGATCGAGACCATCCTGGCCAACATGGTGAAACCCTGTCTCCACTAAAAATACAAAAATACCTGGGCAGGTTGGTGTGCACCTGTAGTCCCAGATACTCGGGAGGCTGAGGCAGGGGAATTGCTTGAACCTAGGAGGCGGAGGTTGCAGTAAGCCGTGATCGCACCACTGCATTCCAGCCTGGCGAAATATATATATATATACTATAGTGTGTGTGTGTGTGTGTGTGTGTGTGTGTGTGTGTGTGTGTGTGTATACTATTTACTTCTTACATGATATATATATATATTTCTATATATATATAATTTTATATATATATTTCTATATATATAATTTTATATATATATTTCTATATATAATTTTATATATATATATATATTTCTAACTTCTTACCATGGGTAAGAAAATAAAAAGAGAGAAAACTGGGCATTTTAAAAGAAAAAATTATGCTACGCCCTGTGTATAATGATCATATTGCATTGTTTGAAATGTGAAACAGTGATTATGTTGCTAATTACTGAAAACTTCTAGATAAGAATTAATTTCTGCTCCAAATTATTTTAAGATCCCTCTTTACCTTAAATGCTATGAATATTTCTCTTCTAGGATGCGCAGAGATTGAATAAAACAGAAAGATACTATACGAACATTGGAAAAAATTATTTAACAAAATTAAATTCCATAAATATCTATGCTCCATGTGGCACAGTAACTCCTAATACATGAATGAAAAGCACTATTTCCTGATAGGAAATGCTCTCCCCACTACGGATACAATTACTTAAGTCCATAATTCCTTGCATTACCAAGCCAACTGAATAGAAGCCAAAGCTGCTATAAAGATTACATTGTAAAAGAAGCAAAATTTGTTGATTTGTAACTATTTTGAAGTTTAGTCTAATAGCTTAAATTTTCCCATTCCCAGGCAGTATGTAGAGATTCAAAAAGTACTATTTATTGGATGTCAAAGAGGGTGTAGTTTTTTTTTTATTTTTTTATTTTTAAAATGTATTTATTTATTTATTTATTTTGAGACATGGTCTCACTTCATCACTCAGACTGGAGTGCAGTGGCACAATCTCAGCTCACTGTAACCTTCGGCTCCTGGGTCCAAGTGATTCTCCCACCTCAGACTCCGAGTACCTGGGACTACAGGCACATGCCACCATGCCTGGCTAATTTTTGTATTTTTTGGTAGAGACTGGGTTTCACCATGTTGGCCAGGTTGGTCTCAAACTCCTGACCTCAAGTGATCTGCCCACCTTGACCTCCCAAAGTGCTGGGATTACAGGTGTGAGCCACTGCACCCAGCCAGGATGTAGTTTCTTAAACTGAGATCTAGAAGTGGCTCCTTAGAACTTTTTTTAAAAGCATGAAAATGAGCCAGGCACAATGGCACATGCCTGCAACCCTAGCTACTCAGGAGGCTGAGATGGGAGGATCACTTGAGCCCAGGAGTTCAAGATCAGCCTGGGCAATATAGTAAGAGCTCATCTCAAAAAATAAATAAAAAATAAAACATTAAAATAAGCATATGCCAAACCAAAAGTAATTTGAAAAGGCCTGACTCCAAATTAGGCCAGAGATTTATAGAAAATTAATCAATTATCCAAAAAAAAAAAAAAAAAGCTAGTGAGTATACTTTCTTCTCATTTTGCTCCTTTTTGATTGATGTTCAAAGAAATTTGATTCTAGAGGGAATGGGACTCCTATTCAATTTTCTAGAAGTTACTTATATGCATCAGAGAGCAAAAGGCAGCTAGAATCTGTTGGAGATTTTCTGGGATTACCTGAAGATTTAAGAATCATGGCATACGGGAAGAACTGCAAACTCTAAAGTTTGTAGACAAAGTTCAAAGTCACACTTTTCTAGGTTTATGTAAACTCTTTGGATCTCAGTATTTTTTTTTCATTTAAAAAAATGGGTATACTAATGCCTCAAAAGATTAAAGATAATATATTTAAATGTATAGAATATAAGAGTCACTCTCGCATAATATATTAAAAAGAGAAAACAGAAAGCCACTTAAGGAGCCTTAAGCAAAATTATATTCACAAACTGTTTTGAAGTCAGAGATATTAGATCAAATTGTAAATTACATGAGGTTCTAATCCTATTTAATTTATTACATTAGTATGTTTTAGAGATGGCATATACCCACAAGTCTTGAAAAACTTAAAGAAATATGTCAGTTAATGGCAGAAATAACTATCATAGGCAGTAAATGGTAAAGAAAGGTAATATATTAAAAAGTAAAAGTCTTATTGCTTCATTTTTAAACTTTTAATAAGGACTGCAGAAATTTAACATCCAAACTAAACAATCTAATAGAATTACTGAACATAGGCTTGACTGAAGGAAAATAAACATTATTTTGTAATCAAGAACCATATCTGAGTATGGTAATAGCGATGCTGAAGAGATAAGCAACATGGAAAAAAGATGCATTTTATTTAACCTCAAATATACAGTGTTCTCCTGGGTGTCATGATCTTCCTCATTCCTGGACCAGATTCTGTAATTCTACCTAGTGACCCTCTAGCCCTTAGCTTTCAAACTGCAGAAGAGGGGCTCCCTACATTTTTGTGTAACATTATTGCAAGGACTCCAATACCATGGTGTTAAATATATATGACATAATTCAGTAGGGCAGCTCTTAGTCATTTCACTCAAAATCTTCTTGCTCTGCTAAAGGGGCTTTGCTGAAAGACAAATCCTGATGACTGACAGCATATGGCACTCAGATTTGTCTGTCCTCCTCCCTAGAACTCGTATCCTGAGTCATGCTCACATGTCTGGAACTTCACCCATAGGAACTCTCTTCTGGAAGAACTTTCATTAAATTTTGCCAACAGCCTTCTGTAAGATTGCTCCACTCTACTGTCAGAAATGCTGATTTGTCTGAGGATCAAGCAAGGACTCACAGGAGTACTTTTCCAGGAAGCTCTTCAACTCCCATGCAATTAAGTTTCCAGCCCATTATTAAATAGATAGCTCCAACCATGTCTGAGATGCCAGATTCAACCACTTCCTGCACTGCAGAGAAATCACTGTTAGTGAACAAAAAAGTAAAAAACAAAAAAATCATGTTCTCCCTTATAAGAGGCAGCTAAACAATGGGTACACCTGGATGTATAGAGGGAAATAATAGACATAGGGGACTCCAAGAGGAGAAAGGGTGGGAAACAAGTGAGGGTTAAAAAATTATCTACTGGGTACAGTGTTCACTATTCAGGTGATGGATACACTGGAAGCCCAAACTCCGCCATAACACAATATATTCAGGTAACATACCTGCAAATGTACCCCCTACATCTATAAAAATTTTTTAAGATTAAAAAAAATTTAAGGCAGGAGAATTCATGTAAATTGGGGTAATCCATGGCGTGTTGGTGGGGCACAGATAATCCAAGCCCTCCCTAACACAATTTTTATGCTCTTCTTTTGTCATAATCAGGAGACTGATTTTTTTTTATTTTTTTTTTGAGGAGACAGGGTCTCACTTATGTTGATCGGGCTGGTCTCCAAGAGCTGGCCTCAAGCTATCCTCCTGCCTCAACCTCTCAAAGTACTGGGATTACAGGAATTAGTCACTGTGCCTGACTGAAGCTGGATCTTAAAAACACCATAGTTCCCTAAAAGTATAGAGCCAGTATGGTGCTGTAGCCAAAGGTAAAGCCATGCTTTGTCAGAATAAGGTATTGAATACAAAACAGTAGCTCATTCCAGTATTATCATATATGGAATACTGCATACAGTTCGGGTTGCTAAACTACAACATAGAGTCAAGAAAAATAAAATTCCAAGGAAGGATGGATAAGAAGTTAGCAATATATAAGTTTTGCTAATAAAGCATATGAACGCAATCAGAATGCTTTCAAAATCCAACTCAGTTACATATGAGGGAAGGAAGAACCTACTCAATACCTGTGATTACCTCCCAAGCCTTATCAGCATTTTATTTGTTTTGAGAAAAATGCTTATTTTGGGTGGCGCATGGGGGCTCACACCTGTAATCCCAGCACTTCGGGAGGCCAAGGAGGGCGGATCGCCTGAGATCAGGAATTTGAGACCAACCTGGTCAACGTGGTGAAACCCTGTCTCTACGAAAAATACAAAAATTAGCCGGATGTGATGGTGGGCACCTGTAATCCCAGCTACTCAGGAGGCTGAGGCAGGAGAGTCACTTGAACTGGGGACGGGGAGGTTGCAGTGAGCCAAGATCATGCCACTGCACTCCAGCCTGGGCTACAGAGTGAGACTCAGTCAAGGAAAGAAAGGAAAGGAAAGGAGACGAGAGGAGAGGAGACGAGAGGGCAGGGAAGGGGAGGGGAGGGGAAGGGAGGAGAAAGAAGCTTATTTTGAGATAGTTTTAGACTTAAAATAGAAAAAATTTATATAAGTAGTACAAAGACTTCACATATACCCTCTACCCAGCTTCCCTAAATGTTAATATCTCTCCTAACCACAGTAAAATTTCAAACCCAGGAAATTAACATTGATACTATACTATTAACTAGTGTACAGTATTTATTCAAATTTCACCAGTTGTCCCACTAATACCCTTTTTTCTGGTCCAGGATCCAATCCAGAATCTGACACTGCACATAGTTGTCATATCTCCTTTGTCTCCTCAGTCTGGACACTTCTGTAGCCTTTCTCTATCTTTCTTGACCTTTACATTTTTTAAGAGTATTGGCTAGTTTTTTTTGTAAAATATCTCTTAACCTTAGTTTGTCTGATGTTCCCTCATGAGTAAATGCAGTTTATACATTTTTGGCAAGAATGTCTGGCTGTAAGATAGAAATATATATAGGAAAATTACAAAAAAGAATGCCCACAGTTCTGTTGAGCCCTTCTCAGTGCATCTTATCTAAAAGAACGTGATGCCAATGTGTCTCATTACTGATGATAACTTTGATTTCTTGTTTAAAGTCAAGTCTACCAAGTTTCCCCTCTGTAATAATTTCTCACTGTAACTAATGAGTATTTCATGGAAAGATACTTTGAGCTTCTGTGAATATCCTTTTTCTCATCACTTTCACTCATTCATTTTAAGCATCCATTAATAAATCTTACCTATAGTATCTATTACTGAGGTGTTTGTCAAACAATGAGTTTCTATTTCCTCATTGTTTCTACTTTTTTTTTTTTTTTTTTTTTGGCAGGGTCTCACTCCATCACCCAGGCTGGAGTGCAATGGCACAATCACAGCTTACTGCAGCCTTGACTTCCCAGGCTCAGGTTATCCTCCCCACCTCAGCCTCCCAAGTAGCGGAGACTACTAGTGCATGCCACCACGCCCAGCTAATTTTTGTATTTTTCGTAGAGATGGGATTTTGCCATGTTGCCCAGGCTGGTCTCAAACTTGTGAGCTGAAGCGATCCACCCACCTCAGTCTCCCAAAGTGCTGGGATTACAAGCATGAGCCACCACACCAGGCCTGCTTCAATATTTATTAATTGAGATTTTAAAATAAGAAAAAACTGTCGGCTGGGCACAGTGGCTCATGCCTGAAATCTCAGCAGCACTTTGAGAGGCTGAAGCAGGCAGATCACCAGAGATCAGGAGTTTAAGACCAGCCTGGCTAACATGGTGAAACCCTGTCTCTACTACAAATACAAAAATTAGCAGAGCATGATGGCAGGCACCTGTAATCCCAGCTACTCAGGAGGCTGAGGCAGGGATAATTGCTTGAACCTGGGAGGTGGAGGGGAGGTTGCAGTGAGCTGAGATCGTGCCACTGCACTCCAGCGTGGGTAACAGAGTGAGACGCTGTCTCAAAAAAAAAAAGAAAGAAAGAAAAAGAAAAAAAAATAACTGTCTACTCATTCCTGTTTTTGTTTGTTTACTTATTATTTATTTATATCAATATAGACTCGTGAATGTTTATTTTATGGTTTATAATCAATTACCTAAATAAATTTTTTTTGCTCAATTTTTCCAGATTTGGCCATCGAGTACTTTTCCCAGTTAGCTCCCATATCCTTTTGGTAAGACTCCACATCACCTTTTGAATACTTCTTACTTTCCGGCTGTGGAAGATGTTTTAAATTCTTATTGTACTTTTCTTGCTCTCGCCCTGGAGTCAATCACTTCTTCAAATAACCATTTTCTGTTTATGCAGAAAGGGAGAGAGTTAAGCAGAATATTTTTAACTCTAGAGTCAGTCCTGGGCTTTTTCAAGTCTCTTTCTGATTCTACTACTTGGAGATACTTGCCAGAAAGTAAGTTATTTGAAAAAAATTTAAAAGGCTTACAGGACCATTTTTAAACTTTGGCTGAGGCAAACTCAGATGTAATTTCCCCATCTAACTTCTGGTCTCCTTGTTATTATAGTTCCACATACATCAGAAATAAAGTTCCCTTGGAGACTGGAGAACTCCACCTACCATTTTAACAAAATATTGAATTATGTGATTCTTGGTAGAGAGTAACAAAAGTCTTTTTTTAAGGGAGTTTTTTCAACATTCAGAGAGTTCCAAAAGGCTAGCTAGATCTCTAGTCTGAGTTTTCTGGGGGATAAAATATTTCAGACCCAATGAAGAAAACTGAGGAGCCAACATAACTCATTATTGTAGGGTTACAGACATCAGACTTTTTAGAGAAATATGATTTAGATTCAGGTTTAATGTGACAAAGATTGCTGACTCTTTCCAATATTCATTCTCCTTTTTTTTTTTTTTTGAGACGGAGTTTCACTCTTGTTGCCCAGGCTGGAGTGCAATAGTGTGGTCTCAGCTCACTGCAACCTCTGCCTCCTGGGTTCTTCTGCCTCAGCCTCCCAAATAGCTGGGATTACAGGCACCAGCCATCATGCCTGGCTAATTGTTGTATTTTTAGTAGAGACAGGGTTTCACCATGTTGGCCAGGCTGGTCGTGAACTCCTGACCTCAGGTGATCCACCCACCTCATCCTCCCGAAGTGCTGGGATTACAGGCATGATCCACCACGCCGGCTCCTCTTCTTTCTTAATTAGTAAAGCCCCAAAATTTGTCAGAAGTAGGTGAACCAGAGCAACTCCATCTTAAGTAGGAGCTGGATAAAATGAGGCTGAAACCTACTGGGCTGCATTCCCAGGCAGTTAAGGCATTCTCAGTCACAGGATAAGAGGTCAGCACAAAATACAGGTCATAAAGACCTTGCTGATAACACATGTTGCAGTGAAGAAGATGGCCAAAACCCACCAAAACCAAAATGGCGACAAGAGTGAACTCTGGTCGTCCTCACTGCTACCCTCCCACCAGCACCATGACAGTTTACAAATGCCATGGCAATGTCAGGAAGTTATCCTATATGGACTAAAAAGGGGAGGCATAAATAATCAACCCCTTGTTTAACATATCATCAAGAAATGACCGTAAAAATGGGCAACCAGCAGCCTTCAGGGCTGCTCTGTCTATGGAGTAGCCATTCTTTTATTTCTTTACTTTCTTAATAAACTTGCTTTCACTTGGCAGTGTCAACTCACCCTGAATTCTTTCTTGAGCGAGATCCAAGAGCCCTCTCTTGGGGTCTGGATCAGGACTCCTTTCCTGTAACATAGCCACCCAGAGTAGTAGAGCTATACTTTCCAAGCTTCTCTAAAGCCAGGTGTGACGGTGTCACCATGGTCTGGCCAATGAGATGAGTAAGTGACATTTGTAACTCCCCAGTTATATTCTTAAAGAAATGGGTCATGCCCACCACTTTCCTTTTTTCTTCTTCCTCATGACTGAGACATGGACATTCTAGCAAAAGCTAGAGAAGTCATCTTATGCAAAAAACATGGAAGTCACATGCTAAAGAGGTCACACATTAAAGACGACAAGCTACAGCCTTGACATCATGGAGCTGCCATGTTAGGTATGGTCAGCTTACACTTAGGTTGAAACATGAGAAAGAAATTAACTTCTGTTTTTCTTCAGCCACTAGTATTTGGGGATCTTTTTATAACAGTTAAACCTATATCTAACTAATATAGAAGCAGTATCTGGAAGGGAGACTTCCGCAACAAAAGACATATGTAATATTAATACAGCAATTGAACAGGAAACAGCAAATATTCAGATAAGCCAGGGTGGAAAGCTGGTGACTCTTATTATGTCATAATGAAACTTTGGCTAAACTGTTACCTGCCATACATTGGACAGTAAGCCATAAACTGTCAGAGTCTGTGACTCTAAGGCAACTAGTTGGAAAAATTCAGGATCTTGGTGTGTGTTGGCTGCTTCTTGCCACTTGAAGCAAAATCTTACAAAAGAGATAAAGTCTGAAATAGTCTCCCCTAAGGGAGGAGAATTCTATTTTATGAAAAGAGGCATTTTCTGTCTTGCCTGAAATATAACTTGAGTGAAAGTGCAGTAATTTGGGTGCTCAAAGGTTTAAAAAAAGTATTTTTGGTTTTTTGTTTGTTTTGTTTTTTGGAGATAGGGTGTCACTCTGTCACCCAGGCAGTGGTGCAAACACAGCTCACTGCACCCCCAGCCTCCTGGGCTCAAGCGATCCTTCTACCTCAGCCTTGGGCCACCATATCTCGCTAATTTTGGGGGTAGAGACAGATTCTTACCATATTGCTCAGGCTGATTTCAAACTCCTGGCTTCAAGCAATCCTCCTGCCTCAGCCTCCTAAAGTGCTGGGGTTACAGGTGTGAGCCACCGTGCCCAGCCAAAAAAGCCAATTCTTCTTTACCGAACACAAGCAAGAATAAAAGGTAGCTCTCAAGAGCAGCTGTAAGTGGAAATTAGAATGTGGCCCCCCATAAAATGGAGAAGGAAAGGAAGGAAGGAAGGAATGAAGGAAGGAAGGAAGGAAGGAAGGAAGGAAGGAAGGAAGGAGAGAAAGAAGAAAAGAAAGAAAGAAAAAGAGAAAGAGAGAAGGAAAGAAAGAAAGAAAGAAAGAAAGAGAGAGAGAAAGAGAGGAGGAGGAGGAGAATGTGGACTGCAAACCTTTTTCGAGCACTTTTGATAAAGTCCCTGACAGTCAGTGAGTGCCAACTCCGTCCAAATATCAGATGATGGCTGTGGCCTCCCACTCAGTCCATTGTTTTAAATGGCCTGAACATGGCTACATTAAAATTGAGAGGGCAAATGGACAGAGCACAGAGGGCAATAAATAGGTCAGATACTTTAGTTTCAAAACTGTATTAGGGTCAGATCTATGTTTGTGGTTCCTTGTACCTGAAACTAATGATGCAAGTAAACCAGAAAATTTAACTGGGGAGGGCAAGGAGGGGGATATTTTATTTCCAAGGAAATTATAGTCCTGTTGTTTTTTGGCTTCTGCTCCTGTATTAGTCAGAGTCCCATTAGGAAAGACTTAAATTCTGTAATTTGAGGAGAGTTTAATTAAGGAATTATTTGTACATGGTGAGAAGAAGTAGCTGACGGAAAGGAAGAGTAGGTCACCCCTTCAGCTTGGAACAGTGGGGTGCTATTACCATCCTTTAGTGAGGAGAGAAAACAGTTTCTGAAACTAGCAGACAAAAAGAGATGCCTGACAGGCAACAAGACCTTTGCTTGAGGGACACCACAAGCCTAGGGCAACCCTGTGAAGGAGAGAGCCACGGGAAGAAATACCCCAACCTTTCTCATTCTTCCCTTCCTCTGATCTTCCTCCAGCGCTCCCCATTTGCTGAACCCAATTGAGAACAGAACAAGGAAGTTCTATTGAGGTAATCTTGTCAGTCTCCCAGAAAAAAAGATTAGGGTAGAGAAGGAGAAAAATAAATAATCTAGAGGAGTAAATAAATAATATTCCACATAACTGCACACCTACACCAGCAGGAAAATGGGGTACAATGCTATGCAGCCTTTAAGAAAGGTTTATTCTCCAGTGTCCATCACAGATGAGGCCATGGAAGACGATGAACAGAGAGTTCCTCCTAAAAAACAGAACAAGATGTTGCCGTGTGAAGATCTATTCCCAGGGAAGGGGTCCTAGCAGTTTCTGTTCATCTGGACCAGTAACAGCCTCTTTCCTTTTCCAAATGGAGTCTTAACTGTGGTTATTATGCTGTGAAGGAGAGATAACTTATTTTTTAGTTCATAGGTTGCTAGGCCACAAGGAAACATACCCAGACAAAATGAGAGCATTACACATAGACTTTGCTCAAGATGTGGTAATTACATAGGACCTTTGAGTTATCTCCTCTTTGATAGGAAAGGAAATAAATATGCTTCATTTGTGAGAAAAAGCGTGTGCACAGATATTGATGTAGTTAAAGGCACTGACTGTGGCAGAGAATTGTTAATTATCCTTCAATATCTATTCTCCCCATCTTCCTTTAGAAATAGAATCCCAAAATTTATCTGAGCACATGGCCATCTGTCTCCTTTGCAGCCAACTTTGGTCATTTGACTAAGTCTTGGCCAATAAAATCTAAGCAGTAGTAATGTTGAAATTCATTCTTTTGTCCTTAAAGTAAAGGAAATGATCTCTGCTTCCCTCTTTTCTTCCTTCCTACTGGCTGTGATGTGGACAGACATGTGCAACAGTGAGAGCAGTCATATCTGGCTATAGGTAGAAGCTGCATGTGGGAAATGGCAGAGCAATGAGATGGATGAAACATGGGTCCAAACATTATGAAACCACAATTATCCCCAGACAACTTATTCTTGAATGTTATTTAAGAATAAAAGAAAAAGTCTCAATTATTTTGAGTATACACCTCAGAGGCCGAAACCTCTACCTTAACTAATACTTAAACCAGGTGTAACTAAAGAGAACAGGAAATGCAGTCACCCTGGAGAAAGCCAAGAGAAAGGAACCTACTCAAGATTTAGGGAGGACTATGCCTTCTCTCACACCCAGAACACTCTCCAAGTCCATGACCATTTGGGAGAATATTGCAAATATATGTTGATATGAAAACCCTAGACATTTCCTCACTGGAATTGCATGTGAAAGAATCTATCAGATACTCAGTCCAGATACTTACCAGATACTTTCTGCTTCTAAACTGAGGTGGCCCCATATACAAAAAGGGTCCAGCATGGCCCTAAAACCAAGAATTACCTGGGCAAACAGCAAATTCTCCCTTCTTTGAGGGGACAAAGAGTGATTGTCTTTTTCTTTCTGTCATACAAAGCACAGGGAAACGAAAAAATACACTTGGAAATGACAAAGAGTACTTTATTGAGTTTGGAGAAAATAGTGTGAAACCCAGGGCAAAGAAAGAGTCTCTACAATGACCAGTGAAGGGGGAAAGGAGGAAGAGGCAAGCAGGACTATTACCAAGAGAGAGAGGCGTGGTGGAAGCTGATTCAGAGCTGAGCCAAATGTGTAATTGAAACCAGAACTGGTTAGGACGAAAGTACAAGTTTAAAAGTGAGATCACAAAACCTATTCCAAGTAGCCACAGTGTTTATATGTAGAGATGGAATGGATCCTAAGCCTTAGGAGATCTCTTGCTTGTTTTCTAAGCAAGACTCATTCCAATGCCCAGCAGGGACACTTGAGGGCAATGAGTTAAGTACATCCCCATTTGATCTTCCTATCAGATGGGAAATTCCCATGTGCTTTATATAGTTTTAAGTTTTCTTTTGAAATGCAACTATGGAAATGAAATTAAGGAGCAACTATTAAAGTCTTGCACTAGAAACAATGAGTTTTACTTGACTATGGAGTTTGTTTAACTAAGGTGATTTGGAATACCTTAAATACCCAGGAAGGAAGACGATCCCCTTAGGGACTTAACGGCCTGTTACTTGTTCACAAACAGAACTAAAACTAGAGACTCACAGGATTGGTAAATATCTTTTTCTTCTTATTCCCTTGGCAAATGTTTGCCTGCTTGACAGAGTCCATTACTCATTTTAAAGGATGCTCATTGCCAGTTTCCTAAGTATACTATTATTAAAAGATGAGTACATTTTTGGAAAATGTCAATAAAACTTTAAGTTAATTTTAAGACTGTAAGATGGAAATATCTATGCAGATGTTGTATATTGATTTCTAAAAATATTTTCTTCCCAATGGCTGCTTCTCAATTTTGGGTTTCGGGATCTTTTCCCTCATCTACATTAACTGGAAAATTAGCACAGGAAAGGTAAGTAATGCTATATGAATTCTCAATGGTCAATAGAACTGAATCAGAAGGCCCAATTTGTTATCTACTAACCAAGAAATTAATTCTCTCTAATACTACTTCCTATCTATATGGTCTCGTACAAGCCTCTAAACCTCTCTGTTTTATTATGTTTAAAATGAGAATAAACAGCTCAAAAATTAGCTGGGCGTGGTGGCAGTTGCCTGTAATCCCAGCTACGAGGGAGGCTGAGGCAGGAGAATCACTTCAACCGGGGAGGCGGAGGTTGCAGTGAGCCAAGATCGCACCATTGCACTCCAGCCTGGGCAACAAGAGCGAAACTCCCTCTCAAAAAAAATAAAATAAAATCATAAAATAAAAATAAATAAATTAATAAATTAAATGGGAACAAAGGCCGAGTGTGGTGGCTCACGCTTGTAATCCCAGCACTTTGGGAGGCCTAGACGGGCAGATCACTTGAGGCCAGGAGTTCGAGACCAGCCTGGCCAACAGGGTGAAACCGCATCTCTACTAAAAATACAAAAATTAGCTGGGCGTGGTAGCACACGCCTGTAATCCCATCTACTCCAGAGGCTGAGGCATAAAATCGCTTGAACCCTAGAGACGGAGGCTGTAGTGAGCTGAGGTAGCACCACTGCACTCCAGCCCGGGGAACCAGAGCAAGACTCTGTCTCAAAAAAAAAATTAAATTTAATTTAATTAATTAATTAATTAATTAATTAAATTTTAAAAATAAGGCCGTGCGCAGTGGCTCACGCCTGTAATTCTAGCACTTTGGAAGGCCGAGGCAGACAGATAACGAGGTCAGGAGATCGAGACCATCCTGGCTAACACGGTGAAACCCTGTCTCTACTAAAAATACAAAAAAATAGCCGGGCGTGGTGGCGGGCGCCTGTAGTCCCAGCTACTCAGGAGGCTGAGGCAGGAGAATTGCTTGAACCCGGGAGGCTGAGGTTGCAGTGAACCGAGATCGCGCCACTGCACTCCAGCCTGGGCGACAGAGTGAGACTCCATCTCGAAAAAAATAAATAAATAAAAATAAATAAAATAAAAGTTATTTTCTTATCTACATGGGGAAGCACAATTGAAAGAATACATGTGAAGCCGGGCGTGGTGGCTCACACCTGTAATCCCAGCACTTTGGGAGACCGAGGAGGGTGGATCACGAGGTCAGGAGATCCAGACCATCCTGGCTAACATGGTGAAACCCCGACTCTACTAAAAATACAAAAAAATTAGCCGGGCGTGGTGGTGGGCGCCTGTAGTAACAGCTACTCAGGAGGCTGAGGTAGGAGAATGGCGTGAACCCGGGAGGTGGAGCTTGCAGCGAGCCAAGATCGCGCCGCTGCACTCCAGCCTGGGTGACAGAGCGAGACTCCATTTCAAAAAAAAAAAAAAGAATACATGTGAAACTGTACCATAAACTCTCAAATGCTGGTAGACTCCAGGCCTTTACCTTAGGTAGATCTGCCTCCAGAACTCAGCATCTCCAACTCTTTCTCTTGTTCAACCGCATTCTAATGCCAGCTTCTCTTCTTGCCTTCTGAGTTCTTACATTCTCCTTGCCTTCATTCTCTCTGTGTAAGAAATGGGAATTATATTATCTACCTGATGCAATTGGTATAAGGGCAACCTAGAAAGCTCCTGGTGCAATGCTTAGCATATGGTCAACTCAATAAATCCAACTAGAGATGGGCAAAAGCAATCAGAGGCCATCTAATCCACTTCTCTTATGCAGTTGAGGAACCAGTGCTGAGAAGTGAGGAAACTGCAGTTAAGCATGGAGCAGCAGATTTAGATGCCAGGTCTCTGGACTCTCAGAGTTCTTTCCACTGTAGATTGTGGTAGTATCAAAACAAATAAATGATCAAGGGGGAAATCATCAAGGCGTGTTTCCCAGTAGAGTCAGTGAAACCAGTATGAGAATGAAGTGAGGGGCAAGGAAGGGAAGGAAAAACAAAATAAACTCCTTTTCTCGTGGTTCAGTGGGCTATTATAGCTATATACATCACATAAATCTTCTAATGGAGGTTTTATAATTTGATAAAATATATTCTGATACATCACATAATGGAAGATTATCCAGCCACCAGAGTCTGAAGTAGACCGATAAGCACTAGCATAGAAAGGTGTGCCCAATATATTTAAGGGCAAAAGGTGCTGCATGGTATCTACAACATGGTCCCATTTTTGTTTCATGTATATAAGTCTTATGGTAATAAGTCTGGAAGGACATCATCCAGATCATTAGCAGTGGTTATCCTTCCATATAATAAAGACTTTCCTTTTCTATTTTATTTCTGTATTATTTAAATTCTCAGATTTTGATCATTAGGAAAAATAAATCTTTTTTAAGTAAAAAAAAACTTTTGAAATAAAGATCAATTGCATGAAAGTGCAATTATTCAGTATTACAAAAGATTAAGAGCTTTGGCAAGAAGAATGAAAATATTCAGCCCCTTTCTTTCTTAAAGATTATTGCATTTCCTTTATGTGAGCAATATGAGCAAAAATAAAAAATAAAGATAAAACAACAGAGGCAAGCACTTATAATGGAATATCTTTTCCCCACATGCCTAACTAAATAAAAAAAAAATGCAAAGCAGGCTATCTTGGAAGCAAGTATAAAAACTCTTCCCAGCCCCATATCTAAAAAGGAAACAAATCCAAATTATGTCTCACAGCACATGCACAATAGCCCTGCAGTGTTTTAATCCACTGTTACTTGGTATCTTAGTCCTAAGGATCTTAACCTTGTCTGGGAATCCCCTGAAATGTGTCAAAAGGTATACATAGTGCATGTGTACAGTTTTCTGGGGAAAGGAACTATAATCTTCATCCAAACCCACGAATATTAAGAACCACAGTATTCATGTATTCACACATATTCATTCTACGGACACTTGAGAATTGTTTTCTTCCGTGCATTGTTATACATGCGGTAGGAATGTTATGAGTCACTCTACACACATCATTTCTAATTCTGCCAGCAATACTGCAAGTAAAGATTATCCCTTTTTTACCAGTGGGCAATATGAAGAATTAAAGGTGTCTACAAATTCTTTTTTTTTTTTTTTGAGACAGAGTCTCTGTCCCCAGGCTGGAGTGCAATGGCATGATCTCGGCTCAGTGCAACCTCCACCTGCCAGGTTTAAGTGATTCTCCTGCCTCAGCCTCCCGAGTAGCTGGGACTACAGGCATGCGCCACCATGCCCAGCTAATTTTTGTAGTTTTAGTAGAGATGGGTTTTCACCATGTTCGCCAGGATGGTCTCAATCTCTTGACCTCGTGATCTGCCCTCCTCGGCCTCCCAAAGTGCTGGGATTACAGGCATGAGCCACCATGCCTGGCAAAGGTGTCTACAAATTCTTTGACACTTTTTCCATTGAGAATTGGGGCGCGATGCTCCTTCCCCTTGAGTCTAGATGGGCTGTGTGACTACGTTAACTAACTGAATATATCGGAAGTGACACTGTGTCAATTTCCAGGCCCAGGACTTAAGACACAGCCATCTTCCAGTTAATGTCCTTTGGAATAATAGCTCTTCAAAGCCAGCCATCACATTGTGAAAAAGCCAAAGCAGCCCTCTAGAGATGCCCACACAGAGAGGAACTGAGCTCACCAACCTGCCAGCCACATAGATGGGCTGTCATGGAAGTCGATGTTCCAGCCCCACTCCAGCTGCCCCAGATGATGCTGTGTGGCATAGAGAGGAGCCATTATCCCCAATGAGCCTGTGGTAGGCAGAATAATGGGAAGATGTACATATACTAATTCCGAGAACCTATGAATATGTTACATTACATGGCAAGGGTGAATTCAAGTTGCAGATAGAATTGCTAATCAGCTGACCTTGAAGTAGGGAGATTATCCTGGGATATCCAGATGGGCCCAATGCAATAAAAAGGTCCTTAAAAGAGGAAAAGAGAAGCAGGAGAGAAGGTTAGAGTGATTCAGTGGGAAAACAACCTGACCAGCTGTTGCTGGCTTTGAAGATGGAGGAAGAGACTGTGAGCCAAGGAATACAGGCATCCTCTAGAAGCTGGAAAAGGCAAGAAAACAGATTCTACCCCTGGATCTTCCAGAAAGATACACACCCCTGCTGACACCTTGATTTTAGCTCAGTGAGAACTGTGTTGGATTGCTTGCCTACAAAACTGTAAGATAACAAATGTGTGTTGTTTTAAGCCACTAAATTTGTGATAATTTGTCACATAATAGAAAACTAACACAGAGCCCTTTCCAAATCGCACATTTATGAGCAAAATGAATTATAGTTCAAAAACCACCGTGTTTGGGGTTGATTTGTTCCTCCGTGATAGACAACTAGAACAATAAAATTAAGCTCAGGATAATTAATCTTTCCAAGTGACCCAAAAAGTTCAATTCCTTGGCTGTGGTATGACATTTTTCGCTGTGAAAACCTTCATGGTCAAAATGTCACCAGCCATTCCCCCCCGCAGGCTTCCTGGACATCACTTGTCTCCTTGCCACCCCCTGAATCTGCTCTCCCAGGGGTTTCAAGTGCTCTCTTTGCATCAAACCCCACGTGGTCATTTCTCTGTCCTCATTCTCAGTGGTGACATTGTTGACCACCACTTCTCTTTCTTTCTCCAAGAAGAGGTTCTTACACACACCATTATTTCAATGTCAACACATTAAAATCCAAACATATCATTCTTAAAAATAATGACTACTTAAAAAGTTAATAGTACACAATGGCAAAATTAACAACTTTTTAGTAGGCTGTCAAACATTTTTATGAATGCCTAAGCCTCTTGTTTTAACTTACTTGAAGATGTTTCACAGATTTAATTTTCTATGTTTAAGTATCTTTTTTCAGTGGAACCATAAATGCCCTTTTAAATTAGTGGCAGTGAAAGTAGTTATCCTGGAAATAATTGTATTGAGCAATGAAGTTTTACAACAAAGCTATTTTAATCAGCTGAAATAACACTCTTCTCTGGTCATTATATTACTAGAGAAGGAGAGTTACATTTTCAGGCAGGGATAAGATCACTTCAGTTCTTCAAAAGGAACTTTCGTAGTAAGTCTTCCCACAAAGTCTCCAAAGTAAAGTGATAATTCACTGGAAAATAGGATCATTCTCCTTCATTCCTCCTCATTTGTTGAAGACCACCATTTCTTGATGTTTTTAAAGATTGATGATTTAAAGAAAGTCCGTTTCTCCTGAGTGAAACCAGTGAGAGATATTTCAAATCTTAGAGAAACTCCCTCTGGCCTACCAATCCAAACATAGATTAGGTGCAAGCATGTTTAACTTTAGAATATAATGAACCAAGTAGCCTTTTGACTCAAATCTCTGTGATACTCCCAGAAGTGTAGCTGTGAGTCAGAAGAGATAGCAGGGAAAATATATCACAAGGTGCTATTTGTTTCTAAAAAGATAAACATAAAATATAAAATGTGTGTTTTATGGTGCTGTGTGGTATCTACAACATGGTCCCATTTTTGTTTCATGTATATAAGCCTTACGGTAATAAGTCTGGAAGGACATCATCCAGATCATTAGCAGTGGTTATCCTTCCATATAATAAAGACCTTTGCACCAAATATTGAGTGTTTATAAATATTGCTCAAATATGAAGCAAACATGAATGTATTTCCCTGTAAACCAAGTCTCAATTGAATTTTTGTGTTCTTATTGCAATTTTACCAAATAAGGAGAATTGATACAGTGTGAATCAAAAATAAAACAAAAAGAGGATTTGAAACTAGGCTTTCATTATTAGGAAAGTAAAAAGGACTTCCAAGAACACTTGGGGAAACCTATCAATATACAAAGATAAAAAAGTCACTGGGTGACAGAGTAACTGGTCTGTTTCCCTACGGGCTGCAGGAGTGAGCTAATAAGGATACAAATTATTCTGTTGGGCTCCAAAAAAAAAAAAAAAAAGAAAAGAAAACTGTGAAGGTATAAAATAACTCTACCAGTTAGCACTCTGTAGTAAATGATGGAAAATCCAACTCAAACTTGCCTGGTTAATTAGAGAAATATATTGGTTCATGTAGTTGAAGGCTCAAGGACTAAGCTTCAGGCATAACTTGATTCAGGGGCTTATGCAATGCTATATGAGGTCAGTTAATCTCCAAGTTTTGATTTTGTCATTCTCTGAGTGTTGGCTTCATCCTGAGGCTGTCTCCCATTGTGACAGTAGCAGTGTCAAGCCTCATGTCCTTACATCACTGGATTCTGTGGAAATGTGAATGCTCTTCTTACTCAGGAGCCCAGCCAAGGTCTCCCCATGTCTCCCTGTCTCTGATTGGGTTAGATGCCCATCATCAACCCCATTACTTAACCAGAAGAATGGGATATGCTAATTGGTTCTCCCAGTTTCTCCCGGACACTGAGGAAACAGTCACACGCATACAAATATGGCAGAACATAGCGGGGTAGTTTCCCAAGGGAAATTTAATGTATTAGAAAGTGTGAATGTTTGTTAGGCAATAGTGTCCACTATAATAAACTGGTATCAGATGTTAGTACGAGACTTTTTTTATTGTTACATGATATTTTATAAATTTACGGGGTATATGTGCTATTTCATTATAAGCATAGAATGTCAGAATATTTAGGATATCCATTACTTCGAGCATTTATGATTTCTATGTGTTGAGAACATTTCAAGACCTCTCTTCTAGCTATTTTGAGATATGCAATACATTGTTGATAACTAGTCACCCTACTCTGCTAACTAACATTAGAAATTATTCCTTCTATCTAACTGTAGGTTTGTATCCGTTAACCAACCTCTCTTCATCTCCCCTTGCCACACACACACACCCTTCCCAGCCTCTGATAATTATCATTATCTCTCCCTCCACAAGATCAAATTTTTTAGCTCCTGCGTGTGAGTGAGAACATGGTATTTGTCTTTCTGTGCCTGGCTTATTTCACTTAACATAGTGACTTCCAGTGCCATCCATGTTGCTGCAAATGACAGGATTTTATTCTTATTATGGCAGAATAGTATTCCATAGTATATATAATATATATCATCACATATATATCATATATATATATATGTGTGTATCATCACATTTTCTTTATCCATTTGTCCATCCTGGACCCTTAGGCTGATTCCAGATCTTTGCTACTGTGAATTGTGCTACAATAAACATGGAAGTGCAGGCATCTCTTTCATATACTGATTTTATTTCCTTCAGATAAATACCCAGTAGTGGGATTGCTGGGATCATATGGATAGTTCTATTTTTAGTTATTTGAGAAAACCTCATACTGTCTTCCATAATGGCTAAACTAATTTACATTCCAATAGTGCACAAGAGTAGTAAAAGACATTTTGAGTATTGTTTGTATATGTGTAAATGAGAAGTAAAGTCATTTAGGTTTATAAGATGGTCTGATATGCAAGTATAAAAAATATTCAGCCCAGCCACTTTGATACCTAATGAGATAATGATTTTGTTCTCTTTCATTCTCTGTGTGTTTTTTTCAACTTTGTCTCCCACAACATCCATCCATGCAGACTTTGCTGTAGCCTCATCCATTGGCTTATCTGGATTGCTTACTTCTATATCTTGATCTTCCCAATTCCTAGTGCCTGGAATGTCCCTTCCCCTCTTCATTCTCTAATATCTAAATTCTCCTTTTCCAAAGCCTGATTCATAGCTACTTTCTCTCTGAAGCAATTTAGAAATAATGACCTTTTCTCCTACATTTTCTCATAATTTTTAGGTTAAAATTTGCAATTTACTACCAATTCCCACTCTCTAGATCATGGACGATATTATTTTGATGGTGGAAGTCACGCCAGCTGACCTTAATATGATCCTAAGTTTATTCTCCATAGAGCACTCCTGGAAGTCCCTATCAATCAATCAATCAAAGTCTGCTCATAAAATGAAACTTACTGGCCGCTTTGCATGAACACTGGGTATTACATTCTCATTCTTTTCACTTATAACCCTAACAGCTTGTATGTTATGAGTATATAAAGCTTTGTCCCTAGAAAATGTTCAATAAATGGGCCAGGCATGGTGGCTCACGCCTGTAAGCCCAGCACTTTGGGAGGCCAAGGCGGGTGGATCACGAGGTCAGGAGCTCAAGAGTAGCCTGGTCAAGATGGTGAATCCCTGTCTCTACTAAAAAAGAAAAATACAAAAAAATTAGCCGGACATTGTAGTGGGTGCTTATAATCCCAGCTACTCGGGAGGCTGTGGCAGAGAATTGCTTGAACCCACGAGGTGGAGGTTGCAGTGAGCCAAGATTGTGTCACTGCACTCCAGCATGGGTGACAGAGCGAGACTCCGTCACAAAAAAAAGAAAAGAAAAGAAAAGAAAATGTTCAGTAAATGTTTGGCGGGTGGCACTTAATGGAATGGAGTGCAAAATCTAAGGGTAAACTAAATGATGGTGGTAACTGGTACAAAAGGTAATTATGTATTAAGGATATACACTTCTGTGATGAGCATTTAAAATGTGAGAACTCCAGGTTTCCTTTCCCCAAATATGTTTTCACAAAATGGGAAATAAAATTTTAATGTACATTAAAGCTTTCCCTGAGGAAATGGTTGGAAACCATTTAAAGCAAAATACTGACATTTAACTATTCTTGATCCTAAGAAATAAAATATTTCAGCAGATTCACTTATTTAGAAAACACAATCTGTGGTAGGTGATATATTTGAGGAGAGGAAAAAAAAAATCCATCCTCACAACCAGATCTGGTTGGGGAATTATTTCTGGAATTGTGAACAATTATTGTGTATATTTTTAGCCACGGTTTCAGACGGCCTTATAGTGTTGGGAATTATAGCATTTTATAGCCCAGAAGTGATTATATAAAATCATGTTAAATTGATTATAATAAGAACTACGAAGGCAGTAATGTTTGCTGCTCTGCAGAACACTTTGCCCAGGAGACTCTTTAAAGCTGAATGGAACAGAAAATGCTGGTAGTCATATTAGACCTGTTCCTCCAGTAAAAGTCCACACTCACTAGCAACCACAACCTGGCAACATTTTCTTTGAATCTCACATCTCATCTACTACTGAACATCAAAACAGCCGGTTACATCCTTGTAAAACAGGACAGATTAGCAATTTAGCAGCATAAGTGCCTCTTCCTTCATCCCCCTATCATTTTTATTTTTATTTTATTATGTTTGTTGTTTGTTTGTTTTTGAGACAGAGTCTCACCCTGTCACTCAGACTGGAGTGCAGTGGCGTGATCTCAGCTCACTGCAATCTCCATCTCCTGGGTTCAAGCAATTCTCCGGCCTCAGCCTCCAGAGTAGTTGGGATTATAGGCATCCACCATCATGCCCGGCTAATTTTTGTATTTTTGTAGAGATAGAGTTTCACCATGTTGGCCAGGTTGGTCTTGAATTCCTGACCTCAGGTGATCTGCCCACCTCGGCCTCCCAAAGTGCTGGGTTTACAGGCGTGAGCCACTGCGCCCAACCGCCCCTCACCCACTCCCCTGTCATTTTTAATTTAAAAAGTTCTGATTTGAAAACACTGGTTTTCAATTCATTTAGGACAGTCAGTGAAGGGAATATAAAAATTACAAATTTCAAAACGTCTTTTTGTGTGTGTGTGTGACTAAGTCTCCCTCTGTCACCCAGGCTGGAGTGCTATAGCGCGATCTTGGCTCACTGCAACCTCCACCTCCCAAGTTCAAGCGATTTTCCTGCCTCAGCCTCCTGAGTAGCTGGGACAACAGGCGCGCGCGCCACCGCGCCCAGCTAATTTTTTGTATTTTTAGTAGAGACGGGGTTTACACCATGTTGGCCAGGCTGGCCTCAAACTCCTGACCTCAGGTGATCCACCTGCCTCGGCCTCCCAAAGTGTTGGGATTACAGGCTTCAGCCACAGCGCCCGGCCTTCAAAACGTCTTTCAATTCAAGCTATATAAAACTTCCAAGTTTTAAGCAGTTTTTAATATCAAATAATTAGTTCCTTGTCATTTTTCTACATTTATTATTAAGAAACTTCTAAGCAGGACATTTATCATGGTTTTCCTACACAAATGGCATTTCAGTGTATCCATGTAGTTGATTAGAGAACTTTTTTTTCTTTTCTTTTTTTTGAGATGGAGTCTCTCTGTGTTGCCCAGGTTGGAGTGCAATGGCGCAATCTCGGCTCGCTGCAAACTCCGCCTCCTGGGTTCATGCCATTCTCCTGCCTCAGCCTCCCAAGTAGCTGGGACTACAGACGACTGTCACCATGCCCGGCTAATTTTTTGCATTTTTAGTAGAGACGGGGTTTCACCACGTTAGCCAAGATGGTCTCGATCTCCTGTCCTCGTGCTCTGCCTGCCTCGGCCTCCCAAAGTGCTTTACAGAAGAATCTCAACTAATAAAGGCAGAAGAAATGGTAACAGAACCCCCAACGAAACAATAAATCTAGTCAATGAAACATCAATGGGTACTAATACCACTAGGTGAAATGTTCATGGGGAACTTTATAATGGATAGATCAGGTTGATAATACCTGAACATATTGATCAATCTTAGCATTATTAAAAGTATGTCAAGCAAACTGTATGTGATAAACTGGTAAATGTTTTATCTATTGCTGCATAATAAATTACTCCAAAACTGAGTGGTTTGAAACAACAGTAAACATTTATCGACACCCACAATTTCTCTGTATTAGGAATTCTGGAGCAGTTTAGCTGGTGGTTCTAGCTCAAGGAATCTCATGAGGTTGCAGTTTAGGTGTCAGCTAAGGTTATTGTCATCTGAGGGCTTTGACTAGGGTTGCAGGATCCATTTCCAAGATGGCTCACCCATATGGCTGTCAGCAGGGGGCCTCAACCCCGTGACCTTCTCCATAAGGCTGCTTGAGTTTGCAGCTGTCTTGATTGGCTTCCCCCAGATTGAGTGATCCAACAGGGAGAGAGGAAGAAGTCACATGTCTTTTATGACTTGGCCTCCTAAGTCCCATGTCATTATTTCTGCTATGTCCTATTGGTTCACAAGTCATTCCTCCTAGTCATTGTGGTAAGGGACTACACAAGGACATGAATATGAGAAAGTGAAGATTACTGGGGCCATCTTGGAGGCTGGCTACCGCAAATAGGAAGTAATCCTGTGAAGTATTCTTGCCCTGTCCTCTGTAAAACAATTCCAGGATCTAATCCAGCCTGTAGGTCTAACTACCCATTAGTTATAGCAAATGGAAGGCAAGAGGAATGGATAGAGGAACAAATTAAACAACACCACAGGGAAGCAACCAGTCTCTTCCATGATGTGGGACTATTTAAAGAGCAAGATCTGATTTCCTCAGCCAATAAATGATACAGGGGTAGGGGAAGGTGGGGAACAGTTACAGAGTGAAAGAGATTTAAGAGATGTAACAACCAAATGATAATGATTCAAACAAACCAATTGGAAAATACTTCTTCTGTACAGTTGTGAAAATGTCAAGGACTGGATATTAGCTTATATTAAGAAATTGTTAGGCATGTTCAGGAGGATAATGGCATTGTGGGTGGGTGTGTTTAATATCCTTATTTCTTATATGCTGAAGTATTTACAGCTGAAATGCTGTGATGTCTGAGATTTCTTTTAAAATAATTCAACAAAAATAACAAATAGTTGGGAATAGATGATACGAGACTGACAAAAATTTAAAAATTGTCATCGCTGACTGACAGGGTAAAGGGAGTTCATTTTACCACTCTTTCCAGTTCTGAATATGTTTTTAAAATCTCCACAATGTTAAGCCATAGAAAGTTTGGGGTTAGTCACAGCAGTTAGCATTACGCAGAGGTACCTAGAGGAACTGCAAGGTGGTTAGCTGTGTTTGGGGATGAGGCAGGTCTGCAGCTGTGGTTCTACGCTTTCATGAACTTAGAGTCTGTGGCAGGAGAGAAGATGAACTGCGATGCAAGGGAATGATGGGGGAGGTAAGGCGGTCAAGTGGGAGTAAATTGCAAAAGTCTGCACAAATTGGTGATAGTGGTCTCTTCTGGGGAAGTGGCAGCAAAACTAGAAAGGAAGGAAAAATCCTAAACTGGTGTTTGGCCACAGCCTACAATAATCTGCAGTTGCTTCTTGTCAGATCCCCACTATTTCCTGTGTAACTTCCCTTCCTGGAGCAACACTTTATTTTTGCCTTTTAGTAAATCTGTTACTGTTCCAACTCCAATTTCCTTAACTTCATAAAAGTTTTCTGTTCTGTTTAGAGTTTAAGGTTTGTTTGTGACGGTGCTGAAGAGGCCAGGGCAGGGAAAGAGGATAAAAGTTGTTTTTGCTGTTCCTTTTAATCTATCTTTGCCATAGGAATATTTCGACAGTCTTTTAAAGCATATGATACATGCTGGGAAAGTTGGAGAAAGTTACCGTATAAATATGAAGTGATAAGTATCATGAGGATAGAGCAGGGATTACAAAAGAAGACAAAGAAAGGCTTTGATTTTTATAACTATTTTAAATCCTCCCATTGTAAAAGTACGTGTATTTGAGTTGAACAAAAGGACTCAGAGCCAACTTTAGAAGGTTGTTTAAAATGTTTATATCTTCTCAGGCTTTCCTGGATGGAAACATTAGCAATTAAAAGGCTCCAAATTATTCATGGAGAAGAATAAAGTATTGTCTAAGGGATTGGAAAGCCTCAGAAGAAATCATCACAGAAATTGTTTTATCAAATTCTTGCTACTAAAAGATTGTATTTTATCCCAAAATAGAATGGAGTTTCCTAGCTATTCATGGCTCAGAAAAAACAAATCATCTTGTTGGTCAGCCTCAGATATAATTTGTCATTAAATATGGGAGTGAAGGAAGAGGAAATGTTATCAAGTTTCAGTGTCCACAACTGAAATAAAGTTAATTACATGACTGTTCAGAACATATAAAAATACCTTACTGTATATATAATGCTTTGGTTTGGGAAATTTGTTTTAATTTCTTTCTATACCTTCTACGACAAGGATGTCACAATGATTTCAAATAAAGAAGTTAAAAATATGAACCCCTATGGAAATCAAAGCACAAGTTGTAAAATTCAAAATTATGTCAAACTGATCACTTGGGGCTATATAGAACCATAAAACCCGATTTAATTATACCAGGGTGCTCAATAAAGAACAGTTTTTTTAAAAGAACCTGTATTTTCTTACCAAAGGCCCCTGTTTCCTTACCCCACAGTGAGCTAGATTATGTGTGGCCATATCTACCACACATATTATGTGTGGCTAGATTATGTGACACCACATTATGTGGTGTCTCTATCTGTGCTCTCTCTGGGCTGAAGGGTGGAGGTGCCCAAAAAAACAAGTATTACTGCTGCTTTCTAACTTCTTGAGCTTTTAATGTGGCCCCTGGACCAGCAGCTACCATGCTACCTGGGAGGTGTTTTCTTTAAGAAATGTATACTCGGCCGGGCACGGTGGCTCACTCCTGTAATCCCAGCACTTTGGGAGGCCGAGGGGGGCAGATCATGAGATCAGGAATTGGAGACCAGCCTGGCCAACATGATAAAACCCCGTCTCTACTAAAAATACAAAAATTTGCCTGGCATGGTGGTGCGCACCTGTAAACCCAGCTACTCAGGAGGCTGAGGCAGGAGAATTGCTTGAACCTGGGAGGCGGAGGTTGCAGTGAGCTGAGATCATGTCACTGCACTCCAGCCTGGGTGACAGAGCAAGACTCTGTCTCAAAGCAAAAAAAAAGAAAGAAAGAAATGCAGACTCAGGGCCTACTCAAAACCTACTGAATCAGAAACTATATTTTAACAAGATCTCCAGGTGATTCATATGCACACTATATTGTAAGAAGTATTGTTCTAGAACACACAAGAATGTTTCAGATTCCAATAGTCACCTTTCACTTCAAATCTTACCTATCTGATGTTTCCATCTGGTTATCTGAAATGTTTCCTTCTTGGCTCCATGCCCTCCAGCCCTGAGGTAGTTGCTACCACTACACCTGGCCTAGGCTTTCAGGATAATTAATCCTGGCTCAAATCCTAGAACCTAAGGTTGTAAGCCCCTTGAGGGCAGGGAACAAGTTGAAAGAATGTCTACATCCATTTCAGGACCTGCCACATAGCAGAGACTCAAGTACTTTTTGAAGAATTAATAAATGATAGATAAGAACATGGCCTTTGATATCAAACTGAGCTAAGTACAAAACCTGACTCTTCCACTTACTAGCTGCATAACCTTGAATAAATTACTTAATTTCACTGAACTTCACTAAAATGGGAATCATAATCCTATCTCAATGAATTCTACTGAGGATTAAAGAAAACTGAATGTACCTAGCATTATGTACATATTTCATTCTAAGGGGTCTGGGTTTTTTCATGTATTAATAAAATAGTACTACGTTTTTCCATTTTTAACTGTTGTTTCCTTCCTGTCTTAGTTTACTTAGGCTGCCATAACAAAATACCGTAGACTGCCAAAATTTTTACCTTGGACTTTCCAGCCTCCAGAATTGGGAGAAAATTAATTTGCTTAAGTCACGCAGAGTTCAGTTTCTAGCTAGGGCTCTCTTCCTGGCTTGCAGTCAGCCTTCTTGCCTTCTCCTCACATGGCAGACAGAGAGAGAGAGCTCTTTTCCTCCTCTTATAAAGACACCAAACCATTAGGATTAGGGCTCCATCTTCATGAACTTACCTACTCATAACTACCTCCTGAAGGCTCTGTATCCAAATACAGTCACACTGGGGCTTCAACATTTGAATTTTGAGGAGACACAATTCAGTCTGTAGCATCTCCAATACATAGCATTGCAGTGTTAACAATTGTAACAAAAAACTTCTATGTTAGACAGATTTACATTCCTTATAGCAATGCTATTATTTCTTTGGCCCTATAATGTCCTGATATTCCCTTTATTTAAGTTTTTCGGTTTCCTCAGCATTCTTTACCCATCTTAATATGGAGTCTATTTGGGTCTCTCCTCTAATAATTATTACCATTTTTTTTCTAGAAAACTGTTTATTCTTCTAGAAAACTGTTTTTTCTAGAAAATTGTTTTTATGCTTCTTAAAATCCTTAAACCTTTGATTAAGTCAATAAACTGCCAGAAATGCAAGCGATACTTATAAGCATTTTTTTTACAGTGCATCAAGATAAAAATAGGTTAAATATATGATTAGAAAAATTCTTTCTTTCCTTCCTTCCTTCCTTTCTTTCTTTCTTTCGTTCTTTCTTTCTTTCTTTCTTTTCTTGAGATGGAGTTTTGCTCTTGTCTCTTGTTGCCCAGGCTGGAGTGCAATGGCGCGGTCTCAGCTTACTGCAACCTCTACCTCCTGGGTTCAAGCGATTCTCCTGCCTCAGCCTCCTGAGTAGCTGGAATTAGAGGCATGCACCACCACGCCTGGCTAATTTTTGTATTTTTAGCAGAGACAGGGTTTCACCATGTTGGCCAGGCTGGTCTAGAACTCCTGACCTCAGGTGATCCACCCGCCTCAGCCTCTTAAAGTGCTGGGATTACAGGCGTGAGCCACTGTGCCCAGCAACTTACTTTCAAAAGGATTATGCAATCTAGCATCCTCTCCTTTACTTTCTGAATTCATTTCTGACTTTCCTTCTGCTTCCTTATTCCAGTGCAAAACTGCATAATTCTTTAGAAAGAGCCATTACCGGCTGGGCGTGGTGGCTCACACCTGTAATCCCAGCACTTTGGGAGGCCGAGGTGGGCGGATCAAGAGGTCTGGAGTTTGAGACCAGCATGACCAACATGGTGAAACCCCATCTCTACTAAAAATACAAAAATTAGCTGGGAGTGGTGGTGGGTGCCTGTAATCCCAGCTACTCAGGAGGCTGAGACAGGAGAACTGCTTGAACCAAGGAGGCGGAGGTTGCAGTGAGCCAAGATCGTGCCACTGCACTCCAGCCTGGGTGACAGAATGAGACTCCGTCTCAAAAAAAAAAAAAAAAAAAAAAAAGAGCCATTACCAACTGGGCGCCGTGGCTCATGCCTGTAATCCCAGCACTGTGAGAGGCTGAAGTGGGTGGATCACTTCAGGTCAGGAGACCAAACTGGCCAACATGGTGAAACCCCCATCTCTACTAAAAATACAAAAGTTAGCTGGGCATCATGGTGGCCGCCTGTAATCCCAGCTACTTGGGAGGCTGAGGCAAGAAAATCGTTTGAACCCTGGAGGCGGAGGTTGCTGTGAGCTGAGATCAAGCCACTGCACCCTGGCCTGGGCGAGAGAGCGAGACTTTGTCTCAAAAAAAAAAAAAAAAAAGCCATTACCTATTTTCAGTCCATGACTAACAACAATTATGAAGAATATGAACAGCCTTTCCCCCTAGTCCTTAGATGCTAATGTATTTTTTGACTGCTATGATCATTTGAAAACCATGCCCAGTTGAACTCTTAAATATTTCCAAGAACCTTATATAGACAAAGCATTTAACTCAGAGAAGCACTTAATTAAAGGTGTTTATTATTCAATAAATATCTAGCTCGTGCATTGTGTTTGGCAAGAATAGAAAGATGAGAAAAATACAGATTCTTCCCTCTGGGTGCTGGTTGGCTAGTGGGAAAGATATACATATGAACAAAAATAAAATATTCCTTCCTCATGAATGTATCTGTAAGATACAAATGACTGGCGGTATTTCAAATATACTTGGACTGGGGATATAAATTCACATTGGTGGCAGGAAAACTCAATAGTATTGTCTAGGTTTGCTACCTTCAATTCCTCTTCTCCCATTTTGTCTCGAATACACGCCAGGTAGGCTTTAACCCTCACAACTCTACTGAAACAGCTCTTGTCAGGGTCACTGGGTCCCTAGGTAATCTCAGTGTGCCCGTGGTCTAAATTTCATTGTAACATCTCACAATTGTGTTTCTCCACCCTGACTCTTTCCTCATCTGAACTCTAGACCATTCATTGGAGTGTAAAATAAATGTTTCAAAATTATATCTAAAACAAAATCTTCAATTTTCTTTCACAAATCTTCCTCCATGGCCATTCCTCCATCCTACTATTCACCTTGCTGCTCAGGCCAAAAACCAAGAATCATCCTTCATTCTTCTCTTTACCTTAAATTCTTCAAAATTTTCATCAGCAAATTCTGTCAACTCTACCTTGGAATAATATTCCAAACCCAACACCTATCACCACCAATGCTCCCACTGCTCCAAACCATCACTATCTTTGCCTGAATCCTAAAATAGCCTCTCAACTGTTCCCTCAGCTTCCATTCTTTCCACTTTGCAGTTGATTCTCCACACAGCTGTCATAGGCATTCTGCTAAAATGTCAGCCAAATCGTTCACTCCTCTGCTCCAAAATCCTCTAATAGCTCCCCATCTTACTCACAGTAAAACTCAATGCACTCAATGGCCAAAGATCTATGCAGTCTATAGTTGCCACCCCCCACCCCCTGAACTAATCACCAGCTCCTCTCCCCACCCTGATTGTGATCTCACCTCACTGGCTTCCTTGCTATTCTTCAACCGCACCAGGCATGCTCCTGCTTTAGGGCCTCTGCCTTTGCTGTTCTCTGCCAGATCTCTATCTGTATAGCTTGCTCCTTTAGATATGCACAGCTCACCTCCTTTAGATCTTTGTTCAGATATCACATTTTCAGACAGGACTTCTGTTTTAGACATGTTTCAATCAAAGAAGCAGAATTAGTTGAAAAGAGAAGGAGAGAGAGAAAATGAATTTGTTACATGGATTTGACTTAATCAATTGTAGGAGCTCATTAACCAGACTCTGTAAGGCTGTTTTCTTTGCATTTCATGCTGGAGTTTGAAGTCTATAGATTAGAGAGTAGGAAGGAGAGATGGATATAAAGTTGAAGAGAGCCTGGTCAGTGGGCCGGAATCCAACAGGGCACGCTGGACCCCCTATCAGTTCTCATTGCCTCCAACCAGATGATGGGGCTATCCTACATAAGAAGCCAGCTCCCTTCATCACAGAACTAAACACACACCTGACCCAGGAGTCAGAGAAGCTGCAGGAGGATGCCGGGGAAGGTGAACAGTTGCAGGCCCAGCTTCTGTGCTATATTAATGAAGTGAGCCAGTAAAAGGGCCACAGCATTACCTGTCCTGACTTTCTAAACATAAAAAACAACATGGTGGCTGTTTCACGTCTTCCCTCCAAATATTGCGCAAAAAAACACACAGGAGAGACATCATTCAGCCTAGTCAAGTTACACATTACAAAGCCACCACCTCTTTTATGATTGTTCAGTCTAAAATTGCAGCCCTGCCTCCAGCATTCAGTATCCTTCTCTTCTGCATTATTTCTTCTCCATGCCACTAACATTCTGTATATTTTACTTATTTGTTTTATTTAGCATCAGTCTTGTCCTACTTAAATGTGAGCTTCATGAGGATAGGGATTTTTTTTTTCATATTTATTCACTGCTCGGTGTCTCATGCCCAGAAAAATGTCTAACACACAGTAAATATCTGTAAATATTTGTTAAATAGAAGAATAAATGAATTATGTAAGCATTTAGATGAAAAATTTTAATAACTGTAATTATGATTATTTTTCAATAAAACATTTACATACAGATTTTCTAAATGAAGCAAGTGAGCATTACAGATATAGGAAATAAATTCACAATCTATAAAATAATAAGGGAGCTAAAGAACTAATGGCCTATAACTTACATTCACTCCCTGTTCCTTGGAAACAGGGAACAAGTTTATAGACAATAGCAGAAGAGCAAAAAGGTTTTGTAAGATCTTTCATGTAATATATGGAAAAGTGAAGACAATACTTTGTTAAATAAAAAGGGCTGCTTATCACCAGACTTCTCACATTAAATAATTAGGCACTTAATAAATTTACTTGGCTGCTGCTTTTTTTTTTTTTTTTTTTTTTTGCCTTTATTTTGAGACAGGGTCTGTGTTCTCTCACCCAGGCTGGAGTAGAGTGGTGCAATCTCAGCTCACTGCAACCTCCACCTCCCAGGCTGAAGTCATCCTCCCACCTCAGTCTTCTGAGCAGCTGAGACCTTTGTAACAGCCAGCTTAAGGTGTAGCTGCAACCTTTGTAACAGCCAGCTTAAGATGACCTCTCATGGGAGTTAATCTGTCATCTCTGTGGGAGTGATCAGTTTTACTGTAATTACTGCAACGGGTCTTGAGTCTAACGAATCAAGAATCAGCCTGGAAGGCAAGAATCTTCCGCTAAGTCATGTGGGAGATTGGGGGTAGGGTTGAAGGGTAAAACCCTGAAAGACCTCTGAAATATTCATTGGTCAGTTGGTATGCTGACCAGAAGGTGCCAACACAGTCCTCCTCATGGGAGACATAGGTGAGAGGCATGGGAATGGTGCACTGAACTCTCAGGAATAAAACTGTTCCTACAGCAACATGCCTTGTGGTGAAATACTACGGGGTGTGAATTCCTAGACTGGGCTTCACAGTATGGCACAGGTCACTGGCAAACTCCTCCCTCAAAGAGGGCTTTGACCAGGGTCTCACAGGTTTATCTTTTTTGTTGTTGTTGTTTTGTTTTGTTTTGAGATGGAGTCTTGCTCTGTCGCCCAGCCTGGAGTGCAGTGGCACAATCTCAGCTCACTGCAACCTCCGCCTCCTGGGTTCAAGCAATTCTCCTGCCTCAGCCTCCTAAGTAGCTGGGATTACAGTTGTCTGCCACCGCGCCCGGCTAATTTTTGTATTTTTAGTAGAGACGGGGTTTTACCACGTTGGCCAAGCTGATCTCAAACTCCTGACCTGGTGATCCACCCACCTTGGGCTCCCAAAGTCCTGGGATTACAGGCATGAGCCAGGGCACCCAGCTGACAGGTTTATCTTATTACTTATTACATTACTCTGGTAACCTTATAACTTTATATGTATGATTTATGTGTTGTCTTTAAATGTTGGTCAGTGATAGGTTTAAAGGAAGATCAATAAAAGAAGGAGAATGATGCCCAAGAACTTTGGAACTTAAGTTTTTAAATGTCAACTTAAAGAAATCAGACAGGGCACCTAGGAACATATATCTTAAAGACCAATTTGCATTCTACATGCCTGTTATCAAATGGATACCTCCTTTATCTAGCAATATTGCTTTTACTCAACAGCCTAATAACCTGGAAAGTAGTAAAACTAAATGTGTATCTTATTGATAAGCCATCAAAAATATTATAATATTTCACCTTTCTCATAAAATACATGCTAAAAAATGTATTAGGATATTAACTACAAGTTTACCTCTCTAGTGGGATGAGCTATGAATCCAAAACAAGATGAATCCTTTGGTCCTTTCAAAAGTAGCATTGTAGCATAGAACTGCAGAAAAAAAAAAATATATATATATATATATGGCAGTTTTCATAAATAAGGACTTATCCTCGAGCCTTTCACACATGTCTTTAGTTCTCTTTCTAGGGTTTTAAAGTAGCATAATTTATTTATAATCCCTTAAAGATTGTAAAGAAAGAAAGAAACTGTATAACAGCATCAACATGCATTAAACAAAGCTCATTTTTTCATTCCTGGAAACATGATAAAAATTAAAATTACTATGAAATAATCATATTTTTCTCCCAGAAGTGGGGCAGTGTTTTATTTAGCTTTGAGTTCTCAAAGTTAAGGCTAGTGCCTGGCATATCATAAGTGTTTTATAAATGTTTTTAACCTGTGTTGTGCCATGAGGCCCAGTCCAGGAATTCATACCTTGTAGTATTTTACCACAAGGCATATTGCTGGAGGAACTGTTTTATTGCTCTGAGAGTTCAGTATTCAGCCATTCCCATGCCTCCCGCCTATGTCTCCCATCTAGAGGACTGTGTTGGCACCTTCTGGTCAACATACCAACTGACCAACACGGCATATGACTATATGGCATATACACGAAATATGTAGCTACATGCCTGTGTTGTTATTTAAAGGCACACTCTAATAATTATCAAATGACTGTAAATGTACTACACACGTGGCTTACACCAAAATATTTGAGATAATGTCAGTAGCACATTATATTGATTACAATGCTTTCAGCTGCTAGGAACAGAAAGGTTTGTCTTACTTTGTTAAAACAATACGAAGAAACATTTTCACATGGTAAGAAGTCATGAGGCAGGGTGGGTTCAGGGCTGGTAAATTCAGCAGCCCAATGATATTTCCAAGGATTCTGGTTCTTTTCATGTTTCTGCTCTGCCTCTTCAGTATATCAGTCTCATCCTCAGACTAACTCCCCAACCCCTGCCAATGGATAATTCCAGGAATTAATAGAACATTCAGAGACAGAAGGGAAAGTCCGAGTTTCCTTTTAAGATCACGGAAAATTTTCCCAGAATCCACCATTCACACATCCATGAAACTTCTCCACAGGTCTCATTGGCCAGAAGTGTGTCACATGCTTTTCCTGAACCAATCATTGTCAATGGTGATGAAACTGCTATTGGTGGTTTAGAGCAATCAGGATTACCACATTCCCACACCTGCCAAGATGCAGAATATGTGGCCAGGTGGGAAAGAAGGACACTTGAACAAAATGAGGATTTTACAAAGATGGAGGAAGGGGAAATGGCCATTGGGCAGGCATGCAATGCATCTACTACAGGAGTAGAAATATAGCATTTCTAAATCTTTAATTATAATGAATATATTAGTCACAATTAAATTTTTAGCAATATTCTTTTCTGGCAGAATTTTATCTTTTTATTATATGAGGAGAGTTAGGGGTCAACATCTAGGCATGGATGGAAGTGAGACTGCGGAGATCAGCTCATTCTTTATAACATTAGCAGCAGGAGAAAATGAGAAGGCAAATAGGGGGTCAAAAAAGGGAGGCAGAAGGGCCTGTGGCACTTAGAGGAGACTCTTCTGCCATCTGCAAGTGTGAGCCGGCTTTTGCTGGACAAAAGACGTGATCTGGGATGAACTGTTTGCCCAGCCTGGGGAGCCTGCTGATTATTGGCTGTACATGTAACCTGGAAGGTTCTGGTTCTGTGAATTGAGCAAAAAATCTACCCACAACATTTGGAAGTACAAGTGGTGTCTCCTCAGAGAATAATGGTAGGGGCAGAGCTCTCAGAGCAACTCTGCTCTGAACTGACTTCCAGCGAGCTGGAGTTGGTAAAATAGAATGTTGTCAAAAACTTGGTCTCAAGAGTCTTGATCTCAATGTTGGCATATAAGGATATTATATTGTATGGTATTATCTCTTATGTTATACTCTGTTGTGTTGTGGGATTTTATATACTATATATCTACATTTGTATCTACACCCACACACACCTGTATGTGTAAGAAAAGGAAAGAGGGAGTTGGGAATGCATTACCTGTCATTTGAGCAGTTTTGGCCAGAGGCAAGAGCTTCAGGGAACTCCTCTTGTGGTTCAGCTGTTCCAGCACATAGAGTGCCTCTGCAGTTGCCTTGGTGTGGCTGTGGGATCCCTGCTCTCCACATAGTCCTCCTCCCTCTGAGCAGTGTGGCCCACTTAGGGCTCCTGTAAGTTTCCTGTGAAGTCCTGGGCAAGCTACTTTTCTCCTCAGGATGCTTTGTCCTGCCAGCCAAGTCATGTCCCGTTGAGGTGATGGGAGATTGAGTCTTTTACACAGACATTTGCAAATGAGGGCTCAAACTTGAATCTACAAGTTGGTGCTGGTGGCAAAAACTTGCAGGTGTCTGTTCCCATCTTCTAGCACTCCCCACCTCAGTGTCCATTCGACATCTTTCCAGCTTGCAGAAACTCTCTGGTCTCCTTTGAGTTTCTGTCTTCTCTGGGGTTCAGTGGGAGCCACGACATGTGTGGACCCTGGAGCTAGGGGTGGCTGGGAGCCTCAGATCACCCTGGATATTGCATAAAGGGTCAGGGTTCAATGGCACTGGCAGAAACCTCCAAAATGTGTTTCAAATCCATCAGCTTCTCTCCACATCCTAGGGAAGGGTCCATCCTTTCTTCCTGGACTATTGCTGGTGTCTCTTAACTAATCTTGCTATGGCTCCCACAATCTGCTCTTCATATTGTAGCCAGAGTGGCAGCTCCACATGGCTGGGGAGTCCTCACAATCGTGGCGGAAGGCAAGGGGGAGCAAGTCACATCTTATGTGGATGGCAGCAGGCAAAGAGAGGTTAGCAATATTCTTTTTTCTTTCTTTCTTTCTTTTTTTTTTTTTTTTTGAGACAAAGTCTCACTCTGTTGCTCAGGCTGGAGTGCAGTGGCGTGATCTCGCCTTGCTGCAACCTCTGCCTCTCGAGTTCAAGCGATTTTCCTGCCTCAGCCTCCCAAGTAGCTGGGATTACAGGCCCATGCCACCACGCCCGGCTAATTTTTGTATTTTTAGTAGAGACGGGGTTTCACCGTATTGGTCAGGCTGCTCTCAAACTCCTGACCTCTGGTGATCCACTTGCCTTGGCCTCCCAAAGTGCTAGGATTACAGGCATGAGCCACTGTGCCCAACCAGCAATATTCTTAATTGCCCTATGAGAATGTAGGAAGACATTTCTGAAACAATTAAGATGTTGTTGTTTTCTAAAAATAATGTTTTAAAAATGCTTGTTCACTTTTTTCTCTTTTTGTATTGTTAGCAGCGGTCTTCATGATTATCTCACTCATTTTAGTTCATATTATTATGTACTCACAATATTTCGTTTGTTTTCTTCACTGAAAAGCATTTTTTAATCCACACTTTTCTATGTACTTTGTATACAATTGTGAATGAAATAGACCAAAATTCCTGCCCTTATGGGGTTTACATGGTGTTACTAGTAGGATATGCCTCATATGAAAGGCATTTTAATAATGGGTAATAATTTTAAAATATAAAATATCAATTTTTGATAGCCTGAAAGAACAACCCAGTTTCTTGAAAGTTATCCTGAAAAAAAAATAGGTAAACATGGATGCAAAACTATTCATTAAGTAGCTGCTCACCACAATAGTCTATAACAGGGAAAAATTGAATACAGTCTAAATGTTCAAAAATCAGAGACCTAGCTAGGAGAGAAAATTGTGTGTCTGTATAGATAATCATTAAAAATAATCATGCTAGGCCAGACACGGTGGCTCATACCTGTAATCCCAAGTTTGGAAAGCAAAGGTGGTAGGATCCCTTGAGCCCAGGAGTTCAAGACCAGCCTGGGCAACATAGTGAAACCTCGTCTCTACAAAAAAAAATTTAAACATCAGCCGGGCATTATGGCACACACCTGTAGTCCTGGCTACTCGGGTGGATTGCTTGAGCCTGGGAGGTCAAGGCTTCAGTGAGCAGTGATTGTGCCTCTGCACTCCAGCCTGGACAACAGAGCAAGAACCTGTTCCCCACCCCCCAAAAAATTATGCTGTTTAGTTATTATTTAGAATATTGAATAGTCATTAAACATAATTGTGTGAAATAATATTTATTTGTAAAAATGTTCATGATGTAATAATACTAAATTTAATAGTATGGAAACAAAGCAGCATGGAAACCCTCTAATGACTCCTTTTTTTTTTAATTGAGATGGAGTCTCTCTCTGTTGCCCAGGCTGGAGTGAAGTGGCATGATCTCAGCTCACTGCAGGTTCCACCTCCAGGGTTCAAGCGATTCTCCTGCCTCAGCCTCCCGAGTAGCTGGGATCATAGGCGAACGGCACCACGGCCTGCTAATTTTTGTATTTTTAGTAGACACGGGGGTCTAGCCTTGTTGGCCAGGCTGGTCTCAAACTCCTGACCTCAAGTGATCCACGTGCCTCAGCGTCCCAAAGTGCTGGGATTACAGGCAGGCGTGGGCCACCGTGCCGGCCTCTAGTAACTTTTTATTACATATGAATAACACCAAACTGTTTTGTTGTTGTTGTTTGTTTTTCAGACAGGGTCTCGCTCTGTCACCCAGGTTAGAATGCAGTGGCATGATCACAGCTCACTGCTTCCTCAACCTCCTGAACTCAAGAAATTCTCCCACCTTACCCTGAGTAGCTGGGACTACAGGCACACACCACTATGCCCAGTTATAATAATTTTATTTTTTGTAAAAGCTGGGTCTCACTATGTTGCCCAAGCTGGTCTCCAACTCCTGGGCTCAAGCAATCCTCCCACTTTGGCCTTCCAAAATGTTGGGATTATGAGCATAAGGCACTGCACACTAAACTATTAACAGTAATTTTTCCTAGATGTTATGATTTGGAGTGAGGTTTTTATCCCCTCTGTTTTCCAGATTTTTTTTTTTTTTTCCAAGACAGAGTTTCGCTCTTGTTGCCCAGGCTGGAGTGCAATGGCATGATCTCGGCTCACCGCAACCTCCGCCTCCTGGGTTCAAGTGATTCTCCTGCCTCAGCTGGGATTACAGGCATGCGCCACCATACCTGGCTAATATTTTTGTATTTTTAGTAGAGATGGGGTTTCTCCATGATGGTCAGGCTGGCCTCAAACTCCCAATATGAGGTGATCCACCCACCTTGGCCTCCCAAAGTGCTGGGATTACAGGTGTGAGCCACCACGCCCAGCATGTTTTCCATATTTTTATTTTCAAACATGTATTGACATGATAAATTAAAAGGGAGCAAATTGAAGTCATCAATGCTGACCTGAAAGTCTCATTATAATAGCATCAACCATTTATTTAGTGTTTTCCACGTGCCAGTCAATGCACTGAGCACTTAACATTTGTTAGCTCACTTAATCCTTTCAACATCCTTATAGGTTAGGCAAGCCATGTTCTCCATTTTCTCCTCAGGCTGTAAATGATAAATTGAACCATTTATTATGTTAAATATCTTGCCCAAGATACACACTAGGAAGTGGTTTACCCTGAATTCAATCCAAAGTAGCCTGGCTCAGAGCCTGTTCTTTTTTTTGTTGTTTGTTTTGAGACAGAGTCTCACTCTCTTGCCCAGGCTGGAGTGCAGTGGCATGATCTCGGCTCACTGCAAGCTCTGCCTCCCGGGTTCACGCCATTCTCCTGCCTCAGTCTCCCAAGTAGCTGGGACTACAGGCTCCCGCCACCATGCCTGGCCAATTTTTTTTGTATTTTTAGTAGAGACAGGGTTTCACCGTGTTAGCCAGGATGGTCTTGATCTCCTGACCTTGTGATCCACCCGCCTTGGCCTCCCAAAGTGCTGGGATTACAGGCGTGAGCCACCGCACCCAGCCAGAGTCTGGTTTCTTAACCGTTGATGCTTTTCTGCCTACAAATACAGACTGTTAAAAGCAGGTTGAATATGGCAGAAAATCAAGGAATTAGATCACAAAACTTAGGGAAAAATATAAAGAGATAAGCAGAACTGTATCAAGAAAGCAAAATGACTAGAAGCTTCTCCAATGTAAAATAAAATGATCTTTTTAAAAAAACCTAAAAGCTGCTTCATAAACATTTATTGGATTAATAAATATGTAAAACACTACTGGTTTGGCTAAAAATTATTTAAAGAATAACTTTCAACTTTTCAATTCATTAATCAGTTGTGGAAAAATCCTGTCCATTGCTTCTTTTATTTCCCCCTTTCTGTTGCTGAGATTAACTCTTTAATAACCGGAGATACAACAAATGTGTATTACCTGCTAATTGACTACTATTCTACTAAGAATGATTTTATGGTGAAAAGGTTAAGACTATTCTAATAGAAAACAGTCTTTTTCTAAGTTTTTGTTTTTGTTTTTTTGTTTTTTGTTTTTGTAGTTTTCACCCAGTGCAAGAAATCATCAAAAGACAAATGGGATATACACTAATAAAACAAAACAAACATGATCTCTCTACTAACACCATTTATAGTCACCTAGTTGGAAAGAAAGACCATAGCTCATGATTAGAGAGAGCTGTTAGAGAATTGTATGAGACACCTCCTGTGCACCACTTCTTAGCCTCTTTTCCTTGCCTCTTAATCCTGTCACAGCTTTGGTGACCAGTAGCAAGTTCTACCACCTTCATGCTCAGCCTGTCAGCAACAGCACCTCACCTCAGCCTGTTTTGAGTACCTCTTACTCCCTATCCCGGGGTCTCTCTGACACCGTCCCAGAGGACATTCACAGAACTCACTTAGCACTCACACGAATACAAATGCACATGTATGAGTCTTCTGCTCCCCAGGGGAGTTGCCCTCTAGAGACTGCATCATCCACCCTCTCTTGCCCTCTGGCTAATTGTGTTCACCCAGTGAGAGGCAATGGCAGGAGATCAGCGGGCAAAAAAAAAAAAAAAGGTGGATCATTTCTTCTTTCATTCCTGTCCTGTTCCAGCAGAAAGTTCCCATGGTGACTCTGTTGCTTTATAACTACAGCTCCTATGGGCAATCCCTCTTGCTTGCGTCAGCACATCAGCACGTAACAGGCCATTTCCTCCCCTGGTCCCTTCAGGCGGGGCAGTGATAACATTCCATTGTTGCTAGTCCCTGGATGCCTCAACAGTCCTTGCTGGTTCCCTTAGCCCTACCTACACCTCTGTAAATAGCTCTTTTACTAAATTATCTTCAAAATCTCAGCTTAGCATTCCTTCTGTTACAATTACAGACAGTCTTTTAAGAGCTAATAAGCTACCTCCTTTGTAAGAAAAGTACAGGCAAAAAGAATACAAGTAATAAATTAGCATAGTTTAATCAATGAACTCTATGCTAGAAAGCTGAAAGAAAGAAATCAGGTTGAAGAAAGTATATCATAAGAAAAAGATATTGGGGCCGGGCACGGTGGCTCATGCCTGTAATCCCAGCACTTTGGGAGGCCAAGGTGAGTGGATCACCTATGGTCAGGAGTTCGAGGCCACCCTGGCCAACATGGTGAAACCCTGTCTCTACTAAAAATTACAAAAATTAGCTGGGTGTGGTGGCGAGAGCCTGTAATCCCAGCCACTCGGGAGGCTGAGGCAGGAGAAATGCTTGAACCCGGGAGGCTGAGGATGCAGTGAGCCAAGATTGTGCCACTGCACTCCAGCTTGGGTGACAGAGCATGACTCTGTTTCAAAAAAAAAAAAAAGAAAGAAAGAAAGAAAAATATATTGGTTGGGCCGGGCATGGTGGTGCATGCCTGTAATCCCAGCACTTTGGGAGGTCAAGGGGGTGGGATCTCTTGAGCTCAGGAGTTCAAGACCAAGCTGGACAACATGGTGAAACCCTTTCTCTATAAAAAATACAAAAATTAGTCAAGCATAGTTGCACATACCTGTAGTCCCAGCTACTTGGGAGGCTGAGGTGGTAGGATTGCTTGAGCTTGGGAGGTCAAGGCTGCAGTGAACGGAAATTGTGCCACTGTACTTCAGCCTAGGGAAGAGAATGAGACTCTGTCAGGGAGAAAGAAAGAAAAGAAAAGAAGAGAGGAAGGAAGGAAGGAGAGAAAGAGAGGAAGAAGGGAAGAAGGGAAGGAAGGAAGGAAGGAAGGAAAGAGAGAAAGAAAGAAAGGAAGAAAGAAAGAAAGAAAGAAAGAAAGAAAGAAAGAAAAAGAAAGAAAGGAAGGAAGGAAGAAAGAACGAGAAAGAAAGAAAAAGAAATTGAGCTTATCAATACAAGTCAAAAGTTTGATAGGGAAATGAGATAAAGATCATTCTTATTTCTAAAGCTGAAGATACAATTACAAGGCTAGTCAAAAGAAATCTAAATACAAGAAATGGACTTGTATTTATTGTTTTTGATGTTTAACCAAATTAACTCTTATCGTATCCACATAAACAGTTCCTAAACATGGTCCTGGGAAGAGATATGGTGAACTAGCAATATTATTCATTCTAACAATATGTTGTCAGCAATTCACATGTCTGAAATGGTCATAAACAATGACTTCAAGTCTAAACACTATTAGCACAGGTCACTTGATTTACGAAAACTGTGATAAATAAATGAGCTTTTAGTAAATACTAACAATAGGCCAGGCCCTGTGCTGATGTGTTCGTGTATACCATCTCCATTTATTTTCTTTAAAACTGTGCTGGAATGCGCAGTTGTCATCTTATTGGACGCTCTCTTTCACAGAATTCCCTTCTCTGTATTGTTCCAAATTAGAGTTGGGCAAAGAGCTTGTTTAAGATTTGGAAGGCAGAGCAAGCAACAACAATGACTCTTGGGAGATTGTCAGACACAGTAAGAAACAGATGCAGAGGTGCCCAGCAGGTCCCAGCTTGTCTTCTCTGTCCCCTGACCAGCTGTGGCCCCAGGCTCACCATGCGATGCTTGCCTGTGGACTAACACAGCCTGTATCTTAGATGAGAAAATATTTTCTCCTGTACCACCTTACTCAAGAATCAAATCCTCCAGAGGTAGGGGGTGGGAATCCAGTCAGTCTAGCTTGGCTTACTTGCCTTCCCATGAGGACAAGCACTTTGATATACAAGGGATTGCATATTGAGAAATAGGTAACTCCTGGGAAAGGAAATTAAGGCTAGAGAAAGGGGAATGGATGCTAAGGGGCCAAAAATAACAAGAATATCAAGTGTCCAGCCTATGCATTTACCCACTATGTTCTGTGTCACTGACTAGCTAATAATAATAAACAAAATTTATTCAGTACCTTCTCTGTGCCAGTAACTCAGAATTTATATGTACTATCATATTTAATCCACACAATAATCATAGAAGGTAGGTACTTTTCTTTCTCTGTTTTCTCCTGTAAACTGTAACTGACCAGAGATGGATCTAGTTAGAGGTTTGACTCTAATATCAGAACTACTAGATTTTCAACACCAATTTTGCTAATTTAGGGGAAACTTTGCTGGAATTTTTATGAATCCATCAAGCAATAATCCCAGTACTGCTAATGTATATTGTAGTGACTAACTATATAGCATAAATCTGATCCTTCATTACATAGGAGAGTTCTAAGCTGCACGAGATATTTTATTTTATATTATTTGTTAAAGTTAAAATTTAAAAACCTAGTTTTTCCTTAAGCTTTTAATTATAATTCATAAATTCTATGTTCTATTTAGTGAATTTTAACACTCACTTTTAAGGGAGCTTTTATATATTAGTTAATCTAATGCTTTAAAATATTTTTAAACTGAACTTAAAAGTATATTACTTTTTTTAACTTTTAGTATTACAATTGACTCAAAAATCTCTGTATCAAGTAATTATTTTTTAACAGTTTCGTTGAGATATGATTCACATGCCATACAATTCATCCATTTAAAGTATAAAATTAAGGTGTACAACTCAAAGTACATAATTAACTGACTTTACTATATTTCCAAAGATATGTAACCATTATCGCAATCAATTTTAGGACATTTTCATCACCTCACAAAGAAATTCCTCACTGCTTAGTCAAGTGATTCTTATAAATCAGCTGAGTTAAATTTATAGATAAGGTTAATCTTAAATTCTCTTAATTGTTCTAATACTCCATGAACTTAGTGAGATTTTAACTTAAAATCACAATTAAAAAACCATTACCCAATTACTCATTTTATTTATTTGTTTATTTATTTATTTATTTATTTTAAGATGGAGTCTCGCTCTGTCTCCCAGGCTGGAGTGCAGTGGGGTGATCTTGGCTCACTGCAACCTCCACCTTCCAGGTTCAAGCGGTTCTCCTGCCTCAGCCTCCTGAGTAGCTGGGATTACAGGCGCACGCCAACATGCTCGGCTAATATTTGTATTTTTAGTAGAGACGGGGTTTCACCATGTTGGTCAGGCTGGTCTCGAACTCCTTACCTCATGATCTGCCTGCCTCGGCCTCCCAAAGTGCTGGGATTACAGGTGTGAGCCACTGCGCCTGGCTACTCATTTTATTTATTATTATTATTATTTTGAGACAGAGTTTCACTCTTATTGCCCAGGCTGGAGTGCAATGGCACGATCTCGGCTCACTACAACCTCCACCTCCCGAGTTCAAGTGATTATCCTGCCTCAGCCTCCCTAGTAGCTGGGATTACAGGCATGCACCACCACGCCCATCTAATTTTGTATTTTTAGTGGAGACAGGGTTTCTCCATGTTGGTCAGGCTGGTCTTGAACTTCCTACCTCAGGTGATCTGCCTGCCTCAGCCTCCCAAAGTGCTGGGATTACAGGCGTGAGCCACCGCACCCGGTCCGGCTACTCATTTTAAATTGGAATCATGGGACCCTTCTAATAGGCCAAAATACCTAAGACATTATAAACATCTAAGTATAGATTATTCCTTAACAAAAAAATTTAATAACATGGTTTTGATTTACTTCATCATTTTTACATTTAATTCCAAATCTTCCCTGAGCTAAAAATACACCTGCCCACTAAAGAAAAATTATGTCAAACAAACATAATTTTGAGATTTGCTTTCTAGAGCAAGTTTGGGGAAATATTTTCTTCGCTAGATGAAAATGCATACCAATAAGACATTTTGGCCAGGGTTTGAGATCTAGAACTAGAAACACACTCAGAACAACTTATCTCATACTGGTGAGTGACAAGTCATGCCCAATTTGATAGACACTATATCAAGAGAATTGGCCGTTGGTGGCTTAGTGGCAGCTGAAGGAAGGGAGTTTGGAATAACCTAGAAGACAGAGAGGCCCAAGTCATATGGTGGCAGGCAGAGCCCAGAACCTTGTACAAAAAGAAATTTTATATGATGAAAGAAGCTGAGGAATTTTCGGACAGGAATGTGTGACATTTTGTGTTGTAATTACTCTGTATTGTTGTCATCCATCCTTCAGCAGAAGTATAATATGGTTATGTTTGAAGCATAAGAGGACAACTGGATAGCCAAGAGTGATGTAAGGAAGCACCAGCAATGTAAGCATTGATGCAGGCAGCAATGTAATTTGATGCAGTTGCAGAGAGCACTCCCCTCTCCAAAATATCCTTGGTTTATTAGAGAGGGCTCTGACTGCTGTGAGTGGGATGGAGGCTTGGGCGAAGTTATTTGGATATTATAGGAAAGGGTGAAGGATGAAGGACTTCAGAACCCCCAGGCAGCAAAGACTTGAGTTAAAGGAGAATGTAACCACATGCTTCTTAAGGAAAGTTTATTCCTTAAAAGTAAATGAAATAGAGAAAAAATATGGAGAAGAGATGATGGGTTATTTCCTATCATTGTTTCTAAGAAGTCATTGAGTATCGAATTTATGCTGAGTTATAGAATTCTACACAGTTACATTCAGCTACTCAGCAGCTCAGCAACCAAAGAAAAGGATTTCTACATCCTCTTTTTTTTTCACCAATGCTGATGAAAGAAGGTTTCAGCCCCTCATGTCATGAGGGAGGAAATGAATCATTTGGCTGCTCCAGCACCTACTTACTTCCCTTGAATTGCATCAACAGCCCTAAGATTTTGAATTTGGGTCTTTGTAATTAAATGGAATGTTCTGTCAATTTTTCATAAGAATTGTTTATCTTCATAACCCTCTGATTTGGCTTTATATAAAGACTTTTAAACAGTGTTTCATGTGGGGCTGTGCTCATGCGGCCCCAAACATCTGATCTGTTTGGTGAAGTCAGTCAAGTCACTGGCTGAAAATAATAGAAACAGATAAACTGGCTACTTGTCATCATGAAGACTCAAAAATTGGGCCTTATTTCCCACTTTTAATAAAGATACTTTTAATATTAATTACATAAATAGCCCTTTGTATGTAAACCAGGCTATTTGGGTTTGGCACCTTGAGCCCCTAACTATAAAACAGATTTTGAAGAAGCAGTGTCACTTTTATTTTCCTCTCTGCCTCGGTGTTTTGTTAGTAAAGGGATACAAAAGAAGAAGAGCGAGCTGTGCTTCGTGACACTGTGCCCTAGCTTCTGGGAGCTCTTTCACTCGAACCACCATGGTTATCCTGGCCATGCCTAGCATTTGTCCTACCTAGAAATCCGCCAACTCCCCCACAGAGAAGTCTGTGAATGCCTAGTGAAAGAAGTTGAAAAAATGTGAATCTCGATTAGTAACTCTTCACACAACCTTGGTAAGCCGTTAAATTTACCACAAATTAAATTTTGGTGGCATTTTGTACCTAGCTCTGCAGAACAATTCCTGCTGTTAACAGACTTAACAGTCTACTGAATATCTGCGTGGCTTCTCAACTGCTTTGGGGATAGGAGGTGTAGATGGACAATTACATTAATTTCTGCCTGGGAAAGAAGAAATATTCATGCAAGATTGAGCAGAAGTATCATAATGAGTTTGCTTTGTTCTTTTGCCGAGAAACACAGCATCCTCTGCATTGCACTTCTTCATATGAAAAAGTGTTTCTCCACAGAGTGGAGAAGTTCTTTTGGGCCTCGGTATAGGCCATGTCAGCTGCACAGTGAAAACCAAGAATGTGGCATTCCTTGCAAAGAAAGGAGATTCATTCTGAAATTGCTTCTCAACTTTCACGTAAATTATGCCCAATATTTTAACACAATGACAGTACAATCAGCTTTCTACTTCAGAATGTGTTGAGTTTTTTCCCTGTCTTCATGCAATTGTGAAGTACATATGAAACCAAGTGGGTAAATACAGTGTTATGGGCTGAATTATATTCTTCCAAAAGTTCATGTGTTGAAGTCCTAACCCCAGTTCCTCACAATGTGACACTATTTGGAGACAGGATCTTTACAGAGGTAATAAAGTTAAAATGAGCTAATTAGGGTGGCTCCTAATTCAACATGACTGGTTTCCTTATAAAAAGGGAAAATTTGGGCAGAGCACAGTGGCATATGCCTGTAATCCTAGCACTTTGGGAAGCAGAGGTGGGAGAATGACTCGAGCCCAGGAGTTTGAGATCAGCCTGGGTAACATAGCAAGACTTTGTCTCTACTTAAAAAGAAAAAAATCAGCCAGGTGTGGTCGCACACACCTATAGTGCCAGCTACTCAGGAGGCTGAGGAGTTAGAGGTTGCAATGCACTATGATCATGCCACTGCACTCCAGCCAGGATGACACAGCAAGACCTTGTGTCAAAAAAAAAAAAAAAATTTATTAGCCGGGCATGGTGGCGCACGCCTGTGGTCCCAGCTACTTGAGAGGCTGAGGCACAAGAATCGCTTGAACGTGGGAGGAGGAGGTTGCAGTGAGCCGAGATAGTGTCACTGCACTCCAGCCTGGGTGACAGAGCAAGACTCTGTCAAAAAAAAAAATAAAAAAAAAAAAAAATAAAAAAATAAATAAATAAATAAAAAGCACCGGGTGCGGTGGCTCACGTCTGTAATCCCAGCACTTTGGGAGGCCGAGGCGGGTGGATCACAAGGTCAAGAGATTGAGACCATCCTGGCTAACATGGTAAAACCCCGTCTGTACTAAAAATACAAAAAAAATTAGCTGGGCATGGTGGCGCGTGCCTGTAGTCCCAGCTACTTGGGAGACTGAGGTAGGGGAATCGATTGAACCCGGGAGGCGGAGGTTGCAATGAGCCAAGATTGCGCCACTGCACTCCAACCTGGTGACAGAACAAGACTCTGTCTCAAAAAAAAAAAATTGAATATTTTTAAAATGAAATTATGTCATCAACATATTCATTATAAAATTCTGATTAAACAATCTCATCAGTCATAGCTGTTCTTCTGGACTGTAATTACAGACCTTAATGAGGCGGTGACATTATTAGAAATGTAAAATTTTCTGGACCGGGCGCAGTGGCTCACGCCTGTAATCCCAGCACTTTGGGAGGCCGAGGCGGGCAGATCACGAGGTCAGCAGATCCAGACCATCCTGGCTAACACGGTGAAACCCCGTCTCTACTAAATATTCAAAAAATCAGCCAGACGTGGTGGCGGGCACCTGTAGTCCCAGCTACTCAGGAGGCTGAGGCAGGAGAATGGCGTGAAATCGGAAGGCGGAGCTTGCAGTGAGCCGAGATCGCACCACTGCACTCCAGCCTGGGTGACAGAGCGAGACTCCGTCTCAAAAAAAAAAAAAAAAAAGAAATGTAGCATTTTCTGGATATCAGCAAATACCACAGAAAGGTTGTCCCTCTTCTTTGGCCTTGTAACTTGACCTTCAAGCTCTATAAATTCCTATTCTTGAAACCTCTGGGCCTTGTGACTCTTAGATTACTACATATTAACTTCCTTTTGCCTGCTTATCTAGTATCTTTTACTGCTAACACGAATTTATGTTCATCTTTTCTCTCCGTCACCCTTAAGTCCTTTGCTGGCTAATCCTTCCACCCCCCACCATCATTGCTTTTTCCAAAACGTCTCTGGAGAAGCCTTTAGCTCATTAAGGGGACTCTCCAGCTCTTTCAACATTGTTATACTTCTGTTTATGTTTTCACGTATCATAAATTTCATATTGTAAATTCTTTGAGGGCAAGAACCATACATTTTATTTATCGGTTTATCCTAAGCACCTGCTGTGAGGTAGGTAGCCTTTTCCACTTAATTGATTACATCTATATCATTTTAAATTAGTGGTATGTAATTATTGTGATTTATGATGCTTTCCACATTTCTACAGATCAAATACACACCTTTTGTTAAGAAATAAACACATTTACTTACAGAGTAGTATTCATAAACATAGAAACCGGTTTTGCTTTTTGCGTGAATATCTGTTGGTTGATTTTTATTTTTTATTGCTACATTTGACAAACCTAATGTCATTAAAGAATTACGTTATCATTTAACACCTTTAACCATGTGACTGCTTGTCTCACAGGTTTACACTTGAAACTATTCACTGTGCAGTCAAATAAGCAAGTAATGTAGATATTATCTACAGAAAGAATTCACCTGGGATACAGGATGTTAAGAAAACAGAGGGTGAGGACATTTTATTGCCGTAGACTTTCCTCATTCAGCTGGAAATTTTCCCTTTTCATTTAACATTAACTTGAATAGACTGAATTTTGCATAAATACAGACATTTTAATCTTCATCTCTGATGCAACTCAAGAACATACATCACTGTTGTGTCCCATACATCACTGCACTGTTCACAATCTTTCTGGATAGATCTCCTGGTCATGGTGATGCAGTGGCTTCTATTTGCTGTGTGATGCTTCACTGTTCTGATGTGTCTTGTGTCTTTGCTCTTCGTGAGTTTGCATCTCTACATTTATGCTCCTGAAGATACTTCGTGAGTTTGCATCTCTACATTTATGCTCCTGAAGATATTTCCTAATGGGCATTTGGCCTGAAATTTAGGTACAGCCTCCTGATCCATTTAGCAAAATATCCCAGGGTAATGTGGGAGTGGTTGGAGAGATTTCAAGGCAGATAGGTAATTGGAAATCTAATGAAAGAGTAGTGAGTAGGAGGGCCTGATCTAGGATCAGATAAGAGGTATAGTTTCAGGGATTTGCCCTGGAGATAGTGGAAGGTCCTATAGAGCAGAGAAAGTAGGTGGGAAAAAAAAAAAAAAAAAAAACAACTATGTGGAAGAGATAAATCAGAGCCCAGTTCTCTGGAAATGGCTGCAGGAATGACACAGAAAACTGGCTAGTGGGGATGAAGGTGAATTTCTCTTTTTAGGAAAGGTGAAGGAGAACACAGGTGCCTGAGAGTCCTGAGCATTGAGGCCAAGCAATCCTGCCATCTCCTCAGACGTGTTATGGGGCCCAACAACATGGCTGCCAGCCAAGAGCACAGCCAGAATGCTCAGAGCTTCAAATCTCGATTAAGTAGCAATTGCAGCAATATTTCAAATTCCTTATTAGCAGGGAGAGATCTAATGCCTGATCACCTTTCTTTATTGAGGAGAGACAGAGCAAACTACAAATAATGGGGTACTTAGAGCAAAGAGCTTGGATGGAGTTAGAGCTAGAATAGAGAACTGGCATTTCTCATACAAGTGCTAATCTGAGTAAAAATATATAGAATGCTTTTCCACTCCACAGGATTTTATACAAATTTATTAAATTTATGAAGCTTATTTTAAAATAGGATTATTTCTAAATACTATATAAGAATACAGCAAAATGCAAATTCCTAGATACCATTACATTGTATCACTCACTCTAACCTCCTAAATAACTGCTCACTTTTGTTAAATAGAAATTGTAGGAGGCCATTTTTTGGACTGAGCTCCTATACCAGGCTCCATCAGATGAAACTAAAAACCAAAAGAGTCATCAGGTCAAAGTTCCATGTCACCAAACTGAAACTGAGTTGTTATCTGGCCTTCTGAGAAATTGGTAGAGAAAGATCAGGCCAAATTTCCCACACAGGCCAGTTTCAGTGGACATAAAAATGAAATTCCCTCTGCTTTAATCCTTACCAAAATAAATAAATAAATAATCAGAAGTAACCAACGTTAGTCAGTCAGTTATTTTTCTATTGTTCTGTCTTCCTGTTCCTGCCTTACAAGGGCTATAACTTTGAAACAACCAATCTGCTGTTCTTTCTTTGTTTTTGCTTTCAAGGCCCTTCTCTGTCTATAAAACCAAGCTCCTCTACTCACAGCTCATGGGGAAACTTCTTCTGTTTTCTAGAATGAGTGTTGCCCATTTCTAGAATGATGACTAAAGCCAATTAAGACCTTTAAATTGTTGTAATTTCGTATTCTGACATTTACAAAATCTATTTTTATATATATACACATACATATACATATATACACACATATATACACATATATGTGTATATATGTGTATATGTGTGTGTGTGTATATATATGTGTATATATATATATATATATATATATATATATATATATTTTTTTTTTTTTTTTTTTTTGTGACAGGGTCTTGCTCTGTCACCCAGTCTGGAGTGCAGTGGCACAATCATGGCTAACTGCAGCCTCAACCTCCCAGGCTCAAGTGATCCTCCCACCTCAGCTTCCTGAGTATCTGGGACCACAGGCATGCGCCACCATGCCTAGCTAATTTTTAAAATTTTTTTGTAGAGACAGGGTTTCACTATGTTGCCCAGGCTGATCTCGAACTACTGGGCTCAAGCTGTTGCCCTGCTTTGGTCTCCCAAAGTGCTAGGATTACGAGCGTGAGCCACCATGTGTGGCCTATTTTGACATTTTAAATCAAGTTGAATTTCCCGTCTTGAGTAGGCCTTCCTTTTTTTTTTTTTTTTTTTTAAGATGACTCCTAGGCTCTTGATTAGGTTTATCCACAAAATTCCATTCAAGCTGCTGCCATATTTTCCTCTGAATGTGCACATAGAAAAGGAGATTTGACTGCTTTTTGCTTTCAGATCTCCGGAGGAAAATCTCTTTTGCTATCCTCATGCTTCTTTTTACCTTGTGGTCAAAGCAAAAGAACAACAAAAAAACAAAACAAACACAAACACAACACACACACACACATGCAGAGATAAGTCTTTACAATCTACTTTCATCTGCACACAGCCTTTCTTCTTGTTACAGTGGAAAGTGGGAGAAATGTTTCTCTGGCAACCTAAAGCCAATCCCTCACCTGTATGCTGAATTCCATCCCCTTTCACCCTTTCAGATTTAAATAATCATGGTGGAGCCTCATGAAGGAAAATTCCACAGGTGATAAATATTCATCTGTAGAAAACTATTGACACAAGAGGATGTTAACAATATATTCTTAAATGAAAAAAGTCAGGCTGTACAACAATATGTATATTAGAATAGCATTTGAAATAGATAATAAGATACATAGGTAGATAGAAAAGACTGAGAGAATGTATATATGAGCAGTGATTATTCCTTAATAGCAAGATTATGGGTGGGGGTATGTGTGTCTGGAGAAGTGTCTGCATTTTCTAATTTGTATGCATAGAGTTTAATTATGTTTGGAAATTAAATTATTAAATTTTAAATACTTAAAGAGGCAAATCATGAGGTTAGCTGTTCACTCCCACTACGAATAAAGTCAAGTCTCCATCTGGAGCTTTAGGCTTTGAGTCTTATCCAAGAGCACCTATTTGAATAACACAGTAAGAATCCATAGCATCAATCTTATGTAGACCTTTTAAGAAAAGTACATTCTTGGCCTTATCCCACCCAGATAATTTGAACCAGAAAAGCTGAGGATAGAGCCCAGAAATCTGTGTTTTCTCAAGCCCTGCAGGGGATTCTGATGCACACTAAAGTTTGAGAATCATTGCTCACCATAAGTTGACTTCTACACAAAGACATAGTCCCATGGAGTGTGGAAAAAGCATAAACAAATTGATTGTCATCTGCCCATGCTCTCATGAACAAATGGGAGAGAAACAAAAGAATCCTTAACTAAGAGAAGGCTAAGGGTTAGTTTCTCTCACCACCCTGGGCAAATGGAAGAGATGGATGGGTGGAAGCGTTCCTACAGCCAACAAGTCTTCAGGAAAATTGAGCTTGACCATGCCATAACAAAAAGGTCAACATGGGCCGGGCGTGGTGGCTCATGCCTATAATCCCAGCACTGTGGGAGGCTGAGGTGGGCGGATTACCTGAGGTCAGTAGTTCAAGACCAGCCTGGCCAACATGGTGAAGCCTCATCTCTACTAAAAATACAATAATAATAATAATTAGCTGGCATTGTGGCACACGCTTGTAATCCCAGCTATGCAGGAGGCTGAGGCAGGAGAATTGCTTGAACTTAGGAGGTGGAGGTTGCAGCGAGCTGAGATCGTGCCACTGCACTCCAGCCTGGGCAACAGAGTGAGACTCTGTCTCAAGGAAAAAAAAAAAAAAAAAAGGTCAACATGAATTAACTGATAGCCAACTGGGTATGTGCTCTACTGTGTTATGCTGTCCCAGAGAGATGATTATTGGACCCTCCTCCCATTGGGCTGGCTAGATGTAGTCCTCTTATTGACAGGGGCAGGAAACTAGAGGCACTGCCCAGTCACATCAAGAGAAATCAGGCATCAGGGAAAGGCTGCCAGGCAAAGGGGACTCTCCCTTTTAAAAACATATCACACAGTAACATTTTAAACAGAACATTGGTACTTAAAATGCTGCATTTAATTGACTTCCATTAGCCTGTTTTCTATCTAAAGGATATGGTTTAAAACATTTTAAGGGAGAGTCATTACAATTAGTATTTGTCTGGAGGGGCATGCCCCAGCCCCATCCAAAGTGGTTATCCTAGGAAATTCTCATAAAAGCAAACTGATAACTGTAATAAAAGAATATGCCCATAATTGCACCTTAATAGAGTTTTTAAAATTTGGGAAAAAATTGTTAGTATAATCTCTACCAATTACAATATAATTTCTCAGATCATTTTAGGCCTCTTTTGTGTAATTTATTCATTAAACATTATGTCATAATTAAATATAAAGATTATTTAATTAGAATATGCCCTTAAATATGGAGGGCACCTAGGGAACATGTCAAGGCTATTTCTTCATTGGTAAAATGACAACTTTAATACAAAAACATACTAAAGAATAAGATGTTCTCACTACGGACACTATAAATAATAATGAACAAAAATATCACAATCTAGGCCAGTCATGGTGGCTCACACCTGTAATCTCAGCATTTTTGGGAAGCCAAGGCAGGAAGATCACTTGAGGCCAAAAGTTCAAGACCAGCCTGGGTGGTAGAGCAAGACCCCATCTCTACGAAAAATAAAAATAAAAAGTCGAAGTCTAAATCTATGTAAATAATATATTGACTCTATGTATAACATTCATTTCCCACTTATGCAAATATTTTCCATTTATTCCATATTTGCAAAAATAAAACCATTTTAAAAATATTCCTTAAAATTATACCATCTCCTTAAAATTATACCATCTTCTTTATTTCCTCGAATACCTATATTTACTTCCAAGTGATAATTTTTTTTTAAGTTTTAGGCTTTGCTGGATATTATTTTATGAAAGGATTAGATATTGCCTTAGGGAACTTTAAAAAATAATTTTATAAAAATTCTTTCCAATGGATACAATTTTTCTCTGTTTCTAGTTTGCTAGTGCATTGGCTTTTTTTTTAAGGTATGCAAATGTATGGAAATGATTCTTTTACTAGGAGAAATATCTATGTTCATTATTCTTGTTTCATGAACCCTGTTCTGACAAGGAGCTCACTCCAATACCAGAAATTAAGTTTCTTGGTAAACTCAGAGCTATTTTGAAATTTTATTTGTCTAGTAATGATGCCTTGAAAGAAACATAATGCCCATTCAGATGCCATCAGGCTCACTGATTTTCGAGATGATTTCATGTGTGATATAAGAACAGTAGGATCTGAGATTCCCTTGTTAGTCTTAACTTTCCAATAGATCCTATACATGCTGGCTTGAAATGACAATACTGAAATACTGAGCTCTTTCACGATCACATAAAAACATACCACTGTTATTTCCACCCATTTTAATAGTTCATGGTGGGGCTGGGTGCAGTGGCTCACGCCTGTAATCCCAACACTTTGCGAGGCCGAAGCGGGCAAATCACTTGAGGTCAGGAGTTCCAGACCAGCCTGGCCAACATGATGAAACCCCATTTCTACTAAAAATACAAAAATTAGCTGGGCATGGTGGCACACGCCTATAATCCCAGCTACTCGGGAGGCTGAGACAGGAGAATCACTTGAAACTGGAAGGCAGAGTTTGCAGTGGTGAGCCAAGATCCCGCCACTGCATCCAGCCTGGGCAACAGAGTGAGACTTTGTCTCAAAAAAAAAAAAAAAAAGAATAGCTTATGGTGTAGGAAGAGCAGATTAAGCAGAAAGTAAAATGAACCTCTAGCTCCATATGCCTTACCACCTCCAGGCCACCATTCTGTCTCATCTGCCCAGAATTTAAGGATTGAGATTTTCATGTTGGTTATGCACATTATGTTGTCTAATTTTCCCAAGAATCCATTAAGAAAGTTACTATTTTTATTATCCTCATCTTATAGATGATGAGACTGAGTCACAGAAACTCCAAAGCCTGCATGCTTCTCCACCACACAATATTACCAGAGATAGAGGAACCCCAACCCATTTACACTCATGGAATGCACAACTACCAGTTTTAAGCTATGGAATGGACTGAATACACTCTTCTTTCCAAAGACTTTGATTTTTTTATAGTATTTACATTTTGATAATAGCAACTGTGATAAAGAAGAATGCTGCTTCTCAGCAGTGATTTGTAGTTGTATTATTTAGGATTAGATTTGGCTGCATGTGACAGAAGTTCTCAAACAATGGCTTAAAGAAGATCACAGTTTGCTTCTATCTCATGTAAAAGCCTAAGGCAGGCATCTCTGGGCTGCTGCAGCAGATTCTCAGAACCAGGGACTCAGGCCCTGCCTACTTTATTGCTATACCAGTCCCAGTTTTACTTTATGGTCCAAGATAGCTGCTGGAGCTCTAGCAATTACATTTGGATTCCAGCCTGCAGAAGGAGAAAGTGTGGGAAGGGCAGGCCTTCCTTTTTTAAAGACATTTTCCAGAAGTTACACATATAACTCCGTTTGCATTAAATAGGCAGGCCATACTTATTCACATGGCTACCCCTGGCTGTAAGGAAGGAGGAAGAGTTCCCTTTGTTCTGGGTTGCCATGATGCCTGCCAAAACCTGAAGTAAGAATGGGGTAGGAATGGATTTGGGGAATCAACCCAGTCTTTGCCACAGGAGAGGAAAATGCATTCATGTTGGATGGACACAGGGTGAACAGGGGGCCGTGGTATACTGGAGAGCATATGCTCGCAGAGATATGGGCTACATGCAGCCAGATTTAAAGAGAAGCCAGAAATCTAAATTTTTATGTGAGATTTCTTGATTCTTAAATATTGCCAGTTGATTAAAATATAAAAAAACAGTGCTGGCCAAATAAAAGCCATCTGTGTCAAGCCTACAGGCTGACAGTTTGCTTCCTTTGATCTAAAACAACGGACTCTGTTTCTCTTTGAGATTTACTATTTTCAACCAAACAACAAATATTGATTGAGGACTACAGTGTATAAGGTACCATGTCAAGGGTGATGAAGGACAGAAAGATATAATCTTTCACTGGAACAAGAAAGTCTCTGATGTAGGAGACAGGGTTCATGACTAGAATTGAAAAAAAGAGGTTGCAGTAAACTACTCTTTAGTTTTGCTTCATTTTGTTTTGGTTTTGATCCAGTTTCTTTACCTAGCCCCTAACACTGTATCTTATTTCCTTAGGTCTTTTCTCAATGTTTAATAGTTTCCATTCTCATTTTAACTCACTCAAGTAAATGAATCTGTCCCTAGAATTCCATACTTCTAAAACGTATCTCTTGGAAATACTGAGTCTCCTTTTCCTTATTTTGTTGCTAATGTTTTGGTTGACAGAAAATTGTTTTAAGCCTTTCTTTACATGTGCTAGTCCTTGTAAAGTTAACCATATACACATACATATCATAATTTATGTCTGAACTTGACTTACTGTCCTCAAAAGGATGTGTGATGGGACAAAAATTATTAATATGTAAACGTCTATAACATTCATTCCTGCTCCTCCCAGAAGTAGAGAGTGAGAGGTATTGGTGGCAAAGACCAAAGTCACCCCATCAATTCTCTTGGGGAAAAGCAGTGAGTGGAACACCAGCAAGTCTTCCCCTGCCCTAGGATGATGCATCACTCAACGTTCCTGGTGTCCTCTGGTGCTGTCATGACTGGCAGATGGGAGTCAGGACCAGCTCCATAATTTGCAAGGCCCAGTGCAAAATGAAAACGTGGGTCCCCGTGTTCGTAGTTATTAAGAATTTCAAGTTGGTTACAGCAGAGCATTAAGCCAAGCACGACGCGCTTCTGAGTGTGGGTCCTGTGTTGCTGCACAGTTGGCGGTGACTGTAGCGGCGCACCACTGGACACTTCTGGCCAGGGAAGAGGGGAGCAGGTGGGCAGTAGGAAAACATAGGCTCAGAGTTGTAGGGTGAAGCTTTTGTTTCTGGGGAATCTGGGGGTGACAGAAGCACAGGGGCAGTTTACAGTATGAGTTTTTTTGTTTTTTTTTTAATGGAGGGAGATCAGGGTTTTCTTGTTTCCTCATTTGTTGAAGTGTTCCTATGATGTGCATGTCCCCCTTTATGGTGTTCAAGAAATGTGGCCAGGCATGGTGGCTCACGCCTGTAATTCCAACACTTTGGGAGGCCAAGGTGGGTGGATCACCTGAGGTCAGGAGTTCGAGGCCAGCCTGGCCAACATGGGGAAACCCCGTCTCTACTAAAAATACGAAAATCAAACAGGTGTGGTGGCGGGCACCTGTAATCGCAGCCACTCAGGAGGCTGAGACAGGAGAATCAGCTTGAACCCAGGAGGCAGAGGTTGCAGTGAGCCAAGATCGTGCCATTGCACTCCAGACTGGGTAACAAAAGCAAAACTCTGTCTCAAAAAAAGGAAGAAGAAGAAGGAGAAGGAGAAGGAGAAGGAGAAGGAGAAGGAGAAGGAGAAGGAGAAGGAGAAGGAGAAGGAGAAGGAGAAGAAGAAGAAGAAGAAGAAGAAGAAGAAGAAGAAGAAGAAGAAGAAGAAGAAGAAGAAGAAGAAGAAGAAGAAAAAGAAGAAGAAGAAGAAGAAGAAGAAACAGTTATTATCAAAGGATGCATTAGTCTGAAGCACTCCACTGCCATTCAGGCACTGAGACATAGGAGTTGCGCTATACAATGGATACTTGGACAGTGCAGGGATTAGGAGCCCTGACCTCCCTCCCCCACAATACAAAATTAGCATATAAGTTGTGACTCCCCAAAAACTTAACTACGAATTGCCTCCTGCTGACCAGAAGCCTTATCAATAACGTAACAGGTGATTAACACACATTTTGTATATGTATTATATATTGTATTCTTACAATCAAGTAAGCTAGAGAAAAGAAAATGTTATTAAGAAAATTGTAAAGAAGAGAAAATATATTTACTATTTATTAAGTGCAAGTAGATTGTCATAAAGTTCTTCATCCTCATCATCGTCATGTTGGATAGGTAGAGGAGGAGGAGGAAGAAGAGGAGTTGGTCTTGCTGTCTCGGGGTAGCAGAGGCAGAAGAAAATCCAAAATTAAGTGGATCCACAAAGTTCAAACCCATGCTGTTGAAGGGTCAAATGTGTAAACATTTCACAGTTCTTAGTAATGTCACTGATTAAGGGTTGGCCCACACTTTTATAGTAATAGGAATTTATTTGTTTGCATTTATGGCCTGTGAAGAAAAACAACAACAACATTATACTTGGCCATCTATCTCCCTCCTTCCCTCTCTCCATCCCTCCCTCCCTTCATCCAGCCCTCTTTTCTTCTTGCCCTCTCTTCCTCCCTTCCTTTCACCTTTCCTTCTCTCCTTTGCTTTCTTTCAATCAATTGTGAAGACTTTCATTATTTTCTAATAAGAATCTTAAAACATTTTCACTTAATGATAACCAATCATACTTATTTAAGCAATCAAATGATTATTTTTCCCAATACCATTGCAAAGATCATAATAAATTCTTATTTGTTCAAGGCTGCCATCCTATATGTAACCTCACTCACCAGGAGCTATATTCAAAGATAAGGCCCCTCCCTTCACTTTCTATATATTTTCTAATTTTTCACAGAAAGTTCCCTCAACCCTTCTGCCTTGAGTAATAGGTCACTCTGTCCCCTAAATACAGCTTGTGTTGGGTTCCAAATATCACTTTTATACCGTCACTTTTTTTTCTTAAGAGATGGAGTCTTGCTGTTTTGCCTAGACTGAAGTGCAGCGGCACAATCATAGCTTATTGCAGCCTCAATCTCCTGGACTCAAGGGATCCTCCTGCCTTAGCCTCCCAAGTAGCTGGGACTAGAGGTGCGTGCCACCACACCTGGCTAATCCATCAATACTCTTGAAAAAAAATCCTCCTTCTTTGAAATATATGACACCTGCTATCCCTCCTTGTCATTGGAAACCACATATTTCTGGTCACTCCTACTGAGGCTTCAAAATCCTTAGTTCCCTTGTTCTCCACCAAGATCATCCTTAAAAAGCCTAACATTGAATCAGTCCAATTATCCACCTCCACTCCTACACTAACATTGCTAGGCTACTGGAGAAAATCTATAAATGCAGAGATTATTTCTATCATACTGTCTCCACCTCATTTGGGCTTTCAATACTACTTGTCAATCCCTTATATGTCCCTAGCAAATGTTCTCTCCAATTCTACGCACAATCTACTGAAAACGCTCTTCCTCATGCCACTTATGCTGACATTAATTTCTTTTCTCTTACTAATTAACTTCCCCCCTACCCCCCAAAAATACTGCTTTTGGGTATTGACTTTTTCCATTTCTTACCCCTATATTTACAAACAAGTCTATAAATACATCCACTGAGGTACACTGATTGCATTCATTGCCCCAATTAACCACCTCCCTTTTCCACACCCTTTGCCCTACAATTTTGTAGTCCCTTCCCATTCTGATCCTGTGCTTGCCCCTGTAACTTCCTTTTGTGGAGGCTTGAAGAAGTGCTTGCCTATTTCTGCCTTCTGTTTGGAGCTCTGCTAGGACCTTGAACAGAAGCCCAAGCCAACCTGCTGGAGGATGAGAGCACATCGAACAGAGCTGAATTGTCCTAGCCAAGACCGTCCTAGTCCAGCCAGTCTCAGCCAATCTATCAGCTGACCACAGAGCATGAACAAGCCTGAAGATAAGAGTTGCCAAATCTGGTTCAGTAGAACTGCCTACTTAATCTGCAGACTCATGAGAAATAATAAGTAGTGGTTGTTTTCAACCACTACATTTTGGGATGGTTAGTTATGTAACAATGGCTGACTAACACAAACTCTCACCTCCATTTCTCCGCTCTCAGAGGAAGAAGAATCCTTTCTCCTTTTTAAGACAAATTTATCTACTTGCCCTTTATCCCATTCCTGCATTTCAGATCTCATCCTTTTGATTATCTCTCTCTATATTGCATTTTCAACCTCTTGCTCCCTTTTGACCTCTTTCCCTTATATATTAATATAAGCAAGTTCAAATCTTTCCCATTAAAATAAAACAAACATACAAAAATAAACCTGTGTCTTCCACAAGTTATTGACCTATTCTGTCATTCTTTTCATTTATATTCCTTGAAATGATAATAATTTATACTAGTGCATTAGTTAGGGTTCTCCAGAGAAACAGCACCAACAGGATGTATATATTTATAGAGAGAGATTTATTTTAAGCAATCGGTTTATGCAATTGTGGAGGCTCAGTGAATTTAAAATCTGATGATGTAGGCTAGCAGGCTAGAGACTCAGAGAAAAGTTACAATTGGAGTCCACAGGCAGTCTGCCGGCAGAATTTTTTTCTTGCTCAGAGGAGGCCAGTCTTTGTTCTACTATGGCCTTCAATTAATTAGATGAGACCCAGCCACATGATGGAGGGTAATCTGTTTTACTCAAAGTTTTCCAATTTCAATGTTAATCTTATCCAAAAAACATCTTCACAGAAACAAACACTATAATGTTTGACCAAATATCTGGGCACCATAGTACAGCCAAGCTGACATAAAATTAACCATCACAACTTTCTACACCCTTTTTTTTTTATTTCCATTAACCATTCACCTTTTCAGTTATCATCTTATTAATCTACCCAAGGTATGTGATACCACAAATGCTTTCTTCTTTGTCCTTTTACTTTCTTTACAGCCCTCTCTCATAGATTGCTTCCTATCTCTCTGACTGCTGCTCTTCAGGTTTATTTATGATCTTTCTCCTTCCTTCCTTCCTTGCTTCTTACCTTCCTTCCTTCTTTCTCTGTCTTTTTTTTTTTTTTTTGAGACAGGGTCTCTCTGTGTTACCCAGCCTGGTCTCAAACTCCTGGATTCAAGGGATCCTCCTGCTTCAGCCTCTCAAGTACCTGAGATTACAGGTCTACAACTGTAAATCATCCTTAGGGTTGTGATTCCCAGACTACCTGGGCCTTCTCATGTAACAGTGGCTCCAGCTACCAAATCTATATCTTCCACTTAGCTCGCTCTTCTGAGCTTCATTTCATTCATTCTTTCATTGAGGGTGTTAATAGGGTGTCTATCTTAATGAATGCAATGCACTATGGGGCCTTGTGGCAACTTTTAAAATGTCCCCCCAAAACCCTGCCTCCTGTTATTCACACTCTTGTTTTACTCCTTCCTTTGAGTGTGGGCTTCCAATGAATAGAATACAGCTAAAGTAAAGAGATGTTACTTATGAGATTAGGTTACAAAAACACTCTGGCTTCTTTTCTTATTAACTCCCTCTTACCCTCTCTTAGAGCTGTCTCCTTCTGTCTTTCTCAAAGGTCTTTGCTCTGGGAGAAGCAAGCTGACATGTTGTGTAGGAAGCCTTACGAAGAGGCTTATATGGCAAGGAACTCAGGTTTCAGGCCAATAGCCAGAAATAACTTGAGGCCTGCCACCAGCTATGCTAGTGAGCTTGCTAGTGAGAGGAAGCAGGTCCTCTCCAGTTGAGTCTTGAGATGACTGCCTACCTGGTCAATACCTTGATTGCAGCCTTCTGAGAGACCCTGAGTCAGGGGCACCCAGTTAAGTTGTATAACTAATGAGCTGGTCAAAGGGATGTGGACGTAAGTGGTGTGTGCAACTTCTGGAATGTGCCCTTAAAAGGAAGGTAACATCATGTTTCCCTTTGACTCCTTTTCTGCTGGCTGGAATGCAGTGTAATTGTTGTGGTGAGCTGACTTGAACTGTGAGGATTCTTGATCCACAAAAACCATGAGAAAATAAATATTTATGGTTACAAGCTGCTATGTGTTTATGTAATTTGTTTTACTGCAATAAATAACTTATACAGGGCTGGCTACTCAGGATCCATCCTCAAATAATGAATGCTCCCTGACATCAACGATCCTTCAGTCCATTGGGGTGATAGAACAGTGTCTGTGACCACAGCACAACATGGTAGGTGTTAAAATATACACAACAACTGGTGGGAGCACAAAGAGAAGATAATTTCAATCGTACTTGAAAGTGAAGTGATTCACTCAGTGATTTTATTTTGTCATTGAATGAGGAGGCTAAATCATTTGATGAAAATGAAGAGAAAAAGATGGTGGTATACTTGAGGAGAAAATGACTTTTTAGCACCTATGCTGGGAAGAATAGTTGAAGGAATTGGAAACGAAACAACTAATGATATTTAGGCAGTGTAGAACTCAGAATTGGAAATAATGGACTTATAGGATCTTCAATCTGAGGTTGGGATTCATTATGCAAATACTTTAGCAATCTGGATATAAGATTAGAGAAATTGATGGCTGAATTTGGGATTTCAGAGAAGATGAAACAGAAAATCAAGGAACCAAGGAAGAAGATGAGCTGAGAAAAATAGCAAGACAATTATTGCAGTTCTGGCTCATAGAGTTTAGGCTGACTAAGGAAAGAAAGACAATCAAAGCTTCTGAGAGTTTAGGGAAAAGGCACTTGATTCTGATCCCCCACAAATCACTGAGACTAAGGAGTTGATGCTGTATTTGGTTTAAACCTAGGTGATGTATTCCCTCCCTGAGGTGGAGAAAACTCACAGCTGAGAAGAAAGTTCAGGTATGCTACCATGAAAACCATGAATGCACTAGCAGAGACCACTAGTTCCCTACTTTCTTCTAGGGTAAGTGAACCCCTAATTTTTAGCGGTAGAAATAACAACTTCATTTCCTAATGTCTTCTGTAGCTAGACATGGCCATGTAGCTAACGAGCTGGTCAAAGGAATGTGGACAAAAGTGGTGTGTGCAACTTCTGAACTGTGCCCTTAAAAGGAAGGTGACATTATTGTTTTCCTTTCACTCTTTTTCTGCTGGCTGGAATGTGATGTAACTGCGGTGGTGAGCTGACTTGAACCATGAGGAAGAGACTACATCCTAGGGAGGGCAGAACAACAGAAGGGGCCCATGTCCCTGAATGATCTCATAGAACCTTCACACCAGCCCTAGTCCTACATAAGGGACAATTAATTAAACTTGTTCATTTTTCAAACCACTTTTAATGTGGGTCTCTGTAACAAGCATCAGGACCTATATTTCACCTATTTCAGGTGTCCACTAAAAAAGATAAGCTGGGAATATATATGACCATAGCATAAGACAGAAAGTAGTAAGCAATAAATAGAGACACATGTAAAAATTAAGGATGTGTATAATAATCACCTCAAGTCAAGCTGGGAGCTTTCATAAGAGGTTGAAGTTTTTGATCCATGACAGACTCCAGACTTTCCATAAGGTGGTGGATTTGCAGGCCAGGGAATGTGACTATGTGCTCTTAAGAATCATCCATTGATTTTCCTATCATTTTTCTAGACCTTTTGACTTATTGAGAAAAGAATTATGTGGCTTATGATAAAATTGGAGTGAATCGCAGACGAGAAATTATTCAGAGTCCTTTCGTTATCTAGAGCTGCAATCACTAAATAGGTAACCACTGGCCACATGTGGCTAATTAGATTTAAATTAATTAAAATTAAATAAAATTTTAAAACTCAGTTCCACACACCGGCCACATTTCAAGTGTTCAGGGGTCACAGGTTGCCAGTAGCTACTGTATTGGACAGCACAGATAGGGAACATTTCCATCATGTCAGAAAATTCTATTGGACAGTTCTAGAGAGATCTAAGAGACAGTACGTGTCTCTCGCTCACCAATACTCCATCTCGCCTCAGCCTGCGTGCAATCCAAGCCCAGAGACTGGTGCCCAGGCTCTACCACTTCCTACAGAAGATTTAAAAACTGGTAGTGCCAACAGAAATTATTTAGCCTAGTCCCGCCAAGAAGGTGATGTGGTAATAAAGTCCAAGATTCTGCCACATAAGTCGGGTCAGCAAGTCGGTGGCGAAAAGAGGGCCACGTCCCAGACTTTCTGGGAGGAGGCGGGACAAAGGGGCGGGGCGAGCGCAGCGCCCTCCGGGTGGGCGCCGTCAAGAGGCCGGGGGCGGGGCCGAGCGCGGCTGGGCGGGGCCTTGAGAGGCCGGCCGGGGGCGGGGAGGCTGGCGGGTCGGCGCGGGCCCAGCCGTGCGTGCTCACGTGACGGGTCCGCGAGGCCCAGCTCGCGCAGTCGTTCGGGTGAGCGAAGATGGCGGCCGAGAGGGAACCTCCTCCGCTGGGGGACGGGAAGCCCACCGACTTTGAGGATCTGGAGGACGGAGAGGACCTGTTCACCAGCACTGTCTCCACCCTAGAGGTGAGACCGCGTCGCTGCGGGTGCTGCGCTGCGTAGCTGCCGCGCGTCTCACCTTTCCCCTGCCCCGACTTGTCCCTCCCCATCCCCCGTGTTTGCAAGGACCGTCTTGGGGTGACACCTGTGACGCGAGCCCCACCTCCGGTGCCTGTCAGAGGGATGTGCTTGGGCTGAGCGCAGGGCCTCCTCAGGAGAGCAGCCTGCGGCCCGCGGGTGCCGACCTAATCCTCAGAGGGGCCAGAACCGAACCGAGCATTGCAGCGGCGCTTTCCCAGCTCAGCTGGCCTTCCTCGGTGTCTCTTGCACGTCCTCCTCTTCAAGCCGGAGAAGGGCTTGCTCTGCATCCCAGTAAACCTCCACCGAGCTCTTTTGAAGGGGTGCTCGCTTTTCCTTTCCAGAGGGAGGGTGTGCCGCTGCCAGGGGAGCGCAATGAAGTGAGCGCTGAGGGGCCGAGGGTCTGTGGGGAACGAATGGGTGCACTTTCCCAGGAATGGCCCTTCACGGACTGCTGGTTCCTCTTGAGGGAGCTGCTTCTGATTTGGACTGTTAAATAGGTAAATGCATTTGCCTCTTTTTGTTTGTCTTTAGTTCCTAGACTTTTAAAAGGTCATAGTATTTATAAAATGTAAAGCTGAAGGCAGGATTAGTCCAGGAAACTGCTGTTGTGTGTGTGTGTGTTTTCGAAGTTACCAAGGGAGAAATAGAAACAGATCTCCACTCCTTTTTCCTCTTTTCTCGCTTGATCAGCGATCTCTGAAGCTGTGTGTTCCTGTTTTTGTCAAAGGAAGCACCCTCTATAAACTTAACTGTATTGGGCCCTCCTTATATCCAGTTCCATTTGAATTGCTTTGCGTTTGATGAGAGCACCCACACCTCACAGCCTAATTTTAAGTGTGTGTATGTGAATTAAAATGTATGAAATTTCCCAGAGGATTGTTTACTGTGGGCTATACTTGCTTTTAAAGTATTTTCAATAAGCTTTCTTGGCTTGTTTAACTCTGCACCAAATCAATTGGAAATTACTGTAAAATATCCATTATCTGAAATTCAGTTACCTGAAACTGGAAACCCGGAAACAGTTTTCAGCACTGATCACATTCTGCTAATTGTATATGCAGTGTCCCACCCAAACCCCACCTCCCCTCAGGTTATAGGTTTTCTGCAGCTTAGTGTTAATTTCCTGATCATCTTTGTGTCTCTCACAAAATCTTGAACATGTGTATTTATTAGGTTGGTGCAAAAGTAATTGTGGTTTTTGCCATCCCTTTTAATAGCCAAAAGCCGCAATTACTTTTGCACAAACCTAATAGTAAATGTTTGCCTGAGTTAAAACCAGCACCTCCTAAAATTAATAAAAATTATCTTGCAGAATATATTTTCGGGGATTAGTATCCTTTTAGCCCTTTCTACTTACTATACAGCTACTTTAACATGTACATGTGTTGAAAGTGTCTGCAGGATCCTAAGACCTGTATTCCTTTTGGAGGATACAGTTTTTCTACCAGCGAGAATCAGAACAAACTTGATTGACCCTAGTGTGAACTAGAATACTGTGAAGGCTAAGCATTCTGTTGGGGGTCGTTTAGAGTTGAGTAGAAAGAACTATAATCTGTATTTCCCATGTGAATAAAACTTTAAAAAACAGAGTGTTACAACCTTTTTTCAGTAAGTCTGCAAAGTTTGATCATGAATAATTTATCTTGGTTAACGCACTGTAAAAGTTGTAAACACATTTGTTTTTGATTATTCATCTCAGCACCTTATTTAATGTACTCATTTAGGTTACTAATTTTCAGAAGGTGGTGTGGCTATGAGATTTGTAAAGTCAGATTTTTTTTTTCTTTTTAAATTTGGGAAGGATATATAGCAGTATTTCCTAGTATACCAAAACTGCTTTAAAGGAATGTTCTTTCAGTACTTCACTTTTCTTTTAAACAGTGCTTCTCAAACTGTGGTGTGCTGGAGTATCCACAGTATTCATCTTTAAAATGCAGATGCCTGTGCCTCACTGGAAACTTCATGTTTAATAAGTGTTCTAGATCCGTGTTTTGCAATCTTTGTAAATAGGGATCTTGTTGAAGTGCAAATTCGGATTCTGTAGGACTGGGTAGAACCCAGTATTCTGCATTTTTAACACGCTTTCCTGATATCAGTGCTTCTGGTCCATAGACAACATTGAGTTGCAAGGCCCTACGTGATTCTGATATAGATCATCAGGCTTGAATAGTTATTACCTAAGAAAATATATACTACTTAAACCATAAAATCAAAAGTCAGTCATATAAATTAATGTCTTTTAACTTAAAGTAAGTCAGAGTTTATTATATTATTCATATAGGAACTTTTTCATTTAAGAGCATTTAATTTGCAGGGGGATCAATTGAAATTTAAGTGAAAATCAAATTATAGAAAGCTTCAATGGCATAATTGTTAAGCTTGTAATGCCTATGCATTACTATATCTGTACACTTATGTGTATATTTTTACTTTTATTATTTTTAATTGACACATAATGTACATACTTATGGAGTACAGTGTGATGTTTCAGTACCTGTGTACAATGTGTAATGATCAAATCAGGATAATTAGCTTATCCATTACCTCAAACGTTTATCAGTTCTTTGTGTTGGAACATTCAAAATCTGCTCATCTAGCCCTTTGAAAATATACAATAAATTGTTAATTTTAGTCAATGTATGGTGTTCTAGAACACTAGAATTTATTCCTCCTATTTGGCTGTAATATTGTATGTTAACCCATTTTTGACTATTGGCCTCTTCCCAGACTCTTGTAATCACTAGTCTACTTTCTACTTCTGTTAGATGAACTTTTTTAACTTTTACATATGAGTAGGAACATGCAGTATTTGTCTTTCTGTGCCTGGCTTATTTTACTTAACATAATGTCCTCCAAGCTCATCCATGTTGTTGCAAATGACAGGATTTCATTCCTTTTTATAGTTGAATAGTATTCCATCATGCATATATACCACATGCTCTTGATTCATTCATCTGTTGGTGGATATCTAGATTGCTTCCAAATCTTGTCTATTGTGAATAGTGCTGCAGTAAACATGGGGGCACAGATATCGCCAACATATTTATTTCCTTTCCTTTGGATATTTACCCAGTAGTGGGATTGCTGAATCATCCGGTAGTTGTATTTTCAGTTTTCTGAGTAAACTCCATACTGTTTTCCATAATGGCTATACTAATTACGTTCCCATCAGCAGCAGTGTATAAGATAACTCCTTTCTCCACATCTTTGCTAGCATTTGTTATTTTTTGACTTTTTATTTATTTTTGTTTTTATTTTTTTGAGACAGAGTCTCGCTCTGTCACCCAGGGTGGAGTGCAGTGGTTTGATCTTGGCTCACTGCAGTCTCCACCTCCCAGGTTCAAGCAGTTCTCCTGCCTCAGCCTCCTGAGTAGCTGGGACTACAGGCGTGCACCACCATGCCCTATTTTTTGACTTTTTAATAGCTATTCTGACTGCAGTCAGATAATATCTTATTGTGGTTTTGATTTGCATTTCCTTGATGATTAGTGATGTTGAGAATTTTTTTCTTATGTGTATATTTTTTAACCCAATATTAAACTCCTCCCCTTTCAAAATTAATAACAGCCACATAAAGCTATATCAGTAAATAAAACATTTCAAACTCCTACTGTATGTTTCTTTTGTGACTGTGAAACAAAAAAGGGATGGAGACAGAGAAGGGAATGAGAAGGGAAAAAAATCTGGCAAAAGCCTGTTCTTCTATGGTACCTGAGAGGCAAGGCTTTAACTTGTTTATGAATACTGTTTTATTCCTTAAATGGTGCAACCCTAAGCTTAATGGTGCTTGACCTTTAAATACAGTTTTGCATGGAGTAGTAGATAGTACGTTTTAAAAAAAAGGTCAGGAATTTATATTAACTACCTGGTTCTTTTTTAAAAACATCTGTGTTGAGATATGATTTATATATCATATAATTTACCCATTTAGTATGTACAATTTAATGGTTTCTAGTGTATTCACAGATATGCCCAACATCACCTCAGTTTTAGAGCGTTTTCATCACCTCAGAAAGATACCCTGTACCCTTTAGCTATCATCCCACGCCTTAATTCCCTCATCCCCTCTGCCCTCAACTGTAAGCAACCACTAATCTACTTTCTGTCTCTAGATTTCCCTATTCTAGACTTTATATGAATGGATCGTATAATACATGGTCTTTTGTGACGGGCTTTTTTCCTTTAGTACAATGGTTTCTAGGTCTGTAGCACGTATCAATACTTCATTCCTTTTTATGACCAAATAATATTCTATAGTATGGCTGTACCACAGTTTGTTTAACCATTTGTTGATGGACATTTAGGTGGTTATGAATATGACCATGAGTATTCAGCTATTGTGAATAATGCCGTTAACATTCGTGTACAAGTGGAATTGCTGGGTTATGTGGTAACTCCATGTTTAATCATTTGAAGAGTTGCCAGACTGGTTTCCCAAAATGGGATGAGTTGGAGGCACTTTTTTAAAAAATTATTTTATTTTTTCAAGTTCTGGGGTACATGTGGAGGATTCGCAGGTTTGTTAATAGGTAAATGTGTGCCATGGTGGTTTGCTGCTCCTATCAACCCATCACCTAGGTATTAAGCCCAGCATGCATTAGGTCTTTTCCCTAATGCTCTCCTGTCCTCCCCTTACAGGCCCCAGTTTGTGTTGTTTCAAGTTGGAGGCACTTTAAACAGTCTGAGGTTAAAGGCCTAAAGAAAGAAAGTGCAAATAATAAAGGAGAAAAGAGAACTTATGTAATAACAGATTAAAAGATAATATTCAGAAGTCTTATAATGCCTCCCTTCAGATGATTCTTAGGGGAGGGAATAATAAGTTTATTTCACTTGAGGTTATGTTATATCAGTGAAGATAGCATTAGGCAGCTAGGACTGCTGGATGGGCTAGAGATGTAGCTTTGGGAGTCTATCTTAAACTTATTGAAAACACTAAACCGGGATCTTTGTGGAAATCTAGTCTTCCTCTAGTGGAGTGTATGAACCAACAGAAGTCAATATAATAAATACAATCGTGTGAATAAATACCTGCCATACCAGGTGATATATGTGTAATTAAAAATCTGCACAAGGTACAGAAACAGGTGATATATGTGTAATTAAAATAGAAATAGTATAGAAGACTGGGGTGACTTGATTGCATAGAGATGATCTTTGAGGCCCTGAAAGTGGTTGAGAATTATCAAGAGAAAGTAGAATAAGACAGGAGACACTTTTGATAAAGAGGAACTGCGAGCAAGTTTAGTATCTGCTGTTCTAACATAACAGGTAATAAAAGTATATATAACTTGTTTTCTTTTCTTTTCTTTTCTTTTTTTTTTTTTGAGACAGAGTCTTGCGCTGTCCCAGGCTGGAGTGCAGTGGCGCAACCTCAGCTCACTGCAGCCTCTGCCTCCCAGGTTCAAGCGATTCTCCTGCCTCAGCCTTCCACGTAGCTGGGATTACAGGTGCACGCCACCATGCCCGGCTAATTTTTGTATTTTTAGTGGAGACGAGGTTTCACCATGTTGACCAAGCAGGTCTCGAACTCCTGACCTTGTGATCTGTCCACCTCGGCCCCCTAGAGTGCTGGGATTACAGGCCTGAGCCACCACGCACAGCCTTGTTTTCTTAATTCTGTTTTCTAATCCTTGGGCCTCCAACTTTAAATGTGTGAATTTTTTGAAAATTTCATTACGAATTATCTATGTTTCAGAGGGAAAAATTTGTGAACAGGTATTTAAATGCATTAAGCATGGAAAATTAGTAGAAAGAGATTTATGAAGAAGCGTGATTCAAGTTGACCACTTTCTCTTGAAACCATTAAATTTAAGGAGTTTTGAATGAATTATTTTTAGATCCTATAAAAATAAGTTATTTTATGAAGTTGCTTGCGACAGGGATGCTCAGCTTTTCTTGAAGAGATTTTCTTAGCCTCTTCCCAGCCTCTGGCAACCACTGATCTGTTTTCTGCCTAAAGTTTTGTCTTTTCTAGAATGTCATATAGGTGGAATCATAGATTATGAAACTTTTAGAGTTTGACTTTCTTTAACTTAACATAAAGCATTTGAGAGTCATTAAGTTTGTTCTATGTATCAATTGTTAATGACTTGTTTATTATTGATTTAGTATTCCATTGTTTGTATGTAACAGTTTGTTGATCAGCTGAAGGACATTTCAGTTGTTTCCAGTTTGGGGTATTTATGAATAAAGCAATATAAACATGTATTTACAGGCTTTTGTGTGAGCATGAGTTTTCAGTTTTGCAGCGTACATACCTACAAAGTAGGGTGGCTGGGTTGTGTGGTAAATATAAGCTTAATTTTAAATAAACTGCCAAACTATTTTCAAAAGTGGCTGTACCATTTTGCATTGCATCAATAATGACTAAGAATGACAGTTTTTCCATATCCTTGTCAGCACTTGTTATTATCAATTTTAATTTTAGGCAGTGGTGAGCTGAAGGCTGGTCTTGCTAGCAAGAACTGTATGTTACATTTTTAGGAATTTTATGAACTAGTTAATAAACAGCCATTATTAAAAATTAAATGCAATGAATTTAAAATTAAATATATACCTATGTAAAGATTATACATAATTTTATAAAATTTTTATTAATGTTATAAATATGTAAAAATAATAAATATATAAAGCTCCTTGCTTTCTAATTCCTTTACTACATTTCACTATTACCTATGCTCTTGAGATTAATTATGTCTGTTGTGTCTGTATGGTGGAAGGTACGTGTCTTCGCAACTCTACCACAGAAATCAGCAAAAGCTAAAAATCTGGATCTTCTCCTCTGCAGATCTGATTGCTAAACATTTACCAGCACAACACTGATTTTTAGCCATTCTAAGAGGTGTTTAGTGTTACCTCATCCCTTTAATATATATTCACTAATGCCTAATGTTGCTGAGTATCTTTTTATGTACATACCATCTGAATATTATCTTTTTTGGTTATGTGTCCTTTTACATCTTTTGCTTATTTTTTTATTTTATTTTATTTGAGACAGAGTCTTGCTCTGTTGCCCAGGCTTGGAGTGCGGTGGTGTGATCTCGGTTCACTGCAACCTCCACCTCCCGGGTTCAAAAGATTCTCCTGCCTCGGCCTCCTGAATAGCTGGGATTACAGGCACCTACCCCCACGCCCAGCTAATTTTTGTATTTTTAGTAGAGACAAGGTTTCACCATGTTATCCAGGTTGTTCTCGAACTCCTAACCTCAGGCAGTTCGCCCTTCTCAGCCTCCCAAAGTGCTGAGATTACAGGCGTGAGCCATCACGCCCGGCCTATTTTATTTTATTTGAGATGGAGTCTCACTCTGCTGCCCAGGCTAGAGAGCAGTTGGCACAATCTCTGCTCACTGCAACCTCCACCTCCCCAGTTCAAGCGATTCTCCTGCCTCAGCCTCCCTAGTAGCTGGGATTACAGGTGCCCACCACCATGCCCAGCTAATTTTTGTATTTTTAGTAGAGATAGGGTTTCGCCATGTTAGCCAGGCTGGTCTTGAACTCCTGACCTGAAGTGATCTGCCTGCCTTGGCCTCCCAAAGTGTTGGGATTACAGGCGTGAGCTATTGCACCTGACCTGTTTTGCTCATTTAAAATATTGAATTTTGAGAATTATTTATGTTGTGAATATTTTTTTTCCCAGTCGGTGACTTGTGTTTTTTGTTTTGTTTCTTTGTTTTTGTTTTTTGTTTTTGTTGAGATGGAGTCTCGCTCTGTCACTAGGTTGGAGTGCAGTGGCGTGATCTCGGCTCACTGCAACCTCCACCTCCCCAGTTCAAGCGATTCTCCTGCCTCAACCTCCTGAATAGCTGGGACTACACACACGTGCCACCATGCCCAGCTAATTTTTTTTTTTTTTTGTATTTTTAGCAGAGACAAGGTTTCATAATGTTAGCCAGGATGGTCTCGATCTCTTGACCTCGTGATCCACCCATCTCGGCCTCCCAGACTGCTGGGATTATAGGCGTGAGCCACCGCGCCTGCCCAGTGACTTGTTTTTTTGTTTGATTAACCGTATCTTTCTCAGAGCAGATGTTTAACATTAACATTTAAAGGAAAGCTATCTTTTCTTTTTTTATTGATAGTATTTTAGATGTCACATATATGAAATCCTTTGCTAACTTTAACCCATGGTCACAAAGATTTTGCTTATAGTTTCTTCCAAAAGAATTTGGAATTTTACATTGTACATTTAGGATTCATGTTGAGTTAATTTTTGTGTGAGATATGGGTTGACATTCTTTTTTTAAAATACAGATACTTAGTTATTCCAGCACCATTTGTTGAAAGTCTAGCCTTTCTTTATTGGGCTGTCTTTTTCAGAAATGAACTGACCATATATATGTGGGTTGACCTATTTCTGTTTTGTTTCATTGATCTATTGAGAATCCTTTCCCAGTCTACACTGTCTTGATTATTTAATCTGAATCTTGAAATCAAGTCGAATGACTCCTCTAACTTTGTTATTTTAAAAATTGCCTTGGCTATTCTAGTTCTTTTGCTTTTTCTTATAATTTTAGAATCAATTTGTTGATTTCTACTGAAAAATCCTGCTGAGATTTTAATTGGGATTGTGTTGAATTCAGAAATTAGTTTCAGGAGAATTAACCCATTAACAATATTGAGCCTTCAAGCTATAAGCATAATCTCTCTATTTATTTAGTTAGATCTTGATTTTCTTTCACTAATGTTTGTAGCTTTCAGCATACAGATCTAGCACATATTTTGTTATGTGCTAGATCTGTATGCTGAGTATTTCATAGTTTTTAGTGCTTTTATTTCTTTTATTACTTTTTATATTTCCCCTTTGGTTGCATGTTGACCCTGTATGATAGCAACTGTTCTAAACACTTACTAGGTTTAGTAGGTTTTTGTAGAGTCCGATGATTTTCTGTGTAGATAATCATATTGTTTGTGATTGGAGTTTTATTTCCTTCTCTCAGTCTTTATACCTTTTTTTTTTTTCTCTTGTCCTAATGGCTGGGTAGGACCACCAGTATAATATTGAATAAAAGTGGTGATAGTGAATATTCTTTCCTTTTTCATGATCTCAGGATATAAGATGTTATCTGTAAGGTTTTTTGTTTTTTTTAATGAGCTTAATCAAATGAAGTTCTCCTCTGTTTCTAGTTTTCTGAGTTTTTATCCATGAACGGATGTTAATTTTGACAAATGCTTTTTCTGCATTCATTATGATAATCATATAGTTTTCTTCTTTAGTTTATTGATAAGTTAGATTATATTGATTTTTTTTTCTTTTTTTTTAAGCCCCACCCTCAGAATGATTTTCAAACTGATTCAAAAAAGTTGAATCAGCGTTGCATTCTTGGGATAAACCCCACACAATCATAATGTATTTATCCTTTTTATATATTGCTGGATGCAATTTGCTAGATTTTGTTTAGGCTTTTGTGTCTGTGTTCACGACAGATATTTGTGTTTTCTTTTTCATGTATCTTTGGTTTTCATATGAGAAATGCTAGCTTCGTTAAGTGATTTGGCGAGTGTTTCCTCTTATTTCATATTCTTGAAGAGGTTGTGTGGAATTAGTCTTACGTCTTCCCTAAATGTTGATAGAATTTACTAATGAAGTCATCTGAATTGTAGTTTTGTTTGTTGGAAGGCTTTTAACGACAAATTCAATTTTTTAAATACAGGACTGCTTCATGGTGAACTTTGGAAGTATGTATCTTTTAAGGAATTTATCCATTCAGTCTCAGTTGTGAAATTTATGGGCATACTGTTTTTTGTAGTACTTATCATCCTGTTAACATGTTTGTGGAGTCTGTGGATGGTAAACTTTTCTTTTTTTTCCTGATACTGGTAATTTACATCTTCTGTTTATTTATGTATTTTGATTTGGTAGAGGTTTGATATCCTCTTAGGATCTTCTCAAACAATTACCTTTTGCTTTCATTGATTTTTTTCCTCCTGTTGTTTCTGTTGTGAATTTCATTGATTTCTGCTCTGTTTTCTTTCTTCTGCTTGCTTTGTGTTTAATTTGCTCTTCTAGTTTTTTTTTGTTGTTGTTGTTAATTTTAGTTTTTATTTTTATTTTTATTTTTTTTGTAGAGACAGGGAGTCACACTATGTTGCCCAGGCTGCTCTTGAACTCCTGGCCCCAAGTGAGCCACTTACCTTGGCCTCCCAAAATGCTGGAATTACAAGTGTGAGCCACTGCACCGAGCCTGGTTTTCTAGTTTCTTATTAAAGTAGAAGCTTGGATCATTGATTTGAGACTTTTCTCCCTACTCTTGCTGTTTAGCTATGTATTTCCCTCTAAGCATGACTTTGGCTGCATTCCACAAATTTTGATAAATGTGGTTTTGTTTTCATTCAATTTAAAATAATTTCTAGTTTCTCTTGTGACCTCTTATTTGATCTATGAGTTATTTAGAAGTACATTATTTAATTTCCAAAATTTGAGGATATTCCAGATAGCTATTACTGATTTCTGGTTTCATTTGGTAATGGTAAGAGAATGTTTTATGCTTTCCATTTTTTTAATTTGTTAAAGTTTGTTTTATGGCCCAGAACATGTTCTATTATGCTAAGTGTTCTGTGTGCACTTTTGAAAAGAATGTATATATAGTCTGTTTTGTTGGGTGGAGTGTCGTACAAATGTTAGGTCAAGTTGGTTGATATTTTTCTGTCTTTCCCTGTTACCTATTTACTTGTTTTATCAATTACTGAGAGAAAAGTGTTGAAGTCTCCAAGATAATTGTATATTTTTAATTTTTATTTCTTGTTTTAGTTCACTTAGGTTTTCCTTTATGTATTTTGAAGCTATTTTGTTACATAGATGCTTAGGATTGTTTTGTCTTCTTGGTAAATTGACCCTTTTATCATATAATGTCCCTTTTTATTGATGATAATATTTCTTATTCTGAAGTTTACACCCTCTGATGTTTAGCACAACAGCTTTCTTGTAGATTGTCTGCATGACATATCTTTTTTATTGTTTTACTTTTAACTAATTTGTCTTTCAAGCAGGTTTTTTTTAGGCAACATGTGTGTAGTTATTTTTATATCCAGTCTAGCCATCTCTGTTTCCTAATGGGTATATTTAGGCTATTTATTTAATTATTGATGTGGCTAGATTAGATCTACCGTTTTATTTGCTTACTGTTTTTCTCTTCAGTTTTTTTCCTTTTCTCCTTTCTTGTGGATTACTTTATGTTTATTAGTATTTCATTTTATCTACTATGTATTTGTTTAATATCATTATATTTAAATATATATTTTAGTGGTTGCTCTGCAGCTTAAAATATACATACCTGAGTTAATATTATACTTCACGTAAAATGCCAAGCTTTACAACCACATAGGTTCATTTACCTTCCCTCCTTTACGCTTGGAAGTCATTGCTGCGCACACCAATAGCATAGTTTTGCAGTTGGCACCATCCTCAGGAAAAGTTAAGACAGAATAAAAAAAAAAATGGCAAAATGGATCCTTGTAAGGACGGGCCATTTTTTACATTTTGGCTCCCTCCTTAGTCGGCCTGCTATTTTTTATTTTTATATTGTTGCTTTTTGTATTCTATCCAGAACTTTTAGTGTCAGTCTGTTGGGGAGGGAGGCTTTAGTGGTCCTTGTTGATCTTGTTTGGAATCCAAAGTGCCACTTTTTAATTGAAGAGATACTAGCAAAAAAATCTTAAAATTTTTTATCCTGCATACTACCAGGTGATGGTGTGGGGGAATAAAGGAATATTCATTTATTAAGAATACAGATGTCTACTCAGTTGTATATCTTGGACAACTGTAGTTCTGATCATGAAGAACCTGTGTCACAGGCAGAGAAGCCATCAGTATTCTTTTCCACCATAACTTTCTCATTTGGCAGTCACTGTCCACACTCCTTTCCATCCACTAGAAAATAGCTCTTTTCCTATTTAGTAGGAACCTGGAAGAGGCATGGAGAGGCAGGACAAAGATAAGTAGGTTTTTGCAACCTTTAAAGATTAACAGCTCCCTTGGCTGGGTGTGGTGGCTCACGCCTGTAATCCTAGCACTTTGGGAGGCCAAAGCAGGTGGATCACTTGAGGTCAGGAGTTCGAGACCAGCCTAGCCAACATGGTGAAGCCCTGTCTCTACAAAAAATAAAAAAATTAGCTAGACATGGTGGTGCATGCCTGTAGTTCCAGCTATTTGGGAGGCTGAGGTAGGAGAATTGCTTGAACCTGAGAGGCAGAGGTTGCAGTGAGCCAAGATTGCACCACTGCACACCAGCCTGGGGGACAGAGCAAGACTGTCCCCCCCCAAAAAAAAAAGAAAGAAAGAAAAAGAGTGATAGCTCCCTGGCAGTTGAGCGGGGTACTCCAAGCTGCTGATGGTTGGACACCTGAAGGAAGTGGATTCCTCATAGCCTCTCCATAGTGATATGACTGCTCCCCAGCAGCCTCTACTTGAGTTGCCCACTGCCCCACATCATTCCCATTGTGCGGTCCACTCTTGGGCTCTGGACTATGAGGTGAAAAGGTTGTTTTTGTTATATAAACATGTTTGTTTTTCTTTCCTTGTTTCTGGTGTTAAAACTACGAGTACCCAAGGTATTAGCAATATGAACTTTCAGTTATGATAAGAATACATTATATGTTGCAAATAGTTTACATGTATTATAGCTGTATACTGTATTATAATCTTTACTTCAACAGTCATGTCTATTTTAAAGAACTTAAGAGGAAAAAATAATCTGTTTTATTTATTCAGATATTTACCATTTTTGTTGCTTTTCCTTTACCCAAGGTTTGCTCTTGTAATTTTTCTTTTTAGCATAAAGAATTTCCTTCAGCATTTCTTTTTGAGCAGATCTGTTGGTGATGAATATTCTTAATTTGTACTTCATCTGAAAACTTTATTTCACCTTCAATCCTGGAGGATATTTTCACTGTTCATAGGTTTCTGCATCAATAGGTCTTTCAACACTTTCAGAGTGTTATTCCACTGTTTTGTAGCCTTTGTGGTTTCTGATGAGAAATCCACAGTTGTTTGAATTGGTATTCCCCTGTAAAAATACGTTGTTTTTCTCTAGCTGCTTATATTTTTTCCCTATAGCTTCCATTTTCAGCAGTTTGAATCTAATGTGTGTAGGCATAGTATTCTTTGATTTTATCCTCAATGAGGTTTGCCAGGCTTCTTGAATCTGTAAGTTTATATCGTTCACCAAATTCTGGAAATTTCAGCTACTGTTTCTTTAAATACTTCTGCAGCAATCTTTCATCCTTCCTTCTGGAACATTTTGGTATTGTCCCATAGGTCCTTGAGGCTTTGTTCATTTTTTCAACTTCTTTTCTCAGGAGAAGTTATCTTTGTTATTCAGATCAGATATTTTCTATGGATTTATTTTCAGTTGCACTAACACTTTGCTCTTCAATAGCAATAACAACCCATTATTCTCTTTGGTAACAGCTCATTCTGTTATTGAGCTTATGTGAATGTTTTGTTTCAGGTAATTTTTTTTTCAGTTCTAACATTTTGTTTTCTTTCTTCTTTTTGTAGCAGCTTTCTTTTTTTGCAGCAGCTTCTGTTTCTTTGCTGAGAGCTGTCATTTCATTCACTTCAAATATGTTTACCTTTACTTCATACAACATAGTTAGAAATGCTTTTAAAAGTTTTAAAAAATAATGCATTCAACATCTGGGTTATTTCTAGGTTGACATCTGTTGACTGTCTTTTCTCTTATTTGGTCACATTTTTTGGACTCTTTATGACAAATAATTTTGGACTATATCTTAAACATCCCAAATGTTATATTGTGTAGGCTCTGCATCCTGTTATAATCCTCTGGAGACTATTGGGATTTTTTGTTTATTTTTTTGTTTGGTCAGGCAATCAATTTGCTTAGGTTCAGATTCCAAATTTCTGTTTTGCCTTCTGTGGGCAGTGGTTCTAATCTCAGTTCAGTTTTCAAAGCTTTTGCCTCTTCAGGTCTGTCTCATGCAGGCACCACTCAGGTCTTAGTCTGGGACTTTGACAGTGACCTAAGTATCAATTGAGTTTTCCAGTCTGTGAGAATTGCTGTGCTGTTTGGCTACACATGTGCTGCTCAGGGTTGACCCTGAGATTTGCACACATTCATTCACAGAATTAGGGGATCCCCTTCTCCAGTTTTTTCTCTGGGATTTTCCCCACATTCTTCAGTTTACAAGACCGCCCCACCTTCCCCACCACACACACACATACACACACACACACACACACAGACACACACGGACACACACACACACACACACACACACACACTCTTCCTCTAGCCCGAAAGATGAGGTTTCTTTTGGCGTTTTATCTACCCGTGCTGTAGCTCCTGTAGTGCAGCTCCATGCCTGGGACTTGCTTTCAGCAAATCTGCAAGAGAAAAGAGGGGGAAAAAAACAGGGATTTATTCATATACACATACTCCTTAGCTCATATGACCCCTTTGTCTGATTCATCTGGCCATAAAGATGAGATTTCTACCAGAGTTTAGCTGTCTCTGTCTCTATACCATTGCACAGGTCTGTGACTGAGGCCCACTTTCAGGACAAAACTATTAGAGAAAAGAGGAAAGGAATAGACTCTCTACCTTTTATGATCTGTCAGAATTTGTTTACTTTTTAGATTCCTCAAGTACCTTTTTAATTTTATCTATAGGCTTTAGTTATAATCAGAGAGAGAGGCTCTAGTTGGCTTACCACTTGTATGAGTTATCTGTTGCTGTGTAACGCATTAGCAACTTAAAATAATAAACATTATATCACAGTTTTTAAGGGTTGGAAATCCAAGAGCAGCTTAGCTAGCTAGGTATTCTCATCCAAGGTCTCTCATACAATTGTAGTCAGGATTTCAGCCAGTGCTGCAGTCATCTGACAGCTGAGGAGGATCCACTTTTTCTTTTTCTCAAAGAGTCTTACTCTGTTGCCCAGGTTGGAGTGCAGTGGTGCGATCTCAGCTCACTGCAACCTCCGCCTCCTGGGTTCAAGCTATCCTCCTGCTTCAGCCTCCCAAGTAGCTGGGACTACAGGTATGCGCCACTATGCCTGGCTAATTTTTTTGTATATTTAATAGAGACGGGGTTTCTCCATGTTGGCCAGGCTGGTCTTGAACTTCTGACCTCAGGTGATCCACCCACCTCAGCCTCCCAAAGTGCTGAGATTACAGGCGTGAGCCACCGTGCCTGGCCGAGGAGGATCCACTTCTAAGCTCACTCTCATGGCCATTAAGAGGAACCTTCATATCCTTGCCACGTGACCTCTCTATAGACTGCTCAGCATCTGACAACCCATTTTTCCCAATGAGTGGTCAAAGAGAAAGGGTAAGCACAAGACCAACCAAGATGGAAGCCACAGTCATTTATAACCTAATGTCAGAAGTGGGGGAGGAAGATAGTAAGACAGTTCACTTTGGTTGGGCAGAAAAAAAATGGTTTTGGGTTGTCGCAGCAGAAATACATATAAGTGAGAGAAAGGGTAGAAGATAGGGGAATTGGCTAGTTATGGAAGATTTGGGTGGTAAGAGAGAAGTAGGACTTTGGGAAAATATCTGGATTTCTGAATTGGGTCACCTACCAAGAAAAGCAGTTGTTCCTTCTTCCCAGTCTTTCTGCCTTTTACTTCCTTTTCTTGTCTTTTTGCATGCAGCTAGAACTTTCAGTATGATGTTGAAAAGAAGTGGTAAAAGGGGACAACCTTGTCTTGTTCCTGATCTTACTGGGGAAGCTTCAAATTTCTCACCATTAAGTATGATGTTAGTTGTAGGCTTTTTGTAGATATTCTTTATCAAGATATCCTCTATTACTAGCTTACTGAAAGTTTTTTATCATTAATAGATATTGGAGCCACTCTGCCATATTTTTAGGTGGATGCACTATAGGCTATTTCAATTTTTTTTTTTTTTTTTTTTTTGAGAGGAGTTTTGTTCTTGTTGCCCAGGCTAGAGTGCGATGGCATGATCTTGGCTCACCACAACCTCTGCCTCCCAGGTTCAAGCAATTCTCTTGCCTCAGCCTCCTGAATAGCTGGGATTACAGACATGCGCCACCATGCCCGGCTACTTTTTTTTTGAGATGGAGTCTTGCCCTGTCGCCCAGGCTGGAGTGTAGTGGTGCAGTATCAGCTCACTGCAGCCTCTGCCTCCCGGGTTCCAAAGATTCTCCTGCCTCAGCCTCCTGGGTAGCTGGGATTACAGGCGCCTGCCACCACGCCCGGCTAATTTTTGTATTTTTAGTAGAGACGGGGTTTCACCACATTGGCCAGGCTGGTCTCGAACTCTTGACCTCAAGTGGTACGCCTGCCTTGGCCTCCCAAAGTGCTGGGATTATAGGCATGGGCCACTGCGCCCAGCCTAATGTTGTATTTTTAGTAGAGACGAGATTTTTCCATGTTGGTCAGGCTGGTCTCGAACTCCTGACCTCAGGTGATCTGCCTGCCTTGGCCTCCCAGAGTGCTGGGATTACAGGCGTAAGCCACCGCGCCTGGCCCTCAATTTTTATAGTAATATAGAACATCTGATTGACAAACTTGTGGTTAATTCTTTGACATATCCATCATTATTTTCTTAAAACTCAGTTAAATGATAGTCATTGAGTGTTTTACTGCTAGATACTGAGTAAAGAGTAGTGAACAAGATGAGATACTCTTCCTTTCTATGTACAGCGTGCAGTCTATAAAACAGATAATACTTATAATGTGGTAAGAGAAATTATGACACAAGTAGGTACTCTATGGAAGTATATAGGCCAATCACCCAATCAGACTCTTCTAGAGTTACAGTTAAGGTTGTCAGGAGTACTTTCAGAGGAAATAATACACAAACTTGTTCTTTAAATTCCTTCAAGTGAAAGTTGCTAAGTTAAAGAGAGGCCCACTTTTGTGAGAATTTGGGACTTTAAGAATTAGTTCTCGAGAGAAAAGAAAGCCTCTTTAAATTTTCCTATAAGAGTTTGAAACTACTTTTGAATGTTCTAAAGAGATTTTTGTGCCATTGAGGGTAGTTTACTTAAAAAGCTGATGAGAAAATCTTATTAATTAGGAGTGGCATCAAAAGACTATTGATCCTACAAAATGCTTAGTAACTGTTGGGCGCAGTGGCTCACGCCTGTAATCCCAACACTTTGGGAGGCTGAGGCGGGTGGATCACCTGAGGTCAGGATTTCAAGATCAGCCTCACCAACATGGTGAAACCCCTTCTCTACTAAAAATACAAAAAAAATTAGCTGGGTGTGGTGGCGGGTGCCTGTGGTCCCGGCTACTTGGGAGGCTGAGGCAGGAGAATCGCTTGAACCCGGGAGGTGGAGGTTACAGTGAGCCGAGATCGTGCCATTGCACCCCAGCCTGGGCAACAAGAGTGAAACTTCATCTCAAAAAAAAAAAAAAAATTGCTTAGTAACTATACAAGAAAATATTGATACAATTTGCCTTTAATTAAGAAATTCCATTGCAAAATCTACCATTAAGAAAGTAAAAAGGTAAGCCAAAGATTGGGAGACTGAATTATTAATACATATCTGACAAAGAATTTTTATCCAGAATATATAAGGAACTTCTGCAAATCAATAGGAACAATAGAAAAATGAACAAAATATTTGAAGAGACTCTTCACAAAAGGATATCTAAATTCCCTTTAAACATATGAAAAATTGCTCACCATCATTACTTATCATGGAAATGCAAATTCAGAACACAATGATACATACTCTACATGCTAGAGTAGCGAAAGTGAAAAAAATGGAATATATCAAAATGTTGGCAAAGAATTGGAGCAACAAAGTTTCATATGCTGCTGGTGGGAGTGTAAAATTATACAACCACTTTAGAAGATAGTTTACTAATAACTTCTAAAGCTGAACATTCATCTACCCTGTGAGCCAGCTATTCCATTCTTAGGTTTATACAAACATTTGTTTACATGTTCACTAAAAGATGAACTAGAAAATTCATAGCAGCACTATTGATAGTATTAATAGTAAAAAATTGATAAACATCTAAGTGCTTATTAACACTAGAGTGGTTCAAGTATGGTATTCACACAATGAAATATTATACACTTATGATAATGAGTGGTCTACTACTACACAGAACAATATGGAAGAATCTTACATACATAGTAACATTAGGGCCAAAAACCAAACACAAAAAATAAGTACCATATGGCTCTATTTTATGAAGAGCAAAAATAGGAATAATTGATCCATACTGGTAGAAGCCCGCATGGTAAAGAATGGGAGGGAGCATAAGTGGAACTTCTAGGTTTGATGGTAATGGTCTTTCATGATCCAAGTGCATTTGCATAGGTATGTTGAGTTTTTGAAACTATCTAGCTGTACACTTTTGATATATACAGTTTTTTTGTGTTATACTTCAATAAAAAGGTTTTTAAAAGACCTAGTTTTGGCCAGGCACAGTGGCTCACGCCTATAATCCCAGCACTTTGGGAGGCCAAGGCGGGCGGATCACCTGAGGTCAGGAGTTCGAGACCAGCCTGGCCAACATGGTGAACCCCATCTCTACTAAAAATACAAAAAAAAATTAGCTGGGCGTGATGGCAGACACCTGTAATCCCAGCTACTCAGGAGGCTGAGGCAGAAGAATCGCTTGAACCCGGGAAGCAGAGGTTGCAGTGAGCTGAGATCACGCCATTGCACTCCAGCCTGGGCAAGAAGAGCAAAATTCTGTCCCCCCAAAAAAAAAAAAAAAGACCTGGTTTTAACTATTGTAATACGAAAACCATAATAAAGATAAAAGCTACACAATCTAGGTTTCATTGTGTTACTCATTATACGTTAGGGTTAAAGAAGTACAAGAGTGGCTCATTCCTGTGATCCCAGCACTTTGGGAGGCTGAGGCGGGTGGATCACCTGAGGTCAGGAGTTCGAGACCAGCCTGACCAACATGGTGAAACCCTGTCTCTACTAAAAATACAAAAATTAGCCGGGCATGGTGGTGCATGCCTGTAATCCCAGTTATTTGGGAGGCTGAGGCAGGAGAATCACTTGAACCCAGGAGGTGGAGGTTGCAGTGAGCCAAGATTGCACCATTGCACTCCAGCCTGGGCAATAGAATGAGACTGTGTCTCAAAACAAACAAACAAACAAAAAAAACAAGAATAGTCATTAGCTTAGATGAAATATAAATGTCTTGAGAGGTCACATTTTTAGTTTGAAGCGATAGAAATTTTAGAATAATTGGTCTTAATTCAACTAGTAGTAAGTTTTCCTCTTACAGTAAAACAGTGCTTTGAACTTCTTGGACATGCAACATGTTTTCAGGATCTGTTGAGTCACGTGGAATTTTGGTGTTTGGGCATATCTGCCCCCACCAGGAAAAACAAACAAACAAACATGGCAATAACAAAAACAAAATTAGGGATTTTTGAAAATCAAGGACATGATGTCGTTTTGGTTCTATTGTATATGACTGTAAAATATTAAATTTGGTTTTTGTTAATTATAACTCAGTATGACAAACTAGTACCTCCAAAAAGGATGACTAGAAAAGGTTTTCTGGCCAGGGGTGTTGGCACACACCTGTAATCCCAGCACTTTGGGAGGCTGAAGTGGGAGGATCACTTGAACTCAGGAGTTCAAGCTGGGCAACATGGTGAAACCCCATCTCTACAAAAAATAAATAAATAAATAAATAACCAGGTGTGGTGACGTGCATTTTTAGTCCCAGCTACCCTGGAGGCTGAGGTGGAAGGATCATTTGAGCCTGGGAGGTCAAGGCTGCAGTGAACCAAGCTCACATCGCTACACTCCAGCCTGGGCCATAGAGTGAGACCCTGTCTCAAAAATAAAAAGAAAAAAAAGGTTTTCTTTTTTAAATCTTAAGTGACTTTTTGTTAAGAAAGATGATGAGTTAAAAGTGTGTTATTAGTTCATTCTTACTCTCAGAGGAGGATATATAAATAGCTGTTCTTGTTCTTTCCTCCATTCTTTTCAAGAGAATGTTCTATTTCTGTAGTACATGGTGACAGAATTACAACAGGTAAACATGCCAATCCATTACCTATTATTGTTCTTTTTTAACAGTCAAGTCCATCATCTCCAGAACCAGCTAGTCTTCCTGCAGAAGATATTAGTGCAAACTCCAATGGCCCAAAACCCACAGAAGTTGTATTAGATGATGACAGAGAAGATCTTTTTGCAGGTAATTGTCATGTATTTATTTTTTAATAATGGTCAATTGCAGTATATTTTCTATTAGATAGAAAATATCTAAAACAAAACTGAAATTCTGTGTAAAGTGTTAGTGGCAGCTCTTGTAACAACTTAGAAGGATGGGGAATTTCCAGTCACATCACTCTATGAAAAATGTGGACTGTCCAGAGAAGCAAAAATGTGGTTCTTTCTGGCTGTAAGCATTTGAGAATAAATTGTATATTATAATTTGATTGGGGGCAGTATTTAGATGCAAAAGACTAATCATTGTGATGTTCATACTTTGAGAAATAGCAGTGATTATACCTTTTTATTGCTTAGAAGTTGTCCCAAAGCAAAATTAAACTATGGATTTAAAAATTATTCTATATTTATGTTTGAAAGCTGTTTTAATAAATTGCTGTACTATTTACCATCTGTTCCATTTGACCCACTTTTAGGTGAATAAATTGATGCTTAAGGAATTTGTTTTTGATACAGGGGCAGGATTTGGTGTAGTTCATCCTAACTTAAGAAGGACTCTGTTTAACAATTATCTGCTTTAAAATTAAAATTAATGTTTTAATATTAAAAAGCAACATCTTCCTTAAAATTAATGACACAAAAAATGAAAATGGTAAATTTTATTTTGTGTGTTTAATAGCCTAATTTACCTGAACTGGCTTTCATTGAGTTAAAACTTAATATGGATGGATTCTTTTGTGGCTCATAAGCTTGGGATTTTCACACTAAACATTTTTAACTCATGAGGTTGGGACTTCACATTAATCTCTAATCTTTGAGATTGCCTCCCTCAAACCTTGCTACAGTATTGGCACATTACCCATCTCACATGAAAAAGGAAAAAGAAAAAAAGATAAAAAATGAATAATTATGTTCTCATCTTTCATAGTGGTTCAATATTCAAACCATTCTGTGTTTTTGTACAAACATGTTTGAAGACAGCAATCCTCCATCACAAAACTCCATATAATTTACACCTTGATTCATTCCATGAGAAGTTGTCACTGGAGATGAATTCACATATTTTATTATGTCACAAAATTAAAAATATGATACCAAATACCAATCATCTTCTCTTTAAAATTTTAAGCCACCTAACAACTTAGAGTCAAAATCACCGTTAACCAAAGTTGTAATATTTCAGTATTTGTTATTGTGTCCTTTCATGGACTTTTTTCCAGGCAATCTTTCAAAGTTGTTTCATGGTATTTGTATCTTATGCTAAAAGATGACACAAGTTCTTTCTCTACTTAACAAGTACTAATCTAAAATTCTGTGTATTCCTTTAATGGTATAGGGTCATACATAGAGGTTTTAAATTATCCATTTTTTTAAAGACTCCTTCACCCTATAGTCTCAGATTTCTATGTAGATGAGTATGTTTAAACCTTACTGTAACAACAGAACTGTGTCTGTGTGTGTTTGTGTACATGCAAGGTTTTTTTTTTCTTAACAGTATGCACAGCTGATCAAAGAGTTAGCCAAGTGAGGACTATACAATGATATTTGCCCACTTAGCTTGGTTAGAAAAAAAATTAAAAACAGTTTTTAGACAGGTCTCACTCTGTCACCCAAGCTGGAGTATAGCCATGCCATCATAGCTCACAGCAGCTTTGAACTCTTGGGCACAAATAATTCTCCAACCCTTGCTTCTCAAGTAGCTAAGACTTCAGACATGTGCCACTATACCTGGCTAATTTATTCATGTTTTGTTGAGATGGGATCTTGCTATGTTGCCCAGGCTGGTCTTGAACTCCTGGCCTCAAACAGTCCTCCCACCTGGGTCTCCCAAAGTATTGGGATTACAGGCGTGAGCCACTGAGCCCAGCCAGAAAAATCTTCATAGTGTTTTATTCTACCTAGCAGTCTATACTAAATTCTGTGAATCAAATATGGTGAATATCAGTGTTTGTTTTAAAAAAAGAGAGAGATGGGAACTAAAGAACAATAAACATAGTCATCTGTCTCCTTTGTTAACCCAAAAATAGAAACATTTTTTATGCTTTAGCTTTCATCTTAAACTCAGCTGTATTTCATAATGACATCATTAAGTGACTGAAGACCTAATCTGATCATTTTTGTATGAATGAATGAGTATTACACTTGGTTCTTATTTATAATACATTTTAACAGGTGTAGCATTCCTCCTTCTATGGAGGAGTATGGTTCTAGGAAACTATAATAGGGAGCAGCGTATGTTACTGGGATGGTGAAAACTATTGTCCAGTAATGAGAAACCTATACTCGATTTGTCCCTCCTATACCAGAGGAGAGAATATAGATATTGCTGTAGTGACATTGACATAATCAGTTCATACATGTCTCAAAGTATGTCTCCAAGGAAAAATTAATCTTTACAGTTAGCACCTATGAAGCATCTTCCTGAACCTTTAGGTCTGCTTTAAATTAAACCTTATGAATTTGTAATATATTGGTTTACTTAAGCTAAAAGGTGTCATGAAGAAAATTTAAGACAGATTATATATATATGTTGAATCTAAATCCTACAATTTTTGAATGAAGCAGCCTGTTAGTGTAAATAACACAAAACTCAGTATCAGTAAAGTAAAATGTGATTAAAAAGTTTAAATGACTTTATCTGTACTGATTTCTTAATAAAGTTACTATCTCTCACAATATTTTGCCTGTGAGTCTGTTGCCAAAGAACAGTGCCTCTTTCAGATTCTGGGGTTTTTGTTTTGTTTGGTGCTTGTTGTTTTGCTTATTGTTGTAAATATCTCACACTTGTAGCTTTGATATACTGCTTTTTTTTTACTTTATCATATTACTCATTGGTTTCATTTCTTTACAAAAAGAGTAATAAATACCAGCAATCATCACAGCCTGAATTGCATATAAGCTTTTATTTTGTTACGGTAGGCTTATCTATAGCCTGTTTCAACATATATAGTCCATTTTCCTTCCTCTGGTTACCACAGTTTGAAAGATTTTTAGTTATTGATCATTTTCGCTTTTAATATGAAAAAGTGAAGAGATCATCTATACCAAGTAAGGATCTCATCAACATGAGATAACCAGTAAGAATAGCTTGATAAAATGTTGACGTGTATAACCTTATTTCAGGTAAATATGCTATTACTGCTATACCTTGAGGTATTAAAATTAAAATGGTTCACTGACTATCATTACCACCATCTTGAACCTCTAAGAATCTAAGGACCTCAGGTTAGAAACCACTGGCCTGGTCCTGTGTTTTCCTTGAGGTCCTGCCTTCCTTTCCTAGTATCAGTTCTACAGACTAGCAAAGTTGTAGTTTACATTATGGCCACCACTTGTGATTTTCCCTTTCCTGGCTCTGCTTTTTGCATATGCTATTATTCCATTATCATGGAATTCTTTCTTCATTTTTTCTCTACCCATTTCAGTCTTCTCAGATCCATTTTGTAAACTGTTCCTGATTTTTGTCTCCCAGCTCAACTCAAATTGTAGTGTTTGTTCTGTAGCTCATGTAGCAATTAAATGTCTTGTAACATTCTTTTCATTGTTTGCCTGGGTATTATTTAAGTCTTTTATTATTATTTAACATCCCACATGCTTTTGTCTTGTTTTCCCCAACTAAATTATAAACTCTCTGAGGGCAGGTATGATATTTTACATTTTTGTGTGTTTTTCTGTTGCACTTAGCACAATGTTATGTAGCCTGTAGACATTCAGTTTATTGATTTGGTTTGATTTTTTAAAATTATTAGTATTAGATTTTTCAAGTGAGTGGGCATTTTAATTTAAAACCTAAACACCTATTTGTTTTGTGTCATATTTGTGTATCCAACTAATTAATATCCAGTAATCTTTACCAATTAATTGCTTTATATTACTAACTTTGTAGCTTTTCCTAACCAGTTTTTAATCCAAGTTAAAATAGTTGTGGACAGACTTCCACCATAAAATTTGTCTTTATATGTATAAAATAATCATAATATTAGTGTAAATAAATATTTGAAAGGTAAGTTACCACAAGTATAAGTTGTTACAAATCCAAACATGAATGTGGAATCATCTGCATCATTGCTTTTCTTTCAGCCTGATCCCTACCACTAGTATAATTAAGCTAACTTAATAGGATTCTTTCTAAAATCAACAAAGTTACAGTTAGTTTTAAAGTTGTGATAAATAAGGATGCATAAAATTCCTTTGTGATAATTATTTTTAAATGACATTATTTTTATATTTGTGGGTAATATAAAAATATTTTTTATAATCCATTAACTGCTATGTAGAATATTGGGGGTTTGCTTGCCAGTGTTCTTAACTAACTTGTTTAATCTATGTCTAGAAGCCACAGAAGAAGTTTCTTTGGACAGCCCTGAAAGGGAACCTATCCTATCCTCGGAACCTTCTCCTGCAGTCACACCTGTCACTCCTACTACACTCATTGCTCCTAGAATTGAATCAAAGAGTATGTCTGCTCCCGTGATCTTTGATAGATCCAGGGAAGAGGTACAGGAAAATGTATTCTAAATTAATATGTAAATATATACCTTTTTTCCCCACCCAACATCACTCTGCTGTTAGTCATTTCTAATCAAAGCCTTTTAGACATTTTGGGAAAAGAATATTGGACTAAATTAGTTATGGGATCTGGCTTCTATCTTCCCCACTCTACCCAGTGACCTGGGCATATCATTTACCTTGTTAAGTGAAGGAGTTTGTCATTTCTGATTTTATGATAATAGTGTGCATTTCCTAGGGTTTCTCTGTTGGTCAGATGATATATAAAAGTGCTTTGAAAACTTAATCACAATAAAGTGATATTTTGAGTAAATTTATTTGATAAAATTTGTAATAAATACTGTTAATACTTAAAGGTTGATATTGAAAAAGAAGGGAGGATGTATATCAGTTAAAGGTACATTCTCATGATTTGGCAGTAATTTCTGACAAGGTGAATTTGGAAAAGAAAAATTATACAGAGATTATTTTAATGGCAAAATTATGTATTTAAAAGTCATTCATGGAAATATGTCGTTAAAATGACCATGATTAAGTAACAACCACATAAAAAATATAAACAATCTCGCAAACATAATATTAAGGGAAATAAGTAAGACATAAAAGAATACTTACATAATTCTAATATATGAACTTTAAAAACAGATAAAAGTAAAGTACAGGGCTAGATGTCAGGGTAGTGGTTATGTTGGCAGGTAAAGAATGGGTAGTAACTGGAGGGGAAGCAAAAGAGGGCCTCCTGAGCTGTAGTGATGATGCTTATTTCTGATTTAGGTTCTGATTACAAACGTGTTCACTTTGTAAAGGTTTATTGAACTGTACACTTAAAATTTATATACTTTTTATGTAATGATTTTTAAAAGTTTTACTTTAAAAATATCTGTACAAGAAGACAACCTTGAAATAAAACAATTATGGTTCAAAACACTTTGCATTTAGATAGTGTTAGACTATTAATAATTGCCTTGAAAATTTTGCAAAGTTGAATAATCTCTGAACTTTGTGCTTGAGAATAACAAAGCTTTCCTGCAGAGCTAATGTTTGGATTGCTTATTTTTAATGGCATTTACAAGGGCTTCTCTGAAGTCTCGACATAGGGTTGTCATTTTTCCCACTTACTGCTTTTTCACTGAGGTTTATAGTGCTTTCCTTCGCGTCCAGAAGAACGTGTTTATTAGATAATTAGAGAAATCTTGATACTAAAGTTGCTTTTCAGTATAATCACTTCTGCTGGTAAGTAAGGTTCTACTGGTAAAAGTAATGACTACCTACCTCCTTGGTATTAAAGGGTAGAGAGAGAACTTTGAAAAATGCTAGTATTAAAATTAATTAAGGAGGTAATTTTTTAATAATCTGAATCTGAAGATTCAGTATATAGAACAAAAAATTCCACAATATTTGTACAAAAAGACGAAAACATTTTTTCTACATCTGAGGAATTAACATGAGATTTTGGGCTGGGCGCAGTGGTTCACGCCTGTAATCCCAGCACTTTGGGAGACCGAGGTGGGCAGATCACCTGAGGTCAGGAGTTCAAAACCAGCCTGGCCAACATGGTGAAACCCCGTCTCTAGTAAAAATACAAAAATCACCTGGGTGTGGTGGCAGACACCTGTAATCCCAGCTACTTGAGAGGCCAAGGCATGAGAATTGCTTGAACCCAGGAGGTGGAGGTTGCAGTGAGCTGAGATTGAGCCACTGCACTCCTGCCTGGGCAGCAGAGCAAGACTCTATCTTTAAAAAAAAAAAAAAAAAAAATTGTTACTTCTCCAAATGGTCTTTTTCGTGTGTGTGTGTGTGTGTGTGTGTGTGTGTGTGTGTGTTTTATTTATAAAGTCAGGAAATGTGAAAGTTTTTATTGTTTTTCAAAAATGAAGTGCTGGGTGGCTAAATTATTTGTTGTGACAGTGACTCTTACAGAAAATAGATGATAAAAATTAGTGTCATGACAATAATTTAAATTATAATTTTTAATGCCAAAAAATAATTTATACTTTCTAGATTGAAGAAGAAGCAAATGGAGACATTTTTGACATAGAAATTGGTGTATCAGATCCAGAAAAAGTTGGTGAGTCAATACTTATTATATTTTGTATTTACTTTTTATTAGTTTGTTGGTTTTGTATGGTTTTTCTTCATACATCAATATAGTATTAAATGAGTTTTATTTTTATGCATGTGATTTTAATAGTAGTGTTTGACTTTTTTTGCAGGTGATGGCATGAATGCCTATATGGCATATAGAGTAACAACAAAGGTGAGCTTTTTGTGCTTTTAAAAAAACTATCGAGCCCTCATTATGTGTAGTATGAGGATATGGCTATGATTAAGGTAGAAGTGATCCCTGTCTTTATAAAGGTTACCACCTAATAAAGATTGCCAAGAAGTAGGTGCAATGAGTTGTGAGTGGTTTGATATGTAGTGTTCAGTGAGAGTATGCAGGATGGGACCTGATTTAGACCTCTGGATGCCTAAGCCAAGACATAGGTGAGGGAAATGATGGGGAGGAGGGGGGGAAGAAGAAGAATGCTTGTGCCAGGTGAGGAATTTGCTTGTGCAAAAGCCAAAAGTGAAGAAAGCATTGTGCTTTCTAGAATCTCCAAGAAGTGATGCATGATTGAAACGTTTGGCAGTAAGCCTTTGTGTATTATGAGCAGCCACATTTTAAGGAGTTTGGCTTCATGCTGAGTATAATGGAGAGCCATTAAAGAAGTTCAAAGAAGAGTGTGGCACAAGTAGGTTTTTGTTTTAGAAATATTTCTTTGGCCTCAGTATGAATTGGGAGGGTCAAAGTAGAGGTCAGGATTTCCAGTTAAAGGGACACTGCAATGATTAAAGGATTGTATGCCTTTAAATATTAAAAGAGCATGTCTGTCACAGCAGTTCTAGCTGTAAGCAGTAATACTTTATACTAAGAAAATGGTTCTGGAGATGAGCAAAATAAGTGGCTTCTTGAGTTATGTAGGCGGTAGAATTGACAGGACTTGGATGTAATGGGTGAGGAAGGAGAAGGATGCCTAGGTTATTGACTAGAGGGACTTTGCAGCTGTGAGAGTGATCCATGGAGAAAGGCAACACGGGCAGGAACACAGTGAGGATGAGGATGACAGTTGTTAATTCATTGGATAAATATTCATTAAACACCTACCATGGTGTCAAGCTTTGTTGCAAGCCCTGGGGTATAGTAGTAAACAATACAGACAAGGGTGGCATCTTATAGAACTTATGTTCCAGCAGGGGGAAATAGGGTAAGTTTGAAGTGCTGGTGAGATTTAAGTGGAGGGGTATTTGGATATATTGGACTGAAGCTTTGTAAGATATCTGGGCCAGATGTAAAGATTTAAGAATTATTAGCGTAAATAGAGTGAATAAGACCAGTTAAGATAGAATAATGCAAATACTTTTTTGTCCTATTAAGATTCTGTAAAATACATCTATGGTTTAGGTTTTTTTTTTAGTTAGAAACCTATATACCACATTAGTTAGATACTCTGCATTCTTTTGCAAAGTAGATACATGTATGTGTTCACAATTATGTATAACATTAACTTGTGGAATAATTGCTTGCTATTCAAAATTTGAAACACCTCTTCTTCACTTGTAGACATCTCTTTCCATGTTCAGTAAGAGTGAATTTTCAGTGAAAAGAAGATTCAGCGACTTTCTTGGTTTGCACAGCAAATTAGCAAGCAAATATTTACATGTTGGTTATATTGTGCCACCAGCTCCAGAAAAGAGTATAGTAGGTAAGCACAAATTTTTCAAAAATTAATTTTTGTTACTGTTACTAGTTCAGTTTTAACTGTATAGATTTGTGGATTTCTTAGTCATTCACTGTCAACATTTTATAATGTGTAGACATAACTGAATTTAAGTATTTCATTTATACTAATCATGCATGGATTGAAGAATGTATTGGTAATAGTTTTATTTTCTAACACTTGAGGATTTTTGTTTATGTAATACAGTAATGTTAAATATTGGGTAGAGGCCGTGTGTGGTGGCTCACACCTGTAATTCCAGCACTTAGGGAGGCCAGGGTAGGAAGATCACTTGAGGTTAGGAGTTCAAGACCAGCCTAGCCAACATGGTGAAACCCCTGTCTCTAGTAAAATACAAAAAGTAGCCAGGCATGGTGGCACGTGCCTGTAATTCCAGCTACTCGGTGGGCTGAGGCAGGAGAATCACTTGAACTCAGAAGGCGGAGGTTGCAGTGAGCTGAGATCACGCCTGGGCAACAGAGTGAGACTCCGTCTCAAAAAAAAAATTGGGTTGAAATTTATGAAGTTAAAAGCAGTTGGAAGCCCTAACCTTTTAGGGTCACTAGATTACCATTTTACTGAGTCACAATCAGAGAATACTTAATATTATTAATATGTTAACATTTTTCTAAGGGATGGAGGTGTTAGACCCTCACTAGCCTTGGCTCATATAAGAGCTATTTAAATTCATCTTAGTTCATTTCGTACCTCAATTTAAAGTTTAAAAACATTTCTACTTTTTTTTTTTTTTTTTTGAGATGGAGTCTCACTCTGTCATCCAGGCTGGAGTGCAGTGGTGCAATCTTGGCTCACTGCAACCTCCGCCTCCTGGGTTTAAGTGATTCCCCTGCCCCAGCCTTCCGAGTAGCTAGGACTGCAGGCACACACCACCATGCCTGGCTAATCCTTTTTGTATCCTTAGTATAGACGGGGTTTCACCATATTGGCCTGTCTGGTCTTGAACTCCTGACCTTGTGATCTGCCTGCTTTGGCGTCCCAAAGTGCTGGGATTAGACGTGAGCCACTGTGCCCGGCCACATTTGTACTTCCATAAGCAATAAAGACTTAGTTAAGAAACTGCAGAAAATTACAAAAGAGGAGGAAACCTCCATAGGCCTACCATTAAAAGACATCTGTCATCTCAAAATTTTGTAGTATTTTATTCAATGCTTTTTCAGTCATAGGTTTTTATTTACCTTTTTCTTTTTTTTCCTTTAAAGTAATTATCTTCTCTGTATTGTTCACAGTTTTAGTATATGTGCTGCTGAAGTGAGCACTACCATTACTTTTCTTTATACTTAGATTAATCTGAAAGTTTTTTTGTTTTTTGAGACGGAGTCTCGCTTTGCTGCCCAGGCTGGAGTGCAGTGGTGTGAGCTCGGCTCCATCATGGTGGCTCATGCCTGTAATCTCGGCACTTTGGGAGACCGAGATGGGCGGATCACCTGAGGTCAGGAGTTCGAGACCAGCCTGGCCAACACGGTGAAACCCTGTCTCTACAAAAATACAAAAATTAGCCAGGCATGGTGGCTCCTGCCTGTAATCCCAGCTACTTGGGAGGCTGAGATGGGAGAATTGCTTGAACTGGGGAGGCAGAGGTTGCAGTGAGCCAAGATTGTGCCATTGCACTCCAGGCTGGGCAGAAGAGCGAGACTCCATCTCAAAAAAAAAAAAAAAAAGAATTTTGCTGATTTATTTTTTCCCCCAAGCTGGTCTCAAACTCCTGGCCCCAAGCAGTCCTCTCATCTGGCCTCCCAAAGTGGTGGGATTACAGACTGGAGCCACCATGCTCAGCCAAATTTTGCTGATTTTTAAATTATTGTTTTTACTTTTTTAAACATTAGGTTTATAAAGCAATGTTATTGGTACCCTTTACAGTTTCAGAACCTAATGTATTTAGATGAATTTGTTATATTCTTTCTTTTTTTAAATTCAAAAATTGAGTTTAGTGGTTCTTTAACTTTTTGGTCTTTCAAGACCCCTTTGTAGGGATGGTTCAATCCAAAGTGTTGAAATCTGTAGGGATGGTTCTATAGGGACGGTTCAATCCAAAGTGTTGAATCAGGGATGGTTCAATCCAAAGTGTTGAAATTACAGGCATGAGTCACCACACCCAACTGAAATACATTTAATGTGGATTAAATTGTTTAAAACTTTTTTGCTTTTTCTTGAGATGGAGTCTTGCTCTGTTGCCCAGGCTGGAGTGCAGTGGTGCTATCTTGGCTCACTGCAAGCTCTGTCTCCCGGGTTCATGCTATTCTCCTGCCTCAGCCTCCTGAGTAGCTGGGACTACAGGCGCCCGCCACCACGCACAGCTAATGTTTTGTATTTTTAGTAGAGATGGGGTTTCACCATGTTAGCCAGGATGGTCTCGATCTCCTGAGCTCATGATTCGCCCGTCTCAGCCTCCCAAAATGCTGGGATTACAGGCGTGAGCCACCGCGCCTGGCCTGTTTAAAACTTTTATGTGTGTGTGTGTGTGTGCGTGTGTGTATATATATACACACGCGCGCGCACACACACACACACACACACACACAGCCCACCATTCCAAAAAGGATTTCAGGCAACTACAGATAATACAGTTTATATATAGAGAAATTATCAGGAAAAAAATAAATGTAGTCAAATAGTAATATGAAGCCAAGCAAAACAATTTCTTCAAAGTATGGTGAAGTCTTGAATAATTATTAAAGGTGGGTGACAAATTAATCTTTGAACTTCTAATTACATAGCTGGTGGTTTTCAGGTAACTTACACTTATAGCAGGGAGCATGGAAAAAGAGTCATAACTTCTCCTGTTTGCTGGGAAGCTTTATAACTGCCACTGAAGGGAGAGTCTTCATTAGCACGTAACTCTCTACTTTGGTAGGACCTTAGTTGACCTAAGAAGACTATTCCATTTAAACTGTTAGAACAACAAAGTTGAAAAGTATTAAAAGTTAACTAGTTACGGTAGGTTGTTTGGGGTTTTATTTATTTATTTATTTATTTATTTATTTATTGGTCACAATGTCCCTTAACAATTAACCTCTAAAAAGTAGAATGGATAGAAGGTTTTTAACTTCAGTGAAGAACTACCCAGTGGTGAGATTTTTTTTCAGGGAAATAGAGTTTGTGAAACAATTCACATCCCAATTCCGGTAGTTCAGTCAGAGGTAGTTGTAGTTTTAGGTGTCTTATTTTCCTTTTGAAGCCATTGTATTCCATTGGAATTTTAAATAAAACATTAATAGGTGATTAATAAGTTAATTAATGTGCCAAACTGAAGATGTACCAAACTGAAGAATTGTATGGTTTTACATAATCCATTTTTAAAAGGCTTTATTGGAATATAATTTACATACCATATAATTCATCCATTTAAAGTGTCTAGGTCGGGTGTGGTAGCACATGCCTGTAATCCTAGCACTTTGGGAGGCTGAGGCAGTTGGATTGCTTGAGCTCAGGGGTTTGAGACCAGCCTGGGCAACACAGCAAAATCTTGTCTCTACAAAAAATTAGCTGGGTGTGGTGGTGCGTGCTGGTGGTCCCAGCTACTCAGGATTGCTTGAGCCTGGGATATAGGGGCTGCAGTGAACCGTGATCATGCCACTGCACTCCAGCCTAGGTGACAGAGTGAGACCGTGTTTCGAAAAAGAAAAAAAAAAGGGTATCCAGTTCACTGGCTTTTAATATATTAAGAGTTGTGCATACATTACCACAGTCAATTTTAGAATATTTTTATTACCCCAAAATGGAATCTGGGATCCCTTAGCCATCATCCCCTAATGTCCTCATTTTCCCCAGCCCTAGGCAGTCACTAATTTACTTTCTTTCTCTAAGTATTTACCTATTCTGGACATTTCATGTAAAAAGGATCATGCAGTAGATGATTTTTTTGTGTGTGACAAATTCCTTCCACTTAGCATCATATGTTCAAGGTTATTTCATGTTGTAGCATATATCAATACCTTGTTTCCACAGAATACATTTTTGAAAGGAAAAAGAACAGGAGAATAAAAGAGAAAAATCTGCAGCCTGAAATTAAATTGCCCTTACAGAAGTAATTAACATGACTTATTTTTTAAATCTGAAGTTATAAATGACTCTGTGAAAGAGCTTTTTCTTTCAATCATTGTAAAACCAGCTGTGATAAGTAAATAAGAACATGCTCTTAGAATCTGCAGGAGGGAAAACATAACAAATTCATGGATTACATTTACTTTTATTTTTGTCATCCCAAAGTAAAGAATTTTAATTATTGCTCATGAGAAATGAAAATGTTAATTGAGCTTAAATTTATTGATTTGAAATTCCATTATGTATATCGGGTTAGAAACACATTTTAATTTACCAGGAGTATAAAATACAACAGATAAGGGATCTTTTTGATGTAAGCTTTTCTGTAAACAAAAGCAGTATGGGTCAGAAAACTATAAACATTTTATCTGTTCTCTCATGTTTTAAGTATTTACCAAGTAAAGATGTTAACGTATCATGAGATTTAATTCCTCAAAACGTTTTTGCTTTTTAGATAAGATACCAGTTACAAGTTTAGGGCTGTTAAGTTCAAATTTTGAGTGTATTTTAAATTATGAAGAAATGATTATGAAAGACTTTCACAGCAATATAAAGTCATCATGAATCTCATTCAACTTCTTCAAAGGGATGACCAAGGTCAAAGTGGGTAAAGAAGACTCATCATCCACTGAGTTTGTAGAAAAACGGAGAGCAGCTCTTGAAAGGTAATTCTAGACAGCTATATTTTATTACTCTCATGTTTGTACCTTAATATAAATGTAATTCCATTATATGGCAAAACTGTGTTTTAATGATTAAATTTTTTCCAAAGTACCACTTGGTGGCTTTTAAGACTGCTTTAAACTTTTTTAAGAAAATTACTTCTTTCAACAAAGTACTGTATAATTGTTCTGTATAATTTTTAGTAATCCTCATCAATAGTCTAACAAAATAACACTTGTTTTTCTATTATATGCTACAAGCAGGAGCATATAATAGAAAACATATAAAGACATGAGTTAGCTGGGGATAGAATTGTATCATAGGTAGTCACCAAGAGTTACTAAGAAACTGCTAAACTTGGAAAACATGGAAGTTGTGAATGGGGGGAAAAATAAAAATTTTTGGATGCAAATAATCCCACTTTGGTCTTATTTAGGTTTCTGGGAAGTTATACCACACTCATGTACTGTGTTGGATAGTATAGCTAATTATAGTTCATCTAAATTAACTTTTCTGATGAGTTTTTACTTAGTAAGAACATTATTAAATACAGTGAGAAGTACAGTTTGTGCCCCCCTTGTGTTTGTATAATTGATTTTTACTTGAATGTACAAAAGTATTAGTCTTTGCTTGAGTTGACTATATACAGTTGACCCTCCATATCTGTGGGTGCCTTATTTGTGGATTCAACTAACTATGGATGGAAAATATTTGAAAAAAATAATTACATCTATACTAAACATGTGCAGACATTTTTGGTCATTATTGTCTAAACAATACAGCTTAACAACTGTTTTCATAGTATTTCCATTATATTAGGTATTATAAGTCTAGAGATGACTTAAAGTATATGAGAGGCTGTCCATAGGTTATTATGCAAACACTACGCCATTTTCTATCAGGGATTTGAACATTTGCAGATTTTGGTATCCATAGGATGTCCTGGAACCAGTCCCCCACTGGTACTGAGGGACAGCTATACTTAAAGACTAATATATATGCTCTGTTTTCCTTTAGAGTACTTGACTCTACACATTTCCTATAGCTTTGAAGACTTGTCTTCCTTGAAGCAGACTAAAAGGGGGACAGATGGGAGGATGGGAAGAACCACACTTCCATAATCTTAGAATTATTCCTTCCTTGCTATGCTGACAAAGTGAGAAAACAAATATAAATTATCTTAAAGCCCAGCATTTAAGACACAAGTTGGTAATTACCTAGGCTTGAAACTTTCTAATTTCACTGGTTTTTTTGTTTGCTTGCTCTTTATTTTTCTCTGGCTTAAAATCAGTGGTTAGGGTGAATAGCACAGGTCTTGGGGGTGGTATCTATTTCTCTAGGTCACAAATTTTTTTTTAAACTATTTCAAGGCAACTTATTTCTAGTTTTCAGTAGTAAATTGTTTAAATTTCAAGAAAAATGGTACAGTGAAGTTAGATTTGAACAATTTAAGAAAAGCTAAAGAATATGTAGTTTAAAATCTTAGAGAAGGCTTAAAGATGGGATTATGTCTGAGAATCTGCAGTTACCCAGAAAAAGGATTTAAATTGCATCAAGAGAAGTTTAGGTTAGGCATTTGAATTGATTTTATTGTAGGAGAGGTCATAGACTGAATATTTTTAAGAATAAAGGTAAATCGGATGGTTGCCGGGTCTGTGTGGATAGAAGTAGACATGGGAGACTTTTCATTTTGTTCTGTACTAAGAAAAATTCTTCTGCCTTGGGATCCTGTCGATCTGTGACCTTATCCCCAACCCTGTGCTCTCTGAAACATGTGCTGTGTCCACTCAGGGTTAAATGGATTAAGGGCGGTGCAAGATGTGCTTTGTTAAACAGATGCTTGAAGGCAGCATGCTCGTTAAGAGTCATCACCACTCCCTCATCTTAAGTACCCAGGGACACAAACACTGCGGAAGGCCGCAGGGTCCTCTGCCTAGGAAAACCAGAGACCTTTGTTCACTTGTTTATCTACTGACCTTCCCTCCACTATTGTCCTATGACCCTGCCAAATCCCCCTCTGCGAGAAACACCCAAGAATGATCAATTAAAAAAAAAAAAAAAAAAAAAAGAATAAAGGTAGATAATGGTCTGCCTTGATTTCGCTTAGTCTTTCCTGAAAATGTAACCATGACCCTTTGAGAGACCTTTCAAGTCTTATTTTTCTATGAGTAAATTTGAAGTATTTCAGATGGCATGCTTGATAAGGAACTTAATGAAGATTTACTGTACCAAGGACATATAATTTGATTCTACCTTTACGTTTCTTCCAACTTGGCTGCATTGCATAGTACTTACCATACCTTCATGTACTATGAAATGTTGAGGAGAGTTTTAAGGGATATTGAAACTTGACCCTGTTTGTATAAAGACACTTTCTTTACTGATAAATGCTACTTGTTAAATGGTACCATAGTGGAATTTGCAATAGTGAAAAAAAGAAAGAAACAGTATAGTATGAGGGAAAAGTTCATTTTCAATTAGAAAAAAATCACTGAAGAAAATATAGGCATAAAGGTGTAGAAGCAAAGGAACTGGAATGGTTTCTTTTAATCTAATCTTAATTCTTCTGTGCAAGCTAATTTTCCTGTACACATTTATTTTTTAATCTGTACAGGATTCTAAAACTGCATTTTTCTTGCCCTTTCATATAGCCAGCTTTTCTAAAGTGATTTTTCTGTGATATTTCTTAAACTTTAAACATCAAACAGGTACCATCTGTGGGATACCCAACCCAGTTGGATCTGGTGGGTTAGGGAAGCATTTTTCTTCGTATTATTTTATTCAATAGTATGATATTTACGTATTCGTTCAAACTTAGATAATCCAGATGACTACCTTGAATGAAAGGATAAATATCTGGTATTAAAGGTTAGGAAGAGAAAAGGAGTGGTTAAATACCCAAGTATTCCCCTGTGCCACACTCAGTAAACTAAGCAGAGACTGCTTCTATTAAGAGTAGCCCTAACATCACTTGCTTGGTTTTCTTGAGAGTGCTTCAGATCTTTAGATCATATTGAGTGTATTTTATAGGTAAGGATACACATCTGCAAATACAAAATGAGAAATTTAGAGCATAATAATAAGTGTATAAGATTTATAATTCCTTTTCAGTTGAAACCTGTGCTAATACTACACACTTTCTGTGTGACCTTAGGTAAATTACTTACATGCATTTGTCTTTAAAGTGTAAGTGTGAGGCTGGGCGCGGTGGCTCACACCTGTAATCCCAGCACTTTGGGAGGCTGAGGTGGGTGGATCACGAGGTCAAGAGATCAAGACCATCCTGGCCAACATGGTGAAACCCTGTCTCTACTAAAAATACAAAAAATTGGCTGGGTGTGGTGGCGCGTGCCTGTAGTCACAGCTACTTGGGAGGCTGAGGCAAGAGGCTTGAACCCAGGAGGCAGAGGTTGCAGTGAGCCAAGATTGTGCCACTGCGTTCCAGCCTGTCGACAGAGTGAGACTCCGTCTCTAAATAAATAAATAAATAAATAAATAAATAAATAAAATGTAGTGTGTCAGGATTGTGTTCATTTCAAGCATCTAAAAATCCAACTGGCCTAAACAGTTAATGTAGATTAATTAATCCACTCTTTCAAATCAAAGAGTTTGGAGTAGGCAGCTGTTCAGGATTATCTAATTCATTAGGAAATTCTATTGCTTCTTTCTGATATCTGATAATACAACCTTTTCTCACCAGTCTACTGACTGAGTCCAAAGGTGTTAATTAACTGCAGTAGCCTCCTAATTGGTGTCCCTGATTCCATTCTTGGCACTTCTACTTTAATACAGAACTTTACAGTAGTCATTCTAAAATATAAATCAGATCATTTTAACCCCTCCCCACGCTGGCCCCATGCCCCCATTTTACTCAATAAAAGCCAGAGTCCTTTTAATGGACTACAAGACTTTATATGACCTGCACGCCTCACTCTGTTACCCATTTGATCTCATATCCTCCGTGATCACTCACTCTGCTTTAGGCCAGACTAACCTTTTGCTGCTTCTCAAACACCCTAGGCATTTTCCTACCTTAGTCTTTTCAACTGCCTGCTCCCTCTGCCTAGAATGCTTTGTTCCTAGGTATCTGCATAGCTAACTCATTTCCTTGTTCAAGTTCGTATGTTCAAATAACATCTTTCAAGTGAAGCCTATTCCAGTCATTGGCTTTCTTCTGACCTATTCTATTTATATTGCCACCAACCACATCTTAAATACTTGGTCCCATTTACCCCATTGTTCTGTCTTTTTTTCCCATAGCTTTTGCCACCTTGTCACATGCTTTATCATTTGTATGTTTATTATGTTTATAGTTTATTGTCTATCTTGTACTAAAATGTAAGCTTCACCAGGGAAAGAATCTTAGTCCCTTTTGCTCACTGATGTGTTCCAAGTACTCAAAACAGTGCTTAATAGGTAGTAAGAGCTCAGTAAGTATTTGCTGAATGAACAAGTGAATGTTATCCAAGACCCAGGCTCTTTCTACCTTTTTATTCTCCCATTATGTGCATTTGTGTTTTAGTTTCAAGCAAGATAAATATTTGTAACTCTGTTGCTCTCAAGCGTTTTATATAACCTGCTTTATTTTGTTTTGTTTCTGGTAAGTAAATAAGAATTTGAAAGCCTTGAGTGATTTTTCATCAGTAACTTGAAGTAAATTTGAAGAACAATTACTGAGCACCTCTTATTGGATGTGATATTGATCAATTCCATTGTCTTTTATTTCTGACTTTTTTCAGTGTTTCTATTTCTCCCCATACCTCTTTTCCTGTCTTCTTCCTACACTCATTTACCCTTTTTGTCCCGTGTCTTTCCTTTGTATTACAACCATCTCTGGTCTTAATTCCGAATTGGCATATGTTTATAAATATTTATTGTTTTAAAATCCATTTTATGTTTCTGTTCTTAATTTCAACATTATGTAAACATATATATAAAAGCATATAAGCTTATATATGAGAAACATATATATAAACTAAAAAATGCATACATGTATTTTTTAGTATATGTATTTAGTATATGTATTAGCTTTATTTTATGTTGCCCTTGAGAAGGAAAGTTTTATTCCCTTTTTCTGGAATATCATTTTTCAAAATTGATTCTTCAGAATGCTAATATGTAGTAGAATGAAAAAGATCTATAGTCAATTGAGTTTTGTCAACATAGGATTTAACAAAGTTAAACTAGGGTTATTTTCTGTAGGAGTTCTCACAACACTTAATAAAATGCTGTTTGATATGAATTTTAAAAGACAGGAATATATATATATTTCAAACTTTCTTGATATGGAATCAGTCTTTTTCATGGAATAGTACGTGAGACTAGTATTCTACAGAACTCACTTTGGAAAGCTGTTTTAGAATATAAATTATACAAGGTATTTCCACTTAGGTTTGAAATATTAGAATATTTCCTTTTTTTTTTTTTTTTTTTTTTCTGAGACGGAGTCTCGCTCTGTCACCCAGGCTAGAGTGCAATGGTGCAATCTCGGCTCACTGCAACCTCCGTCTCCTGGGTTCAAGCAATTCTCCTGCCTCAGCTTCCTGAGTAGCTGGGACTACAGGTGCATGCCACCACCCCCAGCTAATTTTTGTATTTTTAGTGGAGATGGGGTTTCACCATGTTGGTCAGGCTGGTCTCGAACTCCTGACCTCGTGATCTGCCTGCCAAAGTGCAGGGATTACAGGCATGAGCCACCTCACCCTGCCAGAATATTTCTTAGAGGTTAAGTACTAGATGTTTTGTCCTTCTTGGGTTTTTGTTTGTTTTTTACAAGTATCTGAGTGCCTGCTATTACCTAGCTGTTGTATGCACTGAGATGAGCAACTTATGCAAACTGCCTTCAAGTAGTACTCAGTCTAAACAACGAAATAACTTATCTGATATATTGTGAGAGAACTTCAGTGTTAAAATTGTAAGTCAAATTCAAGTGGGGAAATACCAACATTTCTTAAACCTGCAGGATTAGTGTTCTTGCTGCATCCCTTTTTTGGCTTCATAATATAGGTAGCAAAAATTTTTTTAAACCCAGCATAGATTGTATCGAAGATACCTGTTAAATGCTCTGGTTCTAGTATAATGACTTCTTATGTGGGCTACTGACTTAAAACGAAGTTTAGTATGCTGTATATTTTATTTAAATATATAAAAACAGAAGTTAACATTTTGATACTGATAAAATAGTCATTTTTATCAATGTATAGAATTTGACTTTAGAGAAGATTATCACTTTTTTGGAAACCTTAATTTTAGGCATATTTTATAATCTTATAAAAAGGTAGAAGAAATTACTGACTACATTTATTCTAAAGAAATAAAATAAATATGTTATTGCGAGGAAAAATATTATAACTGAAATATTACTGCATATGGTTATTAACTTGGGGAAAGATAGCAGGTTTTTTTTTGTTTTTTGAGACGGAGTTTCACTCTGTCACCCAGACTGGAGTGCAGTGGCAGGATCTCGGCTCACTCCAACCTCCACCCTCCAGGTTCAAATGATTCTCCTTCCTCGGCCTCCTGAGTAGCTGGGACTACAGGCACCTGCCACTGCGCCCGGCTAATTTTTTGTATTTTTAGTAGAGATGGGGTTTCACCATCTTGGCCAGGCTGGTCTTGAACTCCTGACCTCGTGATCCACCCGCCTCGGCCTCCCAAAGTGCTGGGATTACAGGCGTGAGCCACCGCGCCCAGCCGATAGCAGTTGTTTTTAATGGGATTAGATGAGTAATCGAGAATCATCAAATAGTTGACCTTATTTCCTTTTATGAAGTCATGATTGGTAATTTATTATGGGTGACAGGCACATGTGAGCTTTTCTAATAAAGGGAAATTGATTTCATAGTGGTATTTCTAACTTTTTCATTTTTATTCATTTTATGTGGTATTCGTTTATTTGATTTTGTATGGTATCAAATTAGATAAGACATTTACCAAAAACAGCAAAACCTTAAAAATAGAAATACTGAATAAATACCTTTGAAGAGGTATGGGGAAAATACTGAAGAAAATTTAGTTCTTGTCAAGTGAGGACTAAAGCTAATTGTGATCATTTAAATATGCTGACACGCAAAAAAGTATTGGTAGACTCTTCCCCATTCTGATGATAATAGCAGTTTAAAACTTGGTTGAGTGGAATATATATAGTAATATTAATATGTTTCTTAGAACTCTAAAATTATAGTTGAGAACATGACTCCACCCAAAGATAAAATGATGCAACAAACTCACATACCCCTTTGCAACATAATACTTTGCAATGAGAAGTTTGGTAAGTTATTTAACCTCTCCCCACTCCCACCCCTTGCCATTTCTCTTTTTACGTAATTATGAAAACTGGATAGTATATCAATTTTCAAAAGATGAACAAAAACCTTTTTAATTATTAAATTGCTGTAAGATTCTAAGTAATTACAGTGAGAGTAGTCTAATACGAGGTAGTGAGGACACTTTTTTTTCCTAGTATTTCTATTTTTTTATCATTTTGTTGAACTGTAATTCAAGATGCTACTGATAAAGGAGCAATTTTACTCTTAAATCTAGGTATCTTCAAAGAACAGTAAAACATCCAACTTTACTACAGGATCCTGATTTAAGGCAGTTCTTGGAAAGTTCAGAGGTATTATTTCTATATTAAATGTTTGTATATGAATGTTCTCGTTATTTGTCATTGTAATGTATATGACTATATATAGTAAATAATTGAGTTAATAGATGGAATAAAGCAATTATTATTATTATGTTTTGCTTAGTGCTTTAATTACCCTGCTAAATTAGTAGCAAAATATCTTTGCTTTGATACTTGTAGGGTGATTAGTCCCTTTCTTGAATACTTAAAACAAGATTTAAGAGAGTGATTTATAAGTAGTCTAACTCTGAATGCCCTAAGTTGTTCCTCAGGCATCATGTTGAAATAAGTTTATTCAGACTTCATTTTAGAGAAAGAGAAAGTTGAATGTGTATTTGCTTGTCTACATTTTGGTATCCTTATTAAGGTTTTGAAATGCAAATTTGTGACTTGAAAGAGCCTAAATTCTAAACATGATGCTCTTTTTATTTGAAATGTTTGGTATATTTTTGGCTCCTAAGAGCAATTTGAGTTCTAGTTTGCATTTTTTTCTTTAAATTACTTGAGTTGCAGAATTTTTAAAAAACTCAAAATTACACAAAGCTAACTGAGCATAAGGAGATTTTTCTCAAGACTTTCTTCTTTCCTTATAAACGGTTTATTTCTGTTAGCAAACAGGTGGCCAGTGTTAGGGTACTTGGCAATTTCTTAATATATTTTGACAAACAGGGTGTTTGTTCCATCTAAATGTAAACGTGCAGAAGAAAAGCAAATGGAAAGTCTATTTTTTAAGTTTTCCTTTGAGAATGTACAAGTAGTATATTTGAGAAATTAGATCTCACTATTGAAATGTATGAGAGTGAAGAAAATACAACCTCTTTTTTAAAATTTGTATGTGGGGGGGAGGGGGGAGGAGGGGGGATCACTTTTGTGCCTAGTTAAACCTCCAGGCTTTTAACCGGTTTGTTTGCCCTTATTTGTCATTCAATTCCAGCTGCCTAGAGCAGTTAATACACAGGCTCTGAGTGGAGCAGGAATATTGAGGATGGTGAACAAGGCTGCCGACGCTGTCAACAAAATGACAATCAAGATGAATGAATCGGATGCAGTAAGAGCTGATTTTTCGGCTTGAATAATGAGATGAATTAATGAGCCCAACAATTGCATTTTAAAGCTGTACAAGTGGAAAATAGGATATTAATTTGCTTATTGAGTTTAGTTCTCAGCCACATCAGTTGGCCACCATGGTTATAAGGTTAATTTGTTGCTTTAAAACAAGGAATTTAGCTTGCTATTGGTAACCTAATTTACAATGGTTTGTTCTTCCTAAATTAGCTCCATTTTTCATTTTTTTCTTAGTGGTTTGAAGAAAAGCAGCAGCAATTTGAGAATCTGGATCAGCAACTTAGGAAACTTCATGTCAGTGTTGAAGCCTTGGTCTGTCATAGAAAAGGTTTGTTTGCCTTACTACTTACGTAGTTAGCACCATAAAACTAATGAAAATATTTTATTTAAATTTTATGAAAATAAATATTCTGAAGTTATTGCAGAAGAGAGAAAACAATCATTTAAGACAATGTTTTCTAGTTCAACTTTATTATGTAAATTTTTTTTGTTCTATTTTGCTTTACTATCTAGTTTAGAAGTAGAAAAATAACGAGCTTAGAAAATTATTTGTTAACTGGTACAGATGTGAGCTAAAAAAAAGAACAAAGAAAACTATATTTGAATTTTGGATTAAAACTTGGTCACTTGATTAACTTTTTGTTAAGTATAGTTACAGTTAAATGGATGAAGAGGTCTTATCAATTAGTAACTTTGATTATAATAAAAAAACTTGAGATTTGAAAATTGCTTTTTGAAAATTTTTTGGAAAGTATTTGTTTTGTGTGTCTATTTCCTGTAAAACCCTTTGAAGTATTTTCTTCATTTTTGAACTGCAATATTGAAAAACCTGGAGGTTTTGCTAAAAATTCATAGAAAATTTGAGTTGTAATATTTTAATCCACAGTGAAATTATAGTTTTTTGGTTTTTTAAAGAATCCAACAATGTAAATATCAATTGTCTAAGACATTTAATAAGCAAATAATATGTAACATTACCAGCAATACATTTTATTAAAATAATTATAGAAACTTATTAATACATTTATTATTGAAAGTAGTTTGTAACAGCTTTTGCCATTTGAATTATATATATCTCTTAGGGAATGGGCTTTTTTGGAGAACTTTACATAATGTAGAGCAACGGAGCAGTTTCCACGCAGTGTAATTGTTAGTCATTGACAGTATTCAGCCTGTAAACATCTACTTTTCTTTATTTGAAATATCTGAAATGATCACATTCTAAATCTTTTTAGAAATTCTAATATTTTACTGAGATTGTTGTACAACAAAGAAACTAACAGTAAAATTTATGTTAATTGTGTATATAATTTTACCTTTGCTCCTGTTAGCTAAATAATATTCTCATTAAAATTATAGACATTATTTTCAATGACAAATGTTTAAAGGCCAGAAATGTGGTATAAATCAATTGTGAGTATTACCAGTTCTTCTCATATTAAAAATATATTTCATTTTTAGGAATGGGCAGAGAAACAGTGAACACTGTGGGAGAAAAAACAGGAGGCAGATTTTTATATTAAATGATTTAAACATAGTTCATCCCTTTGGAATATAAGCAGTGATTTGTCTGTGTTTTCAGTAGATCTCCGAGCACTTGGCATTTATGCCTGAGGCATTTTAACGACTAATTGTTTCATATTAATTAATTTAAAATATTATTTGAGCAACTTGTGCATAAGTAAAATTTAGAGAAAAGTGGAAAAATCAATACAATATTTTAAAATTTTATGAGTGAACACTAAAATTGCATACTTTTTTTTAAATTTCAGAACTTTCAGCCAACACAGCTGCCTTTGCTAAAAGTGCTGCCATGTTAGGTAATTCTGAGGATCATACTGCTTTATCTAGAGCTTTGTCTCAGCTTGCAGAGGTTGAGGAGAAGATAGACCAGTTACATCAAGAACAAGCTTTTGCTGACTTTTATATGTTTTCAGAACTACTTAGTGACTACATTCGTCTTATTGCTGCAGTGAAAGTAAGCCCTTTCTTGCATGCTTCTCACTTGTGTCGTGTACTTTAAAAAGTATTTTGTTTCCTATTAATTATGTATTTACATGTCTAAATTCCTCCTATACTAGCATGAATAAAATGGCTTCAAGATAAGTATACATAACTTAATACTTTCTTCCCTATGACTTGCACAGTACAATAGATAGAATTAATGTTTTTAACAGGTCTAAGGAATGACAGATAAGATAGAAAACATTTATACATTTACTTATGTATTTGCTTATACAAGTTTGGAACTAACTAATAGCATTTGTTTGCTCGTTCTAGCACTAACTGAAACTACTCACCGGACTCTATTATCATTAGTAAAGCTGACTGTGTAATAAATAGGATAAAACCAGAAACGATTATTGCAGTGAATATGTTTAATGGGGGCTTTATCATAAATTTGGATGTAATCAGACTTTGTATCCTCAAATATGTAGTCACCATGTGTTTATAGATGAGATGGGACTAGATTAGATCATAAATTGTGTTATTGAATGGTAATACTTATATAATAGTCCAATTTCTGAATAGTTGAGAAAGTAATCCAGTTAGTAAAAATTAGTATTCTGCAGATATCTGCAGTTTTCAGACAGTTAAACTGAACTGAACGTTACCCAGTGTATCATGTTTCAGAAGATACTTTAAGATCTTTGAATTTTTGTTATGGATATTAGTTATCATGGGGTTTGAGGGGTACTGGGTATTTACTTTTTACCTTGAATTTAAACATCTAGAAAGTTAATGAGATCTTGTTTCTTTCTTATGCAAAATTTTTTCAGCTAAAGTCTGTGATCAAGTTAATACTCATCTACAATGAGCATATTTATTGATGGTTCTGTTCTTAAGCAACTGGTGACATTTATTACTAGAGCATTCTTAGCACTTCAGAATGGTGCTTTCTTTTATTTGGTAAAATTACCAATTTTACTTGTATTTTACCGTTTTAAATGTTCCTAATGCTGTTGGTGATTAATTTCTCAGTATTTAGAAATGTTAATATACATAGCAATTGTCAGAGTATATATACTTCATTATATATAGGCAGCTTGTGATGTACAGAGATCCAGTTTACAGATTTGTCCCACCTACTCTCACTTCTTACCAGAGCACCCAATAGCATGAGACCTGTTGTAAAAAAGTGTGACACTTCCAACAAACCCGTGGGTCAAAAAAGGGGAGTTGGGCAGTGTCTGTAAGAATACATATCTGGGCCGGGCACTGTGGCTCACGCCTGTAATCCCAGCACCTTGGGAGGCCGAGGCGGGTGGATCACGAGGTCAGGAGATCAAGACCATCCTGGCCAACATGGTGAAACCCCGGCTCTACTAAAAATACAAAAATCAGCTGGACATGGTGGCGTATGCCTGTAATCCTAGCTACTCAGGAGGCTGAGGCAGGAGAATCACCTGAACCGGGGAGTCAGAGGTTGCAGTGAGCTGGGATTGCGCAACTGCACTCCAGCCTGGCGACAGAGACTCCATCTCAAATAAAAAAAAAAAAGAATACGTATCTGCTAATAAGAGCTAACCTGGAAAAAGACCCCCTGGCAGTGATGGCCTGCCTGTGTAATGGATATTGATCCCTCAAAAATAGCTTTCCTCATACCCTAAGTCTTTTTGCTGTGTTACTGTATTTCCTGAAATTACAGTTATATTCATGTTTTCCAAAATATTTTCTATAGAACACTGGCACCAAAAGATGGATTACAGTTAGCTAAGTTTGGGAAGTTATGTATATAGTATCCCTGTTTGCGAGATTCAGAATGCCTTTTAAAAGCTCAGAACTGGTTAGGAGTGAAAAAGAAAACAAATTTTAATCCAGAGGCTTCTAAATTCATTTGAACAAGAATTATTTTCCACCAAATATCTATTTACATATATGGAACACATTTGTGGAAATACTGAATTAATGATTCATTGACTAAAAGAGTTAAAGAGCTGTGGTGAAGTTGCCTTCAGGTAAATTAAGCTCTTTAAGATTAGTTTCTACTGAAACCTAGCCCAGATCAACTACACAAAGGAATTAAGATATTATGGAAGGAGGTGACAGGTAATTTTTATGGTTTTTGTTTTTGTCCTATTCTTTATTTTAAACTAATTCACTTGTATTTGAAAAAATAATGCACATACATGATAGTTCTAATAGCTCAGCAAGGTAAATTTGCCTGCAGAACTAAGACCTGTAGTCTCTGACCTCAGTCATAAACTGTTAGGTTCTTGTGTGTCTTTACAGAATTAGCTATGCATGTACATGAAGCTAATTCTCCCTCTGTCCATTTATTCCTTCCATCCCCTTCTCTCCCTCCCTTCCTTTCTCAAAAAGGAATATACTGTGTGTAGTGTTCTTTGTCTGCTTTTTACACCCACTCCACTTAATAGGGCGGTCTCCCTATCAACATAAGTAGATGTCCTTTTTTTTTTTTTTTCGCAGACGGAGACTCGCTCTGTCGCCCAGGCTGGAGTGCAGTGGCGTGATTTCGGCTCATTGCAGGCTCCGCCTCCGGGTTCATGCCATTCTCCTGCCTCAGCCTTCCGAGTAGCTGGGACTACAGGCGCCCACCATCATGCCTGGCTAATTTTTTTGTATTTTTAGTAGAGACGAGGTTTCACCGTGTTAGCCAGGATGGTCTTGATCTCCTGACCTCATGATCCGCCTGCCTCAGCCTCCCAAAGTGCTGGGATTACAGGCGTGAGCCATTGCGCCTGGCCGGTAGATGTCTTTTTAATGGTTGTATAGCATTCCATCATATAACATTTAGATATACCTTGAATTATAGTCTAGTCTTTTAAAAAATCAAGTGTTTTGATAACTCTTTGGACATAAAGATTCTATAAGTAGAATTGCTGACCAGAGGGTATATGCATTTTAAATTTCAATAAGTATTGCCAAATTACTGTTCAAAAAGATTTTACTTTGTACCCTAACCTACCTAAACCTACATGTTTCTTTTTACTAGCACCCAAGAATGAAGGTTTTTTGTTTTGTAAGTTGCCATTTACTTAGTGTGAATCAAGACATCTTTACAAATGATAAACCATTTGCATTTCTTTTTCTTTCTTTTTTATTGAGATGGAGTCTTGCTTTGTCGCCAGGCTAGAGTGCAGTGGTGCAATCTTGGCTCACTACAACCTCCGCCTCCTAGGTTCAAGCAATTCTGCCTCAGCCTCCCGAGTAGCTGGGACTATAGGCGTGTGCCACCACAGCCAGCTAATTTTTGTATTTTTAGTAGAGACGGGGTTTCACCTTGCCAGGATGGCCTATCTCTTGACCTCGTGATCTACTCACCTCGGCGTCCCAAAGCGCTGGGATTACAGGCATGAGCCACCGCACCCAGCCCTACATTTCTTTTTCTGTGAATGAACTCTTCATGTCCTTTGCCCAGTTTTTGTTTGGTTATTATCTATTTCGAATAGGTGCTTAATATTAATTAACCTTTGGTTTTATCCATATCGAGCGTACTTTTCTGATGATAGTTCTTCAAATTAGGAATACTTTGGGGATTAATATAGAGCCATTGTTAGGATCAAAAAACATCAGGAATTGGAACACTAAAGAAAAAGCTACATTTTACCCATTTCAAAATATTGCCTAAGCCTGGCGTTGTGTCAGGAAACGCCTGTTTTCCTCTTTTGTATAGTACATGGTCTCTGCAATTTAGAACTATAAGAGTTGGCTGTATCCTTACAAGCATTGTCATGTATTGGGCTTCTTTGAACCACTAGAGTAGGGTCAGAGATTGAGGGCAATGGTTCTTAATGTTTTTAGCACTAGAACTCTTCATAAATAATTTTTGTAGGGGATCCCAATTTATAAAACATACTAAAAAAATGTATTTAACTAAAAGATGGATTCCCCAAGGGGTTTAAACGCTTTATTCTTTGGCTATAAATACTCAGCACCTCTTCAGAACTCCATGAAGCTGGGCAGCATATTTTCAGATTAACTGAATTACAATATGATAATAATTAAAATTGTAGCATCAAATTTCCTGATGGGCCAAAAAAACTGTTAGACATCTGCAATCTTGTCTAACTGAGAGCAGCTTGCATACAAATGTATGCCATAAATTAGCAGAGTAATGGAGGTCCTAAATGGATGATCCGTGTAAACTTATCCCTCTTATAATGGTTCTACTAGAGTGGATTAGTATCTTGACATACAAAGGGACACATTGTTACGATTTAATTGATTTAATATAGCATTGTTAGAAGTTTGACTGGTGCTGGTTCTTTTTTATTTTCTGTTATTTTGTTACAAAGGAAAGAAAACAAACGAAGAAAAAGTTAATTTGTATATTTAAGATTAATTTTTTTTTCCTGAAATAACCTGACTTTAGTAGTCTTACCTTTATCATAGCTCCTACATCTGTACCACAATAAACATGTCCTGGTTCTAGAATACTATGAGATAATAAATTGGACAGGGACCAAATTAGTTTAGATTTAGCATATCAATGGAAAAGCCGGTTGATGTATACATTGAGAACTTAAGCAAATATTGAATTAAAGGGCATGTTCATTAGCTTTTTCCCTGTATTGGTACATATTTTAAGGAATCAAATTTTTACTGAACAGAGGAATTTATAAATGAAGAAAAGATATGGCCCTGTTCCCCTAAAGCAAGACTAGGTCTAAAATCTTACATTACTTTTTGGTGGTCGTGTGTATGTGGGTGTGTGTGTGTGTGTGTGTCGGAAGTGAGAGGGATTGTCTTAAGCTTTCCAACATGTGGTCGTGTGTGTGTGTGTGTGTGTGTGTGTGTGTGTATGTGTAGGAAGTGAGAGGGATTGTTTGTGTTAAGCTTTCCAACATGCGGCCGGGGACAGCTTTGAATGCAGCCCAACTCAAATTCACAAACTTTATTAAAATGTCATGGCCGGGCGCGGTGGCTCATGCCTGTAATCCCAGCACTTTGGGAGGCCGAGGCAGGCAGATCATGAGATCAGGAGATCGAGACCATCCTGGCTAACACAGTGAAACCCCGTCTCTTCTAAAAATAAAAATAAATTAGCTGGGCATGGTGGCGGGTGCCTGTAGTCCCAGCTACTCAGGAGGCTGAGGCAGGAGAATGGCGTGAACCTGGGAGTTGGAGCTCGCAGTGAGCTGAGATCGCGCCACTGCACTCCAGCCTGGGCAACAGAGCGAGACTCTGTCTCAAAAAAAAAAAAAAAAAAGAAAATTGTAAAAAACACTGATGACATTTTTTTTTTAAAGCTCATCACTTAGTGTTAGTGTTAGTATGTTTTATGTGTGGCCCAAGACAATTCTTCTTCCATTGTGGCCCAGGGAAGCCAAAGCATTGAACACTGCTGTTTTAAATGATAGTGACTTTTTCTGAATCTATTTGTGTTAGATATGTTACTTTTGGATTTTAATAAGGGATGTTTTAGGAAAAACGTGGTATTTTAAATATAAGAAAAGCAGACAAAGGAGACAGTAAGATTCACTTAATAATGTAAGAAAAATTATCTGAGAAGACAAATTAAATATAGCAAAGTGGATTTAAATACCCATAGATAAGGTGCTTTGACTGCCAGTTTGCCCTGGATATCTTTTGTCCTGGTTAATTTAAAATGTTCACGATCCTTAAGAATTCCTTTGGAAAAATGCTTTGGTTTCTGGTTGATTGGATTTTTTAATGCTATTATCACATTTTTAAAAATTGCCATATGATATAAATGCTTTTTAGTTATACATTTTTTCCATAATACTAACCTATCCTTTGCACTTTGGTATAGAAAGCTTAACAGTTAACTACATTTACATGTGTATGTTATTTAGAAGTAATCCATAATGGCTGTACCTACTGATTATTAAGCATCCACTAGGTTAAGTCACTATGCAATAATATACTCCTTATGTTATTTCTAATCCATAAATGTAGACATCACTTCCCACCTTTCGTATTTGGGATCATTACAGCTTGGAGAAGTTCAGTGAATTTACCCATGGTCATACGGTGACAAAACTAATATTAGAACCAAATTTGATTTTCTCCAAAGCCTGCTTTTTAAAAATATACTACCTACATATTTTTCTCTTCAGATCCCTATAGGAACATGTATTTTTACTGCTTCATGGTTCAAAAAGTTTTTTATTTGGAATAAATTAAAATAACTCGGGTTTAGTGCTTCCTGGTTCACCCAATTTATTAACATTTACTTCATGAATGTTTGATTAGTAATTACTAAAATAATTTTAATATTTCTCTAACATCAAGCCAGAAAGAGGATTCTTAGTGGGTTCTCCCATCCTATCCATCATTTTTTTCATGAGACTTCTAATTACACTAATTTGTCCATATTTCATTTCTTTTCTCTATTCACTTGCCCTTGCTCTGCCAGACTCCTTGAGAGAAGTCATGGATTTGGTTGACTTATTGTATTAGGATCTTTTTGTCTATTTCTTTAGTTCTGCAGTGTATATATAAAAAATATATATAGTCCTCTTCATCTTTTGCCCTTTTCATCTTAAGACTGTCTTTTTATTCATTTTGTTATATTTTACGTTTTGATTGCTTTGCCTTTTTTTATTTGCTATGGTAATTTCTTCTACCACATATCTTATGAGTTTTTCCCATTTTGTCTTTTCAATTTCAGACATGTTTCTAATACTTAATATGCTTCTAATATTATTTAGCGGGAAAATTTCCAGTGTAGGTATGACACTAGCATTTTCCTATTAAAGACATCTTCAAAGCATAAAACGCTGTTATAAATCTTATAAACCATATTTAAAGCCCTAAAGGCTAGTGATGAAATGGGTTTTGAATGTAGTTTTTATTCTGAACATGTTTCATCCAGTGACAGGGTTTTTTTGTTTTAAGCAAATGAATATGGAGATTATTTTCTTTGATATTGGCATACTTACTTTCAGTATCTTAGTATATTAGAATAGAACTTAAATACTTGGTTTTATTGTTTTCAGTATTATAACACTTCTAGTGTTAAGAAAGTATTTTAAATGTTACTCTTACTTAATAGCATTATGTCATTCACTTATAGGGTGTGTTTGACCATCGAATGAAGTGCTGGCAGAAATGGGAAGATGCTCAAATTACTTTGCTCAAAAAACGTGAAGCTGAAGCAAAAATGATGGTTGCTAACAAACCAGATAAAATACAGCAAGCTAAAAATGAAATAAGAGAGGTGATTACTAAATGCTTTAATCTCTTTACTTAAGTTTTGCATGAGTCATTCATATATACATAATTTTTCATAATTTTTTGTAAACCATTCAACACGTAGCTATTTTTGCATATTTTTATGAACTGTGTTAGAATTACTTTAACATTTTGATCATTATTATTAAAATCTCCAGAGCCCTTCATTACTTATGGAATGGATAAAGAAGCATACAAGGAAAACAGCTAAAATTAACCTTTACATTAATAATTACACATTTTTATTAGATGGTTAATTTTATTTCAGATTATTATTTTGTGTCTAAAAATGGTTTTAGAGCTAGATCTCTCCCACATTTAGCTGTCCAGGCAACATTATCCCCCATATATATGTATTATATATGGTATTTTAGTGAATTTGTATAAGTTTATTATAATTTATACACTTTTCTTACCATGCTTCAATAAGGAAATTGAAGAGGTAGGACAACCTTTATGTTACTAAAAATAAATGTACCTGCCCTTTGAAGAGTATGTACCAGTGTTTTGGTTACATAGTGGGAAAAATATCATTTCATTGCTTAAATCTTCAGTTATTTTAGTTGTTTCATTGTTCACTAATCACAACATTTTGTTGTTTCTGTACTGAATTTAATATTTATTGATGGTCTTCAGTAGACCATAATTCCACATTTTTTTCCAATCTGGTCATTTTACCATTACAAAAATATTTTTAAAATGTTTATCATGTAATTTTCCTAATTTAAAATATTTCCATCAGCATATAAATTTTGAAGAACACATATCCTTGGATTTAACAGTATTGATATATTCTGAAATAATTATTGATATAAAAAAGTAATTAAGAAAATTACACTATAGCACTGATAATTTATTTTGTGGTGAATTTTATGCCCAAAATCTTTCCTCTTAGTTATATTTAATTAAGCTTTGGACATTGTAGTTTATTAAGTACAGTATTGAAATATCTTAATATTGAGCAAATCTGTGGAATATTAAAGGAAATTAAGCTAACATGCATTTCTATTGGTTGACAGTTAAATGCAATTTCTGTTGATGCTAAATTGTGCATTGCCAATATTGAGCTTTCTCAGGATTTTCAGGCATTGTGATTAAATTAAGTGAGTGGTCTTGACAGTACTATACTTTTTTTTGAGATAAGCATAAAATATTTCTTTGTTTTTATTAGTGGGAGGCGAAAGTGCAACAAGGGGAAAGAGATTTTGAACAGATATCTAAAACGATTCGAAAAGAAGTGGGAAGATTTGAGGCATGTATAATAATTTTGCATTTATCTTAACAACATGGTCACATTTTGCTGCAATTTTGTGGTAAAGTTGAATTTAGCTTTCTACTAACGGACTTTTTAAAATGTACTTCAACAGAAAGAACGAGTGAAGGATTTTAAAACCGTTATCATCAAGTACTTAGAATCACTAGTTCAAACACAACAACAGGTAAGCCATTTTTGTTTATAACTTAAACTTCTAGAATTTGTTTTTGGTATACTTTCTTATTTTAAAAAGATGATTAATGAACTGGGCATTTAAACTCAAGAATAAGAAATGGAAGACAGAAAGCCAGTGATGGTAAAGGATAAAAGGGTAAACTAATCGGAAACTATCTCACGTGTTTTTTTTTTTTTTGCCTCTGCTTAACACTAAGGCAGAGATAGACTTTTCCCAGTTTTAGGCCATCAGAAACCTCATGGGCAACTTTCCCCTTTCACTGTCTTTCTAGTTTGTTTTCCTTGTTGGTCAGACCTGTTTGAGTAAATTCTCATAGTAAGTTCTTCTCTTCCATAACAAATAGAACTTAAGCTAAACACTTTTTCAGAATTAAAAAAAAAAACTGTACTGTTTTCATTTTTGCTTTATTTTGTTTGGGGTTGGTGGTGGTTGAATGCTGCAAGTGGCAGTTATCTCATTTACCATGGATTTTAATGGTATATTAAATAAAAAGATAATCACAGAAAATTTTCCTGTATATTTTAATGTAAATTAGAGTAACAGGTCAAGTAATTTAATATCTTGAAGGATTTCTTCCTTCCAGTTTTAAAATATGTGGATCTAGAATGTCATTTGTGTAAAACATAATAGGTTGTTTTTGAATTAAGTGGTATGATGTCTTCAAATTGTGTTTAATTTTTATTTAAACAGCTCATAAAGTTAAATTTTTTTAAATATGAAAATAAGTCATATAAGCTTGTTTTTAAAGGAATTGTTTTAAACATGACTTCAGTTGATATTTCAGTCTGTTCTCTGGACTATTCAAGGAAGACTGACAGCTAATTCTATCCAGTCCTTTTTTTTTTCTTGTTCAGTATTTTCTTTTCTTCCTCCTTATATCCCATTTTTTTTTGTCTAGCAATAACATAAACTGTCAATATGCTCTGAATTGGGAAATCCTGTCACTTTATGCTGGAAAAGGTCATTGTAGTTGTATTATTTGCTTTAATATATGGTAACACTGTTCTGTGTAAAATTTTGCATAAAACAAAAAATTGTACATTAAAAGAACTCCATTATTTTACATCAAAAACTAAAAGTAGCCAGGAGTAATTAATGTTTTAAATAATTTATATATGAAATATATTGACGGACTTCAGATAAGGAAATTAAAATGATTCCTTTAAGAACCAGACATTGGCCGGGCGCAGCGGCTCATGCCTGTAATCTCAGCACATTGGGAGGCCGAGGCGGGTGGATCACCTGAGGTCAGGAGTTTAAGACCAGCCTGGCTAACATGGAGAAACCCCATCTCTACTAAAAATACAAAAAAATTAGCTGGGCGTGGTGGCGCACCTGTAATCCCAGCTACTCAGGAGGCTGAGGCAGGGAATCGCTTGAACTGGGAGGTGGAGGTTGCAGTGAGCCGAGGTCATGCCATTGCACTCCGGTCTGGGCAATAAGAGTGAAACTCCACCTCAAGAAAACAAAACAAAAAAAACCCAGACGTTAGTAAATATTAGTCATTGTTAGCTATTTGTATGGTTTTTTAATGTTGTTTTTGTTTGTTTGTTTGTTTGTTTTTGAGATGGAGTCTTGCTCTGTTGTCCAGGTTGGAGTGCAGTGGTGTGATCTTGGCTCACTGCAACCTCTGTCTCCTGGGTTCAAGCTATTCTTGTACCTCAGCCTCCCCAGTAGCTGGGATTACAGGCAAGCGCCACATTGCCAGGCTAATTTTTGTATTTTTAGTAGAGACGGGGTTTCACCATGTTGACCAGGCTAGTCTTGAACTCCTGACATCAGGTGATCCACCCATCTCAGCCTCCCAAAGTGCTGGAATTATAGGTGTGAGCTACCCAGCCCGGCTTATGTAGATTTTTTTTTAATGCTGTACAGGATATATGCATATAAATGACAAAAAGGTAATGAGAATAACTTATATTTTAATTATCATTCACAGCTGATAAAATACTGGGAAGCATTCCTACCTGAAGCCAAAGCCATTGCCTAGCAATAAGATTGTTGCCGTTAAGAAGACCTTGGATGTTGTTCCAGTTATGCTGGATTCCACAGTGAAATCATTTAAAACCATCTAAATAAACCACTATATATTTTATGAATTACATGTGGTTTTATATACACACACACACACACACACACACACACACACACACTCTGACATTTTATTACAAGCTGCATGTCCTGACCCTCTTTGAATTAAGTGGACTGTGGCATGACATTCTGCAATACTTTGCTGAATTGAACACTATTGTGTCTTAAATACTTGCACTAAATAGTGCACTGCAAGACCAGAAAATTTTACAATATTTTTTCTTTACAATATGTTCTGTAGTATGTTTACCCTCTTTATGAAGTGAATTACCAATGCTTTGAATAATGTTCACTTATACATTCCTGTACAGAAATTACGATTTTGTGATTACAGTAATAAAATGATATTCCTTGTGAAATATTAGTAACAAATTATTTGGGTATTTAAACATTAGGAATCTTTTCAAAGCATTTTTAATAGGAAGAAATTTTTCTTCTAGATGTATATAGGTGATGCCATGATTCCTTAATTATTTTAATTGACAAAGCTGAACTCATTAAATGACTAAATGAAGCTTAAGTTTTCTTATGAAACCATCATAAATCAAAGAACATTTGACTCTTGATTGTCTTGGGTAAAGAAGAGAATAATTGTCTTTGCTTGTTTTTAACCATCTCTATTACAAGTGCCCAATTTAAGAATTAGGAAAAAAATGTATTTATATACTTTTACAAGTCCCATGGATTTTGTTCATCTTCTCGTTATCTTCAGAATCTCGTACTTTGCATATATTTAATTTATTCTTGTCTTTTGGTTTTTTTTCTTTTAAACTAAAAGTATATCATCTGTGCTCACAGTTGACAAGGAATGGTACCATGTTAAAATATACCATGATTTGATGAATAAGCAAGCACAACACAAAGCAAATTTGAAGTAAACTGAAATTTAGTTTGCCTTGGGCAATGTTTTTACCCATTCTGTATGCTACTTAGACAGCTGTTATCTAATCCTTAATGCTGATGAAAATTTAAGTCATGGCTGGGTGTGGTGGCTCACGCCTGTAATCCTAGCACTTTGGGAGGCTGAGGTGGGTGGATCACCTGAGGTCAGGAGTTCAAGACTAGCCTGGCCAACATGGTAAAACTCCATCTCTACTAAAAATACAAAAATTCGCCTGGTGTGGTGGGGTGTGCTTGTGGTCCCAGCTACTTGGGAGGCTGAGGCACAAGAATCGCTTGAACCAGGAAGGTGGAGGTTGCAGTGAGCCAAGATCATGCCGTTGCACGCCAGCCTAGGCAACAAAAGCAAAACTCCATCTCAAAAAAAAAAAAAAAAAAAAAAAAGATGACTGGTGTCAGAGCTATTTTTGTTTTTTAAAAAATATTCTTACAAACACCCCTCTTCTTGAGCTTAACCACCACATATCCCTTCCATAGGAACAAGATATGGTATGTGTAACTAAGTCATCTCTAGTGAGTCACTGGATACAATTTATATATCGAAGTATCCTTAGCATGTGTTTGCTTCTGCTTTAGTTGAAATGTTAAGCCTTCTATAGGTGTTATTCATATTTATACTCCCACAGCCCAGAAGAGTGGCTGATACATAATAGGTTAATAATAAGGGCTTGATGGGCCAGGCACAGTGACTCACATGCCTGTAGTCCCAGCTTCTTGGGAGGCTGAGGCAGGAGGATCTCTTGAGCCCAGGAGTTTGAGGCTATAGTACACTATGATCGTGCCTGTGAATACCCACTAACCTACAGCCAGCCTGGACAACATAGTGAGACCCTGTCTCTAAAAAAAATGAAGACTTGATGAGTTGAACAGGGAAAACAAAAGTTTGCTCTTCTAAAAAGAAACTGAAGCAGAAATAGTACAATCATCTTTTGTTGCTTCTGGGAATACTTTTCAGAAACGAATAATTCATAGTAATATATATCAGATGCTATCTTGTTGCTCCATTAATATTGAGCAAAAGATAGGCTTACCAAGAATAGTTTCACTATAATGATGTCCTAGTGTTATATCCACAGGTATATTACTTAACAAAGGTATAGTTTACACATAGGATGGTTATTCAAGTTATTATTAAAATCTTCCATTCAGATGTGGTACATTAGAATATTCAGTACCTCCAAGTAAAATAATAAATATTTTCAGCCTTGATTAAACTCTAGACTCCCTTCCAGACTTCCATTTCCCTTGCCCACATTTACTAAAAGATGAGTGTGCTGGAAATTTCAAGTATTATATGAGCCTCTGATACCTACCAGTATTTAAACAGGATTTAATTATTTCAACACTTCACCCATCAATCTTCACTTCTCCTGTTCAGATAAAAATGCTTTCATCCCAAATAAGTAAAACAAGAACATTAATAGTGCTAATAATATAATCTTTTCATTGGATAGGTCTGAGTTTAGCGTTTGTTTGTTTTCTTAATGAGATCAAAAGTTAAAGACCAAGGCAGCAAAATATTGTGAAACAAGCTGAACTTGGGATCAGCATACATTTGTTCAGTCTTGTTTCATTTAGTATGACTTTGGGCATATCACTTAAATCTCTTATCTATAAAACAAGTACATAAAAGTCTTGATTCCTGAAGTGCCTTTCTACTTTAAAATATTTTGTTTAAAATATCAAACTTCAATATAAATATGTTGGAAAACAATTCTAATCAAAGAACTTCTATTAAGTAAAACAAGACAAAATGTGTGTAAAAATATGCCTAACACATAGATTTCCTTGATTGTATTTTCTACTGAACTATTTTCAAGTATTCAGCTTTATACTAATATATTAATCTCAAAATACCTTTGTTTCATTGTTGCTACTCCTTAAACTTTTTTCTTTATTATCTAGATCTAGTAAAGTTTTCTGCATTCATTGTATTAATGTTGGTTCAAAAGTAATTGCGTCCTTTGTCGTTATATAAATTGTTTTATAAATGGCTTTAACTATGACATAAGCCTTTTAACATAATCAGCTTTCTTTAAAGGAGGAAGTCAGATGAGTAGAGAAGGAAAGTTATATTCCTTTACAAATGCTCTTAATTTTAATGTCTTAAGGGAATTATAGAGACTTCCATTATTCTGCCTTAAATAAGGGATGTTACTTCAGTTTTCTTGTCATGGCTCCCTGCATGGGCAGTCATGTTAACAAGAGTCAGGGAGATAGCAGATATTCCATAATAGTGACTGCAGATAGGCCAGTCAAAGTCATTTTGTTTTAAAGGAAGGGAGGTTGCTGGTAGTTAGGTGGGAAAATAACACCTGTGAAAAGGAAGTCCAAGTCACTGGCTCAGGGACTTTGGAGGCATTTTCATATCATATTCACTAGTCAAGAAACGTGTAGATTATATGTGTGAGTGACATAGTCTGTTTCAAAGTATTAGAAAAGAGACAATAGAATCACCCACCCTCCCTTCGACACACACTTCCTTATGTAAAATCAGAATCAAATAATTATCATTCCTAACCCTCACAGTGAAGGATTTGGTTTCATGTAACAATGAAAGTAGATAATGGGTCAGACATGGAAATAGCAATAAAAGGGAATTACAACAAGATAAATGTGAGTAATAGTTCATTTTCCTGCATTTTTGATGAGGGCCATGAAGATAGGTCATGGTAATCTATGGAGAAGGTCCTTAAGAGCATAGAACAATATAAATATAATATGGGCCATATATATAATTTTAAAATTTTCTACAGCCAAATGTTAAAAAGTAAAAAACAATTTTAATAATCCAGTAGCTCCAAAATATTATTTTAATATGTAATCCAATATATTGAAGTTATAAGATATTTTACATTCTTTTTTTGATATCTGATGTATATTTTACACTTTCATCACATCTCCATTCAGACCGGCTACAATTTGATCAGTTGTCACATGTGGATGACTAGTGGCTATGATAATGGACAGCATAGGTTTAGACAATGCCTATTCAACTATTCAACTTGTTTTACATTTATAAATCTCAAAATGCCTTTATTTCATTGTTGGTACTCTTTTTTATTACCCAGATACAATAAAGTTTTCCAAGTTTCATTGTACACATGAAATGAGTTTACTGTGGAAATGAAAATGCAGAGTAAGTCCAACAGCTAGTTTATCATCCTGAACCCAGTGAAGAAATCAAAGCTGAATAAAAGCGACTCCTAGTTGTTACTCTCAAGGGCAGGTATAATTTATGTGCAAGACTTTGTAGCATAATGTTTTGCAAGTAGTGGATGTTCAATATCTACAATAAATGAATTGTAGTACTATATTGCTTGAAGGAAGTTTATAACCTGTCTAGAACAACTTTCTCAATTTTACAACTAAACTAGGAGATCCAGGGCTTAAATCATGATTGAACTGATTATTCCTGTTAAATTTATGTGTGAACCATATGTGAACATTCTTTGAAAATGTATGATAAGCATTTCAAGATTTCTGTTTTAATTATTAACATTTAGAATTCTAGGAAATCTTTTGGGATACAGAGAACTTATTTCTTCCAACTGTTGCTTCAGACGCTGATAAGATTGTAGAAGATAGGGAAGCTGTAGTTTACTATCTAGTTTTTTAATGCACATGAAGTAATTTAAAATGCTCTTCTTCCTTTCTTGTCACATACTTTTAAAAAATTCTCTAAAGATTGAATAATTTTAAGTATTTCTTAACTGGGCAAAATGGAAACTTTGTAACTGAAGCCAGTCAAGGTGAATACACAGAAAATCATTTTCTTATTAAGGTCAGTTAATGGGATAAACCGTTTTAAGAGAGTTGAGAAAAAATAAAGTTCTATTTTAAATTTATACATGTAACTTTAATAAAAACTAAGTCAGACAAAATTTAACAAAACTAAATTGCCTTCTTACTGCTTCCATAGTCAGTCTCGAGTTATCTTGATTTTAACCTACTCTTATTTTCTAGATCTTCATTTCAAATATTCTCACTATATATGTGTATACAGTGTGTATATTTGTGTGTAGAAGTGTGTGTGTGAATGCAACAGGCTTTTAAACCAAACTTAATTTCTAAATTGTAGTTTTAAATATGTCCCAGCCTTCTGTAACTGAGACACAAAGCCAAATGCTTATGTTTTTAGAGTTATATTGCTTAGGTGTCATAATTTCACTAAGACCAACTTGAACTGATTCCACTTTTGAAATCTCTGCCCTTATTTTATTTCCATTGTCTGTCTCCTCAGGGTCAAGATCTTGTGGCTGGGACTATCTTGAGTCTCCTATAAAAACTATTCTTGCCGGGCGCGGTGGCTCACGCCTGTAATCCCAGCACTTTGGGAGGCCGAGGCAGGTGGATCACGAGGTCAGGAGATCGAGACCATCCTGGCCAACATGGTGAAACTCCGTCTCTACTAAAAATACAAAAATTAGCTGGGTGTGGTGGCGCGTGCCTGTAATCCCAGCTACTCAGAAGGCTGAGGCAGGAGAATCGCTTGAGCCTGGGAGGCGGAAGTTGCAGTGAGCCGAGATCGTGCCACTGCACTCCAGCCTGGCAAGAGAGCTAGACAACGTCTCAAAAAAAAAACAAAAAAACAAAAAACAACAAACAAAACTATTCTTTTAGTCTCTCTCTACTCTGCCAGTCCTACAACCTGCTCCCAAATTGATCTTCCTAAATAACTCTTGTCATGGTACTATGCTCAGAAATCTTCATAGACTCCTTACAGTCTGCAGATAAAGTTCAGATGCTTGCTCCATAATTTGGTCTCAAACTATTTTTCCTGTCTTGATTCTTACCCCTTAACTTCACTCACCTTTTGCTTTAATGAAATTAGGCTCCTGTCTCATGAGCATGCTCTCTTCCTTCCTGGTTCATGTTTTTGTTAGTGACACCCCTTCTCTGATTAACCTTTCCCTTTTAACAGCAATTGTTTAAATCTTGTCCATCCCTTAAACTTTAAAGCCAAATCTAAAGTCCACATCCTTTTAAGTACCCTAGCTAGAAGGAATGTCTCTTGATCTCTCAGTAGGACTCCAGTAACACTTTGTTCCTTTTAGATTGCAATTATAGAGATCTATCTTGCATTATAGTTGTGTGGCATTACTGCCTTGACTAATTTGTATGTCTCTTGAGGAATGACTATGCCCATGTTATTTCTTGTAGAAACCAGTGTTTTACAGCCAAGACAGTGTAATCGAATGATTAAGAATGCAGTTACACATTCAGCCCACCAGTATGAATCCTGGCTCAAGAGCCTACAATATTGACTTTAAGCAAGTTATTTATCTCTAAAAGTTACTTTCCTTATCTGTATAATGGAAAGTGTCCCTTCAGATGCTCCTTAAGGACACTAAGATGATGTGAATTTCTTAGCAATAGCAAGTGCTTTATAAAATATTAGCTATCATATATCCAATAAATGTTACTGAACACTTAACATCTCAGTCTGAACAAAGTACTCACATTTCGATTATTTCACCAGTCTTTAGGGCTTCTTCAAAACAACGAGTTTATGCTTGACTATGGTCTAAATAGGCTTACCAAAAAGAGCCCTTCCCAGAATAGTATGCCCTAGGAGATCCACACTGGGAGCCCTGGGGCTGAGCATCAGAGGTGGAGGGGAAAAAAGCAGGCAGTCAAAATCAATTTGTATTCAGCCAACAAAAGTTTAGAACTTCATCCACTACAGAGATACTCTACTATAGATAAATGAATGTTATCAGTAAATGTGAGAAACCTTTAAAAAGCCTGGAGACCAAGGATGAAATAGAAATATGGTTATTAGGGAAAGAAAAGTTCACTTCCACCCAAACACATGTAAGAACCTTGAATATGTTGTAAGCCAGAGGAAATAGTAAATCATGGAAGGAAGATGGTGAGTGAAAAAATTATAAGAACATTCGATGCAGCAGCAGTCAACCAGCCAAGTGATGGTAAAGGCCTGAACCACTGTAGTGGAAGTAGGAAAGGAGGTAATTTAGGGAAACCGTAATTAAGATGGCAAGTTTCATTTATTCTTTCATTTATCCATCCATTTTGAAATCTGCATGCAAATTTCAAAAATCCTGGGTAAAACTAATATCTAAGGGAAGAAAGAAGTCAGGTAGATGGAAAGAGTCTCAGAAAGAAGTGGGGATATTTCTTACTCTGCACAAAAGGAAAGGGAAGAATGAGTGTATTTGGAGATGAAAAAAAGGCAGGACATTTTTTGTTTTGGCAAAGTAAGAAAGCCATCAGGGAGTAATGTCAGCAGAAAGGCCAAAGAAGATTAGATACCAAAAAAGAATGGCACATGTTTAGGAAAAAAAAGGGAGGGGATGAGTAAAAGGACTATTGATGAGTGCTAATTTTCAAATGAGTGAAAATCATGAGTTTACAGTGAAGCCAACTGAAGAAAATATATATTTCTTAAGCCATCAGAAAGTATGACCTAAAACTGATGGATTTTTTTCAGTATTGGGGATTGTTGGTGGGTTTCAGAGAACATTTAGGGAGAAAGTTGCATTGAGAGAAATGAAGGCAAGAGAAAGGTGACAAGCATAAATTAGAGGATTTCAATGCGGTGATGAAGTGAAAGCAGATTTTCTACCAGAGAATGAGAGAGAAGAATTGAGAAAGTAGTCAAAGGAGGGAACTTAAGTTTCAGAAATGAAGACGTTAATTTTTAGTATGTTGGCACGTTTTGAAAAAGAGAATAACTTCAAAATGGCAACCAACCTGTATTTAGTAATGCCATCAGGGTTATTTCTGTGGCATTCCTAGAATTTGCTTTTAATTTAATTTTTATTTTGAGACGGAGTCTCACTCTGTCGCTGAGGCTAGAGTGCAGTGGCATGATCTTGGCTCACTACAACCTCCACCTCCCGGGTTCAAGCAATTCTCCTGCCTCAGCCTCCGGAGTAGCTGGGACTACAGGCACGTGCCACCATGGCCGGCTAATTTATGTATTTTTTGTAGAGACGGGGTTTCACCATATTGGCCAGGCTGGTCTCAAACTCCTGACCTCAGGTGATCTGCCCACGTTGGCCTCCAAAAGTGCTGGGATTACAGGTGTGAGCCACCGTGCCCAGCCTAGAATTTGCTTTTTGATTTGTCAATTATTTGGCAGTTTTCTTGCTTGTCAATGCATTACAGTCTACTTCATCCTTTTGATTTATTTTAGTTGATGTTTATCAAATTAATACATGCACATAATCTGAAAACTAGCATTGAAAACGCTAAATAGCCAGGTGCAGTGGCTCATGCCTGTTAATCCTAGCACTTTGGAAGGCCAAATTGGGTGGATGGCTTGAGCTCAAGAGTTCGAGACTAGCCTGAGCAACATGGCAAAACCCTGTCTCTACAAAAAAATACAAAAAATTAGCTGGGCATGATGGCTCACACCTGTAATCCCAACTACTAGGGAGGTTGAGGTTGGGAGGATTGCTTGAGCCCAGGAGGCTGAGGCTGCAGTGAGCCGTGTTCATGCTACTGCACTCCAGCCTGGATGACAAAGTGAGACCCTGTCTGGAAAGAAAAAAAAAAAAAAGGCTAAATAAAAAACAATGGTTCTCTGTCCCACGTGTCCTGTTTTCCTAATCCTTTTCCTCAGAGACAACCTCTTTCTAGTCTTAGCTGTTTCTCCTGCCATCATATACCTTCACATTTCTAAATAATAGGCATATATTGCTATCAATCATCAATTTTGGGCATTACCTACTTATCTTTTTTATGGTAAATCAGTTTGGTTCTCTCACTCTGCCATCTCTCTGCTTTACACATTTCTTCCCCACCCTTTCAATGTAGTTACATTGCAATCTTTTTGTTAAATCAGTGTTTGCATTATTGTGCCTATGCAAATATTATTCAAAGCTAAAAGTTGAAGTGTATTGTGATTTTCTTCCTTTTTTAAAAAATAAACTGTTTTAGAAGTTTTAGATTTACGGAAAAAATGTGAAGGTAATACATATAGAGTTCTCATATACCCTGCACCGTTTCTTCTATCAACATGTTAGTATAGTACACCTGTTACTACTAATAAATAAATACTGAAACATTATTATTAGCTAAAGTCTGTTGTTTACTCAGATTTCATTTGTTTTTGCTTAATGCATTTTTTCTGTTCCAGGACCCCTTCCAGGATACCACATCCAGGATACACTGAGTTGTCATGACTCCTTCTGCTCTTGGTTGTGACAGTTTCTCAGGCTCTCCTTGTTTTCTATTACCTTGCTATTTTTCCCTCAGGTAAAACATGCCTTGATTTTTTTCATGTGGTTGGTGCTTTTTTTTTATTATTGCTAATTTTTCCCATGTCTTCCCATAATAGTGTCTCAGTACATTTTCCCATAGACCACCCATACTGGGTAATCTAGCCATTCTAAATGTTTTCCTTTGAGCCCTCTCTCCTGGGGACTTCTCTATGGGGCTGGTGCTTTCTGGACTTGCTGTAGTGTTATCCTTGGACTCCTCTTGCTCTCAAATTTGGAATTGCCTTTACCATTCTCCTGGCATGTATTCCTTATATCCTGAGACTCAGGCCTTCCTCTTTCTTGGTATATTTTCTTGTGTTGGTGAAGCATATTTTCCAGTAGTTCCTTTAGGTTAAAAGGAAGACACAGCAGACAACATTGTGAAGACAGACCTCAAAACGCCTGCTTCTTGAGTCATGTTGCTTTAGTCTGTACTAGTTACCTTTTTAAACTCATTGCACAGTGGTAATCCTAAAGATTTCCTTTGCTTCTCCTTTGGGTTGTATCTTTTGTTTTCTATACCCCACAGTTTCCTCTTTCTTGATTTATTCCCTCATTTTGGTGAATATACAGAGTAGGTTCTTAAAAACAAATACATCAAAAGTCAATTTTTTTTTTTTTTTGAGAAGGAGTCTTGCTCTGTCACCTAGGCTGGAGTGCAGTGGCATGATCTCGGCTCACCGCAGCCTCCACGTCCCAGGTTCAAGCGATTCTCCTGCCTCAGCCTCCTGAGTAGCTGGGATTACAGGCACGAGCCACCATGCCCAGCTAAATTTGTATTTTTAGTAGAGATTTTGGGGTTTCAACATGTTGGCCAGGCTGATCTTAAATTACTGACCTCAGGTGATCCACCCACCTCAGCCTCCTAAATTGCTGGGATTACAGGTGTGGGCCACCGTACCTAACCTATTTTTAAGACTTTACCCTAATTTTTATAGATAATTTGAGTATAGATTAGAAAAATTTTCTCTTGGAATTTTGAAGACATTGCTTCATTATCTTCTAGCTTCCAGTGTTGCTGTGGAGAATTCCAAAGCGCTGATTTGTCTAATCTTTTGTGTATGAATGAGCTGTTTTCTTCCTCTCCTTGAAGACTATAGGATCTTATCTCCAGTGTTCTGAAATAATGTAAAGATTTGTAACAGTGGCCAGGTGCCATGGCTCACGCCTGTAATCCCAGCACTTTGGAAGGGCAAGGTGGGCAGATCATTTGAGGTCCGGAGTTCAAGACCAGCCTGGCCAACATGGCAAAACCCTGTCTCTACTAAAAAGACAAAAAAAATGAGCCCAGCATGGTGGTATGTGCTTGTAATTCCAGCTACTCTAGAGGCTGAAGCACAAGAATTGCTTGAACCCAGGAGGTGGAGGTTGCGGGTGAGCCAAGATCGTGCCACTGCACCCCAGCCTGGGTGATAGAGTGAGACACTGTCTCAAAAAAAAAAAAAAAGATTTCTAATAGCATGTGTTTGTTTTCATCCTGTGTGGGGACTTTCAATCTGGAAACATGACATTCTGGTGTGGAAATTTTCTTGAGTTATTTCACCCATGATTTCCTTTCTTCTGTATTCTCTGTCTTCTCTTTCTGGAATTTCCATTGTTTGAATATTGGATGACCTGGATTTGATTTTTGCTCCTATTTTTCATCTCTGTCATTTTGCTCTACTTTCTACGAGTTCTTTTTCTGTTTTCTGATTGTTTCTGTTTTTAACAGCTTCCTGTTCTTGTTTCATAGATGCAATGTCTTCCTGTATCTCTCTGAAAATATTAGTGACAGTTTACTTTATAAGTTTTTTCCCCCCTCCTGGTTTTTGTTTCTTCCAAATTGTTTTTCTATTTTGGTATCTCTTCCATGTTAGATGCTTTCCTCAGATATGTTACTTGTTAGATGTCTCTTCATGATTAGCAGTGGGATTTGAAAGCTGACTGGAAGCTTTGGGAGTAGTTATGGGGCCTGTCAACTTAGAGCATCACTGAAGAGTGATCTCATTGGGCTATTTGTAGGAGACTTTCAATGTTGGTATCTTCGAAGTTTTTCCTATTGAGCTATTTAGATTCCCGCAGAGAATACATTTCCTGTTGCCTGCCTAGCAGGTAAAGGTGTTGCTGCCAGCCTTTATAGAGTGTCAGCATTCATTATTCAGTATGTGTAGGATCACTTACCCTCAGACTCCAATTATTTTTGATAAAAGTATCCCTGCCCTCAGCTGGGCCAGTCAACTTCTTTGGAGTTTCACTCTTGTTGCCCAGGTTGGAGTGCAATGGCATGATCTCTGCTCACTGCAACCTCCTCCTCCCAGGTTCAAGCAACTCTCCTGCCTCAGCCTCCCAAGTAGCTGGGATTACAGGCATGCACCACCACACCCGGCTAATTTTGCATTTTTAGTAGAGATGGGGTTTCTCCATGTTGGTCAGGCTGGTCTCAAACTCCCGACCTCAGGTGATCCAACTGCCTTGGCCTCCCAAAGTGCTGGGATTACAGGTGTGAGCCACCACGCCCGGCGGGCCAGTCAACTTCTAATGCAAAGATTGTTTCTTTTTCCCTCTCTAGAGGAAATATTCTCCAGATGTAGAGGGAACAATGGATCTTCCTGATTCTCAGTTTTTACCAAGACTCCTTATTTTAGCCAATTACCTTCCATTCTAGAGGTACCTATTGTTCCTTTTGTGGCGCCTTTTGAGTATTGTGCTGTGTAAATCAGGTTGGTTCTGTTTTTCCTGCTGTTGGTTTAAGATTGGGATTTCTCGTTTGCTAAAAATGTTTCTTCCCTTCTATCTGCTTTTCAGCTGACAAATGTCTTGCTCTCTCCTCTCCTATTTTTTCTATCTCTGTGGGTTTTTAAAAAAAGGGAAAAATTACTTGCGTTTATACTGGGGCTAGAAGGTTGAAATTAGTTATATATTTTCAATTTGCTATCTTAACTCAGAAACCTGTACAACAGTCCGGGCGCAGACACAGTGGCTTATGGCTGTAATCCCAGCACTTTGGGAGGCCGGTGGGGGTGAATCACTTGAGGTCAGGAGTTCAAGACCAGCCTGGCCAACATGGTGAAACTCTGTCTCTAAAATACAAAAATTAGTCAGACGTGGTGGCACGTGCCTGTAGTCCGAGGCAGAAGAATCGCTTGAACCCAGGAGGTGGAGGTTGCAGTGAACTAAGATCACGCCATTGCACTCCAGCCTGGGCGTCTCAGCAAGACCTCATCTCAAAAAAAAAAAAAAAAAAAAATCTGTACAACAGTCTTTTTAAATGCAACTCATATTTTTTTTTTTTTTTTTGAGACAGGGTCTTGCTGAGATGCCCAGGCTGGGATTACAGCCATGAGCCACTGTACCCGCGCCTGACCTGTTGTACAGGTTTCTGAGTTAAGATAGCAAAGGTATCTGAAGCGTTTCTTTCCAAATTTTTGCTCATATTGAAGTAATTCTTTTTTAAAAACTGCCAGTACACTAAAAATTAATGTCAGCATTTCTGAAACTTAACTTTCCTCCTTTCACTACTTTCTCATTTCTTCTCTCCTTCATTAACAGAAAATCTGCTTTTACCTCATCACATCTAAATCCTCCAATTTATGCCTGTCCCCTCTCTCTTGCCTTCATTTCTCTCAACGTAACCTTCCCCCTTGATGTTCTCTCAAAGCAGATTGTTAAAGAAGTGAACCCAGCCCCTTAATTCTTTCTCTCATATGCTCTTTTGCCCTTCTGCTATGAGATGACCTTCACAGATGCCAGGGCCATGTTCTTCGACTTCCCAGGTTCTGAGCCAAATAATCTTCTATTCTTTATAAATTACCCAGTCGGTGATATCCTGTTCCATCAGCAGAAAAGGGACTAAGACATTAATCTATCAAATTAAAGATATTTCTTGCTACTTCTAGCCTAAGAATTTGTGTGAATAGTTGTACTGTTTCATTAATTTTTTCCAGAATCTATTGGGATATTTTTTAATCTGACAATATTGTGAAATACATCAAAAGATGTCCTAATGTTTAGCCATCTTTACATTTCTGGGATAAATCTTACTTTGTCATGATGTATTAATCTTATAACTGAATGCTGAACGTATAATATATTCGATTTACATTTTAGTCAAAACTTCTAAATGTTAGTGTTAAAGCAGTTTATCTCAATTTGTTGAAGTATATTTCTACCCAATACTAAGTAAATGTACTTTTAGTGTAAGAATTTTATGCCCAGATTCCAGCAGAATTTTGTTATTTTGCTCCTGAAAATTGTTTGCTTCTATTAATAGATACTAACTGTTCAATGTTTTATATTTGTATTTAGCATGCATTTTTATTAATGTTTTGAGGAAAAGATATTTAGCTGGCCTGTTACAGACTGTAGAGTTGGATTAAAAGATAACATAGGAACAACAGGAAAATACATTTGCCATGTTCTTTTACTTTGGTGCTCTATTCTCCCTTTCCTCGGTGGCTGGAAGACTCAGAGAATTTGGTTAGAAATTTAGTTCTTCTAATTATTAGCTAGTAATTTCATACTTACTCTCCGTGAGCCTGAATTACGCCATCTATAATAACTGAAATCGTAACAATTACCATTTATGGCTGGGCTAATAGACCCTCAAGAACACACCCACACATTGATAGTTTGTATACATTTTCAGCAAGGGAAAAGTAAATTATACACAGCTATTAGTGGAATACAGCAAATGGATATCATTTGGACCATTTATCAGACCTTCATGGAATCACACATTTCTGCCTAAGTCCAACAGGTAAATGGGTGAGCCATGCCATTACCAAAATATATATTTTAGGCTACTAACAGGTTGTAGGATATTATGGAAAGCATATTAAAAACTTGATTCTTGGGAGGCTGAGGTGGGAGGCCCTTGAAACTCATGTTGTGTCTTATCATAACGCTTCCTCATGTGACTGGTTTTTTGTTTTGTTTTTGTTTTTTGAGACAGGGTCTTGCTCTGTCACCCAAGCTGGAGTGCAGTGGCGTGATCTCGGCTTACTGCAGCCTCCGCCTCATGGGTTCAAGCAATTCTCCCACTCAGCCTCTCAAGTAGCTGGGATTACAGGGGTGAGTAACCACCCTGTAATCTGGCTAATTTTTGCATTTTTAGTAGAGACAGGGTTTCATCATGTTGGCCAGGCTGATCTCAAACTCTTGACTTCAGGTGATACACCCACCTCGGCCTCCCAAAGTGCTGGGATGACAGGCATGAGCCACCGCGCCCGGCCATGTGATTGTTATAGAGATGAAATGAGACATTATGTGATACCGAACATAGTACCTGCTGCATTCCACTAGTTTTGTAAAGACGAGTACTTACGTAAGTTACGTGCTGGGTACTATGCCAACCACGAGATGACGAGTTTTTAAAAGCATGCTTGCCCTAAAACCTAGTAGGTAGGGTAGATAAATAAATCATACATACAGTGTATAGTCACCAGAGGCTTAAGGTAACCTACAAGCTGGGCTCTGAACTCAGATAGCTTATCGTCCGCAGAGCTGGTTAGTTACCTCAGGAGGTGCTGGCCAGAAGTGAAAGAAAGGTGTGTAGTCACAGGGCACAGCTAAGGCACAGTTTTGAGAGAAGGGCACATCCTGGAGCTGCAAATGTGTGAGTGCTGGGTTAGGAGGACGGATCTTCAGATGAGACTAATGTAGAGGGGTCCACATCAGGTAAGTTCCTAAAACGAGAAGCTGCCTTATCCCTCTGTTGCACGGCTCAGGGTCCCATCATAAAGTCTAGAGTTTGCTAAGCTGAAATGTCCTCTGCACTCAAGGACAAACGGAGTTAAGTGCAATTGTTTACAGTCCAAGAAAGCTCGCTGGCTGGTTTTTTCCTGGATGGCTGAGGTCACTTCTCAGTGACCTACAAGTCACGTCCACGTTTCTATTCTGCTCGGTGCGCTAACCTAAAGAAGAAACCCAACGTTTACTTGACTAACTTGATAATCAAGCCTCCCCCGCCGGGACACTTAATCTTTTAGGTACCTTCAGCCTACTAGACCCTGGTCCGAGGCACGGGTTCAGTCCTTTTTTTTTCCGTATTCTATTTTTCCCTCACAGTTAAAAAGTACTTCACAGTTAAAGGCGGCATTTTAGAACTGCAGCGTGAAGCCAGAGCGTTTGTCTTAGTGACCGGCCAACTTTCGGGCTCACTTTCGAGCTCTGTGGTACACCACCATTCTCAGATTCGACGTCTAACTCAGGAGACGCTGACCTTCGAATCGAAGGGAATTCGGAGAGTCTTGGTATAAGCCGGCTGGTTCACCGCTGTTAATGCCAGCCGAGAGGGAAAAAAAAAATTCAACCAACCAAAACAAAAGTTAAAAGCGCCACTCTTTCTATTCTTTGCTGTCTGGCAATCTCTTAATGGTGGCGTCTAGCAAACTGCAAATCAAGCTCCAGCCGGAGTCCGCAGGGCAGGGAGCGCCGGGTGCGGCCCAGTCCCCGCGCCCAGCGCGTTGGCGCGCACACCCCGTTTCTGCAGACTCAGGTTTTCTGGCCCCGCCTCTTTCGGGCCCAGCTGATCTCCACCGCCCGTTAGGCCCGAAACCCAGGCGCCTGGAGCCCTGCGCCCTCTGCTTCCGGCCCCCGGCACGCCCAGGGCGCGGGAGCGGCCGGGTCAGCCCGCAGACCTGAGTCCGGCCCGCAGCCTCGGGGCCCCGCGGGCGCAGCGGGGCGGGAGGCGGGGCGGCCCGGCCGTGGGCGGAGCGGCGGCCGCGGCCGTGAGCCTGCCCCCAACTCGCCCTCAGCCGGCTGGCCGGCGCGGCCATGGAGGTCTACATCCCGTCCTTTCGCTATGAAGAGAGCGACCTGGAGCGGGGATACACGGTAGGCGCGGGCCGCGGGCGGACAGGGCCCCGCGAGCCAGGCCTGCGGCTGCTGCGCCCAGGAAACACCCTTGGCCGCCGCCGCCTTGGCGCAGGGGGTCCCCTCGTTTTCTCTCCCCTCCCCCGGCCCAGAGGAAGGGCTGCGCCCTTGGCGCGGTTGTCAAGGAAACGGGCGCCCCTCCCGGGCACGGCGGCTGCGGGCGCCCCTAGCCCCTCGGGGTCCAACCCTCTCCTCCCGGACGAGCTGCAGTCCTCGGACGCGGCACTAGCCATTCTCCCCGCCGCCCGCCTTCGGGAGCCCAGGATGGGCTGCGTTCCTTTCTGGCACAGCTGCCCCCTCAGTCCAGACAGTAGTAGCTTCGCGGCAGATTCACGCTGGCTTCCAAGTTCTGTACAATTAGTTCAGCTGGAAAACCTGTTTTTTTTTTTTAAATCATAATTTGCAGCTGTTTATTAGCCAAACTAAACACGTGTATTGATTTTAGATGATTTCCAAAGATTTTTCTTTTTGAGTTGTGCAGTTCCATGAAATGGCAAAATTACTTGCTGAGCACCTGTTTCATACCTAGGACTGTGGTCACCGAGAAGTGTGAAACAGGACCCCTGCTCTCAAGAGTGAAGGGGAGGGCAGAGACCAGGGCATGGGCCCTTTGAGCAACACGTTTACTAAGTGAATTGTTGGTGGAGATTTCCCAATGAATTCAAAACATTCTTTCCTGGACAGTCATTGCTAGTGGGAGAAATGTCTGAGTGTGTGTACACCTTGGAAGAATTTACTTCCAGTTGTTAAAGAACCTGTAGGGTTGAAGAAAGATTGCAGGGCAGTCTGAAAGATTTGTTATTTTATTTACATCAATCACACACTTGCTAAACACCAGTTACATTACTTTGATGGAGAATATTTTAACCCCTCTCCCCTCCTCTAAATATTACTGGTATTTGGTGACAGTCTGTTTGGGCCATTGTGTTTTCTTAGTTGGGACTAAATTACCCTCTCAAAGGAAGATTTAGAATGAAAAACAGTGATTGAAAAAATAGTCCAGGAAGTCGGTGGGTTTTTAGAATTGAGTAGACTGCTGGATCCAAGTGTTCTGAAACAAGTTGTTAAAGTGCTTTCCTTGGGAAGGAAAATGCAGGGAGAGGGAGCTGTGTTCCATAGTGGTAGTTATTTATATAAATAATCCTTTCCAGTGCATTCACATTTCGTTAAATAGTCTGTATCTTCCTTAAAAACAAACAAACAAACCCTCGAGTTTGTTCAAGGCTTTTTTTTTTTTTTCTTGGAGATTTTATCCAAGTCTCTTAAGCCTAAAACCTTGCTTGTTGTTGCTTCTCCCAGGTATCTCACTTCTCCCATCAGCACTATCAACAGTCATGGAGGGCTTACCATCTTTGGGACATTCATTTAGGATCTGAAGATAAAAAGGCTGCTTGTTAGAGGCGTTGGCTTTCAAAGAAAAGATGAAGTTGATCTTACCGGTTCAAGCTAAAAGTTAATTACCTGCAGAAATAAGCACTTTGAAATAGACCATAATTAAGGCTCATTGCCCATTGTTGATTTTCTTCTATTAGACGAGCTGTGCTTTTCTCCCAAAGCTTTATGTATCTTTTTATTATTTGTATTTATGACCAGGCATGTGCCACACTCCAGGTTGTGAATTAAACTGATGTGGAAGGAGCTCTTTTTTGGACAAATTCGGGAGAGTTTGAAGATTGCTTATGTGATGAGAGTTTGCTCTTTAAATATTTGCTTAAAAAAAATCCTAACTCATCCAGATTGGGAGCTAAACTGTTAAAATCTCTCTCTCTCTTTTTTTTTTTGAGACAGTCTTCCTCTGTCACCCAGGCTGGAGTGCAGTGGGGTGATCTCAGCTCACTGCAACCTCTGCCTCCTGGGCTCATGTAATCCTTCCACCTCAGCCCCTGGAGTAGCTGGGACTACAGGCACATGGCACCACTCCTGGATAATTTTTAAATTTTTTGTAGAGACAGGGTTTCTCCATGTTGCCCAGGCTAGTCTTGAACTCCTGTGCTCAAGCAAACCATCTGCCTAGGCCTCCCAAAGTGCTGGGATAACAGGCATGAGCCACCACACCCAGCCCTAAAATACCTTCTGAAGGGATTTTTTTGCTTCTGTGAGTTTGTGAAGCAGTTATTAGATACTTTTCCCCTCTGCACAACTGGTTTTATGATTGTACAGCGGTTTTTCATTCAACAAATATTTACTGAGTGCCTGCTCTGTGTCTGTATTCTGGGTGTAGGGAATATAGCAGTGAATAAGCTATGAATATAGCAGCTTAAAAAAAACCCCAGAATTTAAAAAATATTTCAGTTTCCTAAATAAGAAGCTTGTAAAATAATGTACACTTTCGTGTAAAAAATATCTTTTTACTTTAGCGATTATGTTTGTGTGAATGTGTGTTTTTAAGAGCTAGGATCTTGCTCTGTCACCCAGGCTGGAGTGCAGTGGCGCAATCCTAGCTCACAGCAGCCTTGGACTCTTGGGCTCAAGTGATCCTTCCCCCTTGGCCTCTTGAGTAGCACAGGCATAAATCACCACAACTGGCTAATTTTTGTATTTTTTGTAGAGATGGGATCTCACTATATTGCACTGGCTAGTCTCAAACTCCTAGGTTTAAGGGATCCTCCCACCTTGACCTCCCAAAGTGCTGGGATTATAGGCGCGGGCCACTGAGCCCGACCTGTGTTTGTGTTTAAAATTTAAAACGGCCGGGGCGTGGTGGCTCATGCCTGTAATCCCAGCACTTTGGGAGGCCGAGGTGGGCGGATCACTTGAGGTCAGGAGGCGAGACCAGCCTGGCCAACATGGTGAAATCCCATCTCTACTTAAAAAAAAAAAAAAAAAATTAGCCAGGCGTGGTGGCGGGCGCGGGTAATCCCAGCTACTTGGGAGGCTGATACAGGCGAATCTCTTGAGCCCCGGAGGCGGAGGTTGCAGAGAGCCGAGATCGCGCCACTGCACTCCAGTCTAGGTGACAGAGCAACACTCCATCTCAAAATAAAAAATAAAAATAAAATTTAAAACACATTACATCACATTCTAACAAATTCAGTAATAGGAAGTTTAAGGTAGAAATGGGTGGTTTCTCCTCTTTGCTTCTAGTCTCATTCCCCCAGAAGTAAAGTTTCTGGGTGTATCTTAGAATTTTTTCCTTGTGCTGTGAGCACATACTTTTTTTTCTTTTAAAAAAATAAATGGCAAGATTTTAGTATAGCTGTCATCTTACAATTTATAGACATCTTTCAATATTGATATGGAGAGGTCTGCCTCCTCTTTCTAACTACTGGAGATGGGCTCTACCACGGTAGGATGTGCCGTAATTTTTTCCCCAGGTATCTGCTGATGGCCAGGAAATCCTTGGACATGATTTTTTATGCCCACTACTAGGATTTCTGTAGAACCTTAACTAGAAGTGGTATTTCCAGCCCTTTACAGTTTTTACAGATATTGCACGATTGTTATTCAAGAAGTTTATACAAATTTATTCTCAGTGTACTAAGTAATTTACCTTTAAAGAATGAATTTTTGCCCTTTAAACATGTAAAGCTTTATTTACTGTGGGCCTGTACTGTGTTGGTGGCGATTTAAAGATGGAAGGGTGGTGTTCCTGCCCTTAGGGATTCTCAGCCCATATAGAAGCTGCTCAGAGCTAGGCCGGGAAAGGTTAGGGTGACCCAATGTCAGCTGGAGCCTTGTATCCAGGGGCCTGAGGGAGGGAGAGGTCAGTTTGGCCTGGCAGGGTGGCTGTGCTGAGGTGGGGGTGCTTAGGAAATGCTGACTTTGAAATCTAATTAGGTTTTTGCTAGGATTGTGAATTTTAGAAAGAGGAAATACAGGACAAAATCTTATAAGCCATTTTAAAACTCAGATATGCCCCCAAAAAAGGGGGGGGGAGGGGCACCTCTAAATAAGTTTGTGAAGAAGTAGGAGATGGTAGTGTAAGAAAATGCAGATGCACCCAAATGTTACTTCCTGGGGAGATTATTCTGTCCCATTCCCTACCCAATGGCTTACTTATTTAATATCCTCTGCTATAAACTCCCCAAGTATCCCCAAGCTATAAACTCCTTGAGGCTAGGTAGTGTCCATCTCCACTGTTGTATCCTAATACAGAATTCAGTACATGTCTGTTGAATGAATAATGAGTGATGTAATCTTCATAGGAGGAGAGAAACCAGAAGAGCAGTGATCTTGAGGTGTGTAGCAGCTCAGAGAGTTAGGTGGAGGGTTGTGCTGCAGACTGGAATTTCAGGATTGTGCGAAGTGATTGCAGTAAGAATAGTGGGGAGAGATCAGCTGACTCCCCTTGAGAGCTATAAGGGAGTGTGGACCTTCAGACAGGGAAGTCATAGGAGAATTTTAAGGAAGGAAGTAACATGATTAGCTTTGCATTTAGAAAGATGACTATCTTAGTTCAGGCTACTTTAACAAAATACAATCAACTGGGTAGTTTATAAACCACAGAAATTTATTTCTCACAGTTCTGGAGGCTGGGAAGTCCAAGATCAAGGTGCTAGCAGATTCAGTGTCTAGCGAGGGTCCATTTCCAGGTTTGTAGGTGATCCCTGCTTGTTGTGTAGAAGTGGCAAAGATCTCACTGGGACCTATTTTATAAGGTTACTAATCCCAGTTATGAGGGCTCTGCCCATGACCTCATCACTTCCCAGAGGCCTTACCATCTAATACCAATACATTGGGTTTAGAATTTCAGCATGAGAATTTGGGGGAGACAGTCAGACTGTAGCGATGATTCTGGAGTATTCATCATTTAAGAGACACTTAAAAATGATCAGAAAGGAGAGGATGAAGGCTAGAACTAAGACTTTAGCGTTGAACATGGAAAGGAAGTGATGACTGCAGATATCTCCAGTACCTGGTGACCAGATGTACAGCAGCAGTGTGACTACCGTGGGTGCAGGTACCAGTAAGCAAATAAGAACTGAAGCAGGGCAGATATTTCATTTGGGCACCCACTGAGTTTTTGGTGATGGGTATAGCTATTTGATTTTGGAGTCTAGGGTGGATTTAAGTCTGGCTTAGAAATATGGCTCTAAGGGGACATTCAGCATAAAAGTTAAAAAAAAAAAAAAAAAACCCACAGAGAAAGAGTGAGGAAAGAGGGAGGGCCAAGGGTAAAACCTTAGAACTTGAATAAGCAAAGAAGTCCCAGCACAGAAGCCAGAGGGAGAAAGAAACCAAGGAGTGTGAGGCTGGAAGAGAGAGGGTGGAAGATGCTTTACAAGAAAGAAAGTGCCAGATGCTCCTGAGTGGTCTTGCAAGTTGAGGATGGACAGCAGTCCATTCTAAGAACTGAGAATAATAGGTCTTGGATGCCACTGTAGGCTTGTAGTTTGAATTTTAAGATACATTGTTGACAAAAATAACAAAACTAGAATTACTACTTAGGTCACAATACAAAAGTATGAATGTATTAGACTTGAGTTTTTTGGTTTTGTTTTTGATTTTTTGAGACAAAATCTCCCTGCGTCACCCAGGCTGGAGTGCAGTGGTGTGATCTCGGCTTACTGCAGCCTCTGCCTCCTGGGTTCAAGCTGTTCTCCTGCCTCAGCCTCCCAAGTAGCTGGGCCTATAGGCACGAGCCACCATGTCTGGCTAATTTTTTGTATTTTTAGTAGAGATGGAGTTTCATCATGTTGGCCAGGCTGGTCTTTGAACTCCTGACCTCAAGTGATCCACATGCCTCAGCCTCCCAAAGTGCTGGGATTACAGGCATGAGCCACCACACCCAGACTTAGACTTCAGTTTTTATAGCTGTAAAAATCACAGCGTTGAATTAGATTCAAGTCCATTTTAAGTACCTGCGTGACTGCATGTGTTATGCGTAGACATATATATCTTCTTGGGACCTGGATACTATCACTGATTTACTTAATAAACACTTAGAAATGTAGCATGCTCTTCAGTACACAAGGCAGCTTCTTATATATAGGATCATAATGTGAAATATTATTATGATCATTATTATTTTGAAGCTTTTATGGATTAAACTACAAAAATAGAACAATTTAATAAACTATCATTTACCCATTACCTTCAATATTTTATAATTCTTTCATTCACTACACCTCAGTCCCTGTCTTTAAAAAAAAAATTCTGGAGTATTTTTAAGCAAATTCAAAACAATTTTATCTGCATAATTTTACAGTGTATACCTGACAGGTAAAAACTTTTAAAAAGCATAACCAAAATGTAAATATTACCGCAAAATTATCAATACCTTAATAGCATCCAGTTTCTGGTTGTTTTTGTTGGTTTTAAAATAAGCACAATGTAAACCCTGCCTTGGAATTAACAGTGATTTGTGTGCATTTTATTGGTACTGTAGTGCTATTTTATATATGTGTGTGTGTATAAATATATACACACACACATATCTATCTATATCTATATCTATATATATATGTATATATTTCTTTTTTTCTTTTCTTTTTTTAAAAATTTTATTTTACTTCAAGTTCCGGGATACATGTGCAGAAAGTGCAGCTTTGTTACGTAGGTAAACATGTGCCGTGGTGGTTTGCTGAACTATTTTGTATTTTTGAGAACAAGTCCGAGACACTGAGTGAGGGAGCCTGGCTACCTGAGAGTGACTCTTCTGTTTCAGAATAGCTTCTTTTTTTTTTTTTGACAGAGGGTTTCACTCTGTCGCCCAGGCTGAGTTCAGTGGTACAATCAAAGTTCACTGCAGTCTTGACCTCCCCAGGCTCAGGTGATTCCGCCACCTCAGCCTCCCAAGTAGCTGGGACTACAGGTGCATGCCATCATGTCCGGCAAATTTTGTATTTTTGCTAGAGATAGAATTTCACCATGTTGCCCAGGCTGGTCTCGAACTTCTGCGTTCAAGTGATCCACCCACCTCAGCCTCTGAAAGTGCTGGGATTGTAGGCATGAGCCACCATGCCCAGCCGCATTTAATAGTAAGGACACTTTTCTCCCTAGAACCCCTGAGCAAATAAGTCTCCCTTCAGTTTCTTTCTCATTAGCCCTAGTTGATTTTTCAACACAGAATTGCAGAGGAATTCCAGTGCCAATTTGCTGAGGCCAGGGTTATCTTAACCAACCATCATGGCAAGGAGGGTAGGTTAACCAGATGGAGTTAAAATAGGAGGCATCTCTGGAACTGGGAATGGGTTAGTCCATTCCTGTCACCAAACCCCTCAGGCATCACAGTGGGAGAAGGGCAGCAGGATGTCAGGAAGACCACAATTCCACGCCATGTCCTTCAGTCATCCATTACCAGCATGTACAATGAAGGAGGCCATTGTGTAACAAGGACGTAGCTGGCACAGTGCCTCATTCATGGTAGGCTCATAGCAGAAGCCCACATTAAATATTTGTTGAATGATTAAATCAAGCATGTGTAAAATATGTTCTTTAGCCTTTTTTTTTTTTTTTTTTTTTTTTTTTTGAGACGGATTCTTCGCTCTGTTGCCCAGGCTGGAATGCAGTGGCACGATCTCGGCTCACTGCAAGCTCCGCTTCCCAGGTTCACGCCATTCTCCTGCCTCAGCCTCCCGAGTAGCTGGGACTACAGGCACCCGCCACCAAGGCCTGCTAATGTTTTGTATTTTTTAGTAGAGACGGGGTTTCACCGTGTTAGCCAGGATGGTCTCGATCTCCTGACCTTGTGATCCACCCGCCTCGGCCTCCCAAAGTGCTGGGATTACAGGCGTGAGCCACCGCGCCCGGCGGTATGTTCCTTACCCTTAAGGACAAGAAATACCGTTTGAAAACATTCTTCTTGAACATTAACAAACTTAGAATGGTACATTCATTTAAGAATTAAAATAGGCACAAGAGGATTGAATTTTGGAAATATGTTGCTTAGAAATTTGGGGGCACAAGCAAGCTTGTTTTCATTGAGCTAGAAATATGTTTTAACTTTTTTTTAGATGTTATTTTCAAATTTATGTATTTTAAAAAATTTTTTTCGTACAGGTGAGGGTCTTGCAGTGTTGCCCAGGCAGGCCCTGAACTCCTGGTCTCAAGCGATCCTACCGCTTCAGCCTCCCAAGATGCTGGCATTACAGCCGTAAGCCACTGTGCCTGCCTTAAGAACTTGAAAATAAACCAAATAAGTTATTTTGTTCTTCAGCCTGTTCCACTAGGAGTGTACAATCAAATGACTGGTTTTAAAATCACTTGGATTGGTTCTCTACTTAAAACACAAGCTAGCTACCCAGTCTTGTATTTTGTATTTTTAAGAATTCTTAAAAAACTAATTTTGTTTTGTATTTGTGTAAAGCATAGTCATAATTCTAAATCAAACACACTGCATCGAGTTTATCTACTGAAATTCAGCATCTGCTTTTGTCCTCACTTTGTTATCTTCTGCTCTCATCGATTACTATTTAAAAAAAAAAAAGTGGTATGAGGCTGTCCCCAGCACTACACAGATGAAAGGGAATTATTTTTTCTTCTGTATATAGAAGCCCTTACTGCTAGCAGATTTATGGGATCAAAAGATGCATATAAAAATAATCATAGTGTAGGCCGGGTGCAGTAGCTCACGCCTGTAGTCCCAGCACTTTGGGAGGCTGAGGCGGGTGGATCACGAGGTCAGGAGATCGAGACCATCCTGGCTAACACAATGAAACCCTGTCTCTACTAAAAATACAAAAAATTAGCTGGGCGTGGTGGCGGGTGCCTGTAGTCCCAGCTACTTGGGAGGCTGAGGCAGGAGAATGGCGTGAACCCGGGAGGCGGAGCTTGCAGTGAGCTGAGATCATGCCACTGCACTCCAGCCTGGGCAACAGAGCGAGACTCTGTCTCAAAAAAACAAAAAAAAAAAACAAAAAAAAAAACATAGTGTTACTTATGTAAAAAAAAAATCTTATGGCTTATCCTTCCATTGAAAAAAATATAAACACATACTAATATATTTGTGTCTCCACTCCTTTTCTTAAACAGTGGTATACTAAAACATTTTATTTCAACTTGCTTTTTTTACTTAATGATATATCCTGGAGATCACTGCACAGGGACATATATGAAGATGTATCATTCTCTTCTGTACAGGTATACCTCAGAGATATTGTGAGTTTGGTTCCAGACCACTGCAGTAAAGTGATTATCTTAATAAAGCAAGTCACACTAATTTTTTGGTTTAATAATGCATATAAATGTTTACACTACACTATAGTTTATTAAGTGTGCAGTAGCATTATGTCTAAAAAAATGTACATACCTTAATTAAAAAGTATTTTATTGCTAAAAACTCTAATGATCATCTGAGCCTTCACTGAGTGGGAATCTTTGTTTGCCTTGATGTTGATGGCTGCTGACTGATCAGGGTGGTGGTTGCAAAAGGTTGGTGGCTGTGCCAATTTCTTTTCCTTTTCCTTTTTTTTTTTTGAGGCAGAGTCTCGCTCTGTTGCTCAGGCTGGAGTGCAGTGGTGCAATCTTGGCTCACCACAACCTCTGCCTCCTGGGTTCCACAATTTCTCCTGCCTCAGCCTGCCAAGTAGCTGGGACTACAGGTGCAGGCCACTATGCCCGCCTAATTTTTGTATTTTTAGTAGAGACGGTTTCACCATGTTGGCCAGGCTGGTCTCGAACTCCTGACCTCGTGATCTGCTCGCCTCAGCCTCCCAAAGTGCTGGGATTACAGGCATGAGCCACCACGCCCAGCCGACTGTGCCAATTTCCTAAGACAATTAAGTTTGCCCTATCAGTTGACACTTCCTGAAACATTTCTCTGTAGCATGTGATGCTGTTTGATAGTATTTTACCCTCAGAAATTCTTCCAAAATTGGTTTCAGGTGTCTGGGCATGGTGGCTCTAACTTGTAATCCTAGCACTTAGAGAGGCCAAGGCAGGAGGATTGCTTGAGTCCAGGAGTTTGAGACTAGCCTGGGCAACCTCATGAGACCCAATCTCTATTAAAAAATAATTGCAATCAACCCTGTCAAATGCTGCTGCTGCTTTATCAGCTAAGTCTGTGTAATGTTCTATATCCTTTGTTGTCATTTCAACAGTGTTCACAGCATCTTCATTAGGAGTAGATTCCATCTCAAGAAACCACTTTCTTTGCCCTTCCTTAAGAAGCAACTTCTTACCCATTAAAGTTTTATCATGAGGAGTCCATTGTAGGGTTATTAATTTACCTAATTTCAATATTGTTTGTCCTAAGGAATAGTGAGGCCTAAGGAGAGGGAGAGAGACAGGGAATTGCTGGTCTGTGGAACAGCCCAAACACACAACATTTGTCAGTTAAATTTGCCATCTTTTATTTATTTACTTATTTTAGGTTCGGGGGTACATGTGCAGGTTTGTTATATGGGTAAATTGCATGTTATAGGAGTTTGGCGTACAGATTATTTCATCACCCAAGTAATGGGCATAGTACCCAATAGGTAGGTTTTTGATCTTCTCCCTTCTGCCTCCCTCCACTCGCAAGTAATCCCTGGTGTCTGTTGTTCCCCTCTGTATCCATGTGCTCTTTTGTTTAGCTCCCTTATAACTCACTTACAAGTGAGAATGTACAGTATTTGGTTTTCTGTTTCTGTGTGTGTTTGTTAGGTTAATGGCCCCCAGCTCCAACCATGTTGCCACAAAGGACATGATCTTGTTTTTCTTTATGGCTGCACAGTATTCCATGGCGTATATGTACCGAGATTTCTTTATCCAGTCTACTGTTGATGGGCATTTAGGTTGACTTCATGTTTTTGCTACTGTGAATAGTGCTGTGATGAACATATATGCGTATGTGGCTTTATGGTAGAATGATTTATTTTCTTAGGGTATATAACCAATAATTGGAATGCTGGGTCAAATGGTAGTTCTGTGTCTTTTTTTTTTTTTTTTTTGAGGCAGAGTCATCCAGGCTGGAGTGCAGTGGTGCCATCTCCGCTTACTGCAACCTCTGCCTCCCAGGTTCAAACAATTCTCATGCCTTAGCCTCCCTAGTAGCTGGGATTACAGGTGCCCGCCAACATGCCTGGCTAATTTTTGCATTTTTAGTAGAGATGGGGTTTCACCATGTTTGCCAGGCTGGTTTTGAACTCCTGACCTCAAGTGATCTGCCCACCTTGGCCTCCCAAAGTGCTGGGAATACAGGCATGAGCTACTGCACCTGGTCTGTTACTTAATGGTTAAAAGCTGTAAATAGCTCAAAAGAAAAGTTTCCGTGACTCCAAAGTCTTCCATTCGGTGCTGCAGTCTATTTCCTTTGGGTCAGGGGTCTCCTCAGTATCTTTCCTTCATGGTTGACTTTTTAATAATAGCCATTCTGAAAGATGTGAGATGATATGTCATTGTTGTTTTGATTTGCATTTTTCTTTCTTTTTTTTTTGAGACGGAGTTTCGCTCTTATTGCCCAGGCTGGAGTGCAATGGCAAGATCTCAGCTCACCACAACCTCCGCCTCCCGGGTTCAAGCAATGCTCCCGCCTCAGCCTCCCAAGTAGCTGAGATTACAGGTGCACACCACCACGCCCGGCTAATTTTTGTATTTTTAGTAGAGACAGGGTTTCACCATGTTGGTCAGGCTGGTCTCCAACTCCTGACCTCAGGTGATCTGCCTGCCTCAGCCTCCCAAAGTGCTGGGATTACAGGCAGGAGCCACCGTGCCTGGCCTGAGTTTATTTTTGTGTACGGTGTAAGGAAGAGGTTCAGTTTCAATCTTCTACATATGGCTACCACTTATCCCTTCATCATTTATTTATTTATTTGTTAACTTTTTTTTTTTTAGGTTCAGAGGTACATATGCCTGTTTGTTATATAGGTAAACTCATGTCACAGTGGTTTGGTGTACAGATTATCTCATCATCCGGGTACTAAACCTAGTACCTGATAGTTACTTTTTCTGATCCTCTTTCTCCTCTTGTCCTTCACCCTCCAGTAGGCCCCAGTGTCTGTTGTTCCCCTCTATGTGTCCATGTCTTCTCATCATTTAGCGCCCACTTATAAGTGAGAACATGTGGTATTTGGTTTTCTTTTCCTGCGTTAGTTTGCTAAGGATAACGGCCTCCAGCTTCATCCATGTTCCTGCAAAGGACATTCTCTCATTCTTTTTTATGGCTGCATAATATTCCATGATGTATATGTACCACCTTTTCTTTTTTTGAGATGGATTCTTGCTCTGTCACCCAGGCTGGAGTGCAGTGGCATAATCTCGGCTCACTGCAACCTCCGCCTCCTGGGTTCAAGCGATTCTCCTGCCTCAGCCTCCTGAGTAGCTGGGATTACAGGCACGTGCCACGATGCCCGGCTAATTTTTGTATTTTTAGTAGAGACGGGGTTTCACCATGTTGGTCAGGCTGGTCTCGAACTCCTGACCTCATGATCCGCCCACCTCGGCCTCCAAAAGTGCTGGGATTACAGGACCTTTTCTTTATTTAGTCTTCCTTTGATGGATATTTAGGTTGATTCCATGTCTTTGCTATTGTGGATAGCCAGCACCATTTATTGAGTTTGCCATCTTTTTATGGGTGTAGCTTGTGGAACTCCAAAACAATTACAGTAGTAACTTGTAAGATCACTGATCACAGATCACCATAACAGATAAAATAATAATGGAAGAGTTTTTGAAATACTTGGAGAATTACAAAACTGTGACACAGAGACATAAAGTGAGCACATGCTATTGGAAAAATGCCGCCGATAGGCTTGCTCAATGCAGGATAACAACAAAACTTTAATTTGTAATAAATGCAGTATCTGCAAAGCACATTAAAGCAAAGTATAGTCAAACAAGGTAAAGCCTGTATCTGAATTGTTCTCCATTGTTTGTCTTCAATCAATAGCCTGTGTGCATGTCTTTTTGTATTTTTGTCAATGAGTCTTTAGAATAAATTTCTAGCAGTGGTTACTGGACCAAAAATTACATGCATGTTTAATGTTAGCTGATGTCGTCAAATTCCCATCCATAGGGACTGTGGTATTATGCATTACTGTAGCAGTTTATGAGTGTATATCCTCCCTCACAAGCTTGCCAACTGAGTGTTCTCAGGCTCTTGGATTTGTGCCAATCTGATAGGTGAACAATAGTATCACAATGTAATTCTTAATGTCATTCATGATTTTATGACTTATGAATGAAGTTGAACATCTTTTTATATGGTTAAAAATCATTTTCATTTCTTTCTGTGAGTAAGTTTATAAAACTGTATTTATTATTTTAAATGTCTCACTATTTCAGTAGCTGGGAATACAGGTGCCCACCACCACGCCTGGCCAATTATTGTATTTTTGGTACAGATAGGGTTTCACCATGTTGCCCAGGCTAGTCTCAAACTCTTGGACTTAAGCTATCCACCTGCCTCGGCCTCCCAAAATGCTAGAATTACAGGTGTGAGCAACCAGGACCAGCCTGACCTTGTCTGTTTTAATGCCATTGATTTCTAGGTATCATGCCTGGATATTGTAATCATTTGCCTGGATATTGTAATCATTGGCACTTGAATAAATGAATGAATGAGACCTGCTTATCTTAGTCTTTCCTTAAGAGATTTAGGGAAAGGAAAAAGTTAATGGCTCATGCCTTCAGTCTCGGGTACTCAGGAGGCCAAAGCAGACTTGAGCCCAGGAGTTGGAGACCAGACTGCACAACATATGGAGATCCTGTTCCCCCAACAAAATAAATTTGTCTGGGTGTGGTAGCTCATGCCTGTGATCCCAGCACTTTGGAAGGCCAAGGTGGGAAGATCCCTTGAGCCCAGGGATTTGAGGAGTAGCCTGGGCAACATAGTGAGAACTCACCGTACAAATAATTTAAAAAATTAGCTGGGCATAGTGGTATGTACCTATGGTCCCTACTTGAGAGGCTGAGGTGGGAGGATTGCTTGACCCCAGGAGGTTAAGGCTACAGTGAGCCATGATCAATCTACTGCACCCTAGCCTGGGTGGCAGAGCAAGACACTATCTCAAATAATAAATAATAATAATTGTCGATGAAAAGAGTTGAACTCTGTAAAATATTTGAGGATATTTATTCTGAACCAAATATGAGTGACCATGGCCCGTGACACAGCCATCAGGAAGTCTTGAGAACATGTGTCCAAGGTGGTCAGGGTGCAGCTTGGCTTTATACATTTCAGAGTGGCATGAGACATCAAATACATTTAAGAAATACATTGGTTTGTCCAGAAAGGTGAAACAACTCAAAGCCAAAAGCTTCTAGGCTATAAGTGAATTTAAATATTTTCTGGTTGACAGTTGGTTGAGTTTGCCTAAAAACCTGGGATAGATAAAAAGGGAATGTTCAGGTTAAGATAAAGATTGTAGAGACCAAAGTTCTTTTGAAGTCTAATAGTGGCTGCCCTTAGAGACAATAGGTGACAAATGTTTCCTATTCAGATCTTAGTTAATCTCTTTAGGATTGGGAGGGTCTGGAAGAAAAAGATCTTCTAGCTGTGTTAATACAGATTCTTTACAGATGCAAAGTTTTCCCCACAAAGAACAGCTTTGCAGGGCCGTCAAAACATGGCAAAGAAACGTGTTTCAGGGTAAAATATTTTGATGTTCTTCTTTCTCTCCTAATGTTATGCCAGAGTCAGGTTGGAAAGTAAATCATGATATACAGGGTTAAATAAAACCCATCTGTGGGCATGACTCCCAGACCGCTTAGATAGGAATTTGGGCAAGATAAAAAAAAATCAGAGTTTAGTCCTCATAATTAACATAAGACATAGACTGACCATTGATGTGCTTTATGTGTGTAAGTTCCCCAAAGTTCCTGGCTCATGGTCCTAGCTCATAGGCTGTGTTTGTTATTTTTGGGCCACTCTAAACATTGAAAGAAGTCTTACTCTATCTTTTATTCCATTTGTAGAATCAGATTAGCCCTGTAGGAGATGAAGGGGCACTAACAGTGAGAGGTGCATACCACATTTCTAACAATTTTTAAAGAGTGAAATAATTTTTTTATTGTTGTTGTTGAGACACAGTCTCGCTCTGTTGCCCAGGCTTGGAGTGCAGTGGCATGGTCTTAGCTCACTGCAAGCTCTGCCTCCCGGGTTCACGCCATTCTCCTGCCTCAGCCTCCCTAGTAGCTGGGACTACAGGCGCCTGCCACCATGCATGGCTAATTTTTTGTATTTTTAGTAGAGATGGGGTTTCACTGTGTTAGCCAGGATGGTCTCGATTTCCTGACCTTGTGATCCTCCTCCCTTGGCCTCCCAAAGTGCTGGGATTACAGGCATGAGCCACTGCGCCCGGCCAAGAAAATTTTTAAAAGCTGAATTATTTAATTATCTATCATAGTAGGAAAATGTCATCTCATAGTAACTGAGAATTAATTTTAGTTTCACTCAGGTGGGGTCTTTTTACCACTTCCTTTATGTTCCCAATCTAATAAATAAATGGAAGAGAAAGAAACTTGAGGCTGGGTGCAGTGGCTGACGCCTATAATCCCAGCACTTTGGGAGGCCAAGATGGGTAGATCACTTGAGGTCAGGAGTTTGAGACCAGCCTGGCGAACGTGGTGAAACCCTGTCTCTACTAAAAATACAAAAACTAGCTGGGCATGGTGGTGCGCCCCTGTAATCCCAGCTACTTGGGAGGCTGAGGCACAAGAATTGCTTGAACCTAGGAGGTGGAGTTGGCAGTGAGCCGAGATCCTGCCACTGTACTTCAGCCTGGGTGACAGAGCGAGACTTTGTCCACCACCCCTCCCAAAAAAAGAAACTTGACCCAGCCCTGCGAAGTATTACTACTTAGCTAGCACTGTAACTGAGTCTTCAAAAGGTCATTCCATCATTCTACCAAGCCAGCTGTTTCAGGATGATGGGGAATATGGTAAGCAGTGAATTTCATGAGTACGGGACCATTGCCTCACTTCATTTGCTATTTCATTTGATTTGGGAAAACTCTCAGAGGATTTTTTTTTTAACCTTCCTGGAAACTTTAGAAGGAGCAGAAAACCTTCCACAAAGCTAAAAGCCCTCTCAGATCCCATGTAATTTGCTGGTTAAATTCTGATTATTAGATTGGGTATATTTGAAACGCCCAATATGGTGTCCCTTTTCAGTTGCTTTTTTTTTTCTTTTTTGAGGAGAGTGAGTTGGTATTTGAAATATGCTAGTCCCCTCTTCTCATTGATTTTATAATTCTCATTCTAAGGAAGAGCCAGTAGGTGAATTGAATCTCACCAGCTGCCTTTTCTTAGTAGGGATTGTTTTATAAACTGTAAGCTTCTCTCTTTACACCCTCACCCTTTTCTCTATTTCTTGCTAATGGAAATTCATCTGATTATTGAGGTTACATAGACAGGTAGAGCAAAAATTCATTTTTGTGGTTACTTATTCTGTGTCCCCCATTCCCAGTGGTTGCATTGGTGTTGCGGGGCAGGGGCCGCTGACATGAAAGCTCACTCTGGAAGGCTGAGTGGAAGTTTGCCAGTTTGAGAAAGGGAGGGAAATCATTTTAGGCTCAGGGAATTGTATGGAGAAGGGTAAGAAGTGTGGATAGTTGGTAAGGAGGGACACGTACTGGGGTTGGAGCTTAAAGAATTAGGTTGAGTGGTTACAGTGGGACTGAAGATCCCCAGCTAAAAGTATGGTCTGGAAGCAGCCATGAGTAGGGAGTGGTTTTTTGTTTGGTTTTGTTAAGGGGAGAGAAACATCAGGGGTACAAGTGACAAAAGAAAAAAAAGAAAGAGGCTGGGCTCAGTGGCTGGCGCCTGTAATCCCAGCACTTTGGGAGGCCGAGGCAGGCGGATCACGAGGTCAGGAGATCGAGACCATCCTGGCTAACAAGGTGAAACCCCGTCTCTCCGAAAAAAAAGTACGTGGTGGCGGCGCCTGTAGTCCCAGCTACTGGGGAGGCTGAGGCAGGAGAATGGCGTGAACCCAGGAGGCAGAGCTTGCAGTGAGCCGAGATTGCGCCACTGCACTCCAGCCTGGGCAACAGAGCAAGACTCTGTCTCAAAAAAAAAAAAAAAAAAGAGAAAGGAAGGAAAGATAGTCAATTTCACCAGTAATTAAAGAAACCCAATGTAAAACAAGGCATGTTTTTTTTTTTTAATTCAATAGGCAAAATGGAAGAGATTGATAAAAACCAGTCCTTTTGAGGATGGAGGTGAGAGGAGACAGGTTCTCTAACACACTATTGGTGAGACTGAAAGTTGGAAGCTCTATTTTGGAGGTCAATTTGGCAGTATATATTAGATAAGATATTTATATACCCTTTGAAACAACCTTCCCACTTTTTAGTCTGTATCCATAAATTCATAAAGATATACATATAAAGTTCATTGTAGCATTGTTTACAATGTCAAGAGAAAATGAAAACAAGTCATCTACTTATTTAGCAAATATTTATCTACCTATTAAGTGGCAGGCATACTAATCTCCCTCTGGGGATACAGTAATGAACAAAACAATCAAAATTCTCTACCTTCAAGGAGCTTGCATTCTAGTTGGGGGAGAGTAAGAGTAAACATGATAATTAAATTAAATATAGTATCTTAGATAGTTGTAAGCACTATGGAGAAAAAGAAAGGAAGAGAGGTAAAGAGTGCTGGGGGATCATCAGAGAATCCTTCCCTGGGAAGGCAACATTGGAACCGGGACCTGAAGGAGGTGAGGGGGTGAGTCATGAGGTTATCCAAGGGAAATGTCTTTTAGGCAGAAGGAGCAGTATGTGCAAAGGACATGAAGTGGAAGTGTGCATAGTGTGTTTTAGGAATAGAAAGGATCCAGTGGGTTTGGAATGCAGTAGGAAAATAGAGAGTGATAAGAGATAAGGTCATATATAGTGTGGTGGGGGAAATAATGGGAGATGGAATGGTGGGGTGGGAGGGCAGAGCATAGGTCTGGTAGGCAGCAATAAGGACGTTGGCTTTTCTTTTTTCTTTTTTTTTTTTGAGGTGGGAGGAGACAAGGTCTTACTTTGTGGCCCAAGCTGGAGTGCAGTGGTGCAATCATGACTTGCTGCAGCCTTAATGCCCCAGGCTGAAGTGATCCTCCAGCAGGATCACTTGATGCTCAGGAGGCACAGCCTCCCAAGCAGCTAGGACCATGGACGCATGCTATCACACCTGGCTAATTTTTTATTTTTTGTAGAGGTGGGGTCTCACTGTGTTGCCAAGGCTGGTCTCAAAGCCCTAGGCTAAAGGGATCATCCCACCTTGGCCTCCCAAAGTTTTGGGATTACAGGCATGAGGCACCGTACCTAGCCCATGTTGGCTTTTACTTTGGGAAGTAGGAGGCAGAGGAGCGACGTGATTCAGTGGCACTGTTCCCAGCCCATGTTGGCTTTTACTTTGGGAAGTAGGAGGCAGAGGAGCGACATGATTCAGTATTTATTGATCACCAATCATGTGCCAGGAACTGTTCTAGATGCCAAGGACACAGTAGCAAAAAATGTAAATGAAAATCCCTCCCTTTGTGGAACTTACCTATTGGTTACATGAGTCATGTCTTAAAAGAATTACTCCCATTTTAGTGTGGAGAATAAACTATAAGGAAGAGTGCTGCAGTTAGGAAGCTCAGGAAGCTACTATAGTATCCCAAGTAAAAGATGATGATGGCTTAGAACAACATGTTAGTTCTGTAGAAGGAAGTGTTGGAAGATGGTTGGATTCCTGATAGCTCTTGGTGATTGAGGCCATAGGATCCACTGATGGATTAGATTTGGGGCATGAGAAAAAGTGACGAACAAGGGTGACTCCCAAGGTTTTTAGCCTGAAAAAAGGGAAGAATTGTAACCGCCCAATGGGTTCACCTTTCCTGCTGCCTAGGCTGAGCCGATTTATCAAGACAGGGGAACCGCAACAGAGAAAGAGTAATTCACAAGAGCCTGCTGTGCAGGAAACTAGAGTTTTATTATTACTCAAATCAATCTCCCCAAACATTCAGTGATGAGTTTTAAGGACAATTTAGTGGGTGGGGAGACGTCAGTGAGCCAGGAGTGCTGATTGGTCATGTCAGAGACGAAGTCATAGGGAGTCAAAGCTGTTTTCTTGCACTGAGTCAGTTCCTGGGTGGGGGCCACAAGATCAGATGAGCCAGTTTATCGATGTGGGTGGTGCCAGCTGATCTATCAAGTGCGGGGTCTGCAAAATATCTTAAGCACTGATCTTAGGAGCAGCTTAGGGAGGGCAGAATCTTGCAGCCTCCAGCTGCATGACTCCTAAACCATAATTTCTAATCTTGTGGCTAATTTCTTAGTCCTACAAAGGCAGTATAGTCCCCAGGCAAGAAGGAGGTTTGCTTTGGGAAAGGGCTGTTATCGTCTTTGTTTTAAACTATAAACTGTAGACTAAGTTCCTCCCAAGGTTAGGTCAGCCTGCACTCAGGAATGAACAAGGACAGCTTGGAGGTTGGAAGCAAGATGGAGTCAGTTAAGTTAGATCTCTTTCACTGTCTCAGCCATACTTTTGCAAAGGCAGTTTCAGAATGATGGCATTGTTTACTAAGGAGAAGACTGTGGGTAGAGCAGGTTCTGAAGTACCATTTCACAGGTGCTTAGTTTGAAATGTTTGACCAAATATCTGGGCACCCTGTGGCCCACTGAAGTTGTCACATAAAATTAAGCATGAAAAGCCTACTCCCTATCAACTTGGTATTCATACACATTTCCTTAAACCATACTTAATTAAAGAAAGGCAAAGTAAAATAAGATTTGTTTGTTTGCTTGCTTTTTATTTATTTTTATGTATTTATATTTTTTGAGACTGAATCTTGCTCTGTTGCCCAGGCTAGAGTGCAATGGCACGATCTTGGCTCACTGCAATCTCTGCCTCCCGGGTTCAAGTGATTCTCGTGCCTCAGCCTCCTGAGTAGCTGGGATTACAGGTGCACACCACCATGCCCGGCTAATTTTTGTATTTTTAGTAGAGTAGTAGAGATGAGGTTTCATCATGTTGGCCAGGCTGGTCTCGAACTTTGGACCTCAGGTGATCCACCCGCCTTGGCCTCCCAAAGTACTGGAATTACAGGCATGAGCCACCGTGCCCAGCCACTTGCTTGCTTTTTAATTCAATAGGCAAAATGGAAAAGATTGATAAAAACCAGTCATGATGAGGATGGAGGTGAGAGGAGGCAGGTTCTCTAACACACTATTGGTGAGACTGCAAGTTGGAAGTTCTAATTTGGGGATCAAATACTGTCTTTATTCTCCAAATAAAGATAATAACAATTTCATAATTCTACCTCACATGATACATCCATCCTATAACCCCAAATACACTAACTCCTTCCCTAGAAGAGAAGGTAGAATCCTTGAGTGATGTTTACTCTTCTTGATATCTGATGATTTAAATATGATGACATAAAGTTAATAATACATAAATATTATGACATAAAGTCAATACATCATATGCTACATGATAAGGGGTTAAGAGAGAAGAAAACAAAGATATTTGTTTGCTGTATATACATACATATTTTTGTAACAAAATAAGGAGGAAATACTCATGACAATTCAATCTTAATTTCTGTCACTGGTTGTGTGGTCATAGCTGGCATTGTTTATTTATGAATGAATGAATAACAAGAGTCTTGCTCTGTCACCCAGGCTGGGGTGCAGTGGCGAGATCTCAGCTCACTGCAACCACCACCTCCCAGGTTCAAGCAGTTCTCCTGCCTCAGCCTCCTGAGTAGCTGTTATTACAGGTGAGTGCCACCATGCTGGCTAATTTTTGTATTTTTAGTAGAGTTGGGGTTTCACCATATTGGCCAGGCTGGTCTGGAGCTCCTGAACTCAAGTGATCTGCTCACCTCAGCGTGCCAAAGTGCTGGGATTACAGGTGTGAGCCACCACGCCCTGCCATAACTGGTATTTATAAATACCTCTACCCATTCCATATTCCATTTGCCTTCAGCAAGCACCTCCGCCGGTTGTGTTTCTTTACCTGGTAGGTCACTCAAACCTTCATTCCTGAAGGGTCTGGGCTATTAGTAGTCCTGCCTGAATTGGGTTGCTGCAGTTTTTTTCATTGACTTTAATTACAGGGTACAGTAATATTAATACTATGCTTGAAGGGATCTGCCATATTCCAGACAGGAGATCCTTACCTCTGTTGTGGAGTAGTAGTCCAGTTTCCTTTTGGTAGGCAGGATCAGTCACCCCAGCCAGTACATAGCAGAGCAATACATGGCACAGTAACTCCCATTTTTGCCTGTTGATTTAAAGACATGAGCATAAAGTGGCTAGGCAACAGCCTTAGCTTTCATTTCATCAGAATCATTGTTGTGTCTCCTGATGGAAGCATTCCTCACTATGGAACTATGACCTCTAGGCCAGCAGAGCATAAAGTCCTGGGGACAGGAAGCAAACATTTTGCTAGTGGGTCACTGGGGGTAATGGTGAGTGGTGCTATTCCCATTTCTACCCCTTGATTCCTGGACCTATCAATCCTGGCTATGGGAGAAACAGCACTATATATTATATGTTGATTGAGAGCATATATAGCCTTGGGAAGAAACTTGACCCAGCCCTGCAAAGTATTGCAACTTAGCTAGCACTGTAACTGAGTCTTCAAAAGGCCATTCCATCATTCTACCAAGCCAGCTGTTTCAGGATGATGGGGAATATGGTAAGCCCAGTGAATTCCATGAGCATGGGACCATTGCCTCACTTCATTTGCTATGAAATCAGTTCCATGGCAGTGGATACAGTATCCTGTAAGTCCAGGGATGATAGTTCTGGCAGAAGCATTGTGTGCAGGGAAGGCAAGTCTGTATCCAGAGTAAATGTGTATTCCAGTAAGGACAAAACTCTGCCCCTTTCATGATGGAAGCAATCCATTGTAGTCAACCTGCTGTCAGGTGTCTGGCTGATCATTCCCAATATGGAATGGTGCCATATTGGGGCCTCAGTGTTGATCTCTGCTCCTGGCAGATTGGGTGCTCTGCAGTGGCTGTAGCCAGGTTGGCTTTGGTGAGTGGAAGTCCATATTTCTGAGCCTGTGCATAACCTCTATTCCTGCCACCATGGCTACTTTATGAGCCCATTTGTGTGATGACAGTGGTGACTGGGGAAAGAGGCTGACTTGTAGGCACAGAAGGAGTCATTTTATTCAAATCCTCATGATTATTAAAATCCTCCTCTGCTGAGATCACCCTTTGGTGGGCATTCACATGAGACACAAATACCTTCACAGTTTTTTGTCATTTACTGTTTAGAGAGGTCTTCCATGTAGGTATTCTTGGAAGACATGGTCTTCCAAGTCGTATTCCTTCCAAGTCCCTGACCATCCATTCAGACCATTGGCCACAGCCCCTGAATTGTTGTGTAATCACATGTCTGGCCATTTCTCCTTCCAAGGAAAGTTTACAATCAAATGTACTGCTTGAAGTTCTGTCCACAGGGAGGATTTCTCTTCACCACTTTGCTTCAAAGATATCCCAGAGAGGGACAGTGTACTGCAGCTGTGCACTTCCAGTTAATACCTGTATATCATGTAGAACCATCGTAAACCTCTGTCAGAATGATCATAGGGAACTCTCCATGGGGCCATAGGTGCAGACTGGGAGAGAGAAGGCAGTGTAGCTGGATTAGGGACTATGGCATGTGGGCTACCTCTTCCTGTAACTTACTTGTGCCTTTAGGGCCTGCTTGGGTTCATCTCATATATACTATTTCCATTTGATGATGGAGTGCTGCTGATCATGCCCAACTTTATAGCTTGATGGGTCAGATAACACACTGTTCATGATGGCCAGCTTAGGTCACATGGTAACTTGGTGGCCCATGGTTAAGCATTCAGTCACTACTAAGACCCAGTAGCAGGGTAAGCGCTGTTTCTCAAAAGTAGAGTGGTTATTCATAGAGGTAGGCAGGGCTTTGCTCCAAAATTCTAAGAACCAGCATTGCACTTAACCTATAGCAACCTGCCAGAGACTCCAAACAACATCCGTATCTGCCACGGATACTTCAGGCACCATTGGATCTGCTGGATCATATGGCCGAAGTGGCAGAGCAGTTTGCATGGCAGCTTGGACCTATTGCAGAGCCTATCCATATTCTGGGACCCACTCAAAACTAGAATCTTTTCAAGTCACTTGATAAATGGGCAGGAGTAACACACCCAAATGAGGAATATGTTGCCTCCGAGATTCAAAGAGGTCCACTCACATTATGAATCATAATGTTCTTCACTCAGCCTATAGGATTAAATCTGCGTCTCATCCAAAAACACTCTTACAGAAACACCCAGAATGTTTGACTGAATATCTGGGCACCCAATGGCTCAGTCAAGTAGACACATAAAATTAATTATTGTACCACCTTCCAAAAGTGAAACGTACTCTTCCTTCATAAACATCGTAGTGTTTTTCTTCATTTTGTTCAGATAAATATAAAATGAGAAACGTTTTTACATTTTATTATCTGATATTTATTTGCAGTTGGAAATAATAAATGCATACCTGTGGAAAGTGTGCAACCAAATTTTTAAAATGTGAATATAGTGCAGGATAAAAGTTTATAGAAAAGCTCTGTTTTCCTTGTTTATTATCGGTGAACAATTAGATCTCATTGTCAGTAGAAATTGATGACTGCAGCTTCCAAACTATTGAGCCTGAGCTAATAAATGCAACAGTTGTTCATAATTTGGTGGTAAATGACCTTTAAATGTAGCTGTTTATGGAGGCTGTCCTTGGGGAACAATTTAACTTCCAAATGACACCCATGAGTACTTGTTATCATTTAAATATGCTTCCTTTTGTCAATAACAGAATAACAAATACTGGTTAGATTTCTGACGTTGATTCAGATACCAGGAAACCTGCTGAATAAATTAGTGTACATTTGATTTATATTGACCAAAATTTTTTACATTGCTGTGTTACAGGTCAAGGTGACATGCATTTAAATGTGTTGTAGAGCAGAGGTCATGCTTGACTGACATGAATGCTTATGCTGCTTTTAATTAACTTTTAAATATTATCCTGAAATTTCTTCTTAAATACCAATGATTATGAACAGGATTGAAATTAACTTAGGATATTAGTGGTGAGCTTATTTAAAATGTCAGAAATCTTGATCTTTTTCATAAAAATTATTGGAATATATTATTGCTACGCTTTATCTCATAATTTGTATGGAAATCAAATCTGCTTTTTCCATCGTAGACTCTGAATTCATTGTCTGTGTTTTTTCCATTGATAGTTTTGCAGAAATAATCTGAGATAGCATTGAAAAAAGCAGTAATGGACTAAGTCTTACCTAGTACAGAACTACTTTATCAGGCAAATGCATTTCTTAGTGCTATGAGTTTTTTTTTTTTTACTGATGTTGTTTGTACATGGTTGGAGGATTGTTTGCAGGGTGATGCCATGGATTAACTTTGTCAGCCATTCATTAGTAGTACAAAGTAGTATAACTTTTAGGGAAACTTTAATCAACACCTGATTTGCCCTTTTGGAGAATGTCTTCACCCTGAATGCTGCTTCTTTTGGATTTAAATATTGTTGAGTAAAAAGCATTTTGCTTGTAGTATAGAATGTTTTTCATCTAGGCCTCATGTGAGAATTTTCATATAATTCAGAACTTTAGAATGGAGATGTACAAAGCTTTTTAGTCTCTATCAACCTAAAGATCTTTGTTGTTATTCAAAATGTGTGCCTTGGAAATTTAGGATAATCTTTTGAGCTTTGCATCCCGAGGAGCTGTAAGTAATCAAAAAGCAGCAGGAAGCTCCGCTGCTTCAAAACTTTGTATGATGAACTTCTACAGATGTAAACAGAGCTGCTCTCCAGAACAGAAAGACCTCAACCCTGCCCACATCTAGTGAATAGCAGTGGGCCTGAGATGTCAGCTTAGTTTCAGCCAATGACCCTTAGTTTCAGTGTTGTTCCTTAGCCTGCAGCTTTGTACCTAAGTTTAGTGTATTCAGAACAGCATATTGTCCATGGCTGCAAAAGTAGTGACAGTTAAAAATGCTAATAAGAGAGAAACGGAAGTGGAGATAATAAAATGGAAAGTGGTGGAAGAATGACAAACGCGTGTGCATGTGGAATGAATCATCCAATCATAGGAATGATTCTTTAGGACAGAGGGGAGACTCATGCAGCATTTCTTGTAAGCGGGCATGCACGTGTGCAGGGAGTTGGGGGAAGTGCCTGAGACATGGAAAAACTTCAGGTGTTAGCACCACTTCAGGTGCCTGACCCTAAGGGAGAAGGCAGGGAGTTTGAGAAAAAGGCTGTTGATGTGGTGGTGCTGCTGGTGGATGGCACATTGGAACACCAGCAAAGGAGGGTTTGGGCTTCTGGTGCACGTCGTTGTCTGCTAAAACCATGGTGCTCATCCCTTGCTGCACACTAGCATCACCTGGAGAGCTTTACAAACTACTGATGCCTGGGGCCCACCCTCAGAGAATCTGATGGTCTTGGGGTATGGATTGAGCATCAGAATTTTCTAAAGGTCCCTGGGTGATTGTTATGAACAGTGGAAGGTGAGAACTACTGCACTGAAGATGTCTCCAGGATGCTTTTGGAGTTTATTAAGGTAGATTACTTGCCCCAGCACATATTATTAATAAGTTAGTTCAGTAGTTCTCAGGGAACACTTAAAAACACAAATTTTCAAGTTTTGTCCCCAGAGATTCTCATGCAATAGGGGCTCAGGCTCTGGTACTGTTTAAAAACTCTCCAGGTGATTTTAATTTGTAGCTAAGCCTGCAGATTGTAGGGTAGATAGCTTCCCTGTTGTGGAAAAGATGCCCTGTAGAGTGTATATTTAGCATAAAGGAGAAGCATCAGCTTTGTTTTAAAGCTTTAAAGGGCTGGTTCACATTCTGATTCCGCAAAAGTGCATCTAGGAGTGGCTTATAAACAAATGAACTTAAGAAAAGCTTTTCTGGCTGGGCGCGGTGGCTCACGCCTGTAATCCCAACACTTTGGGAGGCGGAGGTGGGTGGATCACTTGAGGTCAGGAGTTCGAGACCAGCCTGGCTAACATGGTGAAACCCCCGTCTCTACTAAAAATACAAAAAATTAGCCGGGTGTGGTGACATGCGCCTGTAATCCCAGCTACTCGGGAGGCTGAGGCAGGAGAATCACTTGAACGTGGGAGGCGGAGGTTGCAGTGAGCGGAGATCACGCCATTGCACTCCAGCTTGGGTGACAAAAGTGAAACTCTGTCTCAAAAAACAAACAAACAAAAAAAGCTTTTCTGACCTCATCCTGCTCGAGGAAGTTCTAAGGAGTGTCATTGTTAAGTTTTGGAGCCAGATAGACTTGATTCCACATTCTGGCATCGTGACTAGTCAGGGAACTTGTGCAAGTCATTTAACTTCCCTGAGCTGCATTCCTTAAAATAATTATTCCCTTTTCTCGTAAGGATCTTCTGTAAGGATTTCTTGTAAGGATCATCATACCAGGCACAAAGAACTCACAATGTGGAGCAGCTATTGTTATTTCTGATACTTCTAAAGACATTTTTGCTAGTTGGAGTTAATACATCATCATATATTTTACCTTCCTTTCATCTAGTATGAGAATTTTTCTTTTTTTCTCACTTTTGAATGATTGCATATTTAATTCACTGCTTTAAGTTTTTATAAAAGCAGTATATCAAAAGATCCCTGCAGCGCTTTTAAATTGGAGAATAACATCTCTAGTGTCCCAGCCACTTCATATTTAAGAACAAATGAATAATGGTGATTCTTTGGTTAAACCAATTATTAACAGCTATTTATTGATCACAGAATATTCCAACTACCTTTCTGTGCTGTAGGCTCCTAGTGGTATTCTCTGGGAAAACCTTGTATTGTTTTCCTACTTTCTCCGTTTATAAAAAGTTCTTTTTAGGATAGGCCAAAGAACCAATCCTGAATTTGTAAGTACGGCCATCCCTCAGTATCCGTGGGGGATTGGTTCCAGGACTCCACGATGATATGAAAATCTGTGAATGCTCAGGTCCCTGATATAAAATGGCCTAGTATTTGCATATAAACTATGCACATTCTCCTGTGTACTTTAAATCATCTCTGGACTACTTAAATACCTAATACAATGTAAATGCTATGTAAAGGGTTGTTATATATTATTTGGGGAATAATGAACAAAAGAAAGTCTGTATACATTCAGTTTTTTTTCCCTTTTGTTTTCTATTCACAGTCGGTTGAATCTGTGGATGCAGAACCCACAGATACTGAGGGCCGACTGTATCACAGTATACAGCTCTAGCTGGCGGTGGAATGGGGCCAGTTCCCACCGAGACCCATTCACTGTTCAGTGCTTTGCTCTAAGCAGAAGTAGAATTTTGACTCCTATCAGTGTTCGTTCAGGTTCAGATGAGGCCAGTTTTAATGAACATCATTTTAACCCAGAGGTTAGTTTTTTGGTTTTTGGTTTTTGAGACAGGGTTTTGTTCTGTCACCCTGGCTGGGGTGCAGTGGTGCGATCATAGCTCACTGCAACCTCGACCTTCCAGGCTTAATAGGTCCACCTGCCTCAGTCTCCTGAGCAGCTGGGACTAAAGGCACCACACCACCATGCCTGGCTAATTTTATTTTTTGTATTTTTTTCTAGAGACGGGGTTTTGCCATGTTGACCTGGGTGGTCTCAAACTCCCGGGCTTGAGTAATCTGCCTACCTCAGCCTACCAAAGTGCTGGGATTTCCGGCATGAGACCATACCCAGTCCAGAGTTTTGTTTTTGAAGCTGTTTTTGCAGTCAGGGTTTGCTTCTTCTGTGAGTTCTGGGTCTAGAAAAATTCTATGAAGCTGATCTTTCTGTGGCCTAGATAATTCTAAATGCCTGCGTGGGGAGGCAGGCAGTCTGTTTAATTGGAAATTTAGCTCAGAGTTTATGTGATTTGCTGTGAGCATGTTTGCATGCTGGGTCCTTGGTAGGGCCTGAAGAGAGGGCTGGCAGGGACAGTCAGGCAGAAGTGCCAGGCAGGAGCTGTAAGAGGTGGCAGTAGATGAGGGCTGGGTGAAGGCACAGAGGTGTGGAGTGTGAGGCACAATTTCATCAGCTCCAATATTTACTTAGATTCATTTATTTAACGAATGGTTTTTGAAGGCCTGAATTTTACCAGGCACTGTACTGAGCCCTGGAGGTGCCATCACTTTCGGTAGTTTTCTTTTGAAGAAATGCCAGCACTCTCTTTCATCTTTCAAAGGGAATCTTTTTTTTTTTTTTTTTTTTTTGAGATGGAGTTTCACTCTTGTCACCCAGGCTGGAGTGCAATGGCGCAATCTCGGCTTACTGCAACTTCCACCTCCCAAGTTCAAGCGATTCTCCTGCCTCAGCCTCCTGAGTAGCTGGGGTTACAGGCACCGGCCACCACGTCTGGCTAATTTTTTTGTGTATTTTTAGTAGAGATGGGATTTCACCATGTTGTCCAGCCTGGTCTTGAACTCCTGACCTCATGTGATCCACCCGCCCTGGCCTCCCACAATGCTGGGATTATTGGCGTGAGCCACCATACCCAGCCAGGATTCTTTTTATTTGTGAACACAGTGTACAGTGGAGCAGTAGTTAAATCAGCTCATCCTGTATTGCTCCATGGAGATATTACTATATAAATACAGTTACGTTAGCAAGATTAAATATGAACAAATTATTAGCCTCAGTTTCCTTATCTTAAAAAAGGGTTACAATTAGTATGCAACCCCAAAGAGTCATTGCCAAGATTAAATGAAATAATGCATGTGAAATGCCTACCTCAGATTACGTTTAGCTAAGTGAGGATCAGCTGATGTTACTGGGCCTGCTTTCACAACCTTGGGTTGGTCCCTGCCCAGAAGGACAGATACTGATACAATCAAGAAAGCTGTGTGAAAGATAGGAAAGCAGCTGGGTGAGATATCCTGGCAGAGGGGACTCTAAGCATGCTTCCTTGTTGTCTAACATATTGGCTAACCAAGGTGGGAGCATTAAATAGGTGGGATTGTTCAAGTAGGAACATTGATGTGTATCCCTTGAGTGCTGATCGATGTGCGGCATATTTTACTTGTTCTGGTACTGAGCTACACAGCATTAGGGCCAGCTGTTATGAATCAGAAAGAAGCTAGGGTTATGTTTATTCTGCAACTTGACCTTTTTAGAAGGAGGTTCTTGAGCTTTTTGGGAGGAAGGAAGTAGCAGTGTAGTTGAAGAGTGAACTCTGGAGTTGAGGAAACCTGGACAGGCCCCTGGCCCTACCACGGGCTAACCATGTGTTGAATGGTAACCAGTTGCATAAATGCTCTGAGTCTTGGCTTCCTTCAATGGAGATAATGGTAACTGCTTCATAACCAATAGGAATTGTTTTAATCAAATGAAATAATAGATGCCAAGCCCTTAACACATAATTGGTTCAGTAGTAGCTAGTGTTGATATTTGTTTCTCAAAATTAAAATTGTTATTTTGAATTTCTATAAAGAGGTGCTTGAGTTAGGCTTATATGGGATATGATTTATGATCTGAATACAGTTCATACCATAAGCCCCTCTCCTGTTCTTATACCACTAAAGCAAACAAAAACAAAACTAATGCTTTCAAGTAAACATTTGATAGAAATTTCAGTATGGCAAAGGGATTTTGGGTTTATAGAGGTGAATTAGAATTTGACCTAAGTTATTTTATCCATGAACTGTTCAGAATTATTTCTTATATGTGCCCAGTAGAGACACTGTATTAAAACTGATTAATGATATAATTTCAACAAATGGAAAATATGATGCCATAAAAAAAGATTACCCAGAATTCCACAGAACTCAGATATTAAGATTTCATGTTTATGGGGAAAATGTGTGTGTCTATGGATAGCCCATACAAATACACACTTTTAAAGAAATCTTCCTTTAATATTTTACCATAATTTGCTTGGGGCTTATGCAGTCTAGGAGTGCAGCAGAACAGAAGTAAGCCAGACTTGGGTTCTCACCTTAACTTGCCTCCACATGCTTCAGTGTACTCCTTTGTACGGGGGAGTGGTATCATCAGACATTTTCAGGAGAAACATGTAATGGAGATAATAAATGAAAAGTTCCTAGCACAGTGCAAGGCACGTATCAAGTTGGTGCAAAAGTAAAGCCATTACTTTCAGTGGCAGAAACCACAATTACTTTTGTACCAACCTAATACTAACAAATAGTTGTTACCATCCTAGGTCTGAAAAGCAGGAGGAGAATGGTAGTCCTCTTTATGGCAAGCAAAACATGAGGAACACTTATTTATTTATTTTTTTGAGACACAGTCTTGCTCTTAGCGCCCAGGCTGGAGTGCAATGGTGCAGTCTTGGCTCACTGCAACCTCTGCTCTCAGGTTCAAGCGATTCTCTTGCCTCAGCCGCCCAAGTGGCCTTATTAGCCCTGCATGGTGGCGGGCGCCTATAATTCCAGCAACTGTAGCTACAGCTGGGATTACAGGTGTCCGCCACCACGTCTGGCTAATTTTTGTATTTTTAGTAGAGACGGGGTTTTGCCATGTTGGCCAGGCTGGTCTCAAACTCCTGACCTCAAGTGATCCACCTGCCTTGGCCTCCCAAAGTGCTAGGATTACAGGCATGAGTCACAGCGCCTGGCCCCATTGCTTTTCTTCAAGTGATTTTCTTAGATGAATATGGGTAGGCAGTAGGTTTTTGAGCTGGCCACAGTACTGACATTTTGAAAGTGTATATATTTTACAATTTTTTAGATTTGGAAGGGTTTTTAAAAGCAGCCTTTGCCTAGAGATGTATTCATTTTCATTGGCCATTAATGTCAGCGTATAAAAATGAAAAATATTAGTTTTTGAAGGCATCATATTTTGAACTGATTAATTGCTTAATTAATATATTGGTAATGCTGTAAGATAGTTCATTTTAAGGAATAGTTTCATTAAAAATAGCTGGAGATATTAAAAAGTGCCATTTAACCTCTTGTGATCTTACTCTCAACAAAGTTTCAACATTGAAGCAAAGCGTTTATGTTTATGTTATAAAGTAGCATAATTAATATAACCCAGTAAGTGAAGTGTTTTGAGTGTCTGCTTTGTGCTTACTACAGGCCATTGACAACTATCAAGTATGATTCTATACCTCAAGGAGTTTTTAGTTTAGCTCTGCACAAAATCACACAATACTTGTTGATCTATAATGAATGCCCTATGGTAATAGCTTGTTTTGAATGGAGATTTTGAAAATGAGATCAATGAGGAGTGGAGTGCAGTACCCGGAAGACCTCCTGCAAGAGATGGTGCTTAAGCTGCATTTTGAAGACTAGGTAGGATTTAAATAAGTGTGTGGAAAGGACAGGGCTTTGTCAAGGAACGCACCCTCAGTAAAGTTAGAAAGATAAAATGAACATTATATCATGGACGATAGAAAGGGAGCAGTGTCCTGTGTGCAGGAGGTCAGTGGTGGTTAGAGAGTGGAAATATTTTGGATACATGGGGCAGAGCCACATTGAGGAGGTCCCTGAGGAGGACTACCTTTGTTCTTTGTCCTCCTGGAGGGTGGGCATCTGCCATTGTTGAAGCTGTCAAAGTTAACCCTTAGACTTTTGATGGGCACTGGGGAGAGGAGGGCACATTCTGGTAGGGAGAATGTATGAGTTGCTTTCAGGGGAGGGGTGGAGATGAGAGAATGCCCTGTCACTGACATTACTCAAGCAGTGTCAGTGGGGCTGCCAAGGGTATTTCTCCGATCTGCATTAGGTGGGGATAGGGCCAGAAACTCTGAAACTCAATAACTGTGTGAAGAAAACAAGGCTGTACAGAAGTTTCTGAACAGCAAAGTGATATGAAAATGAGGAAACCAGGCTGATTGAACTTACCTTGGTATGCAGAATGTTTCCAAAGAGGTTAATTGAAATCAGGTATGGGACTATGGCTGTGGTCCAGGATGAAGGTGTGGACTGGGACAGTGGCATGGGATGGACATGAGAGATTCTGAAAAGAATATCTGGGCTTTAGAAAACTGTAGTTGGTAGCTGAAATAAAAAGATAAATAAAAAATAAAATTTAGTATCCTCTCTCTCATCTCTGCCTCACTCTCTACTCAGCACCTCTGAACCAACCCACCCACTCCCCAGCTTCAGGAGGACCGGGGTGCCCATGCTCTGTGTCTCATGATCTTCTGCCTACAGGAAGCCTATCCCATCCCCTACCCGAAGTTGGTTAACTTGTGTTTTTTCTTTCCAAGCTAGTTCTAGTTTCACTTCCTTCTGGTAGCCAATGGTGAGAGTTTTGATTCTGCCTGAGTTTGCTCCTTTCTCCATTGGTGGAGTCTTCAAGCCAATAGGCCAATGAATGATGATTCCTCACTGGACTCCTCTCTTGGTGGTCCTGCTCCTATGGACAGGAGCCCTCAGGCCATGCTTTGAAAGATGGCCACTACACATGCCGGATGTCCACTCTGTTCAGATGATGCTTGAGACTCAACCTGAATCTGGCTTTTCCTGGACTGGCAAGGTGTTGAGGGAGCAAGTTGTTGAGGAATCCACACAAGGGAATGATGGCTGACCTGGGAGGGTCCAGTACAGCTGCAGTGAGCCACATCTGCCTTGAGTGAAATTATTCCTAGATAATGAGAGAACCTCCTTTTTGGGACCCGGGGTGGGAAAATGGAGTGGGAAGGTTGGTGCCACTTCCTTGTTTTGTTCACAGAAGTGGTAAGATTCTTTCCTCCCTTCCAAGTGTCTGGTTGGTGCTCAGCTCAATGGAGGCCTGTTGTGTGGTTCTGGAGACCCAGTGGCGGTTCTAGAGAGGGCAGAGAGGTCAGGAGAATGAGGTGGAGAAGGGGCCAGTGGGAAATGGAAGTCAGATTACAGCGGATTAAGAAAGCTGGGAGAGAGTGAGGACCCTGCCAGATGCTTTGACTATGAAAAGAGGGAGAGAAGTCATAAGAGCAAGAAGGAAAAGCAGGGTCAGGTCAAGGCTTTTTGTAAATCAGACCAAAGACAGTGAGTACTTCAAGGTCAAGGAATGGAGTCAATAGCATAAAAATCTGAGAGTTTTGAAGGGAGAAGAGTGGAAGTGGAGGTGGGAATGAAGCTTCCCAGGAGGTGAACTGCTGTTCTTGGAGTTGTTTTCCCTGTCAGGAAAAACATCAAGGGATGAATTTAGAGCAGTCCCGTAGAAATATAATGCTCACCGTTTGTGGTGGCTTACGCCTGTAATCCCAAATGCTTTGGAAACCAAGGTGGGAGGATTACTTGAGGCCAGCAGTTTGAGACCAGCCTGGGCAACATAAGCAAGACCCCATCTCTACAAAATAAGAATAAAAAATTAGCCGAGTGTGGTGGTACACAGCTGTAATCCCCACTACTCAAGAGGCTGAGGAAGGAAGATCGTTTGAGCCCAGGAGGTCAAGGCTGCAATGAACTGTGATCCAGACAGAGCAAGACTCTGTCTCAAAAAAAAAAAAAATTAAAAATTAAAAAAAAGAAATATAATGCAAGCCACAAATGTGAGCTACAAAGAGATTTAAAAATTTTTAGTGGCCCTATTAAAAAAGTGAAATGAATTGTAATAATATATTTGATTTAATGCAATAAATCCAAAGTATTATTCTAACATGTAATCTGTGTAAACATTATTAATGAGACCACTTGTTATTTTTGTAGTAATTTTTTGAAACTTGGTGTTTTTATACTTACAGGGTATCTCCATTTGGACCAGCCATGTTTCAAATGCTTGACAGCAGCATGTGGCGAGTGCTATGCTATGTTGGACAAGGCAGATTTAGAGAATAGGAAGGGGTCCAACTTTCAGCAAAACATGTAGTGAGGCAAGAATAAAGGTATCCTGTTTCAGGAGCTGAAATCGCAAACTTTAGCCCCTGTCGAGAATACAGTCTCACTATTTTTTGTCTACACTGTCAACATGAGTTCTCTCCAGGCTCTTGGTTTCAGCTCAGTTGAGGAATATTGTTCTTGTGGTTGCCCTGTCCTTAAGTAAATGGAACTGTGGAATTAAGAGGCAGTATTGAAGGGGCCTGAATCAAACTCTTCAGACTCAGTTTCCCTCTCTACCACTTACAAGCTGTGAGACATTGAGTGAGTTACTTAACCTCTCTGTGCCTCAGTTTCCTTATCTCTGAAATGAGGATGTAATAACAAATTTAATCAATTTTTGTATGTATGTATGTATGTATGTATTTAATAGAGACAGGGTCTCACTATGTTGTCCAGGCTGGTCTTAAACTCCTGGGCTCAAGTGATCGTCCTGCCTTGGCCTCCCAAAGTGCTGAGATTACAGGCATGAAGCCACCAAGCTCAGCCAGTAATAACAAATTTTAATTAAATGACATTTTATAGCTATGTTATAGGGTTGTTGCAAAAACTGAATGTAGATGACTTAGAACAATACTTGACCCACAGTTAAGGCTTAACAAGTAAGTTAAATTTTAAAAGAAAATGTTTAGGGTACTTTGAGTCAGTGTTAATTACCATTGTAGATTTTTTCAAAAAAATGTTTAAGGACCAGGACTCGTTTATGGAATGTTGAAGTCTGAGTTTAAGCAGAAAACTGCTTCCTCCAACCTTCTGTTTACTTTGAAGAAATACCACACATAAAGTTTCACATTTACCAAATTAAAATATGTGAAGCAGTGATCAATATATTATCCTTAGGAGCTGCCTTAGAATGGGAGATATACTCTTTAAAATATTTCATAAATGGAATAGCCAAATTGAATCTGAGATACTGGTGTTTCGGAGACGTGTGCCAGTGACATAAGGCAGCTTTGTCTAATTGCATCCCACATTTGAAAAACTTTTTCATTAAGATTATCCGAATGAAGAGGTGGTTAGAATGGGGCTGAGGGTGGAGGAGAGGAGGCCAAGGAAGCAGAAACCTTGTAAAAGCTACTGCCCACATGCCCTTTATCTGTTAGTCAATGCCCCATTTTTCAAATGAGCTTTTACAATAACCAGATAGCTGGATCACATCACTAAGTGAGGATGCATGAACCTGCCTGCCTGCTTATGTCCAGCTCAACCCTTCTAACTGAGTGCAAAGTTGATTGTTGCCTATAAAAGTGGAAAATGGACCTGATAAAAATGTTTAGTCTGCAAGGCTTCATTTTATTTATCATATCAGAAAAGAACAATGTTTTGTGTTGTGGTCAAAATAGAAGCCGACCTTGCTTGTTCACAAAAGCTCAAATCCTAGAGATAAAGGGGGCAAAATAATAGAGTACAATAGAAGGAGTAGGGTGTAATTATTTGTAGCTTGTCAAGTGAAGCCCTTTCAAGCCCCAGGTGATTCAAATCTGGGAACTCTGCACAATTCTGTAAACTAACCACAACCAGCATCAGAGAAATCTCCCCTGGCCCACAGACAGCACCGAAATTGCATCCGTTTGTCATGCACTGAGCATGCCAGCCTCACACAATATCATTTGGTTGCAAATGGGCCTGCCCCCAAAGCCCTGAAACACATTCTGTGGTATCTGACTCTTGGCCTGCGATTTGTCATGTCCCTGCTGCTATCAGTGTGCAGTAATTTTAATAGATTCTGATGGTTTCCTTGTAGAAACTCAGGATGCAGCTGGTTTGGACATGGGACACAGGAGAGACTCTTCTGGCCAAAGACAGCAGGAGTGTGTGCAGAAAAATTGGAGAATCATTTAATTTCATTAAAAATTTGTTATAGGATATATGGAGTTATGTTTTATGATTTTTTTTAAAAAACATTTCACAGTTTAATATATGGAAATATGTTGTTCATTTTATCTTTAAAATAGTTGCCTTTTTAGAGATATATTACTGACAGTATACTTACTCAACTTTCAGAAGTGACAGCTGTATGAATGAAGTTAGTCTAATATAATGGTTTATTTGGTCCCTTACTGTTCAAAATGTGGTATGGATCAGCAGCATTGGTGAGAGTGTGTTAGAAATGCAGATTGTCAGGCCCTATCCCAGACCTGCAAAATCGGACCAGGGGATTCATACGCACATTTAAGTTTGAGAAGCTCAGGATCTCAGGCTTAGAGCACAGGCTTTAGAGTCAGAGAGATCTGTGTTGATATTCTGTCTTTCTGACTTAGCGTGCTTGACTCTGGGCAGTTTGATCAATTCTGCTAAGCTTCAGATTCCTCATCTACTGAGTAGGGATTATAATTACATCATATGGTTATTGTGAGGATTGAATAAAATTATATATACATAAAATTATATAATTAGGTATACATATATATTAAATAAATATGTATATATAAAATTATGATAAATATAAGTATCTTTATCTATACTTCTATCTGTATACATAGAACCTGACATAGAAAAAACATATAGTAAATTAAAGATGTCATATAGTGTTGGTTCCATGGACTTTGCCTTAAAAGCATTAACATTTGTCTAATTGTGAAACAATTCACCTGCAGATAATTTCTGTGGTACAAGGATTATGAATTTTGTTTGTTGGATTTTTTTTTTTTTTTTGAGACAAGGTCCCACTCTGTCACTCAGGCTGGACTGCAGCAATGTGACAAACTCCTGGGCTCAAGTGATCCTCTCACCTTGACCTCTGGAGTAGCTAGGAATATAGGTGCTTGCCACCATGCCCAACTAATTTTTAAGTTTTTTATAGAGACAGAGTCTGACTCTGTTGCCCAGGCTGGTCTCCGACTCCTTGCCTCAAGAGATTCTCCCACCCCAGCCTCCCAAAATGCTGGTATTATAGGCATGAGCCACCACACACACTGAATTTTGAATTTTATAGATGAACTTTAGCCAACTGTGGCTGAATTTAGCATTAGGATGCCTCTACTCCTTCCCACATACCTTGTTAGCCTTTTTTCCTACAGCGTCTTTCTGTTGTGATTTAGAGTATATGGTAGAGCCATAGACAGTGCTGGCTACTTGGAGAGTTGTGTAAAATGTACCACCCCCTAACTCTTGGAGATTGGACTTGGTCGCATCTCAGTGTCAGCCAGATTCTGGATAGAGAGCCCTCTAGGCCTTCCGGCCTTGGCACAGCACAGAGCTCCTGCCCTCATCTCTTTGTTCTGTGTTCTGGACCCACTGTGAATGCTTGGGGCTCTCTGTGTCTTGAAACATCCTGATTGTCACAGGTGGGGACACAGTCATTTTTTCCTAGTATGGACCTATGGGAAAAAATATAGAGATAAAAATTAAGGGCCAGATATAAAATAATTTTTTCCCTTGAAAAACACTGTTTTTTCCTCCTTTCCTTTTTTTAATCTTACAATTAATCTCTCAATCTCTGTCTGTAAATGTCAATTTTTCAGCTCACTGGCTTTTAAATTATGAATAATAACATAAAAATTTAGTTAATTAGGTCACCCAAGTATATGATTTATTTTCATATCAGACCAGTTAAGGACATGGGGGTGGGAGCATATATAGGGAAAAATGGGAGTAGGAGAGGAATTGGAGAAAGCTGGGCAGGGAGACAGAATGGCTTGAGTGGAGGAATGGGTGGAGCAGATCAAGGGAAAGAGCCACAGAGAAAGCAAAAGTAGAAACAGAGCAAGGTACTGCAGTGAGCCAGTGGATGAATCAGCGTGGCTAGGGAGATTTGTTCAGAATCATTTAACTAGCTATTGTCAGTGGTTTAGAAGGAGATAACTGTTCTTTAACACGGGTTTCTAATCTTGAAATTACACGCAGAATCTTATAGTATGTGTGTGCATGTTTCCACAGAGGCCTTCAGATTTTCAGATCTGTGACTCCAAGAAAGGTTGAGAATCACTCCACATCACTGCTCCTAATGGCACTTCTACTAAAGCCAAAATTGTCCCCTATGAGTTATATTTCTGCATATTTAAGGGCTTTCTTCTTTGTTTATACAATTATTAATAGCATTTTCTGTATTTATTAATATATGATTATAGTTAAATTTATTGAACAGAAATGAACAAATGGCATATCTTCCTAGATACTATTACCATTACATTCTTTTCTTTTCAAATTTTAAACTTCTTTCGTTGGTTGCTTTAGTGATGGTTAGCTTTTGCCATAACTCTATGAACTTCTATTAATGTCTGCATTACCTTAAGGTGTTAATGTTACTATCTTGGAGCCAGTAAGCTTCTAAAACTGTCAGAAATGTATTACTCAGGGTTGTCACATTATTTATTCTTTTTTTTTGTTTTTCGAGACAGTATCTTGATCTGTCACCCAGGCTGGAGTGCAGTGGCACAAAATTATAGCTCACTGCAAGCTTGAACTCCTGGGCTCAAGAGATCCTCCCACCTTACCCTCCGGAATAGCTGGGACTGCAGGCACGCATGCGCCACCACACCTGGCTAATTTTTTAAAATTTTTGGTGGAGATGGGTTCTCAATCTATTGCCCAGCTGGTATTGAACTCCTGGGCTCAAGCAATCCTCTCACCTTAGTCTCTCAAAGTGTTGGGATTACAGGCATGAGCCAGTACTCCTCGCCACATCATTGACTGTTAAATTAGAACTTTGCTTGAGTGGATTGGTGACTATTTTCTGTGATAATTCCATTGGTTCTTCGGAAGAAACAGATTTAGCAAACACTATTTGATTTATTCAATTGAATATATAAATATCCAGTTTTACTCACAAAGTTAGAATTTGGAAGTCTCAGATATGAAACACATTTTCTAACTTTTCCTTTGGTTCCTGTAGGAATCAGTTAGTCTGATTTGAATTCTGGATTTTTTTCCTCTACTTATTGCTGCCTTGAATAATTACCCTCAATTGTTTCTTTTTCTTTTTTTTTTTTTTTTTTTTCAGACAGAGTCTCGCTGTTGCCTAGGCTAGAGTGCAGTGGTGCAATCTTGGCTCACTGCAACCTCCGCCTCCCTGGTTCAAGCGATTCTCTTGCCTCAGACTCCCGAATAGTTGGGTGGAATGCGCCACCACCTCTGGCTAATTTTTGTATTTTTAGTAAAGGTGGGGTTTCACCATGCTGGCCAGGCTGGAGGCTCTTGAACTCCTGGTCTCAAGTGATCCACCCACCTCGGCCTCACAAAGTGCTGGGATTACAGGTATGAGCCAGCACACCCAGCCTGTTTCTTTATCACATAAAAAAAAATGTATTTCTCTCAATAAAATCTGTACTCTATAATTACAGTTCCAACTGCAGTTGACTCACCTTAAACTTTAATAATAGAGAATAAGCAATAGAGACTGTAAGGTGTGTCAGGTAGGGATTAGGAGAAAGGTTCTGACAGACGAGCAGATGTGTGGGGTGAAATAATAGGTGTCGAGGAGTGGGGGTGCTCTGTGGTTGCCGAGAGTGGAGAGCGTCTCAGCTTCTCTCTGTTGAGAAGCCCCTGTTCTAGCAGAAGGTATGTAGTCTCTGAATGGAGAGCTCAAGATTTATGCACAGCTGGTCAGAAAAATGCCTCCATTGTGGAAAACAAAATGCATTTGTACGAACATTTCTGCTTAGGACCATTGTACCAAATTGGCACGTGTATTCTTAGGGACCCGTTGGCCATTTCAGAAGCACGCTATTATGGAAAAGAACATGTTGAAATGAGAGTGGTATAAACAGTTTAGAAGTAAACAAGTCAAATCTTGTTATTTTAAAAGCAGAGTCAGAGGGCTGGCCTTGAATGGGGTTAGGGAAGCTTCCTGCCTCTGTGAGAATGGAAGGAAGAAAGGAGGCTGGGTGTGTAGGTGGGGTGGGGGTGTGTCCAAAGCCAGTCCTCTGTATTGGGGGCTTCCCATTTTTCTTGGATGTTGCTTCCTTCCTGCTTGCCTCCCTGCCTCTCCTCCCCAAGCTCATTCTCTGTGTTCCCTCTAGAGCAGAAACCTGTTGCCCACAGCCTAGCCAATGAGGTAGGGTGAGGTGGGGGTAGGGGAGCACACTGTTCAATGCCCCAGGCCCCTCCTGTGTTCCACGGTCTTCCATCTCTGGGTTTGGAATCCCTGGCAGCCCCTCCTCACTTTTGTATCATCTTCTTTTGTACATGCTTTGAGAATGGTGGCTTCCTCCTTTCCCCCCTTCTAATGCCTTACTATCTGTGACAGTTTTTGGTGTACTGAAAGCACCCATTCTTATATCTCTAAGGAATTTGGGGTCATTTCTAAGGAATTTGGGGTGGAAAGGCCTACAGCCTATTCTCAGTCTGCCAGCTTAACTCTGGACCAAGCAGCTCCTCCTTTCCTTTGGGCCCTGACTTTCCCAGATGAGCAGCCAGTTAAGGTTAAAGAATCAGTGGATTTGGAATAAGGATGGAGGTTTGGAGGATTCTGGGCTTGGGAAAAATAAGAGCAAAGGTACTGAAATAAAACCAAGTATAGTGTGTGCTAGTGCAGTGGTCCCCAACCATGGACAGGTGGTCGGGGGAGGGGGGATGAGATGAAACTGTTCCACCTCAGATCATCAGGCATTAGTTAGATTCTCATAAGGAGTGTGCACCCTAGATCCCTTGCATGCACAGTTCACAGTAGGGTTCATGCTCCTATGAGAATCTAATGCCCCCGCTGATCCGACCTGCTGTGTGGCTGGTTCCTAACAGGCCACAGACCGTTTCCCCGCGGCCCAGGGGTTGAGGGCCCCTGTGCTAGAGGACAGGGACAGGGTTCAGAGCAAGTGGTTGTACTCCAAAGTGCCAGGAGTTTAGTGGTAGGTGAGGGGGAGTGCAAGGAGATGCTACAGCTTCGTGATGACACTTCAGACATGAATTAAGGTGGAAGACTAAAGACATACAATTGATTCTTGACAGTGGGAAAACATTCATTTTTAGTAATTGCTTTGCAAATACCTATGGAATACTTTATAGAAGAGAATGTGAATTTTAATAAAGTTGTCTATTTGATTACTGGTACATTTCTGTCATCTTAATTTGTGTTTTCTGTTTATCAAACTTAATTCCTGTCTCTCTCTCTCCTCTCTTCTATTAGGTGGATAGTTCTTTATCTGTCTTTTCCATGTATCTTGCCAGCCACTCTGGAAGCGATACATTTTTGAATATTTAATACAAAAATTGTAACTTTTATTATTTGTTGTATATGTTTCTAATAACATTTAAAATTATTCGGGCCGGGCGCAGTGGCTCATGCCTGTAATCCCAGCACTTTGGGAGGCCTAGGTCAGGGAATCACGAGGTCAGGAGTTCGAGACCAGCCTGGCCAAGAGACCAGCCTGGCCAATATGGTGAAACCCCATCTCTACTAAAAATACAAAAATTAGCCAGGCGTGGTGGCAGGCGCCTGTAATCCCAGCTACTCAGGAGGCTGAGGCAGGAGAATTGCTTGAACCCGGGAGGCGGAGGTTGCAGTGAGCCAAGATCACGCCATTGCACTCCAGCCTGGCCAACAGAGCGAGACTCTGACTCAAAAAAAAAAAAATTATTCATTATTTTTATATTTCTCCTGAGTAAGGCAAGAACCTTAGCACACCTTAGTTACTGTTCTCCCTCATCCCACTTTTGTTTTTATAGGGGATGTCTAGAATTTTTGTTCAGCTTTTTTAATTTAAAAAAAGTTATTTTAACAAATAATTTATTCATATCCGTACTTACTGTTTTTTCCTGCATCCCATTGTTTCCCTCTGGGCTTACATTTTATTTGCTAAAGTATAGTTTATTAATTGAAACAAGGATCTCTGGGTGATAATCATTAATAAAATAAATAAAAATAAGTAGATAAGTCAGTAAGTTAGACAGTTATCCTAACTGTACCTATACTCTGGGTGGAGAGTTTAGCTCCATTCACAAGTCTGAGTTGACAGTCATCTTTTATCAACACTTTGAATATATTACTTGATTATTTTTGGCATCTGTTGTTGCTGGTAAGAAGTCTGCTGTCAGCCTAATTGTCGTTTATCTGTGAGTAATCTGATTTTCTCTCTAATAGTTTAAAGACTTTTCTCTATCTTTACTGTTCTGCATTTTCAGCAGCAGTATATTCAGGAGAGAGTCTATTTTTATTTAGCCTTTTCACCATTCTCTGTGCTTTTTAAATCTGAGGACTCGGGTCTTTATTGAATTCTGGGAAATTGTCAGCTCTTAGAACTACTTTTAGATGTATGTAGAGTCTTCTCAATCTAGCCTTTATGCCTTTTCATTACTCGATTTCATATTTTTTATGCCCTTATCTCTCTTGCTATGTTCTGGGTAATTTTATAAGATTCCTCTTCCACTTCACCAGTTTTCTCTTCAGCTTTGTCTAATTGGTTGTTTAACTGAACCAGAGTTCTTGATTTCAGTCACTGTATTTTTTCTTTGAGATGGAGTTTCGCTCTTGTTGCCCAGGCTGGAGTGCAATGGCGTGATCTTGGCTCACTGCAACCTCTGCCTCCCGGATTCAAGTGATTCTCCTGCTTCAGCCTCTGGAGTATCTGGGATTACAAGCACCTGTTACCATGCCCAGTTAATTTTTATATTTTCAGTAAAGATGAGTTTTCACCATGTTGGTCAGGCTGGTCCGAATTCCTGACCTCAGGTGATCCACTGGCCTCAGCCTCCCAAAGTGCTGGGATTACAGGCGTGAGCCACCGCACTCGGCCTATATTGTATAAATATATAGGATTTTTATTTGGTTTCTTTTCATGTCTACCTATATATGTTTCATTTGACTTGCTTTTGATTTATCCTATTCTAATGGGTGTTTTTCCTTTCCTTATCCTTTTGAGCAGATTAAGTGTTCTTTACATTTTTCAGTTCTATTATTTGCATTTTTTTGATTATTTGTTGACTGTTCTTCTATGGTTTATAATTTTAATCTGCAGGCTTACTTGGAATGTGAGTCTACCTTCCCTCCACACTGTTTTGTTGCATCCTCCTGGTCCCTAGTTCAGGCCAGGTTCCTATCCGTTAGGGAGGGAGAGAGTATAGCACAGTTAAGAGTGAAGGCTCTGAAACCTGACAGCCTGAGTTCAAGTCTTGGCGCTATTGGTTACTTGTGTGTTGTCTTGGGCATATTATTTAACATTTCTGTGCCTCAGTTCCTCACCTATCAAATGAGGATAATGATAGTATCTAAAACTGTTATTTTGATGATTTCAATAAGTTATTGCTCAGAAGAGTATCTGGATCATAATAAGCACTTCATAAATTCTGACAAATATATTCAGAATATTGCAGATCCAGAATGACCCAACAGGATTTTTGCTCAATATCTGGTTTCTTGGCTCCATCAGCTACTTACTTTCTGCTGCCTCCGATATGCAGCTTTATTTAAGCCACAACTCTAAGTGGCCATAAGAATCCCCATTTCAAGCAGTGGGTGATCCTGGCTCCCCTAACACTATTCCCTAGAAATGGACTTTTGATTCCCATTACACCACAGGAAATGAACTATCAGCCCCCTCTGCCTGCTTCTGGTCTTGGAATTCTGTAAGTTATAGATGTAATGGGATAACTTTGTGTTTTTTTGAGACAGAATCTCACTCTGTCGCCAAGAATGGAGTGCAGTGGCGTGATCTCAGCTCACTGCAGCCTCTGCCTCCCAGGTTCAAGCAATTCTCCTGCCTCAGCCTCATGAGTAGCTGGGATTTACAGGCGTGCATCACCATGCCTGGCTAATTTTTGTATTTTTGGTAGAGATGGGGTTTTGCCATGTTGGCCCAGCTAGTCTCGAACTCCTGATCTCAATTGATCTGCCCGCCTTGGCCTCCCAAAGTTCTGGATAACACGCATTGAGCTACCGTGCCTGGCCAGGACAACTTTTTAAATAACTTTATTTTGAAATAATTTTAAGTGTACCAGAAAGTTGCAAAACTAATACAAAGAATTCTCAGCATTCCTCAATTTTTAACATCTTTCCACTTTTGCTTTATTATTTCCCCCTGCCCTTCTCTGTTTTTTATAGGTATCTATATCTATATCTATATACACTCATCTATCTATCTGTATAGATGTATACAGGCTGAGTACCCCTCATTCGAAAATCTGAAATCTGAAGTGCTCCAAAATTCAAAACTTTTTTGTGTACCAACATGAGGCTCAAAGGAAACGCTCATTGAAACATTTCAGATTTCAGATTTTCAGATTAGGGATACTCAACCAATACATATAATGCAGATATTCCAAAATGGAAAAAGACTAAAACCCTTTTTGTCTCAGGCATTTCGGATAAGGGATACTCAATCCGTGTATGTGTATATATATATACACACATATATATATACACATATATATATATACACATACATATGTATATATATGTGTATATATATATGTGTATATATATGTATATGTATGTGTATATATATGTATATATATATGTATGTGTATATATATATATGTGTATATATATACATTATACCTCTTCTCCCTTCATTTTTTCATTATTCCTAAGGACAAAAAATCTCTTAACATAATCACGGTAAAATTGTCAAATCAGGAAGTTTAATATTGAAACAGTATTTTGTAGTCTGTATTACAAATTTGTCAGTTGTCCCAATAATGTCCTTGTTAGTATTTTTTTTTTTTTTGCTGGTACAAGATCCAAATAGTACATTATATTTACTTGCCATGTCTTTTTAGTCTCCTTCAATCTGGAACTGCCTCTCAGCCCTTCTTTGTCCTCTATGGCATTGTCATTTTTGTAAAGAGACAGGCCAGTTGAGACAGGCCATAGACTGTCCTTCAATTTGGCTTCGTCTGATGGTTCCTTATAGTAGGTAGATTTAGGTGACGCATTTGGGGCTGGAAAACCTTCTTGGGGTATCACATTCAGAGGCACATGGTATCTGTCTGCCCCCGACTAATAATGCTAATTTTGACCACTGGTTAGGTTTTGATGTTTTCTCTGTTGTCTATGATGGTTTTTTTTCCTTTTATAATTATTAACTAACACTTGGGAAGACATTTTGAGATTATATAAGGATTCTGTTCCTCATCAAATGTTTCTGTCCTGGTTCAGCAGACATTAATTGTTTTTTGCCTAAGTTTTTACTCTCTTGTTGGCAAAATGATGATTATCTACCTCCATCATTCCTTCTCTGTAAGGAAAAGATTTCCATTTAGAGGGGATTTTTTTTTTTTTTTTGACACGGAATCTCACTCTGTGGCCCAGGCTGGAATGCAGTGGTGCTATCTCAGCTCACTACAACCTCCGCCTCCTAGGTTCAAGCGATTCTTCCACCTTTGACTCCCAAGTAGCTGGAATTACAGGCGCCCGCCACCACACCCGTCTAATTTTTTGTATTTTTAGTAGAGACAGTGTTTCACCCTGTTGGCCAGGCTGGTCTCGAACTTCTGACCTCAAGTGATCTGCCCGTCTCAGCCTCCCAAAGGGCTGGAAGTACAAGTATGAGCCACCGCACCCGGCCTAGAGGGAACTTTTAAAGCATGAATTTATAGCCCTATCTTGACAATGAAGTACCCAATATATCTTTCAGGAAATGAGCTGTAGTTGAGCAATAACGTTAACTGTAATCCTTTTTTGTACCTTTTCAGAAACAGGAATTGTTAATTAAAATTTTTATCCCTTCAAGATTTTTCTGCAAGGATTTTAAAGTAAAATTTAAATAGTATATAAGAGTATGAAGTGAAAACCCAAAGCCTCTTTTCTGTCTTACCTCTCAGGTGGTAATAGTTTGGCATAGAGCCTTCCAGACAAAAATGGAATCATATGAAGTTATTGTTCTGGAAATTGCTTTTTCAAATGGAAGACTTACATATCAGGTATTTTTGACTGTAGAAAACTTTACCTAGTGTTTTTTTGTTTTTTGTTTTTTTTCCTAAGTAGTTTATTTTTCTGGTTGAAATGGTTTAGGAATGTTGACTTTAAAGTGCCTATTTATTCTAATATCAATGTATTCTATTTTAAAAATACCGATTGGCAGGTAATTTTAAGAATTCTTTAAAGCTAAGTGTTAAATTAAAAAAGCAAGTTACCAAATGATATGTACAGTATGAGACTATTTGTGGGAAAAATGCCATATCAGTTTTATTTTTATTGGCACATACACTTGAAGTAATCATGGTTATCTAGGGAAAATGCTGTTTTATTGAGGTAAAATGGGGGAGTTTTATTTTCTTTTATTGAATTTTTTTCAGTGATGATGTATTCATTTTTTAAAGTAAATTGCAATTTTTTATAAGTATTATAAGTCTTACATATTACCTCACATAGTTTTCAGTTGTTTCTTTCCACACTTCCTGCTCTTTAAGCAGTAATACATACTCCCAAAGAAGGCCTCTCATGATTCTGGAGAAGTATTACTGGATCTTCCAGATTTATTAAAAATTACATTGACTCTGGTCTGATTTACTTATGTAGAGACTTACCTTTTTCAAACCCTTGTTATGTTCGGCTGTATTATTCTTTGAATAGACTTTTTGGGCTGGCCAGGAAAATTAATGTTTCTGTGAAGAAATGTGTTGTGAATGTTAGTTATTGACTTGTGAGCAAACATGTGAGAATAAAATGTGTGTAAGTTGGAGACTGTTGAGTGACCAAAAGTTTGCTTCTCTCATTGAAATAGGAATGGTAAGGGTAAGAATATGGGAGTGTAGGGTCAAAGGCATGAATTTATAACATCGTGAGGACCTTCACAAATGGGGAAGTCCATGCAGCAGACTTATTTCTTTTGTTTTTTCCACCAATGATTAATTTTGAGAAATTAAAATTTAAACCTAAAGGAATATTGAAAGCACAGTATAAGGACATCTTATATTCATTCAGATTCACCAGTTAACCTTTTGCTGTTTGTTTTATATTCTTTTTCTCTCCCTTAGTCTCTCTCTTTCTCTACACACACCCACACCCACACACATAACACACACACATGCACTGTGCACACATTTTATTTATATTTTTTAGTTGAAGCCTCAGAAAGTTAGTTGTTATCTTACTTTCACTCCCAAATTACATTTTACCCTTTTGACCCAGTGGTTAACTAGAGTAATGATCTTTGCCTGAATAAGGTATTACATTGATAGTTGCAAAATGCTGCATTTTCTACCTGTCATTTCCTTTAAATAAATTTATTTATTTTTTATTTTATTTATTTACTTTTTTTTATTGAGACAGAGTCTCGCTTTGGAGTGCAGTGGCGTGATCCTGGCTTACTGCAACTTCTGCCTCCCAAGTTCAAGCAATTCTTGTTCCTTAGCCTCCCGAGTAGCTGGGACTACAGGCGCCCACCACCATGCCCCGTTAATTTTTGTATTTTTAAAAGACTGGGTTTCACCGTGTTGGCCAGGCTGCTCTTGAACTCCTGGCCTCAAGTGATCTGTCTGCCTCGGCCTCCCAAAGTGCTGGGATTACAGGCGTGAGCCACCGTGCCCAGCCCATTTCCTTTATTATTAATTAATTAATTAATTAATTTTTATTTTTTTCTGAGATGGAGTCTCACTCTGTCACCCAGGCTGGAATGCAGTGGCTCGATCTCGGCTCACTGCAAGCTCTGCCTCCCAGGTTCAAGCTATTGTGCCTCAGTCTCCCTAGTAGCTGGGATTACAGGCACGTGCCACCATGCCAAGCTAATTTTTGTATTTTTAGTAGAGATGGGGTTTCACCATGTTTGCCAGGCTGGTTTTGAACTCCTGACCTCAAGTAATCCACCCACCTCGGCCTCCCAAAGTGCTGGGATTACAGGCATGAGCCGCTGCACTCGGCCCCGTTTCCTCTAAATTTACTAGCTGGCATTCTTCTGCAAAGAGAAACTTCTCTCTTTCCTCCTTACTCTCTTGTATTTCTATAGACCCATGGCTTAAAAAAAAAAAAAAATTCAAAGTGTTTTCTATTACTGTCATCATTCTTTTAATGCCCAATTGTTTCAAATTTGTCACAAGGGATCTCCTTCTAGTCGGCTCTTGTGTCCTTTTGACATGACCCCATTTTTTTTTTTGATGACCATTTCTTATGTTTTGTCCAATAAGATATGCAGGTTCACCTTGTACTTTCACAATTCTACATTTCTGCAAGGACTCCTGCCTCCTTTTATTGGATAATGGTATGTAGAAACCAAGATCTGCGTGGTAGGTGTGCTATGGTTAATCATTGCTTTTAGACTCTTTCAGTAAATACAACTAAGAAATATGCTTATTTTATATGTATATATATACATACACATATACATATATACACATAGTTATATATGTAAAGTGTGAGCATATACACATATTTTAAATTATGACATTTCATTTTGTATCTCTTTTTCCCTCATGCATAATAATTCTAGCATTTCAGCCCAAAACTGTTTTAACAATAAACTCACTAAATAGAATTTAAGATTTTTATGCAGCACATTTTGTCTTAGAATATATTTCATTAGGTTTGTACAGTTAGAGTTCTGCATTCAAAAGTTACTTGAAGCCAGGAGCAGTGGCTCACGCCTGTAATCCCAGCACTTTGCGAGGCCAAGGCGGGCGATCACTTGAGTTCAGGAGTTCGAGACCAGCCTGGCCAAAAATGTTGAAACCCTGTCTCTACTAAAAAATACAAAAAAGTTAGCTGGGCTTGGTGATGGGTGCTTTGTAATCCCAGCTACTTGGGAAGCTGTGGCAGGAGAATCGCTTGAACCCGGTTGCTGTGAGCCAAGATTATACCATTGCACTCCAGCCTGTGCAACAGAGCAAGACTCCAAATCGAAAAAAAAAAAAAGTAACTTGAATTATTTGTTCTGTATTGTTATGTAATCAATTTAGTATGCAGTTAGGCTCTTTTTATGAGGTTTTCCAAAACCTCTTGATTTAAATGTAAATTTATAAATAAATAGAACATTTATTTGGTTTAAAACTATATAAAGATATTTTTGGAAAAGTCTTGGTCCCTTCCATTCTACACCCATGTCTGTAGGTAATCATTTTTATTAGGTTCTGGTTTGTACTTCTTGTGTTTCTCTTTTGTGCATGCACACACATACACACACGCTTATTTTATCCCTAATATATCTCCATCTCTTGTTATATATGTCCCTTGTTTTTTCCTTTCATAAATAATGTCATATTATATATAATCTTTTTTTCCCCAATTATTTTTTTTGGTCAGTATATCCTAAAAATCACTCCATATGAATTCACAAGAATCCTCCTCATTGGTAGTGGCACCATGGAACTTCTTTGTGTGACTGAACCATCATTTATCCAGTCAGTCTCCTTTGGATAGGCATTGGGGTTGTTTTTCAGCGTTTTTCTCTTATAAATAATGCTTTCTCTACCAATTTTTTAAATGAGCATTTGCTAGAGAAAAGGCATTGTCTTAGGACTGCTAGGTCATATGGTGAAGAATAAGATATATTTTCTGCCCCTGAAGTGCTTACTGCTTCTGGTAAGGGATGGTTTTAGAAGGAAGAGGGCTAGGAAGAAAAGTGGCGCAGTACCTAGTAGGTAAGTATAATCTGGATGCTCCCAGTAATTCTGAGTGTTGACTGCACATTCTCATAGAAGTGGGGTGAGACAAATATATGGGAAGTAACTGTTATGCTGTAGTCTAGTTTCCAAGTAAAAATAAAAAGAAACCTTTTAAATTAAATACTCCTCAGTAAATAAATGCTTAATAAATTTATTGAGCTACAAATGCTAAGTTTCAGTAAATCACTTCATTTTAGTTTAACAGTACTTTTTTTTTTTTTTTTAAACAGAGCACTTTCTAAAGGTAAAATATAGGTTGGGGAAATCTTTTTCTTGTTAGTATTATTCAGCCAAAACAGTAAATCTTTTTAAAAAGCTTCATATTTAATGTTCACTCCTACACATTTAAAATATACATGGTTGCACAGCCTATTCATGGTTAAAAAAATTAATATATATTTGTATTAATAATAGAAAAGTTATAAGATGGAAAAGTATAAAGGAAAAAATAAACTTAGGGGATAGGTGTAAGCATTAGGTTTTCCATGATTAACTTATGCATTTTCATTAATTTTAGGTAAAACATGTCTCTATTTTAACATGATGTCATCTCTAATGGAATACATTAGAGCTGGGTTAAAAAGTAATTTACCAGTGGAAAGCTCAGTGCTGTTCAGATTTAGAAGTCAGCCCCCCTGAGATAATCCACACCATTTTGTATCCCACATCTTGGACCAAGGGTGTAGGCAACCTTGGGTCCTGGTGATTGGAAGCAGAGGCACATCGGCACTGTGTTCTTTTCTGGTGGAAGGATGGGGTTGTGTGAGAGGCCCCTAGGCTGGGGGCTGGAGGGTGATGAATTATCATCCCCCGCAGGGGACACGTCTGCAAAGTGTGTCCACGCATGCCAGCAGCTGCTGCTTCTCCAGGCCAGCGTGCCCTGTGTCAGCAGTCGTCCCTGCCACCCTCACCATGTTCCTCAACTAGCCTAAGAAAATCCCCATTTCTGCTTATTTGAGCCATAATAGGACTGTTTTCAAAAGATTTCACTTGGAAACAAAGGAAAAGACTAAATACACAAACAAAAATGCAGCAGTACAGAAATGATACAGAAATATAGCAGCAAGGCCGGGCACAGTGGCTCATGCCTGTAATCCCAGCACTTTGGACAGCCAAGGTGGGCAAATCACTTGAGGCCAGGAGTTCAAGACCAGCCTGGCCAACATGGTGAAACCCCATCTCTACTAAAAATACAAACATTATCTGGGTGTGGTGGCATGCACCTGTGATCCCAGCTACTCGAGAGGCTGAGGTGGGAGAATCACTTGAACTGGGGGGCAGAGGTTGCAGTGAGCTGAGATCAAGTCATTGCACTCCAGCCTGGGCAACAGAGCAAGGCTCCATCTCAAACAAACAAACAAACATATAGAAGCAGAGTTTTGTTTGTTTGTTTTTAATCTTAGGTTGGTGAGGTCACAGGTCTTTGGCACACATGTTGTAATTCCCTTTCCCCATTCCTATGGCAGACATTGATGATTGATCCCATATATTTTCCTGTTGGCTCCACCTTGGAAATCATAGCAGTAGTGGATCAGATTTGGCATGTGAGTTGCATATCCTCTTCTTAAGGTAATTCAATTTTGCCAACAGACAGGATTTATCATGCACATGTTCATGTCATTCTCTCTGGTCTGGCTGGACTTAGCTGCAGCTGGCGAATGCTGTCCTACCATGTTGCCTTTGGTGGCAGCCACCATTCCTGTCATCTCTGGAGCCTCCTGTCCTGTCAAGCCACAGACCCTTTTATTTCTATTGTTACATTACCTATAGTTACCAGTTGATTGATGGATGCTCTACTCACTTGCTCATATTTTTTGCAGCTGCTTCATCCTGAATTTATTTCTCTCCATGGCCAAATTCAACAATACCATATGTACTGTCGGGAAAAAAAGTCTTAGGTCAGGAAAAAAAGTCTTATAAGTCTTGCCTTGTTTCTGTGATAGACCACAGCTTATTTATAATAGGCCACAGCTTGTTTATAAAGCAGCTAACTCCTCCCAACTACTACTTGTTAGTTTATGTGATTTTTAAAAATTATCACATTATGTGACTCCCTTCAGCCAAACATTGATCTTAGTAAGGTCTGAGGTTTAACTCTAACCACCAAACATAAATGCTTATGGCTTTTGGAAAATGTGAACTGAACGCTGAAGTCAAGCCTCTGAACCTTGTGTGTGTGTCAGTCTCACGGTGTCAGTAACTTAGAATTGAAAAGCAGATGTGAGCTTTCCTCTTGCTTCTTTCTAGTATTAAATCAATATAGTGTTTTAGAATATTATATTTAAGTGTCATTTCACAGGAGACATATAAACGTATCTACTTCAGAGGCCTCTCCCTGTGCATGAATTTTCACATTTTGTCTTCATTGCCTCATCAGTATGCCAGTAGGTGTCACTGTGTACATTAAATGGAAATCAAAGATGTCATTAGAAGAATTTCCAAAATTATGGCAATTTTTTTTAAAACAGAGTTCCCAACAGTAAGCCAGAATGTTTATACCACTTCTTTTTTTTATTTTTAAATTTTTTCTTAGGCTATCATAAGAAAACATGACATCAATTTTTCTCTCCCTATTTCTGCTACCTTACTACCTTATATGAGCCCTTATGTATATATGAAAATACTTATTTTGGATGCATTCATAAGAATTAGAAGACAGCATATAGACTAACATGTTAAAGGAAAGAATGGATCATTTTGAACTTACATATGTCACTCTCCTAGGATAGAACTATGCTGCCAGAAATCTTTTTCAGGGGATGGAGTGGGGATTTTATCACTCCAAATACTTATTTGTGACAATACAAGAATATTGTAAAAACAAAAAAAAATTAACGTGCAATGAATATGTGTGTGTGCACACAGATGCGCGTTTGCCAGCTGAGGACTTTTTTAACCAGTATTTTTAGGTCCTCTATACATTTATGAGGCTACTCTTCAGAATTTTTAGTTTTCCTGTAACAGAAGAAACTGTTTCCTATCTTGTATAATCCTACAGTTTCAAGTTTACAGTAATATTAGTGGAACTTAATTGTTTAAATGTCTGAGACTTTTTTCTGTGGGCTCCCTGTCCTGTTCACCCCTTCAAAAAAGTAAAAGTATTTGACTTTATGTCTTCTGTTGCTTCTTGGGGGAAAATACCATGATGGTCACTTAACTCATTTTCAGGTCTTTGATACTAAGATCAACAGTATTGTAAAATGCTTTCTTCAGTTGAGCAATACAAATTTAGGTTGTACCAATGTTCTGGAAAACTGTTTGTGTGCATGTATGTGTGTCGGGGTTGGTGCTGGAATTGTGATCTGTTGTCTGAAATAATTACATGTGGTTTTTCCATTCAGAAGAATGTTCCTTTTGTGAAGAATGACTTAAGGAAGATTCATGATGACTGAGTGTGCCCGTGTGGAACTTTAGGACATAGATGCACTCCTACAGAGTCAGTCTTAAATCATCTTCAACCCTATTTTCCCTGATACACGTAATAAAAATGAAGATGTGTTCTATGTGGTGGCAAGGGGAAAATTGTCTGCAAGACATGATACAGATAGCAATTAAAATGCACTGGGGATTACTCAAAATTCCTTTTCATTTATAACTTTTAAAATTAAGAATGCTTAAAGTAAAAACCCTTTCCCAGATCTGAGGCCCTGCAGGCAGTGTGGGACAGTGCAGTGAGCCATGTGCCTTTGGGTCAGAGGGTCTGGGCTCCAGCCACTATGGCAGCACTCTGAGTTTGTGTATAGGCAGAGCTCAGATTTTCTCCATCTTTGAGTTCTTTGGTCTGGGAAAGGAGAAGTGTTGTTGTATAGGTTAAGTGTAGGGCTTTAGCTGAATCAATAACATTTTGTTTCTTAAAAAAAGAAAATGAAATCAAAATAAATATGGAAAAATATCCATTAAATCTTGATGATGGGTAGATGCTTCTGTTGATACTGTTTTCTACCCAGAGTTTCTATGTGGTTGAGTTGAAGGCATGAGCATTAATATTTTCAAAGCATTCTGCAGGTAACTAACATGCAGCCAGAATTGAGAATCAATGGTCTACATGGCTTCTTATTCCTAAGCCGGCAGGCCAAATGTGGTTGATGGGGCATTTCACAAATCAGAGTTTAGGAACTGGAGTCAGAGAACCTTGAAAGTGTCCCCATCCTTGGGTGCACACAGGAGGGTGTCTAGAGGCTTACAGTGTTTATGCATTATTGGTGGTGGGCTGTCCTGGCCATTTTTGAGAGCTTCTTTTCCTTGATGCTTGAAGCTTTCTGTTTACCATTCCTGCTGGAATAACTTTCCCCACCTCCTGACAGCCTCCACTGTGAGATCTGTGCCCCACCTGAAGAACACAGTCTCTTCTGCTCTTTTCACTCCTATAGTCTTCAACATACACCTGGCTGCGAGTCGTGGTGACTTTGGAGCTAGACTAGTAAATCCCTTGCTGTTGGTAGGGTTCTGGCAGTAGATGTTCTAAGGGGAGGGTTGGCATAGGTAGTAGCAGCAGTAGCTTGAGTGAACATGTCTTCAGCTATTATGGAGTCCATAGAAATATACCATTTGCACCAGAAAAAATTAGTTCAACATACAGTCTATCAGTAATGCTTCTGTTGAATATTTTTATTTTTATTTATTTTTTGAGACAGGTTAGTTTCTGTTGCCCAGGTTAGAGTGCAGTGGCACAATTACAGCTCACTGAATCCTCGAATTCGCAGGCTCCATCTGTCCTCCCATCTTAGCCTCCCAAATAGCTGGGACTACAGGCACACACCACCATGCCTGGCTGATTTTTGTATTTTTTGTAGAGATGGGGTTTTGCCATGTTGCCCAGGCTGGTCTCAAAATCCTGGGCTTAAGCAGTACGCCTGCCTCAGCCTCCCAAAGTGCTGAAATTACAGGCGCGAGGCACTGTGCCTGGCCCCCTCTGTTGAATAGTAAAAAGTTCCTTCAGCACTTAATTTGACTCTTTGCTAGATGCTTATCTGACAATGATGAAGGAATGCAGTGAGCTCTTAACCTCCCAAGGCAGTGTATGCTCTTGTGGGGATAACCCTTAAAGGAGAGTTGGGGAAAGTTTTTCTTATTAGGACTGATTAACTCACAGGTGGAAAACCCAAGGACTTTAGTAGAACCCATTTTAAAAATCTTGATCTCTCCCTTTTTTCCAGCTTTACTGAATAAATGACAAATAAATATTGTGTGTATTTAAGATGTGCAATATGGTGTGGGTTTTTTTTTGTTTGTTTTTTGAGACAGGGTCTTGCTCTGTTGCCCAGGCTGGAGTGCAGTGGCGTGGTCAGGGATCACTGCTGCCTTGAACTCTCAGGCTCAAGCGATACTCCTGCCTCAGACTCCTGAGTAGCTGGGACCACAGGTGTGTGCTACCACACCCACCCAGCTACTTTTTTTTTTTGAGATGAGGTCTCACTGTGTTGCCCAGGCTGTGATGTTTTTGATAATACATATACAGTGTGAAATGATTACCACAATCAAGCGAATTAACATATCTATCACCTCACATAGTTACAATTTTGAGAGTGTGTGTAGCAGCAATTTTTAAAATGTGAACTATTAAAACGTTTTTTTTAAAAAAATGAAGAACAGAGAACATGCAGGTCTGTGCATTGGAAATTAAATTCAAATTTTCATTCTATATGGCCATGTAAAAATGGTGTGGTATAGAAAACATAACTAAGGGCCTGGTGGAATGGCTCACACCTGTCATCCCAGTGCTTTGGGAGGCCAAGACAGGAGGATCTGCTTAAGGCTAGGAGTTTGAGACCAGCCTGGGCAACGTAGTAAGACCCCATCACTACAAAAAATATAAAAAATCAGCCAGGTATGGTGGCACACACCTATAGTCCCAGCTGCTTGGGAGGCTGAGGCGGGAGGATTGCTTCAGACTGGGAGGTCAAGCCTGCAGTGAGCTGAGATCACACTACTGCACTCCAGCCTGGGTGACAGAGTGAAACTTCAGTCTCAAAAAAGAAAGAAAAAAGAAATAAAACAACAGGGAAAGGATAAAATGTTTTTAAAGACCTAAGAGCCAATAATTTATTCAGTTATCATTATAAGTAATGTTCCTTTTTCAGAGGGAAAAATGATTTATATGTCTTGAAAGGCAAAATATGGCCAGGTGTGGTGGCTCGTGCCTGTAATCCCAGCACTTTGGGAGGTCGAGGCAGGTGGATCACTTGAGGTCAGGAATTCAAGACCAGCCTGGCCAACATGGTGAAACCCCGTCTCTATTAAAAATACAAAAATTAGCTGGGTGTGGTGGTGCACGCCTGTAATCCCAGCTACTCAGGAGGTTGAGGTAGTAGAATCGCTTGAACCTGAAAGGTGGAGGTGGCAGTGAGCCAAGATTGTGCTATTGCACTCCAGCCTGGGTGACAAGAGCAAAACTCCATCTCAAAAAAAAAAAAAAAGCAAAATATTGCTCATATTTATGATGAAGAACTATTGCACTGTACCTAAGTTTTGGATCTCTTGAAATATAGCTTGTTTTCTTTTTATTATTTATTTGTTTCTACTTTATGCATTGACTGTGGGGGACAATAAGGAGAATGTAGAAGATTTATAAAATGCAGTATCTTTCTTGGAATTTATAGGCTATGTGAATAGATTGCAGTTAAACAACAATGAAAACTAGGGTATGTTTAGGGACAAAACACAAAGATATAATAAATATTCTAGGAATTTAGGAACGATCAGCCAGGTCCAGCGGGGCTGGTATGCAGGAGGTATTTGGGCATCTCATTTATTGCCTAAGTCCTGGACACTGTTGCCTTTCTGCTCCCTTTGTTCCATATGCCTGCTCCCATTGAAGGTTTACTTGGCCTCTCACTCTTGACTTTTGTCTCCTGTCATTGCCCCTTGGACTTTACAGATTGATCTTACAGGATCTTGACCCTCCATTCTCTCCCTTGGATGTGTCATACACACATGTTCTACCTGACCTTGGACATGGGGTAATACCAGAGATGCCTGGTAGATGCCTGGTCCTAGGGTCCTCCTCCACAGCAGCCCATTTGGAATCATTCTGCTCTGACTTGCTTCTTAATGGGTGTCTGTCCCTGGACATCCTGTGGTAGAACATCCTAATTTTGGGATATCCCAAAACTGATTGCATTATATCCGTTCCATCTTTCTCTCTTCCATAAACAAACAATATTCTTTTGTCTTATATATCTTTGAGTCTAAGACTGAGCTTCACTATCTGCCCAGTTTTCCAACCTAAAACATAAGAACAGTCATTGTCTGTCCTTCATCTGGGCATTCAGCTCTTTGCCAGTAATCTCTGTGGCCTCTGGCCCTTGTTCACACTCCTCCTTGTTCACCCATCTTCCCTGTGTACTCATGGTGGCAGTGCCACTCACTCTTCTCATAGGCTGTACCCTGCTGTGTCTCTCCATACCTCTTCTGAGTTTGCCTTTCTGAATATTTCTATTGCCTCTTGGCTCTCTATAGCCTGAAGGTCAGACTTGTAGGTGTAGTGTAGTGCTGAACCCCTTTCAACTCCAGTTGGGATGGCACCAGGTTCAAGAGGCTGAAGAAGAGATGCAGAGCCAGCAAAGGAGACATGGAGTTTTATTGTTTACATACAGGGGAAATGGAAGAGGACCAGGGAAGATAACCACACAGCCCAGTGGCAGAGAGCTGGGCAGGAAAACCACAACCACTTGCAAAAAGCATGCAGTTTATATAGCATTTCCACTTAACACCTCCCCTCTAACAACCTCCACCTGGCAACCTTCATTCCAGATGAAACTCAGGGCCTCGATTCTCTGTACACTTATGTTCTATGGGAGGGGATGGGGGCTCAGATGTTCCTTACAGACAAGGAACAGAATCTTCCTATTGGCCAGTACTGGATTCCCTAGCCCAGTACACACATTCAGGTGTGTCTGCTATACAGGGTCATCCTCAGGGTGACCCTGTCATGCTTAAGTTATTGCTATCAGGTGTATTTATCATGCATATGGTTAAAAAGAGCCCCTTCCCCGTCTTGTCCCAGCTTACCTCTTTAACCTTCTCTTAGCCAGTTCAATTCCCCTCCTTTTGATGACTGTCTTCCCCCAGACTCAACTGAGTTTCAACTCATATTAGTCTGCCACTGTTGCACAAATATATCATTGCAATTCTGGATCTGTATCTTGCTACTTATTGTTCCCTAGGCCTGAGACGTCCCCAGCCTCTTCAGTCTCATTTTCACCCTGTATACAGAGAACTCAGTACCCCACTCAGAAACATGCATTTCTGTGAATCATTGCCTAAATGTCCCAGACAGAGGTGGTTGTACTCTCCTTTGTACGTTTTTTTGTTTGTTTTTTTTTGATACAGCGTCTTAGTCTGTCACCCAGGCTGGAGTGCAGTGGCACGATCGTGGCTCACTGCAGCCTTGACCTCCCCAGGCTCAGAGGATCCTCCCACCTCAGCCTCCCTAGTCACTGGGACTACAGGCATGTGCCACTACATCTGGCTAATATTCGTATTTTTTTAAATAGAGACAGGGTTTCTCCATGTTGCCCAAGCTGGTCTTGAACTCCTGGGCTCAAGTGATCCACTCACCTCAGCCTTTCAAGGTGTTAGGATTACAGGCCTGAGCCAGCCACAGTGCCACGCCTCCTCTGCACTTTTAATGTACCCTGTTTATGTTTCTTCTATACCAACTTTTGCACTGTGTTTTGGCCAGTGAACAGGTCTTTCCCTCCGCTGGTCTGTGAAGTCTGACTGACCTGCAAATCATGCTTTATGCATCTAATTATCTCCTGTGGACTGGGCACCTGCACACTGCTCAGCTCATCTTTGTTGCGTGAATGAAGACCCATGTTGAATGGAGTTTTAAAATCTGGGAAGTTTTTGGCCATGTGCTTAATGTTGAGTTTTGTTTCCTAATTAACCTTAAGTTTTGGTTTACTGTGGTGTATCTATTCTGTGCTTCTGTAATTTAAAGCATAATTACTGCATGAATCTGTTTGAGAAGGGTATGTTTTTAAATTTTTATACTTTTGATAAGCTTCTGCTTTGTTACATTTATGATGTAACAAAGCCCTTTTATTGGTGGACTACTTTCTAATTAAAATACTCTATTTACAGATTTGTTCTAAGCCTCTTCCTAGGTACACAATATGTTTCAATAATTACATTAAAAGATACATAAATATAATGCATATTAATATTAAAAACATAAATGTATGTTATGTCTAATTGGTCCTACGGTTAAATGGCACAGTAGGGACAGGAGACCTTACATTTTTTTTCAGCTCTTATAAATTCTTGGGTTCTGTGGGTTAAGTTTAACATCGTTTTAGCCCCTAGAGCAAGAGAAGCTTGAGAATGATAGATTGTTGAAGTAAAGCAGTTACCCAGTGGAATACCTAGTCTTTTTTTTTTGTTTTCTTTTTTTTTGAGATGGAGTTTCACTCTTGTTGCCCAGGCTGGAGTGCAATGGCACAATCTCGGCTCGCCACGGCCTCTGCCCCCTGAGTTCAAGGGATTCTCCTGTCTCAGCCTCCCCAGTAGCTGGGATTACAGGCATGTGCCGCCACACCCTGCTAATTTTTGTATTTTTAGTAGAGACGGGGTTTCTCCATGTTGGCCAGGCTGGTCTCAAACTCCCGACCTCAGGTGATCCGCCGGCCTCTGCCTCCCAAAGTGCTGGGATTACAGGTGTGAGCCACCACTCCCGGCCTTTTTATCTTTTGTTTTTTCCTTTGTTTATATCTGGTCTTTAAAAAAAATTATTTTTTAATTATTTTAAGTTCTTTAAATGCCTAGCCTTTTCTACAAATCTGTAATTACATGATCCCAGTATTTAAAAATGTTTCTTGCAGTTACAGCTTTTTCTGTATTTTATAGACTCATTAATAATTTACATGATCATCAGATAATTCGGCTTAATATGTCTTATTCTATTCAGTATGCTCTTAAAGTTAACTGTGACCGAAGGAACATGTCAACTAAGAAAGCTAAACGTTTCACATTGATAATAAATCTGAGATTAATTGTTCTTTTGGCTTTCACTTAAACTCCATGGAGTTTAACTGGGAAAAAAATATGCCACCACTTTAGACCCATGTGAAAGGAAGACAGCCTGATGCTCCAGACCTGTTTGGAGCGGCCGTCTCGTATTTCCCCACTCATGAGCCACCACACACAGTCAGCTTCTAGCAGGCCTGGTGTGGGTGTTGTTTCCCAGGACACTTTTTAAGTAAGTGTGTAAGAACATAGATGTGTCCATTCAGAAAAGTTCTTCAAGTCCTTAATGTCCTCAGTGAAAGTATGTTAGAATGTATTGTGTTTTTATAGCCCACACTCCAGCTGTGTAGATGTGAAACAAGACTAAATAGGCATATTTGACTTCACAGGTTTTGTGGGTGGGGTGTTGAGGGTAGGTAAGGATCCTGATTCCATCCTGAGGTTATCAGCTAGGGGTAGAGAGTGGAGTGAAGTGGGAGATTGGGAGGTGGGAGGAGGGAAGGGGTATGTGGGACGATTAGTATCTGACAGTTGGGTTCATTCTGCCAGCGCACCCTGAGAGGTCCCACCACTCCTGAGCTGAAGGCTGTGATTTTGGGTCTTCACTGTATTGATCACAGGTGGCCTGCCTCAGCCACTCACTCAGGAGGCTTAGGAAATACAGGCTAATTTACTACTTAACTGCATCCAAAAAATTTATACAGGTTGAGCATCCCAAATTCAAAACTTTTTGAGTGCTAACATGATGCTCAAAGGAAATGTTCACTGGAGTATTTCGGATTTCAGATTTTCAAATTTCGGATGCTCAACCAGTAAGTATAATACAAATACTAAATCTGCAGCACTTCTGGTCCCAAGCAATTTGGATAAAGGATATTCAGCCTGTAATAACCCTAGGAACACCTGATTGGAGATCTGTCCAAACTTCCTGAGCACTAGTTCAAGATCCTCCTCTCTTTCCAACTCAGATATAACTTCCATCTGTAAGAGTAGGTTTATAATTACAGGTTGCAGATTTAGAGATACTACTTGGGAACTCAAATTTAAATGATTTTTACCTGACCCTGACCATTTACTACCTTCCTGGTTGAACTCAGTCCTTCAAGGTTTATAGTAATCCATTGAGTTGTGGATGTCTCAGGATTAAACATTCAGCCACAGTTAAGTACCTACTATGTGGTAAAGTCTTAAATAGACACTGGAGACAGAATAACAGCTAAGAGTCAGGTGGAGGATGTGTATATCAACAAATACAAATAAAACAACCACAAGCACTTCAGGTATATACAGAGAGCTCTAAGACCACAGAACCTGCAGGTAAAGTGTTCCTCTGCATTCTTAGGGTGACCATACAACTTGGCATCCAAACTGAAATGTTTTTGAAAGTACAAGGTGGTAGTATAGAGATTTGTGCTGGGATAACAGCAGTAGACCTGGGCTGTCTGGGAACAGCCAGGGCAGTGGTCATCTCTCCACTTAGCACCCCATACCTGGCTCACTCTGGGTTCCACCATGCTGCCCTCCTGTCTGTCATTGTACAAACATCTTACAAGATTGTATTTAATAGTTGTCATGTGCCTTATTAATTGTGAGTACAGCATAGTGGGTCTGATTTGAATCAATTTTTTGTTTCCAGGTAGGCCTAGAACAGAAAGTGTATGAAGTGAAAGTATTTTGAACTTGACATGCATAATCTCATTTACTTCTCAGAGCAGTTCTTTAGGGTTTATGTACTGTTGGTATTTCCTTTTGTTTTGAGTGGAGTTTTGCCCTTTTTTGCCCAGGCTAGAGTGCAGCGGTGCGATCTTGGCTCACTGCAACCTCCGCCTCCCAGGTTCAAGTGATTCTCCTGCCTCAGCCTCCTGAGTAGCTAGGGTTACAGGCACATACCACCATTCCTGGTTAATTTTGTATGTTTAGTAGAGATGGGGTTTCACCATGTTGGCCAGGCTGGTCTTGAACCCCTGACCTCAGGTGATCCGCCCGCCTCGGACTCCCAAAGTGCTGGGATTACAGGCATGAGCCACCACACCTGGCCTATGGTGTTTCTTTTTACAGTTGAGAGGACAGTGAGGCACACAGAAGTGAAGTAACTTGTTGGCCACAGAGTAAGTGACAGGGGCAGGATTCGAGCCCCAGCAGCGTGACTCTAGCCCCTGCTCATGCAGCTTACTCTGCTTGTGTTCTCTGGGTTTGGCTACAGGCCACCAGTGCCACAGGAGATGATTTAAGTGGTGCCTAGACATTGAATAACATTGACTCAAAAAGGAAAACGTTATTCCCTTTTCACTTATCTTTTAATCCTACGTCATTTTCTCCACCACCCTAAAAAATTCTCCAAGAACTTTAACTTGGCTTTACTTTGCTTATCTCTCTAAGGAAGGAGTAACTTCAGGCTCCAAACCTTAAACAAGAAATGTAATTTTAAAATGAGTATTTCATTTTTATACTCACCTATTTATAGCAAGTGATACTGGCTTCTCATATCTATTTGTGACGTAAAGTTTTCTTTAAATCATATTGAAGTAAAAAGTCTATTAAAAAAAATCAAGTCCAGATAGGATGCAGATGGGGCCAAGTTGTGAAGGTAGTGTGGGAATTTGTAATATGGGGGAACACTCCCTCCTCAAGGGAGGAATTAAGGAGTAGAGATAAAAGCCAGACGGCCCTCAGGGTAAAGTTTTAGCATTCTTTCACCTAGGAGTCACGGGGCTGGTAATTCTGTCCCATTTGCTGCCTTTTCCTTTTCTTCTGTTTGAGAAGTCACATGGCAAAATATTAGGAGTCTGTCTGACTTAATGATCTCTATTCCAGACATGTACTAATTTATACTTTGCGGTCATTTATCTACACTGGCAATGAATGGGAAGTAGTTGAAATTGTTATCTTTATAACTGAAGGGAACAATTTGTATGCAGAGGGGCTTGATCTGGTATCTTAGTTCTTAGAAACACCTAAATTCTCCTGTTTATAAGGAAAATTGAATTGTATCTCAAGTTATCAATTTTTATTTTCCTGATAATGGCACAAGAATTAAAAATCTATTGAAACTTCTTAACACCGTGGTATAAAATTTCAATTTAAAAGTATAACTGGGCAGTTATAGCTCACTGAATGGTAATTTTTTTTTTTTTTTAATTTTCTTTTAAGGACAGCACAATTAGATTTTGGTAAGATTGAGACTTCAGTGTCTTCTGGTATATTTGTCAGGACAGATTCACAAGTAGTTTGCAAGTGTTCACGAACAAATCAGGTTAGTAATACATTGAAACCAGCACAAATAGATTGTCCTCATCACCACATAGACAAAACAGTCAGGAGATGGGTTTGGTGCTGTAAGCACAAGTGGCACGATATAATGAAGTTGTATTCCATTAAGCTCTTGTGTACGGGGAGCAAAATGTCATCACCTGAATGTGGCTGCATTTCTGTGATACAACCTCATCTGTTCCGTCAACTAGTTTTGCTCTGATCAATAAGCAGTTTTCTGTGGCCTTTCACTGCTGTCAGATGTCATTGAGTGATGTAAATGCACGTCAGAAACTAGAAACTTGACAGCTCACCCAGAGAGGGAAGGGAGAGAGGAGAGGGAAATCACTACAATAGACATGGTTGACAGCTGACATCTCCTTGGGGTAACTGATTGGATACTGTAGCAGCCGGCACTTTTCCCATATAAACACGAAGAAAAATTATCCTGTTATGTGTAAAATACAGTGCAGATGTTTTAAAATAACTTAAGGGAAAAATTATTCTTGTAAACTGTAGCATAGTGACTATATAGACTGTATAAAATATAAAAAATAATTAGTTGCTGTTAGTTTTTGGCTAAGAACAATTAAGGCAGATGAAAATATTGTATTTCTACCCATTTTTTCCAACACCGACTGCCAGAACTATAATTAGTAAAGTTTGTCAGTGAAGAAAGAAATGTAGCCTTAAAGACATTTATTATAACAGTATTCATGCAATAGAATATTATGTAGCAGTAAAAGGAAGAAGAGGACTGTTTCTATGTCCTGATAGGGGAAGATCGTCAGGGTCCTCTGCTGAGTGAAAAAGCAAGAGGTGGAACGGAATGTCCTGTGCTGCCTCTTGTGTTGAAGGGAAGGACTTAAGACTGACTGTTCAAATGTGCACATAGCAAGGCTGAAAGGACCTTACGGTGAGCACTTGAGCGGGGAGTGAAGCGTGGGACTTGCTCTAAGAAAGGTTGTGATTGCGAGACTGACCTCACTGTGTATCTTTTTTTTTCTTTTTAAACCATATGACTGTATTACCTATTCAAAATACTGTTATAAAAAGACATGCACTTATTCCACATATGAATACTTGATGAGAAGTACAGCATTGTTACATTAACAAGGGACTCGCAGTCTCAGAGTACCCCAGTTAGACTCTTCATTACCAAAGCGAAAAAGGCATTCAGATATGTTAGAATGAGGGGTTTTGAAATCTCATTAAATGCTAGTTTAAATGAGTTTATTGTCATTGACTAAGATTCAGGGACACTTAGACATAGTACCTATTGCTTAATCTGTGCCAGGTACCGTACTCTGCTTTATAAATGTTAACTTAAGTCCTCACGGAGAAAGTGTTACTGTCTTTATTTAACAGGTGAAAAAACAGATGCTCAAAGAGTTTAAAACCTTACCGTAGGTCATGTAGCCAGTATGTGGGAAAGCTGGAATTTGAATCTAGGTTTTCCGTCTCCAAAGATAAGTCCAGGGTCTGAGTATCAGAGTGGAAAGAGCTGTAACTGACAGGCACAAGCACCCAAGCATGTGTATACCCGTGAGGACAGCTGCCTTAACCTGGCCTGCCGTGAAGAGTAGAGGGCAGTGTTAAATCCCTAGGGTGGTTCATCACTGCCAGGCTTACCTATTAAGATGACTTCTTGGCACTGTCTATGTTTCTTTGTAGCTCCCATTTAAGTCAGTCATGTGCTTACCATTGGCCAAACTGTCTATCCCTGAGGTTTCCATGGGGCAGAGACCGTGTCTCTTTTGCTGCCCACTCAGCCCCAGCTCAGAGTCTGATGCAGGGAAGGTACTTAATAAATACTTACCAAAGGAATGCGCCATTACTACAGGCAGATCTTGTAGTAATGACAAGATTACATTTCACTGGTGTGGTTATCTTTCACAAACTACCTAATGGAATAATTCTTTCTAGTGCATGCTTTTCACTAATGAGGAATGCAACTTTGAAGCCAGAGTAGATTGAGAGCTTGTAGGTTCAAGGCAGAAAGATATCAGTTTATTCTATAAATAGTGAACCATCACTTTATTATTAGGAGTAAAGTGGTAAAAGAAGAAGATTAGGAAGTTAAGACAATCACCAGAGATAAAGTTTACTTGGGGAAATGTAATTGAAAAAAATCCAATGGAACAAAGTTGCATTAGAACTTTAATCCTACCACTGTGGTGTTCAGGGTTTGTATGCTTTGCTGTGTGTCAGGACGTCTTGAGACCTCAGCTCTCCAAGGCTAATCCCTTGGTCTACAACCCAGGCTATTCTCTGTTCACAGCCACCCCCTTCTCTACTGCCTTTTGTTTTCATTTTTACTTTTGAAATTCTTTTCCTCTTCATTTCAGGACCAATGTTATTAGAATATAGGGAATAGTTCAAAATTAAGGTCATCCCTACTGCTCCTCCAAGGCCCAGCCTGAGGAAAGACAGACTTTTTTTTGTTTTGTTTTTTAATTATTATTATACTTTAAGTTTTAGGGTACATGTGCACAATGTGCAGGTTAGTTACATATGTATACATGTGCCATGCTGGTGTGCTGCACCCATTAACTCGTCATTTAGCATTAGGTATATCTCCTAATGCTATCCCTCCCCCCTCCCCCCACCCCACAACAGTCCCCAGAGTGTGATGTTCCCCTTCCTGTGTCCATGTGTTCTCATTGTTCAATTCCCATCTATGAGTGAGAACATGTGGTGTTTCGTTTTTTGTCCTTGCGATAGTTTACTGAGAATGATGATTTCCAATTTCATCCATGTCCCTACAAAGGACATGAACTCATCATTTTTTATGGCTGCTTAGTATTCCATGGTGTATATGTGCCACATTTTCTTAATCCAGTGTATCGTTGTTGGACATTTGGGTTGGTTCCAAGTCTTTGCTATTGTGAATAATGCCTCAATAAACATACGTGTGCATGTGTCTTTATAGCAGCATGATTTATAATCCTTTGGGTATATACCCAGTAATGGGATGGCTGGGTCAAATGGTATTTGTAGTTCTAGATCCCTGAGGAATCGCCACAGTGACTTCCACAATGGTTGAACTAGTTTACAGTCCCACCAACAGTGTAAAAGTGTTCCTATTTCTCCACATCCTCTCCAGCACTTGTTGTTTCCTGACTTTTTAATGATTGCCATTCTAACTGGAGTGAGATGGTATCTCATTGTGGTTTTGATTTGCATTTCTCTGATGGCCAGTGATGATGAGCATTTTTTCATGTGTCTTTTGGCTGCATAAATGTCTTCTTTTGAGATGTGTCTGTTCATATCCTTTGCCCACTTTTTGATGGGGTTGTTTGTTTTTTTCTTGTAAATTTGTTTGAGTTCATTGTAGATTCTGGATATTAGCCCTTCGTCAGATGAGTAGGTTGTGAAAATTTTCTTCCGTTTTGTAGGTTGCCTGTTCACTCTGATGGTAGTTTCTTTTGCTGTGCAGAAGCTCTTTAGTTTAATTAGATCCCATTTGTCAATTTTGGCTTTTGTTGCCATTGCTTTTGGTGTTTTAGACATGAAGTCTTTGCCCATGCCTATGTCCTGAATGGTAATGCCTAGGTTTTCTTCTAGGGTTTTTATGGTTTTAGGTCTAACGTTTAAGTCTTTAATCCATCTTGAATTAATTTTTGTATAAGGTGTAAGGAAGGGATCCAGTTTCAGCTTTCTACATATGGCTAGCCAGTTTTCCCAGCACCATTTATTAAATAGGGAATCCTTTCCCCATTGCTTGTTTTTCTCAGGTTTGTCAAAGATCAGATAGTTGTAGATAAGCGGCGTTATTTCTGAGGGCTCTGTTCTGTTCCATTGATCTATATCTCTGTTTTGGTACCAGTACCATGCTGTTTTGCTTACTGTAGCCTTGTAGTATAGTTTGAAGTCAGGTAGCGTGATGCTTCCAGCTTTGTTCTTTTGGCTTAGGATTGACTTGGCGATGCGGGCTCTTTTTTGGTTCCATATGAACTTTAAAGTAGTTTTTTCCAATTCTGTGAAGAAAGTCATTGGTAGCTTGATGGGGATGGCATTGAATCTGTAAATTACCTTGGGCAGTATGGCCATTTTCACGATATTGATTCTTCCTACCCATGAGCATGGAATGTTCTTCCATTTGTTTGTATCCTCTTTTATTTCCTTGAGCAGTGGTTTGTAGTTCTCCTTGAAGAGGTCCTTCACGTCCCTTGTAAGTTGGATTCCTAGGTATTTTATTCTCTTTGAAGCAATTGTGAATGGGAGTTCACTCACGATTTGGCTCTCTGTTTGTCTGTTATTGGTGTATAAGAATGCTTGTGATTTTTGTACATTGATTTTGTATCCTGAGACTTTGCTGAAGTTGCTTATGAGCTTAAGGAGATTTTGGGCTGAGACAATGGGGTTTTCTAGATATACAATCATGTCATCTGCAAACCGGGACAATTTGACTTCCTCTTTTCCTAATTGAATACCCTTTATTTCCTTCTCCTGCCTCATTGCCCTGGCCAGAACTTCCAACACTATGTTGAATAGGAGTGGTGAGAGAGGGCATCCTGTCTTGTGCCAGTTTTGAAAGGGAATGCTTCCAGTTTTGCCCATTCAGTATGATATTGGCTGTGGGTTTGTCATAGATAGCTCTTATTATTTTGAGATACGTCCCATCAATACCTAATTTATTGAGAGGTTTTAGCATGAAGCGTTGTTGAATTTTGTCAAAGGCCTTTTCTGCATCTATTGAGATAATCATGTGGGTTTTTTTTTTTTTTTTTAATTGATCATTCTTGGGTGTTTCTAGCAGAGGGGGATTTGGCAGGGTCTAGGACAGTAGTGGAGGGAAGGTCAGCAGATAAACAAGTGAACAAAGGTCTCTGGTTTTCCTAGGCAGAGGACCCTGTGGCCCTGGGTACTTGAGATTAGGGAGTGGTGATGACTCTTAAGGAGCATGCTGCCTTCAAGCATCTGTTTAACAAAGCACATCTTGCACCGCCCTTAATCCATTTAACCCTGAGTGGACACAGCACATGTTTCAGAGAGCACAGGGTTGGGGGTAAGGTCATAGATCAACAGGATCCCAAGGCAGAAGAATTTTTCTTAGTACAGAACAAAATGAAAAGTCTCCCATATCTACGTCTTTCTACACAGACACAGCAACCATCCGATTTCTCAATCTTTTCCCCACCTTTCCCCCTTTTCTATTCCACAAAACCGCCATTGTCATCATGGCCGGTTCTCAATGAGCTGTTGGGTACACCTCCCAGATGGGGTGGTGGCCGGGCAGAGGGGCTCCTCACTTCCCAGTAGGGGCGGCCGGGCAGAGGCGCCCCCCACCTCCCTCCCAGACGGGGCGGCTGGCCGGGCGGGGGCTGACCCCCCACCTCCCTCCCGGACGGGGCGGCTGGCTGGGCGGGTGGCTGACCCCCCACCTCCCTCCCGGACGGGGCGGCTGGCCGGGCGGGGGGCTGACCCCCACCTCCCTTCCGGACGGGGTGGCTGCCTGGCGTAGACGCTCCTCACTTCCCAGACGTGGTGGCTGCCTGGCGGAGGGGCTCCTCACTTCTCAGACAGGGCGGCTGCTGGGCGGAGGGGCTCCTCACTTCTCAGATGGGGCGGCTGCCGGGCGGAGGGTCTCCTCACTTCTCAGACGGGGCGGCTGCCAGGCAGAGGGTCTCCTTACTTCTCAGACGGGGCAGCCGGGCAGAGACTCTCCTCACTTCCTAGATGGGATGGCGGCCGGGCAGAGGCTGCAATCTCGGCACTTTGGGAGGCCAAGGCAGGCGGCTGGGAGGTGGAGGTTGTAGCGAGCCAAGATCACACCACTGCACTCCAACCTGGGCACCATTGAGCACTGAGTGAACGAGACTCCGTCTGCAATCCTGGCACCTTGGGAGGCCGAGGCTGGCGGATCACTCGCGGTTAGGAGCTGGAGACCACCCCGGCCAACACAGGGAAACCCCGTCTCCACCAAAAAATTACTAAAACCAGTCAGGCGTGGCGGCGCGCACCTGCAATCGCAGGCACTCGGCAGGCTGAGGCAGGAGAATCAGGCAGGGAGGTTGCAGTGAGCCGAGATGGCAGCAGTACAGTCCAGCTTTGGCTTGGCATCAGAGGGAGACCATGGAAAGAGAGGAAGAGGGAGACCGTGGGGAGAGGGAGAGGGAGAGGGAGAGGGTCATGTGGTTTTTGTCTTTGGTTCTGTTTATATGCTGGATATACATTTATTGATTTGCATATATTGAACCAGCCTTGCATCCCAGGGATGAAGCCCACTTGATCATGATGGATAAGCTTTTTGATGTGTTGCTGGATTCGGTTTGCCAGTATTTTATTGAGGATTTTTGCATCAATGTTCATCAAGGATATTGGTCTACAATTCTCTTTTCTTGTTGTGTCTCTGTCAGGCTTTGGTATCAGGATGATGCTGGCCTCATAAAATGAGTTAGGGAGGATTCCCTCTTTTTCTATTGATTGGAATAGTTTCAGAAGGAATGGTACCAGTTCCTCCTTGTACCTCTGGTAGAATTCGGCTGTGAATCCATCTGGTCCTGGACTCTTTTTGGTTGGTAAGCTATTGATTATTGCCACAATTTCAGATCCTGTTATTGGTCTATTCAGAGATTCAACTTCTTCCTGGTTTAGTCTTGGGAGAGTGTATGTGTCGAGGAATTTATCCATTTCTTCTAGATTTTCTAGTTTATTTGCGTAGAGGTGTTTGTAGTATTCTCTGATGGTAGTTTGTATTTCTGTGGGATCGGTGGTGATATCCCCTTTATCATTTTTTATTGCATCTATTTGATTCTTCTCTCTATTTTTCTTTATTAGTCTTGCTAGCGGTCTATCAATTTTGTTGATCCTTTTTCAAAAAACCAGCTAAGACAGGCTTTGATGAGTGAGTTGAGAGAGGGAATTTAGGTATGGATGTGGCTCTTTTAAAAATGAAGGCTATGGGTTGGATGATGCCTGACCACTTTTCCTTAGGTCCAGTTGAGGTGGAGGTGGGAGGAAGTGCTACTAACAGATGCACGTTGAGTGTCCGTGATCCAAAATGTCTGGGACCAGAAATGTTTCAGATTTCAGGGTTTTTTTAGACTTTGGAATATTTGCATTATACTTAGTGGCTGAGTGCCCCAAATCTGAAAAATCTGAAATCTGAAATGGTCTCAACTTACTGCCAAGTGCTGTTGACTCTACCACCTAATCATCTTTTAAAATTTGCCCACTTTCATCTCCATCTCCATCATCACTCTCCCTCCCATTGCCCTGTCATCTCACCCTGGTCTGCTGTAGTAACTTCCTACTCCATCTTCCCTATTCACCCTGAGCTCTCTAGAATCCATCATTTTGCAATCAGAAAGATTTTTCATGGCCAGGTGCTGTGGTTCATTCCTGTAAGCCCAGCAACTTGGGAGGCTGAGACAGGGTGATTGCTTGAGCCCAGGAGTTTGAGACCAGCCTGGGCAACATAGCAAGTCCCCATCTCTACAAAAGAGCAAATAAATTAGCCAGGCCTGGTGGTGTCACCTGTAATCCCAGCTACTCAGTAGGCTGAGGTGGGAGGATTGCTTGAGCTCAGGAGTTGGAGGCTGCAGTGAGCTATGATTACGTCACCATACTCTAGCCCGGGTAACAAAGCAAGACCCTGTCTGTTTAAAAAAAAAATTTTTTTTTCATAGTGCACATCTGATCATATCAGCTCCCACTTAAAAATCATTGAGTGGCTTCTCCTTTCTTGTAAGGTAAAAGCTGGTCTTTAGTGTGGCCTGTGAGGCCCTCAGTGTGGTCTGCCCTCTGCCTACCTTAGCTGCTCCAGAGCCCTCCTGTGCCTTGAGCTCCAGTCCCACAGTCTCAGTTCCTCAGGTAATCTGTTTCTTTTGTTAAACTGACCTTTCCTCTTTGTTTTGTCCTCATATCCACCGTCAACTCCCCCCAGGCTTCAGGCCTGTTTCGTCATGGCCTCCTCAGAGATTTAGCCCTGGCTGGGCTCTCCTGTTTCATGCCCTCTCAGTAGTTTATCTTCCCCTCATAGCATGGCGAAGATGATTCATTGTGTCCTTAGTTCACTGTATTCCCATCCTGTAGCACATGTTTACACATAAAAGTGATCAATAATTTTTCACTGAATAAATAAAGTAACGTGAGCTAGAAGTGAGAGTAAATGATCTATCCAAGATAGCATGGCCACTTAATATCAGAATTAAGACAAAACACACAGACTTTCCACTGTATCTGGTTTTTGTTTCATTATTAGTAGTCTGAGTCTGCATAGGAGACTTCTTCATTCTGATTGCATGAGGAAAATGTGCTTTTGACTCTGTTTCCAGGGAGACCTGGATCTCTGCTTTTTGTTTCCAGCCCTTCTGTGGAGTTGGTTCCTTCTGGTACATTTCCTTGGCCCCCTCTTAAGGTTTATCCTGGGGGGCCTGCTTTGTTCTGTTGGCATCATAAAGCTAGAAGTTGAACGTTTCTCACTTTTCTTAATTCTTTAAAGTGACTATTTTGGATTTCGTGTTTATAATATTTTGTGCTTTTTTTATCTTAGATGCTTTTATTCTGAGCCTTGATCCTGATGCTTCCTTACCAAATACTTTAAGCTTGAACAGTCCATTTGGGACCTTTATTTTTAACATTCTGCATCCCAAATTCTGTGTTTGTTACTTCCATACCTGATGACACCCCTGCCCTTACTGACTCACTTTAAAGGAAGAGGCTGTTTACTTAACAGTGGTGTGTTGTCTGTTTTCCCAAAATACAATCTCTGACCAGAGACTAGGTTGAATGATAATCTTTCTTTACATAAGCTGCTTGGAAACTGTCAATTCAGCCTTATCGGGGGGTGTGATTTGGGATGTGGGCTCTTTATGCTTGCATGGCATACTCTGTCATGGTCTTCTTTCTGAGCTCTAGACTGTTCAGAAAACTTCCTAGCTGGCTTTAATTCTGTTATTGAGATCTAGAAAACCTCACTACATTCCTTCTACTCATTTGTGCTGAAAATACTTAAAGACTGGGCTGGGCGCGGTGGCTCACGCCTGTAATCCCAACACTTTGAGAGGCTGAGGGGGACGGATCACGAGGTCAAGAGATAGAGACCATCCTGGCCAACATGGTGAAACTCCGTCTCTACTAAAAATACAAAAATTAGCCGGGTGTGTTGGCGTGCACCTGTAGTCGAGAGGCTGAGGCAGGAGAACAGCTTGAACCCGGGAGGTGGAGGTTGCAGTGAGCCGAGATTGTGCCACTGCACTCCAGCCTGATGACAGAGTGAGACTTCATCTCAAAAAAAAAAAAAAAGAAAGAAAAAAAAGACTGCTCCTCAACATCTCTCCTTGCTTCTGAAATGCCAAAGGGGAAGACCTCTGGCCCTGCTCTGGTTTCTCCATGGAAAATACTCTATCTCATTTGACAATGAACTTCTTAAAATGTGGCATCCAAAAATGATTCAGTGTGGACCTAGTATACAGGTTTTTCACTTCTTTATGGAACCAAAGGAATAAGCATGTTGTTTGCTTGCCTGGTTCTGTTCCTCGCTTCTCTCCTTCTTCAGATTCAGTTTTCAAACATTCAGGACGGAGGATCTGAAGAAAGCCACTGTGGTTTGGTTTTAAGTTTGCAGCTATATCTTCAAACCACGGTGGTGGTGATGTGCGTCATAAAATTTTAGGCCTTTGTGTAAGGACCCTGCCCAAAATCTGTTAGCACAGAAATCATAAAACTGCATTCTTCACCTGTCAACTAAGTAAATGTAAGATAGAATTATAAGTGGGTGCCCTAGCTTCATGGTGTTCAAGGTAAATAGTAGGCACTATTTAAAATAATGCCGGCCGGGTGCGGTGGCTTACACCTGTAATCCCAGCATTTTGGGAGGCCGAGGTGGGCGGATCACGAGGTCAGGAGATCTAGACCATCCTGGCTAACACGGTGAAACCCCGTCTCTACTAAAAATACAAAAAATTAGCCGGGCATGGTGGTGGGCGCCTGTAGTCCCATCTACTCAGGAGGCTGAGGCAGGAGAATGGCGTGAACCTGAGAGGCAGAGCTTGCAGTGAGCTGAGATCGTGCCACTGCACTCCAGCCTGGGCGACAGAGCGAGACTCCATCTCAAAAATAATAATAAACAAATAAATAAATAAATAAAATAATGCCAACAGGCTGGGCCTGGTGGCTCCCACCTGTAATCCTAGAAATTTGGGAGGCCCAAGTGGGCAGATCACCTGAGGTCAGGAGTCATATTGGGGTTAGAGCTTCAGCATACGAATTGGGAGGTGGTGGTGGTGGGGTGCACAGTTCAGTTTATAACAGGGCAGTGGACACCATACACAGAGTTTGTTCTTTGCCCAAGACCATTGTTAAGTGACCATATAATGAATACTCTCCTATTTGCCTGTAGTTTGAAGGCCAAATTATATAATTTGGATGACTACCAAGGGAGTTGCGTCCCCCATTTACATGTACAGCTCTTCCTTAGGACTTTTGGAAAGATAATTTGCTTTATAACATTGGGTAGCACTTTTATGTGTTGCTTCATAAGTAATCATATTTACTTGTCTTCTTTGCTAAGTTTTAAGCCTGTTGAAGCCTGTTGAAGCTGTGGATTAGAATTTGTAAAATATCTTACTCTGTCCTGTGTCTAGTACACAGCCTAGCATAGATTAGGAATTTAATAAATAATGTATAGACTTTTAGAGCTCAAAGAGTATGTGGTGATGATCTAATTTAACATTCTCATATTTATTGATGGAAAGAACAAAAAAAGAGATGCAGAGAAGTTAGATGGTTTACCAAAGTCACAGAATCCTAAGAAAGAACAGAATGTGGCCTTTATGAAATGTAGTTTTCTACTCTTTCAACATACTGCACTGCCTTTGAATAAAGTTTAAGTGAGGGCTAAAACGTGATTTAAGAGGGGGATTCCTTACATACTGTCTTAAATATGTCTCCCCATATACAAATTTAAGTGTGTATATATATAATCTGTATGAAAATTTATTTTATGCTCTTAGTGCAATTACAACTTTTTGTCGCTTATTAAGACTTCAGAGATACAAACCAGTAGCTCAGTAATTGCTTTCTTGAATCTGCCTTTAATAATTACATTTAGTAAAGCTGTATCGAAAATTAGAAAGGCAGAGACTAATGGAAAACTAGATTTTTCACTGAATTAGAAAGCAAGACAATCCATATATTGACAACACTTCAAGTTGAAACAGATCAGGAAAACTGTTTTGGACTGTTTGTGCAAAGAGGCAAACCTGGGCCTGATGGGCAGTGGCTTCCGCATTTTATGGAAGCAGAGAAACTCTAAGAGATTGCATGTAAATCGGCATATTGGGAAGAGAGAGTCCAGGTCTGATTTAGATACAAGTCATTTGAATCTTTTAAAGCCTGGAATTTCTCCATGGTACTAGCAAAGAAGTAGAATATAAAGAATTGTGTTAATGAAGTGGGAATATCTTTGAATTTAAAAAAAGTACAAAACTCATTTAGGGTCATATCTTGCAGTCAAAAAGAAACGTGTGCAGGAAGATTATAGTAGCTTCTGTAGTAGTTGATGTGGTGTTTTGACTTCATGGTCAGAAAAATTAGTCATTTTAGTTTTTTTTTTTTGCGTTTCAGAAAGCATATTAAAAATATCCCAATGGTGGATTAACTCAGGATTTTTTACATGTTAGGAAAATAATTAAAACTAAAATATAATGATATTAATTGAAATAAGCAACACTGATGCCTCTTATTCACCTGTCAGAGAGACAGTGTGTTTTTGCACAGTAAGCCAGGAGACAGGCCAGGTAGCCTGCTGATACACTAGCTCCCCTCCCAAACCAGGTGCTGGCTACACGGTTCACATGCATCAGGGCCCAACAAACTCTTCCCATACTGTGGAGGCACAGGGTTATAACAACTTTAGAAAAATGCCTTTAAAAGGGCCCAATTTATTTGTCACATTATCATGGATAGCTGAATTGTTCTAATAGTGGCCTGTTGAGCAACTTCATCCTTTCCTGAGAATGAGGGCAGGTGTTTGTTTACAACGTTTAGAGGTGGGATAGTTTATGTGTCTCTCCAAGGCAAGAGGAAACATCTAGAAAGTAGAAAATTCAGGTAGATTGTCATGTACAGGCTTGATTGCCTTCTTTTTCAGGTCAAGGGAGAGAGAGGTGTGAAAAGTTTGGAAAAGCCAGTTGGATGAGAAGGCATGTGAAATGAGCAGAGGGCATGTGGTGAAGCCTTTTTGAGAACTGTTGTCTGGCCAGATTAACTTGGAATTTAAATTTGTTAGAGCTCTCTGATTTCACCATCAGAAATTACACAAAGGATAGAGAAGTAAGGTAGCATAAGTAAGGTAGAGGATAGGGTTTTCCTGCCTTGAGAAGTGAATTTGCTGTTTGGTAAGAGAGATACAGACTAAGACAACTAACTGAACAGAATCTGATCCTGAAAATAATTATTTTGAATGGTACAGTAAGCATGCATGGTTCGATATGAATGAGTTAGCATTTGTTTATCCTGCACAGTATATAAAGTGTGGCACACAGTATGTGTATATGGCACCATCTCTATCTTACAGTGGAGTTGCAGAGCAATATACATGACAAAGCAATACACAGTTGTTATACGCAAGTAGAATGCTAAGACTCTAGAAAACAATCTGGTCAACCCCATCAAATCCCCAGATGTTATAGATGATGCACAGCCATAGAGCTGAAAAGTGATTTTCCTATCTGTGTGGCTAATAAGTGTCAAAGAGGGATCTGGAACTCAGGTTTGTGCTTCACAGATATTTTTTCTCATTATAGAATGTTTTCACTCAAAAATTTAAAAAATGAGATATACATGTTCAATGCAGAAAAACTGAGGGGAAAACATGAAATGTGCAAATAGGAAAAATTGTGCATAATCCCTCTTAAACATTAACTTTTTTTCTTTTTAGTAGAGACAGTATCTCACTATGCTGCACAGGCTAGTCTCAAACTCCTAACGTCAAGTGATTTTCCTGCCTCAGCCTCCCAAAGTGCTAGGATTACAGGCATGAGCCACCATGCCCAGCCAATATTGGCATTTTTTTCTCTCAGCATTTTTGGTAAAGAATATATATATATACATATACGCACACATACATCACTATTATGCACATGTATTTACTAAATAAAACAAAAATGGACTCTGTAGCCTGCTTTTTTTTTTTAACTTTAACAAAAGCATATCTTTCCTACTCTCCGCTGTGTTTCAATTGGATGTACTATTTATCCCTGAGGTCCCAGCAGCTTGCCTCTCTGAAATTTTCTTATGTGTCCATATTTGACACTGAGAATTTTAGTTTGTAAAAGGATAGCTTTGGCAAAGCCACGGTGAGGGATAGAGGGGTTGGTCACCTAGAGAGCAAATATTTGGAAAATAAAGGCACTAATCGTGGTTGGAGGTGTTAGTTCCTTATCTTGTGAACCATTTTTAGAAGCCCAGAAAAGGTCTTATTCAAAAAGTTTCTTTTAAGTCTATGTGTCCTGACTTGTGGAAAAATGCTTGGCAGAAGATCCACAGCTGTACTGTCTCTGTAAAGAAACACTATGGAGAGAAAGAAAAAAAATTCACATCCAGGTGATGTAGGGGATTTAGTTTTGAAAGTCTAATACATGAAACCTAGATGTAAGGCTTGAAAAAAAGATTTATTCTTCCTACATTGGTAGCAATGTAAGAGTTTTCAGATGTTGGATGCTTTAGATTTAGTTCCGGCTCTTGAGAATGGCATGAATTAGAGCTTTGCGTTTTCAGTTTTTCTATAGAGACCACATATGTTATATTACTAAGGGAAAGCAACCCATGGTAACAAAAAAAAAAGCTTGCAAAATGATTGTATTTTTGCAAGTCAACACCTTTTCTCGAATCCATTGTTCTTTCTTTAAAGCAGTCAAACAAATTACGTGATTATGGTATATCATGTAACTAGCAGAATCTCTTTGTTTGGGGTAAAAGAAATCAATACAAGAAGCTCTTGGAATGTCCTTTTTCTCTCTCTCTCTTTAGCGGCTCCTTATGTATGGTTTTAGAAATGCTGATTCTACATTAAGAATGACAGTGATTCATGCTGAGGCCCGACCTTGTTAGATTCCTAACTGCTCTCTGAAAATCTTTGACACTGATGTTGGTTATATGTATCTAGAAGAGGTAGTAGTTGGTTTAATACAGAAATATAGTTGTAAATTTTTCATCAGATAACTTTAGTATTTAAAGCTTAGTATTTAAAGTATCAGGCAGGTTTTTTTGTTTTTGTGGGGTTTTTGTTTGTTTGTTTTTTTGAGACAGGGTCTCACTCTGTCACCCAGGCTGGAGTGCAATGGTGCAATCTCAGCTCACTGCAACTTCTGCCCCCCAGATTCAAGCAATTCTCCTGCCTCAGCCTCCTGAGTAGCTGGGATTACAGGCACGTGCCATCATGCCCGGCTAATTTTTGTATTTTTAGTATAGACGGGGTTTCACCATGTTGGCCACGCTGGTCTCGAACTCCTGACATCAGGTGATCCACCCACCTCAGCCTCCCAAAGTGCTGGGATTACAGGTGTGAGCCACCTCGCCTGGCATTGGTCTTTTTTTTTTTAAGTAGGTTAACTTAAATTTAAAATAGCAATAAAGGCTATTCCTGGGTTCCGTGGTATAACTTCATATTCTGCAGTTGCCATCCTCTCAATGCTGCCTTCTCTGAGCAGTTTATTGAAAATTACAATTTTTCCCCCAGTGGTCCTACTTTCTTTTACTCGGCTTTATTCTCCCCCTTCCCCATGCCAGGTAATCGCTTTCTAAAACCTACTTGTGAGTTTAGTTTTTATATTCATTATTTGTTTTCTGTCTCCCCTGCTGGAATGTAATTTCATGAGGACAGAACTCTTTGTCATTTTACTTCAGTGATAGACTTCAGACACCTTGAATAGGGTCTAGCACATGGTATGTGCTCAAAAATACTTGGATAAAGGAGTAATCACATTTTTACAGTGCAACTATTTTTAAACCATGCATATCCTGGGAAAGTAAAATACCTGATCTATCTATCTATCTTTATTTTTTTAGAAGAAGAATTAAGCCAGGCATCATAGCTCAGTACCTGTAATCCCAGCATTTTCGGAGGCTAAGGCAAGCAGATCGCTTGAAGCCAAGAGTTCTAGACCAGCCTGGGCAACAAATCAAGACCTCATCTCTACCAAAATATAAAAACTAAAAATATTAGCCAGGCATGGTGGCATGTGCCTGTAGTCCCAGCTAATTGGGAAGCTGAGGTGGGAGTATAGCTTGAGCCCAGGAGCTCAAGGCTGCCATGAGGTATGATTACACCACTGCACTGCAGCCTGGGTGACAGAGTGAGACCCCATCTCTAAAAAAAAAAATTAAAATTAAAAAAAAAAAGAAGAATTAAAATTCTGAGTTTTGAAAGAAGGCTGAGTATTCTGTGATCTTTAGGAGCTTACTTTCCTCTTGTAAGTGGGGATTTTAAAACTGAATTGATGCTCTCTGACATCTGTTCATAGAACAGAAAAAGTTTCATTCTTAAACAGGAACAAGGCCTTTGTCTATGAGGAGGGTCTTTAATTGTAGTAGACTTTACGAAATGGCCTGCGTTCTTTCACGGACACAGAGGTTGTCCCTCTCCACTTCTTGTTTTCCCATCTTTCAGAGCCCAGCTGCAGAGCTTTGAAGCTGGCAGATGCTGTTCCCAAGCAACCTTCCCTTCCTGGGGTCCAAAAAGGACCATAATTTCAGCCTTGAAAGAACACAGGTGAATCTTGGATCTCATCTTCCTGATGCTCATAGAAAGGAGCCTGACTCATTAGGAATGAAACAAGAAAATTCGCATCCACCCGAGCTTACGCTTTACCCTTCTTTTGGTTAAAAAAATAATGATTCATCCATTCATCCATCATATGTGTGTGAGAGAGACAGAAAACACTTTTAAAGTTTTTTGATCTTTTGAATTACATAGGTTTTTAATGAGAATGTGGTATTTTTAGAAATAAGCATAGCATATCATAGTACTTCATGGTGTGTTGAAGAAATGATGGCTATTAATTGCTTTGGATTCCATTTTGATTTCTGAGAAAGCAAATAATACAGTAGTCCCCCCTTATCCTCAGGTGTTATGTTCAAAGACCCCCAGTGGATGGCTGAAACTATGGGTAGTACTAAACCTTATATGTGCTATGTTTTTTCCTATATACAGACACCTGTGATGAAGTTTAATTTATAAGTTAGGCACAATAAGAGATTAACAAGAATAACTATTACAATAATAATAAAATAAAAAATTATAGCAATACACCAACATCACTTCTCCTGTGACTTGGACCATTATTAAGTCAAATAAGAATTCCTTGAACACAAGCACTGCAATACTGCAACAGTCGATCTGATAACTGAGCTCCTACAGCTAGTTAAGTGACTAATGGGTGGGGGTGCAGACATCGTAAAGCTGCCAGAAAAAGGGAGGGCTCGTGTGCTGGCTGGGACCGGGCAAGACACCGTGGGACAGTGTAAGATTTCACCACTCTACTCAGTACAGTGTGCAATTTAAAACCTACAAATTGTTTATTTCTGGAATTTTTCATTTCATATTTTCAGACCATACTTGACCATGAATAACTGAGATCACAGCTAAGGGGGGACTACTATATTCAGGAGGATAACAGAATGCATTGAGCACCAGTTATGTGCCAGGCTAGGTGCTAAGGGTTTTATATACCTTGTCGTATTTATTTACTCCATCACCAGACCTAAGAAAGTAGGCGTTATCATCTCTGTTTTACGTATGAGGAAACTAAGGCTCAGAGTTGATAAGCAACATCTGTAAGGAAATACAGCCAGGAAGTAGCAGATCTGGGTGTTGGATGTGTCTAAGTCCAGACTGGTGCTCTTTCTACCATATCATGTAGCTTCTCAGAATAGCACTAATTATTAAGACGGGTAGTTTCTTATTGATTAAAGGCCTGGCCTTCCCTCCCCACTCTTCCCTTTCCCTTCCCTCACCCTTCTCCCCTCTTTCCCCTTCGTCTTCCCCTCCCCTTCTCCTTCTCTCCCCACATTCTCTACCCATCCTCCTCCCTCCCCTCTCCCTTTTCCCTCCTCTTCCCTCTCCTCCTTCCCTCTCTCTTCCCTTCCCCTTTCCTCCCCCTTCTCCATTCTTACCCCTGCCCCTCCCATCCCCTCCCATCCCCCTCCCATCCCCTCCCATCCTTCTTCCCCCTTCCTATTTCCTTCCCCTCCCCCTTCCCTCCCTCTTCTTTTTCTCCTCCTCCTCCTTCCTTCCCCTCCCCCTTCTCCTTTCCTTCTGAGTGAACTGGCATGATCATGGCTTACTGCAGTCTCAACCCCCTGGGCTCAAGTGATGAACCCCCTGGGCTCTAGCTCCCTGGGCTCACTCAACCTCCAAAGTAGCTGGATCTCAGGCACGTGCCACCATACCCAGCTAATTTTTAAAAATTATTATTTGTAGAAATGAGATCTCCCTATATTGCCCAGCTGGTCTTGAACTCCTGGGCTCAAGTGATCCTCCTGCTTTGGCCTCCCAAACTGCTGGGATTAGAGATGTGAGCCACTGTGTCAGGCCTTGGTCTTTATTTTCATAGCTTTTGGGCCCTCATGAACAGTCTTCTTTGACTATTTACAACTTCCTTTCTATAAGAAACCCTATCTTATATTGCACAGTCTGCCTCTATTATGTCTAACTTATTGGTTGTTCTAACAAAAATAACTCATTTTACCTTTCCACTATTAGATTACTGAGCTGGACTGAAGTTTATACATATTCTTCCCAATTTGTTGTCCAGCTGTCAATTACCTGCTCACCTTTTCTTCTGCTCCTTCCTTATTTTTCATGGATTCAACCTGCTGTGTTGCAAGGTAATGTTTAAGGCAGTGAGGATGTTAACAGTGAACAAAACCGATGAAGTTCCTATCATTATGGAGCTTATAATTTGTTAGACAAACAGACAATAAACCAACCAACCAACAAGCAAACATTGTATGTGTGTGGTGTGTGTATGTGAGTGTGTATGTTTGTGTGTGTGTGTGTGCATGCACACACCAGACCATGGTAAATGCACAGAAGAAAAGTAAAGCCAGGTCTGGGGATAGAGAATTATGGGAGCTAGTTGCTGTTTTAGATGGGGTGGGTAGATAACACCTCTCTGAAAACATGACCTGGAACAACAACTGAACAGAATGAGGGAGAAGCTTTCTAGGTAGAGGGAGAAGCACTCAAAAGCCTGTTATAGGTGGCAGTGAGGGAACGTGCCTATTATAGTTGCCGGTGAGGAAGCTGGTGTGGCTGGACCAGGGTGAGTGAGAGGGAGTAGGAAGTGAGGAAGGATCTGTTAGAGGATTGAAAAGGGCCACTTTGGCTGCTGTGAAATATAGATTGCTGCAGGGCAGGAGTGAAGCAGGGAGACCAGCAGGGAGGTTGTAGAGTGAGAACTGAGGCCTGGGTGAAGACACAGAGGGAAGACACTTCAGATTTACACATGACACAAAGCTTGGCAAAAACACTGGCTCATGTTTTGGAAGACAGAATCAATTTCCAGAAAAGTTTCAACAGCCTTGTCTAGTATTAGAGTCAAAATTAACATGATAATATTTAACAGGTCATTATAAAGCCTAACCTCAGATCTGAAAATTGCCTGTTTAAGAACTGTTGGGGAAGACTTGGGGGTTTTGTTTGATTCCAAAGGCATCATTAGCCAACAGTGAGATATGGTTTCCAAAACATTTAGGTGAATGCAGATTGCAGATACAGAAGCTTAAGCTAGAATCATGGGAGGTCAGGGTTCCACTGGACCGTGTGCTCATCAGGCCTCATCAGGAATCCAGGCCTATGAATGGGCATCGGCAGAGGTGAGTGCAGCAGCCCACTGCATGCATGCATTACAGGGTCAACCACCTCTAGTGATGGAGAGAGAAGTACCTTCTCTCCTGTAGAGATGTATGAATGTGGTCATTGTTACTCTCGTGATCATTTTCCCTACCTATCAACAGCTTCCCCTCCACTGATAAAGGAATAGTTGTAGCAATGGTTAGAAGTTAATAATATGAATAGGTAGCATTGTTTGGATTCTTGCTAAATGCCAGATAGTGTTTTAATGATTTGCATGGATAATTACGTTTAATCCTTGCAACAAACCTATGTGATAGGTGCCATTATAAACTCCATGTTATAGGTGAGGAAACTGAGGCTTGTACAGGTTAAACAACTTGCTCCAAATCATAGAGTATTAGCAGAGCCCAGAAGAGAGCAATGGAAGACATAAGATTCAAATCCAAGGAGTTTGATTCAAGAACTAGAACTCCTAACCGCTGCGTTATACTGCAAATCTTATGGGTTAAATTAATGATATCAATATTGTAATTTGTGCATATTTGGGACTAAATAGGTTTTTTGTAGGCTATTTATCTTTTATACTGTTTCTGTGGGAAAATTTGTGCTGAGTTTTAAACCATCTGAAAAGGGGATTTTGGGGACACAATTCATTTATTAATTGGGGAATGCCAGTATTTCCTTGAATCCTGGATTCAACATCTTAGGGAGAACATTGACAGACTGTGTTTTATTCTAGAAGGTATAGTGTAAGACCTGAAAACCATGTCATCTGAAAGACAGGTATAGGAGTTAGAAAAGTTTAATTTGGAAGAGAAAGGCATTTAAAGTGAAGCAAAATCTTCTTGTTGCTGAAATGATAAAACCATACACCCTGATATGATCTAAAGGCCCCTATTTGACTTCTGTTTCTAGGTGATCAGATCTAGTCTTCATTCACACTCTAATAATGCCCAAATTTATATCTCTAGTTAAGACCAGAGTTGTCAACTCAGTCCTCTGAAGCATCTCCACGTCATGTCTAATGTGCATCTCAAACTTAGTGTGGCTAGTGCTGAGCTCTTAACTTGCCACCACAGACTAGTTGATGCAGATGTCCGCAGCCAGTTGATGGTGGCATCACCATCCTTCCAGTTGCTCAGACCAAAAACCTCACCATTGCATTTCATTCTCTCACTTTCTCCCTTTTATTTTTATGTACTTTTACATAACATTTTTATGTATTTTTACATTTTTCCACATGCAGTCATCAGCTTATCCTGTTGGTTCTACTTTCACTCACCTCTTCCCACTGCCACTCAGACCTTCCCTCTAACTGTTCTCTCTCTGGATAACTCTTGGCACACAATGGTAATGCTGAAAGTTAAATTAGATTCTGTGACTATTCACTCTTCCATCTGCCTGGACCAACCTCCTCCCATCCCAGGTAGACTCAGGACTCACTCCCTCCTGTCATTCAGGTCTGTAGTGAATGAAATAATGGATCTTCAACAATGTCCACACCATAATCCCCAGAACCTCTGAATATGTTACCTTACATGCAGAAGGGACTTGGTAAAAGAGTTTAAAGTTAAGGACCTTGAGATAAGGGAGATTTTCCTGGCTTATCTGGGTGGGCCAAGTGGAATCATATGAGTCCTTATAAGTGGAAGGGGAAAGCAGAAGAGTAGGTTAGAGAAATATGACAAGGGAGGGGCGTGAGCTACTGTTGCAGGCCTTGAAGATGGAGAAAGCGGCTCATGATTCCAGGAATGTAGGTGGCTGCTAGGAGCTGGAAACAGCTAGCAAAAAGGTGGGGGCCTCAGTCTCACAACTGCAGGGATCCTATTGCAGGAACCTGTTATCACCTAGAACCTCTGCAGTCACACACCCCTGCCAGTACCTTGATTTTAGCCCATGAGACTTGAACAGATAAACCAACCAAGCCCATTGGACTTCTGATCTGTAGTACTGTGAGATAAGTGATGAGTATATGGCTATAATTTTGGGTGAGGTCTTGATGGTAAAATAATACTTGAGCAGAGACCTTGTATGGTTTTCTGTTCTTGCTCAAGTATTATTTTACCATCAAGACCTCACCCAAAATTATAGCCGTATACTCATCCAGGCCCTCTCTGTCCTATTACCCTGGTTTATTTTTCTCTGTGACACTAATATCTGTTAATTTGTGTGATTGTCCCACCCTCCACCCTCATTAAAATGTAAGTAAGGTCTGTTAGGGGTTTTTGTCTGTGTTCATTGTTGTATCTCCAATGACTAGCTCTGAACCTGGCACTTGGTAGACCATTAATACTTGCAGAGAAGAAGAGTGGAGTTAGCTTTTTGCTCCCTCTCCAGCCTCCTTCAGAGGTGTCTCTTCACTGCCTGGCTGTACCACAGTCAGCTGCTTCCGGCCTCTCACCTGCTGCTTCAGGGCTTTTGCACATGCTCTGCCCACAGTGCTTGTCCCTCCTCTTTGCCTGCTTTCCCTGTAGTCTGAAGCATCAGCTCTTTAGGAAAAGCTTCCCAGGTCCCTGAGAGCAAATTTTGCCCTCTCTTATTAAAAAACTGTTCCAAGGAATGTTCATTTGAGGGGAAAAAGAAGCATTTTATATTGAGTATAGCTCCAATAGCCTTTTTTTTTTAGAGACAACGTTGCCTTATAAATTACTAAGTCTGTACTGCTCAGTGTGAAATATTTCAAGTGTTATGCCAAATGGACGTTCTTTTCTTATTATTCTGTAAACTGCACCAAATCATAGTACATTTGGTCCGCTTTGTATTTGCACCTTTACATTGTATATAGTTTTGTTTATTTATCTTGAAAAATTTAAGTCCCTTTTTTTCTTGACAGAGAAAGACAAATGCTTTGACACTATCACTAAAACCTTATAAATTATAATAGGTATTAATCATATCTTTTTTTTTTCCATGAAGGCATTCTTCTTGGAGCTCTCTGGCTTTTATTCTAATTTGAACACTTTTAAGATCGCAAAGCTACATTTTAGGTTTTTTTTCTCTACTTTGTTTCTAGGTTAGGTCCACAGTCTTGGCTTCTTTTGTGAATTCCTTTTTTTTTCTTTTTTTAATATTCAAAGAAGGTTCCTGAATGTGTATATAATAAACCATTTGTGCTTCTGCATATCTGAAAATAACATTTTCCCTTGCCCTTGGTGGAAGATTTGACTAGACATGGAATTCTGCATTAAAGCTCACACACTATCAAACTTTGAAGACATTTGGAGCCAAAATTTTGAACAGGTTTTCTATGGATTTCTTTGTTTCTCTGTGTGCCAAGCACCTTTGACCACAAATCTTTCTAGAGAGGACAGCAACAGAGCAGGCTGTGAGAAGATGCCTCCAAGTGGCCTAGAAGCCCTTGTGTGCTTCCTGCTGGGCACTTTGTCAGCCTTTTCTTGACTAGCAGCCTTTTGCTTTTGATCTATCTTTCCATTGGCAGTTCTACACCTTCAGTAAGTTTTTCAAAAAAGATGTTTGGGTTATTTGTTTTTTGAGTTTTCCCGCAAACTGAGATTGACTTTTTGTTGTCTTTATACATGAATAATAATTTAGATGACTATTAAATAATATTCTGATAAAACTCCGCAGGCATTGCTCTACTTTTTCTGGCAATTAGCATGTCAGAGAAAAAGTTTAGGGTCATCCTGATCTTTGTTTCTGCTTTTTGCTTCTGTATATTAGAAGTGGTTTTTGGTTATGCTTGTAATTAAAAATAAATTCTAGGGTGGGTAGGTGTGGACATCCTTGTCTTGTTTTTCCCTGGGATATATAAACCCTTTTGATCTTTCCAGCTTAAGAAAGTTGGATTTCTTTTGTCTTTGATTTTTGCTCTTGTTCTAATTTTTTTGTTCTTTCATCAGGGATTCTTCTCATTGTAGATTGGATATTTATTCTCTTTCATCCATGATCTTCCTGACGTTCTTTTTGCTATCATGAATTTTCTTTCGAAAGCAGAATCATATCAATACACACACACATACATTTAATCACGTCCAACTCTTACATAGGTATTTTGTTGTGGCAATTATGGTAAGTTCTTACCTAATATCAATAGGTTCTTGGAAACTGCAACTTGAAGTGAAATGACATACAGCAGGTCCTTGAATCATGTCGTTTTGTTAAAAAGTTGATGAGGAAAAAAATTGATTTTGTTATATGTGCTTCAAGTCCCAGTTTCCAAAAACCTCTATCTGCAACATTAAGTGAGGGCTTACTATATTTAGAGAATTGTTTTTTGAAGTAGTGGTTGGTTTGTAGCAGTATGTGTTTTTCTTAAAAACTTTTTAAAATTTCTGAAATTTAGATATTTTTGAAATATGAGAAAAACGCTTCTTCCCCCCTACCCAAAATAGTATGATTAAATTAGTAATTTCTCTTGCTTTATCAATGTGGCATCTTAAAATAGAGGAAACGTGACTTCAGGCTCAAAGTAGGAACAAATCAAATTTTTGTGCTAGTTTTTAAAAATGTAAATGTACTTAGAAATCGAATATCATAATAATTCTTTACAATTAAATGTTTTCTTATTTTTGTACCCTCATAAAAACTATATGTGTTGTGAATTAATACCTTGCTAAGTACCTGAATTAATACCCTGCTGAGCACCTGACAATAGGCACACAAGAAATGGCGCTTTTAGAGATTCAACTTTTTATAGTGGAATAACAACCTTTTTTATTATCTTGAATGTTTATTCCTGCTAAAGAAGGAGAATGTTGATTTCAAGCCTGGCTTTAATATTTGGTGCATCTTGTTCTAATGAACAAGTATTAAATATACATATATATGCATGTATATGTATATATATTTATGAAAAGTCATATTCTAAGCAGATAGTTGTCCTTCATGTATATTTCAGATTCCCAGCGTAACGATACACTGACCTAAACTACTTGGAACCTTGGGCTTAAATCTTTATTTGTATATAGAACCCCCGTCTGTATTTGGCAAGCACTTGAATTATTTATTAGATACTTTTAATCTGTTATAGAGAATTCTTTTCTTTTTTCTTTTTCTCTTTTTTTTTTGCTTTAGAAGTGATCACTTTGTAACGTATGAGCTTCTGAAAGAGAGAGACCATTCAACTTGAAATATAAGTTAAGTCCTTCCTTAGCTTAAGTTTATTTTATTTATTAGATATATTCCTGAAAATTGGGGTATAAACCCACATTTTGAACTATTTTATCCTTGACTTCTAGTATAATTTCAGAGATGTTACCACAAAAGAAAAAAAGTTGGCTCTGACATGTAATAAAAACCACACTTGGGGATCAGATTCTTCTCTTTAAAGTAATGGCATTTGTTTTCCTTTTCAATTTGAATTCTATTGACTTAATAATGTTTCTAGAACTGTGGCAAAAATTTAGTCAAATGAACAGAATGATTTTTGTTTTGTTATGCAAACCTGAATGGAATCCTTAATACATTTATTTAATTACATGCAGCTTCCCTTACTTTATACAGAGGGGATTTCTGGAAAACTCTGAGGAAAGATGTCTCTAGGAATAGAAAACTAAACAGGCAAGTCAGAGCCAGGCGCAGTGGCATGGGCCTCTAATCCCACCTACTCTGGAGGCTGAGATGGGAAGATCACTTGAGCCCAGGAGTTTGAGTCCAGCTTCAGCAACATAGCTAAATAAATAAATAAAATAAAAATAAACAGGTAGGTCAGGCTTATATGTAATTTTATGTGAGATATTTGGAATGGAAACTTATGCCCCCATACATACTTGTCAAAATATACCCAATTAATTCTCATTTTAGCCGGGTGCAGTGGCTCACGCCTGTAATCCCAGCACTTGGGGAGGCCTATGCAGGCGGATCACAAGGTCAGGAGATAGAGACCACCGGTGAATCCCCATCTCTACTAAAAATACAAAAAAATTAGCTGGGCATGGTGGCGGGCGCCTGTAGTCCCAGCTTCTTGGGAAGCTGAGGCAGGAGAATGGCGTGAACCCAGGGGGCGGAGCTTGCAGTGAGCCAAGATTGCACCACTGCGCTCCAGCCGGGGCGACAGAGCAAGACTCTGTCTCAAAAAAAAAAAAAAAAAAAAAAAAAATTCTCATTTTATGCACCAGATTGGCCAAAGTAGGACTATGTTGACAAGGATGGGCCAGACATTCCTATTCATAACAGTGTAACTTAGTACATTAGAGGGGTGAAATCTGGCAACATTTTTGGTAATTTATCTTTTGTTAATTTTACCTTGTTGGGTTCTAGATATTTTTATAGTCCTAAAAATATTCTTGAGCTTTGTTCTGGCATGTGGTTAAGTTACCTGGAAACAATTTGATCTCTTCAGACCTGGCTTTGAAGTGTTGTTAAACTGGACTAAAACAGCTTTTAATCTAGTTCATTTTCCCTGCTTCTGAGTCAAGAACCTTCAGAGTACTGTAACTAATGCCTCGTGAATTATGAAGTTTTCTGCCCCAGCTTTTGGACACAGGCACCATTGCCAGTTGCATGTGAGCTCTGAGCCCTCCTCACTCCTTGGGTAGTTTACCCAATCTCACGTGCCGATTGGTTTTCACCTGAATACTTGAGGGAGGCCTCCTCAGCTGCAGGCATTCACCCAGGGTGCAGCTCCCTGTTCTCCATACTCCCAGCTCCCTTTCCTTAAACTCAGGGGATCACAGGGCTCTGCCTGGGTGGGGTCCCCTTCCCTGGGCCTGCGTAGCTTCTCTCTGGGCAGCAAGCTGAGGTAATAGTAGGTATGGCCTTGTTTCCTGTCTCTCACTTTCCTTCATTTCCCGATGTCCAATGTCTTGAGAGCCATTTTTTCCACATATTTTGTGCACTTATTTAATTTGCCCAGTTTCAAGTGGGAGGCTACATCTCCTTCCTGTTACTCTATCTTGGCCAGAAGAGACCTTGGTTTTCACCTTAAAGTGTGTGGGGTTTTTTTGTTGTTTGTTTGTTTGTTTTTCAATAGGAGTGAAAACAGTCCTTGTCCACCCACAGCCAGTCTGAAATTCCAGAGGCAACACATTCAACTCTTTTTTTCTTTTTTTTTTTTCCACGATCTCTGCTCACCACACCCTCCGCCTCCTGGGTTCAAGCGATTCTCCTGCCTCAGCCTGCCAAGTAGCTGGGATTACAGGCACGCACCACCACACCCAGCTAATTTTTGTGTTTTTAGTAGAGACAGGGTTTCATCATATTGGCCAGGCTTGTCTTGAACTCCTGACCTCAGGTGATACGCCCGTCTCAGCCCCCATAAAGGCTGACCTCTTGTCTGTCTTGTTCAGTGCTGAATCCCAGAGCCTAGAACAACCCCTGGGCTTCCTGGCTCGCAGGCCCTCAGTAAATATCTGTTGAATAAATAAACAGATGAATGGTGCATTCTGTGCTGAGTGCTTTCCCAGCGCCGTCCTGGAGGCCGCCACCTCACGAGGTGCCTAATCACTACTAGGAGTTTACCAGCAGAGCCAAGCAAGAAAAGATATTTCCAGGCAGCAGGGACAACATATGTAGGAAAATTGGAAAGACTTTACAAAAATGACCTGGCATGGTATTCAGGAAAATAGGATTTATTAAATTTTTCTTTTTTTGGAAACAGAGTCTCGCTCGGTTGCCCAGGCTAGAGTTCAGTGGCACGATCTTGGCTCACTGCAACCTCTGCCTCCTAGGTTCAAGCGATTCTCATGCCTCAGCCTCCCAAGCAGCTGGATCTACAGGCACACACCACTATGCCCAGCTAATTTTTGTATTTTTAGTAGAAATGGGGTTTCACCATTTTGGCCACACTGGTCTCAAACTCCTGACCTCATGATCCACCTGCCTCGGCCTCGCAAAGTGCTGGGATTACAGGCGTGAGCCATTGCGCCTGGCCGGATTTATTAAATTGACTCCATTTCTTTCTTCACTTTGTCATGAAAATCCTGATGAACAACTTCCTTTCCAAGATGTTTTCCCAGAATTTAGAAGAAAGTCTTGATAGTATTAGGCATATTGTGTGTTTTTTCAACTGTAACATTATAAAATATAAGAATTAAAGTTTATCGCAAACTTTGCTGTGGTGGAACATCCACCCTCCCCCACCCTTCATTGTGAATTTAGTGCTTGTGAAGAGTAACTGTGGAACTTGGTAATGGAACCATCTGGTCAGTAGAAGAGATGACATTCCATGAAGCAGCCATTGTGTAATTTGTCTTACCCTGGCCTTCAAGGGGGGGCACTTTGAGGGGTGAGCAAGTAGGTAGAGCCTTGCCGAGTTTTCAACCGTCTCCCTGTTTTATAGATTCTGTAGGTAATGTGCCAGTTAAGGTGGTGGTTTTGTGATAAAGCCTCAAACAATAAGACCCAGAACATAACCTCATTTATTTCATAAAGCTCAGCAGATGGAAACTACTTTCATTGCTACATATCGTCCTGATTTCAATCTGGGACTGATAGTAAAAAAGGGGCTCTGTAGCCTATTAACCAAACCCCCAAGTTAAAGCTGTGCTTCTCTTGTTTGTTTTCTTGAGGTGTTTTCCTGATTCTATTTCTGGCAAGACCTTTGAAGAAGAATAATTTTCTCTGGTGAATTAATAAACAGATTTTTTTTTTCCTAAAAAAAATCTAAGAATATCTGAGAGTTTGAAGCATATGCATATGGTTTTAGAAGAAAATATTTCTAATAGTTCACCAAAGGAAAGTATTTATTCAGGGGTATTTCTTGAAAAACAAAATATAAAATATTGATTAAATTGTTAAAAATTTACCACTTAGTAAAAAGAGGTTTCTTAAACTCAGTCATGCAGCAGAAGATTTTGTTTCTGATTCAAAGAAGCACAAAAATGCAAACAGATTTTATGTTTCTGGATTTCTAAAATAGTCATACTTACATGTAAGACAGAAATATAGAGCCATAGCAATCTATTTTCATAATGAAGATGTGCGACCTTGTATGTCATATGCCAAATTTAAGTAGTTTTTATTTTTAGACTAAAAGTAAGCATGCTTTTAATACTTTTTAGTGTCATGTGATCTCTACAGTTTTGTATTTTTTTCAGAAGGGCGATTGAAATAGAAAATTAGGCTTATTAAGTAATTAAACAATATTCCTTCATCTTAGTGTTTATAAACTCTCACTTAGCAAAACACAAGTCAAATACAAACTTTTGGAATGACAGAGCTCCTCTTTAGATCCTGCTAACCATCCCTCCCCATCCGACCTTAAAATTGTATTTTCATGAGCATTTCACAATATTTCTCATCCCTTGTTTCCAGTCTTGACCCACTGACCCAAGAATCAAGAAAATGTCATGTTAGTGCCTACTAATTAGTGCACCCAGAGAACCTTTTCATCTGGCCTTTCAACCTTGTGGAGCTAGGAGCACAAGCTGTCACTTGTATCATGCAGGGAAAATGAGCCTTTACTACATTTTGCCTGTTTTGCAAACAGCAGAATAAGCCCAGCTGAGACTAGAGATGAATATGCAGGTTAGAAAGAAATTAACCTAAAATGCACTGCTGTTTGCATGATTGTCTTATAGATGACACAGTACTGCCTGCGTTGAAATGCCCATAATGGAATACCACATGCCTGAGCTTTTTACCAGAGTATTCCTCTTGTAATACTCTGGTAAAGAGTATTGTTTCAATGCTATCATATTCACTTGGTGAAATCATTTTAAGCAAGAAATATTATTTTATTAAAAAATTAGGTAGGTTTTTTTTTATGCATTTAAGTTTCCCTTGTTTTTAGACAGGTTTTTGGAGGATGTCACACTTTGTTAGTGAGCCTTTGGTTCGAGTGCTCATTAATCAGTGCTGTTGGGCCAGGGTGTCCTGAGCCTTCTGGGTTTTGGGGGATCAGCTACTGTAATTAAAGGGATGAAATATATCATGGTCACAAACTTACCACATCAGACAATTGAGGGTTTTGAACTAATATAATTAATCTTTTAAATTTTTTCCTCAGGTGTTTAAGATAGAAGTGCTAATGAATGGAAGAAAACATTTTGTTGAAAAGAGATACAGCGAATTTCATGCTTTGCACAAAAAGGTAACTTGTTTTCTGTTTTTTTGTCTTTTCTCTATGTGGCAGATGGTATAATGTTAACTAACACTCCTTTCTGTGGTTCTAAGACCATTGATATTTCTTGTGTATGTATATACATTTTCTTTTATCATAAAGTAAATTTCTTTTTGGAATAAGTTATTCAGTTCCTTAAAGGTATGCTTTCTGAATAGGTAGATTTTCTGTTAAAATCATTTGCATGTAAAAATCTCAGGCTGCAAGCTGTTTGCAGTATGTTGCATTCGATGTTACAGGTTCAGAAAGAATAAAACCCAGACTCTGTTTTATCCATGAAATGCACTTAATGTTCCTTACAGACAGGGGAGAAAAAGCAAATGATTATCTTACAGGAAGTAACTTATTAAAGTCAACTTATACTTACATGTACCTGGAAAAGATCATATACATGTACTTCTGTATTCAAAGTAACATATACATGTACTTGTATATTCAAAGACAGGGGAACACAAGTTAAAAGAGGCTCTTAGCCTTTTTTTGAATTGTAAAGGGCCACTTTACAAAACTGATGTTTCAGCACTAGGATACACTTCTTTAAAAGTCTTAGATAAACGAAACAGAAAGGCAAAAGGAAGAGCTTTGGGGAGAAATGGTTATTAAAGCACAGAAGAGTAAATGCTTCTTTATTTTCTACCTAAATTTAATTTTTTCTAGATTATAAGTTATTATTGGCATGCTGAAATTATTTTAATATCTAGAAATACCTCATGAAATTGCCCAGAAAAATCCCGTTAACAGGATAAACTTATAAACGTTAACAGGATATTAGTGAGAGATTAGTGAGACTGTTTCCTTCTCTTTTCTTTTAAAGGGGAGCTCTAAGTTATTGGTACACTTTTCTGTTAGGACGGCAAGGGATAATCCACATCTAGTTCTCTGGTTAGCACTTTTTCAATCCAGGTTGACTTGGAAAATAAACAGTACAGGTGAACACAGATTTAGACCAGATGTTGCCAGTGACTTTACAAAAGCACCAACCCCAGGGTGCTCCAAAGAGAAACAAACCTGGAGTCTGGGGCTCACTTCCTTCCCAGGGAAGTGTGTTTTTGTTTATGTGTTTTGGGAGGAAACAGATCCTAGTGAGGTTTCTTCTGGGTACCTGATGAAATAAGTCCCTACTGTGGGATTAAAACCAGCACCCCCTGCCTTGCCCAGCCTCTGTTGACCAGTCTAGAGGAGGCAGCCTGTCACATGCAGGCCCCTTGCTAACCTCCCAAGTCAACACCTAGGACTCCATGACCCTAGCACAGCCCAGCTGTACTCTCCGGATACTCAGGAACCAGCTCCACACCAGGCACAGCTGGGTGACTGCCAATTAAGCCTGCCCAGAGCACGAGGCTGCCCGTGCTTCTGGAGGCGAGGCTTGTTCACCCTGTTCTCTGCTCTAGTAGAGTTTATTTTCTTCTGCAGAGGAGGACCCTCTCCCCAGTGAGTTTGGACAGTTCTTAGCTATTCATGGTCAAAAAAAATCCTAGATTTTCCAGGATTCTCTCTTCTCTCAGTTTCTGCAGCTCTATTAATAATTTTACCTATTCTTATAATTATATAATGAGGTCTACTAGCATTAATAGAATAGAAATTCACAAATCTCTCAATTTTGAATATTGTTGGCAGCCTTGTTAAAATATTTGAGACAACTTTACAGGGACATAGAGATAAAAATAGCTTTGTGGAGCAGAGTTTTATTTGGGATACACTGTCTAATTTTATGTATTATCAAGGGGATAGCAGCTGCTAGAAGTCTCCTTTACTTGCCCCCTTGTGATTGTATTCGATTTGGCAAAAAGGTAACTTTAAAAGGCAATGAAGGCCGGGCGCGGTGGCTCACGCCTGTAATCCCAGCACTTTGGGAGGCCGAGGCGGGCGGATCACGAGGTCAGGAGATCGAGACCATCCTGGCTAACACGGTGAAACCCCGTCTCTACTAAAAATACAAAAAATTAGCCGGGCGTAGTGGCGGGCGCCTGTAGTCCCAGCTACTTGGGAGGCTGAGGCAGGAGAATGGCGTGAACCCGGGAGGCGGAGCTTGCAGTGAGCCGAGATCGCGCCACTGCACTCCAGCCTGGGCGACAGAGCGAGACTCCGTCTCAAAAAAAAAAAAAAAAAAAAAAAAAAAAAAAAAGGCAATGAAATACAAATAACAATGGGGTATAAAAATAAACATAAATCTGTAATTTTGACTGTAAGATTGTGTGCTAAGAAGGGTTGAAATGGGTCAAAAATTTAATCAGAGTACTCAGGCTTGACTGACTGCTGCTGCCACATCAACAACCTTACCCTTTTATTGCAGTTTTGGTACCCTCGATTTCCATATTTGAATCTTGTGACATGCTTTGAATGTTAGAGTTTAACATAAAATATTTTCCCTTTAAATGTAGTTAAATCTGTTGTTACTTAATTCTCTTGAAATATTTAACTATATTACCCCTCCAAAAATTAGATTTGTTTATTAGCAAGCATGTATGTTGCCTTGTTTTAATAGGTGTTTCTTAGGTTTGTTTAGGAGTTGTAGCCCCTCTTTCAATAGAATTATCTATTTATGTGCTTTCTCATTTATCTGCTAGTGTCTAGATTGTTTTTGCTTATTAGTTTGGGTGGCCTATTAATACAATATTAGCCATTTGCTGGAAGCATTTTTTAACAAGGGCCTTTTAATTTTGGTTATGACATTTATTCTAAATGTATGCAAGTTTTAAATTTTTATGTTTACTGATGTGTCTGTTTTTACCCTTTCAGATTCTATCTTAAAATTAGTCATTTCTTCTTGAGCTATGATGAGTATTTGATTCCATTTTCTTTTAGTTTTTGTAGATTGTATTTTTCAAAATGTGAACTTTGATTATCTAAGGGCAAATTGCTGGGCAACACCCTAGATGTACTGAATTAGAATCTTTGTGATGGAGCCCAATAATCTGCAGTACCCCAGATGATTAATGCCTGTTGAAGTTTGAGAATTTCTATAGTATGATTATCACTTAGACACAACCCTTCCTAACCTACCTCCATCACACACACTGAAGTTACAAAGCTTAGAACCACACATCTCAAGGTTTTAAACCTTCAAGTGTGTTCCTACTTTTCTGTTACCTTGCATTATCTTCCAAATTCTTATAATACACACTACTTAATTTTTCATTTTCATTTTCTTTTTTTTTTTGAGACAGAGTCTCGCTCTTTTGCCCAGGCTGGAATGAAGTGGCTCAGTCAGTCTCAGCTCACCACAACCTCCACCTCCCAGGTTCAAGCAATTCTCCTGCCTCAGCCTCCCGAGTAGCTGGGATTACAGGCACCTGCCACCATGCCTGGCTAATTTTTGTATTTTTAGTAGAGACAGTGTTTCGCCATGTTGGCCAGGCTAGTTTCGAACTCCTGACCTCAGGTGATCCACCCACCTCTGCCTCCCAAAGTGCTAGAGTTACAGGCATGAGCCACCGCGCCCAGACTAATTTTTCATTTTCTATTCCTACCATCCCAGTCCAGAGTATTACTACTATATATCAGTATTACTTTAACCATTTCAGATCCTTATCCATTCTCTGCTGCAGACCAGTTTTCCTAAAACACCATTTTTACCTCCATTCTCTTACTCAAATACACTGAAACGGGTCTCTGTTGTCCACCACATCATAGATATTGACCCTCAAGGCTAATAATCTTAAACCTTGTATGAGTTTCCTATTGCTGCTGTAACAAATCACCAAAAATACAGTGGCTTAAAATTTATGTATTATTATTATTTGAGACAGAGTCTCACTTTATCACCCAGGCTGGAGTGCAGTGGTGCAATCTAAGCTCACTGCAACCTCCGTCTCCCAGGTTCAAACGATTCTTCTTCCCCAGCCTCCCGAGTAGCTAAGATTACAGGCATGTACCACCATGCTCAGCTATTTTTTTGTATTTTTAGTAGAAACAGGGTTTCACCATGTTGGCCAGGCTGGTCTCGAACTCTTGACCTCAGGACATCCACCTGCCTTGGCCTCCCAAAGTGTTGGGATTACAGGCGTGAGCCACTACATCCAGCCTTAAAATTTATTACCTGACTGTAGCTGAGTCTTTTCTGGGTTCTAGAAGAGAATCTGTTTCCTTGCCTTTTCCACCATTCCTCGTCTCGTGGCCTCTTTCATCTTCAAAGCTAGCAGTCACTCCACTTCAGCTTGTGTCCATCATAACATCTCCTTTCATCACCTCTCCTCTGACTTGACACCTTGTGTAAACAGCCTTTCTGATTCATGCAGATAAGTACCAGATGCTATGACACCATAAACTCAATCCCCTTTTCCTTGTCCTTCCCTCTCATGATAACACTGAGCCCACACAGATAATCCAGGATAACCCCCCTTTTCAGAATCCTTAATTTAATCACATCTGCAAAGCCCCCTTTCCCATGTAAGCGAATACATTCACAGATTCTGGGGATTAGGACTTGGGCATCTTTGAGGGAACCATTATTCTGTCTACTACTAACACCTTTACTGGCCGACTTTATTTTTCACTCCTCCTAAGAGCTCTTCAGTGACAGCTGAGCCAATATCTCCCATTACCTCATTATATGAGGTAAAAATGGCTACCCACCTATCTTTGCCATGTCGAATGTCTTTTCCTGTGTGTTCTGATCTATTCAAACCAAGACATTGCAAGTTCTCCTTTTTCCATGTTAGCTCCCTTTCTTCCCTAATCTCTTTGTTCTTAGAACTCCTGTCCATTTAGAATACAGATTTCTGCTTAAATTTTGGAAACATATGAGATAAAACTGTTATCCCTAAATTTTATCTAATTAGAAGGTACTTTTTTAAAAGTAGGGACCATGTCCTGTCTTTCATATCTTTCACACTGTTAGAGTGTCTAGTAGAGTCTTGGGCACATATTAGGTATTAAATAAGTATTTGGCAAATGGTATATTTGGAGAACATGCATATTTATGAATTACTAGAGGATCAGTTTCTACTGTGGGAGTTTGCATTCTCTGTTAACCCCAGGTTCTGCTTGCCCTGATACCTTTGTAGCTCCTCTGCTAGTACTAGGTGGGAAGAACACCATGACCGCACCAAAACGAAAACAAAACCCCATGCTAGCCTTGTTATGGCCCAGGCACAGGCTCCTGTGACAGGGTGAGCCTTCAGGCTTATGAGTGCTTTCCTGTGTGCCTTGGCTACACCTGTCCACACCCCACTATGGCCAAATACTTTACTATTTTAAATGGTGGTTCCTGAAAAGAGCTTTACCTCCCTAGGCCAAAAATTGCATGTATGGGCAGAAAAGTCTTTTCAGTGTGGCAAACTGCTAAGCACATTTTATTTTCATGCCTTCCCAGCTGCTTTCTGTTAGTCACAGCCCATCCTTTTATTCACAAAGGTTTCAGTGAAATATGGTGCTGGTTCATTTTTAAATTAACTGTCTTCATTTTTTATTATTGACTACCTTTGGCTTGAATAAAAGACTTCATTTTCCTGTGTTTAATTCCATGAAGTAGACAATAAGAACCAAAAACCTGCCATGTGGGGTCAAACCAGTAGCACAGCACCCTGTACATTCTCTTCAAAGGGAACCCTGAGGAAGTAGCGGTGGCAATACAGGGGGAAAGATGGGATTTTATCCCCAAGTGTTTCCCGCTTCTTTAACTTTTCTTTTCTTTTTCATTCTTTTTATTCATGTACTTGGGAAAAGTATTTCTGCTTCTTTGTGGAAAATGGTTACTATAACCAATGTATGCAGTGATAGGTCTGTGTGGAATAAGTTCTGTGTAAATTCTTCTAGCAGTATAAAAAAGGAAAAGGGAGTGGTCACACCAGGAAAAGGAGATTGTGTTTGTGGTATCGTGGAATCTGGTACTTATCTGCGTGGATCAGACAGGCAGTTTGCCTGGACACAGCAGGGCCAGGACCGTTAATCATCGGATGAAGTGACAGAGGAGTATTTATCTTGTAAGCAGCTGAGCCCTACTGGAAACATATTGTCTCGGGTTTGTCTCTCATCTAAAGCAATTCATTACTCACCTACAAATGCTGTCATGGATCCCAGCAGCTATGATCATACGCTTCCTCAGTACTCCTGACATAAATAAAAAAGGAAAAATATTTTCAGTTGCTAGATCTTCTAAATTTTTTTTAAAAGGAGAGACATATAATAGAGTTGATTTTCTATTCTGAAATATATGTTGTGATTCAATAGTTCAAAAGGAAGTTTCTTTATGTTTAAAGTGAAACTTAAGCTTATTACCACAGAATAATTTAGCATTTTGGCCTTGTTATTATGGAGAACTGCCTCGGACAGTATAGAGATTAAATATGTATTTATTCCCCTGCAAGCAATTCTAAATTCCCCTCCTTCTCTCTCCCTTGCATTATCAGTTTCCCCCTCAATACTGAATCAGTCTCATCACTATATGAACCTATCGCAGTAGTTTCTGTTTCACATAATAAAGCCTGCCTTCAGCCCCATGCTTCCCTCCTGTGCTCATCCCGTTGTACTCCTTCCTTCTCTTTTAGTAGAACGCCTTAGAAGAGGAGCTGCTACTTCCCCACTGCCCTTCTCTCTGTACCCCACGTTACTGACTTCCCATCATCTGGCACAGCCTGATCATGCCTGTCCTCTTGAAACACTTTCCTGATGGAAGCTACTCCCCCTCTTCCCCCAGTGATTGCCCTGCTTCTCCTCCCTGCTGTTCCATCTCACGTGAGGCTCGGGGCCCTCTTCCAAGCTCATTCAGGCAGAATTCAGTGGCTTGCAGTTGCAGAACTGAGGTCCCTTTTTTTTCTTGCTGGCTGAACACCAGAGGCAGCCCTCAGCTCCTAAAGACCACCCTCAGGTCCTAGCCATGTGGCTCTCTCATCACATGACACCTTACTTGAAAGCCAGCAGTCTGCTAGGACCATCATACAATACACAATGTAATCATGGAGTGACTGTCCTGACATAGTCACAGGTCCCACTCATGCTCAAGAGGAGGGGATCATACAAGGCATTTACACCAGGGGACCATTTTAGGATTCTGTCCCCCACAGCCCTTTTTCTCTATCTGTACCTAACTCCTAATGTCATCTCCTCTATTTCCACAGCTCTAATTACCTATATATTCTGACTCCCACATTTACAGACTTGTACCCAACTACCTACCCAGCATGTCTACTTGGATGCCTGTTGAGCATCTCTGACTTAAAATAGAACAAGTGATTCCTTTATATTAGGAATGTCTTTGATTGCATGTAGTAGAAACTTGATTAGATTTCTTAAGATATTTTTTATTCTCACATTACAGGAAAACTAAAAACAGGCAGTCCAGGTGATGCACGCATCTCACAACATTCATGTTCCAGGCTCCTTGTGTCTCCCTGCTTTAATGTCCTCATCTTAGCATGTGACTTTCACACTTCTGGTGACAACATAGCTCCTATTCTTCCAGGCATGGCTTCTGCATTTTCTGGCAAGAAGAGCCTGTTGCTTTTTGTTAGGAAAGCAAGAGCCCTACCCCAGTAGACATGTACACATATTGGTAACTCTGTCACCTGGTCACCCTAATTAAAAGGGAACCTGGAAAACCAGTTTATAGCTCAGCATCTTAGCCCTCTGAATGACATTGATTTTTTTTTTCCCCCAAAAAAAGAAGGAGGAAATGAATATTGGCTAAGCAGCTAGCAGTGCTAGCCACATCCCTTATTCATGTGGGATTAGATTTGGCTGTAAGTGACTCTAAAACCAAAATAATGGTGACATTAACAGATACAACTTGGACCCTCCCTTCATAAAATGTCTGGTGCTGGTGTGGCAGTTTCATGATCATCAGGGACCCAGGCTCTTGCTGCTTTACCATTCTCAGTGCGAGACTTCTACCTCAGAGGCAAAGGTGGCCGCTCTGCTCTAGCCAGTACATGGGCCCCTTCTTCGTGATGTACAACAAATTTCAGCCTAGAATGGTTAAGGGTGAATATACTCTTACATATGGAAAGAATTTTTTACTATAGTTTAGCTGCCCAGGTTTAATTGTATGAATTTTCTTATTCATTACTATGCTGTTTCTGTGCATGTGTAGTAAAGGAGTAACGTTGGTAGGTTTTTTTCAAGTTTTTAATTAGCAATTAAGCACATTGCACTTAAAGAGGCAGTGCATTAGTTTCCTATTGCTGCTATAACAAATTACCATAAATGTAGTGGCTTAAAACAATATAAATTTATTGTCTTACACTTCCTGATGTGAGGAGTCCAAAGTGGGTTTCACTGGGCTAAAATCAAGGTGTCAGCAGGATGACGTTTGCTCTAGAGGATCTAGGGCAGAAACCATTCTTTCCAGCTTCTAGAGGTCACCTTGGCTCGTGGCCTCTTTCTCCATCGTCAGAGTCAGAGACATTGTTTCTCCTAGTCTCTTTCCAACTCATTCTGCTGCCTCCCTTTTATAAGGATCCTTGTGATTACATTGAGCCCACCCCAATAATCCAGGAGAATCTTCCCATTTTAAGACCATGAATTTAACCAAATCTTCAAAGTCCCTTTTGGCATATAAGGTAACATCCACAGGATTAGGATTTGGTTATTTTTGAGAAAGGAGGATTATTCTGCCTACCACAGACAGCTCTAATGCAACTTCCAACAGAATTTTTGTTTATTTATATTATCCCCTAAAACTGCTGTCCCAAAAGGCTTAGCTGAGAACTATCATTCAGTTTTCATGAATGGAGTTGGAAAGTAATTGTTAGGAACATTGAAAAGATTAGGCCTTTATGTTTTTAAGTTCTCTCTCCAAATGATGTGGTCTAGTTAATGGCATTTCTAGGGACAATACTTATATACAGTTGCATTTTGTTTTGATTTCTTTATATGAAAAACATGTAGAAAGACTTCTTATCAGCAAAGTCCTTCATCCAAGTAAAATTTTGTTGTATTAATTGATTTTTGTAACTAAATTTCTTTACTTTCATTTTTATTCATTTATTAGGCTTTTAATTTTTCAGGAAAAAGGATTTCAATCTGAAATATCAACAATAATACCTACCAAAACAGAAAACCATTATTCTGAAAACTGAACAGTCAAGATACCTAAATAAAGAATTGTTTGACAAAATTGCAGTGTAATTATATTTTCCTCTATTTTTTATTGCAGATAGCAGTAGTTCACTTTCTTTTATTGGCCTTTTTTCCCCAAATAATATCACTATAATTAACAGACATCTCTGTTTTTTTTTTTCTTTTTCTTTTCCTATTCTGTCTTTATAGCTTAAGAAATGTATAAAAACTCCAGAAATCCCTTCTAAACATGTTAGGAACTGGGTCCCCAAAGTCTTGGAACAGCGACGACAAGGCTTGGAAACATACTTACAGGTAAGATATGTTTAGATCCTCATTTTATATAACATAAATAATCATATGTCTTACCACTTTTTCTCAGGACATGTGAGTGCAATGTAAAATATGTTAAGCAGCCAAAGATTCTAAATTAAAGGAAGTCCAAAATTACAGATATGTTGTTGGTTGGTTCTTGTAACTTTAATTAGGGTTCTATTTAAAATTGGTTCTATGTATTGGGGAAGTGAAATTTCAATAAAAAGGTGAAAACTGTTGAGGAGAGGATCTGTTTTTTAATTCAACTCTACAAATTATTTTGTTTTTTGCTTTTTGCTTTTCCTTCAAGATTTTTTTTTGCTTCTTTATAGCAATCCCAGCCTTCACGTTTTGAGTTTTGCGGGGCTGGTTGGGGTAGTGAGAGAAACTGAACTCACAGCGGGCCTGGCTAGTGTATCTTTGGAATCAAATTGAAAAGGAATGTATAAAAATTGCCGATGATGAAGTGCCAACCTCTTTGAAAATTCGAATGTCAATTTAGAAAGAATGCACTGGGACACTCTTTTCTGCAGCTGAGAGGAGCAAGCAGAGCTGCCTAAGTGAGAATAGGACAAAGACCGTCTCTTTACCAAGTGACAGAAGAAGCAAAAGGAGAAGGTAGAGCAGTATCAGCTTCTCTGAGTTTTAAAACAAAAAGAACTAGTGGCCCCAGGCGAGTACTCAGTGTAGTCATCATTAAGTCCAAAGAACACTGTGCAGGGCAGGAGCTGGGGTGGGCAGGCCCTGAGGTCAGCCAGTACCATTCTGCCACTAACCCATCTTGGTAAGGTGGCAGGTGCCATCCTGCCACTAACCCATCTTGGTAAGGGCCAGTAGTATGGTCCCTCCCTGGCACCACTGGAGAAGCGACACATGAGAATGATGGAGTGAACATGGCTGGGGGCAGGGGAATCTTGGCTCTTAAAACAAAAGAGCTGGACTCCCACCTAAGAGCTATGAATTAATGATTGACCCATCTAAGACACGTTACATCAAACAAATCAGCAGCCATGACTGTGTCCTCCCTTTGATATCTTCATGGCCCTTTAAGCATTAACCCTAGGGTGGATTCTGTTGAGGAGGGAAACTGAGGACTGTGGAGCTAGTATGCCATTTCTTCTACAGAGCTCTATGAATGGCTGTCCCTGAACCACTAGTGATGAGAAGATGAGGGGAGGCTGACTCCTCAGGCTTGTACTTAGTGAGAAATTCAGAGGACTATCTCTCAGTAGAAAGATGCCAGAATTCCGTTCCTGGCCCTTGTAGTTTTCCTGGTCTTTACAGTGCTCTAATAGGAAAGCTGACATGCAGAAGGCCCCTGAAGACATCTGAGGCAGGCTCTCTTTACTGTTTTTGCTCTTTTGCTTTTGAACTTGGTAGAAGAATCCTTCACTGTCTCTCTCTGGGGGTGAGAGCTTAAAGGAAATGGGGATTATTACAAATCACAAGAATGTGTGTGGCCATGGTTTTTGAGACTGAGGAGCTATGATCCTTCCATAGCTTCAGGCAACACTGCAGAGCAAAAAACAAACCCCTCCAAAAAATTAGACTTCAGAAATTGTATGCAAAGAGTAAAAATGCATGTTCTCTATAATTAAATGGAATAGGTAAACAATGCATTCTTATTTGTAAGCCAGATTTTCCATGATATTGTATATCTTCAAGCTTTAGTTCTGAAGAAAGCTCTACTCTGTTCCCCTCATTGTATTTGACACATGATTTCCATTACTACTCAGTGTAAACATTTTAAGTTGTTTGTACTTCGGATATAAATATGTGCATAAAATCATCTGGCACAGAGAGGAGTTTATAGTGACACTCAAATTGAGCTTAGAATTTTCTATTCTCAGAAATAAGGCTTGAAAGATGTGGTCGAAGGGCTCAGATGGCTTGCTTCCTGTTGTGCATTTAATAGTCAATTTGTTGTCACTTAATTCCCCCAGGAGTTTAAGGGAGTTAGTTTTCTTTTCCGCTTGATTCTATTTGCAGGCAATGGGAGGTAGATGGAAGTTGCAAAGATAAGCCTGAACACTTAATCTTAAATGAAATGCAAATCCTAGCCTAGGTGTCATTTCTTGATCATTTCAAGTCTCCTTAGAAGTAAGACAGCATTACTGTTTCTTCTGCTTGCTTACATTACACCAGCTAGAATCCATTCATGCTCAGGACCAGTCTGAAACCCAGGGAGTGGATGCCACCAGCACTTTCTCAGCAGGTATCATCCTGCCACTAACCTGTCTTGGTAAGGGCCAGTAGTATGGTCCTGATCTGGCCCATGAACCTAAGAAAGTGGTAATACCTCCAAGCCATAGCATCTTAAGTTCACAAGGAACTTAGACATTACATAGTCCGGTCCTTCAGCTATTTCACAATCATCCCTCTGGCCTCAATTTCCCACGCATAAACAGGCAGATCAGCTCTTGAGGGGGTCAGAGAAAACAACTCTTCCTGCCATCCAAGGGGCAACTAGTACATTCTGGACCATGGGTGAGTACAACCCCACACATTTCCTAAGGTGGTCACACACTGCTCTTTTATTTTAGAGATGGACAAACTGAGGTCCAGTGGAATTAAAAATCTTGCCCCCATTCCTGCAATATATTAGTTAAAGAGTTGGGAATGGAATTTTAGTTTCCTAACATCCAGTATGGGCTCCTTTCTTCATGTGTTGTGGATTTTTCTAAGTCAGGAGAAATTTTTCAACTTTGACATATAGCTTTACATAAGGCTCTAACAGATAAAGGAAAAGACCTGATAATCATAAACTATTACTGCCTAATTGACTATCATCCCCCAACTCCCTGGATAAGTAGATAGATGATTTTTTAAATCAATAACTTGAATAGCAAAAACTATGCATATGCTTTCATTTTCTGTGCTGTATTTAAGTAAGAGGCTAACTTAAAAACAAGAAAGGTCAAATTACCTATTTTCAAAATTAATTTTGTTCTATCTGAGATTTTAAACAAAGGAAACCCAACCTGTTTTGGCATCTGTACTTTTAAAACTGTTTTTTATTCCTTTGCTGGTCACCAATAAATGAAATTAATGAAAGAAATAAAACTAATGAAAATGAGAGGCAAAAAAGCCTACAGTTAGCATTTATTTGGCTTTCTTCAACTTGAAAATAAACATATCATATTAGTCTTCAAGATACAATTTATAAATACATATTTTCTTTTATGTTTTAGCATCTCTATTCAATTTAAGTAATTTTAGTTTAAAATAACTAAATTAGGAAATTTTCCTAGTGTATATTTTTGAGTGTAGGTTTCTTAAAAATATTTTACATTGTATTTGAAAAAACCACTTTATTTTCAAATAGAAATTTCAGATCTTAAGGGGAAAAAAGCAAGCACATTATTCAAATTAATGAATTGCCACAGTGTAAATAATTTATGGATAGGTTCTAATCAGTGAATTTACCTTGAAAAACTTCTGCCGTTCTAGAGATTTCCATATGATCATATTTGCAGAGTCTAACAGTTGAGCAATTACAGCAAAGTCTATTTAGTGTTACTTGCCTGGAGATTAAAAACAATAGTATGAAGGTTACATAAGTGAGTTTTAATTTTTTAAGTACATTTCTGAACCATTATTATTTTCCTACTTAAATTTTCAAATGATTTGATTAGAAACAAATTCTAAAACAAAAACGAAAAACCCTAGCTGAATATCCAAGTACGTATAGTATCTTAGAATCAAAATCTATAATTAATCAGGGAGACATCAGAAGTTATATTTGGCATTTGAGTAATTTGAAGTATGGCAGTCTACCTGATGAACAGTGAACCTTAATTTTATTTCCTAGAATCATTTTCTGTTTATTGAATAAGAAATCAATTAACTATTATTATGTTTTCTTACCTCTTTCCCCTTAAATAATATACTCCAGGAAAACTCCCTGAGGTTTAATGAATGAGGAAATCGATCTCCTGTAAAAGTAGAATTAAGTATAACAGTACCTTTCTATATGAGTGGAAGAAAATCAGTTGGTTTTCATCTCAGTAAAAGGTCTATGCCAAATAAAGAGTTTTCTGTTAAACTTTTATTTTTCCAAATTATATAAACTAGAAATTCATCTACTTTGGAGGATGTTTTAACTTGAAGATAAAAGCAAGTTAATATTTGATATTAATTTACCAATAAAGGTTGTATGTGTGTGTGTTTGTATAGTTTTGCTTAATGATAAGCACTCATCAAGCACCTATGATGTTTGAGGCAGAAGGGTAGATCTAGCTTCAGAGATACCTTGAACCATAGCCCAAATTAAGCTACTGTAGTTATTTTCTCTGTCGCTCCTCTCTGCTTCCATGGTGCAGGCTTCATCTGGCCCCCATAGTGGTACAAAAGGGCTGCAACAGTTCCAGACCTCACCTACTCTTAGCACATAGCCTAGTACAGAGGAAAAGAAGGTTTTCTTTCAGTAAGATTTCACAGAAGAAAGAAGCAGTGTCTTTCACTAGGAGTCCTGCAGATGTTTTTCCTGATCTCATTGGCTTATATTTGTGTGCATGCCCACTTCTGAACCTCACCACGGCCAACCATCCCACTGAGTTAAGTGAATCAAAGCCTGCTCCTGAAGATGAGGGAGAAGGGGTGATTTCCCTAATGAATAACCAGGGTATTCTTGGTAAAAGAAAAGGGAATATTCTCACTGTGGGTTGGGGCGTGGAGGGCAACCAGCAAATTACCATCAGAGAAAATGATAATGCTTAGAAATTTTGAGTAAATTGCCCAGGGTTATGAAAAAGTGGGGACTTTCCTGAGACTGGAATTCAAGGCTCTTTCCTAGATAGATAAAGCTTCTAGAAAATTTAAAGTCAGGCCGGGCTTGGTGGCTCACGCCTGTAATCCCAGCACTTTGGGAGGCCGAGGCGGGCGGATCACGAGGTCAGGAGTTCAAGACCATCCTGGCTAACACGGTGAAACCCCATCTCTACTAAAAATACAAAAAATTAGCCAGGCGTGGTGGCGGGCACCTGTAGTCCCAGCTACTCAGGAGGCTGAGGCAGGAGAATGGCGTGAACCCGGGAGATGGAAGTTGCAGTGAGCTGAGATTGCGCCACTGCACTCCAGCCTGGGCGACAGAGTGAGACTCTGTCTCAAAAAAAAAAAAAAAAGAAAAAGAAAAGAAAATTTAAAGTCATAAATCTCCTTGACTTTTGACTTAAAGACCAGAAATATTTCTTACCTTTATTTTTATTTTAAAAATATAAAATAATATTTGCTCATTAACACAATTACTTTTACATCTAAAAATTTTAATTACCAATGAAGTTATGAGCTAGACCATTAAGGAATTTAGCATCTCATAGTGTTTACCAGTTTCTGAAAAGCAGAAATCTTAAGAATAATTTCAGTTTCCCAAATTGATTTGACCATCAAACACAGTTTATATGATAGTTTTGCCTCCTGATTTGAGATGACTTCCTGTCTTCCCTGAGACTCCACTGAAATGAAAGTACAGAAACTTAAGAATGAATAAACTCCAACAGTTAAGTAGTAGATGGGCAAGGAAAAGAGAAGATCATCAAAGGAAGAACAATGTTAACAACCTTCGGGAAGATAGGATGTGGTGGGAGCATGTGAGTGGATAGAGCACAAAAAGCAGCAGTCCGAACTCAGTCCTGTGGGTCTGTTGTGGAGGCGGGAGGCAGCCTGTGCAGGCAGTGCTGGAGAGCTTCTAGGCTCAGAGTCTGCGGGTAAGGCAGAGCATGGGGTGCGCAGGGAAGCTGAAAACAAGTAGATCCATTCAGGGCACAGGTTGAGTGTTCCTCATCCGGAATGCCCCGAAATTTGAAACCTTGAGTGCTGGCATGACGCCACAAGAGGAAAATTCTCTACATAAGAACTTAATATAAACTGTTTCATGCACAAAATTATTTAAAATATTGACTAAAACTACCTTCAAGCTATGTGTATATGATATATAAGAAACATAAAGAATTTCATATGAAGACTTGTGTCCCATTCCCAAGATATCTCATTATGTATATGCACACATTCTATAATCGAACACATCTGAAATCCAAAACACTTGTGGTCCCAAGCATTTCAAATAAGGGCTATCCAAGCAATGTCTGCATGGAACACATGCCTAGGCTACTCATTCTATGCAGAATACGTGCAGCCTGATGTTTGTGACCAGATGAATTTTTTAAAAAAAGAATTTTCTTTTAAAAACAACAATACAACAACAAAAAAGTAAACAGAATGGCTGGGAAGAGCTAAGTCTTCTAATGTGGATAGTAGGGCCCCCAAGTTAACAACCCCCTTCGCACTCACCCCAGGGAAAAGCCCACCTGACTGCGCGCTCCACTCATACGGTTTGCACTCAGGCAAGGGGCCTGTGCAAGCACTGCTGCTGACATACTAGCAAAGGAAACCTACCCAAGCCACCCGGGCTACTTTCTTCAGTGTGATCTGATGATAATCAGGCATTTGAAGAAAACAAGTAGCATGAACAAAAAGACCAAGATGAACTAAAATACTGACTCTTCAGGAAAGAGATAATTTGGGACATAAAATATATCTCAAAAATTGATGTAATAAATCCAGAGAGCTTCAGAGTGGTATTACATCCTTAAGATTACAATAGGATGCTGTGTAAAAGGAACAATCCAAGAACACATGAGAGTTCTTAGAATTAAGTGTGTTATCCAACTGAAAACATTCAGTAGATGCTCTCTCTAGTTGGAAAACTGTTCCATAAAGCACAGATACAGAAACGTCAAACAAAAGACATAGAGGACCAATCCAGGTCTAACATCCTACTTCTTTCTGGAGTCCCAGAAGGAAAGGGGATGGGAGGTACAATACACAAGTAGGAAAGGGAATAATAGAAGGAAAAATAGTTGAAAACTTCCTCAGGTTACACAATATAAGCGATTTCTTTCTTTCTTTCTTCCTTTCTTCCTTTTTTCCTTCCCTTTCCTTTCCTTTCCTTTCTTTTTTTTTTTGGAAACAGAGTCTTGCTCTGTCACCCAGGCTGGAGTGCAGTGGCACAATCTCAGCTCACTGTAACCTCCACCTCATGGGTTCAAGTGATTCTCCTGCCTCAGCCTCCCAAGTGGCTGGGATTACAGGCACCTGCCACCATGCCCTGCTAATTTTTGTATTTTTAATAGAAACAGGGTTTCGCCATGTTGGCCAGGCTGGTCTCAAACTCCTGACCTCAAATGATCCTCCCGTCTTGGCCTCCCAGAGTGCTAGGATTACAGGCATGAGCTACTTTGCCTAGCCATCAGCATTTAAATAGGAAAGGTGCTCCGAGGATAAAGAACAAAGAATGACAGAATCCTTGTAATGCCTAGACATAGCCAGTGATATTTCAGTACATTTGAGACAAGATCCATAATCTTCCAGAAAAAAAAAAACAAACGATGGGCAAGGTTGAGCTTCAGTCATGGCTTCACTTCTTCATTTGAGGGTTGTTTAGTGGGTACATCCCTCCATTCTTCAGTAGAAACATTAACTTGTAAACTGGCGTAATATTTAGACAAAGGTTTTTCATGGAGTTGTGCATACGTTACTTGTTCCATTTATTACAATAACGTGGAATTTATCTTTCTGAGAAAGGTACATCTTATATCACTTGAGAATAATAGTTCTTGTTTATATTTTTTTCTTTTTGTAAACAGTAATTAAATGTATAGTTAGTATTAAGAGCTAAAGAGAAATAGCTCACAGAAATCAAGACTAAGGATAATCTAAGCTAATAATACAAATCCTTTTTTAAACAGTTTATTTGTAGAGAACACTTCCGAAGCTAGAGTGAGGCTGGCTTGTTAAATAATAGTAGATGCCCCTGAGTTACTGTCTTCACAAGACCCTATTACTTGACTAGCCTGCCCTTCATTCATTCTTTAAATTATACAGTATGATATGTACCGTTGGGTCAGTAGTCCACAGTGGGTCAAAGAGTATTGTATCTTTGACTTTTCCAGTTGTACATGAAACAGTTACTAAAATTGACCATATGTGCTTGAAAATGTGTATTCTTAAATTCTCAAATGCAGTGAACTTTCTCTCTCTCTATATATATATAGTTTTATATATAAAATACATATAATCAGATCAGTGTTAAGTATTCTGTTTATTAATGTTTATATTTTTAATTTTTGTGGGTACATAGTAGGTGTATATATTTATGAAGTACATGAAAGCATTCTGTTTAAATGTCTTGTATTTTAACTTGGCCACTCAATCTATAAGAACAAAGATGTGTTAAAATTTCCCACTTAAATTTCTTATCATTATTGATATAATTGGGGTTAGTTCAGCCATCGGTGCTATCACTCCATCTTTTTCTATGATTTTTTTTTTGTCTGCTTTTGGATTGGTGACCAATACTGTTTTTTTTCTTTCTATTGTTCCCCCATTTGTTTATATTTGTTTTTTTAATAGTTACCTGTTATCTTTACTTTCCTCTTGAACATTACAAGGGCCTTACAATATTTTAACTCTGTTTACGCTAGATATAGGAATCTGGGTTGACAGTTCTTGTCTTTCAGCACTTGCAAAATATTGTGACACTTCTTTCTTGTCTTCGTGGTTTCTGATTTTTAAAAAAAAATCAGTCATATTGTTTTTCCCCTATATTTAAGGTGTTATTTTAAAAAGGCTGTTTTCAATATTTTATTCTTGTCTTTAGTTTTCAGAAGTTTAATTTTGATGTGTCTTGGTGTGTATTTAAGTTTTTCCCCTTTTGAATTATCCTGGTTTCTTGAATCTGTAGATTAATGTCTCTTATCTGATTCAAAAGTTTTAGCCATTATTTCACTGAGTACACTTTCAGCTCCTTCTTCTTTCTCCTCTTATTCCAGGCCTCTGATAACAGGAATACTAAATTTTTTATTATAGACCCACAGGGACCTGAGACCTTATTCATTTTTCTCAGCCTATTTTTTTTTTTCTCCATGGTCAGGGTGGGTAAATTCTATTGTTCTATCTCCCAGTTTCCTGATTCTTTCCTTGATTCCTTGCATTCCACTGTTGAACCCTTAACTTAAGGTTTTTGTATCAGTTATTATATTTTTTAGTTGTAAAATTCCCATTTGTTCTTCTTTATATCTTTTATTTCCTTCCTGAGATTTTATATATGTCTTCATTGAGTCTCTTTTGTTTTGTTTCAAATGTATTTATAATTACTCACTGAAAAGTTTTTATTGTGGCTGCTTTAAAATCATTGTCCAATAATCTTTACATCTCTGTCATCCTAATGTTGGAATCTATTGATTAGCTTTTTCATTCACTTTGAGATCTTCCTGGTTCTTGGTACAATGGATAATTCTGATTGAATCTTATACATTTTTATAATTATGAGACTCTGGCTCTTATTTATACCTTCTATTTTAGCTGACTTTCTCTAACAGCTCCATCAGGGGAAGATGGGATGTGGAAGACATTACCTTGTTTTTCCCAGGTTAAGGTAGAAGATTAGGCTCCTCACTTGGCCCTCGTTGATACCTGGAGGGTAAGGCTTGCTCCTCATTACCATTAAGATGTAGAAAGTTCTTTGCTAGATTTCATCTGATGCCACCATAGAAGAGAAAGGGAGGAGTACCTCGTTACTGCCATTGGCCCTGGAAATCTAAGCTCCTCACATGGTTTCCGCTGACACCATAAGAGGGGGCACATTACCAAGTGGTGAAAGCCCTGGTCCCTTACGAGGCTGTCTCTGTTACCACCCTCTCATCGACACCTCATTACAGCCTTATAAGGGTGGAAGTCTAGGCTTCCCACTATGCCTCTGCTGCCATGAGTAGAGGTGAGGGCCACAGTTTCTTCCATGGTGTTTGGCTGGAGTAGAATGGTTAGTGTCTGCAAATTTTCCGTCTTGCTAGGCTGCCCCTCTCTGTGTTCTATGGCTGGACAGAACAGGCTTTGGATGCAGCTTTTTTTTTTCTCTATCTCTGGGCATTTCCTGGTTGCCACCTTTTCAGCTCCAAGTCTGCGATATATAAGGCAAAACAAAAATCCAAGAAAGATAAAATTCATCACTGTGTATCTTAGTTTATTTTCTGCAGCTATAATAGAATGCCACAGACGTTCTATTATATGTGGTGCCAGCCGCTTCCTGGGAGCAGTGAACAGTGTCCCAGGCCTGATTTGGAACACAGTCTCTGCAGGGAAGGCTTAGTTGTCCATCTGCTGTAATTTGTAAAAATAAAACCTTTAAAACACTTGGGAAAAAAAAAATATATACACACACACACACACACACACACACACACACACACACATACACAGCCACCATATTTTTTTTAGCTGTACATCAGTGGGCACCTGAGTTGCTTCCATGTTTTAGTTTTTGTGAATAATGCTGCTGTGAACATGGATGTACAAATATCTCTTAGAGATCCTGCTTTTGATTCTTTAAGGTGTATGCCCAGAAGTGGATTGCTTGATCATGTAATTCCATTCTTAATTTTTTGAGGAACCACCATACTGTTATCTACAGTGGCTGTACCGTTTTATTTCCGACCAACAGTGAGCAAGGGTTCCAATGTCTCCTCCTCCTCATGAGCACCTGTTGTTCCCTGGGTTTTTTATATTAGTCGTACTGATGGGTGTGAGGTGGTATCTCCCTGTAGTTTTGATTTGCATTTTTCTAATGATCGCTGATGTTGAGCATCTTTTCATGTGCTTATTGGCCATTTGTGTGTCTTTTTTGGAGAAATATCTCTTCAAGTCCTTTGCCATTGTTTAATTGGGTGGTTTTTTTTTCATTGTTGAGTTTTAAGAGTTCTCTATATATTCTGGATATTCTTCCCTTATTATGTAATATGATTTGCAAATATATTCTCCCATTTTATATATTGCCTTTTTTGATAGCAGAAAATTTTAAATTTTCATGAAGTGCCATTTGTCTGTTTTTTCTTTTGTTGCCTTCATGCCTTTGGTGTCATACCCAAGAAATCATTGCCAAATCCAGTGTCACAAAGCTTTTTCTTTGTGCTGTCTTCTAAGAGTTTAATAGTTTAGGTCTTACATTTAGGCTCTGGATCCATTTTGAGTTAATTTTTGCATATGATGTTAGGTAAGGATCCAGTTTCATTCTTTTGCATGTGGACATCCAGTTTTCCTAGCACAATTTGTTGAAAAGATTATCTTTACCCATTTGAATGATCTTGGCACTCTTCTCAAAAAACCGTTGGACCATATATATGAGGATTTATTTCTGTACTGTTTATGCCATTACATTGGTCTATATGTCTATCATATGCCAGTACCACCTGTTTTCATTTACTATAGCTTTAGAGAAAGTTTTGAAATCAGGAAGTGCGAGTCTTCCAGCTATGTTTTTCTTTTTCAAGATTGTTTTGGGTATTTGAGGGCCCCTTGAAGTTTCATATGATTTTTTGAATGGATTTTTATATTTCTGCAAAAATAAAAAAACTTCTTTGGAATTTTAATAGGGATTGCCTTAAATCTGTAGATCACTTTGGGTAATAGTGACATCTTAACAATTTCAGGTCTCCTAATCCATGAACATGGGATATCTTTACATTTATTTGTGTCTTCTTTAATTTCTTTCAGACATGTTTTGTAGTTTTCATTGTATAAGTCTTTCACCTCCTTGGTTAAGTTAATTCCTAAGTATTTTATTCTCTTTGATGCTATTGTGAATGGAAATAGTTTCTTAATTTCCTTTTTGGATTGTTTATTGTTAGTATATCAAAATGTAATTGATTTTTATGTATTGATTTTGTATCATACTACTTTGCTGAATTTGCCTGTTAGTTATAACAGTTTTTTTGTAGAGTCTTAAGGATTTTCTACATGTGAGATCATATCACATGCAAACAAAGATAATTTTACTTCTTCCATTCCAATTAGGATAGCTTTATTTCTTTTTCTTGCCTAATTGCTCTGGCTTAAACTTTGAGTACTATGTTGAATAGAAATGGGGAAAACAGGCATCATAGTTTTGTTCATGGTTGTAGAAGAAAAGCTTTCAGTCTTTCACTGTTAATTATGATATTTACTGTGGGTTTTAAATATATCACATTTATTATGTTGAGGTAATTTTGTCTATTCCAATTTTCTTGAATTTTTTTGTCATGAAAGGGTGTTGAATTTTGCAAAAAAAAAATTTTTTTTTTTGAGACAGAGTTTCACTCTTGTTGCCCAGGCTGGAATGCAATGGCATGGTCTCAGCTCACTGCAACCTCCACCTCCCAGGTTCAAGCGATTCTCCTGCCTCAGCCTCCCAAGTAGCTGGGATTACAGGCACCTGCCATCACACCCGGCTAATTTTTGTATTTTTAGTAGAGACGGGGTTTCACCATGTTGGCCAAGCTGGTCTCAAACTCTTGATCTCAGGTGATCCACCCACCTTGGCCTCCCAAAGGGCTGGGATTACAGGCGTGTGAGCCACCATGCCTGACCACCAAGAGTTTTTTTTTCACATCAATTAGATGATCATGTGGTTTGTTTCTCTTCTGTTAGTGTGGTATATTACATTGATTGATGCTTATATGTAGAACCATCCTTGTATTCCAGGAATAAACCCTACTTGGTCATACTTTATAGTCTTTTTATTTTTTAATTTTTAAATTTTTTTTGTATTTTTAGTAGAGACGGGGTCTTGCTATGTTGCCCAGGCTGGTCTCAGACTCCTGAGCTCAAACAATCTGCCTGCCTCAGCCTTCTAAAGTGCTGGGATTATAGGCATGAGCCACCCCACCTGGCCAATATAGTCTTTTTAATATGCTGCTGAATTTGATTTCCAGTATTTTATTGAAGACTTTTGCATCAGTGCTCGTCAGGAATTTTTGTCTGTAGTTTTCTTTTTGGGGGTGTCTTTGTCTGCCTTTGGTATCAGGGTAATGCTGGCTACCTAGAATGCGTTAGGGTGTATTTCCTCCTGTTAAATTTTTTGGAAAAGTTTGAAAAGGATTGGTGTCAGTTCCTTAAATATTTGATAGAATTTAATGAAGCCATCAGGTCCAGAGCTTTTCTGTGTCAGGAGATTTTTGACTATAGATTAAATATCCTACTAGTTAGAGACCTGTTCAGATTTTCTAGTTCTTCATGGTTTAGTCTTGGTATATTTTGTGTTTCTTTCTAGAATGGGCAAATTCTCATTTGTCCATTTCATTTAGGTTATACGATTTTTCTTTTTTTTTTTTCGTGTATTCCATTTATCTCTACTCTAATCTTTATTTCCTTCCTTTTGCTAGCTTTGGGGTTTCAAAATGTTTTATTTTATATATATATAATAAAAAATACATAATATATATATTAGAGACAAGACAAGGTCTTGCTATGTTGCCAGTGCTGGTCTAGAACTCCTGGGCTCAAGCGATCTGCCCACCTCGGCCTCCCAAAATGCTAGAATTACAGGTGTGAGCCACTATACCCAGCCTAATTTCCTAGGATCTTTATCTTCATGCAGCTTTTGTGGCTAGAATTGAACTGAATTTACTGAGAGAATTTTTATTTGCTTTTGCTGGTCATTTGGGAAGACTATCAACTGAGATTTCTTAAGGCATTGTTTTTGGGTTTTTTTTTTATTTTTTTGATCACACTGATTGCATTAATTTAGGTTACACACCTGTAAAGGAACTGAAGCAGCTACATTGTCTGGGGTAAATACTCGGGGTTCATTATCTCATGCCAGGAAAATTTAGTACATGGACACACACGAGGAGTTAGGAGCAGAGGTTTTGATAGGCAAAAGAAAGAGAAAGGAAAACAGCTCACTCTACATAGAGGCTTAATGACATGGGGTTTACTAAAGAATAGCAGAATCTCTGAATGATAGAGTCTCTGTGTCTGCCTTTGACCCTTTTCAAACACCCCTGTTGTTTAAGAAAACATTTTCCTCCGAAGTAGGCTGCCTTCCCCTCCCTACACGGGCTGTGTTTTCCACCTGTTATCTTTCTTTTCTGTGAGCTTCTTCACTTTCCTAAAGAAAAGATTCTGCAGTAACTTGATTTCCTTCCCCATGATGCAGTAAAAACTGGTATTTTATTTTGAAAATTGTTGAGTCAGTAGCTGTTTTGCTGCCTTTATCACTATTGCTTCATGAAAATGTTTAAACAACATCCCATCTGCCTCCTGAGACAAATGGTCATTAAGTGTCAGGCAGGGAGTGTCTTTTATCACCATGTGATGTTTTCTCTGGTGCTCTTTGTCACTTGATAAGCAGTGTTGTACTAGTTGGAATACTAGTACAAAACTGCTAGTTTGTAGCACTAAACTACAAAATTTTTAGTCCCTAAACTATTTTGTGAACCACATTTTCATCCATACTAGAGTGTACTCATGGACTTGTTTTTTGTGACTGTAAACTATTTATAAATTTGACATTTTATTATTAAATTTCCTAAAATTTCTATTTTATGGCCACAAGCCATTTTTAAGTACATATTTTCACCTTTTTCTCCTTTCTTTAAATAGTGCTAGCAGTTAATATTCTTTTAGGGAGCCTTTTCTTTAAGTCCTGTGCAGACCCCCAAGTTCTTATTTGTTTAAATCACTTCATGAGAATTGTAGAGAAGCCGTAATTCAGCTGAGAGCAACAGATTAAACTCAACTGAGACTCAGGTCTTCAGCGCTTTCCAGGTTCACTTACCAGAGAAGGGGTTCCCTCTTGCTCATCTCATCAAAATCACAAACTACTACATTTCAAAAGACTCACAAACTACTACATTTCAAAAGACTCAAAAGGCTGCTAGGATTTTGAGTCATGAAAACTACAATGGTTAAGTTTAGAACAGTATCTAATTACTATCTTAGAATTATTATTGTTTTTAAGTTAGTTTTACTTCTTAATGGTGTTTTCTCATCATTCATATAATTATGGATGTCTATATAAGTAAAAAAATTCTTATGCAAAATATGTTTATCTTTCTTTTTTTCCACCTTCCATTTTTGTGGTCTTAAGTCAAACATGGTCAGACATGAACATATCTGTTTCTAGCCATCCAACTCTGGCTGAGGATTCTTTGAAAATTTCTCCTTTAATCCACATCTGACAAGGTTAAGGCACTGATGAAACTGAGTAAAGTTGGAATGCAGCAGGGAAGCCCCATGCTGTCTATCCTTATTGCCACCCTAACCCTGACAACTCAGGGTTCTTAGAAGTTTTAGATTAAGAAGTGATTTGCCATGGCAGTCTTGGTTCTTACCAAGGATTTCCTTTAAACTGCATCTGAAGGAAAGAACAAGACCTATGTATTTGGGAGGGGGTGAGGGTTGATAAAAGAGGGATGTATAATTTGAACTTTATAAAATCACCATAGAAGCCTGTAGAATACAGTTTCTATGAAGGTCCTGCTTATAACATGAGACAAACTGTTCTTTGTTCTTGTTAAAGATTGTGAACAGTGTGTTAAATAATATTAATGGCTGGGATTGTCAGTACTTAACAGTACCGTCCTTCTACAAGTGATTTTATTGATCGATACAGACTCAATGTAACGGGGGCAGATTATTTTTACTGATTTTATCGAAACCTTAACCAAGTTTGTTAGTGTGCCACATATCTTTAAATAGATCTAGATGATGATATAGATTAAGAAAAGCAAACCACCATCCATCTCTTTTTGATCTGTTAATAACTTAAATCCATCATTGCTAGCAAGTGTTTTCAGATTCTGTTGTACATACATGTTTCTGTTGTGCCTGGTTAGAAATCCTGTAACCTAGTTTCAGTGGTTGGTTTTTCATACAGAAAAACCCTAACTACTTATTTAGGATTTAGCAGACAAGTTTGTCATCATAATTGGTGAAAGTATTCACAAAATATGAAAATGAAAAAAACTTTAGAAGCTTTTGTTTTGTAAATTTAGTTTTTGTAGACAGTGACCTATAGATTTGTAGATTTTATGGTAATTCTATAAGACTTTTTTTGTGCTAAGCTGAAAACTCTTTATGAAGGCTACAGATAATTTCTTAGAACAACGTATGGCATTTCCTTTCATAGTTTTTAAGGCCTGCATTATAACTATGGATAATTGTTCTACTTAATTTCAAATACATTTTATTTCTCCCAGTGATTTACATGCTTTCCATTTATCTCAAAATGATATGTACTTCATTTAAAATAATTTTAGTGCTACAAATAATTTCTTAGAACAATGCATGATATTTCTTTTCATATTTTTAAGGCTTGCATTATAACCATGGAGAATTGTACTACTTAATTTCAAATACATTTTATTTTTCCCAGTGATTTACATGCTTTCCATTGATCTCAAAATATGGTATATACTTTAAATATGACATATCACCTTTAAATGATATGTACTTCACTTAAAATAATTTTTAGTGCAGAGCAGTGTTTTAAATTTCTGAAACCATCTATACGTATTATTTCTTTAAAGGAAAACAGTACACTCTCTTTTCTAGGAAATAAACCAGTATTTTAAAAATTCAGATAATGCATTCTTGCACATCTTGGGTAGACAAGCCTGATGAAAGCCAAGCCTACCAAGCTATGGGTAATGATCCTTCAGAGGTGGCATAGGCCAGTGGAGGAGGCATCAGTAATGGCAATTAGAAATATCAAAAATAGGTATTTCATGGAGAGGGATTTGTGTGAGAGAAGGGAATTGAATAAAAATATTAACTCTAGTGGATTGTGGCCCCAGAGCTTTGATTGGGCTTAAAACATAAAACTTTGGGAGTTTTAAACCTATGAATTATACAATATTGACCACCTGGTTTGACAGTGCATACTGATTTTTAAAAATACCTTCAGCAGTCATTAAGTTCAATGACCTCACCTAGAGCCCCCTATTAATAAGGTGAATGTTTTGGGTTAAATTTTCCTCTAGGCTGGGCATGGTGGCTCATGCCTGTAATCCCAGCACCTTGGGAGGCCAAGGTGGGCGGATCACTTGAAGTCAGGAGTTTGAGATCAGCCTGGCCAACATAGTGAAACCTCGTCTCTGCTAAAAATACATTAATTAGCCAGACCTGGTGGTACACGCCTGTAGTCCCAGCTACTCAGGAGGCTGAGGCAGGAGAATCGCTTGAACCTGGGAGGCACAAGTTGCAATGAGCCGAGATTGTGCCACTGCACTCCAGCCTGGGTGACAGAGTGAGACACTGTCTCAAAAATTAATTAATTAATTAATTCTCCTCTAGAGCTGGCCATGCTGTTTGGCGGCTCACAGCTGCATGCTGCTTCTAGAAAGAAGACTGGTGGGATGTGGGGTGATGTTGCACAGACCTGTGCTAATTTCCAGAAAGCCAGCTCAAAGCCCCTTTTAGAAACAGGTGGTGTCATTTCATTTATATGGACAGAAAGACCACATATTACCTTTTCTTCACACTCAGACTTCTCTTAAAAGGTAGATGGTTTTATCTGATGAAAACATAATCCCTGAGTTGGCATTATATTTCTGTGAATATTAGTCCTTTTAAGGTGGCTGTGGGCTCTACTCTCTTTCAGTACTGCAATCTTCCATTCAGAGAAGATTTTAGGAAGGCAGACATCCTTTAGATATTTTTGATTAGTATTTTATCAGATTTGTGTGTGATGGAATCATGAGTTTTAAAAGAACTAGCTTTTGTAGTGTGTTTCACTTTTAGCTTGATGACTCCAGTTTAATCCAAGGAAGATCACTACAAGTCTATTTCATAGTCATGTACTTTCTAATGTAAGTAGTCTCTTTCTTCACAGACATTAAAATTCTCTCCTTGCAGGTTAATATATTTTAATAACTTTTTTGTTATTGTTCTCACTATGTAATACATATATATGCACATATCCAACATCTTTGGAAAACAAACAACAAAAATAATTTTCTGTAATTCATCCACTTAGAACAATAGTTCTGGGCCGGGCGCGATGGCTCATGCCTGTAATCCCAGGACTTCGGGAGGCTGAGGTGGGCAGATCACAAGGTCAGGAGTTCGAGAGCAGCCTGGCCAACGTGGCGAAACCCCGTCTCTACTTTAAAAATACAAAAATTAGCTGGGCGTGGTGGCAGCCGCCTGTAATCCCAGCTACTTGGGAGGCTGAGGCAGGAGAATCGCTTGAACCCAGGAGGTGGAGGTTGCAGTGAGCCGAGATCCTGCCATTGCACTCCCTCCAGCCTGGGCGACAAGAACAAGACTCCATCTCAAAAAAAAAAAAAAAAAAAAAAAAAGAACAATAGTTCTGAATCAGGGACAGTTTTTGCCTCACAGGGAACATTTGGCAACGTCTAGAGACACTTGTGGTTGTCACAGCTGAGGATGGGGTGCTACTAGCATGTAGTAAGTAGAGGTATGCTGTTAAACACCTCACAATTCACAGGCCAGCTCCTAACTAATAAATATTAATAGTGGCCCATAATGTCAAAATTATAGTATGCCTTCTTTGTCTTTTTCTCGTGCATGTTTATAATAATATATTTTCAAATATTATATCATCTATAATGCTTTGTAAATTCCTCTTTTAACTTAAAAATGTACCATATGCATTTACTATGTATTACATATCCTTGTAAGATAAGGTTTTTAAATACTAACTTTTTTATTATGGAAATTTTCAATATATAAAAAGTATAAAAATAAAATCTCAGATTCCTATCATACGGCTTCAACAATGATCAACTCAGGAAATCTTTTCTATATTCCTCAGTTATTCCCTCCATATTATGTTGAAGAAGCTGCCAAATATCATATTTTCATCCATGAATACTTTAGCATGTATTCCTAATAGATTTTTTTGGTAATAGGATTCTTTTGTAAAACAATTCTAACAAAGGCTCCATAATATCCTATACTGTGGATGCATTATATTTTATTTAACAGTCTGCTATTGAATTTTTTAGGTTGTTTCTAGTTCTCCTAGAATTTTTTTCTTGTGTTTGGTTGGAGGTGTTGGTTTTTTTGTTTTAATCTTCATGTAGCATATTCTCCTTGTTCTACAGGTGAAGTAGAAAGTGTGCAAACTAAGCAAGTCAAGAGTGAGCACAGGACCCTTAATTTCATTAAACACTGTGTAACTGGTAAAGATTAATGTACATATCTCTTGCTAATTCTTTCCAATTACTTAGTTCATATAAATTCCCAAGCCTGGTTAATTATGCTGAAGTCAGGTAGTAATTTTGAACAGTGTTCCAACAACAAGGGAATTTTCCTGGTGTAACCTTGCCCTCTCACACAGACTCTCAGCAGATTAGGCCCTCAGCCTGGAGTGCATTCATTTTCCACTCAGGCCTAATTGCTGCCGACTGGCTGCCACAGGTACCTGGATAGCCTGAGTTTAAAGAGTCAGGGACTTCTGAGAACAAATAAGGAAAGATTAATTGTTTGTTTTGTTCCCTCCCAAGAGAAATGTGGGTGCTTAATCAAGAAAAATAATTTCTTCTGTTGATTTGGCTTATTTGGAGAAAAGATAATTGTGTAAAGGTAGGTGCAAAATGATGCCTTTTATAAGAGAAATTGCCACTTACCTATACAAGAGACAAGCATATGGGGAAATAAATGTAAGACAGTGACGAAATGGATGGGGATGGCTCACATTTCTCATAGTAAGTAATTTGGCTGTTGGGCTTTTATTTGTACCGATAGTGCTAGCTAGTGTTGTCATTTGTTTTGTCTGGACCTTCGGAAATCTAATCAAGGAGACAATGGTGTAAAAAAAATCAACAACACTTTTCCAAATTGTTCTTAATTACTAGAGTACAAAGTGAACTAAATGCTGTGATGTTTCCAATTAAAGAACCTGTTTCAAGCAAGCGCTATTAAATCTATCTTTCCCAATCTGATAAATAAGCTATCAAAGAGTGGAGCCAGATTAATGGAGAGCAATTAGTTCTAGATTTCTTATAATAGGGAATGTGAACCAACATTGTTAATGAATCTTGCGGTTTATGGCATGGTAACTGTGTCATTTGTACCTCTGGCATATCAAAAAGGAAAATTGATTAAATGTTATCGTATTTCCTATGATTTTTAGTGCCAAAAACTGTTTTTTTCCAAAATCTACAGTTATATAAGAAGGACATTTGCCATATTCTGAATCAGAGTTGACCCTTGTATTTGGAAAAGAGGAAATGATTAAATTAAAAAGAAGTACATATTGTCCCTCTAATAGGAAGGGATAGACTTGCAAACACAAGAATGTCTAGACTAGGCAGAAGTTAGCAAACTTTTTCTTTTTTTTATTATTATACTTTAAGTTCTAGGGTACATGTGCACAACGTGTAGGTTTGATACATAGGTATACATGTGCCATGTTGGTTGAAGTTAGCAAACTTTTTCTGTGAAAGATTCGATAGTAAATATTTTAGGCCATGTGAGCCATATGGCTGTGTTGCAATTACTCCACTCTGCCATTGTAGTGCAAAAGCTACCATAGATGATACATAAAGAAAAGAGATGGACTGTGTTGAAACATAACTTTATTTACAAAGGCAGCAGCCAGACCTAATTTGGCTGTTAGGCTGTAATTGACCCCTAGACTAGAGGCTGGTGGCAGTTTGGGCAGATAGGCAATAGTAAGGACTTGAATGGAAAAGCAAGGCCCAGCATAAGGAAGATGTGGATTCAGAGCCCTGAGTCTCCACTCTGCCCTATAAACTAGGGTAGTTACTTAACCTTGCTGAGCACTAGTCTCCTTTCCTTACTAGAGAGAAAAAAAGATATACCACATAGAGTTGTTAATGATGACTAAATTAGCTAAAATACATGAAGCATCATCTAATTCCTAAAATATAACAGGCATACAATAAAGAGTAGCTACCATTTTTTCCTCAGATCTGGGCTATATTTAGCTTGTGTGTTTTTTCCTCATTTTCCTCAAACCCCAGAATGTCCCCAGGAATTCAAGGAGTCTGGAGGTTAATGCCCAGTCTTAAGTATTTAGTCATGAAAATTAAATTTGAAAATATTCTTTCAGGAACCATCTCACTGACTAAAACCATGACTGATTTAAAATGCTACTTAGGAATATACAAGGCAGAAATTTTAAAGATGATGCAGAGTGTTATGACTAGAAAGTTCTGATGGAATCTTTTACCCACTCACGCATTCATTAATTCATAAAATAAACGTCTTTTAAGAACCTGTGCTGGGCCAGACTCTCTGCAGGTGCTTTACCCTTATTATCTCCTAGCCCTCACCACCATACTAGCTCAGCAGCAGCATCTGGTATTGGAAGTCGGTCTGCCTAAATATGAGCTATTTTGTTTAAAACCACAGGTGTAAGCCTATCTGTAAAATACATCAGTTTTCCTCAGTAGACAACGTGGTAGCAACCACACTGAAATTGCCTTGAACCTCTTTCAGACCCTGGTGTTCAAGGGAGCCGATCTGATGAGCGCCTGTGGGAAGCTGGTACCTGAGGGGCAGCACGTGCTGCCCTCTCACTAGCGTGTCTCCAAGGTGGACCATGTACAATGATCCCCTGGGGAGCAGAAAGCAGCCAGGAAACTTGCCATTCTGTTTATTTTTCTCTGATAAAAAGGTGGATTAAGCTTTATTAATATACCATTTAGACCGATAACAGTACTTTCACAAGTTGAAATGTCAGACTGCCTGGGGTCACATTTGATACGGGCATCCCCACAACCAGGGGCCTGACTTGTTCATTAGAGCCCACTGCGATTTGTGGGGCCTGATAGGTGGACTTATGAGTTATATTATCTGCATTCACCTAAACCTCACAAAAGGCACACATGGCTTACCAGGAGTCCTGCTGGGAAACCACCGGTTGAAGATTAAACCACGAGCTCACGTGAATGGCAGTAGCACCTGCGCTGTCGCTTCTGCAAGTCCTCCTGAAAGTTCTCTGCAGCCCTCCCTTAATCTGACCCTTCAGAGTAAAGGCCCTTCGGACACCAAGTGGGAAAGTAGGTGACTTTTGAAAGAAAACAAATCTTGGAGAGAATAATTTGAACATGGATGTTTTTAAAAATGTCTATTATTATGGGATGTTGTTGCCAGAATGAATGTGTGTAACCTATAAAATTCTCTCTACCTCCCTTAAAACTTGATTGGGAGGCCGAGGCAGGCAGATCACCTGAGGTCAGGAGTTCAAAACCAACATGGTGAAACTCCATCTCTACTAAAAATACAAAAGTTAGCCGGGCGTGGTGGCATGCACGCCTATAATCCCAGCTATTCAGGAAGGTGAGGCAGGAGAATGGCTTGAACCTGGGAGGCGGAGATTGCAGCAAGCTGAGATCATGCCACTGCACTTCAGCCTGGGCAACAGAGCGAGACTCCATCTCAAAACACAAAAACCAAAAAACTTGGAAGTAGAATTTTTAGCCTGTTTAAAATGTTTCATAGGAAGAGTTTGGGTGGGTCTTTGACCTCAAATTGTTTTAAATGCAACATTTTCCCATTGTTCTGTAAAGAACAACTGTGTGACATCAAGAAGGGCAATTTCCTGACCAAATCTCATCAGGAAATCTTTGTATTTTAGGTGGACAGAATTGAAAGAATAAGTATTGTGATTTAGCAAGTGCAGTTGTTGGGTCTACTTGTCTTCATAAGATATTTTGACAATGGCAGTCATTAAAACCAGGTATTGATGAGATAAGCTGAATTTTCAGTCACTGTTGAACACAAGCAACAGCAATCACTGTGTTGCAACCTAATAGAGCATATCTATTCACAGTACTCACAAATTAAAATATTATCACTACTCATATTAGAATAAGAACAGCAGGGTTTTTTGTACCAGTAATAGATACAATAAAATAAAATTTGTTTATTACTTCATCTTCATATTATTTTAAAATATCTTTTTGTATGTGTTTTATACGGTATCTAGTTGGCACAGTAGTATCTTGATATCAGGTATAATTAAATATGCACTAAATATGCTAAATATGTTAAATATAAATAACCTAAATATGTTAGGGTTCTTTTACATTGGAGAAGTGTATGATAAAAAACGTTTGGAAAATACTGGTCTAACACTGTTCCATCCTGAATGGAACCTCCTACTCTAGGTTTTAAGTAAAATAGTGTAGTAACAGACTGTGTAGAACCTTTTTATTTAAAGATATTCTTTTTGTTTATAATTTATTTATAACTTGTTTATAATTTATTACATAAGGTGCTCTGTTTTCAAAAATCTGTGTTTTAAAAGTTCTTTCCCATTCAGAATGTGTCCACCTCTTGCTTGTGGGGTGTAAGTGGTGGGTTATTTTCAGGCTAGATGAAGGGCCTCACTTCCACATAGCTGAAACCAGAGTGAATTCTAGTTGTGGCAATGGAGTTAAGGTCTTAAGAAAGTCTAACACTTTCTAAAACATTTCCTGGTTTTGCCTTCTCTACTTTTTCTTGTCTCCATTTAGACAACAGATATTGGTTTTCAAAAAAAAAACTTTACTTTTTCCACAGAGGATGGTGGTGTTCTGAGAGGGAATTGTGGCTAGTATTCCATTTTTGCTATTTCCCGACCCTTGCAGGATTCAGGATGAAATCGTAACATCTCTTGTTCCAGAGTGCCTTTCATGTAACTGATACACAAATAAATTGACATTTCTTTTTTTATCTCTCATACACCTGGAATATCAGAGGATATTCCACAGTATTATTCCGGAAAGACATCAGAGCAGTGTGGATATGATGTTGGAACTCTGATCATCTGTTTCTGTTATTATTTTAAAACATTCACGATAGGAGACTAATCCTGGATCCCTCTTGCCCCAGTGAGACCTTCTTTATATTCCACATCCATTACCGAATTCAGCACCGTCGCACCCAGGGTGCTGCTTGTGGGCTTGCTTATTTCAGGCATTATTATTCTTTGTCTCTGCACCACCCACCCACCTACCCCTATTCAAGACTTTCTCCACGGGCCTCTCTTGTACTATTTTGGAAAAATCTGGGCCCTTCTTAGTTCTTTTGTAAAAACTACTCTCTTCACTAAACTCAGGCCCATGACTGTGCCCTGGAAGCTATTTGTGATTAGTCAAAAGAGTGCCTTCCTTGTTTGTCCTCGCCGCTGCCGTTGTTGTTTACTGCTTTTTTCCTTTCCTCTAAGATCATCATGGCAGTTTTCTCATTTGCTCTGGGTCCTCTGGCTTACTCTCAGAGTTTCTGGGTGGATATTCCTTTTCATGATATCTAGTTGCCTACCTACCAAACTACCTACTGAACTTTTTAATTTGAAGATATTCTTCCTAGACTACTTGTTTATAGTTTATTAAATGAACTGCTCTATTTCTAAAAACTTTATTTTTAAAGTCCTTTCCCGTTTAGAATGCGGCATACTCTTGCTTGTGGGGTATATATCTCTGATCGTGATAACTACCTACCGAAAACCTTTCGTGGCTCCTTGCCAACTACAAAATTGTGATATTCTTAGGCCAGGTATTCGGAATTCCAGCCTTATTCTGCACAAATCTTTTTTTTGAGACGGAGTCTCGCTCTGTCGCCCAGGCTGGAGTGCAGTGTCATGATCTTGGCTCACTGCAAGCCCCGCCACCAGGGTTCACGCCATTCTCCTGCCTCAGCCTCCCGAGTAGCTGGGACTACAGGTGCCCGCCACCCCGCCCGGCTAATTTTTTGTATTTTTAGTAGAGACAGGGTTTCACCGTGTTAGCCAGGATGGCCTCCATCTCCTGACCTCGTGATCCGCCCGTCTTGGCCTCCCAAAGTGCTGGAATTACAGGCATGAGCCACTGCGCCTGGCCATATTCTGCACAAATCTTATGTGTCAGCCACACTAGTTTACTAACTAACCTCTTGACTTGGCCCGTGTGATTATAGACCCTGTACCTGTACCCTCCTCTTTTCTCATCTCTGTTTGCCAAGGCACCCCACAGGCTTATTTCCAGTACACCCTTGTGTTAGGGTTCTCTAGAGGGACAGAACTAATAGGATAGATGTATGTATGAAGAGCAGTTTATTAAGATGAATTGACTCACACAATCACAAGGTGAAGTCTCACGATAGGCTCTCTGCAAGCTAAGGAGCAAGGAAGCCAATCCAAGTCCCAAAACCTCAAATGCAGAGAAGCTGACAGTGTAGCCTTCAGTCTCTGGCCAAAGGCCTGAGAGCCCCTGGCAAACCACTGGTGTAACTTTAAGAGTCCAAAAGCTGAAGAACTTGGAGTCTGATGTTTAAGGGCAGGAAGCATCCAGCATGGGAGAAAGATGAAGACTGGAAGACTCAGCAAGTCACCTTCTTCTGCCTGCTTTATCTTGGTTGCGCTGGCAGATGATCACATGCTGCCCACCCAGATTGAAGGTGGGTCTGCCTCTCCCAGTCCACTGACTCAAATGTTAATCTCCTTTGGCAGCACCCTCACAGACACACCCAGGAACAATACTTTGCATCCTTGAACCCAGTCAAATTGACACTCAGTATTAACCATCACAAGCCCACCCCTCGTCAACTTGAACCCATACACATCTCCTGAAATCATACTTAATCTTCAAATAAAGACAATAATGAGGTCATAATTATGTGTAACGTAATACAGCTATTCTTCATGCAATCAGAAGCTCACTAATCTTAACCTAAATGTTATTACATAAAGTTAACATTTAAATGCTGATAAGAAATCCATTTATCTTATATCACATGATAAGGGAAAAAGAAAGGAAATAAAATGAAGATATTTTCTTAAGTGTATACTTGCACAAACATGTTCTGTTAAAAATAAGGAGGAAATGTGACAGTTACAGTCCTCATTCATGCAACTGGTCATGTGATCATAGCTGGTATTGATGACTACCTTCTTCTACTGTCTATTCTGTATTCCCTTTGCCCTCAGCCAGCACCTCAGTGGGTCATGGTTTTTTACCTGACCTGGTGGAGTGATCCAAACCTTCATTCCTGAAGGGTCTGGGCCATTTGTAGTCCTGCCTGGATTGGGCTGTTGTAGTTTCCCATTCACCTTAAATCACAGGGCATGGTAATATTAAGAACCATCCAAAAGGATCTCTTGTATTCCACTCATACTCTTCCTTTCTCCATTGTGGAGTAGTAGACTGATTCCATCTTGATAGTCTTGGTCAGTCACCCCAACCAACACTGTAACTCCCTTCTTAGCCTGTTGACTTAGAGGTAGGAAGAGCTCATAGTGTCCAGATGGCAATCTTAACTTCCAGTTTAATGGAATCATTGTTGTGTCTCCTGGTGGCAGCATTCCTCCCTCTGGAACTGACACCTTTAGGTTAGCAGAACATAATGTCGAGGGAACAGAAAGCAAACATTTTGCTAGTGGGTCACTAGGGGTGATGGTAAATGATGCCACTTCCACTTCCACCCCTTGATTCCTAGACGCGTGAATCCTGGCTATGAGAGAAGCAGTAGCATATATTGGATGCTGATTCAAAGAATACACAGCCTCCTAGAGAGCTGCCCCAGCCCTGCAAAGTATTGTCACCTAGCTGGCATTGTAATTGTGACTTCAAAAGGCCGTTACATCGTTCGGTCAATCCAGCTGCTTCAGGATGATGGAGAAAATTGTAAGACCAGTGAATTTCAGGAGCATGAGCTGACTGCTGCACTTCTTTAGCTGTAAAGTGAGTGCCTTGATCAGAGGCAGTGCTGTGTGAAATACCATGACTGTGGATAAGGCATTCTGTGAGTCCATGGATGGTAGTCTTGGCAGAAGCATTGCGTGCAGGATAGGCAAACCCATATCTGGAGTAAGTGTCTGTTCTGGTAAGGACAAACCTCTGCCTTTTCCATGATGGAAGAGGTCCAGTATAATCAACCTGCCACCAAGTAGCTGGCTGATCACCCCAAGGAATGGTGCCATATCACGGGCTCAGTGATAGTCTCTGCTGCTGGCAAATTGGACACTCAGTGGTGGCCATAGCTAGGTCGGCCTTGCTGAGTGTAAGTCCATGTTGCTGAGCCCATGCATAACCTCCATCCCTGACACCATGGCCACTTTGTTCATGGGCCCATTGGGCAATGACAGGAATAGCTGAGGAAAGAGACCGAGTGGTGTCCACAGAACGAGTCATCCTATCCACTTGATTATTAAAATGCTCCTCTGCTGAGGTCATCCTTTGGTGAACACTCATATGGGATAGAAATATCTTCACAGGTTTTGACCACTCAGAGGGGTCCATCCACATACCTCTTCCCCAGATTTCTTTGTCACCAATTTTCCAATCATGCTTCTTCCAAGTCCCTGACCATCAAGCCAAACCATTGGCTATAGCCCGTGAATCAGTATATAATCACACATCAGACCATTTCTCCTCCCATGCAAAGTGTACAGCCAGGTTCACTGCTCAAAGTTCTGCCCACTGGGAAGATTTGCCTTCACCACTGTCCTTCAGGGCTGTCCTAGAAAGGGACTGTAGTGCTGCAGCTGTCCACTTTCAGGTGGTGCCTGCATATCATGCAGAACCATATGTGAACCAGGACCTAGTCATCTCTTCCACTGATCATAGGGAACTCCCTGTGAAGCCATTGGTGCAGGCTGGGGAGGAGAAGGCTGGGTGGCAGTAGTGGGAACCATGGGCATTTGAGCCACTTCCTCATGTAACTTACTTGTGCCTTCAGGACCTGCTCAAGCCTGATTACGTATATATCACTTCCATTTAATGGTGAAAAGCTGCTGTGCATGACCCACTTTATGGCTAGATGGATCAAAAAGCATCCTGCTCGTGATAGGCAGTTCAGGTTGCATGGTAAGTTGGCAACCCATAGTCAAGCGTTCAGTTTCTACAAAAGCCAAGTAACAGGCCAAGAGCTGTCTCTCAAAAGGAGAGTAGTTATCTGCAGATGATGGCAGGGCCTTGCTCCAAAAATCTTAGAGGCCTTTGCTGTAATTCACCTATGAGGGCCTGCCAAAGTATCCCTATCTGCCACTGACACCTCAAGCACCATTGGATCTGCTGGGTCATATGGCTCAAGTGGCAGAGCAGCTTGCACAACAGCCTGGACTTGTTGCAGAGCCTTCTCCTGTTCTGGACTCGAAACTGGCAGCCTTTTGGGTCACTCAATAAATGGGCTGGAGTAATGTGTTGCCTCCAAAATCTACATAGGTCCACTAGGCATTGTGCCTCTTTCTTGGTTGTAGGAGGGGCCAAATGCAGCAACTTATCCTTCACCTTACAAGGAGTATCTCAACAGGCCCCACACCACTGGACCCCTAGGAATTTCACTGAGGTAGAAGGTACCTGAATTTTAGTCAGATTTATTTCTCAACCTCTGGCATGCAAGTGTCTCACCAATAAGTCCAGTGTGCTTGCTACTGCTTGCTTATAGGATCCAGTCAGCATAATGTTATCAGTGTTATGGACCAGTGTGATACCTTGTGGAAGGGAAAATGGATCAAAATCTCTGTGAACAAGATTATGACACAAAATCGAGAGTTGTTGTACGCTGAGGTAGGACAGTGAAGGTGTATTGCTGGCCTTGCCAGCTGAAAGCAAATTACTTCTGGTGGGCCTTATGGACAGAAATGGAGAAAAAGGCATTTGCCAAATCAATGGCTGCATACCAGGTACCAGGAAATGTGTTAATTTGCTCAGGCAATGAAACCACATCTGGTACAGCAGCTGCAGTTGGAGTTACCACTTGGCTAAGCTTATGCGAATACACTGTCATTCTCCAAAATCCATCTGTCTTCTGCACAGGCCAAATAGGAGAGTTGAATGGATATGTGGTGGAAATCACCCCTGCATCTCTCAAGTCCTTGATGGTGGCACTAATCTCTGTAATCCCTCCAGGGATGTGATGTTTTTGATTACTATTTTTCTAGGTAGAGGCAGCTCTAACGGCTTCCATTCGGCCTTCCCACCATAATTGCCCTCACCCTACCAGTCAGGGAGCCAATGTGTGGGTGCTGCCAGCTGCTAATCATGTCTATACCAATTCTGCATTCTGGCATTGGGGAAATGACCACAGGATGAGTCCGGGGAATCAGTGGACCTAAAACTCCATTAATTACCTGACCTCCGTAAGCCCCTACTTTAACTGGAGGACCACAATGATGTTTTGGGCCCTCTGGAATCAATGTCAGCTCAGACTTTTCTTGATTCTCCACATCCAGGTGTGCTATTCTTAAACCTTAATGCACTTTAGTTGACCATTACCCCATCACATTTTTCCTTCTGTTATAGCTCTTATGGTATTGGTCTTAGTTCTCCACACCAGATTATCAGTCCTGTATGTCACCCATCTGGGCTCCCCACAGTGTCACCTAACTTTAGCTCAATCCTCCTTGATTGTTGTCCCAAGGCTGCCAGATACATACTTGGTTTTGATGATATTTGATATTATTTTAATCCTTCTTTTTGTTTGCTGAAAATAAATTTATGGTTTTTTTTTTGTTCTTTGATAGCTTGGAACATAATCCTATATTTCAATGAGTCATGTCTGCATGATTTCATTATGTAGTATTTCATTGTATTATATTCTCTACATTGATAGGGATATTTCTGTATTACTTGATATATTTAACTTTTGAAATTAAGCGGCATAAAAATTTTTAAATTTTGTACAGCAAAAATGTCACCACAAATTCAAATCCTAAGACAAAAAGACTGAAAAAATATATTCAAGACATATGACAAAGATCTGATTCCTATGATATGCAAAGAGCTTTTACAAATCATTAGGAGGAAGACAATCTAATAAGAAAATTGGCAGAATTCATTCATTTAAAAATCATTATAAATGATCAGTAAATGGGAAAAGATACTTGATTAATCAAGAAATGGTAGATTAAATGAGATAAGGTATTAACTTTTGGATCTGCAAAGATTAAAACAAAACATTTGTGCCCATCATTGGTAAGGGTACAAAGGAATAATCATTCCCATATACCTTTAAGGGAACTGAAATTGTAGCAACCTTTTGAGAAACCAACTTGACAATTCCCTCTCTATGAATCTGTCTTACAATTATTCTTACATAATTTGGCCGTGCTGTATGTAAGGCATTTTCATTGCAATATAATTATTAACATTGCCCAATAAGAGGGGATTTGGTTAAAAATGTATTGGAATATTCATATAGTGGAAAGATTTACAAAATGCTCCATGGAAATTCCAAAGAATGCTTTAAATGTATGTATTCTGATAAGGAAAGATGTCCAACACCTATGGCTGATATAGGAAGAAATATGGGAAATTCTCCAGAGACACTTTTTTTTAATATAGTGTTTGTCTTCTGATCAGTAACATTCACAATTTGGAGGTCCGTGAAGACCAAAATGTGGGAAATCTTGTAATCACTCAGTCATTAAAAAAAAAAAAAAAAACAGGCAAAAAGATCTTATCTTTTTATGATTGGAGTTGTTTAAAGTGCTGTTTAAGTGTAAGAAACCTGTGTTATTTATTCTCATAGCCACAACTTTCTGTTGTTATTCTTCTTTTAGCAAGACAAATAACATGAGTTTAGTAATTGTGCCATATTATCACTAGCCAAATAAGAGAATTTGCTGTAGAAGTACAAGGATGAAAGTCACTCTTCCAGATTGATGCTATTTATTTTTCATTGGCACACAAAAGGTTGCTAGTATCCCCTGGTCAGGTTCTGCCAGCCCTTTACACCAGTAATTGTATTGTTCCATGTCTTTATCAAGGAATCCCTTGCCAGTGAGTTTTTGGGAGGGACAAGTGTCAAGGAAGAGAAGCCACGATGAAGTCCCCGTGATTGAGCAAAGATTACACTGCTGAGGGCATTCTACAAAAACTTGTCAGTTTGCTGCCCAAATAAATGCCTAGAGTGCGTAAAACGCAGAGCACAGTGACCCCAGGAAGAAAAATCAATTGCAATTCATATTTCATATGTCTATGATTGCTTGTGAGAGCATGGCAGCGGTTTGTTTGCAGGGCAGCTTTTCCTCTCCTGTTGTTTCCTTTCTTTTCCCTTTTCTAATGGTATGTCTTTCACATTCTCTGATTTACAGTGGAGCAAAATTTGGATTTTTTTTTTCTTATCCACATTACCATTCTTATTACTGGTGCCCTGTACTGGATTTGGTAGTGCATTGCACTGTAGACAGGCATAGACCATACACTAGGAATGGTTATTTTGCTTTGAGATTCTTGAAGGTGTGGGTTGGTGTACTTTGTTTTCCTTTGAAGTGAAGAAATGGGGTTGTGGAAGAAACCATCTTTTATTCATAGAGTTATTCATTTATTAGGGTTTTAAACATTAAAAGTGAATTTTTACTTGTGGCTGTGGTCTTAAATGCTTTTTCATCGGAACAGGGGACCCATAATACCTGCTAATTTTAAAAATCACCCAATCTATCAACCCTCTCTTGCTCCAACCCACCCCCACCCCTTCCCAATACATACACTTTCTCATAAGAAGCTACTTTTGGATTCGTAGCCCTTCTGTGGACTGAGATGTCATAGGGATAGAGAAAATGCTGCTCACTTTATGGATTACTGTTAGGTCAACAAAACTTTGGCAGCATTGATTAACTTGACAGTGAGTACAGCAGTACATTTATCACTTATGGCTGTGCTGTAGAAAATCTAATAAGAGGCAAACAATTCCCTTTAGAGCAGTAACAGGTTCACTGTGGCTAACGGTGCATGCACTGGAAATTTCTGCCTTTAAATTATACCCTTGCTGCTGGTTGACTCAAAGCTACTGCACTTCTATAGTCATGCTGTTGCTGTTAATTTCATCACAATTATTTGACTTAAATAAGTATTTAAATTGTTAAGAATATATAGTGTTTAAACATCAGAGTAGAGGAATTAGGTATACTTCTAAGATTATGATTTTAAAGTAATAGCTGGAAATAGAGAGTTCTATTGTTTGAGTTCTTATGATGATAGGAATATCACAAGGAAATTACTTCCCACAATCACCATAAAATTTAGCCTGTTTCATAATGGAGAACTTTGGGGAAAATTTTAGTCTCAGCCAAATATTTTGTAAGATATTTGTAATAGTCTTTGATGTGAAATGATATACAAACATTGATAAGAATTTGGTGGAATGTTTCAATTTTTTTTCATATTGAAGATATCCTGGTAAGACTTTTCATACTTATTTTCTTTTCTCCTATATAACAAATAGCATTACTCATTTTCCCCATGTATTATTTAATCTTTAACAATGCACTTTGGTATACATTTGAAAAACTAGGACAAAATATGTTCATTGAATAACACGAATTATATCTAATGTTTAGAGAAGTGTTTACAAGTGTGATAAATTTAGTAGACCAGGGTAAAGAATAACAAGATTAGGTTTTGAACTGTTTTGTAATAGTTATCTGGAAAAGTAAAGAGTATTTGATTAATAAGTAACTCTTGTCACTTTATAGCATACAGAAAATCTGAAAACATGCTAAAACAAAAGCCGTCTTCTCAGGGGCAGTTCTAATTTCACATGGCAGTGTATATTTTTTTCTATCAAACTTCTTGTTAGACTTTCTAGAAAGATACCTAATTTATCTTATTTTTATTCCTGTGCTACCCTAGAATTCACAGTTCAGCTGGAGATATCCAGTTAAAATGGAAAAGTTCCCAGCTTTTTTAGTGTTTTCAGTTTTTCTAGGAAACAGTCTTCAATTGAGGGCTTTTATACAGTAGCATCTGTGAGATGATATAGTTTTCTTTGTTGGGAGAAAGTATTCTGCTTGAATCAATTGTCAAGAGGTTTAATGTAATAAGGCAGCTTGTGGTATGACTGAAAGAAACACAGTGCACAAGAAATTCCCACAGCAGTTTGTTTTTAGAAGAAAAACTGAGTTCACCTGAAACATGAATACATTGAAAACCAAGACTTAATAAGGCAGAGCTGAGAAAGAGCTGAAAAGGTTGCTGTCCAAAGGCCCATGTCAGTGATCTCATCCAATATTTGTCTTTGAAATTCTAAAAGGCATATAAACCAAAATTACTTTTTCTCAGGCTTTGGGAACTACTGCCTTGAATCAGTAACATTCAAGCCTGTTGATGTTACTGTTTTGATTTAATTCAATGAGAATGTATTCTGTGTAATCTACAGGGTAAATGTAATATATCCCTTCTAAAACAGTCTTTTCTGAAAGAGCTACGTCTACCACTCTGGATTTCACAGGTTACAATAGTAGTACCCCCACCATTTGCCCTCATGAACAGAGGCCGGGTATTGATTAACTATCACGCTGGCATCAGAACTACTCTTAGGATTCAATTTTTTTGTTGTTTTGCATATTTTATTGATCAAAGTGGTAAATGAGCATCAAGCGTGCAAGAAGACGATGAATTGTTTACTTGCATAAAATAACCTTTCAATAAGGGAAGATGCATGGCTTACACTTTGGTTCTGTTCTGCGGCCCGAAGCAGATGGCATTCAGCTGCTATTGATTTGCTTCCATAGTTAAGGAGCAGCCTGCAACCCGGCATGCCCACTGCATTGTGAAAAGGGGTGTAGATCTGGGGACCAGGGTGGAAGCCAAGAAGGGCTTATGAGCCCACCCCCAAATCCTAAAGAAAAAAATTTTGTTTGGAAACCGTGCATACCTACTTAAATGAAAACTTGAATTAACATAATTAGATGTGATAGGGCCACTTTATGCCCTGGTGCTTTTAAAGAAAGAACATTTGTGGTCATCACTTATGCAGATGTCTCCAGTGAATAACAAATACAGTAATAATCAGAGAATACTAATTTTAAGCATGTGATATTTGAAGAAAACTAAATAAAACCTCTCCTCCTGCCTTCGGGGTAAAATTAGGTAATCTTTAGATACACCACATAATGCCCACCGTTGAGCATTCTGGCCTTAAATAAAAATGAATATACAAGTTGTGCTGACAGCCCACCTTTCCATGTTTACCAGTTGTGCCATCTCCATTTATTCAGCGGTCCACCCGAATCTTTTGTTAGCAACCACATTTGTTTTTAAAATGACTTTCCTTAATAGGTAGTTGCAGATGTTGAATTTATAAACATTTTCCTTGAAGCTGTGTCCAACAATGACTTTATATCTCAAAAACTAGGATAGGTAGGCTAACCTACCGATTGTGGGTTTTTTCCTTCCTTTTCCACACTCATTAAATATCAAAAGTCCTTTTGTCAAAAACAATATGAAGAAATAGTAAGTATACTTACATCATAAAACATACATTTTATTCAGTAATACACACATTAGTCAAGTTTAGCCAACTTTAATTTTTTGCAATTTTTTTTTGCAATTTATAATTTTAAATATAAGTAACAAAAAATTTATCATGAAGCTGTTTGCCCATAATAGCAGAACTCTGCAGATCTACTTTACTGGGTTCTTCTCACAACCAACCTGTTAGAACAAATAATTGTTTTAAAAGCATTTCAGTAACTGTTATTCCTTATAATGGAAATGTTTTATTGTATGCTATTTTTCTTGTTTGTGGAGGAGAGAGGCAAGTTCACTTTGCTTGATCCCAAGTAAATGTTAGCTTTGTCTCTTCCCAATATCCACTCCTACTCTGGCAATAAAGAGTTTGGGGTTGAAATTTAATTTACTTTCTTCTATAACAAAATGAAGTTGCATTTCATATTTTTGACCTTCTCTTCTTCTAGTAGTAGAAAACTCAACTAATTTCTCAAGGTTTTCACATAAGAGACAGTCTTGACAAGCAGAAGGAGTTTAAGGTGCAAGAGGCACACTTGAAATGCTGGTGTGCTCAGTCGGGTGTGTGCCTTGACTAATTTACTTACTCTGTGCCCCTTCCAGTATCTAGTGTGACAGAGAATACCTACTCCATGCTTTGCCCCTGAAATATGAGCTTTCATTTCCAAGGTGGGAAAAGAGTATTTGGCATCAGCCTTGTCAGACTCAAAAGGAAGTTGAAAAGAAAGAAGACCTTCACTCTACAGGTTGCTGTTGGTGGAAGACCAGTTCAAGTATGGGAACAGAGAGCCATTGCCTCTGAAATTGCCGGTGCTCATGCTTTGTCCCATACAAATGAGAGCTGTGTCCATGAGGTCAAAGGGAATCCGTAAGCTTAAAGTGCAGATGATATCGTGGGGAATATACTTGAATACTTCTAAACCAAGCTCCCAGCACTCCATTTGCATGCCAAAGTATTGATTGTGAAAATATTAAAGCAAAATTATTAAGGTTAGAACTTGTCTTAATTCATGCAAAACATATGTTATTTGTGCCAATTTAGTATGTTTTTAGTAGATAAGTAGTATTTCTACCCTGACATAAAATTAGATATATTTAAAGTGGTATGCTTAATTAGCTTTTCATCAGAAAAAGTCCTCCCCATTCTCTTGACAACACCCTACACTGAGTATTAGCCATATTTAACAGTCTTTTGGCTGACCCAGGAAAAATTTGGTCAGCATCTTCTAGTATTTAGCCAAATCCTCTGACAACTTGACTCTTAAATATCAGCAATAGGAGAGTGAGAAGATGAAAAAGATGTACTTTTAAAAAGGTTTTACTGAGGTATAATTTACATAGCATAAAATGCACATATTATAAGTATACCATTAAATCATTTTTAGGAAATTTACAGAGTTGTGTGACCATCAGTACAATATAGTTTTAGAGTATTTATAACAGCCTCAATATTTGCCTCATGCCCATAGAATCTACTTTTTTTGTCTGTACAGTTTAAGAAATTTCCATTATAAACTTGAGATTTAAAAAATCAAATACATGTTTTGTTTTGTTTTTGTTTGTTTGTTTGTTTGTTTTTTGAGACGCAGTCTCGCTCTGTCTCCCAGGCTGGAGTGCAGTGGCACGATCTCTGCTCACTGCAACCTCTGCCTCCCGGGCTCAAGTGATTCTCCCGCCTCAGCCTCACAAGTAGCTGGGATTAAAAGTGGTAGTGCCTTCCTTTTCTTATCCATTAGTCTTTGACTCTACTCACTCATCCATTTCAGGTTTGGAAGGTGGCTTGTCCTTGGAATATAGACCACCTTGGAAGGTTATGGCTATATCTTAAAATGTGGATTTTGGAACCTGCCCTTCCAGATAGTCAAGAGAAAAAGATAGAAGGCAGGAAGCGGAAGAGAGTAATGTAACGTTCATTCTGTTTGTGCCTTTGTCATTTCCTTTGGCACACACATTTGTTTTCCAGGGAAGAATGACTGGTAGATAATAGAAGCCTTTTCTGTATTAATTTTGTCCCTGATTCCCTGTAGTAGTGAATGCTAGGGGGAAAAGGAAGGAGAACCTCAATTTCTTGAGCATCTCCTATGTCAAGGGCATGCCAGTGCTTCCTGTGTGGACTTGAGTTAAACTGAAGGAGCTGTTGTATCATATTCCACTGCTATTTATTCAGCCTCTGTTTTGAGCAGTTCTTTGAACACATGTTTAATCATATTCTGCATTTAGCATGTAAAATGTATTTTGTGACAAATTAAACTACTTTTTATATTACAGAATTTAGAATTATAATCAACTTAATTATTTGTGCTACTGGAAAAAAATGGGACCTATGGGTAATCTAAAATGAAAACTGATATAAAAAGCATTTTTTATGAAATGAAATTTTGTAGTTATCAGAATATAGGGCATGCTGTCAACAAATTAGGAGAAAGATGCCAATGTTCAGTAGATATTGAGAAAGCTACTGTGGCAGCTGCCCAGCACAGAACAAGTTGTTAACACATAATGCCTTTGAGGAATTTAGGTTGGCCTTTTAGATACCTAAACAGATTATTACAATGTAATATGTGTGTTTGAAAGAAATATGTACAGTGATACAGTTACTAAAGGGGGAGGGGTTTGCTTTGCTTTGTAGGTGGCTCAAAGAATTTACTTTGCTTTCAGCGAAGTCCTTTAGTAGAATAAAAACTGACATTAAATTTAAAAGAATAATAAAAATTAAGTCTGTCCATAGATTTTCTTGTATTATCTATAATGGATAATACATTAAATATTGTGTAGGCATTGGATATTTTATTTGAAAAAATATTAACTCTTTTTTAAAAAACATTTGAATAGTATTAATAGTATTAGTACTGGTAATAATAATGCAGGCTATCCGTAGTTATTGATCTGCTTCTCCAAATAGAATTTTGAATATCTGCTTCTAAAACACACCTAATTCACCAAGAAACTGAGGAAATAAGACCACTGGTGCTATTTTTCAGTAAGTAATATTTTATTCTCAATAGTTAAGTGAATAATTATATAATTAGTCCCAAAGATGGAAGTAAATGAGACATATTCTCAAGTGAGATTTTTCAGCCTTTTTTTTTTTTGCAAGTGCAACAATTTAGATTGTATTTTGATTATTCTTTCCTTCTATTCCTTCCTTTTTTCTCTTAAATGGAATATAATTTAAATTTTGCATATTCTTATTTACTTTTGCATAACTAAAAGGCACCTTATAATTTCTCTTCTCTTTTGTTCTTTCTCTGTCTTAAGACACTTAGAACCTGTGATTTTTAAGCATTTTTGAATATTTACCTATACCATATACCATCTGCATAAAATATAAACCATTTACCTTAGACTCTGTTTATCTCAAAATCAACTCCATTGGAGTCACTGATGAGAGCAGACTTAGCCAGGACTCAGAGTTAGCTTTCAGTGTTAGAATGACTGGCTATTCAGACTTTATCAAAATCCTTCACATATAACCAACAAAGTAGTGAAAAATTTTTGTTGTTGTTGAAACAGGGTCTCATCTTGTTGCCCTGGCTGGAGTGCAGTGGCAAGATCATAGCTCACTGTAGCCTTGACCTCCTAGGCTCAAGCAATCCTCCCGCCTTAGCTACCTGAGTAGGTGGGGACTACAGGCGTGTGCAACCATGCCCTGTTAATTTTTAAAAAAATTTGTAGAGATGAGGTCTCACTATGTGTTTCCCAGACAATGAGCAAATATTTTAAAACTATGACTGTATTGCTTCTATTTATATTTAGAGTGAAGTTGGTATGTTTGAAAAGGTGTACTTTTAGGTTTGCTAAATATTCATATTATTGTGATAGTCATCAGATTACTAACAGAAGGCCACTAAAGAATAATTGATATTTGTTGCTTTACTGTAACATCAGCATCAATGTTTTTTTCCAGAGTAATCATTAGTATTAATTAGTGAAGAAATGCCTATTCTATCAAAACTGGGTTTACTGATGGAGAGTTCAGTCACAGACACAGATCCATCACTCTTCTCTCTGTAGCTTGCTCCCCTCTTATGTGCCATATGATCATCACAGCAATCTGTTGGAAGCTGTAACTTGAATAGCAGATTTTTTCCCTGAAAATATGATTAGCTAACATGTTATGTAATTAAAAGTATGTAGGCATTTCAGACTGTATTCTTAGAATAGCTACAATACAGAAAAAAAAAATCCACTGCATTTTATACTTTTAAACTTCAATCTATCAGATTGATCCTTCTTTTTTCTTTACATAAATGACACAGTTAATGGAGCAAAGGATGTCTAAGCTTAAAGAAGCTCCTAAAAAATGAGAGCATTAACCCCAACTGCACTGAATTCCCTGAACGTCTTGTACTCTCCTGCTCAAACTTGAAGTGGGCATCTGCTGTTTAATGTAATTAGTTTCAAAGAGAATGTCAATCAGCCCTCAGGAGTTTACTCTGACCCAAAAACCCTCATAAGGAAATATCAGTGAGACAAAACAAGAAAAGTTATCGCAGTTGGGAAGCTTCTTCTCACTGCATTATTTGAAGTTATGCTTTAACAGAGTTCAGGTTGCTGTCTGACTCAGTTATATTCCAGTTGCAAAATTGTACTCAAGACAGATTGCTTTAGTGAGTAGCTATTTTCCTCTATTAGAAATGAAGACGTAGTGGACTGTGTAAAAAAAGTCAGGAAATGTTTGCAATTTTGACATGAGTTTTTAGCACTTATTAGGATAATAGGATTTAAAAACTAAAGACAAATTAACCTAATTTTTAGCCTGCTTTTTTCCTTATGCATTAAAAAGTTTAGTGAACAAATGAAAAAACGAAAAAGAAAAAAAGGTATAGTGAACAAGCTGTTTTTAGTTTCTCTTTTTTGTCCTTATTGAAGTTGAGATTGTAATGAGCCATAATAAAGAGGTCAGAGAGGGACTTCTTTGGGTAGCAGAGTCCATTTGATACAAAGCGAGAGCATTACTGTTCTGTTTGGATTATTTTTCCCAAGATTTAGATGAACAATGGCTTATTTTGTGGTAACTTATAACCATATCATCTCATGTCATGACCGTGTTTATTTATTTCCCTGTGGCATCCTCCTTGGTTGAGTCTTATGTACATAGTCAGCCACAGCATGACCTTTCACCAGAGCTTGAGAGAGGCACTGTGGATCCTGCCCTGGGCCAGAGGATGAGGGGGAACAGCTGACCATTGAAGGACCAGAAGGTGGTGAGAGAAGGACTCTTAGGAGCACTTCAGGGAGAGTTCAAGACCTGGATTCTCAACTCTCCTGCCCAAAAAGACACAGAGATTGTCCACTTGGTGGATCTGGGCTTGGTTTATTAGGAAGAAATGCAAGTCATTTAACTTCTCAGAGTCAGTTTTTCCATCTGTAAAGTGCTCTTGAGCTTATCTACCTCAAAGGTAGTTGAGAGGATTAAGCGACCCATTATATGTGAGGCCACTTAGCAAGCCATAAAACGTTATGAAGATATTAGATGTTATTATTGTTTCCTCAGCAAATCCCTTGCTTAATTTCCTATCAGTCTCTAAGTTCTTGCTTCAGCATTCATGTGAACTGGGCCTCCAGCTGCTTTGGGTCAGACACTTGTTGCGGTGGCATCTATTGCCTTCCAAAGCAGAGCATTCCATGAGGAGACTTCAGCATAAAGTTTCTCTTTATACTAAGCCAAAGTTCGCTTTCTCACTATTTAACCTTTCTTGGCCCTGATTCTGCCTCTGGAACAACCCTCATGCGTTCAGAGCCCTTTCTTTGCTGCAGAGATACAGTGATGATGAGGCGGACTCAGCCCTGCCCTCTTGGAGCTGGAGTCCAGTGGACAGAAGCCAAGTAAACCTATCAAGGAAATAATTGCTAGCACTCTGAAGGAAACAAATAAGGGAGCAAGAAAGAGGTTATCAGAGAGTAAGAATGAGTGGAAGAGGAGCTCCAGAGGATGCTGTGATAGCCTGGTTGTCAGAGGTGAGAGAAAGGAAGCAGATGGGTGGATGTGGCTATCATTGGCAGAGATGAGGAAAGTGGACAGTGATGGGTCATAGAGAGGCAGGGTTTTTTATTGTTGTTCAAAGAAATACTGAGTTCTGCTTTGGACATTTTGAATTGCAGATGTCTGTAAGAAATTCAAGTGGAGATGTTAAATAGGTATTTAGTTTTGATGAGTCTGGATCCCAGACAAGAAGTCTAGCCTGGAGATGTGAATTTTCACCTCATCAGCCTTAAGGTTTTAAAATCCATGGCAGTTAGTGGACTTAGGGAGAGGATGCTGGCTAAGCCTTGAAAAGTCCCAACATTTTGAGTTCAGATAGAAAAGGAAGAGGCTACAAAGGAGAGTGAGAATGTGATCTGAAACAAACCCAAAGAGTCACAGAAAAAAGAGAAGTGGGAGGGTGGTTTTCAGGGTGAGTGGTGACTGCTCAGAAGCTGAGTAAAGTGAGGTTAGAAGTGATTTAGCAACTCAAAAGCAACCTGTGGCCATGGCAAGCTGAGGATGGTGGAAGCCGAAGCCAATTTGCAGAGCATGAAAGAGTGAATGAACTGGAGATAAGAAAGGGAAACAGCATCGGTTGAACACTCTTGAAAACTTTTGCCATGAAGAGCAGAGAAATGGGCTATAGCCTCTAAGGGATTTTTTTTTTCCTGTTGTTTTATAGTGAGAGTGCATGTTTATGTGCTGATAGGAATGATTCAGCAGAGATGGAAAGGTGAAGAGACAGATAGGTAAATGCATGGGTGGGTGGGTGGGTGGGTGGATGGATGGATGGATGGAGGGATGGATGGGACTAGTGAATAACTAGGAGAAAGAAGAGCAAAATAACTAAAGAAATGAATATTTGAGAAAGTCAAGGAGTGGATTGAGAGCCAGAGCAGAGATATAGGAATTGGCTTCTGATGGAAGGAGGGACGTTTTCTCCGCTATAGCAGGAGGAGGAGAAGATCGATGGAAGTGCAGTATAGGTAGAGTTGTTGGGATAAAGATGAGGAGGATCAAGCCAGGTGGCTTCTGCATTCTCTGAAGTGTGAAGCGTGGTTATCAGCTGGGAGAGAGGGTGGAGGAAGGGATGAGGGAGATAAAAGGAGAAGAGGATAAGTTTTGAAAATGGGTAAAGGCTGATTCTTCTAGAGCAATAGTTTTCGAGTGTGGTTCCTGGATCAGTAGCTTCGGCATCACCTAGAAACTTGGTAACTTATTTGAAATGAAAATTCTTAGGCCCCACCCAAGACCAGCTAGATCAGAAACTCTCTGGGTTGGACCAAGCAAACTGTTTTAACAAGCCCTCTAGGCGATTCTGATTAGTTTGAGAACTACTGTTCTAGAGAAAAGTAACAAGATTTCTGGACAATATTTTGAGGATAAGAGCTTAAATTTAAAGTGAAACCAGTCTTTTTTGTATTCTGTGATTTTTCTCAGTGTTTAGCAGCTTGGGTAGAGGCATGAATGAGAGATTGCTGGGATTCAGCCAGAACTGAGCTGTCCCGAGTACAGCAGAGGGAGAGAGGCTGATGGGTTTGGAGGTGGTTCAGGGGACTGATTCTGATGGTAGATCACAGCTCCTTAAGCTGGACAAGAGGGCAGAAAATTTAGAGGGGGCTAATGGGAGTCAGAAAGTACTGGGTCAGTAGATTGGAAGTCTCGCCAATAGTAGCGGGGCAACACCATTGCACAGAAGGCCTTTATTGGAACTTATTGGCCCACAGAGATAGTGCTTTTTGAGATCTGAATAAATGAGTTTGCATACCAAGTCTATAGAACAAATACTTTCTTTGGCCTGTGTGCATGCATTAAGGGGCTAGGAAGTTACAACACAAGTGGATTACATATAAAATACAAGCTTTTTAAAGAGAAGTTAATCATAATGTAAATAAAACCATGTAAGAAAATGTTCTCTTTCTTTAAATTATTCAGGAAAAAGGAGCATGCCTGTCAGGTGTTCCCAGGTACTTCCCTGCCCCCCTTTCCAGGACACGGTTGGAACAGACTGAGGTGAGGGTGGTTGAGTAGACCACTGCCTGGTACAGTTTGTCTGGCCAACTAGAGTGGTTAAATAGGCCTGACAAGCTATCTAGGTTGTTGGTTTATCTGTTGTTTTTAGGAGTACCTTTGTGTCTCCTGAGCTTCTGCCCAGCCCCAGTGATGTCTGGCTCCTTAGTCGGGGGTGTACTAGGGATAACCATAGGCAGGGAGGAGAAGTGAATTCAAAAACTTGATCCTGAGATACCAGAGGCACATCGTCCAGCTTTTTATTTTTTAATTAAATTAGTATATCTCCCTCAAACTCAGCTAAGAACTTCAAGATAGGAAACGTTTGCTCAAAGATGTATGTAGACATTTTAACTTGCTAGAATATTAGTGTAAATTCTTGCTATCCCCCTTTAATTGCTCTTAATGGAAGGCTGTTAAATCATCATAAAATTTGTGATTAAAAAGACCTATTAAAGTAGAATTGTATTTTTTTTCCACCAGCCAATGCTAAATTATTCCCTGTGGCTCATTCTACAATGGTTTGGCCATTTCTTTTGTAAAGTAAGTTTAACAAAACACTCCATTTCCATAGGGATACAGTCTATGATTTGTTTAAAAGACCAAATTTGGGAGGATATTTTTCTAGATAATCAGCTTACATTTTTCTTTGTTTAGGTTCATCTCATTACCTATATTCTTGATTTCTTTACTGTCCTGTAATGGGTGTTCTTGGCACCTGCTGAGTTAGGTTTACAAACTTTTTATGTATTAGGCCTTTTCTTTTTATAGACTGTGCATGAACCTAATTGCTTTTTTATTTTTCATATGCTATTATTTGTGTTATGGACTTTTTTAAAGTAGTAAATTAAAAATAGCATATCAACGTTATTTTTTCTTTTTTCCCCTAAGTGTTCTACCCAGTACTAAAGCAGTAAATTAAAAATAGAATATCAGAATTTCTTTTTCTTTTCTCTTTCTCTCTCTTTTTATAGCAATCATGCTACTTAGTATTCTGTTCTATGGGCCAAAAACAGGACTTTACAATCTGCAGAAGCATGAGGGCTCTATCAGTATGGGTTTATGTGTTCTACCATAGATAAAAAGCCAAATCCAAGGACTTAACTAAAAGTGAGTTTTAACCTTAAGCACTCAGAAGGAAAGTGGTAGGTAGTTGTGGGTTTTGGCTCACTGGCTCAAGATTATCAGGGATTGCATTTCCTTGATTCTTTTGGCCTTTTCCTCATAATTATAAGATGACAACTAAGCTCAAAGACCATGCCCATATTCTAGCCAAGAGGAAGGAGGAAAGGGGTGGAGAAATGAGCAAAAAGATGGGGGCCACTGCAGCCTGACCAGTCACTTTAAGGAAGCTTTTTGACTTTTCCCATCCAGTCACTTCTTCTGACATTTTGTTGGCTAGATCTGTGTCACATGCTAAGGGACCGGGTGGGGGGGCGGGGGCAGGTGTTATTGGGAAATGTTGGGGAAGAGTAGGGCAGGGTATATTATTTTCATTAGTTTTTGATATTGCTCTTTGTTATTTTTAGCTTGGCAGCTTGCCACATACCCCAAGAAAATTGGTATTCCATTAGTAAAGAAGAAGGGAAGACTGGATCTTGCATAGATGCAAAAAGACTGGTGTAATCTGGAAAACTCCCAGAAAAGGGTATATTCATTCTTGTGTATAGGTCCCTGAACAAATGTCTGTAATTTAACTCCCAAGTTATAGAAGGATTCATTTCAATGTTAGATTTGGGAGAAGGGCTAGGGTACATATGTTTTTCTTTCCCTGAACTCAGAGAACAGGTTCCAGCTTGGACCCCCTGTGTAGTCCTTACCAGCCATGTGTAGACAGCCCTAATTTCTCATCTTTCTTGCTATTGTGTTCTGTCCCAGTAGGCTACTATTCCTACCTGTGTATTTTAGTGAACAACTTCATTGACTGTTTTTTGTTGTTGTTGCAGCCAAGAGGCCAAGCCCCTCCTCCTAACTTTCTTTATAGATATGTTTTTTATTTTATAGCCTATGAGCCATCTCCACAAGGGCCACTTTTCATACATTGTTTCTCTGAGGACTAGCTACACATCTTATAAGTCTGTTGTCACACTCTCTAACCATTTCCCACTATTTTCCCACTAAGTACTGTGCACTTTGAAGTTTGCTCATTGAGGGTTCCTAAATTCATGTAAAGCATCAATTACATTACTGTAGCATTTAAACAGGTGACTAAATATATTGTTATAACCGAACAAATATAAAATGGTGTTGGAAGTCTTCATTTAAAAAAATGATGTTAGCCTAGTATACTATGTCTAAACTATAGTACAGTAAGAATATATATACCTAGAAAGTCCTCATCTATCTAGACTATACCACTTGAAATCCAGCTGTGCTGGAGCTGGGTCAAAGTGTACAGTATGTAAAGAAAGAGAATGCTGAATAAACTAGGTAGTTGGGGGAATGTTTAAGGGGCCTGAGAGAGCAAATTGCTTTAAAGCACCGTAAACACTTTAAAAACATCAATTCATCAACACATATGGGCTGTGCTAATTGTAAATCTTTTATTAAAAACCAGTCTCCTAAGGCTGTCTGTAGGGAACATTTTATAAGCCTAGTTCTGATTACTGTTTCTTCTATAAAGTAGTAAAACAGCATTTCCATTCTATTGTTTGTATTTAACTAAATGCCTTACCATATTATTTGAATTATTAAATCTGTTTTGGTTCGCTTGTTGTAAAACACTAATATTAAATACCGTAGTCTCCTGATCTTAGGTTTCTCTTACAGGTACGTAGCTAGTTTATAATTGTATGTATGTATGTATATATTTATGTATTTATTGTTGAGACAGAGTCTCATTCTGTTGTCTGGAGTGCAGTGGCCCTATCTTGGCTTACTGCAGCCTCTGCCTCCTAAGTTCAAGCAATTCTCCTGTCTCGGCCTTCCATGTAGCTAGGATTACAGGTGCCCACCACCACACCCGACTAATTTTTGTATTTTTGGTAGAGACAGAGTTTCACCATGTTGACCAGGCTGGTCTCAAGCTCCTGACCTCAAGTGATCCACCCACTGCAGCCTCCCAAAGTGCTGGGATTACAGGTGTGAGCCACCGTGCCCAGCCTATGATTGTTTTTAAAATTTATTTGGATTTTTTTTTTCCATCATCCAGAAAATGCCTCTTAAATCCTGGCATTATCTATTATGTGTAATTGAAGTGCATTTTTATTCAATACACAGGTAATTTAAGTGGATCAAATATGTATAATATGTGACTTTAAAGTAATTGTACCCAGTTATTTGCTGAAAAGAATTGAGCTGTTCAGAAGTTGTCAAACAGGTTTTGAAATGTTATGAGTCCAGATCCTTTTGTTTTTTGTTTTGTTTAGTTTTGTTCCATTTTTTGAGACAGAGTCTCGCTCTGTCGCCCAGGCTGGAGTGCATTGATGCCATCTTGGCTTACTGCAACCTCTGCCTCCCAGTTTCAAGTGATTCTTGTGCCTCAGCCTCCCGAGTAGTTGGGATCACAGGCACGTGCCACCTCACCCAGCTAATTTTTTGTATTTTTAGTAGAGATGGGGCTTCTCCATGTTGGCCAGGCTGGTCCAGAACTCCTGCCCTCAAGTGATCCACCCGCCTTGGCCTCCCAAAGTTCTGGGATTATAGGTGTGAGCCCCTGCACCCAGTCGTTTTGTTGTTGTTGTTGTTGTTGTTTTAATAGAAAGATTAATGGAATGTGTTGCCTTTCTTAGTCTGAAAGTCTTTATATATTTGTAAGAATTAGTTGAGATGTTAAGATAAAATCCAAGGAAAATCAAGAATGTGTTTTAATTGAACCAATTTCAATGGCTCCCTTAAATATATCTGTGGAATAAATTAAGTTTATAAATATAATAGAAAAATATTGGGAAAGATAAAATATTCCAATAAAATTAAATAAGAAAAGAATTAAACTATGTAGCATAGTGCTATTATGCATGCAGTAAATGTCAGTAAATATTTGGGGAATGAATGAATGAATGACGCTGAAATGATACATAATTCGAACAGTAGTTTTGAAGCTAGAGACACCTAATATGAAATGAAACATATAGTCATTAAAATTAGCTCAATGAGTTAGTTAAGAAGCAGTTTAGAGATAGCCAAAGAGAGGATTTAATGCGTGGTCCCTGGATCTGATGAACACTACTACATATGTTGTAGTTGTAGTCAAAATACAAATCAGATTGTGTCATGTACAGTGAGATACCCCATCTACCACCCACCCACATAAGATCACTCAATGACTCCCAAGTCTACAGAGAAAAGAAAAAAATCCTTCACATGATCCAGAAGCCCTTCCTAACCTCTCCAGGTTAGGTGCCCCCATTGCTTAGCTTTATTATTTTCTGTGACCTTCCTTAAGGGTTTTTTTAATGTCATGCTTCTACTTTCCACAGGCCTTTGAACAAGCTGGAATATCCTACTCACATTATTCTCATTAGCTAATTCAACTCCCAGCTCAAGGGTCACTTCCCCAGGGAAGCTTTCCTTCACCCTACAGGTTAATAGGGGTGCTTTGTTACTAATGATCAAGGAAACTAGCTACTCCCCTTTAAGGTACTAATTCAGTTTGTAATTTCACATTCATTGCTGTGAATCAGCATTCATCTTTCCTACCCAATGGTAAACCCTGGGAGGACAGGACTATATTTGTTGGGCTAACCATTGTGTCCCCAGCATAATGCTTGTAGTTAGTAGGTGCTAAACAAATACTTCTATATGATTGGATTCCAGAAAAACACAGAATGTAAGCTTTGATATTAAAATAGCTCCAAAGACTATTGATTTTCCAATTTCTTTTGTTCCCTGGTTAGTTTTTCCTTTTAGCCACATTATCAGAAATGTATTCCTTTTTTTTTTTTTCAAATCTTCTTAAGCCAAATTATATTATTTCTTTGCACAGATTCATTATTATTTTAAATGGGCCCTTTTCGGCATTCAGCGTTTAGTGCAGGTCCTCAGATTTCTTGCAAGATACTCTATAAAGCCCTGTGAAACCATAGCAGATATCCATTTGAATTCCTTGAGTAGTGCAGTTTTTACCAAGGCACAGGCTAGACACATCTTGCAAATGGTGTCACACACAAAAAGGGGGATGCATGGTACAATGGGTTCTTCAGAGCACATCTGATTTTTATTTTTCAGGTGGTCAGGATCCTTCTTAAATCTGTTTAGTGGCTGCCTTTTTTTTTTTTTTTTTTTGAGACAGAGTCTTGCTCTGTTGCCCAGGCTGGGGTGCAGTGGCGCGATCTCGGCTCACTGCAAGCTCTGCCTCCCGGGTTCATGCCATTCTCCTGCCTCAGCCTCCCCAGTAGCTGGGACTACAGGCGCCTGCCACCACGCCTGGCTAATTTTTTTGTATTTTTTAATAGATACGGGGTTTCACTGTGATAGCAGGTATGGTCTCGATCTCTTGACCTGGTGATCTGCCCGCCTCAGCCTCCCAAAGTGCTGGGATTATAGGCGTGAGCCACCATGCCCGGCCTACTGGCTGCCTTTTTAAAAGTGTTCCTTTGCTAACCTGATTATGGCTCATTTTGTGAAATTTTGACCAGGTGCAGGGAAGTGGTAAGTAGAAGACTGAGGACTACAAAGCCTCTGTGAGCTCTTAGGTTTGGGTCCCAGAGGACAGTGACACTGCAGCCCATTTACTGCAGTGAGGAGGTATTGATTTTTCTCCCTCCTTGTTTTTAGCCGTATCTCTGAAGTAGATATGGTATGAAGCATCTTTCCTGGTGAAGAGAAGAAAAGCTTCAGTGGTGAACTTTGTCACCCCAGCAGCCGGACATTTCAAACCAAACTAGATGGAATGGAGAAAGAGCTTAAAGTGCTCTTGTAAACCTCTTGACTTAATTCAGTACCTTAGCTTTTGTGACAAAGAGGTTCTCTACAGTTTATAACAACCCTGATAGACAATGGAAAGAAGTGTGTGTGTGTGTATGTGTGTGTGTGTATGTGTTTTGAAAAGGGAATAAAAGGATCAAATCAGTGAAAACAACACAGCCCTGTGCTATGATCTTAGAAGGTTAGCAAAGTGGTCTTGTCCAAGTTTTCAACAAGATGTTCCATTCCTGTTATAATTGGCTGCTGGGTAGGTTTGGACCTAACTAGAATGCCAGCGTTCGATTTCACTGTGTTCTCAGTGGAGATGTGTCACCGTTTATGCTCGCCTTAGTGACAATTTTCTAAAATGGAAACTCGTGGGAAATCATTACAGTGTTTATATGTCTCCCTTGTCGGACGGCGTTATCCTGTGATATTTTACCAGTGTTTTCCACTGCATGATGGCATCTCACGAAGGTTAGGGCAGAACAAGTCCCTCTGTAATTTTGTGACTACATTTTACTTACTGAAGAAGAAAAGATAACTGACAATTAAGTATTTGGGATGTCACAGAAAGAACATGTGCAACTAATCAATGGTATCCTTTGGGAACATGATTTTATAAAGCTGATAAGGTAGAAAAATTGGGATTTTGTGATTTGTGTTACATGATGATAATTGTACCTTTTCAATAAAAAGAGCATTTCTTCTGAAGTAAACATTGAGCTTACAGGGGCTGTTGGTGGTAATGCTGTTGTTTTTCTGCCCCATGCAGGAAGTTTTTTATAAATGCTTTCATAGAGTTTACATTTTTAAAAATTCTTCATTTAAAGTGATATTTCTGAAGAAATATCTGGTCTGCTTTAGAGAAAGTCATTTATTCTTACAAGAGTGAGTAACATTGTGTAAAGAAAAATAATTTTTTTTTGTTTTTTACAAAATACACTCTATTGCCCAGTTTTACTGTTTATCAGAGTTGGATGTAGTAATATCGAAGTGAGTCAAATAGCCTGTCACACACCTGTAACAGTTCTTTCATTTAACCCCATTTCCTACGTGCACCATAATAATAACCTGATTTTTGTCTGCCTATATTCCTAAATGACAGATTGGATGGAAATTTCTTTAGTGCATTTCTCTGTTAATTCTATACCATCTCCAATCTGCAAGTCAATTAAAGAGTCCAGGATATTTTGATGCTCTTCAGTGCCTATTCTTTTCATACTATGTCACTTTTACTACTTTTATTGCACACGCTTCAATTAGAAAATGACTCCTTCCTTGCTAGTTTTGACAGTACTTTCTTCTTCTTCCAGCAGCTTTGAAAATGCTGGATAACCAGTGGCCACCCTCCTTAACAGAACAGTTAGTTAACTTAAAAGATCATTATCCCCTTGACTTTCCACTGCCTGGTTCCATTCTTGGTACCCATTATTGGATGACTTGTTTTTATGGAAACTATTTTGAAATCTTTTAGTTATTTTCATTGCTTGCCTCTAGCTCTTCCTAGGTTTATTCTTATTTCTCTTTTGTGGTGGCAGGGGGTGCTTGATAATATTGCCTTAAGTGGGGTGAGAGAACTGTTCAGCGCATTTGACACCATGTGGAAGGAACACTTCTTGCAGACCTACAATTTGAGACCCATGATTCTCGCACATAAACAGCTACTCTCTGTCTTGCATCTGGGTAATTAATTCTGCCTCTCACAGTATTTCACTCTGTGTGTATACCTGTAAAATTTATTGGGATTTATTTCTAGCTTTTTGTCCAAACTTGTCATATTAATTTTGAATTCTTGATGTTTTACTGCATAAATTAGTTGACAGGCCATGTGTGCCAACTTGCATCCAGGAATGGGATGAGCAGCATCAGAACTTCACCACCAGAGTCACTGGGTAATTAAGTAGATAGCACTGGGCCTGATCCCATCGCTACCCTGCAGTTCAGAATGCCCCTCTTATAACAGGGGCAGCATGGTAGTACTTCATCAGCTGTACTCTAACCCAGCAACGATAGAGTGGAAAATCATACTTTCCTTAATGTTTTGTTAATTTTGGGAGCCCTCCACACCACTGACTGCTGCATTTTAGAATAATATATAGAAGACATGGAAATCATGAATATGAATTACTCTCTAGAATCGGTGCAGCAATAGATTTTGGTGTATTAGAAAGAATCCTTTACCACAGTAGCCTCAATGCCAAACGTTTTCAACTCAGCCCAGAGCTGAAGGCATTAATGAATTCTAATAGCAAGGCAGCATACCCTCCAGTGGGATTCTAATTGACAAAGAGATAGAAAACTGAAACAAGAAGGCCAGCGTGTCCTTTGGGGAGCTGGCACACAGCACCGGCCACAGTGCATCAGGCTCCAGGCCAAAGAAAAGTGAGCCCAGCAGTGAGTGCTATTGCCCTGTCTAAGCTAAAAGCAGGTGTTCTTGGCTGGGCTGTCAGGGGTCTGCAAACCCCCTGCCACTGAAAGCACAATTATAGATGTATGTATGTTTTCCAGCAAGCAGGATACTCAGCTTTTATCTGATACTCAAAAATATCCCTGAAATATAGAGGGCCAAGAAGCTCTGTTTGCTCGATGAACAATTATCCAAACTTCAAAATGGATAAAATAGGTTGTTGGAAATTAATACAACAACAATACTCAAAGAAAAGAGAATTAGCATCTATCCATCGCTGATTGTGTATCAGAGATTCTTGGAGACATTTAATCCTCACAATAACCTAATTTTAAGATAGAAAGAGAAAGGATTCAAACTCAGGTCTTCCTGAAAGCCCACATACTTCCTACTCCACACTGCCTCTCTAAAGAATGAAAGCGATTAACCATTGGATATTAATAAAAAATAAAGATAAGCAATCTAAAACAATAGGGAGATAGGATTTGATATTCAAAAATTTGATTTTTTAAAACTTAGGAGCTTATTGTTGAGCAAAGTTGAGAGATTTAAACCCAACTGACATTTATTCTATAGGATGACCCAGGGTACAGCTTCAAGAAGGGGTGGTTCCTTCAGAGCAAAAGCCTTTCAAGAAACTGAAGAAGTTGTAAATGGAACAGTTGTGAGGTCCAGCCTTACTGTTCAGTTTCTCATGAATATGATCATGTGTGTATGAACAAAAAGATTTAATTCCTCTTTTGTATCTCTGTACCAGTTGATGACAGTCATTTGTACATAATATATTACATTAGGTAAATTCTTCTGTATTTTACTTTGTCTCTGAAGTATTAGTTCTTTTCTCCCAAGCTTTTAAAACAGAGCTTAGGAAATATTCCTGCCCACATAACTAAATGCTTAACTAACTCTCAATGCTGCCTTCTCTAAAACTATAAATCCCAAAGTACATATTGGTCATTGTTTTATGGAAAATATTATTTGAGAATATTCGGTGAAAATTTAGCAAAGTAAATTCATGCAAATTTCTGGAGTTTTCTGTAGTGCTTTTGCCAGTATATCTTACGTAAAGCAATGTGATCATCTGTTTGGAGAACTCTGTTTGGGGAAGCTGAGCAGGATTAATTCCCGTCCCTGTGTTGCAGTGTAAATAGCTTTTTTCCTGTCTTTTGTCATTAATGATCATGCCGTAGATGTAGCCAGTGCATTGTAAGCCGATCTGTCAAGGCAAATAAACAATTCACCTTGTTAAAATTCCCTAAATCTTGCATTAATAAACCTAAGTAACCCCCTGAACACTCAAGAGATGTCTTCCTCCATACTGCGGTGATGGATGACACGTCTAAAGATCCTGGAAATTAAGTAGTTCAGGTCATTAAAAGTGTCCCACACTTGTTATTGATTTAATTTATTTTAAGAAGGTGGGGGTGGAGATAAGAATGTTATACCCTCCCCTCTTTTTTTAAATCTGAAAGCAACCACTTGTACAGATAATTAAAACTATTGCCTGGGGTAACAAGTCTGCATGTGTTACAAATTAGGCTTTATTATTCAAATAAGTATTGTATCATCCTCTTAAACAGATATCTAGAAAAAAAAACAATCATTGAAACATGTGTCATAGCCAAAATACCTCGGAGTTTTATATGTGTGATGACGCCTAGAACTTTTTGAGTTACAGGCACTGAAATAATGACCTCTGGGCACCTAAAAAATGTCCTTGAATAGGTAAAAACTGAGATGAAAGTGAAATGATTTAAGGAAATTTAATTGAAATAGTAATGAAATTATGCCTCTGGATAAAGGAGGTTTTTTTTTTCTTTTTATTTTCTGAACTTTTTATTTTTCTATTTTTATAACCAGGAGAAAGTAAACACATACACACACATGGATGGAGAGAGGGACAGAGGGATGGACGGATGAATGCATTGGTAGATGGGAAAACGCTTAGAGAGTGATACGCTATTTCGATTCTATCTCACTATATTCTAAGGCAAGTTTAAGTTGTTGTTTAGTGTGTGTGTTTACTTGTTCATTGCTAGCTTTCTTCAGCCCATGCTCCACTGGACCTGTAAGATTTATCATCATGTCCCAGTGCCTAACATAATAGATGCCCAGGAAATTATTATTTAGTGAATAAAGTATAACACCCCAATTTTTTCTTCTATCTTTTATTCCTTAAGCTTCCATGGGAATGGTGAGCTGTGTAAAGAACCGTAGCAGCCCCCAGTGGAAGTGGCTCTTTAGATGACCCCTCTCCAGGGACTGAACACCAGGAGGGTTCTGCTCTAGTGTGGGACAGAGGGCAGCCTAGGAGGACTGGCAACCTGTATAGTTACCCACTTCATTTGTATGACCTGAACTGGGTAACAGTATTACAAAACCTGATGAGGAATTGGGGCCACTCAGTATGTGAACCATGGCTAAGAACAAGATGTGATATAGAACTATGTATCTACAAGGTACATAATTTCACCTCACTTTTGTTACTTGTTATGTATCTTATGCACCACCCTTACACAGTATTCCTGATCAGTTGTGTGAGTGATATTTCACCACTGATTCTCATAGTTCTTTAAACAACATGTACTTACTGGACAAAATTTACCCATGATAAGTTATGAAAAATGACCCTTAAGAATAGTTGTATTGAAGTCAGAGATTATGATAAAACCTTTGATGCTTTTCTCCTGTGGTCTTTTAGAAGAGGGGGAGGGGGAGGGGGAGGTGGCAAACTTATATTCAGTTCACACACTCTGGTAGACTTTAAAAATACATAGATAAGAAGATACATACTTCTTTGTCAGATTTCTCCTTGACATTGCATAATCTGGATCTCTGATTACTGACATGGTTATGCCATCATGCCAGCTATGTAGCAGAGCTCACTAAATGGAAGAACTCTATAGATTTTTTTTTCAGCATGTACACTGATTTACACTTAGCAGTAAAGTTGTTACTGACCCTTTAAGTGGAGCTGTCCAAATGGCAATAAATGTCAGTTGATTCTAATGCCAAAACAGGTGATAGTTGAGGGTTCTTGACTAAATCTTCCAGTTAAAAAATAATTTATCATATTTCCTAAATAGTAGTGGTCTCCTGTGGGGAGATACACACACACACACACACACACATGTATACATAATGTATATCAGACCACTTTATCACTCAGTAAAGAAAATTTGATATACATATCTTAACAGTATTATTGATGTTGCCAGGTTTTGAAATATTCACTCTGGATTAGAATCTCCATGAAGGCAAGAACCATTTCTACCTGGCTCCCCACTGTCTTGTCCCCTAGTCAGCATCTAGTGTATAGTAGGTGCTCTATAAATGCCAGTTGAATGAAAGAACAGATAAACTGCAGGATTTGCCGGCAATCCCTAGCATGTGTGTCAGCCCGAATTCCTGGTGGGCAAAACAGAGACCACTCCTCATCTTGACTGTGAGGAATGTTGCTGGTAAGAACTTTGATGGACGGTTATGACTTTTTGAAATAGTTCATTTGATTGATCACCTAGCAAACTTCACTTCAGTTTCGAATTCTGTTTTCTGCTTTCACAGGCTGTCATTTTAGAAAATGAAGAACTTCCCAAACTGTTTCTTGATTTCCTAAATGTGCGACACTTGCCCTCTCTACCAAAGGCAGAAAGTTGTGGGTAAGAATCATGTTTGCATATTGGATGTGTATTTTAAATTACTCTTCAATGACCAATTGATCTAACAAATAGCCCAGAGTGATGCCCGAGTAGCCTGCCGGCCACGCCCACTCTTTTGGCTTGCTGCAGCACTCGCTCGCCCCCTGCTTTTGGTTAAAAGAATTCCTCTGAGTCCTTATGCCCATCTTGCGGCCAAATGGCCATGGTTCGGTAACCCATGTTTAGACTCAAGGAATCAATCTTTTCAATTACACTGTTACATAGAATGATGTTACTTGATGGGAATTATGAATCTAATTAACTTGTTATGGGCTCATTTATTAGTGGAAACTCGAACAAAATTCATATCCTGGTGGTACACATTCATATAATTTTAAAGTTATGAATGATCTTAGAGATGATTTGATGCAACTCCTCTCATTTTGTAGTTGAGCAAACAGAGACACAGGAATTTAATGACTTTCCCAAGATCTCTTGCCTTGTAGCTTGCAGAACCGAGGCCTTCCAAGGCAAGCCCTCTTCCTCTACTGTCCAGCTGCCTCTCTCAGGAACTTCCAGTGGCAGGACTACAAATCCTAATCCCTATCTATTGGTCTAAACCCATTGGTCCTAACCCAAGGACCCAGAGGTTTGATATCATCAGCAATTAGGAAAAGCTCTCCCGAAGAATTAACTCTGAAATAAGCCACTGGCCCAGCAACAGCACATGACATGGGCTGAGCTAGCCTCAGAAGGCCTTCAGGAACATCCATGGCATACTGTATCCATTTACAGGGGAAAAAATCATCACAAACTCTCTGAAAATCCATGCAGGAGAGAGGTTTACCCATTTTCTTGCTGCCTGAAGGAACCACACTTAACTACAAGAAAATCAAGCAGGCCACACCCAAAGTCATGTTAAACCCCAGCCATCTGCTGGATGATGGGGCTGCAAACACCTGTCACAGCTCCTCATGAGCACTGTTTACTCAGAGCCACTTTCCACTTATTGCATAACAAAAATTATACACTTGGCAAATACTGTGTTGTCAGTGTGTTCTGTTCCAACTTGTATGTATTTACGGGCAGGTTAGGCTTCATATATGTTTATGTATTTTTTAGAATAGACATTAGCAATGGCAGTGAGCGAAATGTTTTCTCCATTATACAAGCCCAAAAGTAGTAATAAAACCTGAGGATTTTTAAGTAATCTTAAGAGAAATCAAAGAATATTCCAGTCTTCAGATTCCTTAGAATGGGGCATAGCCATGCTGTGGCTCAGTGGAAACTCACAGCTCTTTTAAAAAATAACTACCAATTCAGTCATCTAATAATATTGGGTATTTTTTCCTTTGTTGGCATAAACATTGACTCAACATATGTGGTTTTTTTGTTTTTTTCCTTTTTCAAAACTTTTAGATCTTTTGATGAAACAGAGTCTGAAGAGTCAAGGTAAGGACTAATCCTCATCAGCCAGGAATAGGATTATGGTTTTGCTAAATGTTTAATCACCTACGATGTGTTTCAAGTTATGTTTTTCTTAAGAACCTTTGTTTGGAAATTGGTTTTAAGATTATAAATATTTGATAGGGAATTACAGGAGTAACCAGTTAGAATTAAGAGTGGAGGAATAAGAGCCCTACATTGTTTCATGCAAGTAATCAGAATGTTTTATCAACAATCGTATTACAAGATTTTTAGGAAATCACGTTTCAGCAATGATTTATTGTATAGATTGTATATTTGCTTCAAATTCCACAAAGAAATGTTTAGAAGATGAGAGCAGTGCCCATTTGTTCACTCTTACTCTGCGTGCTATTATTCACCCACACTGTTAGAACATAAACCTTGAGACGTCCCCGCACAGCAGTTTGATCCCCTCAAAGCTAGTTTGTAGTGTTTTCTGTTTACCATCGTCCCCTGATGCTGACATGCCTGTTCTTGACCTTTCCAGCAAACTGTCCCACCAGCCTGTGCTGCTGTTCCTCAGGGATCCATATGTCTTGCCTGCAGCCAGCGGTAATCAAACCTGTCATCTGCTAACAGCTCTTTACTGATCTGACCCTGCACCACATAAACCACGTTTTTAATACAGGTCTAACAGAGTGACATTGGTCCCGGGCTTAATAATCTGCCAATAAACCAGTGCTCTTGGTATAAGCGACACTTAGAATTTTAATTGGGGCTGGCCTTTCAGGAGGAAATGTAATTTTTCTTTCTCTCTTACCAGACTATTTTGAATTAGAGTAATAAGGAAGAATGGTATTTATGGTCCTTAATTTTTCTGATCATGTCATTTTGGCCTCTGCTTGTTTTTGTCCAGATGCCAAGGTTCAAATTCAAGGCTCTAGTCCTTTTTAAAAATGCCTCTTCCCGGCCAGGCATTTTTAAAATCCCAGCACTTTGGGAGGCCAAGGCGGGTGGATCATGAGGTCAGGAGATGGAAACCATCCTGGCTAACACGGTGAAACCCCGTCTCTACTAAAAATACAAAAAATTAGCCGGGCGTGGTGGCCGGCGCCTATAATCCCAGCTACTCGGGAAGCTGAGGCAGGAGAATGGCGTGAACCCGGGAGGCGGAGCTTGCAGTGAGCCGAGATCGCGCCACTGCACTCCAGCCTGGGCGACAGAGCGAGACTCCGTCTCAAAAAAAAGCCTCTTCCCCGAAACTATGTGTATATACATTGCAGCATCTTTGATGGCAAACTATATATTTTTAAAAGTTGCATATTTTAAATACAATTAATTGATCTAAGTATAATTGTAATCAATATTTTCGACTGAGTCTTTTCTCTGTGCAAAGAAATTTAAATTCATCAGAGTCCCTCTCAAAGTGTTCTGTTATGCATCTCTTTATGAGCTCATTTGCATACATTATCTCATTTAATTTCCTTAACAACCTTGTGAACTAAGCAGGGCAGATATTATCATTGACTGAATGAGAAAATTGGGGTCCAGGGAAGTCCCTGACTTGTCCACTCTCAGATGGTTGATGGGTGGACCTCTTGTTGCCTATGTATTCCTTCTGTGCTCTTTGCATATAGTGAATCTTGTTTCTGGGAGTCACTAAATAGTAATAGATAAATAATCCATTGAAACCCTCCCTGTTTCTGACAATAAAACCTTATGAGCAGGAGAAAGGGAACTGCTCTCTATAGCAAGGATACACGTACTCACATCACCCACTTAGCTGTCAGTTTGAAGAAGGGTGGCCAGGACGCAGCCCTGCTCCTCCCTAGGAAGGGTTGAGGGACCCTTCCTAGTAGCACCCCGATCAGAGTGAGCTGCCTTTGCTGTATAGGAATATGACCTCATATTCTTTTTCCTATAAGATCCTCGCAGTGAAGAATAACTTTCTCTCTGTAACGTTTGCTTCTTATGTTTAACAAATATACATGTTAGTTGATGTCATGTTAAAATATCATATTTAACAAATATTCATAATGCAATCTAATATAGATTAAATAGATAGTTTTATAAATTATTCTTATTATCTTTGAAAAATGGCTCCACAAGCACTTTTTCCATGTATTGTTTATGCTCAGATATGTCATGCATCTGACTGAAATTCCTGCAGAAGTGTAGACAGTGAAATGGTTACTGTGGACTAGAATAGCCAAGATACTTGATAGAAGAGGGAAGATATTTTATGACCTTTAAATCCAATTCATACAGCTTATTGAGCAGTGCCTACCATGTGCTCTATGCCTGGCTTGGACAGTGAAGAACAGGAGGAACTTTCTGGGAAGAAACATCAGGGGTAAATGTCTTGAATTGGAAAGAGTAAAACGTATGTATCATTGGTAGCATGGTAATATGGATGAAGACTTGCAAAATAAGGGAACTCCTGTTTGAGAATAAATGGATCACAGGTTTGATGGATGGGATGGGAGGTATGGAAGGACCAGTCACCAGATCTGTTTTCTTGGAATTTTGACCAATCCAGTTTCACGAATCAGATTCTTGTGATCTTAGAAGTGTTATACTAATGATATATTCTTGCAAATCTTTAGCATTTAATTTAAAGAGAAACTTTACTTGCATCACATTTTTGTTATGATGCCTCTTAGCAAGATATTAAGGTTATTATTCCAGAGGATATTGCGTATGGAAATTTCTTCACAGATGTACTGACCCCGCCCCCTACAAAGTCAGAGGAGTGTCTGTCTTCAAAGATCTGACATTTAAGCATTATCCTCTTATAAAATACTAATAATCAAATATCCCTTAGCTTTTAACATTAGAAATCAGGAGAGTACTCTCTTAACAGATTGAAAAGCATTTGCCTTTTGGTCTTTGTTTTGATTTTCCTGGGAAACTCAAAACAACTCTTGCCAAAGTCCCCAGTGATTTCAGTGTGGCTGAAGCCCATGGATATTTTTCAGTCCTCATCTTCCTTGGCCTCTCATGGACTTTAGACATGTTGATCTGTTTCTCCTCCTTCAAACAGTGTCTCCCCTTGGCTTTCCCACTTCCTTCCACTCTCTAGCAGCTGACCAGAATGCTGTCATAGACCCTCTCCTCTTCTCACTACACTTCCTTTCAGATAATCTCCTTGTGTGTGGCCTGCCTACCACGTGTATACACCTGAGTCACAATATTGTATCTCCATCTCAACTCTGTCCTGGGAGCTCCAGACTCTTACCTGTGGTTTGTTTGCAAGGCCCTCTGTGGCCTGCCCCAGGCTCATGTTCCTACTGGACCTCCTCATACACTTTGCCCTAGCCACCCTGGAATTCTTTCTGGGCCTCAGATGTGCTGTTTCCTCCACCGTGAGCCTTGTTTTCTCCATCCATAGCCGGCTGCCTCTCATCTTCCAGGGCTCACATTGAATGCCACGGCTTCAGAGAGCCTGTGCTGATTCTCCCTCTCCACGAGCCCCTCTACCCATTCACAATACATGTTCATTAAATAAGCAAAAACCAACAAAAATAACAGCAAAACCTGCCCTAAATCACCTTCCTTCTCATCACCTCTCAATGAGAATCAAAGTCAAGGACAGTTTACTGAGTAATGCTGGCAATAATGGACATTGTAGTAAATCATGCATATGATGAAGCCAAAATCCACAGTTTAAAGTAGAGTGGAACGGATGAGAAAACAACCCAAAACCCTGATTATGTTATTTCTGATCGCTAGTTGGTGGACCTTGCTTTAAAACACCTCCATCCCATTCACTTTTTGTCAGAGAACCCTATTTGCTTCCTTCATAGTAATGGTCACAGACTATCTTATCTTTGTTCTTTGGCTTTGTCCTCTAAATCCCCAGCATCTAGCATATGTTCAGCTCTTGGTGGACATACATACAGAGCCTCAGCACTTGCTGTTCCCTCTGCCAGGAATGCCCTTCTCCCGGACACCCTCCCAGCGGGCTGCTTTGTTCCTTCCTGCAAGTCATCACCCAAATGGCACCATCACTCAAATTCTTCCCTCACTTCCCTGTCTCTGGGCCCTCTCCAGCCCATGCCCTGCTGTATTTTTCTCCTTGCCCTGTTCTTGTCACTGCTTAACATGTTACCAGCGCAGTAGAGTTACCCATAGTATGTAATGTTATTTTCCTTTATGTCTTTTTTGCTTAACTTATTTAGTTGAATCCTTTTAAGCTAAATATACTTACAATGTAATTTCACTGACCTTCAAATCGACTTCTATATTGTGAGTGGCAAAGAATAAAGGCATGTCTGCCACCGTCATGTAATATGTCCTATTTGAGTATCTTTTAGAAAATTAACAGCTCTATTTATGGCAATTGATTTTAATATCCTTCTATGTGGGAGAAATACATTTAGAATTAAAATTAACTTAGCTAAATTATTGTTTTTTATTGGGCTCTAAATATACATGTGTAAGGCCTATCACACGCTTTCAAAGATATATTTCATGAAAAACCATTACTTCATGTTGGGGAAAGGCATGCACTAAAAAAATCAAGTGTCATCAACCAGAAATAACTGGATATTCATGTATTAGAGATTTTCTAAGATATAGTTTGTGTGTTCATTCGCTTGTCTCCCCAATTTTTAAAACAGCCTATAAGGTAGATACTATTATGAAATCCATTTCACAGTTGAGGAAAGAGAGAGACAGAGATGTTCAATAACTCACCTAAGGTCACACAGGTATTAAGTGGTCGATCCAGGAAACAGAGGCCTCTCAATAAATATATGTTGAGGTAAACTTGTCACCACATTCTATCACTTACTTGACTTCCCCTTTGGCAAGTCTCACGGGTGCCTCAAACACAAGTTCCAGACAGAGTTGATGATCTTCTATTTTACTCCTCTTCTGGGTCTTCTCCCACCACCCTCTGATTATGCAAGCCAGAAACCCAGGAGGCATCCTTGACTTCACCCCTTCCCTCACTAGCCACATCTAACCTGTCACTTGGTCCCGTCCTTCATTTCTCTAGAATTCCTCCATGGTTCTCCATCCTCAACCTCGTTTGGGCTGCCACCATTGCCCTCTCGAACTACTGCAGTAGTCTCCAAACTGATCTTGTGTCTGCTTTGAACTTCTCCAGTCCATTCTCCAGCTGGCAGCCAGAATCATCTTTTTCAAAACACAGTTCAACTCTGTCCCACTCTGCTTAAACTCCCTCAGTAGCTTCCCATTGAGTTTCAGATAAAGCCCAAACTCCTATCCATTCTTCCCAGGTGTGATGGGGCACCCCGTGCCCTCCAGCCTCCTCATTCCCACTTTTCTCACTATGTTGGCTTTCGTTTAGGTCTCTGAACCCTCCAGGCTCCCTCTGGCCACAGACTTGCCACCTGGCTAGCTCCCTCTGCCTACCCCTAGCCTCTGAGAGCCTTTCTGCCTCCTCTGATGAGGCCCAATCCCCTAGTAAATGATTTTATTTACACAGTAGACAATAGAGGCTAGATGCATATTTTTTTTCTTAAAATATTGGACTACTTTTATTTTCTTACATAATAATGATATTTATTTAAAGTGCTTTAGGATAGTTCCTGGATATCATTATGTACAGATTAAAGTTTAAAAATTAAACTTCTGAACCATGAGATAGATTGGTTCCCATTCAAGTAATCCATTCACATTTTACCTACTGTAATGACTGGAATGTGCTGTAACATACTTTGCACCCCTGGCCTCCCTTCCTGTCTCCTATAATAATGGAGCTGTGTTTTCAAGTTTGGCAGGATGGCTTCTGTTGGAAATTTGCCCTTTTAAGTTAGGAAGACTGACCCCCATCTTACTGCTCTCTTTCGAAGCTAGTCTAATGGAACAAGTAGACTCAGGACAACTTGGACTAAATGCACTGTAAACCACAATGGAAAAACTGCAGTGAGGTATTCCCAGTAGAAATCTTGGAATTCCTTCAAGTATATTGAGATTTTGTTAGAAATTGAATTGCCAGTGTAATCCATCTTCCTTTTGAGAAAACATTCAGATAAAGAGCTGAGGCCTAGCAGCATTAACTGTTAGAACATCCCTTAAATCAATAAGCTACAAATCTGGCCGCACATTCCTGCCGCGCCTGGTGGTGTGCTCAAGTGGCTTTAGGCTGAAGCAGCATGACTGATAGCACATCCTCAACCAGGCACATGCCTGGCGATGCAGATTCCTGTGTTTACCGTAAGCATTGCCTTGTTCCATTCTACAGAATGCAATTATATTTTGTTTCACATAAGAAAAGCAGTTTTTCTTTTTTTTTTCTTTTTTTTTTTCTTTTTTTCAGATTTTCCAAATGTGGTTATTGAAGGAGTCCTCCATGGGATATTTTACCCTCATCTACAGCCCAGGTAGAAATCCTACATGGCTAAAAGAAGCAGAAGCAAGTTTCGAAGTCACAGTCAAGGAAATCAATACCTACCAATTTAACCTAAACGCTATGATATATAACAGCTCTAGCTAGTGGTAAAGTGCACAGTCCCAGCTTAATTCAGGGCAGGGACATTTCCATTAGAATGGTGCTCTTAAAAATAGAAACTGAACCGGGGCGGTGGTCAGGCTAAGGCCAAGTGTTTAAGAAGTAGAGTGTAGCTGCCAGCGTAGAAACCCATGAAAAGGAGGCCACAGGAGATTCCTGGGAGCACTGGGTGTAGCAAAACAAAGCCACTCTCTGCTTCAGTCGCACCATTTGCTAATTGAAAATCATATCCTGAATCATACTGAGACTGATCAACTTTGGTAGCTTTTTTGTTCAGATCTTATGACACACTACTCTTCTCACCGTGAGATTTTCTCAGCCAGTGATAGTACATTCTGAAATGCTGGCACCAGGAGACGGCCACAGACACACACTGCTAAATGTGAAGATGGAACTAAACTGGAAATTAAATTATACTGACAATATTATGGCATTTTTAAGATCATGGCATTTTAATTTACATTAGAGTGGAGTTGCATCATACTCAGGGGTTAGCTTCCAAGGTCAGTACATAGGTAAAATGGGCTATTAGGATGATCCTTGAAAGCCCTTTAGAAGGGTGCCATGTTGGAAACCTGTACATCCACAACAAGTAGCTTTTCCTCCTATGTTGGAAAAAAAGACTGTTTCTTTGTTTGAAGACCAAGTGAAGTTGTTGGTGTTTGTTTAGGGGCCATTTTGTTAAAAAAAAAAAAAAAAAAGCACATAACTTTTAACACTAGAATCAGCCCGCAAGATGCTTGCCCCGCTAGTGGCAGATGTGAACTGACAAGGAGTGAAGCGCCCACCCAGCGGATGGACAGCACCCACCTGGGTTTACTCAAGGGTGTGCATTCATTTTAGGTGGGATCGCCACAGGATTTCATGTTATTTTCCTTACGGCTTCCTTTTCACTGACCTCATTTGTTGAGTTAATGTAAGTTAAATGTGTTTATGATATAACTCCACTGTACATCATCCTTTGAGTAGTAAAGGATAAAAGCATATATACTACCTATATGTATGTGCTGTATGTGGGCATTTCATTGAGATCTAATTAATAGCTAGCCTATTTATGGTTATTCGTTTTAGTAAGTTCTGTGGGAGCAAGGTATTTAAAATCAAAACTAATAACTACATCATGGTTTTTGATTAGGATCTAAATATTCAGGTTTTAAGCCTGCTGCAAACTTTTAAAATATTATGATAGATTCTGTACTACATGTGGGAAACAAGCAAGAACTAAATAATCAAATGTTGTCAACCAAAAGTAATAGTTGGGTATTGGAGATTTTTTTAAAATGTTTTTATGTTATTAGCTATTTGGAGTTAAATAAAAACAGAACAAGGAAACATTTGAGTTTGTCTTCTCCTAAGATTTCACTGGAAACATGGTTTGTATCTGTCTGTTTACACACACACACACATATGTGCACACACAAAACCTCTCACACATTCACATAGATGTTTATTTCTAATATGATAAGATAAATTATTATAATAAATTATCTCATCTATTAAGTCAGTAGATGTTCATTAAATATTTGATGATTTACCAAGATAATAAGAATTTTTTTGAAAAAACCAAGTATCTATAGTGGTACACTGCCCAAGAAATCTTTTCTGAGAATTAAGTTTTTTCTTAGTGATGACTTTCGCTTTTTATATTTATGTAAATTTTATTTCCCATGTCAAACAAGTCATATGCAGACATCATAAGATTTGCAGGAGGCACACCTCACAAGAGTGGGAAAACCCAGTCATCACACTTATGCACTACACAAGGATCATATCTATTTAAACTTTTAATGTGTAATTCTGTCAGGGTTATTGAAGGAACTAGAAACCAGTGTAGGTCTTTTACGCAGAAAAGGCTATAATGCTGAAAACTGAATGCTTACAGAATCTGTTGGAAGGGTGAGAGGAGTGCACTCCTGGTAGGTGTCCAAGAACAAATTCCAGAATGCCCCAGCAACTTCTAGCACTGACCTGCCTGGGGAGCTACAGCCTGTGCTGTAAGCAGGAATACAGGGAGTTAGGGGGCTGTGAGCGAAGCTCTTGAGGTAAACAGCATGAGAGCTGCAATCCAGGGATCAGCAAGTAGAATCAAAAAGGACCTGTTATCTCCATGAGATACGGAGCTCCCAGGAAATATAATGGCGATCTCTCTATGAGGTGCGGCCTCATAGCAGCACCCAGGAAGCTGGTGACTGGGCCTGCATCACAATTGCCTATCAACATCCGTGGCCTTGCTTGCCAGCAACCACAGCCCAAAGTGGCAGGAGGATGGTATTCGCCCACTCCCACCTCCCACTCCATAGCTCCCTTCAACGCACATCCAGTTTGTAGAACCTTATTCTCCATCCCAGGTGCAGGGAGTCTGGGAAGAAGCTGCTAGCCTTCTACAGCTCAGGAATGCACATGGGAAAGATGATGGAACTTTTTTTTTTTTTTTGAAGACGGAGTCTTGCTCTGTTGCCCAGGCTGGAGTGCAGTGGCACAATCTCAACTCACTGCAACTTCTGCCTCCTGGGTTCAAGCATTCTCTGCCTCAGTCTCCTGGGCAGCTGGGATTACAGGCGCATGCCACCACGCCTGGCTAATTTTTGTATTTTTAGTAGAGACAGTGTTTCACCATCTTGGCCAGGCTGGTCTTGAACTCCTGACCTCGTGATCCAACCACCTTGGCCTCCCAAAGTGCTGGGATTACAGGCATGAGCCACCGTGCCCAGCCAGAACATATTTCCATCATTTCCATGGTTGAAAATTTAATAAAAAATATATAAAACTATAGATAAAAAATAAATTTGTCTCCCATCTCATCTCCTAATACCGAATTCCCGTTCCACAGAAGGGAGTACTTAATGTGTCTGTACTTAATGTGTCTACTTTGAGTAATATTTCATCTACATACAAGCAGATATTGTATGTTTAGTGTACATATATTTAATTTCTCCTCTTTTACAAAAATGGTAGCACGCAATACCCATTGCTTTCTATTTTTTTTTATTTAACAATATCTTGGCAATCTTTCTGTATCAGTATATAAAGTGCTATTCTCTTTTTAAAAAAAAAAAGCTGTATGGATCTTCTATAATTTGTGTAACCACTACCATATTGATAGACATTTTACTTTTCGATTTCACTAGGCATGCCTGGCCCATATTGCTCTACAGGTTGTGCATTGCACAAGTCCAAGCAGTGTCATTCACATGGACCACAGTGTTAATAGTATTCCAAGTCATGCTTGGAACCCTGCACTTGGGGAAATATCAAAAACTTTAATCATTCAAACCATGGATTCACAGGCAATAGAGAAGTAAAGGACAGAGAAAGGAAACCAGAGGAAGGAAAAGGAAAAAAAAAATCCCATTACCACTTAAGTCAGGATGTGGGGACATCATTTGTCCTGCCTGGTTCCTGGACTTGGTGTTTTGCCTGGACTGTCTTCGATGCTACCTTATGCAGTGCCTCTCAGGCCTCATCTCTGCCTACTCATTCTGCATATTGGCAGCCCTCGTGTCCTTTCTCCTGGTGTCCTTGTTACTGCCCCCATTACAATCAGCCATGTGAACAACCCCAATATCACCATGACCATCAATACCTGGTAAATCCTACAGTTACAGTTATAAGTTCCCATTGAAAAGAAGTTGAGCTCTCTTAATCAGTTTAGAGAAATATGATCACACTTTTGAAATAACAGATGGTTTTCATCTCATTTGTCAACTTTGATCGATTGACAATGGCTGCTTGAAGTGCTGCATCAAGAAGAATTCTGGCACACCTGTGAGGATGGCTACTATCAAAGCAGAAAATAACAAGTGTTGGTGAGGAGGTGGAGAAATTGCAACCCTTGTAACTGTACATTGCTGGTGGAAGTGTGAAATGGTTGCAGCCTCTGTGGGAAATGGTATAACTTCTTCAAAAAATTAAGCATTGAATTGCTATGTGATTCAGCACTTCCACTTCTGGATATATACCTAAAAGAAGAAAGCAGGGACTCAAACAGCTATTTGTATAATGATATGGTTTGGCTGTGTCCCCACCCAAATCTCATCTTGAATTAATCTTAGTTCCCATAATCACCACAGGTCGTCAGAGGGACCTGCCAGGAGGTAATTGACTCATGGGAGCAGTTACCCCCATGCTGCTGTTCTTATGATAGTGAGTGAGTGCTCGTGAGATCTGATGGTTTTATGAGGGGCTTTTCCCCCTTTTGCTTGGCACCTCTCCTTCCTGCCATCATGTGAAGAAGGATGTGTTTGCTTCCCCTTCTGCCAAGATTGTAAGTTTCCTGAGGCCTCCCCAGACATGTGGAACTGTAAGTCAATTAAACTTCTTTCCTTTATAAATTACCCACTCTCGGGCAGTCCTTTATAGAAGCATGAGAACGGACTAATACATATATTCATGTTCATAGCATATATTCATAGTAGCCAAAAGGTGGAAACAACCCAAGTGTCCGGCAATGGATGAATGGATAAAAAGGAAATTCTGACACATGCTGCAACACAGATGAACCTTGAAGACATTCAGAGACATAAGCCAGTCACAAAAAAGCAAATACTGTATGATTCCATTTCTATGAAGTATCTAGCGTAGTCAAATTTATAGAGACAGAAAGTGGAACTTTGGTTGACAGAGGCTGGGGGAAAAGAGGAAATGGAGAATTAGTGTTTAATAGGTTTCAGCTGGGGAAGATGAAAACATTCTGGAGCTGGCTGGTGGTGATCATTGCTTAACAATGTAATGTACTTAATGCCATAGTATTGTACACTAAAAATGGTTAAAATAAATTTTATGTCATGTATATTTTACCACAATAAAAACAATAAAGGCTTTTGAGTGACTGCAGGCTCAGAGAATAAGGCTGTACTGATCAGGTAGCACTGTCTGTCGTGGGTGCAGGAGAGCTTTTGGCACACATACCAGTTACTAGTCTCACATCCCTGGCAACCTCTACAATCCTGAAACAGTAGTTCTAAACCAGAGATTTGCATCAGAATCACTTGGGATTCTGAATCAATAAATCTGGCCAGAGACCTGTCCTTGGGTAGTTAGAAACACCACCCAGTTCACTCTGATACACACCTGTATTAGGGACCACCAATTGATGGAGATGGTTTATGACCCACCCTTTAGCCATCTTGAATTATTTATTGACTTTCATAACTCCTTCAGAATCCAGTACCAAGAGAACATCTGTTCAACTCTTGGGGGTGTTTGTTATATGAGGTCACAGGAAAAGACCCTGAAGAAGCAGGAAGGACAAGTTTGGGTAGTGGTCTCAATAGATGCACTATACATAATTGGGAAGTTGTATATTCATTCATTCAGTTGTTCAGTGAAATGCATTTGGGTCCCCCCACTGGATTAAGGCACTATGTTAATTACTTAAAGAATACAGATGTAATCCTTGCCTTCTGGAATTGTTGGCCATTTACTAGGAAGGGTTTTTCCATCTTAATGAATTGGACATAAAGTTCAGTGATTAAGGCTGTCTTCTTCCAGTCTCTCTACTCCTTGCAAGTAATTATTTTCATTTTGGCTTTGTTTTGGTTTTTATTCTTGATGATAATTACAGATTTTGAATTCAGCAGCGGAAACACAGGGAAGTAGCAGGCAGTAACTCAAAACCAAAATGTCTGCAACGTTTATGTTTTCTGTCTGTGCAGATACATAGTGACAGACTGGATTCTGATGAGGGTGAAGGTCTATTTTTGTGTGACGGGAAGGAGGGCATATTATCTATGTTAAGTCATTGGAATACACTTAATTTACTAGAAGAAAATTTTGTGTCCTAAGAATGTGGTTGTAAATCTGGCCTATAAAATGTGAACCATTTTCTGTTTTCATTACACTTAACAGTAGTTACAGTGACAGCTAGGACATTGGTGTCCCTAGCTACAATATTCTATGTCATTTAGATACTCCTATGAACTCCTATGTACTGAGTTTCTACTGGATGTCATGTATTGTTGGACTAGGGTTTTGCATATTTTATCACGTTAAGTTCTTTACAGAGTAGTTTTTAGTGCCCCATTTTACTGAAGAAGAAATTGAAGATCAGAGACATTAATAAAAATAGTAGCTAACATGAATGAATACTAATTTAGGGGCCAAGAGGCACTGGGCTAAATCATGTTAATGGACCATCTCATTGAAGCTTCACAACATCTTTAAAAATGTGTGTATTCTTATTCCAATTTAAAGTGATTAAAAGGAAGCTTAGAGAAGTGAAATAGCTTGACCAAGGATACCAGTTAATAAAGCTTGGGCGAATCCAGTCCCTAATCAGCCTCACAATAGAATTGTATTTATGTGCTTTTTTGGAGATGGGGTCTCCCACTGTTGCCCAGGCTGGAGTACAGTGGCATGATCTCGGCTTACTGCAGTCTCCACCTCCTGGAAACAAGCAATCATCCCACCTCAGCGTACCAAGTAGCTGGGACTACAGGCACACGCCACTGTGCCCAGCTGATTTTTTTTTTTTTTTTTTTTTTTTTTTTTGTAGAGACAGGGTTTCACCATGTTGCCCAGGCTAGTCTTGAACTCCTGGGCTCAAGCAATCCTCCCATCTCAGCCTCCCAAAGTGCTGGGATTATAGTTGTGCGGCCTATGTGCAATTCTGAACCAGACATGAACGCTTAAATCAGAACTAGTATTGCAATAGCTGCTAATATTTCCACAATGTTATAAATTGCAAAGTGCTTTCCCATCTCACTTGATTAAACCAAGCTCCATGCTAACAGCAGCCTCCTCCCAGGGCTCTTTGATTTCATTTTTACTGCAGTCCATTCTCGACACAAAAACCAGGGTGATCTTTTTAAAATGTTGATCAGATCATATCACTCTCTTGCTCAAAGTTTTCCAGTAGATTCCATTCCCACTAAGAAAAACATTTAAATTTCTGCTGCCCTCTCCGAGTTCTTTCTACATTCTTCCTGCAGGTGCTTACTGGCAACAGTGGCCTTTCAGTTCCTAGAACATGCCAACCTTGGTCTCTCCACAAGACCTTTGGACCTGCCAGTCTCTGCCTGAAACCCTTTTCATCCTTCTTCAAAGGCTGACTCATTCTCACCCATTAGGTATCAGCTTAAATGTCATCTTTTCAAAGAGTTCTTCTTCAGTCACCCCATCTAAAGTAGCACCCTAGGCCCCACTCCATACCATTATTCTATTGTTGCTTCCTTCAGAGCTGCTATCACCATCTGAAGTTATCCTGTTTATTTGTGAACTTGTTACTGCCTTTCTCCTTCAAAGAATGTGAACTCCATCAGAGCAGGGGTAGCGTCTGACTTGTGAACAGTTTCTCTAGTGTGAGGCCCAGAGTCAATGTGAAGAACAACTGTTGAATGGGTGGGTGGATGGCAGCCTATGTTCTGGCCCCCAGTTCAGTGCTGGCTGCATATTCCATAGCAGGGGTTTCAGAACTGTGTTTTGAGTAAATGACCTTGAAATCAAGATTGGCTAACATCTTCCCGGATTCCAGGTGTGATTTGTTACATCCTCCTTGTTCTGAAAACAGTGACTGTGTATAGTTTGCTCACCAGTCTGACAAAGAGTGGTTAATGGATTATGTAACTACATATTTGGATGATCTCTTAAATGTCTATTCTTTTTACAAATACCTAAGCTAATTCAGTGTTTATAAACCATAGCTTCGTGACACCCCAGGACAGTGGTTTTCAAAGTGTGAACTCTGAACCAGTAGCATCAGCATCACCCAAGAACTCTGTACAACTTTTCAGGCCCTACCCCAGACTTGCTGAATCAGGCAGTCTGGAGAGCTGACTAGCCCTCCGGGTGATTCTGATGCACCATAAAGTTTGAGAACCACAGTCCTAGGGCACTTCAAATTATTTTCATATTGTGCATTTTTAAATGTTCAATTTCTTTTTAATTAAAAAAGAAAAAAAAACACCTCAATACTTCTAGAAGGAGCGGGCACAAAATCAAACAGAATGCCAGCATGGCTACTGCAAGAAGCTGGTGACTTTGTAGTGGGGGTTTCAGGCATGAGCCACCCTTTAAGGCAGCAGTCCAGTGCTCAGCAACTCAAGCAAATAACAGGATGACTGGACAAAATAAGTAAGGTATTTTAAATGTAATAAAAAATATACCATTCACTTAGAAATTGCCATATTTTACATGAATTTTATACCTAGTTATAGTAACTTTTCTTCATCACAGCAGGCAACATGGTGTTTTTCTAAAACCTTGGTATCTTTCCAAATTCGACCTTGGTAAACTAGAATCCTTGCCCTTATGAAACTTACAGAATAATGTGATATTGGCTGGATAAATACTTGAACAATTGTAATTATAAAGTATGTGTTAAGTGTTGATGAAGGAAAATAAGAAGGTTTACTTGTACATAGGTAAGATACCTAGATTTGGGCAGGCAAGGGCCCTTCTCTGAGATAGTGACATTGAAGTTGAGACCTAAAGAATATTGGAGGAATTAGCCAGGAAAAGCAACAGGGAAGGGGAAGGGTGTTGCAGGGACATCAGCAAGTTACAAAGCCCCAAATCAGAAGAGAGCTTCAGTCAAGGTCCTGAAGGAAAGCCAGTGAGCCTGGAGGATAATGAGGGGCTACGGCTAGTGAGGTGGGCAAACTATGCAATTTAGGGTAATGTATATAATGGCTCACACTTTATCTGAGTTATTTTTAAAAGACTACTGCAGTTGCTTGTGAAGAGTGGACTGGACAGGCTCAGGATTTGAAGCAGAGAGACTTAGGAGGCCACTTGAGTAGATGAGAAGTGACCTGGTGTAGGGTGGCAGCAGTGGAGAGGATGAGATACAGAGATTCAGGATGTATTGCAGCGCTATAAGTGAACTCGCTGATGGATTTGGATGTGGAAGGTAAAGGGAAGGGAGGAAGAAGTGAAGGATGGGTTTCTGGCTTGAACAACTGGGTGGATGTTGGTGCTATTCATGGATGGAGGTTGGAAGGGTGGGACTCCTATCTTTAGGAAGCTCAGGGAGCTCCACGTGGCTGGAGAAATCCTTTCCTGGGCCTTGTTTCCTCTATAGTTCAGACACTTCCACTTCCCATTTCCAGGATATCTGCAGCTGTTTGAAAGTAAAACTAGATGCAACACAGACCCATCAGCAGAAGGAAATGAGCCTAGGTTTTTCCCACCATGGTGACAGATTTTTGCAGAACCATTTCCAACTTTTTCCCCAGTTTAATCTGGTCAGGAACAAAGCAGAGCACCGAGATCAAACCTGTGACTTTGTCCTCAGTCAATACATCATACTGCTACCGAATTCACAAGTGGTGAACGGTATGATTGTATATAATTGCTTCATGGGGCCCCAGGAGTGCCACATAAATCACCCAACAAATGGGGATTCGAATTTAATGGTTTGCAGAGTGGATGCCATGCTTCACAGTACCTAAGACTCTAGGGAGGGTGGTTCCTTCTCACCTCTTAGGTCAAATCTCACCTGCTCCGCTCATGTGCACCTCCCCTGGGCCTTTCCTCTTGCCATCTGCCACTCACCTCATTTTTGCCAGTCTACTTCTGTCATGCCCTTCAAACCTCAATTCAGAAAATAAAAAGTTGTTTTTTTTTTTTTTTAAGATAAGTCTTTTGAAAAATAGTAGAAATAGCTGAAAGGCAAGTCCAGTGTTTGACAATCTTCAGGGGCTTGAGGGATTATAAGTACCTCATAGTCTAAATTTGAGCATATTCTTTTTGGCCATTTTGATAGGGTTTGGCTGTGTCCCCACCCAAATCTCATCTTGACTTGTGGCTCCCACAGTTCCCTCGTGTTGTGGGAGGGACCCGGTGGGAGGTGGTTGAATTGTAGGGGGTGGGTCTTTCCCATGCTGTTCTCATGGTGATGAATGAGTCTCAGGAGATCTGATGATTTTGTAGGGGAGAGTTTCCCTGCATCAGCTCTCTTCCCTTGTCTGCTACCATATGAGACGTGCCTTTAACCTTCCACCATGATTGTGAGGCCTCCCCAGCCTCATGGAACTGTGAGTCCATTAAACATCTTTCTTTTGTAAATTGCCCAGTCTTGGGTACGTCTTTATCAGCAGCATGAAAAGGGACTAATATACATTTATTCTGAACATACTTACTGAACATTAATTAGGTGTGAAATACTCTGTCTGGGGGTAGATTATGAATGAGATCTAATCCTTGCCCTAGAGAGGAGCTTCCAGTCCAGGGAGGAGATGGGAGACACCAGGGCCATAAGCAGGTACAGCTCAGAGTAAGGAAGCATCTGGAGATGGCTTCCCAAAAGAGCCCCACATTGAGTACCCAGGGATGGCCAGTGGCAAGCAGAGAGCACCTCACACAAGGCTTGGAGCCAATTCAGGAGTTCTGAAGTCTTTGTAAGAGAGGCTATGCTTCAAGCAGACACGGTTAAATCAAGTCTGGAGTTTCTGTGCCCTAGGCTGACCAGTTCTTCCTCCTTTACCCTGGACAGTTTGTCAGAGTGCAGCTCCTGGTGTCCAGCAGAGGCACCGGAAGCAGGCTTGTCTTTTAAGACCAGGGAAGAAAAACGGTCATTTTCAAATAGAGATATCTGGATCCTGGAAATAGATCCAGGATATCTATAACAGGACATAATGTTACCACCTCGGACAAATGGCGGCTGTAGTTTTAACAGCGCTTTGAAGGCCCACCATGCTCCAGGAAGAAAGTCCTCACATGCTCTGAAAAGTTAATGGGGGTGGAAACGTACCTGAAAACGTACCTGACTGCTAATAAAACTTTACAAGTGTGTAATAGAAGGGGTTTTGGTAATTTGGGTCCTCCAAATCCTCCAAATCTGTGAGTCCTCTGCATCCTAATCTAACTAGGGTGGGAATTTTTTTTTTCCTTTGACACAGAGTCTCGCTCTGTTGCCCAGGCTGGAGTGCAGTGGTGGGATATCGGCTCACTGCAACCTCCGCCTCCCGGGTTCAAGCAATTCTCCTGCCTTAGCCTCTCAAGTAGCTGGGATTACAGGTGCCTGCCACCATGCCCTGCTAATTTTTGTATTTTTAGTAGCAATGGGGTTTCACCATATTGGCCAGGCTGGTCTCGAACTCCTGACCTTGTGATCCGCCCGCCTCGGCCTCCCAAAGTGCTGGGATTACAGGCATGAGCCACCGCGCCTGGCCTAGGGTGGGATTTTAAAATTCATTTTGTATTAACTCTATTTGTCAGTTGGTCTTTTTTTCTGACTTGATTCCTGGGACTAGTCACTCCAATTCTGCATTAATGCCAGTTGTTTTTCCACCACTCTAGAATGTCAGTAACACTAGCAAACCTTGGAGGCACTTATGTTATATCACACCTAAAACTTACTCTTGGCCAAAATCTTAAATCCACAGGATGAATTACAGACTAAAGTAAAAGCCATTATGTACTTAATGGCACCAAAATTTTCCATTACAAATACTGTTTTTAATTCTTCTTTAATTTGAAAAAAAAAAAAAAGAAGTGCCTTGAGGGGCTTTGAATTTCCAAGCTTTCTAGATCAAAGATTTCTTCAGCTCTCTGGATTATAGGAATGTTGAAAAACAAAAACAAATCATTTTCCTGCTGTAAAATCCTTGCCATGTTTTTGTCTTTATGTAACTCAAAACGGCTAAACTAAGAAATGAGGTTGGTGAGTCCTGTTCAAAATTCATCAGAAATAAAGTAATTGATAATTCCAAAAGTGTCATTCCAACTAATTGACCCAAAAGTAAATTTTACTGAACTCTTATTTGATGATCCAGAAAACTGCTAAAGAGCACTTGTAAGAGAACAAAATAAATTATGGCTAAGAATACCAAAATATTTTAAAGTGTTGATTAAAGTGATTCAAGACTAAATTATAATAATTTGGGCTTGGTGGTGGTGTCCAGTGTAAATTTCCCTCTGATTCCACATCCGCCCACAACTATAAATGTGTCCTTCTAGTAACGTGATCTGCAAAACAGTGAACTATTTATTTCAAAAGCTTTTGCAGAAAACATTAAAAAGTAACAGTTCCTATTTTCATAGTCATCAGTTTGCTCATGTTTTCTGTATGAGGCCTGACCCTTGGTGTACAAGAAATAAACTGCTTTTAGCAGGGGGATGTCCTTAGCTCTTGGTCATCTGGCATAACAGGTAACATGATAATTTACCACTGGTGCACTAGTGGGTTCAGAATTTCAGCACTTCCAAAATGAAGCACTTTTTGCCTTGTTACTAGAGAGAAGTCAGGTATGCTCACAGTAGTGAAAAAACTAGATGGCATGTATCGCGTAAAGCGCATGTCCTTCTGCATGGGGGAGAGTGGTGTCTATGTGCTCTTGGACATTGTGATGTAAAGCACTTTTGCATGTACAAGAGGTCATTTGTTTCCAATTTTTCCTCCATGTTATCTTTATTTAAAATTAAAGAGAATTGTTTTCTTTTTCTGATTATTAAAAAGAAATGTACCCTAGAGAAAAATTAAAAACTGAAAAAAGTAAAACTATAGTTAAAAAATCCCACCATTTGCATTTACTTATGTGAATTTGCATTTTGTTGTATTTGCTTTATGAGAATGTGTTTACATAATTGAGATCATGCTGCATATAGAACTTCTGCTTTTTCTTTAAAACAATCATTTTCTCATGTTACTCTGAGTTCTCTAACATCAGTCTTAATGAATGCATACTATTCTATTATGGGATGTGTGTTTTATAACCATTTTGGGACATTGAAGTTGCTCCCAGTATTTTGCTACCATAAATATTCTGCAATTCACATCTTTACACATAAAAAATTTTCAATATTGCTATATTTGGTGAAGACTTTTAGGTTGCAAGTCAAAGGAAATCAGTTTGCCTTGGCTTGAGAAAAAAGAAAATGTATTAGTTTACGCAGCGAAAAGCTAAGTGTGGATTAGCTTTGGGCACAGCTGGACACAGCAGCTAAATGATGTTTGTTTTCGGAACCTTTCTGTCTTCTGGGCCACTTCCTTCTGTGCTGGCTTCGCTCTTAGGCCTGTTCCTTTACATTCTTTCAGAAAGATGGCAGCTCTTTCCCAATCATTCTGGAAGTCCAATGATGGCTCATTCACATGACTGAGGTCCAGCACCTAGGCCTGAGCCAGTCACTGGAGCCAGGGCAAGGGAATGTTCTGGATGGCCAACAGGACAGCCCTGCTCCCTCTTGCACCTCCCCTGCTCTGTTCATCTGGCCCCTTTGCTGTTTCCTGAGCCCACCCAGCCTGCCCATCACTGATGACCACTGTTCCTATCCTCTCTGCCTCCACACAGTTCCCCCCCCGTCCCCATGGCTTGGTGCTCCCTCACTTCCTTCAGTCCCCGCTGACCACCCCTTCACTGTCTATTCGCTTTCTCTGACTTCACTGACTTATTGCTCCCTGATGTTGTGTTATATATTCATGTAGTATAATTTGTCACCTTCACAAGAACCACAAGGGGTGACACCATTTGTTTACAGCTCTATCCCACCCTACAATATTGATAATATTTATCAAGTGAGTTAATGAACGAGTCTGCCAGGCCAGGTGTGTACCCATCTGTAGGGTCAGCCCACCCTAAGGACTAGAGATGGGTGAGGGAAGGATGTGATTTCTCAAAAGAAAAATAAGAAATTGGGCAGCCATCACCAGAGCAAGTGGACTAAATGCCAGGCTGACCAAAACACTGATGATCTCCCTTACAATTTTGGATCACTTTCTAAAGCCAGTCCCAGGAGTGAGAAATTCCAAAAAGTTATAAATGTTTGGGTTTCCTGATAAGGACTGCTTCCACTTTTAGCCCTACAAAAATTCTCCTTATAGCAGATAAAATAATAATTCTTAGACGCAGAGCATCACATCATGCCCCTCCGCAACTTCAAACAGATAACCCTTCCGTGTACCATGACCAAAGACTCACCCTGGCACCCAGGCCCAAACTGGTCCAGTCTCAGCCTTACCTCTGACCGCGCCCCTATCCCGCTCCCCTTTCTGCACCAGGCCCTAACACACTGGCTTTCTCTTCTGCCCTGGAATTCACTCATCTTTATCTTGGGACCTTCATATTTTCTCTTCCTTCCTCCTGGAAGGCCCTTCTTGCTGCTTCCTACCCTTCCTTCAGGCCTTAGCACAAATGCCATCCCTCCAGAGGCCCAAGAGAACCAAGAGGGGCCCAAGAGGCCTTCCACTCCGACGATGCTTCTCTCCCGGCCTCTCTGGCAGACATGGGCATATTTTTTTTTCACAGCACTCATCACCCTTTTTATTTGTTTCCTTGTTTATTCTCTGTCTTCCCCCACTAGACTGTAAGCCCCATGAGGCCCTTTTCTGTCCATTGTTGTATCCCCAAAAGTCAAACTGGTACTTGGCAGATCAAAGACCCTCAAAAAATATTTGTTGGAAAAAAATTAACAAATTGCTCTCCAAGAGTGTTGTAGCAATTTGCAAATCAGCAGTAGGAATACTCAGTTCATCTCTCACTGAGGCAATTTTTTTAGAATACAACTCGGTGAGATGGATCCTCACTGCTTGAGTCCTGGAGGAGAAGCAATGGCACTGTTTTCTAACAGACAACACTTCCCATCTGAACAGAGATCAAGCACTCTCTATTATAGCCAGGTATGTTATAACAAGGCCCCTGTAGAATTTCACTTTCCCATTAGTTTTTTTTTTTTTTTTAAGATGGGGTCTTGCTATGTTGCCCAGACTGGAGTGCAGTGGCAATTCACAGGCATGATCCCACTACTGACCAGCACAGAAGTTTTGACCCACTCTGTTTCCAACCTGGGCCAGTTCACCCCTCCTTAGGCAACCTGGTGGTACCATGCTCCCCAGTGGCCACCATATTGATGCCAAACAGTATAGATACCCCATCAGTATAGCTCACTATAGCCCCGAATTCCTGGGCTTAAGTAATCATCCCACCTCAGCCTCTTCAGTAGCTGGGACCACAGACATGTGCCACCACATCTGGCCTCATCTAGTTTAAATATAGCCTGAGTGGGTTTTGTTGTTGTCGTTGCTGTTTGAGACAGGGTCTCACTCTGTTGCCTGGGGCAATCACAGCTCACTACAGCCTTGATCTCCTGGACTCAAGCAATCCTCCCACCTCAGCCTCCTGAGTAACTGGAACTACAGATGTGCACCAACATGACCAGCTAATTTTAGTTTTGTTAGAGACAGGGTCTCACTATGTTGCCCAGGCTGGTCTCAAACTCCTGGGCTCAAGCAATTCTCTTGTCTCAGCCTCCCAAAGTGCTGGGATTATAGGCATGAGCCACCATACCCAGGCCTTATAGCCTGAGTCTTAATCCCCTTATGTAAGTAACAAAAAATATTCCTATTGCAACTGGGCTAAAGATAACTTTCTAAAAATGTTACATTGAATAACAATAAGTAAATAATCACCTTAAGTATATGAGATGTGGATGGGCATAATTTCTGAGTTATCTAATTATGTTTGTAGTTTGATTTATAAAATCTTTCTAATCTGTTCACTGTTAATGCTAGAGTGTGTGTATTTTTGTATATTTCTTAAAGAACTTTACATTTTTAAAAAGTCTTGCAAAAAGAGTTGATCTAAAAGTATTTAATATAAAGAACAGCAAAGCACCCTTTTGTCAGAAAGAAATCCCTATGACATATCTCAGATTACACTAGTCAAATTTCCCTTTATCTGAATTTCTGTTTGGATACAAAATAATAATATCCTCATCTGTTTCAGATAAATGTTCAGCATTACCCAATATGGGGATCATAATGAATTCAGAAAAAAAATATTGCATTAAAAAAATAGCCAATTCAAAGTTTTTTTTAGTTTTAAAATAGCACCACTTGAGGAAGGGGATATATTTAAGTTCAAAGTCCCTAAGCAGGTGGTTTACTAAAGTTCAAGCAAACTAAAGGGTGACGGTTTGATTTTTATAACTTTCCTGTGATCTGGGATAGAATACAAAAAGAAAGTAAAAAAAAAAAAGCAAATAATTGAAAGACAACACAACACACACACACACACACACACACACACACCCCTGCCAAAGCATATCCTTGTTTTCTGCCAGTTGTGTCACCAATCAGCGATCTCAACCACAAAAGGCGTTTTCACGTCTATCTTGCCACTGTTGATGATCGAGCAGTTGGTGAGTGGACGGTCATGCCCATCAGTTGCTTGGAGCTCTATGGAGTGCACCACTGTCTGGTGAGAGAAAAGTAGACACATGGTTTAATTCTGACCAGCAGCTATAGCAATCCAAAGGTTAAACCAAAGCCAACTCCAAAAGCCCAAGTGGGAAGGAAATAAGGTTGGTTGGTTGGTTGGTTTTTTATGACTACTAAGCGTTTTTTATGCACGCTAACTGTGGAAAACTTAGAATATTTAGAAAATATATACATCACATAATAAAATTCACCCATGACCTTCTTACTCAGAGACCACACTGGTATATTTCCTCACTTCTTTTTAAATAAGCATTTTATATTCTAAAAAAGTAGATATTTTTGTAAACACCCAGCTCTAGTAAAAGGCATTTCCATTCACCTGGTATAAGCCAGCGTAACAGTTAACATGAAGTCTGAGTCAGTTTCAGCTCCATCCTGTAATAGGTCTTCACATGTATGGGCCAGAAAGCAGATTCAGAAATGGACCTAGTTCTAGGTTTGTCCATTTTAAAGGTGACCCAAGCCATTAACCTATAAGTTGAGCCCAATACTAATGTAACCCCAGCCCCCCACAGTGCTGTGAAGGCACCTTTCTCTACCCTGGAAGGCTTCACAAGCCCAACAGTACAGTATTTCACACTGAAGTAGGTTAGGACTGGGCAAGGAACAAGAAAGTAGGTTTTTGGTGGGTTTCCCAGACAGCATTGAGGCTACTAGCTCAGTTCCCAAACTTGTGTTAGATAGAATCAGAAAAACAGGTAGTTGTGAAGGAACTGCAGCGAGCAAGACTGGTTTATTTACATTTGGATGAGGGAGGTAGAATAAGTCACATGAAAACAAAATAAAATGAAACATGGAAGAGGGAAAGGGAGACAAGGATGGTCCAGGCCTGGGATGGACAGACTTTACAGTAACCAGTTTAGGAGCTGAGAGAGCTACTTCAGGCACCTGTAAGGCAGAAATATTGAGAAAGAAAGGGAATGAGGGTTTTAAGAAGTGTTCCTACGGGTTGTGAATTGGACTGCTTTGACATTCTTTGAGACCCAACAGTATAGATTCAAATTCTCTTCAATAATTTTTGGATGCGTGTCTCTGTGAATGTGACCTAGGTGTCTGAGCTGAACCAGATGGGATTCTGGGGTGGTTTTGTTTTGCTTTGTTTTCAACTATTTTATTTTTAATTCTGGTAAGAAATACATAACATAAAATGTGCCATCTTACTCATTTGTAAGTGCACAGTGCAGTGGTGTTGAGTATATTTACATTGTTGTGCAACCAATAGCCAGAATTTTTCATCTTGCAAAACTAAAACCTTATACCTATTAAATACAACATCCCATTTACCCCATCCCCAGCCCCTGGCAACTACCATTCTACTTTCTGTTTCTATCAATGTGACCACTTTAGATATTTTATATAAATGAAGTCATATAGTATTTGTCTTCCTACGACTGGTTTATTTCACTTAGCATAATGTCCTCAGAATGTCTTTCCTTTTGGAGACTGAATAATATTCCATTGTGTGTATATATGGGGTCCTGGTATATATTGGTTCCATTAAAAAGGGCTTTACATTTATATCAAGTAGTAAAATAAATCAACTTAGTCCTTAATTTCTCCTTGTCAAGTCCCTAGCTGCTGCGCCAATGACCCTAAGAATTAAAATGCCATACCATATATAATTTATTCACCTTTGAAGAGGCCAGTCAGCTATATAATGGATCTCTAACAAGCATATTTTAAGATTAAAATAAATCACTGAAAGTACTCTCAATAAAAATATAAAGCTTTGAAAGGAAAAAAATGTATCAATTTACCATCCCATCAATGACTTTTCCAAACACCACATGTTTGCCGTCCAACCAGGTGGGCTTGGTCAAGGTGATAAAGAACTGAGAGCCATTGGTGTCAGGCCCAGCGTTGGCCATGCTGACCCACCCAATGCCATAGTGCTTCAGCTTGAAGTTCTCATCTGGAAATGTCTCACCATAGATGCTCACACCTGAGACAAAACAAGGAAGAAAGTCAACAGATGTCTTCCAAAAGTCAGCTCTTCAAAGGGAAACATAAGGCCTTAGAGGAATCAATTACTAGAACCCTATAGGAGGTAGGGATGGGGAAGACATGTTCAAACATAAGCAGACATGAAGGAGGGAATAAAATTAACTCCTTAAGGGAACAGGGCACTAGGGCCTAAAATGAACAAAGAAAGCCTTAAATATGGCACAGGATAGTGGGATACTCTCTGGCCTCATACCAAGGGCCAAACCTTGATCAAGCAGGTCCATGACTTCGCTCTGAAGTGAGAAGGAACTGAAGGGCAGGAAAACATCCTAAAGCCAGATGAAAAGGTGTTTGAGCCATCCTAGTGGCTGTGCACCTGTTTCCTGAGGCTCAAAGCTCAGGACAGTCCTGTGACTTATCCAGGATTGGGTGTTACTCAGCACCCAACCAGGATGCACCAAGCATTCAATATATACCCACACCGAATTCTCATAACAACCCTGAAGAGTAGGTATTCTCCGTCCTATTTTACAATGGGAAACAGAGGTTACAAAACTTGAAAATAGCAGAGCAGAATTTGAACATCTGACTTTCTGATTCTAAAGCTGGTGCTTTTTCTTGCCTCAGCACCAAGAGCAATAGCAGCTGATCTGGAAGTTGTTGGTCACAGCAACTTCAGGACCCATCAGGACACAGAGGATGATGACAATTGGGAGCACCCAGTGGTCAACCTTGAACAGGAGAACCAAAGCAAGGCAGGAAGTCTGGAGTTCTAGCAAAGCGGCAGGCAGAGTGGAAGACCTTTCTCCACAGACCATAAGAAGGATCTGACCATCCTCCAATACCTCAAGGGTCTACCAGGCCCACCTCCCCTTCTGTAGGGCCCCTTATCTATCAGTTGCCAACTTCAAAATTCTGATTCAGTTAGAAAACCCAGAAGTAGGCTGGGTGCAGTGGCTCACACCTGTAATCCCAGCACTTTGGGAGGCTGAGGCGGGCAGATCGCAAGGCCAGGAGATTGAGACCATCCTGGCTAACACGGTGAAACCCTATCTCTACTAAAAATACAAAAAATCAGCCGGGCATGGTGGCGGGCGCCTGCAATCCCAGCTACTTGGGAGTCTGAGGCAGGAGAATCGCTTGAACCTGGGAGGCAGAGGTTGTAGTGAGCCAAGATCATGCCATTGCACTCCAGCCTGGGTGACAGAGTGAGACTGTGTCTCAAAAGAAAAAAAAAGCCCAGAAGTGGATATCAAAGCCAAGCAATTTATAACTGGTTGGTCAGTGACACTTGAAGTGGCCTTGTAGGAGAGTGCTCCTACAGAAGGGTCTACACTATATTTAAATTGCCCAAAACATTGTCTGTCCAAAATTCAGAGAATTTTAATGCAAGATGCACACTGGGCAGGGAAGGTAGTGAGAAAAAAAAGGTAGCAGAAAAGAGGGCAGAGTGAAGCTCAGTCACCATTCCTGCCAGCACCATTCCTATGGCAGGAAGGTGGGATGCCAGCACCGAGGGCACGGGCACCAGCGCTGCAGGGTTTTCCAATGAGATCCACGAGCGTCCTCAGCAAATCCCATTGCCTGGGGCAACCTAAATGCCTTCCTCCACTCCAGTCTACATCCCCATACCCCTCAGCATTCTTGCAAGAACTAGAAGTAATCTTCACAAAGTGCCTGGCAAATCAAAGCACTTAATAGTAGCCATTTTTGGTTATAAACAAACCATTGCAATAAACATAAAATTAGAAATAGTGCTTGAAAATGGCCTGTTGCTTTAAAAATGGACAACAAATATCCACCGAAACCAGTATTTGTTGAATTAAAAATCTTAAATCTAAAGTAAATTTAAATTATTTGGAGTTACATATATGGTGTATGTTCAAGAAAAGAACTAAACTTTTAAGAGAAAACAGTGTATGGAGCTGGATAGCTATAATCCTGAATGAGAAACAATAAGCTGAAGGAGATTTGAAACTCTCTAAATTTAACTATCTCTACTTTATTGAACTCCAACTTTGTTTGTAAGAGTTTGTTTCTATTACAATTTTGACAACTCAGCTATTGCTTTAACTTTAAAAAAGTATTGGTTCCCAGCTTTGTCCAAAGGACAGCAAATAGTAAGCTTGGGTCCTGACGAAACCACCACCCTGTAAACTCAGACACTGGATTCAGTCCTCCTGTTCCCAAGTTTCCCAAGTAGAACTCACTTTCTGTAACCCAACATTTTAGAACAGAAAAATGAAAACACATAGCCAGGAGTGTGAGTCACTTTTTTGCAGGTTAAATCTTAAAAGTTCTCTTGGACTTGTTTTTCACTGTTTTGTCAATATGATGAAAGATTTTGAAAGAAGGAGGAAAGTGCGCTGTGACCCTGCTGCTAACTCTAGTCTCAATCTCCTGGCATGAGGCCCGTCTTCCTCCTGCAACGCCCACCTCTGCCGCACGCTGCCATCCCAGGGGAACGCAGCTTCATGTTCCACACCTTTTCCTTCCTATGAAAGATATTTTTCTGTATGGCTACTGACTAGTAGTCTGGTATTTTAATAACTGCAAAATGAATACATCTCAATTACGGAAAGACAATAAACACCAAAACAATCCTGCTTAAAATAAGGACGCCTCCCTCATACCTGTCGAGATGCTGCTAGATGAGTCCCCAAAACTCCATCCTTCTCAAAGAGGTACAGTCGTCTTTACAACTGTGTTCCTTAGCTCTGGATTTCAACAGACTGGGTTCATATACTGGCTTAACCTTAGATTTCGGTTTGGTAAATGGGAAAGGAAAAATGCAAAGACGTTACCCCCAGTGCCATCTCCAGTGGTGATGTCACCTCCTTGAATCATGAAATCCTTGATGACACGATGAAACTTGCTTCCTTTATATCCATATCCTTTCTAAAGAGATTACTTCAGTTGAATAACAAGTAACAGAGGCCATACTGAAAGATAAACTCAGTGTTGATCTAGAAAGGACAAACTGAGAAAATTAAACAAAATGCCTACAGAACTTGATTCTATCCCAGCTATGGTTTACTGAGAGAAATTTATCATTAGCTGACCAAAAAATAAATATGTTATGGAAGTAGAGTATTAATGTGAATAAGTTAAAAGAGAGCAAACCATATTTTCACTTGATGATGATTTTCTCCCAATTTCCAGAAGCCTAAGGGCACTGAGTGCCCAAATAATACATATTTAATTGGAAAATAAAGTCAAATGTGGTAAGGTTCATCTGACATACTAATTTAATACTTATTTTCTCAGATGACATCTTTATATTTGGCTTCAAAGAAAGAAGACCCAATTTAAAGGAAATAAAATTGAGACATACCTCTCCTGTTGCTAGAGCAACAAAATTTTCCACTGTCTTGGGCACAACTTTTCCAAAGAGGCCAATCACAATTCTGCCAACATCTTTGTCTCCAATCCTCACATCAAAGAAGACCTGTGTGCAGTTGAAAGGCAAAGTGGAAGGTTATAAGGTGGAAAAGCACAAATACAAGGTAAGTCAAAATTAAAATCTGAGAATTGACCCACATACAAAAGCCCTGCCCATCAGTATTTTGTAAAGGAGCATGACATCAATTAAAGGTACTTTAAAACTATTGTGTGGGTGCATTTCACTCACAAATATTCTTTCAAGAAACATTTATTAAGCACCACCCATGGGCCAGGCACTGTACCAGGTATTGAGTTTAAAGGCTGACTCAACTCTGTCAGTGTTGGCCAATGAAGTCTTCAATAATTCTTCTCTTCCCATACCCCAGACAAACGCTGCTGCTACTTCCCATTTCCTGGCTTTATGGATGAAGAGTAGAATGGAAAATATTGCTCTCTTAGAAAGTAATGCTCTCTAATCTTGGCAGGACAAAAGAAAAAAGTTGTGAGGAAACAGGCTAACCATCAAAATTTATTTTTTTAAATTTCAAACAGTCCTAAATTTGCAATGAGTTCTCAATAGATGTCTGCCATCCAGGAGATGGCAAAAATGATGAAACACAGCAGTCCTTCAAAAGGCCTGCCACTCATGTCCAAGCACAATAAAGCACCAGGTCCCCAGCTTTCCAAAGGACAGCAAACATTAAGCGTGGGTCATCACGCTGACAAAGCCGTCACCCTGTAAACTCAGACACTGAATTCAGTCCTCTTGTTCCCAAGTTACCCAAGTAGAATTTGCTTTTCCTAACCCAACATTTTACAACAGGAAAAAGAAGACACATAGCCAGGAGTGAGTGTGAATCCACCTTTTGCAGGTAAAACCATAAAAGTTCTCTTGGACTTGTTTTTAACTGTCTCATCTGAAACAAAATTATATGCATTTTGCTTCACAAATCACTGTGTTAAGATGATTCTGAAATAGAACGCTTGAAAAGGCCACAGAGTCAAAGGGCATTCTATTAGCGCGTTTAGATTATATGAACCAATTTACTGTTTGAATGGGTAAAAAAGACATTCAAGAGATGGCTTTAAAAAATATAAGAACGGTTGTCAAAGAAAAAAGATGTCTTACAGTTTAGAAAAATCAGTAAGTAAAGACTGTCAAGCTTCAGTTCAAGTCAAGAGCTTCTGCCAATACATCAGTACATCTGTCACAGGGTGATGTGATATTTAGTGTTCCATGTGGCATTTTACAATTTTTACATGGCCAAAGCAGCAAAACTTTTATTATTACTTATATAGAAGAGCTTTATAGAATGCATGAGAAGGGGCAGTGTATTAAAGGAGTGCAATTCAGCATGGCTTGGGATAGGAAGGTGCTTCAACACACCCATGGGCCTGGTCAGTGCAGAGCCGGCTTACAAGAGAAGCAGTTTCTCCAAAGGGATTTGCAAGCCAAGGTGTAAATTCAATAACCAGCAATAACGAAGCAGCACCCGGAAGCCAGAGATGAAACCTTAAAGAAACATCATACGAGACACTAGAAGAGCCTTCCAGACTTTTAAAATAAAGAAGAGAAAACAAAGCCTGTGAATGTTTAGGAAGGGAATAAGATCTGGGAGAGCAGCATGAGCAGATGAAGAAAAAGTACCTGTCACCCAACATAACTCTTCAGCAAAAATCACATATTTTTACACACAGCCTAGCACACATATTATTATAATTTTTTTCCCCAAATTGAAATATCCTTCAGCTTCATGAGTGAGCATAAGAACACACAGCAGGTTTTGCCAACTCTACTGGAAAGGATAAAATCCAATCTCATTTTGTCAATAAGTATTTATGCAAGGTTATGTAAAAGGCAATGTGAGGGCACAAACTGTATAAGAGAGTCCCTGTCCTAAGGCAGTTTAAAATAAAGAGATAGGATAGGCAAACCCATAACCACAGTACAGGGCAGTGTGTGACAAATGCCCCCCAAACACTGTATGCCCAGGCCTGCAGGAACGGTGAGGCTAAGGAGGAAGGCTTGAAGGGAGGCAGGCCTGGGAGGAGGGGAGCCATCTCCCCAAACAAGGATGGGGGTGAGCCTTGCCTGGCAGACTTCTTTCTGGAACCAATGCACCTAGGCAGGAAATGTGACCTGTGTGCAGAGAAGCAAAGCTGCCCTTCTGACCACAACTAGGGGTTAGAGTGGGTGGGGGGCCAGGAAAGAAGCTGCCCACCAGTTCCAGAAGGCAGAGGAGAGATGCTGACGTAAGCATGAGTTTTGTTAGGCAAAAGAGAGAAGACAAAGAATAAGGTCAAGCGAGGCTCTGGGAATGTTACTCAAACGGAGAGAAAGAGAATCTGGGGCTCTTATACCAGTTGAAGAATAAGGTCATAATGGCCTGCACTGGGGTGGTGGCAGAAGGAAATGTACGAGGGAGACAGAAAAGGCATTTATTTATTTACTTATTTACTGAGACAGAATCTCATTCTGTCGTCTAGGCTGGAGTGCAGTGGCACAATCTTGGCTCACTGCAACCCCTGCCTCCCAGGTTCAAGTGACTCTTGTGCCTCAGCCTCCAGAGTAGCTGGGATTACAGGTGTGTACCACCACACCTGGCTAATTTTTGTATTTTTACTAGAGACGGGGTTTCGCCATATTGGCCAGGCTGGTCTCGAACTCCTGACCGTAAGTGATCCGCCCATCTTGGCCTCCCAAAGTGCTGGGATTACAGGCATGAGCCACAGCGCCCAGCCAGGAGAGGCGTTTAAACAAAGGGGCAGACACTGGAGGAGGAGCAGGAAGAAAGAGGGAAGGAAGCAAACATGACTTAGTGGTGGTCTCAGTGTGGGTAACCCACATCATCTTATATAATTCATCCTCACCACACTGGGAAAGGTGGGACAGGAACTATTATCACTAATTTACAAATGAGAAAAGTGGGAATTAGGGAGGTTAAGTGATTTACCAAGGTTTCCCTACTATGAGTGTGAGAGCCAGAATTTCAAGGCTGCCTCTAGCTAAACTGGTTTATTGTTAATAGGGCTCTCCGGGTCGAGCCAGGGAAACCCTAAGGAGTAGAAACAGTGTTTTTAGTTCCCCAGTGGCCAGCTAAAGGTCAGCAGGAGGAGGCAGTCAAGAAATGTTAAAAGATTCAATGTCAAATGATACTCAAGGAGGACCTGGGCACACACATTCCTAGACAGGAGGTGAGACAGCTGCCAGCAAACACTCTCACTCTAAACCCTCTCACCACTGGATTCATCTCTGATGTTGCTGAGTGCCTCTGGGAACAAAACCCAGTGCTGGGCCAGGGGTGGGGTGGGGCTACAAAGCTCCTACCCTCAAGGAGCTTCAGTCCAACAGAAAACACATATATGAATGCTATAATATAATGAGAAGTCAGATTTTATAAGACAAGTACAGATAAGGTGTCATGGTAAGGGGTGGTGATTATCTGTGGAGATAAGTGTGGGCTTCCTGGGAAAGGTGATATTGGATTCCATGCTAGACTTTGGGGTGAGCACCTCAGTCACTTGTTTTTTCCCTCAAGGCTGCCCTTGAAAGTCATTTGAAAATTACTCGGCATTGGAGATGGGAGGAGGTAGAGGAAGAGGGAGGAGGCACTTACACAGCCTGACCCAAACCCCTGTGGAATTAATCCTGATTCCATTTCCAAAGTAACTAGGGAACACACCCAGTACATGAGCTGCGATGTGGAAGAAACTGTTCTCAAATGCAGCTCCACCACTCAATGGCCATGGAAACTTCAGCAAGTTAATTAAACTCTGAACTCCCTTTCTTCATCTGTAAAATAAATGATGATTCCTTTCAGGTCTGCTCTGTCACAGTAGGATTAAGAAGATAAACACAAATAACACTAACAAGTGACTTCTGAAATCAGGGACTATGGACTATGTGCTTTACCTGCTGCTATGGTTTGGATATTTGATCCTAATGTTGGAGGTGGGGCCTAATGCGAGGTGTTTGAGTCATGGGTGTAGATCCCTCATGAATGGCTTGGTGCCATCTCAGTAGTGAATGGGTTCTCACTTTGTTAGTTCCCATGAGAACTGGTTTTAAAAGGAAGCTGGCACCACCCCCTTCAGCTTCCTCTCTCTCCACGTGATCTGCACCTGCCTGCTCCCTATCACCTTCCGCCGCCGTGACTGGAAGCAGCCTGAGGCTGTCACCAGATGCCCAGTCTTGAATCTTACAGCTCATAGCAGAGCCGTGAGCTAAATAAACCTTTTTTCTTCATAAATTGCCCAGCCTCAAGTATTCTTTTATAGCAACATAAATGGACTAAGACATCTGCTTTACCACATCTAATGTGCAAAGCCCTCCCAGGTAGGGATGATTTCTATCTCCATTTGACAAAGGAGGAAACTGAGCTGTGGACATTAGATAACTTGTCTAAGGCCATCTAGCCACAGCCTCCTGGCCACTACATGCTAATGTGCTTGCAAGCTGTAATATGTGTGCAGCTGGAAGGATGGTGGCATTATTTCATACACTCCCGATGCCGGATCCTGCACAGATCCCATGGCATTGGTTCAGAAATATAGGTCAGCAAATGTAATTCTGTGGATTTGGAGCCCAATGAGCCAGAGCCCCCACCTGAGCCTCTATGGCTGGGGCAGGAAGCTGCCAGGCTGGCCCAGCAGCAGGATCTGTGGACCAAGTTAGTGCCACTAATGGGCCATGTGGGCAGAATAGCACCTCACACCTCTCTTATTTACAGATTCCTATTTTTAAATGAAATCAGAGGTAAACAAAAACACTGCTGGGGAAAACAATACACTAGAGCAATGGCCAATTAATGTACTTGTCTGCACTCAGAGAAATTATTTTTAACGTCATTTTCCAATAGATTTAGTTGTCTTTACAAGTTCATGAAAAAGTAATTTAACAGAGCAGAATCTGTTTAAGACGCACCTACACAATCAGCTTTTAGAAAAACTTAATGACAAATTTGGTAGGGGGAAAAAAGACATGTTAAGTAACAATTCTGAGAGTAGGGTGCATGCAAACTCTCCCTCAGTGACAGTGTCACAGACAAGGGTTTAGGATGCTCAAACCCTTCCCCTCCTGCAGCCACCAGCTTCCTCCTCTCTTGGCTCCATCTTCCAGTGGTTCCCCGCCCACACTGCCTGCACATCAGAATCACCAAAAGCTTCTAAAAGATAGGATACTGAGCCCCACCCATACAGATTGTGATTGACTTGCTCTGGGGTGGGTCACTGCATCAGTAAGTTTAAGAAGTTTCCCAGGTGAAACCTGTTCCCAAATATTGCAGGGGACGTACTTACACTAAAAACATTTATTCATTGTTAATCTGATATTCACATCTAACTGGGCATCCTGTATTTTATTTGGCAATCCTATTCCCTCTCCCTCGCCCCCTTTCTAAACCGTCAGCAACTCCTGTTAGTTATATCTCCAAAATCTATTTCAAGTCCTTCCCTTGCTCCCCATTTCAATGATTACCACCCTAATCCAAGCCACCATCTGGACTCTGGCATGGTGCCCTGAATGACCTCCCATTTCACTCTCCACTGAGTGACCACATAAATTTCTCGAGTATATATTGAGATCATGCCATTCTTATGCTTAAAACCCTTCAGTGGCTCTGACTGCAGAATAACACTTCAAATTTTAAGAATTGCCTCAATACCCGCATGCCTACCTGCAGCCTCTAAGGCCCTGTGTGATTCCGCTGCTGCTCACCCCTCCAACCTCATCTCAAGTCACCTCTCATTCTGTGCTGAAGCCATTCCGTCCTCTCCACATCCTCTGAATGCAGGGAGGGCTTTCCTGTTTGAGGACCTATGCATATGCAGTTCCCTTTGCCTCCTTAGTCTTCTCTGCGCTGGTTTTTCTCATTTTTCAGCTATTTTTAAATGTCACCCAAAGTATATTACAGTTTATTTCCTCCAACATTTCATAATTGTGCGAATTTTATGTTTATGGCTTTATCCCAAGAGACCCCGTTCAGCTCTGTGGCCTTGCACAAACCATTTCCCAAAGTTAGACATGCCTACAAGATCAAGAGGCTGGGAGTAAGATCAGAGCTTCTCGAAACCATCAGGCTGTTTATCAGCCCCGCCCACAACGTGGCACGGCCTTTCTGCGACATCAGATGCTGAGCTGGACCTCCTCCTCCCCACCCCCTAGTCCTCCCCGTCCTCAGGTGGCGTCTGCGGTCGAGGATGTAAGCATTCTACTCGTTGATTAGTATCGTTTCCATTGACAAACCCCAGACTGATGAAGACCACTTTCAGCTGCAGCCCGCCCCCTCCAGCTTCAGCTTCGAAGACACTATTGCCAGTGGGTTTTCTAGAAGTGGTGATCATGGGCACCAAATTATCCCCTCCCTCTCCCTGCATTCTCCCATTATCGTCTACCCTTGGTTAAATACGCTGAAAAAAGAACTGAAGCGGAGTTAAGTACGAGGAAGCCTTAAAGACGCACTTTCTGGCAGCCCCCCGCCCCCTTTCCCCGCAGTGGAGGCTGCCCCAGGTCTACAGGTGCCGCCTTCGCCCGGCCTCGCGTAGCCCACAGCAGGGGCCGCCCGCCCGCCGAAGTTGAAGGCGCACCTCCCCTTCCCGGGAAGGACGACGGTTCCCCAAAAGAGGCGGAGGGTAGTCTCTCATCTGAACCAGGCGCTTTAATGCCTGCCTGAAGCCACCGCGGCCAGCGTGGAGACCACGCAGCGGGCGGGCGGCTGCAAGCCCTGGGCTCCGAGCGCCTCTCCTGTGCGGGTCCCGCCCCCCTCCCCGCATTCCTCTCGTTCTGCTCCCGAGCCCAGGCCACGCTGAAGGAAGTACTTGGGCAGTCTCTTTCCTGGAGAACGGGCCCGCCGGTTCCGGAAGCCTCTCCTACCCCCAGGCTGGTCACCTCGGACTACCGACCCGGGACAAGAAGTCCAAGCAGACTGCGGCGGAGGTAGGCTGGCCTCAGCCCAGCTCCCCCAGGGTCTCCCCCGGAGCGCCGGCCTCCCAGCACGCGAGCAGCCCCCTCCCACCCAGTCCCGCGGCCGCCTCCAGTCCCCCTGCGCCCGGGAAGCCTCCACCTCGCCCGCCCTGACACCGAGGTCCCAGTATCCAAAGCGCCCCCAGGGCCCCGCCCGCAACAGGGGAAGTTGCAGCCCGCCGCTCTCGGTCACCTTGGCCGTCACCGAGGGGCCTCGCTTGCGGAAGCCCTCGGCCCCCGAAGAAAACACAAGTGCGCCGAGCCCCACGCAAAGCACGAGAGGTAGCAGCAGCCGAGGACCCGGGCCCATGGTGAGCGGTGGCAGCGGCGCTACCGGCACGGGCGCTACCGGCACGGGCGCGACACAGGCTCTGGGACAGCTGACGGGACTGCCGGCCGGCTGCGCCTGCGCGCTCCCGGTTGCGGGGGATGGGGATCGGGCAGTCCGGGAAGGGCGGGGACCCGGGGCGCGTTCCTCCCAAGTTCAGACTCGCGACCCGAACTTGGGATTCGGAGGAGCGCGCCCACAGGGCGCAGCCAGGGCTCGACCGCCGCGCCTTAGGCGGGTGCGGAGGGCGCCAGGGACGGGAGGGAGCCCGGGTTGCCCAGGCGCGGAGCCGGGCGCAGCGGGCTAGGCTGGGAGCACCTCCAGGAATTTACCGCGTAGGCGCGGATTAAACTTGGACGGGAAGACCAGGACTCTCGGGCTTCCGCGTCCGCCCGGCAGCTAGCGCTCCGCGGGACTGGGAACTCTGCAGCCGGTCCCGGTGTGATTGCTGCCGCCTTGGGAGCAGCCTCCGCCGCGGCCGCCGAGTTCCAATGGCCCATTGGAACCTTTTGCTAGGTTTTGGACGCTTAGCAGAACTTTGACATCGCTGGAGGCGTGGAGCCCTGTTGCACTCGAATAATGGCCTCTCTTTGAGATGATTCACGTCTAGGGAACACTGGAAAATGCTGGATTCACAGTGCCCCTTTGCCTTCGAAAAACTTTTACATTGGCTTTAAGTACTTTATTTGGAGGATGATTCTGTGATCTTATCTACACTGTTCACAAGGCAGCACTTACACAGGCCCAGAACCATGGTCATGTAGGATTCTTTCCTGGGGAAACAAAGTAAATAAACTGACTTTTAGGTGTATCTGTAGGATGGATTTTTTACAAACTTAAGAATTATGTTTAGGAAGATTAATGACTGGGGAAGTAAGTTCTTATTATATTTTTAAATGGAAAATTCGGGTTGCAAAACCACAAATTCTGATCTCAACCGTGAAAATAAATATATCAAGGCACTTAAATATTGAAAGAGATGTACCACAACGTTTACAGTAGCTATAGATAGAATTGATAGCTATTGATAGACTTATGGATTTTTGAGGGTTTAAAAAAATTTTTTTTACAGTTTTCTGATTTCCCAGATGTTCTACAATGAGCATATAAGTATTTTATAACATGGAAAGGGTTATTTTAAAACTCATTGCTTTTTGAATTAGAATTTCAAAAGAACTTTTTTGTTTTAGAGTAACAGCCCTAAAATTAACTAAAAATTAGTGGTATTCGCACATAGGTGCCATTTTAAGGGGCTGGTGCCATTACTTTCAAGCCAAGATTTTCCTCGGATTAAGAGATGGAATTTCTAAATGTCAGATGGGATTCCTAGGTGTACCTAAGTGTAGATCTAAAATGACATTGGAACCATTAGAGATAAAAGGAGTAACCACTACTTCTTTGGGGTGAGAAAAAGGAGAAATGCAATTCTGAGCTATTTTTATGATTCAGTCCAGTGAAAGACCTAATGGCTTTCCTCTTCATCCCCACCCCCAATAAGGAAAGAGTCCCCCTTGTGTAGCAAGACAAGGGTATCTCTCAGAGCACTTACCCTACGAGGTGACTGTGAGGTGATTGTATATATTTATCTGTGTTCATTAATTGTTTTTGTCTGTCTGCTATCAGAAGTAAGCAGGGCCAGGGCAGGGATCAGGCCTATATTTATTCCCCTTTGATGACCCAGATCTAGTGCAATGCCTGATATATAGTGATTTCTCAATAACTATTTGTTGAATGAATGAATGTGTCCAACTACTTTTTATGCTACCACCATCTCACCCTCTAGGCAAAGAAATGAAATCTTTCCCAGCTCCCTAGAAACTCCTCTTATACCCTCTGCCAGTTACAAACACTTTTTTCTGCCCAAATTAACTGCAATCCTGACTTTTCTTGTACTATAGTTTAATTTTGTTTTAATTTTATTTGAATAGGGTATTACCGTATGTATTTCTTTTTGCTTAAATTTTTGTGAAATTCATCTATATTTTTGCATATAACTATTTTGGTGGCTAATACAAAGTAGGAAGCAAATTCATTTTTTTCATAAGAATATTCATTTATTTCAGTACAGTTTATTGAAAATTCTCCCCTTTAACTCACCGCTCCATACTGTTCTTCTGTCACAGAGCAAGTGCCCATGTATGCATAGGTGTGTTTGTGGGCACCCTATCTGTCCCATTGGCCTATTTGTCTGTCTTTGTGCCAATACTACATTGTCTTCATTAAAATAGCTTTATAATAACTCTTCATATTCAGTAATACATACCCTCTTAGCTTTGTTCAACAAATTCTTGGCTGTTCTTGAGCTTTTCCATGTCCATATAACTTGAGAATCAGCCTGTCAGTTTCCACACACTGAGATTTTGATGGGGATTGCACTGCATCTGTAGACCATTTAAGACTTGGCAAATTTACAATATTGAGTCTTCTAATTCATGAACATAGCATATTTAAGTCTTCTTTGGTTTCTCTCAATAAGATTTTATAGCTTTCTGCCCAGAGGTCTTACACGTATTTTATTAGTTTGATTTCTAAGTGTTTTTTTATGCTATTGTCATGTATTGTAGTAAAATTAATTTATATATTAACTTTGTATATACCAACCTTGTTAAACATATTCTAATAATTTATCTGTGAATTGTTTAGGATTTTCTCCATAGACAATTATGTCATCCATGAATAATGACAGTTTTATTTCTTCTTTTCTAATCTTTACATTTTGTATTTCTTTTTTGGCCTTTTTACACTGGCTGGGATCTGCAGTACAAAAGGAAGTGGCAACAGTGGGAGTCCTTGTATTGTAGACTGAATTATCCTCCAAAAAGATATATTGAAGTCCTAAACCTTGGTATCTGTGAATGTGACCTTATTTGGACTGCCTTTGCAGACGTAATCAAGTTAAGATGAAATCATACTGGAGTAGGGTTTGCCCTACTCTAATATGACTTGTGTCCTCATAAAAAGGGAACAGACACAGACACACGCACAGAGAACACCATATGAGGATGGAGGCAGAGATTGGAGTGCTGTATCTACAAGACAAGGGATGCCAAAGATTGCTGGCAACCCCCAGAAGCTAGGAAGAGGCAAGGAAGGATTTGCCCCTAGAGCCTTCAAAGACAGCATGGCCTTGCCAACACCTTGATCTCAGCTGCTAGTTTCCAGAACTGTGAGACAATGCATTTCTCTTGTTTGAAGTCACCCAGTTTGTGGCACTTTGTTACAGCAGCCCTAGGGGGCTCATACACCTTGTCTTGGTCCCAGTGTCAGAGGGAAAGCTTCAGTGTTTCACCATTAGGCATGATATTTGCTGAAGGTCCTTTTGGGGGATATCTTTTTTCAGATTCAGAAAATTCCTTTCTAGTCCTTGTTTGCTAAGAGTTTTTAGCATATATTTGATTTAAATTTTATTAACATCATCTATTGAAATCAATTGAAATAATTATGTGATTCTCTTACTCTGTTAATGTGATGAATTGCATTGATTTTCAAATCTTAACCCAAGCTTACATTCTGGAATGTGTCCAACATGGATTATCCTTTTTATATATTACTAGATGTGGTTTGGCAATATCAGTTTATTAACAAAGTTGCCAAAAACTGAATATAGACTATCTTCTGAAGTTCAGGAAGAAAAGAGTGGGTAAAATGTGGCTCTGGCTGTCCAGCTGAGACTGAGTTCGTCACCCACATGTCATTTCAGTGTTAGTGGGTAAATCTGCTAATCTTATTTTCAGGATATTTGCATCTAAATTCTTGAATGAGACTAGCCTGAAATTTTCCTTTATTGGAGTTTCCTCTCAGCTTTTGTATTAGAGTTGTTCTGGCCTCTTAATATGAGTTGGCAAATGGTAGCTGTTTTTCCCCTACTCTTAAAGGGTTTGTGTAAGATTACCATTTCTTCCTTGAATGTTTCTTAGAAGCCATCTGAGCCTGGAGTTTTCTTTATTGTAACATTCTAAATTATATATTTAACTTTTAAAATAGTTGGAGATTATTCAAATTCTCTATTCTGTTCCTTTACTTGAAGTATTTTTCAAGGAATATATCCATTTTATTTATATTTTAAAATATTGTTTTATAAAGTTGTTTAAAACATTTTTTAATGATTTTGTAGGTCTGCGGGACCTGTAGTAATGTCTTCTTTTTCATTCCTGACATTGGTTGTTTCTTTTCTTGTTTTCCTTGAACAGTTTCACCAAGGAAGCTGATGAATCCAATATATTTTATCTTATTAATTTATGTTCTAACTTTATTATTTCCTTCTCTCTGCTTTCTTTGAGTTTAATTTACTGTTATTTTTCTGTCTTCTTGGATAGACTCTTAACTCATCAATTTTTAAAGCCCTTCCTTTTTTTATATAGTACTCTGTATACAGTTAAAATGATAAAGTTCCCCTTGCACTTCTTGAACGTTTTGATATGTCATATTTTCATTATTCTTTGAAAATAATTTCTAACTTATATTTTTATTTCTTTTTTGACCCATGTGTTATATAAAGGTATAGTACTTTATTTCCAAACATGATTTTTAAAAAATCCTTTTGTTAGTGATTTCTAACTTAGTTGTATTGTGGTCAGAGAACATATTCTGTATTATTTCATTCTTTTAAAATATGTAGAGACTTGCATTATCACATAGGATCTGAACAATTTATTTGATTCTGCCCTCGTTAGATATAGTATTCTACATATGTGTTCATTAGATCAATTCATATCTCTATCCTTACTTTTATCTGCTTGTTATAAGAGTTACTGAGAGAAGTGTGTTAAAAATCAATTTCATCATTGACTCTAGTTTGTTTATTTCTCCTTGTAGGTCTGTAAATTTTTTCTTTATATGTTTCTTTATATATTTTTGAGACCCTATTGAATGCAAACACATCTAAAATTATCTTTTGATTAATTAAATTATCTTATCATTATGTAGTATCATTCTTTATTTCTAATAATGTGTTTTGCCTTAAAGTCTGATATTAATTCTCCGTCTACTGGATTGGTCCATTATATGTTCTTTTATTATTCTTTCAGTAGTTATACTAGAGATTACAGTATATATTCTTGATTCCTTAAAGCCTACCATTACTTGTCACCTTTACTCTCTGGGTAATGCAAAAAGCTCAGGACACTTACCTCCTTTTCCCTTCTTAAGAATTGTATGCCTTTGTTGTCATGTATTTTATTTTACCCCATGACACAATTATTATTGTTTAATAAAGTTATATACACTTAGATATATCCACATATTTACATTTTCATTGCTCTTCATTACTTCTTGCATTTCAGACTTTATGTGGCCATTTTCTTTCTGCCTGAAGAAGTACATTTGGTATTTCCTTAACTGCTAGTCTGCTGGCAACAAATTATTTTATTTTTATTTGCCTGAAAATGTCTTTACTTGACTTTATTCCTGAAGGATATTTTTGCCCAGTATAAAACTATTTTATTTCTGTAGTATCAATATGTTACTTCCTTTGACTTCTAGCTTCCATTATTTCTGTTGGAAAATCCACTATTAGTCTAATTGTTGCTCCTTTGAAAGTGATTTGTTTTTTAAAATCTGAATGATTTTAACATTTATCTCTCTATATTTTGATTTTAAAGCAGTTTTATTAGAATTTGCTTAAATGTAGATTTCTTTTTACTTATCCTACTTGGGACTCAGGATTTCTGACTCTTTACCAAGTTTAGAAAATTCCCAGTCATTAACTCTTGAAAAGTCAATTATAATCAATCTCACTACCCTCGTACAATTACTTTCTTTTCTTTTTTTTTTTTTTTTTTTTTTTTGGAGACGGAGTCTCACTCTGTCACCCCATGCCTGGAGGCCTGGAGTGCAGTGGCAGATCTCAGCTCACTTCAATCTCTGCCTCCCAGGTTCAAGTGATTCTCCTGACTCAGCCTCCCAAGTAGCTGCGATTACAGGTGCCTCCCACCACACTGGGCTAATTTTTGTATTTTTAGTAGAGACGGGGTTTCGCCATGTTGGCCAGGCTGATCTTGAATGTCTGACCTCAGGTGATTCACCCGCTTCAGCCTCCCAAAGTGTGGGATTACAGGCGTGAGCCACTGCGCCTGGCCCAATTACTTTCATTTATGCATATTTCTCTATACTGTCTTTTACATGCACAAGACATTTGAAGTAATATACTGTAAAACTGTACAATTAAAATTATAAATAAAATGTAAGACCATGACATGAAATCCAAACAGTACATGGATGAATTATAAGAAGATTAGCTAATCTGCTAGCAGTTATCTTTTGTAATACTAAAATAAACAATGGCAGCATAACATTTTTGTAGCTTGCTTCTTTTGTTGTAGTTTTGATCCATCACAGACTGTTTGTGTTTCATTTATTAATCATTTATGAGTACCAAAGGGTACAGTTTTGTCACATTTAGTGTTTTCCCCCTAGCTTATTAGAAGCAAGTTTTAGATTTCTGCTACTTGTAAAATAAATGTGGCTCTCAAAGCTGCATGTCAATGTCTTTTATAAAACTCTTTATTTATTTTTTGTCCGCTATATCAATTTCTTCCCTCATTTATGTAAATAACATCTTAGTTAAGTCAAATATTACCTTCCTCTCAAACTAAGACGGAACTGGCACAAATGCCTTTGTTAAATTACATTCACTTTTAGCAAGTAAATGCCTAAACCCTTGTTAATTACTAGCTATTTATTTGAATGATGAATTCTGCTTGGGAAATTTCCTTTAAATGTCAGAATGAGGGAAATGTACAGTGACCTGAGATCATCCAGGAGGCACTAGGGTCTCCTAGCTAGAACCCGAGATCAGGGCTGAAGTTACTGGGGCTCTCATACTGTTCTTGTCTTTAATGTGCCTAGCATCTTTTTCTGGAGCTAATCATTTAGGCAAATGTTCTGCTCCTTTACTACCTGCCCCTGCCAAACTTTCAGTGACAAAATCTTTAAGGGATTAAAAACGAATCTTGCTTTTATTTGCCAACCTGGACAAAACCAACTAGCACTGTTAATGACAGGTATCATTAAGATACTCTGTTCTCACCCTCCCTGAGCTCCTTCAGCAATCAGCCAGAAGAGAAGCAGCAGCATTGATACTTACCCAGGCTGGGCACTGGGGTACAAAACCGAAGATGCCCTCAAGGAATTTCAAAGGTAGGATGTGTACATGAGAAGGGTTTAAAAACTATGTAAAGGAACGGGTTCAGCCCACGGAGAAAGATTGCAGAAGGGAAATACTAAGCAAGGCATCTTGTATACAATATCCTCTATAATCCTGAGAGGGAGGTATTGTTGGAAACTGATAAAACTGAGGAGTTGAAGTTCATCGAAAACCTCAATGTGTCTGCATCTGTGAAGTTCAGGTGTGATGGAGATTTCGCAAATATCTAACTTAACTGGTCAAAAATGGTTAATTTAGAGAACATGGAAGCACGGTTGCACTGGAGCATGATAATTAGGAAGTGACGAGAATTAGAGAGCGAGTAAATATGGCTCTTGCAACTGGTGAAATAGGAGATTGATTACACATTGATTATATTCCAAAAATTAAGGAAAATTTAATTATGCAAAAGAACAAAAATCTCATGCTGTAAAACCCTGATGATTCCTACTTCATGCTGCATTGATCTGAGAGCTAGATGTGTCTTCCTTGACAGTTCAGGCAACCCTGATTCTAATTCTTTGGAGACAATCTGTTATTAAATTGATCTGTGTATTTATGTTCTGTCCTATTCACTGTTATTTACTATTCACCAAGGCTGCCAACTTTTAAACAGTCTTGATATAAATGTTTGTTCCTAAACCTTTGCTGATAGATGTGTTTTATGTAACAGTTACGGAGTCCATTAACATGAAGCACTAAAACACAAAAAGAAACTGAAGAGATTTATAAGCATATGAAATGCCCTCACCAGAGACAGTTGAAATAATAAATTGAAAGTCAAAGGAACATTTGTGAAGTTACTATGAGCAGATTTATCTACATCAGAACACGTTTCTGGGACTGAATCATGCTATATATTATGTTTAACTTAAAAGGTAAAATACAAATTGATTCTTTTATATTGGTAATGACTTATTGTGTTGAGAAAACCCTACTATTGTAGAGGAGAGAAATTTCACTTTGAACACTCCTATGTCATTTGTTAAATTATCTGAATGATTTTTCTTTACAAGTTGGAAGTTTAGGAAAGCTCGAATTATTAATATTTTTATGTGATAGTAAAATACTTCCAGTATTATTGTTTTACAAAAATATCCAATTCTGAGCCCAGTTGTGATAGCAACAGTATTCTAGGAAAAAATTTTTCTTGACTGCAACTTGAGGTATAATTAGTATCCTCAGAAACAAATATCCCTGCCCCTAGAAAAGAAAAACGTTTGGCAAAGCAAAATGGTGGCATCTATCTCCTCGTTAAAACATCACATTGACAAAGTCCATACACTTCTCTGTTTCAAAAAGTCCCAGTCCTTTTAAACATTGACATTCTTATCATTTTGTGTGTTCGGCGCTGGCCACTGACTAACAGTGTCTGTGTGGATTTCTCCTTGAATATCTTTCCTCCATCAACTGATAAGTTAGTCACTCCTAGGATTTCTGGTCAAGAACATGGCTCAAAGAAAGCAAGCTGATAGTACATATTTGAAATTGCAACAAAACATTCCTTCTCTTCTTGTTCTGTGTTTTGTTGTTGCTTGCTGTTTATTTTTTCATATTTGAGGGTAGATCTAAAGGCTACTGAGCTTTCAGGTTGAGGTCGCCCGGGCACTAGAGTGGCAGTTTAATATGCTTTCCTGGGAGAGAAAAGACACTGGTATTGTAAATCTAGCCTGTATTCACTATCACAGGGCTAATCCATGGCCATAAAATTAGAGTCAAATATAAGATGAACTGCAAGCCACTCCTTTCACATCAATCTATACACACAAGCTAATGTGTTATTTTAGGAGTGAAAACAAAATTCTTAATTGCTCCTTAAAGACGTAGCTCAAGGTATGGGATGATCATAACAAATATTTTTGATCACATTTATTTTTCCTGTATGTAACTTTTTATAAATAAATAAAAATGTTAAAATTCAGGAAACTAAAGGGAGAAAATTTTCAAAGTCCCAATCCCCCAAAGTAAATACTGTTTTTTTTTTTTAATTGTAGAGACAGGGGTCTTACTCTGTTGACTAGGCTGGTCTTGAACTCCTGGCCTCAAATGATCCTCTCAACTTGATTTTCCAAAGGGCTGGGATTACAGACATGAGCCACCACACCCAGCCTAAAACATGTTTTTGAGCCAGGTGTGGTGGCACACACCTATAATCCCAGGGATGATGGAGGCTGAGGTGGGAGAAATGTTTGAGGCCAGGAGTTTGAGACCAGCCTAGATAAAATACTGAGGCCCTCTGAAAAAATATTTTTAATTAACAAATTAAATGAAAATTAAAACAGTCTTTTGAAAAATGTAAGAAAATTTACAGAATTGAAAAAATTTTAAGTATCTCTCCTGCAACAACAAAATTGTTCAAAAGAAAAGATTTCCAAATCTTATAAACACCAAACAGTAGTTTTCATGGGCAGGAACTAAAAATTGAATTTGAAAATGTAGCAGGGAGAAGTGAAAAGAATCCCAGCCTTGGTGGAGAAGGGTATGGAGATCCACTCACCTATGTCCCCCACCTGCTCTCAGGCAACACCAGCCCCTGGTAAACCATGGGGTGTCTTCTCTGCCCTGCTTTGCACTGGTCAGCTGCTGCAGCCAGCCAGGCCCAGGGAGGAATGTGGCAGTGATGCCCCATCCACCCTCCTTCTAAGGATATCAGAACAGGAAGAACGTTAGTCCAGTGCCTCTCACTTAACAGATAAGAATGCTGAGGTCCAGGGAAGTGAAATAACTCAACACAGAGCTGGCTCTGTCACTAGGCAGCAGTCCTCCCTCCCTGGGCATCTGAAGGGGTACCGGGCCGCTTCTCCACTTCTCTACGCAGGTGCCTCTGCTGCCTCCAGCTGCCTGCAGAGAACTGCCCAGCAGTGGTGGGCCAAAGTCAGCCTGTTTTCAAGCATAAGCCCAAATGAAAGTTTTTAAATAGCAAAGGAGGATTTCAACCTCCCTTTCTACCAAGGGCACATCATAAGTCCATTTGAATGATTCTGAAAAGCCTCTACGTTTTCCATTCAATGAGGAAACATGCCAGAGGAACTCAAAAACTAAGATTTTCAGTAACAGAACCCAATAAAGCCCTACTGTCCCTTCAGGCTTGACAGAAACCCTGGAATTCTAGACCCTTGGGGCTGGAAAGAGCTTTATAAAGGTGATATTTTGTTATGAGTTTTAAGCCACAGTTTAGAAAAAAGAAGGAAGTTATTACTTCTGTCACCAAGAGGGTACTAAACATTCCTGCCTTCAACTAAAACTATTGCAGAAATAGTTTTTCAATTTTTCTGAACTGAATTCTAAAGTAGCAGTGTAAAATTGATCTCATGGAATTAATGTATAGAATGGTGATTACCAGAGGCTGGGAAGGGTGGGAGGTGGGTAGGGGGAGATGGAAAGGGGTCGGTTAATGAGTACGAACATACAGTTAGATAGAAGGAGTAAGTCCTAATGTCCAAGAGAACAGTGTGACTGTAATTGACAGTAATTTATTGTATATTTCAAAATAGCTAGAAGAGATTTGGAATGTTCCCAATACAAAGAAATGACAAATATTTCAGGTGATGGGTATCCCAATTACTCTGATTTGATCATTACACAATGTATGTATATACCCTATAAATATGTACAACTATTATGAGATCAATTTTTTTAGCTCATGCATATGAGTCAGAACATGCGATGATACTTGTCTTTCTGTGCCCAGCTTATTTCAATTAACAATGTCCTTAAGTTCCATCTATGTGGCTGCAAATGACAGGATTTCATTCTTTTTATGGCTGAATAATATTCTATTGTGTATATATACACATTTTTAACCATTTGTCCATTGATGAACACTAAGGTTTTTCCATCTTTGCTATTATGAATAGTGCTATAATAAATACGGGAGTGCAAATATCTATTTGATATACTGATTTCCTTTCTTTTGGATGATATACACCCAGCAGTGGGATTGCTGGATCATATGGTAGCTATGTTTTCAGTTTTTTGAGGAATCTCCATTCTATTTTCCGTAGAGGCTGTAGTAGTTTATATTCCCACCAGGAATGTATGAGCATTCCCTTCTCTCTGCATCCTCACCAGCAGCTGTTATTTTCCTTTTGGTAATGGCCATTTTAACTGGGGTGAGATTATATATCATTGTGGTTTTGATTTGCATAGCCCTGATGACTAGTGATGCTGAGCATTTTTTCATATGCTTGTTGGTCATTTGTATATTTTCTTTTGAGAAATGTCTGTTCAAATCTGTTGCCCATTTTAAAATTAGATTACTTGGGTTTGTTTTTTGCCATTCAGTTGTTTGGTTTCCTTAAATATTCAGGTTATTAATCCCTTGTTGAATGGATAGTTTGCAAATATTTTCTCTCATTCTATAGATTGTCTCTTCACTTTGTTATGTCCTTTGATGTACAGAAGCTTTTTAGCTTGATGTGATCCCATCTGTCTATTTTTGCTTTTGTTTCCTGTGTTTTTGAGGTCTTATCCAAAACATCTTTGCCCAGGCTAATGTCCTAAAGCATTTCTCCAATGTTTTCTTCTATAGTTTTATGGTTTGGGGTCTTACATTTAAGTCTTTAATCCATTTTGATTTGATTTTTGTAGAAGGTGAGAGATAAGGATCTAGTGTCATTCTTCTGCATATGGTTTTCCAGTTTCCCAGCACCATTTATTAAATAACCTGTTCTTTCCCTAACGTATGATCTTTGTCAAAAATCAGTTGGCTGTTAATGTGTAAATTTATTTCTGGGCTCTCTATTCTGTTCTGTCGGTCTATATATCTGCTTTTATGCCAGAACCATGCTGTTTGATTACTGTATTAGGGTTCTCTAGAGGGATATAACTAATAGGATATATGTATATATGAAAGGGAGTTTATTAAGGAGAATTTACTCACACAATCACAAAGTAAAGTCTCATGATAAGCTGTCTGCAAGATGAGGAGCAAGGAAGCCAGTAGTGGCCCAGTCCAAGTCCCAAAACCTCAAAAGAAGGGAAGCTGACAGTGCAACCTTCAGTCTGTGGCCAAAGGTGGGAGAGTCCCTGACAAATCACTGGTATAAGTCCAAGAGTCTAAAAGCTGAAGAAGTTGGAGTCTGATATTTGGGGGCAGGAAGCATCCAGCACAGGAGGAAGATGAAGCCTGGAAGACTCAGCAAGTCTGCTTTATTCTAGCCACGCTGGCTGTTGATTAGATGGTGCCCACTCAGATTGAGGGTGGGTCGGCCTCTCCCAGTCCACTGACTCAAATATTAATCTCCTTTGGCAACACCCTTACAGACACACACAGGAACAATACTTTGCATCCTTCAATCAAGTTGACACTTAATATTAACCATCACAATTACTATGGTAGTATATTTTGAAGTCAGGTAGTGTGATGCCTCCAGCTTTGTTCTCTTTGCTTGTGATTGCTCTGGCTATTTGAGGTCTTTTGTGGTTCTATATGAATTTCAGAATTTTTTTTCTATTTCTGTGAAGAATGTCATTGATATTTTGATATGGATTGCATTGAATGTGTAGATTGCTTTAGGTAGTATAGACATTTTAACAATATTAATTCTTCCAACTCATGAGCATGGAATATCTTTCCATTTTATTGTGTTCTTTTCAATTTTTTCATCAGTATTTTATAGTTTTCATTACAGATATCTTTCACTTCTTTGATTTAATTTATTCATAGGTATTTTTTGTAGCTATTGTAAGTGCGGTTGCTTTCTTCATTGCTTTCTTTTGACTTATATACACTGTTGGTGTACATAAATGCTACTGATTTTTGTATGTTGATTTTGTATCCTTAAACTTTACTCAATCTCTTTTTTTTTGTTGTTTTTTTGAGACAGAGTCTCTGCCACCCAGGTTGGAGTGCAGTGGCACAGTATTAGTTAACTGCAACCTCCACCTCCTGGGTTCAAGCGATTCTCCTGCCTCAGCTTCCAGAGAAGCTGGGATTGATAGAGTCTTACTCTGTCACCCAGGCTGGAGTGCAGTAGTGAGACCTTGGCTCACTGCAACCTCCACCTCCCAGGTTCAAGCAGTTCTCCAGAGAAGCTGGGATTATAGGCACCCACCACCACGCCCAGCTAATTTTTGTATTTTTAGTAGAGATGGGGTTTCCCCATGTTGGCCAGGCTGGTCTGGAACTACTGATCTCAAGTGATCCCCCTACCTTGGCCTCCCAAAGTGCTGGGATTACAGTCATGAGCCACTGTGCCTGGCCTGAATTTCTTTATCAGCTCTAAAACTTACTGAGTGGAGTCTTTAGATATTTCTAAATATAAGATCATGTCATCTGCAGACAAAGATAATTTGAATTTTTCTTTTCCAATTTGGATGCCCTTTATTTCTCTTGCCTAATTGCTCTGTCTAGGACTTATAGCACTATGTTGAATAAAAGTGGTGAAAGTAGGCATGCTTGCCTAGGAAGGGCTTTTGCTTTTTCCCCATTCAGTGTGCTGTTAGCTGAGAGTTTTTCAGTAATGGCCTTCATTGTTTTGAGGTATGTTGCTTCCATACCCAGTTTGTAGAGAATTTTTATCATGAAGTAATGTTGACTTGTATTGAATGCTTTTTCTGCATCTAATGAAATGATCATATGGTTTTGTCCTTGATTCTGTAACTGTATTACATTTATTGATTTACATATGTTGAACCATTGTTGCATCCCTGGGATGAATCCCACTTGATCACAGTGAATGATCTTTTAAATGTCTTGTTGAATTTGGCTTGCTAGTATCTGGTCGAGCGTTTTTCCATCTCTGTTCATGAGGAATATTGGCCCTAGTTTTCTTTTTTTGTTATGTCTTTGTCTGGTTTGGTATCAGGATAATGCTGGCCTTATAGAATGAGTTTGGAAGTATTCTCTGCTATTCAATTCTTTGGAATAGCTTAAGCAGAATTGATATTAGTTATTTAAATATTTGGTGGAATTCAGCCATGAAGCTATCAGGTATTGGGCTTCTCTTTGATAGGAGACTATTTATTACTGCTTCTGTTGTTATTCGTTATTGGTCTGTTCAGGTTTTCCATTCCTTCACAATTCAGTCTTGGTAGGTCATATATGTCCAGGAATTTATCCATTTCTTCTAGGTTTTCCAACTTGTTGGCATATAGTTGTTCATAATAGTCTCTAGAATTCTTTGTATTTCTGTATATCAGTTGTAATTTCTCCTTTTTAATTTCTGATTTTATTTGGGTCTTCTCTTTTTTTTCTTTTTTTTAAGTCTAGTTAAATGTTTGTCAATTTTATCTTTTCAAAAAACCAACTTTTGGATTTGGTTTGTTCTTGCTTTTCTAGTTCTTTAAGATGCATTATTAGGTTGTTTATTTGAGCCTTTCTACTTTCTACTAGGCATTTATTGATAAAAACTTCCCTCTTAGAGATGCTTTTGCTGTATCCTATAGGTTTTGGTATGTTGTTTCCATTTCATTTGTTTCAACAAATTTTTTAATTTCCTTCTTAATTTCTTCATTGACCCATTGATTGTTCAGGAGCACGTTGTTTAATTTCCATGTGTTTTTATAGCTTCCAAAGTTTCTCTTGTTACTGATTTCCAGTTTTTTTCCATTGTGGTCAAAAGAGATTCATGATATGATCTCAAGTTTTTTGAATTTGTTGAGACTTGTTTTGTGGCCTAACATTTGATCTATCCTGGAGAATGTTCGATGTGCTCATGAGAAGTTTGTACATTCTGCAGCACTTGGATGAAATGTTCTGTAAACATCACTTAGGTCCATTTGGTTTAGAGTGTAGTTTAACTCTGATGTTTCTTTGCTAATTTTCTGTCTGGATGATCTGTTCATTACTAAAAGTGAGATGTTGAAGTCCCCTACTATTATTGTATTACAGTCTATCTCTCCCTTTAGCTCTATTAATATTTGCCTTATGTATTTGGATGTTCCAGTATTGTATGTGTGTGTATGTGTGTGTGTATAGAATTGTTATGCTCACTTACTGAATTGACCCATATATCATTATATAGTGACCTTCTTTGCCTCTTTTTATGGTTTTTGACTTGAAGTCTACTTTATCTGCTATGAGTTTAGCCACTCCTGCTCTTTTTTGGTTTCCATTTTCATGGAATATCTTTTTCCATCCCTTCATTTTCAATCTATGTGTGTCTTTATAGGTGAAGTAAGTTTCTTGTAGGCAGCATATAGTTAGGTCTTGCTTCTTTATCCATTCAGCCACTCTATGTCTTTTGATTGGAGAAATGTATTTATTTACATTAAGTGCTATTATTGTTAGGTAAGCATTTACTACTGCCATTTTGTTACTTGTATTTTGGCTGATTTGTAACTCCTTTCCTCCTTTCTTCCCTTGTGGTTAGGTGATTTTCCTGGTAGTGTGTTTTCATTTCTTGCCTTTTATTTTCAGTGTATCTATTATAGGTTTTTATTTGCGGTTACCATGAGGCTTACAAAAAATATCTTATAACAAGTTATATTAAATAGATGACAAATTTGATCCCAAGGAAAAGAAACAAAAAAACTATAAAACTCTCCACCTTAAGTCCATCTTCCTCTTGTACTCCCTGCACCTCTTTTATAAGGTCAGTACTCCCTGCACCTCTTTTATAAGGTCATTGATCCTACTCAAGAGAGGGCTGCCCTCATGACTTATCACCTCTTAAAGGCCCCATCTCTTAATATTATCACATTGGTGATTAAGTTTCAATATATGAATTTTGGGGGTACACATTCAGACCATAGCAGTCACTGAATGTTTAACTGTATTAGCTCTGAATTTACCCATGTGGTAGATTGTTTAATGACCCCAAATCACCTCCCTTACCTCCCAATTCCAGTTATGCACTCCTCTTTATAATATGTCTTTGCTTCACATCCCATCCAGAGGTGGTGTCCATTTCTCCAGCCCCTTGAATTTTGGCTGACTTTGTTTGCTTTGATCAATAGAATGTGATAGAAGTGAGGTTGTTTGAGTTCCTGAGCCTAGGTATCAAGTAGCCTCGAAAGTGCTGCTTTCACCTCTTGGAACACTGCTCAGAACTGCTAAGTGAGGAAGCTAATCTAGTCTACAGGAGACTGGAAAGCCACCTGGAGAAATATCGAGGCACTCCAGCCAGCACCAACTGCCAGACATGTGAATGAGGCTATCTGAGCCCTCCAGCCAGATAATCATCCAACTGCATGGAGCTACTTAAGAAAGCACAGGCTAAACCAGCAGAGAAATTGCCCGGCCAACTCACAGAAGTATGAGAAATGATAAACTGTTGCTGTTTTAAGACACTAAGTTTTGGGGTGATTTGTTACATAGTAATAGATAGCTGACACAGCCTGTCATAATCTTTTAACCTGTAATTATATTACAAGAGCTTATTTCATTAAGGGAACCTTTTACAATTCCTCTGCATTCTTGCATTGTTCCTCATGCAGAGAAATTCTCTCTGTAATGAATGTTATTTGCCTGCCTAATAAGAGAACACTCTGAACTTCGAAGGTTAGTAGAGGAAGGAGAATCTCATATGCGGAGTGCTACTTCTCCCTTTCTTCTCATCACCATCACCACCCTGGCATGGATATAGACCCAGCTCCAGGTGAAGTTGGACCTACCAAAGACTTGGGAGTAAGTGAAAGGAGAAAATACACACACACATACACATGCACTCACATAAACACACACACATGGTACTATATTCGTGTTCTCCAGAGAAACAGAACCAATGGGAGGGGAGAGTGTGTGTGTGTGTGTGTGTGTGTGTGTGTGTGTGTGTGTGTGTGTGTGTAGAGAAAGAGAGAGGGAGAGAGATTATGAGGAATTGGCTCACATGATTATGGAGACTGAGAATTTCCACAACCTACCATCTGTAAGCTGGAAACTCAGGAAAGCAGGTGGTATAATTAAGTCCAAGTCTGAAGACAGGGAGACAATGACATAAGTCCCAGTCTGAGGGCAAGAGATGACATGTTCTAGCTCAAGTAGTGAGGTAGGAAAAAGGGGTAACTTCCTCCTTACTCCACGTTTTATTTTCTTCAGGCCCTCAACAGATGGGGTGACACCCACCCACACTGGGAAGGGCAATCATCTTTACTAAGTTCACCAATTCAAATGCTGCTGTCATCTGCAACACCCTCACAGATCCACCCTGAAAAAATGTTTACTCTGGATATCCCATGGCTCACTCAAATTGACACTTCAATTAACATATATATCATTATATACTATAGTAACCATTATATATCATTATATTATAATGTAATATATAAAAAATATATCATACACACATATAGAAAACCCAAGGTCACAAAACCAGTAAAGAGAGGAACTAGGATTCGAACCCAGCAGTCTGGCTTCAGAGTCTGTGCTATTAACAATTGCACTCCACTGCCACAAAGAGTCATATGTGTGACTTCTAGATGTGGCTATTTTAGGAGCCCCCAGGTACCAATCCATTGTAATGGGATTTTCTGCTGCACTGGCTCCTTATCTAACTGCAGCCTGCCTCCTTGGGCCAGACACTGTTCTTCCTCCTTTACCTAGGGACACCCTCTTGTCTAAATTTTTAGAGTCCAGGCCCAAGGGTGGGAGCTCCTTCATCCCAGATGTGTAATATGGGGAATTCCCATTCCCTTTAGGGTTTGGCAGATACTGTAAATTGCCTTTCTAATTTCATTTAGATTTTAGCACCTTTTCTAATTTCATTTCAATTTTCCTTCTTATACTATGCAGGCTGGAATGCTACAACTACATTCTCCAAGACTACCTTGTAGCTAGTTTCTGCATGTGACCTAGCTATCACCAAGAAGACATATTGCTTGAGACTAGGAGGCAGAGATGCTAAATGTGAATGATAGCTCTGCAGAGAGAGAGATCAGATCTTGCAAGTGCAGAGAACAAGACACCTGGATTTCCTGGGACAGCTGCTCTGGGGATTTTGGATTCCAAAGGCCAGTTCTCTTGTCTTTCCAGAAATTCTTACAAGGTACCTACTACTGTTTAATGAATTATTCTCTGCTTCAACTAGATAACATGGATTCGGCTGTCTACAGTCAAAAATCCTGACAAATACAGGATGATACTGCACCCCCAACCATAGGAGTGGTCCCTACAAATGAAGCACATTGGAATACAGTAGCACCCTGACTTCCATATGAGTAATCTCAAGGTTTCCCTTTGATTCCAATTTCACCTGTAGGCTCCAATGTAACAGTGGAAAAGCAGAGGTCATGATGGAGAGAATAGGAGTGAGCCCATAAAACCTGGTTTGGCTGGGTGCGGTGGCTCACACCTGTAATCCCAGCACTTTGTGAGGCCGAGGCAGGCAGACCACGAGGTCAGGAGATCAAGACCATCCTGGCTAACATGGTGAAACCCTGTCTCTATTAAAAATACAAAAAAATCAGCCGGGCATGGTGGCAAGTCCCTGTAATCCCAGCTACCTGGGAAGCTGTGGCAGGACAATCACTTGAACCCAGGAGGTGGAGGTTGCAGTGAGCTGAGATCATGCCACTGCACTCCAGCCTGGCAACAGAACAAGACTCCATCGCAAAAACAAACAAACAAACAAAAAACCTGGTTCAATGATCAAATATTGAGTCAGGGATAGGCTAAGCCAGCAACAAAATCAACCCACAGGGACTTCAGGCCTCAGCAGAATGAACAAGGGAATCTACATTTGGAGATCAAGATCAAGTTGGTTTGAGAAGAAAAGCCAGGACACCAGGTCTAAATTGAGTTCCATGAACAGTATTTGGCCAAGTCAGAAACCCTTTGTGAAGACCCCTAGCCCCAACCACCCACAGGTGTACATGTTCTCATATATATAGGACATGAGGACATGTCTTAACATTTAATTGGTGACCTTTGCCCCTGTGGTATGAGAAAATGGTATCTCCTACTCAAATATCAGATATTTTGGTTTAAAATGTAAAATGAGTCAGAGTTAATTTGTCTCAGTCAGCCAACATGTCATAAAAATATTTTAATTCCAAGTATTGCCATAGTTTATCTTATACGTAAGATAAAGTAGAGCCAATAGAAAGATGCAAAAGCAAACCAAAGTTAGATTATTGCTTCTGATGGGACAAACCCTGTCCAGGAGAATTGTGGGGCCTTTCTTTGATTGACAGGTAGATTTGGGAGTTTTTAGAGGGGACCAAGCCTTTTGGGGCAAGGGAAGATGCAGTTGCAAAATACCACTTGCTGGTTCTTTGGAAAAAAAAAATAACAAAATCTATAGACCACTAGCTAGATTAACCAAGAAAAGAGGAAAGAAGATCCAACTAAGTTAAATTAGAAATGAAACTGGAAACATTACAACCAACACCATAGAAATACAAAAGATCATTTAAGACTACTATGACAACTTTATGCACACAAACTAGAAAACGTAGAGGAAATTGATAAATTCCTAGGGACATACAACCCTCCTAGATTAAATCAGGAAGAATTAGAAACCTTGAACAGACCAACAACAAGCAGTGAGATTGAATTAGTAATTTTAAAATTGCCAACAAAAGAAAGCCCAGGACCAGATGGAATCACAGCTGAATTGTACTGGACTTTCAAAGAAGAATTGGTACCAATCCTACTGAAACTATTCCAAAGGATTGAGAGAGAGGAAATCCTCCTTAAATCATTCAATAAAGCTAGTATCACCCTGATACCAAAGTCAGGAAAGGACACAACAAAAAAGGAAAACTACAGACCAATTTTCCTGATGAACACAGATGCAAAAATCCTCATCAAAATACTAGCTAACTGAATCCAACAGCACATCAAAGAGAATTCATCATGATCGAGTTTCATCACAGGGATGCAAGGATAGTTTAATATATGCAAGTCAATAAATGTGATCTATCACATAAACAGAATTAAAAACAAAAAACCATATGATCACCTCAATAGATGCAGAAAACGCATTTGAAAAAAAAAATCAGCATCCCTTTAGATAAAAACTCTCAACAAACTAAGCATAGAAGGGGCCTACCTCAAAATAGTAGAAGCCACATATGATAAACCCACAGCCAACGTCATACTGAATGGGAAAAAGTCGAAAGTATTCCCCCTGAGAACAGGAACAAGACAAGAATACCCACTTTCACCCCTCCTATTCAACATAGTTCTGGAAGTCCTAGCCAGAGTAATTAGGCAAGAGAAAGAAATAAAGGGCATCCAAATTGGAAAAGAGGAAGTCAAACTACCACTGTTTGCAGATGATATGATTATATAACTATAAAATCCTAAAGACTCCTCAAAAAAGACTCTTAGATTTGATAAATGAGTTTGATAAAGTCTCAGGTTACAAAATTGATGTGTACAAATCAGCAGCACTGCTATTCACCAACGACCAAGCTGAGAATCAAAATAAAAACTAAATCCCTTTTACAACAGCTGCAATAAAATAAAATAAAATACTTAGGAATATACTTAACCAAAGAGGTGAAATATCTCTACAGGGAGAATTATAAAACATCACTGAAAGAAATCATAGATGACACAAACAAATGGAAACGCATCCCATGTTCATGGATTGAAAGATTCAATGTTGTGAAAATGACCACACTACCCAAAGCAGTCTACATATTCAATGAAATTACCATCAAAATATCAACATTTTCATGGAATTAGAAAAAACAACCCTAAAATTCATATGGAACCAAAAAAGAGCCCATATAGCCAAAGCAATCCTAAGCAAAAAGAGCAAATCTGGAGGCATCATGTTGCTGGACTTCAAATTCTACTACAAGGCTGTAGTTACCGAAGTTATACCAGCATGGTACTGGTATTAAAGTAGTCATGTAGACCAATGGAACAGAGTGGAGAACCCAGAAATAAAACCAAATATGTACAGCCAACTGATCTTCCACAAAGCATACAAAAATACACATTAGGGAATGGACACCCTGTTTAATAAATAGTGCTGGGAAAACTGGCAAGTCACATATAGAAGAATGAAACTGAATCCGTATCTCTTGCCTTACACAAAAATCAACTCAAGATGGATCAAAGACTGAAATAAGAGCTGAAACTATAAAAACCCTAGAAGACAACATTGGAAAAAATTTGTAGACATTGGCCTAAGCAAAGAACTCATGACTAAGACCCCAAAAACAAATGCAACAAACACAAAAATAAATAAATGGGACCTAATTAAACTAAAAAACTTCTGCACAGCAAAAGAAATAATCACCAGAATAAACAGACAACCCACAGAATGGGAGAAAATATTTGCAAGCTATGTGTCTGACTAATATCCAGAACCTACAAGAAACTCAAACAAATCAGGATGAAAAAAAAATCTCATTAAAAAGTGGACAAAGGACATAGACATTTCTCAAAATAAGATATACAAATGGCCAAAAAACATGAAAAAATGCTCCATGTCACTAAGCATCAGGGAAATGCAAATTAAAACCATAATGAGGTACCACCTTACTCCTGTAAGAATGGCTATTATTAGGCCAGGTGTGGTGGCTCATGCCTGTAATCCCAGCACTTTGGGAGGCCGAGGTGGGTGGATCACTGAAGGTCAGGAATTCGAGACTAGCCTGGCCAACATGGGGAAACCCTGTCTCTACTAAAAATACAAAAGTTAGCCAGGCGTGGTGGCAGATGCCTGAAATCCCAGCTACTTGGAAGGCTGAGACAGGAGAATCACTTGAACCTGGAAGCAGAGGTTGCAGTGATCCAAGATTCTGCCATTGCGCTCCAGCCTGGGTGACAGAGTGAGACTCTGTCTCAAAAAAAAAAAACCAAAAAAAAACAAACAAAAAAACAAAAAAAGAATTGACTATTATTAAAAAGTCAGAAAACAATAGATGTTGGTGTGGATGTGGGGAAAGGGGAACACTTTACACTGCTAGTGGGAATGTAAATTAGTGCAACCTCTATGGAAAACAGTATGGAGATTCCTTAAAGAGTGAAAAGTAGATCTACCATTCAATCCAGGATTCCCATGGCTGGGTCTCTATCAAAGGGAAATATGTCATTATATGAGAAAGACACTTGCACACATATGTTTATAGCAGCACAATTCACAATTGTAAAGATGTGAAACCAACCTAAGTGCCCATCAACAAATGAGTGGATTACGAAAATGTGGTATATATGCACCATGGAATACTACTCAGCCATTAAAAGGAACAAAATAATGTATTTTGCAGCAACTTGGATGGAGCTGGAGGCCATTAGTCTAAGTGAAGTAACACAGGAGTGGAAAAGCAAAAACCATATGCTCTCAATTATAAGTGAGAGCTAAGCTATGAGCATGCAAATGCATACAGAGTGATATAATGGACTTTAAAGACTCAGAAGAGGGAGGGTGGGATGGGAGATAGGGATACAAAAACTGCACATTAGGTACAATGTACACTAATCGGGTGACAGGTGCACTAAAATCTCAGAATTCACCGCTATATAATTCATGTAACAAAATCCACTTGTACCACAAAAGCTATTGAAATAAAAAGAAACACAGCTTGTTGATTTCAGTGATCCATTGAGCCCCAGCTCAATCCCCATGGCATCCACCATGGCACAAGTCCAGGCAGTTCACCATTGGAGAAGGGTCTCTTCATGTCATGACTGTTATTAGCTGCATATCCCTAAAGGCAGAATTCCCAAACTTGGAGCATTTTATTTCCTGGAGTTTCCTCTTTTTCCTCTTTGTCCATAACATGAATCAATAATAAGCTTCTTAAGACTGCTCTTGTATTAGATAATCATTTTTATTCTACAAAATTGTTGGAACTTACATCATCCACAAATTAAAATTCTTTTTCTTTCCTCCCCTGTTTTTCAACCCTTTTTTCCTTTTAAAATTCATAACCTCTGGTCATTACTTTGTGGTTTTTATCTGACATAAAACCACTTTAGCTGATTAAGGTGGTTATTTGTGAAAGTACCATAATTATCTTTATTACATATTCTTGAGTTATATGCTTCATATAATTAGCACAAATATCTATAATAGAGTAGAAAAAACACAATAGAGCTTCTTAGATAACATGGCATGTTGAACCCATTTGTCTAATTTTGCTCCCTCCTGAAACCCTAGAAAAACTATAGCAAAGAGATTTAAAGTGAAAGGTAAACTCATCAGGGCAGAGTGGACAAAACAAGAGATAAGAACAACATTTTGTAAATTAGAAAGCAGACGGACAGGAGGCAAATGCAAGAAACCAAAATCTAAGCCTGTGGTGGAAAAAGCTGAGAACCAACCTGATTTTGAAGCACAGTCCTCAAAAGCCTTGAGCAGTGGCAGCACCATTTGGTTTGAGCACAAAGGCTTGGTTTGAGGAGGAGGAGGGCTGGACCAGAAGGAAGAAGTTGGGTGGTGAAGAGCAAAACACGGAGGCTCAAATGACAGCTGTTGAGGGAGTGAGCAGGCCCTTCTGCTGGCTGCCCACTCCACCCTGGGAACTGGTCCTTCAGCCTAGGAGCTTTATTTCCTGCAGAGGGTGAACTGATTGTATCTGGACTGGGAAATGCCAGGCAGGGCTTTTGGGGGCTACCATATTAAAACAAGGAAGTTAGGCAAATGTTTGTGCACTAGATGCTGAATCCTTTCTCTTTTTTCTCCCACTTGACTCTCAGAATACAGAAAGTTATTTTTTTCCTTCTATGGAGGAAGAGAGAAAAGTATCCTAGCTGGAAATTGACCAACCCTAGAAAAAAGACCTAAAGATACTGACTGATGCCAAAAGTTGTCCCAAAATAACCCAGCCAGATAATTCTTCAATTAAGTTCGTCATGGATAAACTCAAAGCAAACGTCTCAAAACTTCCAATCAGGTTTCCAGTTCCCCATATTAAACATAAGTAGACAGCCAAAGATTGCCAGGCGTGTAGGGGTGTCACTAACCCAGAAGATAGAGGTGAAAAGGAACCTACAGAAAGAAAAGCAATTTGGAGAAATCAGAAGCAACGCAGAAAGAAGAAAACTAAATGAAACAAAACCCCAAAAAGGTCATTAATATGTACAGAATGTTAAGAGAAGATACTACTTTTAGGTAACAAGTGTTTTTAACCAAAAAACAAAACAAAAACCTAACTTTCAAAGAACAAAAATTAATTTTTAGAAATTGAAAGTATAATAGCAAAAATGTTGTGGCTGGAATGTAAAATAACTGAAAAAGTTGAATAAATCTTTCAGAAAATAGAGAAAAAAGGCAAATGGAAACTACAAGATAAAAGATAATAAAATTGTATAACTAGTACAGAAGTTCCAATAATAGCAGTTTTTCTTTCTTTTTTCTTTTTCACAAAGTGAACATAGAAAAAGGAGTGGAAGAAAGTCTAAGAAAGTACTTTTAAAAAAAAATCCCAGACGTGAAGAACATGACTTAATTGGCCCATGAGGTGTCAAGCATCATGAATTAAAGTGACCCACACCAAAACATATCAATTTAAAATTTTGAAATAAGAAGATTCTGTAAGTTACAAAAAAGGATAAACAAAACAGGTCACATACAAAGGATCAAGGGTCAGAATGGTTTCAGACTCCTCAACTGCATCACTAGAAGCTAAGAGACAGTAGTGGAATGACTGCAAATTCTGAAGGAATTATTCCCAGCCTACAATTCATTACCAGTCATGATATTTATCTAGCATAGAAAAAAAGAGGCATTTTTCAGACTTGAAAGCTCTAAAAACTATTACCTCCCCTGCACCTTTTCTTAGGAAGCTTCTGGAGGCTGTACCTTGCCAAAGCAAGGGAGTAAATAAACCAAGAAAGACTAAGACACAGTATATGGTACCAGGAAGCTTGAACATGGGAGTATGGTAACAGGAATCCTTGGGATAATTGGGAACAGGATGTCAGGGTAGTTACACAGCAGGAGAGGAGGGAAACCAGTCCTGACTGGAGCAGTGTGACTCAAGAGATAGACTAGTGCTATTCTGCTGCCCTTTCCACCTCATAATGCTGTTAGAGGCTGTGTCCCACCAACACAAGAGAGTGCACCAAGCAAGAAGAAGATGTGAGACCCACGAGACAGAGAATCTAAACCCAGAGATGGGCAAAGGCAGTTCAGGGATGACAGCCAAAGGAGGTCTCAAGATGGCAGCTGCCAGTAAGCCTGGTAGTAATAAGCTTAGACGGAAGGATAGGAGAGTGGAGTCCTCTAGAAGGGCATCTTTTTAAAACAATTATGTATATCTATACATATAGAAATATATCTGATAGATTAGCTGGATGAGATGGGTCTGTGAGTGAAATGTTTTAAAAGGTTTTTGGAAGATATAAGAACAATTGAGAAGAAACTAGCAAAGAAAGTAAGCAAATGAAAAATCAAGGCAATTATTAACTTCAGGAAAAACAAAGGGTGTACGATGTTGAATATATTTAATCTAAAATTGTACTATATACTGGGAGGATGAAGGAGGTGAAGCAGATGGATGGTGGTGGAAGAAAATGAAATCCTCAGGCCAGGCACTGTGGCTTACGTCTGTAATTCCAGCACTTTGGGAGGCTGAGGCCGGCGGATCACCTGAGGTCAGGAGTTTGAGACCAGCCTGGCCAACATGGTGAAGCTTATGTCTCTAAGCTGTCTCTACTAAAATAAAAAATTAGCCAGGCGTGGTGGCACACACCTGTAATCTCAGCTACTAGAGAGGTTGAAGCAGGAGAATCTCTTGAACCCAGGAGGTGGAGGTTGCAGTGAGCTGAGATCATGCCACTGCACTCCAGCCTGGGCGACAGAGCAAAACTGTCTCAAAAAGAAAAAGAAAATGAAATCCTCAACTCCCATAATAGAAAGTCAAGTGATATTGTCTAAAACAGAGGACACAAAGACAGCACAATTTTATATTTAGTATTACTATATAGTGTTTAGGAGTGAAGTATGATGTTTGCAGCTTACTTTTAAAGGATATACCAAATGCATGGGTGTATATGGTTGTCTATGTATATATATAAGTTAAAAATTTTTTTATAATGAAGGTTATGGATAACAACATATGACTTAGAAAAATTAACATGTGTAAATGCTACAAACAATACCTCAAAAGTGTTACTCGCTGAAGACAGAGACCAGGAGTGTAGTGAAAGGTGAGTCAGGGATTGGTGTTTTTGTGAGAAGCCTTGTAGCTGTTACTATTTTACTTTCTAAACTATGAATGTGCCTCACTTAGATTGAAAACAAAATTTTATTTAAAGATGTAAAGAAAGGGGAAAAAAGGACTCATGGTCCAGTTATATTCTACCAGTAACTAGTTACATGACCCTGGGCAAACCCTTAACCATAGAGGATAACAGGGTTCTGGACTGTTGTATGAAGAAAGTTCAATTATTTCAAGTTAAAAATCATTGATTCTCTGATCAGACACAGGCTTATTTATTTTTTCAAACTTTGTCTTTCATTACTTTAAATTTATGTGTCTAAAAGTCCAAAACTATTTCCAGATTATCAAATTGCACTGACTAGAAAGGTAATTTTCAATGAGGATAACTTTAGCTGTTTATTTCACAAAAATTTGCACATGTACTCAGATTTATCTTCCTCACCATCCAACAAGAAAACCTGGTCTTCTAGATTCCTAGTCTCTAACATGGAAAAAAATATGGAGCACGTGGAACAAAAATAGCTCGAATGTAGGATCACTTGGGGAATAACTTGGACTTACACAGTTACATGAAAAATCTCCAAAGTCATATTCGCCAGAATTACATCCAAGAACAACGTTTTATTTAGCAGCTAACTGAGATGAATAGCAGCTTCAGTAGCTCTAAGCAAAGGCTCTATTCATCAAATTTAAGGACACAGGCAAAGGAAATTGATTCATTTCTGGACCTGATTGAGTTTCCACAGTTAGATGCATTGGAGGGAGACACGACCTGAATGCTCCAATTCTGTGGTTAGTGCCTGCATGTAATCTGGTCTGGAGCACCCCACCCTTGTGTCCTCAAGTCCAGCCAGGCTCACCACATGGAAGACACTCTTATCGCCATGCTACTTTTGGGATAACCAATGAAATCTTTAACAAAACGTGTGATCTTTCAGCGAAAATACAACTTTCCCTAGGAGACGCCTGTATATATGAAATAGGAGATGCATGAAATATTGGAATATCTTATGAAGAGCAGGGCTCAGCTTGGTACCTTGCACTTTGTTGGTGCCCTGTCATGCTTGTTGACTCAAAGGCGTCTTGTTAAATGTATTGTTTGCCACTGTTACAGGATTTATTTTCACCTTCCTCCCCATAATCTTGAAAATCTAGTTGAGAGCCAGAAGTTTCTTCTCCCGTGGCATGTTCTCACCACCACTTCTATAGGTCTTTAGAGCCACTTGATCACTGGTTCAGTGTCTTAACCAAACTGTTAGAGTCTAAGCTCTGTGAAGGCACGGGACAAGTCTGTCTCATTCACACTCCGTAAGGCAAGGCCAATAGCGGTTGCTTAGAAAATACTTGTTAGAGGAGCATTCATCCACCCTGCAATCCAGGCTTGGTTCTGGTTTTCTATTCTCAACATCCAGGAGACTTGCTTGATGTTGGGATGCTAGGTTCCTTAGTTAAGTCATTAATTTTGGTGTTTAAGCCTTGTCCTTAAATTCAAAGGGCACTGGGTTTGAGCCACAATTTGACCAATTAGCAATGGGACCTCAGACAATTTACTTAAACTCTGTGAGCCTTAGTATCTTCATCTCTAAAAAGGAGGTGATAATAACACCTTCTTCACAAGATTTTGGTGATAATTAAATAAGATTTTTATATTTATATATGTGCCAGAACCATATACATAGTGTCTAGGACAGAATCTAGCATATCATAAGTACTCAATAATGTTAGATCTTTTCTGTTTACTACCCAAGTTACTGATGCATATAATTCCTTGGACATAGTAATAAAGGGCTGAAAACTATTTTTAATAGTCCAAAAAGACTAATAGAATTATTATATTTACTTACAATAATATTAACTAAAATGTTAAGTTATTTTGGGAAATGTATTAACATATCCCATGCTTGCAAGCAGTCTTTCTTGGTGCATACACATCTTAGATTAATTAAAAATAGGAAAATGAACTATTTATATATGTAACTTGGTATATAAAAACCCAGATGTGGAGTTCATGAGGTGTCCTTGGTTACTTAGGATTCCAAGAAGTCCGTTTTTAAATTTTTTATTTTATTTTAGATTCAGGGGTACATGTGCATGTTTGTTACATGGATGTGTTACATACTGGTGGTGATTGGGCTTCTGGGGTGCCCATTACCCAAATAGTGAACATTGTGCCCAACAGATAATTCAACCCTCACCCTCCTTGGTTATTTCCAACCACCTGTTTTGACCCTGGCTTCCAACTCCAGAATCGTGATGGATTTACAGAATTTTGGGGACTGACGTGTTTGCTACTGGACAATTGTAGTGTGTTTAGTAATAAAACAGAACCAGTATCATAACAATAACATTACATATTCTGAATGGACTGAACTATTATAATTTTGCCTGAAACTCATGACAACTGCATATATTTAGTCTGTGTTCAAGAATTTTATTGCTAATTACCAAATAGTACAAAATGAATAATTGTTACCAAAAAAAAAAAATTTGCCAGGTGCAGTAAGGCTTTGGTTATTAGATGGCAAGAATGTTACAGTGGCATGAAATGACTATGACATTATCAAGAAAAATGGATTTATATTTGAATAGTCTAGACTACTTGTAAAATCCTATAAAACCCTCAACTCTCTTGTATTTTACCCTAAAAAGTATTTCAAGAAATTATCAGCTAGCATACTTTGGAGAGATAGTATAGAGATATAAAGTCAGAGAAGAGTAACTACTTACCAGTCTCATAAATATGCTATAAAACTGTAATTATTTCATCAGACTTTACTTCTTTATAACCAAATTTCTTTGAGACTGCTTATGTTATTCAAGAAACAAAGAGAGAAAGAGAAACTTGATCTTTTGTTAGTATTTCCTAACTAAACATTAAGCCATTGCAACCATGGAGTAAGTCCTATTTATGTTTTCTTAAACTAAAGATGTTTTAATATCCCCCTGTATTTTTATCATTACTTTGTTGAAAATATTGTGAAAACCTGCTGTATTAGTCCATTTTCACACTACTGATAAAGACATACCTGAGACTGGGCAATTTACAAAAGAAAGAGGTTTATGGGACGTACAGTTTCACATGGCTGGGGAGGCCTCACAATCATGGTGGAAGGCAAGAAGGAGCAAGTCAAATCTTCCATGGATGGCAGCAGGCAAAGAGAGCTTGTGCAGAGGAACTCCTCTTTTTAAAACCATCAGATCTCACGAGACCCACTCACCATCACAAGAACAGCATGAGAAAGACCCACCCCCATAATTCAATCACCTCCCACTGGGTCCCTCCCAGAATACATGGGAATTGTGGGAGTTAAATTCAGGATGAGATTTGGGTGGGGACACAGCCAAACCATATCACCTGCTTCAAGGAGAACTTATACACCACAAATACTCATGTGTCACTTGTGCCTGTTGGGCATAGAAAATGACTCACATTTCTGTCACTCATATGTAAAGAATTTATGATGTATGTTTTAATCTTCCTTGCCTAAGATCACTTCTACAGTGAGACTTGACATTATAGATGAAATTTTTTAAATGCTGCCTTCTTGTCTGAATAAAAGTGATCTATTGCAATCCTTTGATTACAATATATAAATTAAAAATAGAAAGTTGTGGCTGGGTGTTGTGGCTCACGCCTGTGATCCCAGCACTTTGGGAGTCTGAGGCAGGAGGATTGCTTGAGTTTGGAAGTTCAAAACCAGCCTGGGCAACATAGCAAGACCCTGTTTCTACAAATATATATAAAACTAGCCAGGTGTGGTGGTGCACATCTGTAGTCCCACCTACTTGGGAGGCTGAGGCAGGAAGATCGCTTGAGCTCAGGAGTTCGAGGCTGCAGTAAGCCATGATTGGGCTACTGCACTCCAGCCTGGGTGACAGAGTGAGATCATGTCTCAAGAGAAAATGAACAAAATAGGCAGTTGTGAGTACACTTATCACAACTTGGATTTTGTAAAAGTATGAAAGGGAGCTTTCAGTTTTCTTACTGAGTATACATTTTAATGACTATTAGCTCAATAATGATAATATCTAGCATTTTATATCACTTTTACATGACATAATTATACCAAACAATATCTCATCTTTTTCCTACAATAATCATATGAAGCAAGTGGTACAAATATTATTAGTCTTGCTTTGCGATGAGGAAATTGAGACTTGGAATTTAAATTGCTTGCCTATAGTGAAGTGGCTAATAAGCACTAAAGTCAGGACTCAATGTCTGGTCCTCTTACTCCTAGTTCTGTAATTTTCCCCTTTTTAAAAAAGACTGAGATGAAATTCACATAACATAAAATTAACCATTGTAAAATGTACAATCCAGTGACATTTAGTATATTCACAATATTGTGCATTCATGACCTCTATCTAGCTCCAAAACATTTTCATCATCCCTAAAGAAAACTCCATACCCATTAAATAGTCATCTCCCCATCCCCTTTCTCTGGCCCCTGGTAATCACAAATCTGCTTTCTGTTTCTATGGTTTTGCCTTTTCTGGATATTTCATAAAAATGGAATTATATAATATGTGACCTTTTGCATCCGGATTCCTTTACTTAGCAGAAGGTTTTCAAGGCTCATCTACACGGTAGCATGTATCAGTACTTCATTTCTTTTTATGAGTGAGTAATATTCTATTTTATACATGTGTACATATCACACTTTCTTTGTCCAGTGATGAACATCTGGATTGTTTCTAGTTTTTGGTTATTGTCAACAGTGCTGCTATATACAAGTATTTGAGTGCCTGTTTTTTGTTCTTCTGGGTAGAGTCCTGGGGTAGAGTTTCTGAGTCATTTGGTAATTCTATCTTTAACTTTTTGAGGGACCACCAGCCTATATTCCATAGTAGCTACACCATTTTACATTCCCACCAGAAATGGATGAGGGTTCCAATTTCTCTAAGGCTCACCAACTTGTTACTTTGCATTTTGTGTGTTTAAAAAATTATAGCCATCCTAGTGCTTGTGAAGTTCTATCTCATTGCATTGTAGTTTTGATTTGCATTTCCCTGTTGACTAATGTTGATTATCTTCTCATGTGCTTGTTGGCCATGTGTGTATCTTCTTTAGGGAAAATGTCTATTTAAGCCCTTTGCTCATTTTTTATTGGGTTGCTGTATTTCTTTTTTTTTTTTTTTTAAAGAAATTATATTTTCTCCTCCTAAAATTCCACAGTGTGCCTTTGGAAAATTTACCTTCTTGCTCCATAACTGTATAGTTATGCAAGAAAAATGTAGTTATCACATTCTTGAGATTCTTTGATATTGTAGAGCTCTGTGTGTGTGTGTGTGTGTGTGTGCGCGCGCGCGCGCGCACGCGCGCGTGTGTGGTGTGGTGTGGAGTTATCTTTATCTATGAGTAGATATAGAAATTACCACAGGAGGTGAGTTCCATGGGCGGAATGGATAACCTAAGATGCAAAGGGTGAGATTATCCATTTGTCCATCATGGTGGTGCTGTCCTTAGGCTGGGGAAGTCGCTCAGATGACAAGCCAGGCTGAACGGCAGGGACAATGGCAGGTGTGAGAATGTGGGCGCTATTTAACTTGGGCCAGGAGGAAGAGTAGTTGACTGATGTGCTGCCCTGTGTCAGAGAATAACGTGGCACCTGCTTTGGAGTAAAAGGTAAGATGCAGGTGTCAGTGGGAGTGAGAGTAAGGGAGAAAGCCAGACACACTACTAGCTGGAACAGCCTCCTTGGCCAGAGAGTATGATCTTGGGCCAGACAATTCTCTAAGGAAGTCTTAATAATTTTTATGGTGTTTGTATTTTGAGTAACAATTTCCTTTTTGTCTGTCTTGGCACTGAGTACTGCTCTTTGTGAAAACACCAGTCTGTCTCAGGTATGCTAGGGAGAATACAGAAAAGGGTTCTGGGCAATATTTGGTAGTGGGGAGGCAGGATGCTCCCAGAGCCAAGTGAGGGGGTGGCTACAGTGGAAATAAGGATGAGAAGACACCAGAGGAAGGAAGAGATTTCCTCTGGGACCCTCCCTGACATCCTTTATGTTTGGCCCTCAGAAGGTTGGATGTTCTTTTGCAAATGTGACTGGACAATACTTTGAGATGGTAATTTACAGACTTTTCTCTTCCCATATTTCCCCTCTTTGCCTCCTTCCTTTCAATCAGATAGTTGGCAGTCATCCATAATCTCAGGAGAAGACAGCAAACTGGCCAAAAAGCAAAAGCAGATGGTAAGTTACTTGTTTTGTGCTCTAAATGCCTATATCTTTAGGGACACAATAGATTCTGGGTTTGAACAGAATGTTTGGGAGAGGGAGGAGCTTTCCTCTAAACGTGAAAAAGATTTTCCTGGGTCACGGTGGGGTAGAATTAAGGAGGTACATGGGTGTGAATGCAGACAGAAGTGGAGGTCCAAAAGGGGCCTTCACCATGCTTTCCAGTAGATCCTGGATGCAGTGAGGCCCCAGGGAGTAAACGGGTGTGTGGGAGGTGCAAGGACAAATGGTCCCCCCAAAACGTTCACGTTCTAATTCTCAGAACTGTGTTACCTTATGTGGCAAAAAGAGACTTTACAGATGTGATTACGTGAAAGATCTTGAGGTGGGGAAGTATCCTGGAATACCCAGATGGACCTGATGTGATTCCAACGCCCCTTATAGGAGGGAGGCTGGAGAGCAGAATCAGTGAAGGAGTCGTGATGATGCTGCCCTGCTGGCTTGAGGGGTTCCAGCCAAGGAGTGCAGGTGGCCTCTAGAGGGTGGGAAAAGCAAGTTAAACGCATTCTCCTCTAGAGCTTCCAGAAGGAACCAGCTCTACTGACACCTTAATTTTAGCCCATAGGACCCATAAAGGAAGTAATCGTTCTTGCACACTGGGCTTGGGGGCTGAAATTCCTACTCTCTACACACCAATGTTTTCACTTCTGCTTCAGGGGAGGGCATCCACTGTGGGCCACATGCTTTATACATGCTTGTTCTAGTTCATCTTCACAACCCAATGAGGTAATATCCCCATTATCAATTTAATTTATTCCTGAAAATGTGCCAGATAGAGCATTATTGAAATGGGCTTATTCAAAAATAAATTGCAATCAATTTGGTCCAATTATCACCAAACGTCTCTTTTTTCTTTTTTTTTTTTTTTTGATGGAGTCTCACTCTGTTGCCCAGGCTGGAGTGCAGTGGCATCATCTTGGCTCACTGCAGCCTCCGCCTCCTGGGTTCAAGTGATTCTCCTGTCTCAGCCTCCCGAGTAGCTGGGATTACAGGTGCTCACCACCATGCCTGGCTAATTTTTTTGTATTTTAGTAGAGACGGGGTTTCACCATGTTTGTCAGGCTGGTCTTAACTCCTGACCTCAAATGATCCGCCCGCCTCAGCCTCCCAAAGTGCTGGGATTGCAGGCATGAGCTATCGTGCCCAGCCACCACCAAACATCTTAAACATCTATGTAACAATCCACCAAGGATTTCCACATCATATTAAAGTATTCAGAACACCCATCATCTAATTATTAAATACATCAGTGAGTATTTTGTGGGTATTGTACTATATAGTATTAATACCAATTAAATTTTTCTTCTACACTGTAGAGAATTGTAATGCAGACTAACAACATGCATGTATGTTAAAGATACACAACAAATGCAAATAACACAAACAAAATGCAGTTCTCTAGGGAGAATGGCTGAGCTACAACTATGATGTTTTCTACTTCCTCTAGCTTAGGCTCCTGTGTGAAACATAAACTTTTTCTCTGTTGTGCCCATGAGAATTCCTTCAAACTTGGGCGACCATATAATTCACGGTCAAGTTGGCACAGTTTTTGTGAGTGAAAGGAGAGCAGTTAGTAATTACATTGCGGCTGAGTACAGTGGCTCACCTCTGTAATCCTAGCACTTGGGAGGCTGAGGTGAGAGGATAGGATAGCTTGAGGCCAGAAGTTTGAGACCAGCCTGAGCAACATAGCAAGACTCTTGTCTCTACAAGAAAGAAACAAAAGAAAACAAAAAAACTCACCGGGTGTGGTAGTGTGTGCCTGTAGTCCCAGCTACTCGGGAGGCTGAGGTGGGAGGATCGCTTGAGTCCAGGAGTTCTGGGCTATAGTGCACTTTGTTGATCGGGTATCCACACTAAGTTCGGCAACAATATGGTGACCTCCAAGGAGCAGGGGGCTCCCAAGTTGTCTAAGGAGGGGAGAAGCAGCCCAGTTGGGAAACAGAACAGGCCAAAACTCCCGCGCTGATCAGTAGTGGGATTGTGCCTGTGAATAACCATTTCACTCCAGCCTGGGCACCATAGCAAGACTGCATCTCTAAAATATAAAAAAAATAAAAATACTTAGCCAGATGTGGTGACATATGCTTGTTGTCCTTCCTAGCTACCGGGGAGGCTGAGGTGGGAGGATGGCTTGAGCCCACGTTATGAGGTTATGGTGCGCTATGGTCATGCCACTGTATTCTAGCCTGGGCGACAGAATGAGACCCTGTCTCTAAAAATTAATAATTATTGATTAATTAATAATTACCTTGGTATAATAGCTGAAACTGGAATTGTCTAGGGCAAAGTGGGATGTTAAGGAATTTGGAAGATTAATATGTCTTTATGCATTTTGCTCTCACCTTGTTTTTGCCAGATCCTAAACTGTGAAGTCTTCTCTTTCCTTTTCCCTAACTTTAAAAAATTTTACATTTTCTAAAATGCAATATATTCTTGTCATTTAAAAAAGCCATGTTTTGTTTTCACCACACACAAGAAAGGTTACTTGTGAGACAATGAAAGTGTTAATTAGCTTGATGGTGGTAATCACTTGACGAGGTATACATATATCTGATCATCACATTGTACACCTTAAATATATACAAGTTTTATTTGTCAATTATACCTCAATAAAACTAGGGGGGAAACCCCACATCTAGCATGAGCCAGATACCTTGTACATTACTTAATTTTCCTGACTTGGTGAAGGACCCGTCCAGATACTGTTGTGCAGTCTACCCTTGATAGTCACTAGACTGTGCACACCTTTGAGCAAGTGCTGCTCCTATTCATCTTGGTGACCCTGTATCTCAGAGTGCCAGGCACAGAGATGGTACTCAACCACATGTTTGTTGAATGAGGGAACACCATATGTGAGAAAGAGACAAATTTCACCTCCTTTACTAATTGGATGTGCTAATCTACTTTAGAATGTTTCCTTTTTCTCTCTAGATTGCCACATGGAATTACATATTTTTTCCTAATATTGCCTTGGTAACCTCTGCTGGTACCTGTTCTAATATGTTAGCATGTGGCTCATCCTTCTATCTAAAGCTGTGGCTACTCTGTGGACCTTATAACAAAGAGAGTGTGAACTTCACATTAAATGTGATTCGAAGCTTCTAGATTCCATGTACATATTCAGCTATAGAAGCACCTCCTAAACATGGATGGAAATGCCTTAACACATGTCAGATGAGATTACAGCTCAGATTCCATGCAGGATCAACACACTGCCCTGCTATCTGGTGAAACTGTGCTAGTTTTTATAGTAAGAAAATAGTCTAATGAAGCTCTTGATCCATGAAGAGTATAAGTGTGCTCTACGAAGAGAAATTGTGAGTAATTCATGACCCAAGTCTAGGATAAAATATGGATCATTAAAACCAGCATGCCTCAATCTGAGCTTTCAATACTTAGAACTTTGGAATCACAAATATTGGATCGTTATCATTTTTGAGCAAGCAAGCTTTAAGCATTTCTAATCCTAGTTTTTCAGGGGAATTGTTTATAGAAAACTCCCTCTTAACTTTGCTAGGTAATTGGATGTGCTAACCTACTTTAGAATGCTTCCCTCTTCTCTCTAGGCTACCATATGGAATTCTAAAGACACACATTCTCCTTTCTCAAATCTCTCATTTTGCCCACCATTAATTTAATTTTGATGGTAGAGGTCTACCCTGAATATTATATAATATGTATTGCATTTCAATACAGACAAAGAGGTGAGGATGAAGAATTTCAGCTCATTTTTTTTTAAATCTGAGGCTAAAATAAAAACAAGAAAATGTCAGAAGGACCATTAAAGACTTTCTTTCTGTCAAGCTCATAGATGCTTGAATAGCCTCTATCCGTCTCAAAGACCCTAGATGGGGAACAGTTATGTAGCATGTTTGTTGGTACTTCAGATGGAAAAGAAGGACACTCATTTAGGATGCCTTAAACAGCCCTGCCCCACCGAGGCTAAAATGTCTTTTAAGAAACAACTCTAGAGAATGGGACACCTTATTGTTTCTTCAAGAGCTGGCATCTTTCTATGCCTCACTTTTCTACTGTGCTACTATGAGGTGCGTCAACTTCTTGCTTTCTTCTTCCAAAGAACCTGCTCTTATGGACCCAGAGACTCTATCCCCAAATCACATTACCCAAGAGAAAAAATCTGATTGGTCAGTCAATCCCCGCCAGCACAGAGTTTGCCTCTAGGCAGAGATCTTAGACAAGGTCACCTAGTCATGTGTAGATAGTTGTGATTGGGTTAACCTCCCATTCTTGGTCAACTTAGCTGTGGCCAGTGTACTGGTTTTAAATGATACACTTATATGTTACACCTGCTGGTAACAAACTCCTCACAAGGGAGGCCATGGGAATGGTAGGCACACTGAAGTTTCCCAGCCCCTGGCATTCTGTTCCTTTGGATAAGTGAGAGGAGTTCTTTGATTTTTGTCACCACTCATTTCTTTCTTCATTAAACTTCCATCTGCCCTGGTCTACCATATTCCCCACTCCACTCCAATCCCATAACATCCAGTGGTGAAGCTTTCCCTTCTGAGTGTGTATATTTGTTCATGTTTGACTCAGAAATCTGGAAATTGAGTGTATTAAATAAATAAAAGTTTCCTCCATTCTTCCAGGAGCTGATGTAGCTTACGTTATTTCCAAACTCTGTATTCCATGTAGAATTCATGAAAGCCATGTAGTTCAAAATTAATTTGATTATTCTCTCAGGTTATCTGGGGCTTTGCTAGGACCAGCCAAGTTCCCATTTCTTTCGTTTGTGTCGATCAGATCACATAATGTTTTATACTTTCATTTCTTGGCCCCATGATTACACACCATGGAGCTCATTTAGAATGTCCTGGCGTTGCTCCTGTGTGAGATATGAGTGCATTCTGCGAGTCCACAGACGTGTGCTGGCATTTCTTATTAAAGAGAAAATGGACCACACACTTCTGGCTTGTGCTTACAAAGTCTGAATGGAAATTATTAGACCATAGGGAAGACTTGCAAGAGATAATGGTAATGTAGTAATTTTATCAGTTCATTCCATCTGAGAGGAAGAATCTCTTAATTTTCCTTCCTTCATTGGAAGAACTGTTTATGAACGTATAGTTCAATGACTCCAAAGAGCTGTGTGAGGGCTCCATGGGGGTCTCACGGGCAGAAACCCTTAGCTTCAGAAAGGACTTAGGAGTATAAACAGACACTAATGCAGAAATAATTCAATGTGTAGCTATTTATGACTGGCATCAGGAAAGACAGTGAGCCCTGTATACATAGGCAGGGTGCAAGAATGCACTCTCTTAAAACACAGAGGGCAGGTGGACTCAAACTCTCTAGGTTGCCAGCTCCACCCTCTAGCCCTGTCATAGTCTCTGAACTACAAGCCTCCTGTTGGCTTTGACTCTCTGGGTTTTGTCTGTGACAAACCTCCATGTGGTAGGAATTTGGGGTAAATGCATTCATTCATTTGTTCATTTATTTATGTGTACCCTTGTTCATTCATTCATTCACTAATGCACTCAATCATTCATTTATTGATGATTTAACAAGTATTTGATGAGAGCCTCCATGTGCCTAGTGGCATGTCAGGAACTGAGTGGTGTATGAGGGGTATATGAAAATAAGGGTAAGTCACAATTCCTGTATCCCTGTTCTCCAGAACTTTATGGGCTTTTGTTTTTGTTTTTGAGACAGAGTCTCGCTGTGTTGCCCAGGCTGGAGTGCAGTGGCACCATCTTGGCTCACTGCAACCTCCACCTCCCGTGTAGCCTCAGCCTCAGCCTCCCAAGTAGCTAGTATTACAGGCGTGCACCACCATGCCCAGCTAATTTTTGTATTTTTAGTAGAGACGGGGTTTTGCCATGTTGGCCAGGCTGGTCTCAAACTCCTGACCTCAAGTGATTTGCCCACCTCAGCCTCCCAAAGTGCTGGGATTACAGGTGTGAACCACTGCACCTGGCCCTTTATGGTTTTATTTAAGAGACAAACCTAGCACATATTTTAGAGTTTAGTATAATACACGACAGTTCAGAATGTCAGTGCCAAAAAAGTGACCCAGATAGTATGAACTATGGGAATTCCCAGGAAGGTGAACATAAGCAGAGGAGGTTACCAGGAGAAAATGGGACTTGAGCAGGATTCTGAAAGATAGGGGCTTTTAGCAGGAATGGAACAGAGAGGAGGGACCTTGAAACAAAAAAAACACAGAATAAGCAGAGGCAGAAAGTCATACATGATAATACCGTTTATAGAAGAGAGTGAGGAGATTATTCTGGCAAGAGGAAAGGTACCATATTTGGAGTAATAAGGGATAAATGTCAAATTAGATGAGGGCCAGATAGTGAAGGAATTTGAATGAGAGAAACAACGTGTTTTGACTTTATTTGATATAGGTTTTGAGAACCTTTAGCACATGTCTTGAGTACAAATGTGATGCTGTTGCAAAGAGCTTACAGTAGCTCAGGGGTTCCACCATTACCCAAATAATCAGATGGTGTTCCTGGAAGTACAGTAGGGAGGGGAGCTTTGACACAGGCAGCCCCCTAGTAAGTAGTGAGAAGAGGAAGGGGAAATGGATCAAAAGGGAGGATAATGTGATTTTTCTAACCCTATGTGAAAAGTTAAAGGGCTTTCTTTTTCTTTTTTCTTTTTTTTTTGAGACAGAGTCTCATCCTGTTGCCCAGGCTGCAGTGCAGTGGCACCACCTTGGCTCACTGCAACCTCCACCTTCCGGGTTCAAGGGATTCTCGTGCCTCAGTCTCCCAAGTAGCTGGGATTACAGGTGTGTACCACCACATTCGGCTGTTTTTGTTTCTTTCTTTGTTTGTTTGTTTTTAGTAGAGACAGGGTTTTGCCATATTGAGCAGGCTGGTCTTCAGCTTCTGGCCTTAAGTGACCTACCCATCTTGGCCTCCCAGAGTGCTGGGATTAATTACAGGTGTGAGCCACTGTGCCCGGCCAACTTTCTGACATAGGTTTGCATGTGTAAATTTGAATCAAACAGGAATTGCCAGTAAGAGATATCCTTTTGTGCAGTGGCTTATTTAAAAAGGGGAATGTATTGGCTCACATAGCTCAGGGCAAGAGGGAGGATTTAATGCACAACTTCAGTAATTTCATATAAAGTTGACGACAATCACTTTTTCTTGTTCTTTGACTAAGGTTCACATAACTCACATATTTAACATATTACATAATCCTTAAATATTTAGCACCACTTACATGTCCAAATTCCCATAGATGATTTTAGAAAAGAACAAACTACAACAGATATAATAATGCAATAATAACACTTACATAGTACTATATGCTGGGCACTCTCATAAGCACATTATGTTATTCATATAATCCTCACAATAACCTTATCAGATAGGTACTAGTATTCACAATTTTTAAAAATGAGAAAAAGGCCCAGAATGTCTTAATACATTTTGTGTTGCAATAAGGGAATACTGAGGCTGGGCAATTTACGAAGAAAATAGGTTTATTTGGCTCTCAGTTCTCTGCAGGCTGTACAAGAAGCATGATGGCAACATTTGCTCAGCTATTGGTAGAGGCCTCAAGCTGTTTCCACTCAGGGCAGAAGGTGAAGGGGAGCTGGCTGTGTAGAGATCACATGGCTAGAGAGGAGGCAAAGGGGTGGGAGGGAGATGCCAGGCCCTTTTTAACAACCAGCTCTCTCAGGAACACCTGCCCTCCAGAGAGGGCATTAATCTATCCATGAGCAGTCTACCTCCATGACCCAAACACCTCCTATTAGGCCCTACCTCCAACACTGGGGATCAGATTTCAACACAAGGTTTTTGAGGACAAACATCCAAACTGTAGGAGGGAGAATTTTATACATCTAATAAGTTGTACAACTTGGATTCAAACCCAGTCATTCAGACTCCAGAGTTCATCCTCTTAACCACTATACTTCTACTGATAGTAAAACTTGACAGATGTCTCAAGAAAATTACAAATTAACATCCCTCAAGAGTATAGATGAAAAAATTTCTCAAAATACTTCAAACCAAATTCAGGATGAATTATTTGATAAATAATTCCGGGCTGTTCATCAAGACCAAATGGATTTATCCTGGGAATGCAAGGGTGGCTTAACATTTGAGACTTGAGCAACACAACACAATGTATTACAGAATAAAGGACAAAATCACATGATCATTCCAATAGACCAGAATATACATTTGACGAAATCCAACATCCTTTCATGGTAAACAAAATAAAATAAAATAACTGGGAAAAAACAAAACTGCATCAAACTGATAAAAGCTATGTTTGAAAAATTCACAGCTAACCGTGTAGAAGACTGATTGCGTTTTTCCCTAAGGTTAAGAAGAAGGACAAGATTGTCTCCTCTTGCTACTTCTCTTCAATATTGTACTGGCTCTAGCCAGGGAAATTAGGCAATAAAAAGAAACAAAAGACATCCAGATCAGCAAACAAAAAGTAAAATTACTTTTATTCACAAATGACATGATCTTTTATGGAAAATGCTAATGAATCCACAAAATAACAAATTTTAAATGATAAAGTTCAGCAAGGTTGCAGGATACAAGGTCAACACACAAAAATCAATTGTATTTACATATACAACAGTGAACAATGCAAAAATGAAATTAAGAAAACAACTTCATATATAATAGTATCAAAATAATACAATACTTAGGAATAAATTTAACAAAAAATGCAAGACTCGTAACTGAAAACTACAAAACATTGTCAAAAGAAATTAAAGAAGACAAATAAATGAAAACACATCTCATGTTAATGCATCAGATGACTTAATATTGCTAAGAATATAATACTCCTTGAATCGATCTACAGATTCAACACATCCCTATAAAAATCTCAGCTAGCTTTTTTTGCAGAATTTGACAAGCTGTTCCTAAAACTCATATGGAAAGTAAAGAAGTTCAGAATAGCAAAGAAAAAAATATTGAAAAAGAAGAGCAAAACTGGAGAACTCCCACTTCATGATTTCAAAACTAACTACACAGTTGCAATAATCAAGGCGGTGTGGCGCTAGTACAAGAAGAGATATATGTCAGTGGAATAAAATTGAGAGTGCAGAAATAAGCCCTTACATTTATAGTTAATTGGTTTTTCAAAAGGATACCAAAACTACTTAATGGTGAAATAATAGTCATCTCAAGAAATGGTACCATGACAACTGAATATGCAAAAGGGTGAAGTTGGACCCCCAACCTCATATTATCTACAAAAATTAACTCAAACTGCATCATAGACCTTACTATAAGAGTTAAAGCTATAAAACTCTTAGAATAAAATACAGGAGTAAATCTTAATGACCTTAGTCATAATATGACCCTAAAAGACCAGTGGGGAAAGAAAAAATAGGTAAACTGGACTGCATGAAAACTTAAAACTTTTGTGCTTCAAAGAACACCATCAAGGAAATGAAAAGACAACGCACAGTTTGGGAGAAAATATTTGCACATTATATATCTGAGAGGAAACATATCCAGAATACACAAAGAATTCTTAGAACAACAAAAACACAAATAACCTAATTTAAACATGGGGAAAGGAATTAAATAGACATTTCTCCAAAGAAAATTTACAAGTGCCCATGAGACACAAAAAGGGCCAGGCATGCTGACCCACACCTGTAATCCCAGCATTACAAGGAGGTCAAGGCGGGAGGGTCCCTTCAGCCCAGGTGTTCAAGATCAGCCTAGGCAACACAGGGAGACCCTGTCCCTACTGACAAAAAATTTTAAAAATTAGCCAGATGTGGTGATGTGCACCCGTGGTCCTAGCTACTGGGGAGGCTGAGGCAGGAGGATCACTTGAGCCCAGGAGGTCAAGGCTGCAGTGAGCTGTGTTCATGCCACTGCACTCCAGCCTGGGTGACAGAGCAAAACCCTGTCTCAAAAACAAAAACAAAAACAAAAGAAAAGAAAAAGAAAAAAGGACACACAAAAAGATGCTTAACATAATTAGCTATCAGAGAAATACAAATAAAAATCACAATGAGAAACCTGTATCAAAAAGAATGGGTTTCTTTTTGAGGTGATGAAAATCTTCTGTAACTGGATAGTGCTAATTGTTGCATTACTCTGCAAATATACTACAAATCATTGAATTGCACACAGTTAAAAGGAAAATTTTATAATATGTAACTTATATTTCAATAAAGCTGTTATTTTTAAAAAGCATGAGAGAAAATATTGATAAAGGTAGTTACAACAAATTTAAATAGCAAACAAAATTCTGGAGAGAAAAAAAATGGGCTACTCATAACCCAGAACCCAAAGAAGGCTAACTGTCTTAACATAAAAGGAGCTTTTACAAAACAAAAACAAAAAACAAAACCACACACAATCTAAAGGGAAAAATAGGCAAAGGATATAAATTGAGTTTTTTAATAAAAAGAAAACTCAACATATAAAAAGTTGCTAATTTCCAATAATAAGTGACATAAGTATTACAACCTCACAGAGAAACCAATTTCAACCATCAGATTAGCACAAATCAACAATTTTGATAACACTGTGCTGGTGAGGATTCAGGAAAAACTTTATAAAAGTTTTTGCCTATAATTTTTTTCTCCAGAATTTTGTTTTCTATTTAAATTTGTTATGGCTTTTGCAATGCAGATTATTCAAAGCTTTTTATGTAACTAAATAAAATAAATGAGGGGCAATTTGGAGATATATATATATATATTATATAAAAACATTGCACATTCACATACCCTTTGACCCAGCAATTCTACTACTGGGAAGGTATTCAGTGGGAACTGTAAATACTTAACAATCAATTCGCCCCACAAAAAAGGGTAATGGAAGCCTTTTATTTGTAGACTTTGCCAATTTTAGTGGTGTAAGTAGTTCCACCACACCAATTTCAAGCTACTGTCCTAACATCAACTGATATCAGAATTCCTGAACTTTTCACAAATGGCTGTCACAAACCCATCTTAGCACACCATTGAATATTCATCAGGAAATGCAAAAGGATATATGTGCCAAATTGCAAAATTATGTGTAATAGTAAGAGATTTGAAACAATCTAAATGGCTATCAATGAAGAACTGCTTATTAAAATACAGATGGCAGAGAAACAAAGTAGACAACTGCTTAAATTAATTGGAGCATAACATTATAAAAACAAATTGAAAATCATCTTTATTTACAAGTATATAACAATCTCTAAGCTATATTTTTAAATGGAAACAACTAAGATGCAGAGCAGTGTATCATACAACATTTGAGGAAAAGGTATAACTATATATGTACAGAATATCTCTGGAAGGATATTTAAGGTACTAGAATCATTTATTTCCTCAGGAGAGGAGAAATGGGTGACTCATCCACATACCTGATCAGCATGCTGCTGAACACTCTCCAGGACTCTGCGACTATCTGGACTATCCTCTTGAGTCCTCTGTTCTGCACTCTAGCCACCTTGGCCTCCCCAGAATCTTGGCTCCATCTCCTAGACTCAAGAAGTTGCTGGTCTCCACCTGGTTTCCTCCTCCTTGTGCCATGTCCTGAAGGCTGTTTCAATCTGTGTGGCTTGGTTAGGGCTCAGGTCCAGACCTGGCCAGTCAATGTACTCTATTTCCTTGGCTGTAATGGCTAGTTCAGGGATAATAGGGTGACCATATCAGTCTAAGACTCAATTCCAGAATTTCTGTTGGAAGTTTTTCTTCTGGGATTGCTATCTTATTCTAGAAGAATAAGGTGGAGGCAACCACATGAAAGATTCTGCCTGACATTAAATTCAGAACAGAGGAAGGCAGAATGAAGAGACTAAGAGACTGAGACTTCATGATGTTGTTTGAACCTCTGAATGCATCTATACCCAAAACCCATAACCTGTTTTTTTTTTTAATATTTGAGCCATCAAATCCTTTTTTTCCCAGTCGAGATCAGTTCAATTTAATTTCTGCCACCTGCAGTTGAACGAGTCCTCAGTAATATAGCTGAACTAGATCAGCCCTGCTTCTTTTTAACACCCTTCTCAAACTCTGGGGATAAATCACAGTGGTCCTCTGTCTTCACGCACGCGCGCGCACACACACACACACACAGTCACTCACAGACTCACACCAACTTGATCCTCTCCTTTTTCATCAAGGAGAAGGGAGCGGAGGACTCATACCACCCATTCTGTATCTGGCAATGAAAAGACAAAGAGTGCCAATAATCATGTCACAAGTAAAATGGCATCTACACAAATGAAATGCAACATTGCTAAATGTGAATGTACTTCCAATTCATTTTTACCAAGAAAAAAGTCATTTAAGAAATGCTTGCACTCATCTTAAAAAATCATTTTTTGGGGGACTAGCCCTGTAAAGCAACTCATGGAAATCTGTAAGAGAATGAGACCAACAGAAGATCTTGAAGGTGACAGAATAGTAGTGACAGTCCTAAGCGAGGAGGTTACTGGAATGTTTGACCTTCTCTACTGGCTCCAAGACAAACATTTGTTTTGAGGAAACAATTGTGAAAAATGCTTCTGTTTGAAAACATTAGCTTACGGAGCAAACAGTTGATTTAAAAATCTATACTTAAACTATTAGGTTTCTGCCAAATAAAACACTTGTCCACCCAAACATATGTTTCAATGAAAAATGCTTGCCATTGTAGACAGAGCAGAAGGAAATGCCCAAAATATGGTCAAACTTAGCAATAGTTTAAAAATCAAGTTGTTAACCACTGAATTGTCAAGATGGTAATTTTCCAATCAATGTTCCAGTATCACTTGTCAATTATTGTACTATAAAAATAGACTAAGGATGTATTTTATGATTATTCATCTTTTAAAACATTCTATTTAAGAATCTGGCAGTCTTATCAATGCAAAAATAGTTTTTTTTCTTTGAGAGTCAGGAATCCTAAGTTGCTTTTTTGCAATTTCTTCTTCTTCTTCTTCTTCTTTTTTGAAGGGAGGTTAACTATATAACTTGGAGTCTTCCCAAAGATCCTTTCCTTACAGATTAACCTTACAGATTGGCACTCTTTGTCTCTGTTGTTTCATTCCAGAATACAGAGTAGGAGCCCCTCCACTCCCTTCTCCCTTACAGAAAGAAGACCAAGTTGGTGTAAGTCTGTGAGGGACTGTGTATGCATGTGCATCTGTGTGTATGTGAGGTTAGTAGACCGTGGTCATTTGTCCCCAAAGTCTGCGAGAGAGGCATGTTAAAAAGAAGCAGGGCTGATGCAGTCTAGCTATATAACTACGGTTAATCTGTAAGGATCTTTGGGAAGTGTATTTGTTTATTCTAAAACATTTTCCTACATGGTCTTTACCTCAGATGTATCTGGATCACTAGTCTTTTAAACTGCATTTCATTCCTTTTTTTTGTTGTAGTTCTTTATAGTTTAAAAAGAGCAGCTCAGAAAATCATAGTGTGTGCCATCCAGAGCTAGGAAATGGCATTGCCAAGCTCACCAAATCACAGTCCAGGAGAATATGTGCTGTACTGATGGCTTTATCCTGGAGCCCTGAACTGTTTTTCAGTTTCCCTAATTGTGAGTTGATTCTCAGACTTAAGCCTGAGCATATTTTAGGTCACAACATTCTCATAAAAGCATCTTTCAGAATCTATGGAATGTGACTTCAGGACCCCCAGGGAGATGAGGTCCTGGTTCTTAAGGAGGGCAGCCAGCCATCCAGTTTTTCTCGTGAATGGAGGAAGAAAAGTCACCTGGGCCTCTCAGACTGTGTAGGGACCAGTCTTCGGGTTTTTGCTCAGGCAGCCCCCGTCCTGGAACACTTTTCCTCAGTTCCTCCCTACCCACCTGAATGCACACAATCTTTATGGCCCATCTCGTTTGTGAAGCTTTGCTTGATTGTCTCCTAAAGGGATGGCTTTCTCTTCTGAACTCTTATGCCACTTGTCAGCTCTTGAACCCGAGCATTAGAGAGAGAAACTAGGTCTCTGAAAGATTTCCACAGTAGAAGATTATGGAAGGCAGGGGTACCACAATTTACACACTTTTGGTTTTCCTCACAGTGACCTGCACAGTGTCTTTATTTTGGTTTAAAGACAAGTTTTCCAGTTTCAAAAGGAAACGGAGAATAGGTTATTTTTTTCTTTGAGAGGCTTTTACATAGAGAACATAGACTCACCGGAAACAATCCAATAAAAACAAGCCTTAGTGTCACCCTCTGACACCCCAGCTCAGAGGAGGGTAAAGGCATGCAGCCAGACAGGAAAGTGTATGATGAGGGAGGCAGACAGGCTTCCTCAGGTTCCTCTAGGTATATGTAAGAGCCGCTGTGAGAATATGCATTCTCTTTCCTCAACCCGCCCTGGGAGGGGGGAAGTCTCAGGAACCCCCTCATTTAGAGGGTAGCTGGAAGCTGCTCCTAGAGACTGTTGCTGGGCACTCAGGGGAACCTACCATGCACTAGGAACTGCCAACCCTCAGAAGGTGAATCAACCATAGCATATGTTTCTAATTCGAACAGATGTACTGTAACATGCTTACCTCATCCTGGTTATGACTGAAGTCCTATAAGCTTCAACTAATTTAAGCAACAATCTGGTGACCAACAGAAGACTGTGTCTGAACCAGGTAGCATTTGCTAGAAGAGCTTCAAAGAAGATTGTCCCAGAGATCCCTACCAATAGTCTCGTGCACACAGTATGTGTTCATTAGATATTCTGTACAGCTGTTAAATTGTAGGTAACTATAATTGGGTTTGTCTATTCTTACAGATACTTGGAAAAATATAAGATTAAATTCCTGGGGAAAGGGTGGGATGGGAAGGAGATAGTGAAGGGAATTTGTGAGTTTCTGAAGGGATAGCTATTCTTGTCTAATCATTTCTCTTTTCCTTGACTTGTCAAGACAAAAAAAAAAAAAAAAGGAGTTGTTTTTCACCCAGTTGCTATTCATTAAATCTTTATGGGACTGAACTGCCACCAATATGTTTTAAACTCACGAGACCTTTGCAAATTATAATAGCTGATTTCCCTGCAAACGGAAAGGATATATTTAGAGGCTTTCCTGGGAGAATGAACTGGCCCCAGGGATTCATAATGGACTGCAGAGCCTTTCACCTCAAGGTCAGTAGGTCAAATCCAAATCAGGCCTGAGGTGGCTGAGAGGCATCATTTGACTGGCAGCTGTTGGGTGACCAGGGTGAAAGGAACTGGAGGCTTCGGCTGCATTTCAAGTAACGTGAATAGGTGCTGTCTGCCAGGGTCCTGGCGGAGGATGAAAGAGAGTGGTCACAAATCTCCTGGGCTTGGTCTCCCGGACCCAGAGGCCATTTTTGACCTGGCAAAGTGAGGAGCTGAACTTCCAAGTACTTTTGTGAGAGGAGGAAAGCTGAGGGAAGGACATGTCTAAATTGCCAAGGCCTCAGAAGAGGAGGGTATGTCAGATGAATGGCGAGGCACCTGCTGCATCACCTGAGGCCAGAGCTGGCTTCTGTGTGCTAAGCATTTCACTGCCTTCTATCTCCTCTGCCTCACTCCTCGCACCCTTTCTTTCCAATGGTGGCTGGCGCTGTCTTCTGTCACTAAGTAAGGATGAACAAGTGAAGATGCAAAGGGATCAACGGGCAGACTGCAGTGATTAAAATTAATGGTGAGGGTTTTCTAGTTTTTAGTTGGGCAATACATTTTACACCCTGCTCATCTTAGACTCACAGCATGCAGGAGTAGGGTATAAAATATGTAATAGGGTGGGGAGGTCAGAATTCGGTAGCTGCTTCATAAAAGCTTAGGACAGAACACTGCATTTGTCCTGCCTCTTCTTTGGACTGTTGAAGAAATTGAGGTCCAGATAGTTGGAGGTCGGTCACCGTGTCAGGGTCTAAGTTACCAGCAAGTTAGGCGACTCCAATTGATGAGAACAGTCAATGGAGGTACTGAAAGAATATCGAGTAGTACACAGCAGCTTAAGGGAAGCAAGTGTGGCCAGTAGCGAGGAGGCAAATCCTTGACAGTTCTTCAGGAGAGGCCCCTTTTACTGCTTTAGCCACTGGCTATAGGTTAGGGCAGGGAATATCCCGCTCTGGACAGAAAACTGGCATCTTCTTGCTTCAAGTCTCTATTTAAATTTCACTTTCTAACAGAAGCTTTCCCTGGCCACTATATGTAAAACAGTAACTCCTTCCACCTACATGCACTCCCTTTCCCTCTATCCTTTATTGCTTTCCATAGCACTTATTCCCATCTAACCATTACTGATTTATTACTTACTATTTACTTTCAGTCTCCGCCTCCAACCCCCTTCTCCATGATCCCATTTCTGAGGGGTGGAGTGTCCTCCAAAAGTTGCCTGTGCCCTCAGGAGAGGAGGTTCCCTTAGATTCCAAGTCTGGGCAAGTTTCAAAGCTCCTCCCTTGGGAACCTCATAGGGATGGGGGTGGGGTCCTGTTTTTTTCTCACAGCTTTCCCTTTTGCCTGCAATCCAAGATCCTCAGTGAGAAGGCTCCTCCCTGGTCCCAAACCATGGAGGAAAGGAGCTTTCTAAACAAGCGAATGAACAGGTATGGAAGGAAAAAGGGCCACCGCAGGCCAGAGTCTCTGTGCTGTTTAGATACCACATTTTCAACCAAGTTTTTGCTGGCAGGCTCAAGGGACCTGTCTGCTAATACGGCTCAGCAAAGATTCCTCCTAGCTACATCCAGCCTTTCCTTCTCCTCCCGCCCCCCTCCTTTCACCTGCAGCCCACCCCCCACCCCCATCCATTTCCTAGGAAAACAAATCTCTGGGAGGAGGCAGGAAGAGTGGATCTCAGCGAACCCTTCTGAATAAATGTCTATATTAATGAATTATTAACTCAGCCACCCGTGACCTTAAACCTACTAGAAGCAGGAGCACCCAGGGCAGAGCGGAGAGCTGCTGAATCCTTTATTGGAGTCCTGTCAAAGGCAACCGACCATTTGTTCCACTCCCCCATCAAGAAAAAATAATATGAAAGGCAAACTTTTGAATTGTATGTTAAACGGAATCAGATAGAGGGTCTCCTGGACAGAACCCCCTTCTCTCCTCCTACCCCTTCTGCTGCTCCCTCCCTACCCTGGCCTCCAGCTACATCCTTCCCCTCCCAGCTCAGGGTACAATGGGCTTCCCAAGGATAATTTTCGGGGCGAAAATGCTCGAGAAAATGATGAATTTGGGTAATTTATCGATCCTGGCTCCTCTTCCCACTTGTTTTATTTTAGAGGTCATTAATCAATGAAGAAAAACACCACCGTGTCCCCCCGTTTGCATTTAATACACTCAAGGCTCCTCATTTATTCCTCTGGAACAAATTCCCAGCAAATATTCACCCATCGATTTGGGAGCGATGGATTTTTATAAAGGTTTGATCGCTTTCTAAGTGGTCGAAGTGATTTGTTTCCGTGGTCTTCTCAGTATTGAAGGGGGTGGGGGAAGCGGATTTGAGGGGGTGCATGTCCTTGCCGTCGGTGGGCTCACTTTCTAAAAACTATTGAGATGCGCCAGGGTGGCCGTGACCAAGCGGGCCCAGGGTCAACTGTGTGAGGGGGAAGCGCCCCTCAGAGCGCGCGCAGCGTCGGGGGTCCAGCTTACGCCGCTGCGCGCCCTTGTGCGCACCGGGTGAGGATGCCGAGCTCTGCGGGCATCCCGGAAGCCGCGGTGGAGGCAGGGGCCCCGCTCGGCGCAGTGGGCCTGCTGGGGAGGTGCAGGGGAGGTCCTGACTCCTGGTCTATTCCCTTCCAGACTTTTTCGTTCGCTCCCGGACCTTCAGGGCTCTCCCTCAAACTTTCTCCTGCCCCCTTCACGGGAGGTTCCTGTAGCCTCTGGGCCTTAGGGTCCCGTAAGCCTCGGGATCGACTTGTGCCCGGGGTGGGTGTGGCGGAAGCTTGAATCGGATTACCCAGGTACGCCACCTGTAGACGTAGTGGGCGAGGGGGACTTTGCTACCTTCTCAGCTTCTTCCCTGGACCCCGCAGCGAGGGGAACCAAATCTCTCCCATGATAGCCCCTCTGGCGTCAGTCTGGACCGAGTGGCTACAGGTTGGACTAGGGTAGGCAGAAGATGCACTTGGCACCTTACCGAACGGTATTTGAATCCGTCTCCATTACTCATTAATGGCGTGACCTTAGGCAACCCATCTAAACTTTCCGAACCTCAGCGGTCCCCATCTACAATATGGGGGTTAATGATAATGCCTTCTCCGCATGTAGGTGGATTAAATGGACATAAAGCGCCTACCCCCGCCCGGCACGTCCAAAACTCTCATTAACAGGTCAGCTAATCTTATTACGAGAGGAACCCTCCCTCCTCCGCTTCCCAGAGTGTGGGCGGCATGAGGCCACGGAAGCAGCTGCTGCAACTAGCATTTCAAAATCCAGAGACTTTCTAATGGTGGCAGGGGGTGAAAGGGTAGGGGGGAGGCAGGGTTGGGACAGGTAGAGGTAGGTTCTTGGGGACTTCCAGTCTTGGGGACCAAGCGCTTGGAACTAGCTGGGTTTGGGCAGAAACAAGAAGGCAAATGACGGGACCGCCGCCGGAGTCCGGACTTCCATCCCTGGAGTTCACTGTCTCTCCCAGGGAACAGAGGAGTGTCCTGGTTTCTCAGCAATGAACCAGGAGAGTGTGAGAAAGAGCATTTGTTTCTTCTCCCGTGGCCCGACAAGCCACTCTTCGGCAGTTCTGCGAGCAGATTAATTGAAACGGGCCTGGAACTTCATCCTCTCCTCCCGATGGAGTTGCTGGAGGTCTGCGGACACTGCCTGGTTAGCCTCCGGGACCACAGCGCCGTGGGCTTTCCCTCGTGGTGTCTGCCTTAAACTTGGGTGCTATCAATCTATCCAACAATGACGGATGACCTTGTCATAACGACGCCAGTCAAAACATTTTCGGTCTAACTCTCTTCCAACCAACATCGAAGCATCCTGAATGAGACCCGGATGAAGTCTGAACAGCACGTTTCCCAGGTTCAGAAAACTTGAGTGGTGGGAAGAGAAAAAGAAACAAGCAGAAATCAGGAAAGAATGGCTATTAATTGCTCAGATTGGCAAGTGCTAAATAAGTTAGGTTGTTTGGAAAAAGATAAATGCCGTTTCTTCTCTTTACGGTATGGCCAGAACCCCGGCGATGGGAAAGTACCTCCTGAGTCGGTCAATTTCACACACCCTGCCTGTGCCCTCTACCATCTACTACCGAAAATGCCAGGAAGAGCTGGGGGGCAAGTGCCTCCTTCGTGGGTGCGAGACTGCATCGAAGGGCTGCCCTGGCACAAAGTCTGGGGAGAGGACATGGTGGAGGTGGGGCTGCACTCCCACCCTGCCCCTCTAACACCAGGTTTTGGGTAGAGAAACCTATGCGTGACCTCCTGCGGCAGCCGCAGGCAGCTGACCGCAAACAGCCTCGCCCGTGTCCCGGAGCAGTTGTGCCACCAGACGTAACACTGGATACTTGTCTCCGGGCCCCAAGAAGGAGAGGGAAAGAGCCCTCCAGAAGACAACCCGAGAAGGGGTCAGCAGAGCGCTGGGTGGAGTGCAGACTCCATTGCAGCCGCCTCCCAGCCCCACGGCCAAGCTTGAGTCCCTCCAGGACCAGCTGCTCTCGGTCTCAGGACCCTCGGTCCTACGCCTCCCTGCACCGACAAGCCTCCCTCCTGGGCTGCAGACAGAGGGTTTCACTGCAGCGCGCAACCCGTCCCGCTCCGCCCCCAACTTTTCTCCCCGGAGGATTTATGTTAGAGGTTGCGTGGCGGGCGAGTGGACTCTGGCACCCAGAAGCACTTCAGGAAAAACTGAGCCGGGCAAAAGCGCAAACCCGGTCCTGGCGGCGCGGGCTTGCTCCAGCGCGGACACCACAGCGTGTGCGGAGATGCATTCCCGTTGCCGCATTTCCACTGCTTTCAAGATCAGGGCACTGAGCTGGGACCCAGAAAAGACATATCATGGGCAGAAAGAGACAACAGGCTAGCGGCAGACGTCACGCCAAAAAAACAGGGGATGGGAGGGCGGAGGAGTTTGTGCGGGAAAGGCGCTCTGGCGATGTGGGTCGGGCCGAATTAGAACTTCCTTCTTCCCTCTCCCCTCCCCTTCTTCTGGCCTGCCTCCCCTCCCCCCTCCGTTCTCTCTCTCTCTCTCTCTCTCTCTCTCTCTCTCTCTCTCTCTCTCTCTCACACACACACACACACACACACACACACACACACACACACACACACACACACACACACACACACTCACTCTATTTTGTGCTGTCGTAAAACCCACGTGTCCAGCCGGGAAGCTGCCAGAGCGTGGAACCAAGGAGCCAGGACGCGGCAGCGGCCAAGCGCAGCAGCCCACGGCGGTTGAGTCGGGCGCCCAGGTCCGTCCGCACTCTCGCGCCCTCCGCGGGCCTCCCAATTTTCTCGCTTGCAGGTCGGGAGGTTTCCGGGCGGCACAATCTCTAGGACTCTCCTCCCGCGCTGCTCAGGGGCATGTAGCGCACGCAGGGCGCACACTCTCGCGCACCCGCACGCTCACCGAGACACCCGCACGCACCCACCGGCAGCACCGAGTTTTCAGGTAAGGTGAGGCTGGTCTGGGACTTAAGAGTCTAGGGCTTGGTAGATAGGAAGGTTGGTGGTCCTAGGTTGGGGGCGGGCGGCGAGACTGTTCTGCCTCCTGGCGCCTGAGGCCAACGCGGCTCGGGCGCTGCGCCACGCCGGCTCGGGTCGGCTCCGGGCGCTGGCTGAGGGCGGGGGCTGCGTCCTGCAGCCGAGTTCTACGGGGCAGCGCCCTCCTGTCGGGCCCCAGCATTGCTGGATGGGAGCTGGACGCTGCGATCGGGGAGGCAGAGCAGGGTGCACACAGCTCCCTCTGTGCGGCGCCGCAGCTTCGGAGTAAACTTTGCGCCCAAGCGGAGTTGGGAAGAGGGAGCCGCGGAACCGGGCGGCCGCCGGCTGAACCACCGGCTCGGGCACTTTCTCCAGGGTCCCAGTGGCCCTCTTCCCGGCCCCTTTCGCCCAGCTCACGCGCCCCCTCTTCCCTGCCCTCTGCCCCCAGTTCGAGGCGCCGGACATGCTGAAGCCCGGAGACCCCGGCGGTTCGGCCTTCCTCAAAGTGGACCCAGCCTACCTGCAGCACTGGCAGCAACTCTTCCCTCACGGAGGCGCAGGCCCGCTCAAGGGCAGCGGCGCCGCGGGTCTCCTGAGCGCGCCGCAGCCTCTTCAGCCGCCGCCGCCGCCCCCGCCCCCGGAGCGCGCTGAGCCTCCGCCGGACAGCCTGCGCCCGCGGCCCGCCTCTCTCTCCTCCGCCTCGTCCACGCCGGCTTCCTCTTCCACCTCCGCCTCCTCCGCCTCCTCCTGCGCTGCTGCGGCCGCTGCCGCCGCGCTGGCTGGTCTCTCGGCCCTGCCGGTGTCGCAGCTGCCGGTGTTCGCGCCTCTAGCCGCCGCTGCCGTCGCCGCCGAGCCGCTGCCCCCCAAGGAACTGTGCCTCGGCGCCACCTCCGGCCCCGGGCCCGTCAAGTGCGGTGGTGGTGGCGGCGGCGGCGGGGAGGGTCGCGGCGCCCCGCGCTTCCGCTGCAGCGCAGAGGAGCTGGACTATTACCTGTATGGCCAGCAGCGCATGGAGATCATCCCGCTCAACCAGCACACCAGCGACCCCAACAACCGTACGTAGCCGCAGCCCGCGCGCTCTCTCCCGGGGCGCCGGCGCCGGCGCCGGCGGGCGCGGGTGCCTGTCAGGGAGGCGGGTCGGATAGGAGTGACACGGGGCCGGGTGGGTGGGGAGCACCTGGTCCTGGCCGCTGGCCCGCGCCTCCCCGATCTCTGTGACAAAAGTTTTCTGGCGTTGGAGAAGGAAAGAGAACGGATGGGACGGCCGGTGGCACTTTGGGGTTCCCTCTCCCTCCCTCTCCTCACCTGCTTCACAGTCCCAAGTGTTTGGGGCCGGAGTCTACCGTGGACCCGGCCTAACAGACCTCTGCCCTCCCGCCGGACAGTGCCCGGGGCCAGGCGGGTACTGGCAGCGTGTGACAGGGGGTGTCTGGGTCAGGCCCTGCCTGGCCTTAGCCGGGACGAGGGAGGGACCCTCAGCGTCTCTGGGGAGCACGCAGACCAGGGCTTGTTTTTGCTACTCTCCACCCCACCTCTGGAGGGGTCATTTTCGGGCCGCGGGGTTGTGGGGGAACCGGCGGGAGCTGTTCGCTGGCCAGGCCTCACTGGAGTAGGAATTTTAGATGAAACTGAGTCCGTTTCTCCTTGAAGGCAGGCAGTATTCTTAGATCTACTATTCATTTAAAAAGAAGGAAAAGAAAAAAAAATGACTGCTACTTACTGAGAAGAAAATTTCTGTTCTCCTCCGATTCCGCTGATCCCGCTTTATCCGCGCACCTTTGACCCCGCAAACATTCATAACCCATGTTGGTTTATGTATTTATTTTTAGAAATTAGGGTGACTGTAATTTAGTAAAAGACGCTTACTCCCCTCTTCCTCCAAGTTAATAGCAAATGCCTAACTAAACATCAGAATTCCTGTAGCTTCGGTTTCTATATTCACAATTTGAAACGCTTATCACAAGTACAGTTCCATTTGGCGGTTTTGAAGCAAAACTCTAAATGAAGATCAAGCAATATGTACTGCTTTATACCTGCTTCTTTTTGATAATTTCAGAAGTTATACTGTGTTTACACCTATACTGTGTTGGGAGTGTTAAACGTGCTCCCAGAGACTTCTGGAGATAACATTAAAGTGTGTTAAGAGCGTCAGATTGAAAGCAATACAGGATTTGAAAGATCAGCATTCATTCAGCTATTTTCTTCATCTCATTCCTTCGTCTGGCTTCTGTATGAGTAAAGTTAATTTAAAACATTTATTTTTATTCAATTTTGAATAAGTTGCTTCTTGCAAAATGTCTACCGCTCTGTGAACTTCTTAATTCGTTGTAAAAGCAAAATAAGTTCAGTTATAGCTCTTTAAAGGATTCCCTAAGTCGTTGATTTGATGAAAAAAAAAACACTGGGCAACTGCCTCGTGGTTGAGGTCTATGAATATTTTCATTATGTTGGACATAGCTGTGATGGAGATAATAATTACCAACAGAAAGAGCAATCGTATTTACTTTTTTCTTTATGAAGTTTGAGAGTAAAGCACTGGCTTAAAATAGTGGTTTCAACTCTAATTTTGCTGTGCAGTTGAGAAGACTTGTATTTCAGAGTTTCAGAAAGTTTTACAACATTATACTCTCCCAACAGATTTCAAAAAATACTTATCTCCTACTGAATTTCTTGAATGTGTGTTTTTGAAGCAAGTATTTTAAATTATGAAATAAAAAGATTTTTAAACTGCCTTGGAAAAGGTATGTCTTACTGCTAAGTGAAATATAGCCATTGCAGGCTGAGAATGCTTCATCAATCTTGCAATTTCACTTCTGAATTAAATATATGCTAGAGAAGTCACCAGCAGTACACCCCAAATCCCTGGCTGTGTGCTGAGCTCCTGTACTGTTTACAATGCAGTCTGGAAAATTAATACGTTTTCACCAGAGAAAACAGACTAATTCGAGAAAGAATTAGGATAGATTCCTAATTAATATATGGGTATTGAACCAGTTTATTGCCTGGGTAACTTTTTTCTCTGGTTGGAGAAAATAAATTACAATTTTATTTAAATAATTTATATTGTGTTAATCTTCTGGTATCTCCTTTTGAGCCAACTGGATTGTTTCAGTGTTTGAAGTGCAGGGGAAAAGACAGAAGGGAAAGAAAATTAGATTGTCCTATTAGAGTTACACCCCACGTTGCTCACTAATTAAAGGGCAATTGAGAAAGAAAATAGAAAGCTGAGATAGCGCTGTGTAATGCTGGGAGACGAGATCTCCCATTCTTCCAGGAACTTCTCTGGACAAGCAAGCTTAGGCACTCATTTGAAGCCATGGGATGTACTTTTACAAAGATGAAACGTGATTGAGTTTAATCTAAGTAGGGGCTTAAAACAAGTCAGAAATGCAAATAGTGGGAAACTCGTTTCCTTTGGCAGGGGAAGTTGGCATAATGGTTATTGAAAGGCTGTGAAAAACAGAAGCTTCTCCTCATTCTCGAGTTGTATGTGAGTGGAGGTGGAGTGAAAGGAAGGGTGGAGGCAGAGGGAAGCTCCTATTAATTTATCATGTATAGATTTCCCTAGTTTTTCTTTTAGTTTTTTTACCATCTCCCTCTAAAAGAATTCTGTGAAGTGACCACTTAGCATTGCTTCATTTTGTCACTTCGTACTTAAAAGGATAGGTATTGAGTTGTTTTCTCTTTTTCTCACAAGGCGAAATAAAAAGGGCGGGATGCGGGGGTGCCTCCTTACTTCTCCCTTCCCTTTAGCAAAGTAACTTTTTGCCTAGGATCAGCAATACATATCATTGCTCTGTAAGAAAAGAACTTAGGAACACTAGTTTCACCTTGAAACTTTATTGGCATCTATGGTAAATGTCACAGTGATGGGGCTTGTAGCTCTCTTTCGTTCTAAAAGATTTTAAAACAGCAGAAACTGCAAGCTACCCGGGTGAGCTTTTCCAGTATGTTCCTAACTCCGTATCAGTTTACCCTGTGACTGAAGTACAGTTTCCACCGAAGCTCTGAATGCTTTGCTGTTGCTGCTGCTGCCGCCTTCTCTTAAAAATCAAGTGGTGCCTCCTGCGATATAAATGGGGGATGGGGCCCTTCCTTCCCCGTCTAATATTACTGCCCTCATTTGCTGCTGGGCTGCCTGAAGCCATTGATTTAGTCAGGCTCCATCGGAGTGGCCTCTTCCCGGGTTCTGGGAGCTGGTGCGTTGCCTGCTCTTGAAAAGTAGAGAGAGACAGTCACAGGGCGCGCCTGGCGTTTCTGAGTAGCATCCCGGCTGTTCTCTCAGCACAGCCCATTAGTTTTTCAGGCCTTTTTTGTAAAGATGTGCTTCCCTAGGACCTGGGAGGGAGGCGGGAACTGAGCCACTTTGGGTGTCTCGGGGGAGAGTTGGACCACTTTGCAAATTCCCCAGTTGGGGGAGGGGTCTCTGTCCCCTCCCGATTTACTGGAACCCTCCTGCGCAGGGAACAGGCTGGAAACAGCGCCGGTGTGTGCATGGGTGTGGGAGCGGGGCTTGAGGCTTCCTTGTTGGGAACACCAGGCTTTCCAAGGGTTTAGGGAGAGGGGCTGGGGAGAGAAAAGGGAGTCTGGGCCTAACACTGGTTTGTCCGGTTGCTTGCTAAGGGGTCAAGGAAAGAGACAAAGGAGGGCGAGTGTTTTCTGACCTTCCCTAATCCCTTCCCACCCAGGTGGAAAACGCAGGTCCTGTTTGGGCAACTTCGAGCCCAGTGGCACACCAGCAGGCTTTTTGTGCAACCGAGGAACATCCACTGCGCCCCTTCTGCCCTGCGCCTCCTCTGTCAAAGACCAGCGAGCGCCTTAGATTGCAGACCTGGTCCGGGTGGGAGGGAGCTTTGGCTTCAGTGCGTGGGCTTTTGTGTTTCTCTCTCTCTCTCTCTCTCTCTCTCGCGTGTGTGCAAGCCCAGCCTCATCCCATAACACACATGATTTAGCTATTTTACATCTTTCGTTATCTAGCGCCCTGAAACCGAACATACAGCCATATATTAGATTGAGGTTAGAAGAGGTGGCGACTGTTTATTCAAGGTGATAAAATGGTCCATCAGCAGTAATCTCCATCGATATGTGCCACCAGGAGATGAAGGATGAGGGGACAAGCCACAATTAATTGCCCTATAGTTTTGTAGGAGAGAGTGGAGCCAGCCCAGACCCGCTTCGATCTCCTCTCGCGGCTCCTATTCATCATCTCCGCATTGTATATGGCAGCCTCGCAGGGGCAGGGGCCGGCGAGGTTTATCTCTGCGCAATATTCTCTCACCCTCACAAACTGGCGCTCCCATTTAATTTATTAATACAGTCATCGGAAGACAAATAAGACCCACATTTTCTCCCTCCCACCTTCTTGCTCTCTTCTTTTTGTCTCTCCCTCTTGGTCCCAGGGTCAAGCCCGCAGCCAGGCAGGGCAGAGAACGCCCAGAGCTTTTGCGATTCGCGGGGAGCTTTAAACTCGCGTAGAGGGAGAGTTCCTGAGAGAATTCCCAGGAGCTGGGCCGCCCCGCAGGGTCGAGACTGAAATCAATTGGCTCCCCTTCCGGCGGCCAGGCAAACCTGCCTCGCCTCTGGATCTGCTTCTAGACCCGCTCCCGGGGCTTGGAAGACCCCTGCCGGGTAGAGGAGGAGGGCCGGGTGGGTGGCGGGGTGCAGTGGGGACGTCGGATCGTGGGTGGTGTCGGCGGCCACGCCTCATGTCAGAAGAGAGCCTTTCGTGGGCAGGAGCGGGGTGGGACCTTCAAAACTCAGCCTTCGGCGCTGAGGCCTGGGCGCCCCACCCCGCCCATCGCTCCCTTTCAGCCATCCCATCTAGCCTATAGCTCGAGAAGGCAGTGGGGGGACCGCAGGCTGGAGCCCCGGGGGCGTGAACCCCACGCGAGAAGTTCGGGCCCGGATGCTCTGCCTGCCCGCCCTCTGCCCGGCTCCCCAGCCCCCACGCCCCTCCCCGCCTAGGGCGCACGCGGCACTGCCAGCAGGCGGCACTCCCGGGTCCTAGTCGCCGGGCTGGGATCGATGGGCGCCGGCCCCTCGGGTCTCGGCCTGCGAGACTGAGGGCCGCGACCTTGGCGGCGGTAGGGGAGGATTTACAGCCGGGGTGGATAGTGGCGCCCAGGCGGGGAAGCAGGCTTTTCACCTACTCCTTGCTTTCCTATATGCAGGGCGGGTGAGAGCCAACGAAGGCGTCGGGCAGGTACTGGGGAGTGAAGATGTGATGTAGCTCTCACTCCCCACGCGCCTACACATGACTGTTGGCCTCTCCACACACCAAAAGCCCGGAAGCGTTTTATATTTCACCTTTCCTAGAACGAGAAATGAAATTCCAGAAAAGAAAACCATGGCCTGCTTTGCCGCCTTTACCTTAAAATAGATATATTGTAAAGATCTATTGCACTTTAAAGACATTGAAACAACACAGAAGGATAGGAAATGAAGAGTGAAAGTCTGCTCTTAACTGCACTTGGCCTGGCCTTCTGATGCCAGGAGGCGAACAAGTCTGTAACCTAATGACAGCACCTTCCTTTACTCAGAGACGCTTAGACAGGAGCATTGACAGATTTACTCAAGATAGAAGAGTATTTATGAATAACAATTATGAACTTGTACAAAAACTCTTCCCCTGATTTTAAGAGAAAGTATGAACATTTACTTGCTTCCTTGTTAGGAACCTAAGTAGTTGTATTATGTATTGCTTGGCTTGGAATGCTCTGTGTGTGTATATATAATATAATGACATATATTATATACATTTATACATAGTTTGGTCCTCTCATATAGCCTGCTTCTCTTTCAAACCTTTTCATGTAGGTGTTTATACTCTGCTAGAATGTTTGTCTTCTTAAGCATATTTGTCAATCCCAAGAAATGTTACTTGTTTTTAATATCCTCAAGCTACCCTGAGACTCAGACATAAGTTAGAACCCAAATGTTTCAGCTGGGGGATTTTGTGTATTAAAAAATAACATTGGAATATAACATGTATCTTGATGGCAGTTGGTCAACTTTTCTGGCAGAATATTTTGATATAGCATGAAGTGGTTCACAAATTAAGAAGACCCCTGTTGGGTGGACTAATTAAAGTTGATTGACTTTGTCTAGCCTGCTGTGGACCTAACACACAGATAGTCTTCTAGATATTGGGAGAGCCTCAGTTTTTCACTTTTAATAGTAGCATAATGCTACTATTAAGTTTTTCAACTCTTTATGGAGACAAATGAAACAATAAGTTGAAGACGGCTTTAGAGGACTTCTTGGAGAAAGGCCTTAGCCACAGTTTTATTATCATGCATTACAAATATTAGAAGTGTGCTTTTTGTCTATGGAGGTAGTGGCTGGAGTTGGTACCTATGCTGATGTCGTTGATGGGATGACACGTGTGGAGAAGCATGTTGGAAGTTGACTGTCTCTGGCACAGGCTGCTAGGGAATGAAAACTAAACACTCTTCTGACCATTTGCATCATTGAGTCAAGCAGAAAAAAAAATCAGTTAAGTAACTCCCTGGAGTGACTTATTTCTATTTCCATGGGCATATTGCCTTTGCTTATTGTCATTTGCTTTTAGCTATTTTTGCAAAGGTGCTGAAAGGCTGTCTCTGAAGTCAGACAGTAACATTCAAAATTATAGACATTATCTATGTATTTTCCTATCCAATCTCTTACTTTAATGTCCGAAAACACAAGAGTGTGGGAAAGAGAGAAACCTCTATAACTCAATCATGCTACAGCAATTTTCATGGCCCCCAAAGTTACTTCAGTGAAATATTTCAATTCAATTGAGTCATGAGTTTGAATGTTAAATTTCCCCAGCTTTCATTAGTCTTTTAAAAATCTCTGGGTTTAGAGGCCTTGCAGTCAGGCAGCCTTGACTGTGAATCCTTTCTCTGCCACTTTCTAGCTTCTGGTTCTTGGTGGAGTAGTAGTGCTTGGGAATTGCTTTATCTGCAGAATGGGAATCATGATACTTAGATAATATGCTGGTTTTTGGTTCTAGACAGGTGTCTGACACATGGTATGCACTGTAATTGTGTTTATTGTCTTTCATGTAATTCCCAAAATGTCTTGAAGTTTTTATTTTCACAATCAATAAGCTTGAGAGGGTGTGTGAAGTGTGTGTGTTTCAGAGGAGTTGACATATGGATAAGTGTGAGAATACTCCCATCCAGGCCCTGGGGTCAAAAGCAGAGTCTGGGAGAATTTTAACAATAGTTTGTGTTGCTGGCAGAGGAAGGACAGAAGAGGGCCTTTGTGCAAGGGAGGCCCAGCGGCATGGACACTTCTCTGCTTTCCGAAACAAGTTGTTGCTTTTCACTTCAGAGGTCTGGGGACATTTCTGAGAAGCTTGCAGCCCTCATTCTTCCAGCTCTCTTGGGAGGAGTAGAGGAGTAGCTGCTGACTGAGGCAAAGGTTTGGCTGGCTAGAGCCCCCTCCAGTGAGACAGGAGGCTTACATAGTCAGCCCTCCTTTGCTGTGAAGCAAATGGCAAATCGAGGGCTCCCTTACCATGCTGGGTTGCGATTAGCTGTTCCTGACACAAACGTTTCATACAGACTCACAAGTTTCTTGGGCATTTCGGTCATTTCAGCGCAGATAGGGCACATCCAGGGTGATCCAACAGGCCTGGCTGCGGCCAAGGCTGGCGGCGGCAGGTACCCGGGTGCCCCGAGGGCCACCCGCCGCCCCGCTCTGGCGCATCCATCAGTGGCCAGCTTTCACCGTGTCTGCCAGGCGGGACTCGCCAGGTGTCAGGCTCAGTGCCATAAGCCTGACACTTGCGCGGGGTCGCCGTGGCTCCTCAGGGAAGCTGGGCCAAGGAGGCTGGGTCGCGCCGGCGGGCGCCGAGGCCACCTTCTCGGGGCAGGCCATCCGCGCTGAGGCGCAGACACGGCGGCTCCTCCAGGCCCATTAATAACCCGGAGGGCGCTGCGATCCGACAGCGCAGTCGCCACAGGCTCTATTTCCCGTGGCCGCCTGCCTCCTTCCAGCCCAGTTCGAGTGGAGGGATACTGGGCGCCCACTACCGCCCGGCCCGGAGGGTGGGGGTCCCTCTCGCGCAGGCTGCTTTGGAGAGTGTCGGAGAGAGACAGCTTTATCTACAGCTTCACCCATTGTATAGCACAACAGAATCGCATTTAGCCTGGAGAACAGCCGTCGGGGCAGGAGTTGGTGCCTTCTCTAACAATTAGGCTGATCGTTAAATTTGCTATTCCTTTCTTCCGGCGTCTAGGGAGAGCGTGCACACCAAACCCTCCAGAACAGCACCCCGGTCCCCCACCCCGCCCCACCTGTCCCCGCCCTGCTTCAGTGCCTGGAGGGAGAACTGACTGGTCGCTTGAGGGACCCCATTTCGGGCGCGCCCTTGGAGTCCTGGGGCTGCGGCTCCTGCTCTACCGGGCTGCAGGCTTGCTCTGCCCCGTCCCGTGGCGTTTGGGAGGCAGTCGAGGAAGCCTCCGAGTCTCTGGGTCGAAGGAAGTGCGAATGGCACCCGCGATAGACTGGCCGTCTCCCCCACCCCGCCCCGTCTGGTGATTTTAAATCGTCTCCTGTGTAATTGTAAAAAGAGGAAAGCTGAATACCCAGACGACCAGTATAGAATCTCTTCGAGACAGCAGATTGGGCAAGAGACGGGCTTTTTTTCGCAATACAAGGATAAACACATCCTGAAACTCCAGATAGAAACCTCAGGAATGGGCGAGAGGGTCAGAAGGAACGAGAGACAGTAGGGAAGAGAGAGAGAGAGACAGAGACAGAGGGAGAGATGCAGAGAGACTGAAACGGGAGGAAGAAGCCTGGAACTGTCGGTTCCGTGGAGAGCGGACATGCTATCTGCGCCCAGATCCGAAGGCTTTTTGGGGAGCCTAGAGTCCTGGCCCGGTACCAGGCAGATCTGGGTGCGGCGAATTCCAAGGGAGCGGCGCGGGTTCTCTTCTCCTCCTCCTCTGAGTTGCTTCGGTGCCCCCAAGGCATCACCTTCCTCGAAGGTGGCTTACCCAGGCGGGCGGTGATGCTGTTGTCTCGGGAGTTTACTCAAAGATGGGCCGCTCGGGGCGGCCGGATTAACCCGCTCCCTTCCCTTCCTCCTTCTTGTCTCCCGCAGGTTGCGACATGTGCGCGGACAACCGCAACGGCGAGTGCCCTATGCATGGGCCACTGCACTCGCTGCGCCGGCTTGTGGGCACCAGCAGCGCTGCGGCCGCCGCGCCCCCGCCGGAGCTGCCGGAGTGGCTGCGGGACCTGCCTCGCGAGGTGTGCCTCTGCACCAGTACTGTGCCCGGCCTGGCCTACGGCATCTGCGCGGCGCAGAGGATCCAGCAAGGCACCTGGATTGGACCTTTCCAAGGCGTGCTTCTGCCCCCAGAGAAGGTGCAGGCAGGCGCCGTGAGGAACACGCAGCATCTCTGGGAGGTAAGTGGCCGGCTGCACAGCGCCTCCCCACCGAGCAGGAGCCTTGGCCAGCAGGGAGCCTTGGCCGGCAGGGAGCCTGGCCTTTGGCTGTGGCAACTGCGAAGAGAGCCTCCCTTGGCCCCCAGAGGGTAGCGGAGAATAGATTTCTCTGGTCCTGTAGATGCCTGGTGTCTGAAGCACCTGCAGTAAGGAGGCTGACAGAGCTGGGACTGACACAATAGCAACCCAGCCAGGGAAACAGCCTACAGGTGTCTGAAGACAGAGTCACCTTAAGCTGCCTCCATTCCAGCTGGAATGGATTTGACCGTTGGTCTCTGTGAATTTTGAGAAAAAGAGAAAACAGCTGAGGAGATGGAGCAGCGGAGGGTGGGCATTAGAATGTTTGAGCTGGGTGACCTTTATGTCCCATTCCAAGCACTTCCAGTGTGTTTCTGTGTAGTGAGCAGAAAGGAACAGAAGCATAGAGGGGAGGAAGGAGAGGCTGGCCCCTTTTCTCAGATAAAAACAATTTTGTCAAAGTTGAACGTGAGAGATCACATGTTTCACAACTTTCAAAGGGCCCAAAGTAAGCAAATTATATTGGGAATCAAAGGGCCCAAATTAAGCAAATTATATTGGGAATCAGAAATCGCAAATTCTGCTGCTTCTCTGATGAACGGAAATTATGTAATCTTCATCAATATGGAAAATCAAAACATGGGAACAGTGTGAGCACTTTGGTGTAACCCAATTGAGGGTAATACTTTAATGGCACAATCTTACCTGAAGCAATTATTTAAAAATAACCTATTTGAAAAATGTCAGCCTGAGGTTTCTCCCAAAACATCATGGTGGATTATTGAGGTTCACTTCTGAAGAGATAGATGCCTATCATTAGGTCATCCCCCTACCAATCTTAGCCACCTCCATCCATGGAAAGTTGCTTATGTAATACAAGATGACAGAAGTCATACCCTTAAACAATATGTAAATCTGACTAACTGGGCAAGTGGTATAATAAAGTAGGAATAGCTAGAAAATAAAGTTTCTTAAATGCCAGGGGTCAGGTTGACATGAACCCCTGGGCTCCATTAATGCATCGTTTCTGCAAGAGATTGCCTCTCATACTTGGCTTGCTGGCCTGTCAAAATGATCTTTTTCACTGTGAGCTGCCTTATATTCACTAAATAAAGCTCATGGGACTCATTAATCCACTCAAATTTTTGATGAGTGCCCACTCTGGCCAGCACTATATTAGGCCATGGAGATACAGTATGAAAAACAGACCTGGTATCCGGAACCCTCCTGTGACTGTTGGGGATGGGGTCCTGAGGCCTGTGTCTGCAAAGCCTCTTTTGATGGAGGAGGAGCTGAGTGTATGAGTCTACAGCCCAGCAGCCCAAAATGAGGACGTGGAAGCCAATGAACTACCTACCCTATAGTTATCTGCTGGAGTGCCCCGGCTCAAAGCATCTGGTTTGGAAACATTTTGGTTTTTGTTTCTGACTAATTAATTGTAACCTCCAATGTGGTTTAAAGTTTATAAAACACTTTTAGGTACTTCTCATGTTCCAGTAGTGTTATTAGGAACTCTAATATCATATAGTTAAAGGTCTGCCAATATTTTTCTAAGAAAATCGTACAGCAATTGTTCAATAGTACAAATTTACTCTACCTGAAAATGTTAAAACTGAACACTATTATATTGCCCTTTGATGCCTATCTATTTTTAGAGTGCCAGGGGACAAAGACATAAACATGAACAAAAATCTCATAGTTCATTGTGGGTTTTTTCCCCCCCAGAAGGCTTTGAATGATTGGGATGTTGGCAGGAGGCCACTACACATATAGACTATAACAATGCATATTAACACTGAAAACTATGAAACCTTTCTTTTCTACCTTTACTTGTACTTGATGAAGTTAAAATTTTGTTGTAGTAAAGAGACTGGGGAATTTAGTCAGTGTTTTTCTTTTTCTTGATACTTCAGTAGATATAAAGTGAATTTTATCTATTGTTCAGGGCATGTGAGTTGAGTGTGCTGGGATGGTTCTTAGAGTTGGTTCTCTGTTAGAAAAAAGACTTGCTGGGTGTATGCTTGGATGATCTACAGGATCCAACTCCTAAATTCAGGACATAATCTATTTTTTTTAATTATCTGTAACAACAGTTAGAATAAGGTACATTTGGGAATTGAAGGGATTTTAAAACTTTAGCCATACAAAATGTGTCAGTCTCCTGGGAGATCACGTGAAATGCGACTAACTGGGGCCAGGTAACTTAGTGCCAATATCCATTTGTAAAATAAAATACTTACTTTATAAAATAGGTTTCAGATTTTTATTAGCATAATGATTTTTAAGATATAGAATATGAGTTTAAAATTTTTAAGCATTATGATTTATTTTTATGAAACATGACCGTTTGAATTGTTACATTTATAATACAATATTCCAAATGTTAGATTGTTCCTTAAATTTTAGTTCTTTCTTTCAAAGCTAAATTTTCTTCTGAAATTTAAAAAAATCATCATATTATTCACATTAGAATCAGTAAGTAGAATACATTGTAGGTCTATCGGAAATGTTTGGCAATAATTGTTTAATGACTCATGTAATAATTATCCATTTCAAAAACTTATTCTTTTAGATGTCTTCCAGAATAGCAAGTCAACAAAATGTATTAAAAAAATTAAAAGCAGTTGAATCATGATTATTTTATTTTAAAAGGCAACTGTAATCATTTCTCTTCCTCACATTTTTTCAAGTCATTTGCTGATGAAGAAATGTCTTTTTATTTCAAGTTCAATACTCAGGTCCTGATGGATCTTACCAGGGTTACTTATCTTTATTTCAGTACAATAAATGGATTGCTAATCTTTTCCTGTCACTATTTCCAAGTAGATGATGGATTTTTGTTTCAGTTTACACTTCATTGTTTTTAGTATGGTTGTACTTTATTATACACATGAAGGCTTATTACAGAAACAATCAGATTCACCTTAGTTACTCCTTTTATTTAATCATTAGAAGCTCTATTTTCTTTGTAGAAAAATGACTTTTTGTTATTTAACATACATCAGCCATGGAGAGCTTGTTTGGTTTGTAAGCATGCAATCATTGTTTTAGTTAATATTTTCTTTGTGTATAATCATAGTTCTTCAAAATACAGCAATTTAAAGGAAGTTAAATATCATTTCATTATATTCAGTACATTTTGACTCTTCTGGGTATTTATGGGAAATTCCAAGAGAGTTGTTTTTTCTTTTTTTGCAATAAGCCAAGGTAATTTTTTATTTTTTATAGTTTAAGAAGATTACAAGCTAAAAGCCAAATAATTAGTCATTTATTTTTGCTAGTTTCTTTTAGAATCAGAATTTTAATGTGTTTTTTAAACAATAATAAATTCAGATACTTTAAAACAAAACATTACAAGGTGCATCAGACAATGACTTGCCTTGGTTATATATATTTATTCCAAGACTTGGATGCATGATACATTTCTAGCTATTTGGACATCATATGAAATAAAATCTTTCTCAATGTTTTCCAAAGAAAACAATCTTTCTCAGCAATTAGGTCTTATTGATGAGAATGAGATAATTTTATCCTAATGTGTTTTCCAATAAAGAAGTGAAAAGGCACATTTGATTCCAACATTTATGAAAACATTATCTCAATTATTAATGTGCCCCCTTTCTCTTGAGATAAATTAATCTAGTTGCACACGGTTTCCTCTTTCTGCTTAACATCAGAATTTAATATGACTGGACCTGAGGAATGTACCCAGTGTATACTTAAAATTCTACTGGAATAAAATACGGAAGTTTAAAATAAGGTTACAGTTTAAGATAGGCTAGAATTACTCAGGCCTTTCAACTCAGTGCCTGACTTGACAAGAAATTTTAGCAAGAATGACAAAATAAATTGCACTTATTTTCACCCTAGAAAAATTATCCTGCTAATTGAAATAATGTAGTGACTTGTTAGTAATACAGTTAAGATACTAGAAAGGGCTTTAATTTTACAGAACCTGTCTTCTCTTTGCCTGAGTAAATTTGAGTGTCTCGTTTTCATTTGCACTATGTGGAAACCTTCATTATTTTTCTTCAGAAAATCAAGGGGGATAACATAATGTGAGCCTTTTTGTGATTTGGTTTTGTGCCATAATATTTTAGATTTAATAAGAGTTTTGCTGTTAAGCAAATGGTCTATTTTTCATCATTACTGCTTAGCTTAAGTCAAAATATATTAATGAAAACCAATATTAAAAATATATTACACATTGCTAAATGTTTATATTTCAAAACCATCATAGGTAATTGGTTCTAGAAGAAAATGAATTGATTTCATATTTTAAATATATTATGTATGTTTCTATAAATGACTCAATTTCATATATACAGTACTATACCCACTTATATGTATTTAGATGTTGAAAAAATTATTTTAAATTAATCATTTTCAATTAAATTAGAATCACTTAAAAGTTGTCGCAGTGATAGTACTGTAATTATATATTCCATATTCTGCTTTATAGACTTTGGCTCATTTTGGCGTGATTCACCAAGACACTAGGGGATAGAATTATGTAGCTGTCGCAGTTATATTGAAGTAAAAATCATGTTTTTCAGCAATTTATCATTTAATATAATAGTCTGCCTGTCAGTTTGGTTTTGAATATGTCAAATTTGTGAAATTCAAATAATTTCTCCTTAAAAATAAACCATAGTAATGCTACTATTATGTTTTAAATTATGCAGAGTAACAGCTGGTGTATCTCTCTGGCTTTGCCTCATTTGATTTGAAGATGTCTTTTATAGTGGTGCCTATTTGATAGAGTGTGAGCATTTTGTAGTTTTACATAAACTGTAAAACCATCTGCCACCTCTTGGAATGGTTTCCAGCATTGTGTTAAAAGTCAAAACTTAGTACTTTAAGTTGCTTTGAAAATGTCCATTTAAAGTTCTGGTCCTTTTGGTTTATGTATCATGCTGCACAGTGCCACCCTTGGTTTTCTAAGTCCGAGAATAATTCTGCTTTAAAAAAAAATTATAACAGCCATTTGGACATTCTCACATCAGTGAGGTTTAATCCCAACATGCATGTGACACTACAGTGCTTTAGCTGCAAACACTTTATAAAGACTGATGAGTTCTGTATCCACCGGATTATTTTTCTCATTAGTTCAGTTTATCTATTTTTACAAATTGCTTCTTTTATCAATAGCATTTTCTCAATATGAAGAAAATAATTCACAAATATTTACTGGTCCATAACTGCATATTTTCTTACACCATGTAATTTTTTTTTCTTTTCCCACACTGACTTAAAAGTAAGGTATAAAAAGAGAAATCAGTATCTCAGAGGTTAGTGGGTAAATGAAACCTGCCCTCCCCAGTCACTGCCTGGCAGCAAGTGATCTGATGGAAATGTCATACCATAACACTGGTCCCAAGAAGCCTGCAGGGGAATCTTCTTATTTCACTGTGTAAATTAAAGCAGTTTTAATTTGAGAATATCTATTGTGTTACCCAGAAATCACTTACAGTTGTAGTATAATATGGATTAAAAATTGTTGTGATTGAATATGAAAAACTACACATTACTCAGCTGGGGAATATGCCTACAATATCAAAGTCCTCTTGTCTCAGAAGATGGATTTAATACACTGGTAGTATGGGAAAAACCATTTGCTATTCTAAAGAACCCTATATGTAGAACAACTATGAGCCTGCCTCCTTCGTTCTTTTTCTTTCATTCTTTTTTAGGATCGTATATACCCCAAGATTTCATTAGTTCAGACATTCCTTGTATATTTACACAGGAAATACAGACTTCGGTATAAGTACTTAGCATAAAAGTCAGAGAAGCCAGAGCAGAATATACTTTTCCTTGTAAGCATTTGCCACCTCACTCAAATAAGTTACAGAATTCCATTATCCAAATTGTTACACATGTGTGACAGAGGTTGACCTTTCGTCATGTCAATCCTTTTTGTGTAGGCCCCAGGCTCCAGCCTAATGGCTCAAACCCTGATTTACTCACTGTAATAAGGGCAGGAGGTCGAGCAATTGTCAGGCTGCCTGTTCGTACTCTTCTTGGAGCCTGGTTGAAGGCTGTTAACACAAAGCTTTTCAAAGTGAATTTACAACCAGCACCACTGACAGAGGCCAATCAGTGCACCATAAATGTCAGGTTAGTGAGATTGAGCAGTAAGTAAAGTACTGACAGCACACTATTGGCTGGAATCAATTGGCCAAGGTTTAACTGAGAAGAGCAATCTATGTGTGGCGGGCTTAGGGAAAGAGCATAGTGTGCAGCCTGGGTTTCCAGGTAGACTCCATAGATTTACTGGTTAGTGGGAGCATAAGGGTTGGGACATCACACACATTTGCTTCAGCGCATCCAGCATCATCCATGTTGATGTGATGCACAATCCGGGAGTTCAGTGTGGCCGGGCCTCCTGACTCTGAGGCTTGGTGGTAAAAAATGGCGCAGCATTAGACAAAAAAGAGAGAGAGAGGAAAACTGTTACAGTACGAGGCTGTCAGAACTGGGGGACACATCCAGTGCATTACAGTTCAATGACAGGTAATTTGTTCAAATTCCAAAACTGTAACAGGGATTTCCACAAAGATACAGACACAAATAAGCTTGCTCTTTTGCTCTTCCAAAGGCTCAGCAGTGTGAAACTTTCATGGAAGTCACTAATGCGTGATTATGGGTTGAGGGTCTGAATATCCATGAGATGTGGTTTCCCCACCAGACGGAATGTTTTTATCATTTTGTGTAATGACAGCCTGGACAACAATTCATTTAGCTTTGAAGGCATCAGCATGAAAACAGAGGAATCCATTAAAATGCTGTATGCAAGGATTTATAAATTAGGCAATTTCCTTGATTATTGCAATCATTTACAAAATTGATCATTCCAGTGTGGTATAGACAGATTTCAGCAATGATCATTGACAACAAGCACATTCCCTGACATCTATAGCTGCTGGTCACTAAACCAGGTTACTCTTCCCCCCACCCTGCTGTTCTTGGTCTCAAGGTCAGGTGGACTTTTCAAGGAATCTTACAATTATGAAATTTCATTTGTCTTCAGAGGAGACCCACCTAGGCTGTGAGAGCAGGTGCAGATTGTTTTAAAGGTTACATCATTGTTTTTGGAGTTGAATTGTACTTTTGGGGGAGGGTTTTGATCATACGTATATGCTTCAAATCAGTAGCACAGATTTTGATATGATGCCAATTTAAAAGGAAATAATTTTTGCAAATTGCACCTGTAAATATTTGTTTGATTGCAGATCTAAAATTCAATAATGTATTTATTTTTGTTGGTATTTAGAATTCTAATTATCCAACAGATATATTGTGGAATCACTGGATTTTAGGTCAATTAATTTTAGAAGGCCTAATACATTGTTACAAGTGTGAAATGCTCAAAATGCTGCAGGTTTTCCTATATAAGAACATACACACATCAAGTTCACTTGGTGCTTTATCACTAGCCACAAACCACAGAGTTGCTTTTATTCCTGAAATATCAGAAATGGGCATGCCACATGAATCTGCAGGGCTCTTTCCAATGAAAGCTAGCCATGTGGTTTATGCTTAGTACAAAGTAACTGACTTTGAGACATTTGTTTCTAATCATCCTTTTGTTTTCAGTCATCCTTTTCTCCCTTTAAAACTTTAACACAAACTGGGACTTGTAAAATAATAACACTTTAGAAAATTGTTTAACACAGTGTTGGGAATACAAACAATTTTTGTTCTGATTTTTGTCCTGTTTGTGAATACATAGTAATTTGATCTCAAGGTAGTTCTTTGTTTAAAAGGGGAAATGTTGTATTTCAGGAAGTCCAGTGGTTTGGTGGCACCTTGCCTTTATTTGCTAATGTTGCCTAAGTCAGAAGTTCATTTTCATTTTTAGTTAGTTGTAAAACTGACTACTTAGAAATTTAGTAAAAACGTAATATTTTCAGTCAGTGTCTTGATATTATCTCCTCATTTTTAATTAATTTTTTTTCACAGCATTTCTGGTTTCTGTTAAGACTTAAAAGCTGCGTGGTTAGCTCTGACTTGGGTGAACTGTGATGAGGCACTCAGTATAACACATGCTTTTCCCAGTGCCTCTGTACATTTATTTAGTAAACCAAAATCTATAGCATGCAATTGTGAAATAATGATATGGGATTTGGCCCATTTTATTAAAATGAGCAGTGTTTTTCACTCTCTGTGGTCATTTTAAATTAAAGCTGCCTCAGATAATGAAGTATCTTCTATAGAAACATCCAGTGTAATCTAATTCAGTAGAAACGTCTTAAGTGCTTTTTAATTGGAATCAAATTAAATGTAGTCAAGTCATGTTTTCAATGTCTTGTAAAGCACCAAGAGCTAAATATTGTTAGCACACCTGGAAATATTAATGTTTATCACAAAAGAACAGCATTAAATTATGAGATATCCATGTATACTTCAAAATGGTAGATAGCTCCTAAACAAATTCAAGGTTAGAATACAATGCTTTTGGAACCTGTTGTGTTTGTCCCAAACTAATATTAAAATTTATTTATGATATTAAAATACACAAATAGTTTCTGGGGATAAGAGTCCTGAAAAATATTGGGCTACTAAGGAAAGCACTTAATTTCAATTTGTTGCAATTAATTGCAGAGTAAAATTTGACCCAGATAATCCACAAAGTGGAAAATCTCAAAATTAAGCTTAAAAAGCGGAAATTAATTTTTATATTACAAATAATGTGCTCATTGGAAAGTCGAACTATGTAAGGGTATAAAGCAGTGGTAACCATTGTTGATGGTTTTCATAATGGGTTTTTGAGACATGATTATATAATATATAGATTTATTTCATTGAGTCACAGTTTTGGTAAAAGATATTTGCACTATCTCTTTGATACTGCAAAACATCTTGGAAATTGCAACCAATGGCACTGTTTTCACAGGGTTCCAGTAAATGTTTAAATTTGGCTCACCCATGAATAGATTTTCATTTTGTCTAGTCTTATCCTCTCCACTCTGTATTCTCCTGGTGGAAAATTTTATTAACAGCCTGCAGACCCTTCTGATATTATAAAAACACTTCTACCAATATCTTCATATATTTTATAGCACGTGTCTTTAATAAAAACAAAGCGTTTCTGGGGTCTATGAGGAGATTATAATGGTCTCCAGGAAAGGAAGGAGAAAATTTCTGTTTCCTTTTTATACATGAAAGTGTTAACAAAAAAAGATCAAGTATCTTTGAAATGCTTTTTAAGGTAGGGAGACATTAATTTATCCAGTTGTGGTGAGACATTAGTGAAACAACTTAATTTCTTTATACCTCTTTTTTCCCCACATGTGAAGGAGAGTAATATTGATGGCTATGTAAATTACAGAGAAAATATTGATGACTTTTGTGTAGTAATTGAGATTTTCCCCCGTTTTCAGTTCGATTTTAATGGTAAATTTTGTCTCTAGTGGACTCTGCACATAGATATAAAGAGTATCATTATTTGATAAAACAAAAGATTGTATGTATTAATGGTAGACCATGATACATCGTTTGGATTTAATTACTTACTAAAAACTCAAGTTTAAGTAATATTTCAGTGTAAATTTACTTAGCAATGCTTACAAATAAAAAACAATTATGTACTAAAGGGATACCATGCAACATGGATGTTAAAAAAAACCCCATTGGATGGCTCTCATTTTTAAAACTGTATTTTTAATGGAGGGCAACAAGGATGACTACAAATGTTGGCACATTTATATTTCCTAAATGTACCTGATTTCAGTAAGCAAAATGCTAGCTGAAAATCCTCACAACAAAGAACCAACTTGCAAGATGAAAATGCGAGAATTACTCAGTAACATCCAGAAAAATCATAAGGAAGCCCTAACATGTGAAGCCTTTTTGACCACAGACCTCAAATCAGGAGCAATTCATTAGGTAGGTTTGACACTGGATATTGAATTCTGAATAGAAGATCATCTCAGTGTCCAGAGTATTGTGACCTGTCCATAAATATTAAATGACAACAAATCAACATAGTGGCATATTTGGCACTGTCTGTAAAAATGTGTGTGCAGCCATATGTGTACTTGTGAATACAGACATAACAGTATATCATGCAAATTCTGAATATATGTCACTGTTGACCCTGTGAAAAGCAAGAATTCCAAGTGACACTCTGCAGTTAGAAATTTTAGATGAAAAAATAAACATAATTGCCAAAACATGTCATAAAGAACAAAAATTTTGACTAAAATTAATATTTTTCCTGATATATATTTATTTCATATTAATCATTTCCTTTTTTTTTTTTTTTTTGAGATGGAGTCTTGCTGGAGTGCAGTGGCACAATCCCGGCTCACTGCAACGTCCACCTCCCAGGTTCAAATGATTCTCCTTCCTCAGCCTCCCGAGTAGCTGGGATTACAGGCAGCTGCCACCACGCCTGGTTAATTTTTGTGTATTTAGTAGAGATGGGGTTTCACCATGTGGGCCAGGCGGGTTTCAAATTCCTGACCTTCAGTGATCCACGAGCCTCCCAAAGTGTGGGATTACAGGCGTGAGCCACTGCACCCGGCCTACTTTTTTTTTTTTTCTTTTTTTTTTTTTTTTGAGATGGAGTTTCACTCTTGTTGCCCAGGCTGGAGTGTAATGGCACAGTCTTGGCTCACCGCAACCTCCGCCTCCCGGGTTCAAGCTATTCTCCTGCCTCAGCTCCTGAGTAGCTGGGATTACAGGCATGCGCTACTAGGCCCAGCTTATTCTGTATTTTTAGTAGAGACTGGGTTTCTCCATGTTGGTCAGGATGGTCTCGAACTCCCGACCTCAGTGATCTGCCCGCCTCGGCTTCCCAAAGTGCTGGGATTTCAGGTGTGAGCCACCACGTCCGGCAGTTTTTACTTTTATGGCAACCTAAGCAGGGGTGATACTCAAACTATGTCACGACCAATCCAGGTTAGTCCCTGAGCCTCACATAATCCTAGATTCCCACAGTAATATCTGTGCCCCATGATCTGCATATCAGCTCTGAATCTAGGATAGCTGGCTGAACTTCAGCAAAGCTATTCAACAAATTAACAGTAATAATAATAATATATATTATGTGTAGGGTTTCAGATATGCAAGATGAAAACATTCTGGAGATTGGTTGCATAACGATGTGAATAGACTTAACAGTACTAAACTGTACATTTAAAAATAGTTACAATGGTAAGTTTTGTGTTAGGTATATTTATTTTGCCATAATTTAAAAAAATCTATGTTTTCAATGACTTTCCTGCAGCTCAGTAGGTCTCAACCTCTAGCAGGGAGTCAAGCATAGTGCAGTCTGGGGACCTGCCCCTAAATGATTTGGACTCAGTGGTCCTGAATTGGGGGTCAGGAATCTACTTTGTTAACAAATGTCCCAGGCAGTCCTGAAACTATCCTTAAGAAACAAAACGCCGGCAGGGCGCGGTGGCTCACGTCTGTAATCCCAACACTTTGGGAGGCCGAGGCGGGCGGATCACGAGGTCAGGAGATCGAGACCATCCTAGCTAACACGGTGAAACCCCGTCTTTACTAAAAATACAAAAAATTGTCCGGGTGTGGTGACGGGCGCCTGTAGTCCCAGCTACTCGGGAGCCTGAGGCAGGAGAATGGCGTGAACCCGGGGGGCGGAGCTTGCAGTGATCCAAGATTGCACCGCTGCGTTCCAGCAGGGGCGACAGAGCGAGAAAACAAAACAAAACAAAACAAAAAAAAAACAAAATGCCAGTCTCGTCCTTTCTCTTCCTTGCCCCTTGTGGTTGTTTGCCCCGCTTCCTGCCTCTTCCCTTGTCTTTGCTACTCTTGAGCTCACCTGGCCTCTCTTCTGCTTCAGGTCCACAGTTGGTTTAGTTCTGTTAATAATCCTGTGTTAATTCCAGTCTCTACCTTGCCTTCGCCCCTGCTACATCTTGGCTAATCTCCTGTGGACATTTCCAATCTCCTCCCTTATCACCTCTCCCACCTCCCCAGATATAGATAGATGATAGATGTACATATTAAAGAACTACTAACAGACAGCAAAATGAACTCCCATGACTTCCATCTTTCTGTATTTCAGAACTCCGCCTGGCTAAGCATAAGGAGGCAGCCAAAAGGGCAGAAAACACTGCGTGTAAACTGCTGTGTGTAATTAGCTCCTAAGTAATCAGGGTGTACTTCCAGAGGAAGTGGCCCACTGGAAGGTGTTTGGCAGTGTACAAAGGGCCTGGGTTCTAGCTCTCACTGGGTGTGAGCTATGTGACCACCTGCAGCACACCTTAAGTCCCTAAGCTCTTAGCAGTGCTGCATCCAGCGACACTGGCCTTTCCACTTCTCCTGCCAGCCCCTTCAGTGCAGTCCTATATCATATGGAGAACCCATATGTTCCTTGCATGACATTTGTGATTTGCAGTCTGTTAATTTTCCATATGCCAGCTTTATCTGCTAATTTGCTGATCTTTTTCCCTCCTCGGCTTCCCATTGCTGCTGTTGATGGAAGTCATCCGAGCATGTAGCCTGTTTTCTGTTCTTTCTCACACCCGGAGAGCTCACCTGTTCTTCTTGTTTCAATTGCTCCCCAAAAGCGATGCTCTCAGATTCAGTATCCCGCACTGATCTGTCTTAAATCTTATATCCTTAGTTGTGAACATCTCCATCTGAAAGTCCTGACATTGTTTCAAACTGAGTTCACTAACTGCTGGCACTCACATCTCCCCTAATCTTTATCCTTATCTTTAATTTATGGTGCTCTCTTAGTCCTTTTTAACCTGTGAACCCAACATTTTAGAGTTACTCTAATGGCTCTTTTTTTTTTTTTTTTTTTTTTTTTTGCTATGCTGTATTCTTCTTTTATTTCATGTGTGCAAATTTAAATTTATGAAGTCAATCATTAGTGCCACAACTATAGCCTGACAATTTAAAATTTGGTTCACTTTTATAGTAAACAACATCTCAATCTAATGTTTAGACATTTAGCTGATTGTTAAACATTAGCTAAAATGGATCTTTTCCTGAAACAGTGTTGCCAGGTTTTAAAATATTAATAGACATTATGTTGTACACTTTTGAATTAACATAAAAATTGAAGGACGTTAGTGCAGAAAGTTCTCATATCCCTTCCCCACTAGTTTTTTTTCTTTTAATCACATCTTCCATTGGTGTGGTACATTTGTTACAATGACTGAACCAATACTGATGCATTACTATGAAGTAAAGTCCAGCGTTTACATTATGGTTCACCCTGGTGTTGTACAGTCTATGGATTTTGACAAACTCATAATGTCATTTATCACCATGTAAAAGCTTTTTTTAAATGTTTATATTCCCAGCAGCCAAGAATGCCTAGCATACATAGAGCATTTAAAAATTCTCTTTATCTGATTGCAATAACGAGAGCTAACATACTTAAGCTGAGACTATCTGCCAGGCACTCTGCTAAGAGCTTTGCAGGGGTTATTTTAATTTATTCTCACAATGACACAATAAGGTAAAGACTACTGTACTCATTTTTCAGATGAAGAGCCTTGTTAGATGTAGGCACTGAGAGCCTTTTTTAGATGAAGGCAGGTAAGTAACTTGCCCAAGGCCGTATGTAGTAAAGGCAGGATTTCCATGTAGGTGTTGTGGACTGTAGAGTTCTTGCTCTTCACCGGTCTGCTCTTTGCTTTCTGCCCCTTCTCACTATCTGGCCTGTACTCCCATTAAATTACAGGGCCTCAGCCTCTGCCACAGGCCTCTTTATTCAGCTGACCCTGGCCTCTGGACCCGGAGGTGAGCTTTCTTTTCTAGGTGGACACTGCACTGGTTTTTCAGACAGAGCAGTTATAGCTTCACAGAGACCCCATGGCTCAGGCCCTTGACATGGTTAGCCTACCTTGTGTTCCAGGGCCATGGGCTTCATATTTATTATCCTAGAAAGTTTAAACTCAGCATTCAGAGAAACACATTTATGGAGAACCTACCATGCATGAGGCATTGTACAGGTCACAAGGATGGAAAATACCAACTCTGGCTTTCAAAGATAGTAAAGTAGTAGAGGATCATGAGTAACTCCAGTTGGGAGCAGTGTGCAAAAAGTGCTTTTGAGGTGCACAGAGGAGGCAGAGGTGACTTCCCGCCAGAAAGATTAGGGAAGGAGGGAGAGTTTGACCTGGAGAACATAGATGGCTAATTCATGGAGTCAAGGATCTGAAGGAAAGATGCCCCTGGGAGAGGGTCAGCCTTTCATTGGTGGGGCTCCACTGTCTTTCCAAGCCCAGGTCTGCTTCCTCTGTCAGCAACTTCATGCAAACTAATAGAAGCACTTCTGTTTCTTTACCAATGTCTCGCTAATTTTCACTGCTGTGATTTTGCCTGTGCTATTTATTTACCCACAAGACTCTCTTCTTATTCTGGTCAACCCATCTCTTTTACTATTTTAGAGTCACATCTCCCAAGAATTCCTTCCAGGCTAATCCCAGGTCTTCACCACCCTTTCCACACTCACTTTCCTTCCAGCATCCCCTTGAGACTTGTTGAGGTTTTGCTTTCTCTCCCGATATTACTTGTAGCCTCAGTCAGTTTGGTAAGCTTATTTGGGAAATAGTTCTGCTAAAAAATTAATTTTTTTAAATGTAGAATTCAACATTGACTGGAGGTCCTTCATTTTTGTATGCTAAATTTGATCATTCAGGTTTAAGATTAAGGTAACAGTTGAGGACAGACACCTGATAGAAAAATGAATGACTCTTGTGACTGGGGAGGCCAGGGTGCTGAAAGCCTGGTGTTTTCAGAGGAGCATGGTGGGAAATAAGGTTATGGTAGTTGGGGTCAGATAAATTAGACTGTGGGAAAGACTTCATTTTATTCCAAGTGAAATAGATTTTGAGTGGCAGTAGTAGCATGAGCTGACTTATGTTTTCAAAGGACCACTCTGGATGCTTGGTGGAGAACAGTCTGTAGTGGAACAGGGGTGGATGTTGTTAGGAGACACTCAGAGGACAGGACGTGGCTGGAGAAATAAATTAGGAGTTGTAAGTGCATAGCTGTTGTTTACATCCAGAAGACTGCTTGAGGTCTGCTTGGGTGAGGGTATGCAGAGCTTTGACTAGAGGAGGTGTAAGACATCTGTAGTTCTGTAAACCTGTGTGAGTCAGATCTGCAAGTCAAATGTGGGCTAATTACCATGTAGCAGGTGTAGTTGTGGATGCCTCATCTCATTCCCCTCCCCTGACAATAAAGGGAAGAGCCTTACGTTTGCCTTCATGGTTGCTGTGACTCAGTAGTGTAGTGACGTTGGAATGATGCTGCCACTCCTAAATGTGTTGCATCTGTGAACCATGGGGCCTTTATACTTCCCAACTGAGGCCATACCAGAATCCTTCTCCAAGGAAAGGGATGCCTAATCTTACATACCTAAATGTTGTACTGAAAATCTCTTTTACCTCCTCTACTCATAGTGAGCCATGCTAGCCACACATGGGTGCAGATACACATGGGCACACGTTCACACGCACACACTGTTATCAAAATTTTTGCAGTATTTTTCCTCACTTTAATTATGTTTTATCATTACAAGGGCTGAAAATATTTATAAAATGGAATTTTGAAAGTGTAGAAAAATATTTTAAAAAGAAAAAAACAAGAAAAACAAATTTGGTGTAATTCTTATTGCAGTTAGTATTTTCTTTAAATTCATAGATGAAAGCATGCTGCTTGTCCTCATCATAAAACCATGATAAGATTTCCCCATATTGAAAATCTTTGTGAACATAATTTCTATTGACTCCATACTCTTAATATGATTGAATCCAATTGCTCAACATTTGTGTTGGTTCTTTCCTCCTCCCTCTTCTCTTCCCTTTCTCCCTTTCTTTCTTCTCTCCTCCTTTCCCTGATCCCTCTCTCCTCATTTTGAAAATATTACTAATCATTTGTTATCCTGAGCATATTGGATCATGCTTGCCAAAATACCTGCAGGAAAAGACACAGAGGAACTCCCTCTATACTAACAACAATAATAGTAGGAATAACAGTGATCATTTTTGTTGATCACTTTTTAATTTACAAGAGATTTCATCACAACTGGCTGACTGTTTTGTTGCTGTGCCCTCTCAAATGCAGGGAGTGCTCCGTGCTGCCTGGTGTGAGTGAGATAGGGAAGCTGTGGATCCCGGAGGCTGCTTGCTCAGTTCCTCTGAAGGTCGGGTGGAGCTGGCTCTTTTGACCCACATGCTCCAGGGGAGCTTTCCATCTGTCCAAATGTTAGCCTGGAACTAAACGCCTCCACACAGTGATGAAATCCCTAACAAATGTAGTGACAACACTGAACATAAGGCCTTAATTTTTTTCAAATTGCTTGCATTTACAGTTAATTCAGTTTGAATTATAAGTCACCTCCATGTGAATGACTCATGCACTCATTATTAGGAGCTTTGCATTCTAAAATGTACAAAACAGAGAGGAGCTGGTTTGCAAACTCGGCATCACCAAGGTAATATTAAACTAGTTTCAAACTAAGAAAGTGGTTTCCTGTCATTGCACATCTTGTATTCCAGATCCAGAGTTATCAAAGAAAACCGTCATATCTTTTAAGAACACCTTTGGATCACTGTATACAGTAGTTATTGGAGGGGATATGTATGGAAATCAAACTCAATTATGTAGCATAAGTGAAAAAAAAAATTATTTTTCTGTTACAAGACAATTTGCTTTAGGCCAGTTGAAAACCTTTTCCAAGTCCAGACCTGTTGGGACCTAGAGGGACGGTCAGGCTAGGCTTTGTAAGTTGTGATGGAAGTGAAAAAATGACTTCAAAAGCAAATAATTTTAACACTGTATAATAGACTGGGGAGAAATAGTAAGGAAATGCCCAGAAAACAACCATATAAATAGATAATTGCTGAAATATTTGGATAATTTCAAGAAAAAGTGCAGGCTAAATTTTTGGACAGTGAAATCAGCTTTCCATAATAACTCTGTCTCCCAGCCAGTAATTTCCTTGTTCTCCCTAATTTACTTCACTTCTCTGTAGCTGGAAAATTCCTTTGTTTTGTACCCTAATAAGCTGGCTCTGCAGCCACTAAGTTCTATTGTGAGATTTTGTCTTGCCTCCTGCTTTTATGCACATAACTGGTCCCTGCCAGGGAGCTCTGGAGCCCCCAAATAGCTTTAAGCTTTCTAATGACTTTTCCCAGGGGTCCTCCAGGACTGCCCGGCAACCCAACAGTTCATTTAAATTTGGACCCAAGTCCAGAGTAACTCTAGGGTTATGTAATTTTAACAGTTTTAGAGCTCCTAGTAAGGGGGTAGGGGTGGGGCCTGGGGAAAAAGGCAATAAACATACCCATACCCAGGTTATCTCTACTAGGGAGCTTATGGCTAAAGTAGTCACAACTCGGATTGTCCTGCCCTAGAAGGCAGTGGGTCATTTGAGGTACCTTTGGTTTTTGGCATTTTTTTTTCCTCTGGCCAAGGCAGTGGCTTCTACTTCCGAAAACTCTGTTTAGTGGCCTGGCATGATGGAAATTTTCATAATCTTGACTGGATCACAGCAAGTTTGTGTCTGAAAAGTTTAAAAATGGGGACACATGAGAAAGGACTAGATAACCAGCAGGAAGGAAGATGGGTTTCTTTTTGGTGTCCCCATCACCTTTCCTGTTTGGTTAGAGTCACTGATGGATTTTCCTCAGATTCGTCCTGCTGGTGTAAGAACTCTAAAGCTAAAGTTCTGTTTAATCTTGCCAAAGTTGCCAGAGCAAAGAGCAGCCACGGAGTGTGTCACGTTGGGATGAATGTGAAGGCCTAAACAGCATTTGCTCATTTGCTTTGCATGTGCAGTGACTATCATACCAAGAGCTGGACCAGAAATTGTGGATTATGTAAAGTGCTAATGGGCGCAGTTCCGATTTTGGAGGAGCTTACAATGTGATAGGGGTGAGCCATTCATTCAATTATTCAACATATATTTGATAAGCTTCTCAATGTGCCAGGCACTTTAAAGGGTTGTCTGAAGATAGCATTGTCTTAGAAAGACACAGTCCATGACTAGATGGAGCTTACAGTCTGTGAGGGAGACATTGGATACCTGAGGAAGATGTTTAAGTGAACCTGGGCACCTGATTTTGAAAATCCAGAGGGATAACTGAGGAGATGAATGAAGAGCCAGTTGGGGAGGTGAGTCAACTCAAGCCTCCTCTGGATGTTAGTTTGCAATCAGGTTTTTCAGGATTAGTGTATGTGGAATAGTAATCATGAAGAGAGATGGAATTCAAGTTGGGATAAATGGCAAATGCAAAAGCCCAGAGGAGGAATGAGCAAGTTGTTTTGTTTAGAAGGTTGACTTGGAGTGTGGCTGTCTCTCAATAGGCTGATATTAAGAAATAAGGCTGATAAATTGGAGTCGCATCAGTGAACTTCTTGAAAACTAGGTAGAGAGTTGCGGTTTGAGATGCAAATAGGAAACTACAACATAATCTTTAGGAGGAAAACTTGAGGAGGGCAGCTTGCAAATGAAGAGAACATGGGTTTGACTCAACAAGTAAGGTAAAACTAGGTTTTGCAAGTTTCACCACCATCCAAGCTCTCCCCTTCATTTGGGCTGATAAAGATTACGATAAGTCTGGGGACATCCCTGAACCCTTGTGAATTTCAATGACCAAAGCACAGACTGTCTTACACATGAGCTGTCAGTCAGGGTGCACAGCACTTTTAGGGCACTTGAGTGTTGTAATGTCTTACATTTGGTAGCATTCTAAGTAGAAGGACAAGAAGTAGAGAGCAAACAAGTATGGGTAGAATGGTGCTGGAATGGGGAAGAGGAGTCTAAGGCAGCAATTTTCTGCCCTAGAATTTTTTTTCTTTTCTTTCCTTTTCTGATGGTGATTGTGGTAACATCACGCACAGGCACAGGTATATGACCTTCTGTTGGAACAAAAGAGGAGTGTCTTAGGTTTTGAGACAAATGAATGCATCTTGCTAGATTTGGGAGCTAAGTATCTTGGCTCTTATGCATCCTTCCACAAATGGCACTGAGTTGTGTTCAAAAATGGAGGAAACAAACAAAAAACAAAGAAGACCCCACCTGTGTAGGGGCTTGGAGTTCAAAGATAGGGGTGATGGTGTTCATATGATAGTAGCAGAAAAAGTTGAATAATGCACTGGAGTGACTGATGTGTAGTAGGTAGCATTAACTGTTACTATCTCCTACCCACAAATAAACAAACAAGAAAAAAACTAGCCTAAACCGACATCCAAACTAATAAGAAAACTAAGGAATGCAAATGTTTAAATGAGTAGAGATTAGAGTAGGGAAAAAACAAGATGAGAGATTTAAAAAAATGAAACAAGAACAAAATGAGTGATAAGGGTTAGGACTTGAGAAGAGGACGTGGGCAAAATGATGACAGTTTCTGAGAAGGTGAGGAAAGAAGTGAAGGGAGAGACAGGTCCTGAAAGCCGCTGGTGCTCAGGCGCCCACTGCAGGAAGGGCTTACAGTCCTGCCACCTTCAGGGCGGCTCTGTGGCTTCCTCAGCTGCAACATCTACACTCCTGCTACAGTGACCAGAAACTTCTGCCGGTGATGCCTGGCCCTGCCCCCTCTTGGAATTAGAGGAATGCATCTGTTTGTGGGCTGGAGATTAGAGCCCAGGGTCGGGGACTATGAGGAAAGCTGTCTTTTTGGGTGGCCTCACAAGACATGCTTCAGACCCTAAGCTGATACATCTAAACTTCCTTCTCTGATAATCTATAATTTTCTGTTTTTAGAACTACATTGTCAGCGGTGTCAGAGAGACCCTTCTCAGATGATTCAGCCATTTAAAACCAGCAGTAATATCTTTTGTTTGGAAATTAAGCAACAGAAAGGAATTCAAACAGTCAAGCTAAGTAGACGCATTTTTTAAATGAAAATACATGAGTGGTTATACTACCAAGTTAAGTCAAGTCAGTTTTATTCCAGAGCTTTAAACAAGGTTAAAAAATTATATTTTAATTTATTTGCATTTTTTAACTTAAAATTTTTTCATTCCATTAAAAAAAGTTTAAGGTTTTTCCCTCGTCCTCTCTCCTAGAATGCTTAATATACATTAGGTATCTTACAAAGAGTTATTGGTTGATTTTGAATATTTTTTATTCTGTTAAGGGTATTTATTTATCCTCAGTTAACTTCTTTCCAAAAAGATTTAAAGTGGGTCTTAGAAAGCCGAAGTTTAGAGATGGATAAATGTTTTGAGAAGATGAAAATGGAAAATTTTAAAGAGGAACAAATGTGCATAATTTAAAAATATTCTAGATGCTGTTTTGAAGCCGTCCTGTGTTATGTCCAAACAGTGTTGTTTTGATGCAGTTACCTGGTGTCATTCTCCTCTAGGAATTCTGCTGTTTGGTTGTTGAGTGGAAATGGTGTGATCATGATGTGATGTTTGTCCTATCCTCTGGAGGCAGCGTCACACAGTGGACAGGGTGAGAGGTGTGGAGTTGAGCAGTTCAGTGGGGTGGTGGGGGTAGCTGGGATTTTATTTTTTAATATAAAATTAAGGGCTTTTCCTTTATTAAACAAGTAAATGATGTTCATTACCAAAAATTCAAAAATTACAGGAAAAAATTTTAAATTCTCACAGCTCACCATCCGGAGGCAAACTCTAAAATTTTAAATGTATTTTTCCTTAGAAATTTTTACATATGCCTATGGGCATGTAGTATGCTGAATAGACTTTTAACTTTAAATTATTATCTAAACATGCCCTAGTGTAATTTGTATTCTTTGTTACCATTATATTTAAAATATTGTCCGTTAAATGGACAAGTCAGAATTTGCTTAACTGTTTCCTTACTGTTAAACCCTTAGCATCTAGGTTAATAGATTTTCATTATTTTAGTGAGCATATTTGGACATGTTAGTTAATCTTTTGGAGCCGTAGGTTTGGCTTCTGTATATTGGGAATTATCTCTCTTACAGAGTTATTGGCAGAAATGAATAAGGTAATAAATGATAAATAGTGGGTACTTATTAAATGTGGGACCTTTTTCCTTATGTTTGGGCTTAATATTGTTGTTTTAAAGATCTGTGAGTTGATGTTTATAAATGTTAACTCACTGATGTTTTTAAAATGAAAATTACAAAAATGTAAAATTTCTTACTTTGTGCAAAAGAGCAGGGTCCTGAAAAGTTGCTTTAGGTCCAGTTTTGCACACTTAAAACGGAGTATCTTTAAACCACTTGGCTCCCAAGCCACCAAGAAGCTTTTTTTACCTATGTTTTTATAGAAATTTCAAACATGCCCCAAAGTACAGAGAAATAAATAGTGAATAAGTTCTCTTGCACCGGCAACTTATTTTGAATATTTTTTTCTTTCTATTCTTGTTTTCTCTGTTTGCTCCAACTTTTCTTTTTTTGCTTCATTTTTTGTGTTGTTTTTTCTTTTTGTTTTGTTTTGCTTTTTTGAGACAGGGTCTCACTCCGTCACCCAGACAGGAGTGCAGTGGTGCAATCATAGCTCACTGCAGCCTCAAACTCCTGGGCTCAAGTGATCCTCCCACCTTGGCCTCCCCAAATGTTGGGATTACAGGTGTGAGCCACACACCAAGCCTGTTTTCTTGTTGGACTATGTAAATGTAAATCCCAGTCACCTTAACATTTCACCTATAAATATTTTAATATCTGTCTTTAAAAGACACAGATTAAAAAACCACCACATAACCACAATCCCATCCTCACACCTGATAATATTAACAATAACTTCTTAATGTTGTCTAAGTTCCATGTCTCTTCCTTCCCCCCCAAATATTTTTTATAGTTAGTTTGTTTCAATAACAATAAAAACAAAGTCTTCACATTGTTGAAAAATCTCTTGCATCTCTTTTAATATGTAACAGTTTAGTTGGGGAGTTTTTTAGTTTTTTTTTTTTTTTTAAGAATTCCTGAGGCTGGGTGCGGTGGCTCATGTCTATAATCCTAGCACTATGGGAGGCCAAGGCCGGCGGATCACGAGGTCAGGAGTTCGAGACCAGCCTGGCCAACACAGGGAGACCCCGTCTCTACTAAAAATAGGAAACATTAGCTGGGCGTGGTGGCGGGCGCCTGTAATCCCAGCTACTAGGGAGGCTGAGGCAGAAGAATCGTGTGAACCTGGGAGGCAGAGTTTGCAGTGAGCCGAGATCCCACCATTGCACTCCAGCCTGGGCGACAGTGCGAGACTCCATCTGACAAAAAAAAAAAAAAAAAAAAAAGAATTCCTGAGTCTCACCTGTAACCTGCTGAATCAGAATCATCAGGGGTGTAGTCTGATGGCAGACATTTTATAAATGTTCTAGTGGGGATTCTGATAGACAAACAGCCTTGAGAACCTCAGTACAAAGGAGTAAATTTAAGATACCTTTAAAATGAGTGTTTTAGTAAAGTAGTCAACCTTTTGAAATATAATTACCATCTAGTTCCCTAGTTTATTTATCTTGTGAATGTAAACATTTTATTTATTGGATTTCTCTGAAGCGGGACTAACTTCTTCTTTGGGTGATGACTGAGATGATTTATGGCTTCTTTCTCTGATTGCTTCTTTTGTTCCTGGTGATCATTTCTCGTTATAGGTGTTTTTCTGCTTTCTCTTGAGTACTCTCTACTTAAATCCCTCAATGTGTTTGCATCATATTTGTAGTTATCGATCTTTTCATTGCAATTTTTTTATTACATAGGATAATTGCTACAGAAAACTGGGAAGAGGTTAAGCAGTAAGAAGAAAATAAAAATTACCTATAATGTCTCTAGTTGGAGGTAATAACTTGGTATTTTCACTGTATTTAATTCTAGTTTTTTTCTTGTGGCAATAAACCTTTAAAAAAAAAGTTTAAAATCCGACTACAAGAATTTTGGTAATGTTTAAAACATAGTATATTGTAAAATGTTTTAAATTATGAAACATTCTTTACTACGAGTTTAATGATTGCCTAGTATCCCAGCATATGGATATGGCCTAATTTTGGATATTTGACTTGCTTAAATTTTTCCCCTGGAATGGAAATCCTTATTTGAATCCTTATAGATTCTTATAGATTCTTTTGGCATATCTATGACTATTTTATTGGTATAAATTTTTTATGTTTCTGGGTTAAAATACTTATATATTTTAAAAGCTTTTAATTTTGCCTAATTTACCCTCAGAAAGGTTATATCAGTTTACACTCCCCTGATAGGGTGAGAGTATTTGCTTCTCTGATTCCTTGTCTATATTCGCTACTTTTTCTATTATAAACCATTTGTATATCTTTTCCTCTTTCATATTAGTGGCTTTTAACAGATGACCTGATTATATGCTTTCCAGGCACATCACACCTAAGGATCCAGTATTTGGCCCTTTTGACTCTTGAGTGTTTGGAAAACACCTTTTGGAGGTCTGGGAAGCCACCTGTAGTCAGTTCAAAGCTTTTGGCTCTCATTCCAGAGATTAAGGATGTGTAGAACCATGTGGCTGGCTATTGAGATTTTTCATGTAGTCGGTTACTTTTACATACTGCATTGCCACAGAGATCATGAAATGCCCTGGTTCTGGAAGTGGCTGCATTTCATTGGTAGGCTTTAAAATAAATCCAAAACAAATAAACTTTCTCAATTGTCTTTGGGATCCTTGGAATCCACGTTTGCAAAAAAAATATTTTACAATTGGTTGTTTTATTTTCATTTCTATTGCCTTTCGTTCTCTTCCCACATTTATACTGATGCTTTAAATAGGCATGATTTCTCGTTCCTCCCATGCAAACTCTTAATGCCACTCTGATAACATTGGAAACTTTAGGCCCATTTGATACAAACCCTTAGATGTACTTCTGATTTCTTATCTGGCTTTTCTGGCTGCCTCAGTCCTGTCTCTTGTATCAGATGAGAGTTCTATGGGCTCTCGTTAGAGGGCAACTGAAAGAGAAATAACATGGAGAAGAAAAGGAGAAAGCTGAGGTATGGGTGGAGAAAGGGAGAGCTGGGGTATTTGAATATTCTGAAAAACTGGAGAATCCATGGTTTAGAGTAGGTGACATTCCTTAAACGATACTCATTAGAGTGACATGAGCAAGGGCAGGGAAGACAGGGTTCCTGCCAAACTTTGACCTGGTCCAGGTCAGGCCAACCTTAGAGACTGACTTGCCAGATTGAATGGCTGCTCCTTCTGTGTTGAAGGCAAGTTGGGTTGGGCATCCTTATTTTGTGCTGCCGTTGTCCTGCAGCACAGCAATCATACCATAATTCTCTGCATATATGACTGTTTATGTAGCACAACAGGAAGAGCCAATCTGGTGGTATTCTAAATATTTATTTCATTGTAGATGTCCAGCAGGATAATTCAGACGCCCTAAGTCCACTTTAGACACTCGCATTTGTAGAATGAATGTTGCCAAATTTCAGTTTACTTTTGTGCTGATCAGACACACTTCATATAGTGCTTTAAAAGACCTCGAAGTGTTTTTATGGAACAGACAGACACGGGAAGTTTGGTTCTAAAGGGCTAAGACAAAAATATTATTGCTCCATTGGTAAATGTATTTACCCAAATCTGTTATTTCAGACAATAGCCCAACTTAGCACTGGCATTAAATGGAATAAATCTGTTCTTTTACTGATACGGTGTCTAATTTAGAAACTTTGCTGTTTTTGGCAATCACACTGCCTTGATTTAGGTGGGACAGGGATCAGGGATTAAAATGGCTCTTCCCAAGAGGAAAGTAGACAAGTTTGACAGCACTGAAAACCCAAGACATTGCTGCATCCGGAAAATTTATGGTTAAGACTGGAGAAGTCTGGAAAGTTGGACGGCTCTGTCATTTATTAATTTATTGGCCTATGTAAGATGTTTTTATTTTAGAAGACTGATCTACGACCTCTGAAAGGATATGTTTTCAAACTCTGTATTTTTTTTCTACGTGTAAAATAAAGATATTCTACATACAATTTTCTAAAAGAAAAAAAAAGTAAAACAAAGTGGGAAAAAAGGTCCATGATATTGCATCCAGATCTGTGAAAAACTTTTCCTTTTTCTCTATTCACGTTTTGTGTATTCTGAAGGTTTGATGCCAGAATTTCATCATTACCCTGGAGACTGACTGCAGGCAACTTACAACATTTTTTTTTTTTTTTGAATCTTGTGTTGCGTTTTTCTGAAAACCCTCCTAGTACCTTGCTCAATTTGTATAATTACATACCGCACCCCCTCCCCCCCACCCGCCGGCCCCGCCACACACACACATGAGTGGCAAAAAAGCCACAGTGCATAGATCCCAGGGACTTCAGCTGTGGGTTCCCTTTGTGTTCCTAACTCAGCTGGGCTTATAGTACATTTTAAGTCTTGGTGACTCATAGTCTGTTTGTTGTGTTGCCTCATTTAAATTGTGGCATCATAAATCATTTCATTTTTTAATCATTTGAGTAGCAAACACCCCAAAGCATTGAAGTTAACAATGTTAATGGAGGTTTACTTTGGATCCCATTGTTTTAATATGACAAATGGCCATGCATCAAGCTGCGTAGCACAGTTTATTTATGCAGACATAATTAGCCCTTTGAAATGAAATATACAGTGAGCCATTTGCCAGAAATTCAAAGTCTGCTCAACATGGCCCATCCTCCAATCTTACTCCTCCTATGTGCTTGATAGGTTCAAGGCAGAATGTAAGCAAGGATACTCTTGGCTGGGGGAAATTGGAATTAGGATTAAGGAAGAAGTTACCTTGTATTCAGAATGGAACACTTTCTTCTCCATTTCTTTGACTTTTTGGGGGACTTCCAATAGGAGAGACTTGAAAAGTTGGAAAAGAAATTATTTTTGGTTCTAAATATCTGAAGAAGGGGTAGTTCCCCAAAAGAGTCTCATTGAAGACAGGGAGTTTCATGCACTGGAAGACACTGTCCTCTAACATGCAGGTTCTGGGGAGAAACTGTAGAATATTCTTTCTCAGAGATCTTGGAGAACAACATATGTAAGCTAATTTTCAGGATCTTATCAAAACTTTATAGGGTCTTTTTCCCTGTATGTGTTTACTTTGTTGTGCTTATATGTGTGTGTGGGTGGGTTGGGGGGAGGGGAGCAGGAATAGAAGATGTAGTAGTTCATTCATGGATGAACAGTTACTGCTTTAAGAACTCAATTACTTACATTTTAATAGCTAGTGCATAGGGACCACGTTGGCATAACAGACAAGTTCTGGGAATGATGAGTCATCCCTCACAAATTCATTTCAGCTTCCCACTTTTGTACATGCATAAGTAGGCCCAATCTTCCTCATTAATCTGAGGGGTAGTATCAATGAGGGCAGAAAGAGGGGACAGAGGCTGCCTCCAGGGTTCCATAAGTTATGTCACAGTGATGGCAATCACTATATCTCTTTTGCTTAGCATGAAATGTCAAAGGAGGTGAGTGACCGCTTAAAAGTCTGGGCTCTGATGCACCAAGTGTTTTTTTTTTTTTCTGTTGAAATTAATATAGCATCTCCTTAATAACAGAGGGCCAGGACTCCAGCAGTGAGCAGTGGATCAGTACTATTTGGGATGAGTCTTTTCTCTGGGCTCAGCTAATTAGTTATGGAATTGGCCTCATGCCAGCCACCACCATACATACCTGGGTTCTGACATGCTCTCAGAACCAGCCTGGTGCTTTTTAAGATGCCAGTAGATTCTTGGATTCCATGTTGACCAAATTTTGTCTGTTTAAGCAAGATATATCTGCTGGACAAGAGATGACACATATTTCTACATTTTCTTAGAATGTAGGAAATAGGATTTAATTTTAGGGAGGCTATTCCTAGCCAATAACAAGAATTTCCAGAAGTTTTACACCTGTTTCTACCTTCGTTTCCAAGAAAAGCCTTCTAGCTATTCACCTAATCCTAGCCCCCCAGGAGTTACTATCATAATCTCTGTCTATATAGTTATTAATAAACCTTTTATGTTTTATAACGTGACACAAAGTAGTCTTCTTTTGGGGTGAGGACTGTTCAATGAATGTTGATTGTTGTTGCCCTGGTGCAAATGACCTACCAGTAAATTTCCAGGAAAACCCTGGCTCCCAGAACTTAGACTGACCCTACCCCACTCCCAACACTTAACTTTTTTTTTTTTTTGAGATGGAGTCTTTCTCTGTTGCCCAGGCTGGAGTGCAGTGGTGTGATCTTTGCTCTCTGCAACCTCCACCTCTTAGGTTCAAGTGATTCTCCTGCCTCAGCCTCCAGAGCAGCTGGGATTACAGGCACACACCACCATGCCTGGCTAATTCTTGTATGTTTAGTAGAGACAGGTTTTCAACATGTTGGCCAGGCTGGTGTCGAACTCTTGACCTCAGGTGATCCACCCACCATGGCCTCCCAAAGTGCTGGGATTACAGGCATGAGCCACCGTGCCTGGCCCCAACACTTACTTTGTTTTACTCCTATTTACTGGAAGCATTGGGAAAATATAACAGTTGGGGAGGAAGGAAAACACAACAAGAGGTTGGGAAGTTCTCATTTCTAATCTCTGGAACTGTAAATTCAGTCTCTGTGTGTAGCATCGTTGAGAGAAGTAAGTGGAGAATTGACTACTTTTTTGGGGTTGAAAAAATTTAAGCATTGTTAGTTGTGAGACTTAATCCCATTCAAGTTTTATTAACTTTTAAATCTATGCCTGGAACATCTATGGATGAAATAAAGCAAAGGCTTTTGATCCGAAAACAGTGCTTTTAGAGAAATGCTATTCTAAGGGATTTCTTCTTTCTTTCTTTTCTTTCTCTTTCTTTCTTTCTCTTTCTTTCTTTCTTTCTTTCCTTCTTTCCTTTCTTTCCTTTCTTTCCTTTCTTTCTTTCTTTCTTTCTTATTGTACTTTAAGTTCTAGGGTACATGTGCATAACGTGCAGGTTTCATACATAGGTATACATGTGCCATGTTGGTTTGCTGGACCCATCAACTCATCATTTACATTGGGTATTTCTCCTAATGCTATCCTTCCCCCAGCCCCCGACCCCCTGACAGACCCTGGTGTGTGATGTTCCCCACCCCGTGTTCAAGTGTTCTCATTGTTCAATTCCCACCTATGAGTGAGAACATGCGGTGTTTGGTTTTCCGTCCTCGTGATAGTTTGCTGAGAATGATGGTTCCCAGCTTCATCCATGTCCCTGCAAAGGACATGAACTCATCCTTTTTAATGGCTGCACAGTATTCCATGGTGTATATGTGCCACATTTTCTTAATCCAGTCTATCATTGTTGGACATTTGGGTTGGTTCCAAGTCTTTGCTAATGTGAATAGTGCCACAGTAAACATACGTGTGCATGTGTCTTTATAGTAGCATGATTTATAATCCTTTGGGTATATACCCAGTAATGGGATGGCTGGGTCAAATGGTATTTCTAGTTCCAGATCCTTGAGGAATCGCCTCACTGTCTTCCACAATGGTTGAACTAATTTACACTCCCACCAACAGTGTAAAAGCGTTCCTATTTCTCCACATCCTCTCCAGCACCTGTTGTTTCCTGACTTTTTAATGATCACCATTGTAACTGGCGTGAGATGGTATCTCATTATGGTTTTGATTTGCATTTCTCTGATGACCAGTGATGATGAGGATTTTTTCATGTGTCGTTTGGCTGCATAAATGTCTTCTTTTGAGAAGTGTCTGTTCATATCCTTTGCCCACTTGTTGATGGGATTGTTTGTTTTTTTCTTGTAAATTTGTTTGAGTTCTTTGTAGTTTCTGGATATTAGCCCTTTGTCAGATAAGTAGATTGCAAAAATTTTCTCCCATTCTGTAGGTTACCTGTTCATTCTGTTAGTTTCTTTTGCTGTGCAGAAGCTCTTTAGTTTAATTAGATCCCATTTGTCTATTTTGGCTTTTGTTGCCATTGCTTTTGGTGTTTTAGTCATGAAGTCCTTGCCCATGCCTATGTCCTGAATGGTATTGGCTAGGTTTTCTTGTAGGGTTATGGTTTTAGGTCTAACATGTAAGTCTTTAATCCATCTTGAATTAATTTTTGTATAAGGTGTAAGGAAGGGATCCAGTTTCAGCTTTCTACATATAGCTAGCCAGTTTTCCCAGCACCATTTATTAAATAGGGAATCGTTTCCCCATTTCTTATTTTTGTCAGGTTTGTCAAAGATCAGATGGTTGTAGATGTGTAGTGTTATTTCTGAGGGCTCTGTTCTGTTCCATTGGTCTATGTCTCTGTTTTGGTACCAGTACCATGCTGATTTGGTTACTGTTGCCTTGTAGTATAGTTTGAAGTCAGGTAGCATGATGCCTCCAGCTTTGTTCTTTTGGCTTAGGATTGTCTTGGCAATGCGGGCTCTTTTTTGCTTCCATATGAACTTTAAAGTAGTTTTCTAATTTTGTGAAGAAAGTCATTGGTAGCCTGATGGGGATAGCATTGAATCTATATATTACCTTGGGCAGTATGGCCATTTTCACAATATTGATTCTTCCTATCCATGAGCATGGAATGTTCTTCCATTTGTTAGCGTCCTCTTGTATTTTGTTGAGCAGTGATTTGTAGTTCTTCTTTACATCCTCTGAGGGATTTCTTATAGAGCAGGGTAAGAAGAAAAGGGAGGAGTGATATTTTACCGTGAAACCATATAAAACATACCAAATTCAGGACTTGGTATATCATTATCATCAACTATAATTATCATTAACAAATAACATCTTCAAATTCTAAGTATGGCAAAAATCTCCTGGGGTATTTATTAAACCTGTAGGTCTATCCTAAATTCACTGAATTTAGGTGTGTGAGAAACACCTTGCGTTGTAAACAAGCACAAAATTTGAGGACATTAAATAAAGGTACACTGCTTATCATATCATCATGTGTCTATAAATATTTCCTTTCCTTTATTTCATTAAAAAATATCTGGAGTATTAAGATGTGTTCCACTTAGGATCTAAGACAGGGAGAATCAGAAAATTCAATATTTCAAACCTAAGCAATTCCTGTTTATAAAAATAGCATCTGCACTGATTGGCAGCTTGCCTGCCTGCCTGTCCACCTTCCTTCCTCCTTCCCTCCCTTCCCCTTCCCCTTTACTTTCCCTTCCCATTTCCCTTTCCTTTTCCCTTTCCCTTCCCTTCCCTTCCCTGTCCTTTCCTTCCCTTCTCTTTCCTTTCCTTCCCTTCCTTTCCTTTCTATTCCCTCCCCTCCCCTCCCCTCCCCTCCTCTCCCCTTCCCTCCCCTCTCCTTCCTCTCCCCTTCCCTCCCCTCCCCTCCCCTCCCCTCCCCTTCCCTTCCCTTCCCTTCCTCTCCCCTTCCCTTTTCCCTTCCCTTCCTCTCCCCTCCCCTTCCCTTCCTCTCCCCTTCCCTTCCCTCCCTTTCCTTTCCTCTCCCCTTCCCTTCCCTCCCCTCCCGTCCCCTTCCCTTCCTTCTCTCCCTCCCTCCTTCCCTTTTTCTCTCCCTCCTTTTTTTCTTCCCTCCTCCTTTTTTCTCTCTTTATCTCTTTCTCAACAGCAGTTAGCCCTGAAAGGTTATCTTAAAGAATTAAGAAATTTTCAAGCATGAGGAATAACTATTTTCTTAATATATTTAGCAGTACACATATGTTTTTTGGTTAGAATCAGGCACACAGAATCTTTTTGTAGTGACTTTATTTAAATTCTGTCATTTATTTAGTTTTTTTTTTTTCTTTTGAGACAGAGTTTCTTTCTTGTTTCTCAGGCTGGAGTGCAATGGTGCAATCTTGGCTCACTGCAACCTCCGCCTCCTGGGTTCAAATGATTCTTCTGCCTCAGCCTCCTCAGTAGCTAAGATTACAGGCATGCATCACCATGCCCGGCTAATTGTTTTGTATTTTTAATAGAGACAGGGTTTCTCCATGTTTGTCAGGCTGGTCTCGAACTCCTGACCTCAGGTGATCCGCCTGCCTCGGCCTCCCAAAGTGCTGGGATTACAGGCGTGAGCCACCACGTCCAGCCTAGGAATATTTTTAAAATGATAAAGCCCATGTGTTCCATTAAAGTGTTTATGGCATTAAGTGATTAAAAATTGCTTTTGAGCCAAATGATAGCCAATAAACAGTTACTAGTTCTCTCAAGAGATGGTCTGGGAATTCAGTGCCACTGCAATCCTGCTTACATTTCTTTATTCTTAATAGCACACAGTATTGTCTGCTACTTTTTTCATTATATTAAAAATTATGGTGATGCACGTGTTCTCACTCATATGTGGGAGCTAAAAAATTGATCTAATGGAAGCAGTGAATAAGATGGTGGTTACTAGAAGCTAGGAAGGCTAGTAGGGAGGGGAGATAAGGAGGGTTTGGTAAATGGGCACAAAAATACTGTTAGGAGGAATAAGATCTAGTGGTCACTAGCACAATAGGGCAGCCATAGTTAATGAGAATTTATTGTGTATTTCAAAATAGCCAGAAGAGTAGGTTTGGAATGTTTCCCACACAAAGAAATAATAAATATTTGAGGTGATGGCTAGCTCAGTTACCCATGTTTGATTACTATATGTTGTATGCTTACATCAAAATTTCACATATATTCTATAAATATGTACCAGTATTATATAAAAAAAGAAAAGTTAAAGAAATTATTATTAATGTTGACAGCATTTACCGTATGCCTGGCATTGTTCTGTGCACTTTGCACATACTATCCACCTTAATCCTTGAATCTTCCTTTTGAGGGTGGTGTAATTATTTCCATTTACTATGTCAGAAACTGAAGCCTCGAGTGGCTGTGTCTATCACAACACCATGATGCATCGGAGTCATAAATTTTAATATCTATCTTTCTCAGCAGATTGGATAAAAGTAACTTGAGGCCAAAGGTCATGTCTGACTCAAATGTATATTCTCAAGTTTTGATTCATATTTTCTGAATGAACAATGATGATAAGAGTTACTTATTGATATTGAATGCTTATTATATGTCTGGTACAGTGCCAAATGTTTTGTTTCTAGGACTACCTAGGGTTGCATATCAGCTCTGTTCCTTACTAGAAGTGAGTTCTTGGGTTAGTTGTTTAGCCTTTCTGTACCCTGGGTGCCTCAAAGACAAAATGGAAATAGTAATAGTATCTGTTCCATAAAGCAGTTTGAGAATGACGTCAGTTAACATATAAAGCACTTAGAACAGTGCCTGGCACAGAGCAGGCAGCTTGTGCATATTAACTATCATTATTATTTCCAACCTAGACATATCCCCTTCTGACGTATGTGCCCTTTTCATAACAGCTATCCTACTTTATGTCATACTTAAAAATTTTTATGTAGAGAGTTCCAAACTTCCTTTGTCTATTACTTGAGCCAAACTTCTATATTGTAGTATTTTCAGTGCTAAGAATCCCATGCATTACCACGTGGGGTGTATAAATGTAGAGAAACATCTTAGGCCTTTCAAAATTAGAATTATTCCTAGTTGTAATTAAATTAAAGTTATCAATTTTCACATAAGTAGGATAAACAAATTCCTCTGTTGAAGTAACAGCAAGTTATGTGGGTGGTTGTGTGTGTGTGTGTGTTTCCTCTTTCTAACTTATCAAAGAGAAGTTTTGAAATCTTGGATTTTCTATAAGCGCTTTCTAATGGGTTTCCTTGTTTAGTTTTTCACAAGAGCAGGTATATCATCCCCATATCTCTGGTGAAGCACTCTCCAAGTGTGTTGACATTTCAGGAAGTCTTGAATGTTGCTAAATGCATCTGTGTTTTCTGCTGAGTGGTTGGCCCAGACTCAAAAAAGTGTGCCTACACAAGATAATTTCCAAGTATGATTTCTAACATCATAGAATTGTAGTTGTGCACACATATGTGTATATGCAGGTCAATATCGCTTAGAAGCACCTTCCTTTTTTATTAACATCATTGTTTTGGAAGTTTTTAGTTCATTTAAATTAAAAATTATTGTTTTAATTATTTAAAAAATTATGTCCCAGATATATTAGCTTTTTGATGTTTTTTCCTATTTTGCCAGGATGTAGAAATTATATCTTTACAGTTGTTGAAATTTGATTAACTCTTACATGTTATCTTTAACAAATATTATCATGAAGACTATTCTCTGACAAAAAGTATATTTTGTCCATTTAATTCTCCTAGCTTGCAAAATGTACAGTATTCTAATAGTTATCTCCCTAGTAAAGGCTATGTCAGGAGAGAGGGCACCTTGATATTGATAACACATTTTGTTTTGGAAAGAAGATATAAAGTCAGTGACATACAGTGTGAGAGGCCTGTGAATATGAAAGTAAAAAGGAAATAATTACTTGATTGCAGACATACTGTTAGTTATCTCTGTCATAATCTCCTTTTCCATTTAAAAGAAAGTATTCTTACTATTATAGGTAATGCATTTTGCCAAGCAAAGGGGATAGAAGCAGGAATCTTATATAAATCCTTCCTATGCAAACACGTATGTTTTTCCTACAACTGAAAGAAATAACTACCTTTGATAGTACTAGTAATCTTTTCCTTTTGGAATTGAGTTAGTGAAAGCTTCCATCATAGGAAGGAAGAAAACTTCTAGTAGCTTATTACACATTCCTGAAAAAAAAGACAAAAGAGCAAAACACAACCTAAATATCCTTTTTTATTAAAAGTCAGAATTAGCATTGCAAATACAATCCAGAACTTCAGAGCTGTCACTTAGCATGAACCTTTTGATAAATTGGATCCTGATATTTACAAAATCTATTAAAATACAACCAATAGTGTGTTTGTTTATATGTTGACAAGATGATATACACCCTGAAGGTCAAGGGTGATGTGAACTGTTATGGTGTTCTTGTCAAAGTAGCTGAAAAAAGTGGGGTGGTGGCTATTTAAAGAGTTTTGATGGAATAATGGCTTTACCACAAGTGTGACAGCAAATGCAAGGATCATCTTGAAAAAGTTCAGTTGATTTGAAACAAAAATCTGTGATGTTTATCAATCAAAAAAAAAAAAAGGAAAGTCTCTTCTTCCTTCTGTAGCATGTTAGAAAGTTGGCAGCTCAAATGGAAAAACAAATAGTGAAGTTAAACAGAAAGAAAAGCATTGATTTAACTTCTTGGGTGGTTTATCAAATGCCACACGAACTTTTCATTCTGTCTTGTCATTTATTAATTACCCTCTTTTAATCAAGCCAGTTAAAGATCAGTTTACAAACTTTTGGGTTACTTCTGTGTAAATAGTTCCAACAACTCAAAGTCACTTTGTCCTTTTACTAAATAATCTTCTCTAATTGTTAGCCAAGTTGTACTTCTTTTTCTCTCATAAAAACTCGAAATTTATCTGAAAAATAAATGTGGGATTTAAATAATGCTTTTCCCAGCATGATTTTATTACTACATTTGAGTTCCTTGTTCTCTTTTTCTTAACAATGGTAACGGCCTTAGTTATTAGAGATGTTAGCTCAAAAATGTAACACCGAAAAGAATGTGAATGCATTAAAGGTCTGTTAAGTTTTTCAGTATAGATCTTTATTTTAGTGTTTCAAACTAGCATCTAGAAAAAAACTGAGTAAAAACTGTATATGTTAATTTCAAAGTAATAAGTTTATTTTAATGAAAGGAATTGGTACAGTATGTTAACCAAATATGAATTGATATAAGAAGATAGATTTGGATGTTAGATCCCCCCATCTATTTAGAAAACATTTAAATTGTTATGTATTTTAAATTATAGCACACACAGAAAGCTAATTTTATGGGCATTTTTTAATTTAATCTTAAAAGGAACTGAGCTTTTTAATGTGTCTGTCATAAAATGGTTTAATTAAATGAAATTAAGCCAGAATAACTGTAAACAGACATAAAAATTATTAACCTCATATCTCTACCAATCATTTTCAATATAGGATTTCTGCTAAACAGTGTGTGGTTTAGCTCCCAGGAATTAATTCTTTGAGTACATTTAAATAAATTGGATCATCTCAAGTTACTGCTCCGAAGGCAGAGATCTGCAATAGAATGTTACCTAAGACATCAGTGTTTTAAGAAGCTAATCACATCGCAATGCAGGGACATTTAACCTGCAGTGGTTGACACATTCAGCCTCCACAGGCAATAAGGACAACCAGATCTTATCAAAACAATGCATTAAAAAGAGCAAAAGTATTCTTAAAAAAAAAACCCAAGTCACTGATCCCTGTACTCCTTAAATAATTAAAAACTTTTGCTGAAAGCAAATTATCTCTGTGGTTTTCTTGACTTACAGGTTCATGATCACCTCAGAATTAGCAATTATTAGATGGTTTACATAGGCCGGAAACTGTGGTGAGGTAAACATATATCAAAGTATTATGAAAACAATTAAGTGCTACACAAGTGGGAAGTGTTATCATATTAACATGAATGAAGCTACCTTTGCCTGTGTGCATTTAAAACATTTTATTTATTCTATCAGATGAAGGTTTAGAAACCAGCAACTCAGACACAAGTAGTGGAAAATCTTTAAGGCAACATTAAGACTTCTGAAGTTCACCATGCTGAAAAAGCTGAGGTTGTTGCCCAAAACAAAAATAAAACAGAACAGAAAGACATCATTAACTGTAAGAGTGAATGCAGACATTTCTCCACTCAGGTGGCTTGTGCATGTCCAAGGGCTGAGCTCAGCTTTGTATTAAAGACCTGTGGATTTAATAAAACTTTAGGGTGAACCAATTTATGGTTGCTATAGATGGGAAGTTAGTAACACAACATTACAACAACCACCCTCCCTCCACCCCCTGCAACTCCCTAGCCTAGAGCCCTCTAAGCCATTAAACTATTACTAAAGCTGATTAATCAACCCTGACTGCTTCTAAATAAAACAAATGATTTAAGAATTAAAGTTTCTGTATCCTATTATCAAACTCATTAAGTCATCTCAAACTGCTGAATTTTGGATGAATTTCTAAATTCCTAAGAATGTATTCATACACATTTATTCTCCCCTCCCCATATTTATCCATGATACACAAATATTAAAATAATCAGACCAATCCGCTTGGACAGTGGAGATCAACATAATCACTTTAAAGTTTTGTTAGATTGTTTTGTTAACTGTCATACTGCCTTGGGATATTTTAAAATAATTTTTTATTACTTTTTCACTCGCACTAAAGTAAAGGAAATTAAAGTATGAAAATTTTATTTGCAGACGGTCTAAGATCTTACGGTAGAAATGAAACTTTCTTGTTGGGCCAACTCTCACTGTTCTGCTAGACGTGCATGGGTTTTGCAGAGGCCTCTTTGAAGTGAGAGTGACCAGATTTCTTGTGAGTTTCAGGGAAGATTTCAATTACAAGGTTATATTTCAACCCCATCCCTCTCTGAAGTCAGACCTTTATCTCCTTTTGGAAATCATTCCATTTACGAGTTTTAAGACTATGATCATATGACTACAATTTGAATATATTCTTTGGCATGTTACATGGTGACCCACCACTTCTATTTTATTTCTGTCCTGGTCGTTTTAATGTGTTTATAGGGTTCATGTTGGCCGAGAACTGCTGTGAGATATGGGACGTTATTCACCGAACAGAGCAGACTGTTTTGCAAAGTAGACACCCGAGAGGCTAAAGTGTTTTTCACTGTTATTATTTTCTTTTATTTTGTAGAAAGAATGAAAATATAAAAAGAAAAAATAACTTAATTAGAAACTAAGTAGCCAGTACATCTAAGAGATTACACATATATTTTAGCACATTTGACTCTATTTTGGAGCCTTTTGACCAAATTTTTCTTCTGAATTTTAATTCTCTTATTTGAGAATAAGGGGCTGGAGATGTTATTTGAATTGCTTTTTTAATTTGCCGATGGTGGTAGAAAAAGGTTTAATAGAGGTGATTTTATGTGTGCTGAATTTAGGCAAAAGACTGCATGTTTCAGTGTATTTCCTCTCCATTTCTTTCTCATTTTCCGTCTTTACTTTCCATATTACTTTCAGCGTTCTCTCTCTGTCTCACCCACTGCTCTCCTCACTTCCCAGAGTCTGGCTGGCAATGTGCATGGGAACCTTAGCAGCTGAGGGGCATCCCAAGTTTGCATTGTGGTTTGGTGGCAACAACCCACACTCTGCAACCAAGCTCTTGGGGCTTTAATTCCCAGCTACATCTCTTTCTAACTGTATAATCTTGTGCAAGACACTTCTTCTCTTCATGCCTCAGTTTCCTATATGTGAAATAGGTTAATGGATGGTTGTGAGGATGAAGTGAGATAATATATGGTGCATCCTTCAGACTGTCCCTGACATGAGGTAAGCAGCAGATATGTGTTTGCTGTCATTTCACAATATACCCATTTCTAAGTTACTTGCACATATGTGTGGACAGTGGGATGTGGAAGAGTAAACTGGAACATGAAATTGGGAGTTGAGAATTCCAAGACCTGAATCTGATTCTGCTGTGAGTCAGTGTGCAAGGTGACTGCAAATCACTATTGGTGTCTTGGGATCATCAAATTTTAGGATTTAAAAATTTTCATATTACCCTGGCATTTTACTTATGGATGAGCAAGTCAGGAAGTCCTTAGAGCTTAAAATTACTCACCCTCTAGCACACATTGCTAGGGCAGAGCCGGCCTTGGAAGCCAGTGCAGTGTCTTGCTTCTTAAGCCAGTGTTTCCCAAAGTGTGGTAAGTTGTTGTATTTAAAACCATCCTTCTGAGCAAACTAACACAAGAACAGAAAACCAACACTGCATGTTCTCACTCGTAAGTGGGAGTTGAACAATGAGAACACATGGACACAGGGAGGGGAACATCACACACCCGGGCCTGTCAGGGGGTGGGGGGCTAAGGGAAGGATAGCATTAGGAGAAATACCTGATGTAGATGATGGGTTGATGGGTGCAGCAAACCCGCATGGCATGTGTATACCTATGTAACAGACCTGCACGTTCTGCATATGTATCTCAGAATTTAAAGTATAATAAAAATAGAAAAAAATAATTTTAGGTGATACACAGAAAAGTGTTCTTAATATACCTGGCACATCAAACCCACAGTTTTACAAATAATATTGCTTATGATGAGGCTAAGTACGAGGAACAAACTGATTTCAAGTCATTTTAAGAATATTAAGTATGTGATGGTATGGGTGGTATAAAGATACAGCAAAAACCACGAATGCTGATGCTGAAGTATGGGAAATCCTGCCTACTCTGGGTTCACCCCCGCACCTTTCAAATACTGATATAGGCCAGGATTATGTGACAGCCCACATGGTTTTCCATGATGTAAGAATTTTTCTGTTTCACTCATGATTTCTTGCCCAAAGAAAAGAAACTTAGGCCTGGGGAGTTTTCCCTGTTCTAACGACTTTAAAAAACAAGCACATGAGTGAATATTGGTAAATAATATGACTTATGATACCAAAACATAGGAATCCATGTTCTGGAATCCTAAATGCAAAAGGAAGCAGTAGTTGTTGGCAATTGTACCAAGCTAAGAGAAGTGTGAAACATACTTTAGAGGGAAAAGACAGATATGAAAACCAAAATGTCAGGAATGGTTCTGATAGCAGGTTATCTAATCACATGCATATGAGCATTTACTCATTTGCTTTCAGCAGAGATTATTAAGCACCTATATAATCTCTGCTCTTTATCAGTGTGTACACAAAGGTAAAACCTATTTCACACAGCAACTATATTTTTGAAACATTATAATTTGAATTTGCTTTATTCAAGTCATACTTTAGGGATTTGGGAAAGTTGAATGTTTTCAGGAAAACTAGTAAAGTTTTTTGTCAAACAAAATTATTCCTTTATCTCTTTGGTAAATTTGGATTTTTATATATCACATCTGTAAAAAGCAAAGCAAACATAATCATAGAATTTTCAATATTTGGACACATTAGATGCCAAGTGTTTGGTTTTGTTTCAGTTGTTTGCTGTTTCTTTTTGAAGGCATAGAAAGAAGCTATTGGAAATGTCACCTGGTCTAAGGAGAGAAGCAGCAGGGCCCTTCCTTAGCCTTGTTAAGCACCATGTTTCCTGCGCCTTCCGTTTAAAGTACATGATATGGTTTTGCTCTGTGTCCTCGCCCAAATCTCATCTTGAACTGTAATCCTCACGTGTCGAGGGAGTGAGATGATTGAATCATGGGGGTGGTTCCCCCATGCTGTTCTCCTGATAGTGAGTTCTCATGAGATCTAATGGTTTTATAAGCGTCTGGCATTTCCCCTGCTGGCACTTTTCTCTCCTGCCTCCTTGTGAAAAAAGTACTTGCTTCCCCTTTGCCTTCTGCCATGATTCTAAGTTTCCTGAGGCTTCTCCTACCATGCGGAACTGTGAGTCAATCAAACCTCTTTCCTTTATAAATTACCCAGTCTTTTGTATTTCTTTATAGCAGCGTGAAAACAGACTAATATAGTACACTAGTTCAGTTTTTAAATGAATGAAAATTCTAATATTAAATTAGCAGTTCTTTGACAAGAAAAAGAATTTATTATTTCTTAAAGTAGAGGTCTAAACTGGCTGAAGTGAGCTTTAAAGTATACTATAGAATCTCTTGGTGGATTCCGTATTAGGCATATGTTCTTGTTTAGGTAGTCTGTGAAATGATCTTCTCATGGAAACATTCAGAAGAGATGCACCTAATAGTTTATGGATGATATTCAGTGAAAATTAGATTTTGTATCTGTTTTTTTGGGAGTTGTGTGTGTGTGTGTATTTTAGCATATGGATGGTGTGGTCCATAGATTCTTTGTTGTTCTTGAAAGGGTCTTTAGAGAATCATTACTGGTATATGCTGAACCAGTCCTCAGGGATGCAGGTGTCACTCACTGTGTGTGGCCTGTGCTGGACCCTGGTGACTTTATTTCTATAGGGTCACTGCATCTACTGTTTTGATTCCTTTGACTTATCCAACCAATTTTTAAAATGTGAAGATTTGGGGACCTTGGGTTTATTACAGGTACAGAATTGAATTGAAAGATATCAGAGATTCTGGAATCAAGATGTGGTTGGAGAGGAGCATGAGGGATGGGGTGGGTGATGTGGGAGTACGACCTGGAAGGAGGAAGGATGGGTGGTAAAAAGGATGCTGCAGGAAGGGCTTCTGTTTGATATAAATGTTTTTATGATTTGTTTGTAGAAAAGATGCTGACACACTTGTAACCCTTATTTCAAAGGGCAGCAAATCTTGCACTTGATTTTTCTGTGTAAATGAACTGTGTAATTGGTAATAGTTTATATCAAACCATTCAAAAATTTTCTAAGCACTGTTGCAAGCTCGTAGACTTCCCAAGTGATATCATAATAATATCATAATTACCGCGGCTTATGAAAAAAATGGGTTAAGTTCTAAGATGTAGTAACATCTTTAATCTGAAATTATCTGCGCTTGGCCAAATCAGCTTTCCTGTATTTTCTTTCACAAAACATTTGGTCCCAATTGTAGTTTTCTTTCTTTCAGAAAAAAAAAAAAGGTCAGAAAAAGTTCAAAATGACATGATGGAATATATATTTGTTTGGAAAAATGATCTGGTTATTGCCATGGCAGCTATATTAAATTTTTAGGGTTATGTGATATAGTTTTTATATTAATACCATCTTTGAAATTTATTTACATGATGTAACAGCTCTGATGGTTACATTACATCTTTGAAAGCAAAAATGTACAAACTAGCCAAGATTTATGCAGCTTCTCAGCAGGGCAAAATTATTCACTTTAAAGGGAAAAAAAGATATTTGTTGGATTTTAATTATACCATTTAGATGTTGACATGTATTAAATTTATTACAAAAGAAATGCAAAGATGACTTACAGAAAAACAAATTCTTACCTAATAAAAAATGGCACATATCTTGATAGGCTATGAATTTTTGCTTTCCGATGAAATTGTTACAAAGTAAATGTCTGAAAAACAGGTTTCATGAATAAGACAGAATCTTTACATTCAGTCTTTCTTCTGGTGCATAGGATTGTTTTATGTGTTTACTCTTGCTGAGACTTAGGCTTGTAAATGGCTTACTAATAAACAGAAGGCAAGTTGTTAATTCTTAAATTTTAATTATAGGTATTATTATTTTTAAAGTTGTTTACAGGCTATTCTTTCATCAGGCGTGTCCCCCTTTTAAATTGAACCTCAGATTCTAAGTTAAAATTTTTTTTATAAAGTCAATTATTTTTTAGAGTTAATTCTGATAATTTTTACAAGGGTGATTATAGAAATTAAATAGAGAAAAGTATAAGCCATGTGCAATTTATCATGATTATACTTCCTTGGTTTTATAAACCCAGTTTTGAGAAATTATATCCCAACTCAACATTATTTTATAAAATAAATATATCAAATTCTGATTGTTTTGAGGATATGGGAGTAATATTATTTCCTCCCTTTAAAATATTATTTTAACTTAAAAAGAAATATGATGTGCTGCAATGAGATAGATCTGAAATGATTTAGAAATTTTGAAGAAAATTTTCAAGTTTGAATTTGCCTGAATTAACATATTAAACATTATTTAATATCTTGGCATTTATGTAATTAATTCATTATATAATTAAAGCAATTGTATAGGAATTTTTCAGAATTTTTTATGATTTGTGAAAGGGGATCACTGAGCTACAGAAAAAAAGGTTTTTATTTTTCTAGAAATTCTCTTTTGTAATTGTATGTCAGGCACTATTTGCAGCCCTTGATATGTCATATTTCTTTTATTTTTTGCTTACTCTATAGAGTTATTATTCTCTTCTTATACACAAGAATGAGCTTGGAGAAATTAAGTAACTTATCTGAAGTCACCCAGCTGAGACTTGATTCCTGCTCTGCCCAGTTCCACTTAATACACAATACCCAAGGGCCCAAAATTCTGTCATTTCTTCTGTATTTAGCTATGCCTAGTTTTTCAGAAATATTGAAGTAGAAGGAAATTTGTTTTGGAAAGGGAAATTAAAACCCACCAATAGAAAATAATGATAATGGTACTGTTTGAGCACTTAGTGTGTGTCAGGCTCTTCACATGGACAATCTCATTTTATCCTCACAGAAACTCTGTAATATGTCATCTTACAAATGACTTAAGTGTTTTGCTGAATCTCAGATTCAGAACCAGGCTGATTCACTCCATGACCATGCCTCCTTTTCATTTAAATCTAAATGCACAGCTTAAACATTTGCATAACTGAATTCACTTTTAATTATGTGGACTTTTAGAAAATACATCTTTTTAACAGTTTATTCTTGACTCAACGGCTCGGAAGGCATAAATTATGATTAAATTTGCCTAGGTCTAATAAAAGATTGCGACTTAGGTTATCCCACCTCCCTCTTACTGGGTATTGAAATTTTTTTATATACTTGAAATGGTTGCATTTTGACTCTTATCCTTCTGGGTTCCAACAGTCAAGTACTTATATTAAGACATATTTACATAGTCATCAATTCATAGGGTCATGGAAATGGGCTGGAGAATCCCAAAGATCATCTTATTTAAAGCCCATGCAATGGAGCACATGGAGATTCAAGTTCAGTGACTTAGTAGGTCATACAGTTAATACTGCCAGAGTAAGAAGTAGAACATAGGATTCCTCATCTGTAGCTCATCTAGCAACTAATTAACTAGGGAATATGAGGGGGTAAGCCAGAGGAAGATTAACAATGCCTAATTTATACAAAATTTACAGCTCACAAAGGAAATGATTCTATTGAATGAGCTAATTTAATGTGATTATATGTTTTCTTTTTAAAAAGTAGGAAAAATGGTGGCATCATAGGATTTGATCAAAGCTGACAGGGAATGCTTTGGTGTCTTAATAACCATTGACTCACTAAATCCAGCAATAGACAGTGCTAAATGTTCACAAAGCTGAAATATTGAGCAGCCCAGTGTAATCTGGCCCACACACATGATTTCTAACCTAAAAATATCTGTCTTATGAAATAAACCAACCAAAGGATTCTATTTCAGTTTGCTTTTCTAGCGATCCTGAAAATGTGGTCAGGGATTTAGGTAAAACCAGTATATCACAACACAATTGCAATCAAATTCAAAATGAAAGCACAGTGAAGACCAAAAAAAAAAAAAAAAAAAAAAAAACAAACAAACCAAAGCAAAACAAAACAAAAAAAAACTCAGGATTTCTAGCTCAGGAAAGGAGGAAATGAGAGTGAGATCACGTACTTCAGAGACCGAAGAAACCCATCAACCTTTGAAGAGAACCTCCTCGAAAGTACATTAAACATCCCAAGGACTCTAACTCAGTCACGGATGTTCTCATTTCCATTTCTCCAGTCAGTACTATCCTTTTATCTGAAAGTATGGGATTTGGCAGTAGTTTTTAAAGTGTGTGTGTGTGTGTGTGTGTGTGTGTGTATGTGGGTGTGTGTATACACACCTCCTTTGAGAATCTAATAAAAACTATGAACCTTCTTCCCAGAAGGTTACTCATATGCACACACACCATTTTCTTGTGGTTTCAAGGTGTTTGTAGCCCTGCCTGAAGCTTCTCTATAGACCCGACGTAAGAGATTTCATCCATTATTTCCTTTCAGCCCACAGATGCTTCCTGTGGAAAGAAGGGAATCAATCCCACGTCCTGTCTAGAATTTAGGAAGCCTACAGGTTATAACAATGTGTAACTAGGTGCCTTCTTTTCTTTGGGGTCTGATGTGAGCCATAACCTCTGCAAAACAAAGGATCGGCAAACCTTGTGTCCCAGACATTCAAGTTGACGGGATCTCTTGGTTAGATTTCCTGGGAACCAAACCTTACGACGCAAATGCCCATCCAGAAACACAGGGCGTCTCTCTGGGAGACAGCATGGTGTCCCAGTGCTGGCTGCACACTTGCCAGCCTCCCACCCAGCTGTGTGAAAGGAGCTTTATTAGCCAGCCCAAACCAGGCTTGTTTGGAGTCCTGGGCCACTTCCATTTTCTGAGGCTCTTGATATATTGAAAAATGAAAAAAATGCCAAAATAGGGTTACAAAAACAGTGGTATACTTTAAATGTTTACCTTTAACAACTTAATGCTTTTAATACCAGAAACATAGAACTGTGCTATTCATAAGTTAATTACAGGATTTATAAAAATGTTAATTTATGGTTTGCTACAGGCAGTGTGGTCCAGTCAGGGGATCCAATTTAGAGTTGTGCAAAGAAGGCCTCCTTCTTTCAATCCTGTCAGTCTATCTCTGTGATTGTATGCATAACCTCATCTGGAAATGGCTTCAAAGGTCTAAATTTGAGGCTCTTTATGAAAGTGGAGCTGAGTGGCCCTGCTAGCACCCCCTGGAGAGGACTTGCAGAAAGCTCTTCTGAGGAGGAGCTGGGGTTGCCCGTGTCACCAGAATCCCTCGCCTTCTCCTTTGAGTCTCACCCTCCTCAGGGAGCCTGTGCTCCTGTACTAGGACAGCTTCCCCTAGAGCTCTATGAGGACTAACACAGCCATCTATGCAATGGGAAGGATCCTGGGAATGGCCAGCTGCTCTCCCCCATAGTGGATGACTTCAGCCCTTACTACACATTTTCGAATTCCTTTAAAAGGTCATTGCCTCCTTTCAAACTTCACTTAAGGATAAAGATCAAAGTGCAAATATTCTTTTCAAGAGTAGCTCCTTGACCCACCTTCACAACTAGGTATAAATTACAGCTACCAGGATCCTTATGAGAGGAGAACTGGGGCCTGAAGAGAAGCACTGAGGCATGAATGGGGTGGGGGGATGGTTTGAGGAGTCAGTGAAAGGGAAGACTAGGGATGGTAGCAGTAGTCCTCAGCGTGGGACAGTTTTAGGGATTGGAATGGGAGGAGAACCAACACTTGGAGAGAGAGAGGTACATGCTAGGCCTCTCCATTGGGTGAAGTCTTTATCCTGCTGCTTTGTAGCAGCCTCAACTCTGCAGACACTTTTGGACATTTTTAAAGGAAATGTTCATTTTAACCATTTAGGCAAGGCATACTTTTGAAAGCAACATTGTATCCCATAGAATTCTCCCAGGGCATACTCAACTCTGCCTTAGCTGTTTTGGCTCACTCACAGAGCAGAGAGACATGGCCCGGCCCTTAATGCTTGGGTACCTGGCAGGCGTCGTATCCTTTTATCTATATCCATCTGACTGTCCATCTCTTCATCCAGCTACCCATCCAAGCAGCCATCCATCCAAACAACCAACCAACTGACAGACATTCCCAACACAAGGCACTATATGCCAAGCACCATGCTAATGCCTAGGGATACCATGGCAAACAAGACAGATTTTATCCTTGCCCTCATTGAGGTTATATCCTTGCATGCTTGTTTAATGCTGCCTTTTAAATCCAGCATTGGTTTAAATGATTAGCTTTGCCTCTCTTTAAGTCCTGAGGTCCTTTTTGCAAAATTGTAATGGATTACCTTTTCCACATGTAGGAATCCCATTCTAGACAACAAATATCCAAAGGTTGGATGGGAAAATCTACAGATTTGGTACCAGATAAGATGTCTTATGATTTGTTTTACATGTCTCTCACCTATGGCACTGTAAATTACTTGAGGGCAGGGAGTGGGTCTTAGGTTTTTAATGCTCTGCACCAAGCACAGTGGCTGGCACACAGTAGCTGCTTACTAAATTTTTGTTGAAAGAATGCTGTCTGGGAAGTCAGAGGTCTAAATTCAAGACTCATCGTTACTGTCATCACCCTCTATCCTTGGTGCCTCATCTCTTGGATCTTGATGGGGAGGAAACCTATGGCAAGTAAATGTCTTTGATGTAGGCCAGTAGTGGCTCTTACATACTCCCTTTCTTGAGCACCCTGAGTCTGAGGGGTGGCTTCATCTCTTGCATAGTTGTCTGATCCAGGGCAGGACAGTGTAAACTGGGAACTGAGTGCATGCTCAGCACTGTCCCAACGTGACATAAGGAAATGTCTTCTCAATTATTTAAGATCTAAAAATATGTTTTCTGTCCTTGACAGACGGCCACTTTTCCCTTAATAAAGCATGTCTGACAATCACACTTTGTTGGTGTGGTTAGGAAAAGAATGTCGTAGACTTAGGAAAACATAATAATTTAAAGAGTGACACATTTCAGCAAAGAAATAAAGCTGTTGCCTGCTCTGAAAAGAAGTAAAACCATAGGAAACCATTACTTCATTGGGACAAACATTCTGTGTCTTTAGAAAGTTCTCACTAAAAAAAAGCGGGTGAGCTCTAGGGCATAGTGTGTGTCTGCGCATGTATAGAAGTAGTCTGTCTATTTTTTAGAGATGTTCCCTTTACAAACATTTCCCACTTAATACTTTGTAAGTATTTAATACGATTGCTGTCTAACATAGCAGTTTGCACCTAGGCTTTGGTCCAAGCTGCTTCTTGGAAATCATATTTTTCAGTAGCTACCAGGCTGAGGTGTAGTCAGTAACTGAGGTATAGTCAGGTTTCAGCAAGGTCTATTTGGTATTGTACCCACTAGACTATATAAACCAAAATTTCTGCTACAATAAAGAGTTAAATAGTACTCCATAAGACGTGTTGCACGAGGCATATGGAGATTTCAAGTGTGCATCGCAGTGTGAGCATTAACTTAAATGTGTCATTTTATAGTTCTCTAGTGCAGAACTATTTGGTGTACGATTGTATGTAACATGCAAATCCCATCAGTTCACACTACTATTATTTGTAGGATTATTTTAACAAAATAATAGTTCCATTTCCTGTTTGGTATAAAACTAAGGCTTTATTTTTAAAAGTGGAGGAAGATGTTAATACAAATTTCTCTGTGGTTTATTTTCCAAAATTGATACTTTCTCATATGTAGCATGTTGTTGTTGTTGTTGTTTCCAAAATCCATCTTTCACTGACACGACAAGGGATGCTGAGTAGCTCTTCACATTTGCTAGCCACAGTCTGAGATTATTTGCAAGGCAGGATTCTCTGATGCCAAGGGCTGAGGTCTAGTTTACTGATCCCCTTCCATCTCAGCAAAAGTGTATATGAGAGAGAAGAGAGAGAAAAGCCAGAATAGGAGGGAAGCTGGAAACTGTGGTGCTTACTCGTTCATCTCAGGATATGGATACAAACGTGGTAATAATGAAAGCTGCCCTTTGTTTACAATACACACAGTTTGTGGCAGCAATCTTTATAAGCCCCCAAATGGCACTTAATAAATAAAAGAAGATACAGGTTTTCTTGATTAGTTAGATATAAATGTTTACTCAAGCTTTCATGAGAGTTTTCTTTATTTTTACAGAGCTCTCTCTGCTCAAATGAACGCGTGAACGAATGTCTGTTTTTTTAATGTGAACTCACTATATACAAAATAAGTTTTCGCAGGATCCAAATTCATTTCATTTGTAAATTATTTAATAGATGTCAAGAATTCTTGTTGACTGCTTTAATTAAAGATAGATTTTTAAAGACTGGATTTAAGCAATTTTTAAATGGGTAGATTGTGTCAAAGAATTTTGCAGTCTGTGAAATACATTAACACTGATACTAAAAAGAGAGAGAGAGAGAGAGAGAGAGAGAGAAAACGAACAAGAAACTGCTCCATGCAAATATTTCCAAGGTTGTTCTTAGCAATGTAGGGTTACCATTTTTTTCCTTTTTAGTGTTGATGTTGTGTGGACACTGGAGACAGTTGTGCACTGTGGATATTATTGCTGCAACGGAGAAGAGGGAAAAAGATAGGTTTGTAGCAGGGCCTGTGGATGGCACCAAGCCAGTGCCGTGAAAAATGGCAAACATGTCACAGCTAACAGCTGGATGCAGAAATATTTCTCTTTAATTTGGATGGATAAAATTTTTTTCACAGCAGGGCACTCTCAAAAGAGTACAACATCAAAGAGGGCGGGTCTCACCAGTCAGACATCAGCTGGCTCCAGGATGGAGCAAAATGAATGAACTGTCAGGACTTTTCCAGCATATATGCTTTTGCCAAGTGAAAAGTTAAAGGTTCAGTGGCTTGTTCAGATCACAGACAGAATCCTGATAATGGAAGCCTGATTCCCCAAAGTCTTCCTCTGATCAACAGACAGAGCATGCCTGAAGAAGACTCCAGAATGATGGATGGCAGGCTTCATATCGACGGCTGCCGCCGCCTTCAGAGATAAGTGGAATTCACCAAATGCTCAACAGTTCTCAGGAGTGCCTGAGTCCCCATGTCATAATCCTCAGAGTCACCGACTCTCCTCTGCTAACTTGACACTTAGCAGTAGCTGACCCACAGTGTGACCAAAATACCCATTTCCATTTCTTCACATGGCCGGCTCTCTGATGAAGGCTTTGCAAACAACACCACAGGTGTTTTACAGTTCATTGACACTTTTCAACTGTTTTTCTGATTACCATATTTCAGTCTTGACTTATATGTTAGTATTATCTGCACACTCAACATAAACCTCTAATGATTTTCTAATATTTCTGGAACTTGATGAATGTGAATTGACAAAGTACAGTATATAGCTTTATATCAGCATTACTGAAAATACAGCAATGGTGTATATAACCATTACTCACTTATTTTATGGGGTATTTATTACTTGACCTTTGAAGCCACATTTTAGAATCTTGGCATTCGAGACATTCCAAAATATTCCAGACCAAAGTGAAAGGAAAGGATTTCCTTATTAGAAACAACAACAAAGTAAGTTAATTGTAATAGGTGGAGGAGGGAGAAACTATTAAAATGAAAAAATGTATAATATATATTTGAGAAAAAATAAAAAGCTGAACACACATAATATGGGCACACTAGTCGGTGTTTAATGAAGAAGCTTTATTGTAAAATATGCATATTCACGGTCTTATGCATTGTCTTTTTTTTTTTAATGTTGCTGGTCATTATGACACATTGCGATAAGCAGAAATGGGGATTTGTGTCTTTATCCATTGCATGATTGCTAGTTGTTTACATTTTAATAACATTAATTCTCACTAAATTGACATTTGTTCTAAAAATAGAAATTTGATTGATAAAGAACTTTATTAATCATTATGAATGTTTTTATGACCCTCATTTGGAGAATTTCAGTTAGTTTTAAAGGAAGAGCTCTACATTTCTCTCTGATAGGGCAAATAGGATGTGATGAAAAAAGCAATAACATGGTGGCCTATGATTCACATTTCCCAACCATATAACTGAGAGCAAATCATTTCATCTTTCTCAGCCCAAGGCTTATTACCTGTAAAACAGAATAATATTCTCAGCTTCTCTTGCAGGTCAGTTATACAGATAAATAAGTCTGTAAAAGTATTTTATAAACTCAAATGCCACACGAATATGTATGACTTGGTCATTAACTGATGTTCTTTGCTTGTGTGAAGGTGGAGGCAGATGCTTTCACTTATTTTGAAAGTTTCATTTTGTGATCTTTCTTCTCAAGCCTTGATTTAGCTTTATTTGAAAGTTTAAAACCAGAAAGGTTAGTAGGCCACACTGTTGTGGTATTTGCTGTTTTCCTCTCTAGACTGGGGAGCAGTGCTGGATCTCTGTGGATCTGAGGCTCCAGGCTGAAATCCACAAATGTCCCGGGCTTTGCATCCAGGTACATGTGACTGCACAGACAGCTCACCTACCTTGAACATATTGAGTGTTCATGCAGGAATATGGCACTGTAAGTTGGGGCTCCCTCTGGTCAAAAATGTCAGTGACTTCAGAGATCAAGCAATCCTATATGGTAGGTGATGTTCAGTGAGAGATATTGGGATATTGGGGTTCTAAAGCCACAGCTAATTAAAACATTTGTACTTGTTAATTTCAAGCATGCTCCAGAAATGTTCTCAAAGGTATAGTGGGTGCCTATGTCTTTTGCATGACAAGCGACACTGCAATGAACTAAAAACTGATTAACTTTAGGAAAGTGTGGAGTTGAAGAAATGCTTCCTTACCGTTTTCTGAACAGTATTTACATTCATATACCATTTCTTATTTTGACATAGTTTGCTTTATTTTAAAAATAGATTCATCTGGGAGATAAAATATAAACTATTAACACGTCAACTGTTTTACTCCTGTATTCCCTTGATGTCATTCCAAATCTTTTTCTTCTTTCTCTTTTCTTTTTCAACAAAAGTTGATTTCCTGGTGTGTACAAAACCCTGTGTAAGGTACCTATCAGTAAATTACAAAATGATTAAAATGCACTCCTGCCCTCAGTGAGTTTATGCTCTGGTAACCTTAGAAATAGTTTATTTGCATATGCTGCGCATAATATATTGTGGCCAGTGTCCGTGAGCAAGTTAGTAGATTATGTCTAGACTGACGTTTCTCATCTAATAATAGTGTTGGTCTAAGGCTGGCTATGTTCTTTGAGCTCTTACTAGATGTCCAGCATTGTTTTCAGTCCTTTACATATACTCACTTATTTGGTTTTTATATCAGCTCTTTGAGGTAGGGATTATTATTAGCACCATTTTTTTTTCTCAGAAAAAGAAAGTCTCAGTTTCCTTAAGAGGTTAAATAACTGACCAAAATCACGTCATCACAATTGTAACTCACATGCATTGAAACTGACACCCACATGCAAGCTCTTAACCTCTGTACTCTACACCCTATGGTCGCCCTTAACCATAGTGGTTTATATCGTGTGTTTTCACTGAGAATACTTAAGAAGGTCTCCTTTAACAACCACCGTTCACCTTTTAAAAATCTTTTATTTAGCAATAAAAGAAATCTGGTTACTAATTTTTCATAGTCAAAACAGCCAAGAATCATTTTTTTGAGTAAATGGTTGTAGAGCTGTCTTATGGACTACAAAATACTGGGCCTCTACCTCCTGACACGCAGAGGAATTGTGTAGTAAAACATATTTATCTATGTTGGCAAACAGTATGCTTTCTTAAATTTCTAATACACTTGACTATTGGAACCCCAATTTTCTGAATTTTATAGAAGGATGGGGCTGTGTAAAGGCACTGTGTAAATAGGTAGAGGATATCTGAGAAACGGTGTCTTTTTATCTGGTCTTCCCTGGATACTCCATGAGCTGTGAAAGGATTGTAAACAGCGCTGGGTTCACAGGTCTAAACTGGAAATCTCCAACGACCTTTTCTGGGCCCTTTCTGTGGTAATTGTTTATTCCATTTTAAATCATCATATGAAATTCACCTTTGTATTTCATAGAGTTGAAAGAGATTGGCTTCAAAAAGCATGTAATATTTTTTAATCCTAGTTGTTAATACTTAGAATCAAGGTTTAATTGCGTTTAGTGGTAATTTCTTCTTAAGCTTTGAGTAAAATCCAAGATCTTTAAGAAAATACAGAATTATTGTGAGAATTCAATTACTTCGGCATGCATTGGGTTCCTTCTATGTGCTGGGCCCTGTATTAGATGTATGGGCATAAAATATGCTTCCTCACCTCAGCTGCTTGGCGAAAACTGGAGGCTGGCACTTCAACACACAACCAAATGCCAGTATCTGGAGCCTTGGCACAGGGATATGCCAGGGTTGGGAGCATGGGAGAGGGCGTCTGAAATGTCTCCTCACTCCCTGAAAACTGGCTAATCCCTTTTATATGAAACCTTCGGATCCCACTTCCCCCTCCCCATGCTGAAATCCAGGGAACCCGTTCGGGGAGGAGCAGATTCATGATTAAGTTGTAATTCAAGTTCCTTTTGTCTGAGGTCATTAGCTCTCTTCAGGATATTTACAGGACTGAATGAGGTGAGGAAGGCCTCAGCACACTCCCAGATGGGGAGGCAGAGAAGTGGAGAGAAGGTGAGAAGGCCTGGTGATGAGTTCTGGTTCTGTCATGGACTAGTCGTCTCACTTTGCTTAGACTACTAACTTTTGTAGACGCCATTTCCTTCTGTATAAATGGATGGGGTTGGAACAGATGGTCTCTGAGGTCCCTTCCAAATCTGATTTTCCTGGGCTCTAAATTTAGCCACAGTGCTCGGCATTCTGGCAGAAGAGTTGGTGACTGAGTTTTTCATGGAGGCCTTATCTACTGGAGGAAATGTGCTGCCTGTGCTTTTTCACACAGGGTCCCCCAGCTCACCTTGGGCCCCTAGAGGTGTCCTGGGAACTGTCTCAGAGAGTCATAGTGGGGTTAGTTGTGCTGGTGAGGTGCTCTCATCAACCCCTCATTTTTTAACCAGGGCAAATTTCATCTGTTTTTATAGTGGAATTACATTTAAGACGTCCTTGAATTAAAGGGGATCCTTCACTTAAAAAGATCTTTGAAAGCCTGTGCTGGTAAAAATGGAGGGAAATTAAAAAAAAAAACAGAAAAAAACAATACTCTGTACTCCCCTTCACTGGAAAACTACAGGACAGAAAGCTTGGATCTTGGGTCAGATGATGGCATCTGGGAAGCACAGGAGTGATGAATGTTTGCAGTGTTTCTAGGCTGTCACTTCAAACAGTTTTCTTTGAAAGTGCCCCCAGCTGTAATGGACTGATTTTCAGTGGTGGCAGGAATTCCCTTACAGCTGGGCTTACAAATGTAAATGTCTAATGAGGCCAAGCAGGTAAGTAAATTAGTGAAGTAAGTAGCATGTAAGACAGTAGAGAGGTAGAGACTGCAGAACTGGAAAAGCTCAAGCCCAGTCTAAAGGGAGCCATCTTTTCTTATCTTAAGGGGATCACTGCCAGAGATCGAGGACCCATCTTTTGATTTTTCAGAAGTTAGAAATCTCAACTAGATAAAATTAAAAAAATTTTTAAACATTGTTCAGGAAAAACAAGGTTGGTCTATTGCTTGAATTTAGCCTGAGAGCCACTAGTTTGCAAAGGAGAAACACTTTGCTCAGAGCCACCAATACACACAATTCCTATCATTTGGAAGATGGTATTATGCTTATGTTAAAACGAGCTTAGATCAGTCACTGGCTTACACCATTTCTATGATTATTGTTGTTATCATAAGCTGGCAGCCTTGGTAAATGACAAAGCAGTGGACAAGCCACTCACAGACAGTTGTTGTAACGTGCAACCCTGGTGCATAATTTACTCCTGCTGCTCTCATTTAAAGCTAGATTTTGTGCAAGGAAAATAAGAGCATGGGAGAGAGTGGCACTTCCTAATATCCAGGATCACAATACAACTCCTTTCTTGTGGTAGCTTTCGGTTAATGCCATGCATGATTTGTAATGAGTGAGAAATTGTGTGATCATTATTTCAACCATATGTGTGATGTCCCAATAAATAGAATTAGATTCAATACTGTTAAAATCCGCTTAAACAGGTAAGAATTAGGTCTCCCTTTTTCTTATATTTCTACTCCTATTGATAAAAGAGAAAGAACAGACCAAAAGCAATGGTTTGAAAATAGCAGCAACAACAATCACAAAAGAAATCAGAGGCTGATAGTATAGTGATATGTATTACAAATATTTTCCCAAGAGGATAACAGATAGTTTTTAACATTAGGTAACATAGCTTCTCTGTTTTAACAATGCATGCAAAAACTGAACTACAAAAAAAAAAAAAAAAAGGGCTAGGTTTTCTTTTCATTTATTTTTTTCTCTGATGTTTTTTGAAATCAGTTAAGAGACTCTTGCTATACTTTAGGTGAGAAAAAACATCTTATTTGGGCTAAAATGGTTAACAGTGGAGAGAATGACATAAATGCACTTGAAAAGTACGTAGAAGACAAATTCAACTGGATTTGATGATGGCTAGGCTCTGGGGGCTGAGGGAGAAAGCAGTATCAAGGTTGAATGAGTTTGTTCAACTCTGGGTATGTAGTCGTGGGGTTTAAGTAGGTGCATGGGATTTGCGTCACAGTTTCATGTGAAATATTATAATGTTAGTATTAGCTAAAGCCAGGAAAACCAAACCTCATGCCATGTGCTACATTGTGTGATATTTGGGAAAAGCCTGACAAATAGCCTTTTACTTTTCCTCAAGGCAAGTAGCAGTTTATATCAGGCAGGCAAAAATTGTAGATTTCCTTGTAGTCACGATATACTTAGTTAAGATTACTGCTGAAACAAGAGTGTAGGGGGAAACACTTTTCATACTAATTTTCAAGGTGGACTGGTTAGTGGCTGGTGATCAAATGAGCCAACGGTTAAGACAGCCCCCACTAGTTAGACATGTTAGAGGATTTTACTTGCTGTTGAAGATAGTGGCTTCATGCACAAAGGAGGATTGTTGTGTGCACTTCTCAAAATGCTTCATAATAATTTTCACCAGCAGTCCCTGTGGAAGGTTTATTCTTGAGGGAAGGGAGGGTAGGGGGCTGGGTCATCAACATTTCTTACTCCATCAAAGATTAACAGTGGCATTAAGGGAACCAAATGGCTTTGGTCAATGTTGCAATTTTGAAGAAACTGGTTAAGATTAAAAATTTCAACTCTGAGGCTGTCAACAACAGTTTCAGAGTTGAAATTTTGAATCTTAACTAGTTTTTTTAGAAAAACAAAAACAAAAACAAAACCCCACAACAACAAAAACAGAAACAACTACAGTGTAATCAATCCTAAATATGTTGTCTATCATTAGATTGTTCATGTAGCAGATGTAGCCACCCCATGCAATGTTTCCATTTTTTGCCATTATCCAAAACCTAGAAATTTAAAGAAGTCATTAGCCTTAAATAAATATAATCCAAGAATCTCTTCACTCTGCTCAAGCTAAATTGATTATCAGCTGTGATCACCCTGGTGTGTTTACCCAGTCATAACTTCTCAATTGTTTTTAACAGATTAATGTTTGAATTTCATTGTGGGGTTAGTGGAAAGGTTGGGGTTGGAGAGGAATGAGTTCAAGAAAAGCAAAAAATAAAATAAAATAAAATAAATAAAGTAAAAAAAAACTCAGCTGTTTTTAAATGACTAGTAAAAAGAAACTGTCATCACTAAGCCCGTTTGCACCCCCTCCCCCGGAATAGAACTGCTGAGCTAAACTAATATGAATGACCATACTAATTTTGGAGCCTAAATGTAACCAGTGAGGCTCTCTCTAACACTTATTTTCCATGCTTATTTGAAAAGGAAAATTGGAAGGGCGGACTAGCAAGAGTGAGAGACACGATTTGTCAGGATGCTCTGGAGAAGTAGCTACCAGCAGAAGGATCCCACTGCTGATTTTATCTGAAAAGGTGCAGTGTATGATGGTCCTTCTGAGAACCATACCCTTAGGAAATTCTTTAACTGTCCCTGCTTCCTGGATGGCCCCAGGACTGGGAGTGACTTTCTAGAATTGCTGTGGATACATGACCGCCTCATCTCCCACTCCTCTAGATACCATGTCTCCCTAAGTGCCCTGAATCTGAAGTCGTTTCTGGAAAGGCAAGCTGTTGCCTCTGCTGTTGGCACTGACTCTGTGTTTGCTTGGCTCCCTAGTTGCTTTCACAAGACTTTTTGTCTCATGCTTATTGAGTGGTTTGAAGCAGATTTCATTTTCTCAAATGCTATCTTGAAAGGAAATCTGCTTGAATTGATGTGAGGCAGTAACAATTAGACAACTCGGTTAAGAAATGTAGGATTCATAGGAGACAGCCATTTTTTTTCTTTCCTTTTTTGAGGGTCTCTCTTTTTTTTTTTTTTTTTTTTTTAATGACTCCTCTCCTACTAGTTTCAGGTCCTGAAAACTGAAGCCCTACATCTTCTTTGAGGTGAGAGTCCATTTATTTCACCCAAATCAGAGTCTGTTTTGCCAGTTCTTTACGGCTCCATAACTCTCCAACTGCCTTCTGCTGGGTGTCGCCCAGCCTGTTGAACAGACAGTTACTGCCTCCCGAATGCCTCTGGGCAGTTGTGTGTTTGAGACTGGGGGGCCTCGAATGTGGATGTTCCAACAATGTCAGTGCGGCCTCTCCTTTCAGCTTGCTTTGTTTATCCAGCAGCTCATTATTTAAGACTAGCCTGTCAAAATAAGTTAAATATTCTTTGGGAAATATGGTCACATCCGTGAGATACCACAAATATGTTTAATACAGAGAAGATTGGCTTGATAAGAAAAACATGATCGACTTGCATCATCAAAACATATTTTCCTGTTATTCCGGTTGAGTTGTCCACAAGCATCAATAAGCACTAGCAAACCTAAGGGCAATAAATTTCTGCAGCTGACACATAAAGACACCAAGGGAAGTAGGGAAAATGATTGCTGATGATTCGTTCTAACTACTTGACCTTCTGACCTCTTCTCCAGATATATGACCAGGATGGGACACTACAGCACTTTATTGATGGTGGGGAACCTAGTAAGTCGAGCTGGATGAGGTATATCCGATGTGCAAGGCACTGCGGAGAACAGAATCTAACAGTAGTTCAGTACAGGTAAAGTATATCTTGATTTACCACCTACAGAGCTGAAGCCATTTGGCTTGCATATACAAATTCAGGCTTGCCACTGGTGGGTAAAAAAAATCCTGCAGAACTCTGCAAGGACTGGCAGACATTTTTTTTTTTTGCTAGGTTTCTGAAACCTCCTTAGTTCCTATGACAGTAAGAGCATTCATGAACATTTAGGATTAAAAGTGCTCGTAGATGGCCTCCTTCACTCCGTGCACATGGTGAAGTTACTCCCACATCATTAGAACTTCCAGAATGGTCTGAATGAGCCCAGCAAACCCACTGACTTGGGGTGCTTTTCCCAAGCAGTCGTCTTCACACAGATAAGTAGAAGGTCAGAGATTCAGCCTCAGGTCTCTTGCTTTCAGTCTCCTTCATGCTGTCTCCTTTGAGGAATAGCTTTATTTGCACAACAGCATGGGAAACCAAGAACTCGCTACCTTCCCAAGGATACCTTTCCAAAACCGTTAGACTTAGTGGCAGTGACAGAGCCAGGGTAACTCTCCTGCTCCGTCTAAAGGTGGCAGTGGGTTTGGCCCTTTGATGATTCAGGATTTGTTTCAGTTGATGAGGCAGTTTCCGGGCATAGAGAAGCCCCTGGTTTCCTGAAAGGTATGGGCAAAACACAGAGGATAACAAAGGCAGGGTGGAGCCATCCCCATTTCCCTTAGGGGGTCCACATAGGGAGGCCTCTGGGGAGCTGAGAAGCAGGGTGGATTCCCCGGACACTCAGCCAGTTCTTCTCAGTGCACCTGCTGGTGAAGCATTTCCACTTAGTGCTAAGGAAGGCTGGAGTGGAGATGAGAGGGCAAAAACAAATCAAATAGGAAAAAAGCCCCACCACTAAGCCTTCTTCTCTCAAAATCCCTCGAAAACGTGTGCTATATAAATATATGACCTCAGTTATAAACAGCCGTGTTCTCTTTAGAATCAGAAGCAACTGTTTAGCTTTATTAGGCACCACAGACACATCAAAGCAGAGGGCTCTGTGCTCAGCAACTTGGAGTCCTGCCTATGGCTATTTATTTTCCTTTCCTTTTTTTTTTTTTTTAAACGAAGCTTAAGTTTTTTCTTTTTAACTTTCTTCCCCTTGTTGGTTAAAGGCTGCACAAATTTGGCTTGCTCTCTGAGGTCTTCAATTAAAAAAAATGTGGGCAGTATGTGACTCACCGCCTTGGTTTTCAGTGCAGTTTTATTTCATTAAATAACAGTTTAAATGAAGTAGCACAAGACAGTATTTCATTACACTGCTGTATGTGGGCTTTATTCACCTTTATTACAGCTGCATTTCTGTTGTGAGGTTTTTTATAAAACTCTGAGCTAGAAAATTAGTGAAGATTGTACTTGTCCACTTAGTAAGAGATAGTTTGGTTCTGTAATGGGTACCCAGGGAGCTATAGAGGCAAATTCTGAATTTGGGAAAACAAGAACCCCCTAAGAGGAAGGTGGGCACGGGTAAGTCATTGCCTATCTGTCAATATTAAGTGGGTTTTTTACAACTCCCCCTTTCATGACGGCGCTTACACTATGAGCTCTCTCTGCCGATCTGTTTTCGATTACTTCAGATCTTTACAAAATGAAATACAAAAGCCCAATTTTAAAAACTGGCATTCATCACCAGTGACCACGTCCAAGAGTAAGAAAATAGAAAAGTTGGACCCTGAAGAGCCAGGCTAATTTTTATTGTACATGAATGTCCTCTTCACAAAAAGTCAGCTGGTTTAAATTCATTCTGTTATGATTTGTAATATCTAAATGGAATTTTCTTCAAAGCACACTTGATTGATTGACCCTTAGCTGAACGTTTTGTTTTTATTTTGAGGCTGACAATAATGTTTATTGGCATGTGTTCCACTTCAACTGCGTTGGGACGCCATGAAGCTATCTTTATGAGTCATCCAACCACAATACTAAATACATGTCAGCAAAGGAAATATTATCTGAAAAGGGAAAAATCCCTTTGATGTGCTTCAACATGCAGAGATTTCTGCGAGTTTTGGAAGCTCTGCCCACTTGTAAGGAATGGTGTACGCTTACACATTTTTTTCCGCCTTTCGGCCTATTCGGTGCCTCAGAAGACCACCCATTGCTCGAAAACAGTTCTGCTCTTTCAGCAGCAAAGTGTGTCATTTGGTTTTAGCACATTCATTTGCTGGGCGCAGTGTTTATATTAAGGGAAGCCAAACCGAGAGATGAAATGTTGCAAGGGTGAAGTACAAAGTAGACTCAATTTTTCTCAAGTTAGAAGATGCCAGTGATTTATAGCTCAGCTCCAATTTTGATTTTTTTATGTAGCAGTGGAAAGAATTAATAAAATGCAGAGCTCTTGGAGATGCAGAGGGAGGAAGGGTAGCAAGAGCTAGGCAACTGGCTGGAGTTTTTGTCAGATATTCATAGAATGTTGGGAAAAACATTCTGCTTAGCTAGCAGTGCCCTCATGAGACAGAATGGCAGCAAGTAAGGAAAATAACAAGATAAATGAAATTTTTGCAGCTGCAAGTACAATATTGAGAATCTGCACTTTTTTATTGATCTTTATGATCCTATTGCCAAGAGCCACTTTGTGGTGACAAAATATGTTGACAAGTGCATATCTCACTGCCATGAAAAATGTGGAGAAGCATTCGCCTTATGTCTGCAGTGTTATACAAGGAACAAATTGCCCTGCTACAGCCAATTCCTTACAGAAAGGAGAAATTTAAGGCCCACCAACCCTACACACTTTTATCTTGAACTTGAGGTTCATATTTGTAATAGCAGTTCTTCATTGAGAAAACCAGTCTCAGTCTCCTCATTTTTTTAATCTGTAGGTTTTTTTTTTACAGTACCAAAGCTATTATAAAAAATGTTCATTTTTCAGTACCTTCACTGTATCGTTTCAGAGTGTAATCTTTCAGCCAGAGTAAAGTGCTCCTCTTGTATTTATTGAATTTCCATCCATTTCACATCAGAGGGTTTTTCTCTTCTCCTGTATCAAACTTTAGAAGAGCAGTGGAGAAGATTTTTATTTCCCTGAGTCCTTATATCACAAAGCTGCTTAATTTTATTACAAATTTTGGAATTCCCAATGCCAAGTTGCAATAATACATTTAATGCTTTTCCTTCAAATAAGAAATCAATAGTATTTATATATGAGGTTGGGGCACCAGTGTCTTTGCAATTTTCCAGGAGGGAATTTTCTCATTAGTGTGAGATGAAATTTTTTTAAAATTAATTCTTCCTTTCTGATGTCTCCTGGGCTAAATATCTGTCTCTTCAGCCAGTTCATTCTAGGGAGGGTCATTGTGGAAATAAATTGAATGCTGTTTATCACACTGAGTTACAGACTCTAATTGGTTGCTGGGGACAATCAGTTGGATGTAAATTTATTACAAACAGAAACTGTTTAGATGGAGCTGCGTAGAACTTTTTCAGGGCAATAAAAATATGGATGGGGGCACATGAGTCCTATGTATTACTAAGCTGGGTTTTCTTTTGTTTTGAATAGGTCGAATATATTCTACCGAGCCTGTATAGATATCCCTAGGGGCACCGAGCTTCTGGTGTGGTACAATGACAGCTATACGTCTTTCTTTGGGATCCCCTTACAATGCATTGCCCAGGATGAAAACTGTAAGAATTTATTTTAGCTCTGAATTCACATTTCAATATACCTATTTCAAAGCTAACTTTTTAAGAGCTTTTTTTGAAACTCATGAAACGTGGTTCACTGTAATAAGTAACACAAACATATACAAGTCTATTCCATCGTTTTCTTTTCCCTGCATGTCATCTGCTTTCTCTAGGGCATCTTAACCTGTATGGGCCAGTCCTTCACTTATCAACAACTTCAAAGCCTTTGCCAGAATTTTAAATAATAGTTGAAGCAAGTTAAGTCAGCTGGTATTCACTGAGTACCTACTATGTGTCTGGTTCTATGCTTGCCACCTTAGGGATTACAAGAGCAGTGTAAGATTCACCTTCTGCTCTGAAGGGATGTACAGTCCTGTGGGAGCCACACTGTATGCAAAAATGAAGTAATAAGAAAGCAATGACATTTAATCAGGGGTAACACCCCTTTAGTTGATTGGGTGTGCTTCCTCCTACATAGTCATTTGCATGAGAAATAATATTTAAAATGGTAGATATGTGACTGAGGAATTTGTGTCTTTCTAAATTTTTTGTCTAAAACCATGTCTGGAAACATGTAATTTTCTCCTATCTTTATTACCGTGCCAACCATTATCTTTAAAAGAATTAACATCTAGGCAAATGTGAACTTGCAGCAACTTTCATGTAAACTTTATATTTCTGCTCTATCAGTTATTTGAAAAGTATTTTAAAGTGATTTCGTATTTGGAACAGAATTAGGTTATTCTGATATGCTTCAGTGAGAAACACTGGTTTCAGTGATATTGTGTTTTCTTGTCACCACATTGACTAATTTGTGAGCTGATAGTTTGATGTTATGCTACAAAAAGAAACAAAGATAACAGATATCTTTTGATAATGGATAAGAAACTTCATTTTGAAAAAAGTGGGTTTTTAAAATTTTCTTCTCCACTTTCTAACACATGCACTCACACAAAAACTGCAATTTAAAAACGCTCATATTATGACTGATCAAAATGCTGATCGTCAGATATTTCTTTCCCATTTTGTCTTTAATTTCTTTGTAAAAAGAAAAATCGTCAAAAAGCCTATTACTATCAACTTTCCTTTTCTATTTTACCCTAACCCCAAAACCAATCTCAAATCAAAAAATAAATCTTTGCACATACAGTACATTCCTCTGATTTTGCAAGCTTCCACTGGAAAGTTTCTTTTCTGCAGCCATATTCCTGTTTGAGGGAGTTCCTGTTTTCATAGGAGAAAATCTCAGTGTTGGCCATGAGTATGCAGTGAGAGGCAAATGTAGACATAGAAGCCACTGTGCTCTGCCTCAAACAGAATGACTCCATGCCCCATGCCCCCAAAACTAGATCTTTATCTATGCACAGAAAGGTGTCAGCATCAGCCAGCCTCCCCATCTACTAACATGTACTTGTCTGTAGGTTGGAACCTTGATGTAACCATCTAGAGTGTTTGATCCAAAAGGATTCTAGAAATCTCACGAGATCCTCTGTTTCTTCTTTTACTACAACCTGCTACAGACTCTGAAGCTGTTGTTGTGGTGTGTGTGTTGAGGGATGTCTAGAGTAAACAACATATCAAGGCCAAACATTTATTCATTCATTGTTCAGATGTGTAAGGAACACCTACCATGAGCCAGTGTCTTTGCTGGGTGATATAAATACAGCAGTGAACAAAATGGAAAGAATCCCTGCCCTCATGGAGCTTACATTTTAATGGGGGGAGACAGATTATCAACAGATATATAAGTGAATAAATAGTTGGTCAGATGGTGATAAGTGTTGTGGGCTAATAAAGCAGAAAAGGGGTAAAGAGGTGCCAGGAGTTGGGAGTTACAGTTTCAGAGAGTGAACAGGGTAAGCTTCACTGGGAAGGTGGCCTTTGGGCAAAGACTTAAGATGGTGAAGGAACAAGCCATGTGTTAGTAGGTAGAAGAGCATTCCTGGCAGCCAGACAGTTATAAGTCCCAAGATGGGAATGTTCCTGGCATGTTGGAAGAGCATCACAGAGGTCAGCATGGGTGCGGCTGAGTGAGTGAGGTGAAGAGGGGTTAACTTAGATGTGGGTGCGTGCTAGGGCAGGGAAGACCTTGTAGGGCCCTAGAGGCCATTGTCAGGACCCTGGCTCTAACTCTGTGTGAGCTAGGCAAAGGGAGCTGTTGTAGGGTTTTGAGAAAAAGAACTATTTGACTGAATTTTTTTCAGGAATAATCCCTGAGTGGAGACTGGACAGTAGACTGGACAGGGGGAAGAGCAGGGAATCCAGCTAGAGGCTCTTGCAGAAATCCAGGGGAGAGATGATGGTGGTTTGGACTAGTATGGAAGTGGTGGAGGTGGTGAGAAGTAGTTGGATTCTGGATATGTTTTAAAAGTAAATCCAACAGCATTTTCTGACACATTAGATGCTGAGTGAGAAAGAGGAGTCAGGGATGACTTTGAGGCCTTTGGCCTGAGGAGCTGGAAGGATGGCATGACCACTTACTAAGCTCTGAGCCAGAAATGGAAACTGTGGAGTGACCACTTAGGAAATGCATTTCTTACCCTCGATCTGGATCTCTGGCGTGGGAGACTCATATCCACATGGTGCTTCCACCTGACAATGCTGTCACACGGACAGGAGGCATTGAGGGGTTGGAGTAGAGCATTTTTGGGTCTCTGTGCCATTCACAGCCACCTGAAAATGGGTGTCTAAGAGCATACCACTGGCCTTCAGATTTGGTGCCACCGTGCCAAAAATGTACTTTCTGGAAAAAACATACCAGTTTGCTTTTCAGTTCTTCTTTCTGCTAGTGTCTAACCTGAGTGAAGCATTCTTGAGATTGATGATTAGAGTATTGAATAAACTCTACCAGGATATATGATATATCATTTAGCACCTGAAGTCCTTGAAAGAAAATTTGCAAAGCTACAACAGCTTGAAGTATTGTAGACTCAGTAGGAAAACTAAGTAGTTCTTTTGGGTTCCGTTCAGAGCTCTAAGTAAGGGTTGAGGGAAGTTTAAAAGGAATTAAGCCATTGACTAAAGTGCTCAACAGTGACAATCCCCTTTCCCCCAAGGGTATTATAGGAATTTTATTTCAGTTCCTGTCTCAGAGTCATATATCTGTCATGTGATTGGCCACCCAAGAAACCAGCAGAAGGCTTCATCAGATCGTGTGGGGGAGATATATGACTTTGACTGCCTCTAAGATGGATTCTCATTCCATGTGATTCACTGGGAGACCTGGAAACACCTAAATGAGGATTCCTTCTTCTGTGCTAAGAAAATACTCTTGTGATTTGAAAGCACAAATGTGTAAAAGGGCATGGGCAGATAATTTAACAGATAGCCTTCCACAGCCCTGAGTAATTTAAATCATCTCCACTGGATTAGCAATTCCAAGACATTTTTATCCCACTGAGCTAGCCACAAAATAAATTAGGTACCTAAAAAGAAGCTTGAGATCAAAGACTTTTTCAATAAAATACCTCCACAGAGCCTCTTTATAGGGCTCTGCGCACAGTGAACAATGAAGAAATGTGCACTGAATAAATACTGAGAATTTCTATTACCATTATTAGAAGGGATTAAATATTTCAGGCAGATTTTTTGTTGTTGTTAATGAAATTGATACCTGGACCAAGGCATTCAAGGAAAATATGATTTTACTTAGTGAGTAATATTAAGCACTTTCACTTATAAAAATATAACTTTTTTCCCATGGTTCTTTCAACATTGAAAGTACACATTTCCTATCGAGAGTGTGCGGTGGGTTTGGGTTCAGGACGTGCCCCCTCCGCTGGCGGCCCCAAAGCAGGGCGGCCGTGGGTACACTCACTGCCCGGACAGCTCATTGAAAGCTGCCTTGACTCAGAGAAGACAGCAGTTCACACAGGCATTTGGGTTCTGGAAGCAATTCCCATGTTATTTTCTTTTTTAAAAAGTCGTATTATAAATGTAATAGAGCTCCAAAGAGAGTGCCTTTCCATCCACTGTGGGCCTTTCAAAAGAGCCTGAAGGAACGCCTGTGTCGACAGATCACATCCGCAAGAAGGAATGAGGTTCCCCAAAGCTTCCAGTGGGGGATTAGCTCCTGCAGAGTGTAAAGACCTTAGTGTATTCATATTCGTTTCAGAGGAAATTAAAAAAAATCCTGGGAATAAATGTTAAACAAGTCTTCCTGCTGCTTTTTCTGTCTCAGCATATGAAGCTGAGGTGGCAGAATGTGAACCTTGATGGCAACAGGGGAGTTGCTGCACTGGAGTAAACCCTGCCTGGAGGAGCCCTGCCTTTTTCTTTTGATTTTAAAGAGCAGAAAATAAAAAGTGGGACCTCTTCACGGTGCCCCTCACCCCCACCGTTCCACCAACAGCGAGAAACTAGGTCAGAGTCAGGAAGGCCCTACTCAAGCCCTTAGTGGTGACCTTTAGAAGATAATGTATAGTTCAGTCCACAAGACCATCTGTGCAGGGCCCCAGGGGAAGCGTTGTGATGGGTGCAAAAAGCCAGGCCCTGTCCTGGAGGAGCTCAGTCTACAAGAGAACACATAAGCACATAACCACAATATCAAACACTGTGCAGATGCTGTGTGAGGTGGCCACAGCAGAGAGCTTGAGCTCGGGGCTGTCAGGCTGTCTAAGTCATTCAGCTGGGAGAAGTCAAGGTTCCAGGCCTCTTGTGTACAGTGCAAAGCTGGGGTTGGCTTAGAACCAGGAACCAAAAGATACTTTCCTGTCCCTGAATGGGGAATAGAAAAATGCTGCCCTCAAGCCAGTAAGCTAAGGAACTGTCCATCTTGGGGCACTGGTGAAAACAAAGTCACACTCTAAAACCTAGCCCTAGTCGTAGGATGTTATGAGGCTTGATTTTGTACTACTTGCCAGCTATGGAAACCCTGAGCCAAGAAACTAATATAAAAATTGGTCTAGAGCTGTTGAAACCTGTAGGTTCCTAGAAGAAGAAAGAAGTCACTCCGCAGGGATGCTTCTGACTCTTCTGCAAGACTCCAACAAGAAGGCAGCACCCACTAAAAAGGTGTTGACAGAGACAAATGACAAAGGTCTCAGGGAAAGTCACTGTTATGAGAGATTTGACTTTTTGCGTGCTGTAGGATATTGTGGTGTGCTGCCTCAAGCCCAGCTTTGCTACTGGATGGAGGTGCTCATTCCGACTGTTTGTGGGAGTGTAGGGGGCTGACATCTCGGATGAGTTGTTTCCAGGAATTACCTTTAGCCCACTTGAACCACCTCGCCCTTGGTCATACTTCCTCCCACAGTAGCCCATGACCAATGACTGGTCAATGTGGGGTGTATAAAGGACTGTTCCCTTGCCTCAAACCAGGACAACCCTAAAGGACATTCATTCCATCCAGCTCCAGAGCTGTTAAACTCCTCCCTCAGCTCAGTGCTGCTTGCCTCACTTCCCAACAGGTGTTGATCCTGAGAGCAATCCCCAAACCCCAAATCCCCATTTCAGAATCTGTTTCCTGGGCGACCTAATTTGAGACAGGTACTCCCAGATTTCCATTTTCAATCCAGACCTCCTTACTGAGCGCCAGACTCCTCTCCAGCTGTCTTGGCAACATCTTCACTTCCATGTCTCACATGCAACTCCAACTAAACCTGCGTAAAACTAAAACCACTCTATTCACTCCCACTAACTGCCTCTCCCATCTTTCAGCAGCTCTCACTCCCAATCATCCAATTGCTCTGTCGAGAAACCTTGACACCTCACTCTTGCTCACCCTTCTATCCAATCAGCCACCAAGTCCTGTTGATTGCATATTCTTAATGCATTTCTTCATTTCTGCTGCCACCTGACTAGTGTCACCATCCACTCTGGCTTGGACCCCTGCAGTAGCCTTCTGCATGACTTCACACTTTCTTTCTTTAGTTCATGGTGGCCAGAGTGAAGTTTCAACCACTTGCTTATTTTATTGTTTCAGTTTATTCACTTGTTTTGTTAATAGGTAGCTCTGTCCCATAGATCAAAATGCAGAAAGTACTGTGGACATAAAAGTCTAGTCTCCTTCCAAGATGCCATCAGTAATGTTGGCAGATTCTCAGGTATTCTTTCAGAGATAATTTTTGCCTATTCAAGCATCTAATCGTATTCCCCCTTTTATTCTCTGGCTGTCATTCTCCCACATGTATATGTAGCACACTATATACACTGTTCTGTACTTTGTTTCTTTATTTACCGATACAGAGTGATGATGCCTTTAAAGCGTAAATCTGATCATCTCACACCCAAGCCTAAAATCTTTTTTTGGCTTGCCATTACTCTTTGCTAAATCCCCAGTTCCTTAATATGGTAGCCTATGGGTCACATAGAGTCTCCAGAAACATTTTCTATGGCCCATATAGCATTTTACAAGATTAGATTCTAAACATCTCTAGACTGGCCGTGCCCTGTTCAGAATGTGACCGCCCCCACCATCCTCTGTTGTGTTAACCTGCCTCCCGTCACCCCGTCAGATATTTCCGTGGCCTGTCCATCTCCCACAGGCATTGGCAATTGTGCTGCCTTCCTCTCAAGCCTCGGCTGCAGCCCATCTCCTCTTCTCTCTCTGGCCACATTGCCTTTTTTTCCATTCCTTTAGTGCCCTGAGCTCCTTCCTACTTCAGCATGGCACAAGACTCTATGGCAAAGCTGCCGATATTCCATCTTTTTGCATTGCCTTTTCCTCCCTTTGCACTTGTATGATGCCCGTGTACCCCTCAGGAACCCAGATTCTCTGATTTATCATTTCCTGATATCCTTTCTTTTCTCTAACAGCACTTACCACACTTGTCTTAACTGTATTTTGTCAATTCTAAAATTTATGTTTTTGTTTTTTATTTTACATTTTAATCTTTCTGAAACTGGCAAGTGTCTTGCAATTAATGGTGACTTACGATTATAATGGTGAAATTAATGGAATGTTACATTTGATGAAACTGAGTAAATATTTATCTGTAAAAACATCAGCTTAATAACTGTCTTTCCCACTAGAGTTTATGTGCCAGAGGGCAGTGACTTTGGTTTTCCTGATCCCCCTATATCCATGGTGCCTAGCACAGGGTCAGGCATGTAATAGATGCTCAGCAACTATTTGTGGACTGAATGAATGAACGAGGAAGGGGTAAACTGAACTTAGTTTTATAGATCCTGAATTTGCCTCTCTCAATATTTTAACTGTCCAAATTTCATGCGTTCATGTTCTTCCTTGACTGTATCCTTTAAGGCTTTGAGAGTTTGCCCTCTTCCCCTTAATTTTTGCGTTTCCAGACTGAAGAGATTGACTAGCTCAATATTGCTTCTTGCAGAAACCACTTCATCTTTTTGGTCATTTTAATAACCCATCTCTGCACCTTTTGCCGTTGTCTATGTTGTCTTTCTTGTGTTGGGATGAAATTTCCTGTCCTTTTTCTGAAAATTTCTTGTGTTTAGTTTATACCTTTAATGGACATAGTCAGTGAGGCTGATATTTAGGAAGAATAATCTTGTGTGTCTCCTAAAAGTGCTGCTTTAAATTTTTTTTAGGAGATAGAGTCTTACTCTGTCACCCAGGCTGGAGTGTAGTGGCATGATCATATACAATAGAGCATTGTAAACTATCGTCACCCTACTGATCTATCAAACACTAGATCTTATTTCTTCTACCAAACTGTAAATTTCTACCCATTAATCAATCTCTCTTCATCCCTACTCCCCTGTCACCCACACATTCTTTTGTTTTAATATAAAAGGTTATGTGACCTTAACAATTTTTTAGAATTAATCAATTAGGTTACTTTTTTTTTTTTTTGAGACGGAGTTTCACTCTTGTTACCCAGGCTGGAGTGCAATGGCACGGTCTCGGCTCACCGCAACCTCTGCCTCCCAGGTTCAAGTGATTCTTCCGCCCCAGCCTCCCAAGTAGCTGGGATTACAGGCATGTGCCACCACGCCCAGCTAATTTTGTATTTTTAGTAGAGACAGGGTTTCTCCATGTTGGTCAGGCTGGTCTTGAACTCCCGACCTCAGGTGATCTGCTTGCGTCAGCCTCCCAAAGTGCTGGGATTACAGGCGTGAGCCACCACATCCGGCTCAGTTAGGTTACTTTCTAGGAGTGTAAGTCAGAGCTCAGAATCTATCATCTACACTTAGAGTATTATTTGTATTATTTACCCCCAGAAGCATTTTATTCCTTTTCTTACAGTGAGGCAGCTGGCCAGTATTTCCCACTCTCTTGCATGTTGATGACATCTTCATTCTATGGTTTTTCTCACCATGCATTACTTCCTGTTAGTTTGAAATTGCCTGGCCTGTAAAAGCTTAATGTTGCCTAAAACCTCGTGGGCTTCCCTGTGCTTTGCCTCTCCTGGATTAGTAATGAAAGGGCCAAACAAGGTGGTTCTACCCCAATCTCTGACAATGCTGCTGTTTTTATGTTTTATTTAAAAAAATGCCAGAGCATGGCAAAACATTCCTTCTTGTCGTTCAGTGCCTATTTAAAAAGTAACAATCTGTGTGCCATAATATATTTTTTAAGTGTAAAAACTGTCCACAAATTCTATATTGATTATATTCTTTTGCCCCAGAATTGAAATATACATAAATATTTGTATATAGAATAAAGACATACATACAAACATACGTACGTAGGTGTATATAAGTATATGTATAACGTAAGTATATATAACATGTATATTTATGTATATAATACACACAAAACAATGTACTAGCTGTAAAAACATCCTTTAAATTTCGAAACACAGCTATTGAGCAGAGATGCTATGAATGTATGGTCAGAAAAAAAAAATTCTGTCTTATAAGTCTGAAAGCTAAAACTTGCCACCTAGATATGTTCTTAAGTGAATGTGTGACCCAGGGTAAGTTACTGGACCTTCTTGGGACTCGGCTTTTGTCATTTGTAACAGGAGAAGGTAGGATTAGATCAGTGATTCTCAGCCCCGATTTCACTTTAGAAGCAGTTGGGAAACTTTAAAAAATGTAGATGCCCAGGCCCTATGGAGAGATTATAATGTAGTTTTTAAAGATTCTCCTGTGTGAGTCTAATGTGCAGTACCCAAGGTTAAGAACTGCCAACTAGACAAACGCTAGGCTCTTTCTAGGTCTGCAAGTCTCTTGCTTTACTTTTCTTTCCTAAGACAGTATGGGCTATGCCGACAGAGCCCTGCAGACAGAGCTAGTCCTCTGGTTGGATTTGCTTAACACATGTGATGCTGCAGAATGTTCTCAGTTGAAGAGTGCTTAGGCAGCACACCTACTCCTTTCTGTGCCCACACATGGCATCTCCCTGTCCACTTGAGCACAGAGCTTCGTGGCAGTCATAGTCCCCCACCGTTGAGGATGCCTGCATCTTCGTGCCATGTAGCATTCTCAGAGATGATCTGTGGCACAGCATGAGGAGTGCTCCCAGGTCATGTGTTTCCTGCCACGCGGCCTTGAACTGGTGGCCAGTGGCCATAGTCTGCATTATTTTGTTACTTGCTATCACAGTCTTTTTGCCAATATCCTTTTCAAAATTTTTGGTCTCTAATTTCATTCTCTTGACCACCTGGTAACTTTAATCTCTCAGCCTTGAAATGATCCATAGATATAGTAGTTAAAATAAAAAAAGAAGAATTTTTAAGCCTATTAGGTTCTAATCACTTCTGGACCTATGAAATGACCAGCAAATAGTTTACAAATATTATTAACTCACTAATGTCTTAATAAAAAGAACAGCAAATTCTAGCTATATTATTAGATTTATCTCCTCGGAAGTATTTCTTCTAGTTCTCTCCCCACTTCCACTGCCACCACCCCAGTTTAGGGCCATCTCCCTCACACCCGTCGCTTCTCCTTCTATAACAAAAATGGTAGTTGCTGTTCATGATAGGCCCTGTAATAAGTACTTTCATTGGTGTATTTAAACCTTGTAAAAGGGGACTTTAAAGATGAGGATGCTAAGGCTCATAGGGCCGAACATCTATTTAGTGTCAACCATAGGTCAAGCTCTTTACTAAATGCTGTCTCTATGTTATGTCATTCAGTCCTGAGAGTGACTATTTTACATTATACCAGGGACCAAATCACGGATTTAGATGTTCCATACTTGCCCAAGGCTAGTAAATAGTGGAGTTAAAACCTCAGCCATCTCAGCCACCACACCATGCTGCTATTATTTTTAGAAGCATTAGTACCACTGTCCTCATTTTATAGATGGAATAACTGCGGCCCAGAGCTATTGAATACTTTGCCTAAGACCACTTAGCTAATAAGAGGAAGAGGCAGGATTTGAACCTAGGTCTTTCAGATTCCAAAGCCCGAGTCACAAGCACCACACTTGGTTGCCTCCTACTCTTTCCTTATCCACTTGCATCCCATCTATAAATCAGGTCTCTCTCAAGCCCTTCCTGAACACTGGTTCTATTTTTCTTGCTATCCCTCTGCTCAGGAATGGTCTGTGTCTACTTCCTAGGTCTGAAATATCTTATTTATTTATTTGGACTTTTAAGGCCCTCTGAGGTCTCCTTCTGACCCCCAATCCTTATTCCTAGAGTGACCAGATCCCATGCCCTGCTCAGTCAGCCCGTCTCCCTTACTGCATGCGACACTCCTCCTGCCTCCTCCCACCTGCATGCTAGACTTCTCCTGCCTCCAGGTGTCTTTCGTCTTGTTCCCTTCATCTCTTCAAATAGCTTTTCCTGGATACCTATCCTGTGCTGCCAAGATCTGGAGGAAAGCCTGAAATTCTCCATCAGTCAAGCTGAATCCGTTTTCTCTGCACTGCTCAGGGCTACCCTCTCTGGGCAACATCCCCTGCTCACTCCCTCTCTCTTGCTGTGCCTCCCATCTAAACTCCCTCCAGGCATAGGTGCAGTGTGGTGCTCACTATGGACTCCTGTATGTCTGAAGTCATAAGTGAACTCCATGAGGGCAAAGACCATGTAAAACAATCCTGAGCATACAGTTGCTTCATAAATAGGCATCAGATGAGTTATTAATCTGTGATAATAGTTTTTTCCCCTCAAATCAGATGGTTTGTTATGTTAATTCTGAGTCCAGAAACACAAATTCTTAAAAGGTTGATTTATTTGATTTTTTAAAAGTATGTGTTATTGTGCTTATTTTAAAGGCTAATAAAACTGTTCTTCTAAACTGTTGCTATTCTCCTAGTAAATGTCCCTTCAACGGTAATGGAAGCCATGTGCAGACAAGACGCCCTGCAGCCCTTCAACAAAAGCAGCAAACTCGCCCCTACCACCCAGCAGCGCTCCGTTGTTTTCCCCCAGACTCCGTGCAGCAGGAACTTCTCTCTTCTGGATAAGTCTGGGCCCATTGAATCAGGATTTAATCAAATCAACGTGAAAAACCAGCGAGTCCTGGCAAGCCCAACTTCCACAAGCCAGCTCCACTCGGAGTTCAGTGACTGGCATCTTTGGAAATGTGGGCAGTGCTTTAAGACTTTCACCCAGCGGATCCTCTTACAGATGCACGTGTGCACGCAGAACCCCGACAGGTAACCCTGACTCTCACTGCTGACAGTGTGTTTGCTTAGTGAGACCCACTGCTTGCCTTCCCGCCAACTTCTGAGCACCTCCACAGGGGAAGCCCTGTGATTTGTGGTGTCTGCATTCTGGAAGGTCAGAGAGAAATGCAAGACCACTGCTTGACTTTCTTGCATATAAGGGCTGCACAGACAGGTTGGTGGCTGCAGAGAGGAATCTGCACTTGCCTTCCGAACAGTTCTGCCCAAGCCTAAAAGAGAGAGAAATAGAAGGAACGTTTATGAATATCATAGGTGGAAAAATGAGGTCAGGATAATTAGAATCTTCTCTGTCTTCCAAAGATAATATAGCTGGCTGCTCTGCTGCTGTCACAGTCATTTCAGGGTTCACCTCCAGTGTGCCGTGGGTATGAACTTAATTAAGTACTAAGAGGTAATGAATTGGAATTTTTTGCTTAGTACTATTTTTCTTCAGAGCATGCAAACCCATAAATCCTGCAAAGCTGTCAAAAGGAAATACCTACTCTGCTAGTGATGTGGAGGAAAACAGATGCCACTTATTCAATAAACTAATATCCACACAGAAGAAAAATGTTGACTAGATACCTCAGAGTCAAAGTTGGTTTGAAAGTTTGTCAATAAAGAATTTTATGGCCATGAACTGAGGATGAAATTTAGCTGAACAAGTGAATTAAAATTTCAGGTACTCTGATGAGTGGCACAGTAGATATAATGGAACTATTATTTATGAATCAAAACCGGTTTATTTGACAGTTTTGATAGCTGGGAGCGCAAAAGACAAAAATCAAATTAATTCAATAAGAAAGGATTGCTTGTGTTTTTATCTCTCCTTCATGTTCTATGAAAACTTGATTAAAATCCAAGTATCTAAGAATAGCATTCAAAATGCACTTTGAATATAAAAGCAGAAGATAATTTTTGAAGCTGGGGTAGGAGACTTGGAAGCAGGGCTCTTGGGTTATTTTCTTAATTTTGCCACTAATTTAAGCAAGCCACTTGGCTCTCCTCGCCTAATAATGTACACCCAGCTCTTCCCTCCCAGCTCTGGAGGGTACACAGTGTGCCTAGAAAACCCAAGCAGAGGCAGGGAGGATGGAGGTGGCGGGGAGAGGGAGTGGATATTTTGTAAAATAATAATAATCAATTACAGGATACATGTGCACATTACACATGCATACATTTTTATTTGTGCTGTTGGAAAAACTACTTGCTTAGCATCAACATTGCTGTAGCTAATTAATGTTGAAACATTAATTAGGGTTGTTAAGGCAGCTATGTCTTCACAATCTTTATTTTCAATAGGCGAGCCCCCTGGTGAGAGTATCAACAGACTTCTGCACATCTTAGTACTATTGGCGTAGAGGTGATACAAAAGTTAAAAATGTTTTCCTCATTCAGAAAAGATATTTTTCAAAATTTGCCTTCCTTGCAAGTATACGTAGAACCTCAAGATATGTCTCTTTTAAGTTTGCAAAGCATTTTAGTAGTCTTTAAAATACAAAAGATGCATTAAAATCTGATTATAAACTTGCTTTTTAAATAGAGTGAATTCAGATGGTTGGATCTATTATTTGCAAAGGTTCATTATAGTCATAATAACTAATTATACCAGGTAAAATAAAATAATAGTTGAAAAATTTCTGGATAGTAGAACTTTAAAAGTTTAGCTTTGAAGATGAGATGAGTTTATGCTGAATGCCATATAAAGCAATGAAACTATTTCATGGTAGGTAGATACTGAAACAGACTGTTTTGTCTGATCTCAGTTACGCTTAGAAAATCATATGTGTGGGGCCGGGCGCAGTGGCTCACGCCTGTAAACCCAGCACTTTGGGAGGCCGAGGCAGGCGGATCACGAGGTCAGGAGATCCAGACCATCCTGGCTAACACGGTGAAACCCTGTCTCTACTAAAAACACAAAAAATTAGCCAGGCATGGTGGCGGGCACCTGTAGTCCCAGCTACTTGGGACGCTGAGGCAGGAGAATGGTGTGAACTCAGGAGGCAGAGCTTGCAGTGAGCCGAGATCGCACCACTGCACTCCAGCCTGGGCGACAGAGTGAGACTCCATCTCAAAAAAAAAAAAAAATTATATGTATGTGTTATGATGTCTGTCCTGTAAAATAATAATGTCATAATTCGTAATATACTTATGTATATTATCAGAAAAAATACCTGAAAAACTAGAAAGCTTACGTATTCAAAATACATTTCAGTGGGAGATTGTTAGGTCTATACTGATTCCAAGCTAATTTAGAGTTACTGGCAAAAATCTAGGCGGCATGAGACTCCTGTCTTATCATGGACCCTGATGGGCTTATTTGATTCAGATGTCCAAGTGTGGAATTGCCAGCCTTTCCAGATGAGGTGAAGTAATGGGCTTGTTATCTGGGAAGGTGCCAGAGTGGGATTAAATTACTGAAGCAGTGGGTTCCTTCCCTGCAGTTTGTTGGTAAAGACTTGAGAGGTGTTCACCATCATTCTTGAATAAGTTAAAATAAAAAATTACTTCAAAAGATCAGTTCCTTTATAAGCAAAGTAATAAAATACAATGTTTCTTAGTAATGATGAGGAAATGCTTGACTTACATCATCACATCTGAGTTGATTGTTGAAGATAAGGGGAAATAGAGGGAGATATCCAGTCACTTGGACCCCCTAATTTCATTCTAGTTACATAATTTGCTTTTAGTATAAAGGGCTGGAATGGCTCATTTCTGTTCCGGAACCCAGTATGCTCTGTTTGTACCAGAAAGTTTGGAGATAAGAGATACTCTCCGTAATTTCTTAACCACATGGGTGAATTGCTAAACGGAAAAAATGTACAGAACTGTAATGGGACATCAAATTTGTTCATGACAGTAGCTACGTTTGGAACCTTTTTATGGTTATTATCCACGTGGATTATTACTGCTGAATACAGGTTGAGTATCCCTTGTCCAAAATTCTTGGGACCAGAAGAGTTTTGGATTTTGGGTTGTTTTGGATTTGGGATGTTTGCATTATACTCACTGGATTAGCATGCCAAATCTGAAAATCTGAAATCTGAAATGCATCATTGAGCATTTCCTTTGAGCATCATGTTGCTGTTCATAACATTTTGGATTTTGGAGCATTTTGGATTTTCATATTTGGGATGCTCAACCTGTATACGTATATTCTTTAGTGATTGATTCCAAAGATCAGCTGGCCTTTAGTCTTTAGCAATATATGCCCATTCAGCCACTTACAGTGAAAAGGCTGGATAGTTAGAATGCATTTCCCTTGCTCAGAAAACTCAAAAGCTTTTATTTTGATAGGAAAATCTTGCTAGAACCAGGTACAAGAAAGGCAAGAAAGGGGGACACAGGAGAGAAAGTCAGAAGGTAAAACAGGTTAGAGTTTCAAACAAGTCCAAATTTGAAACAGGCCCTTGAATCTGAGGTCCAAATGATTTTTTATTCAATGGACTGAATATTTGGCCATGAAACCCCAGATATTTCAACCTCCATCCAAGAGACTTTGTGTCTGTATTCATGAGCTTTTTCATGTGAGATACCATCAAAAGTCTATGCCTTGATATAAAGGAAAGAAATCCGTAGATCCTCAGGGATCCCAGCCTCACCATTTATTTTGTTTTATTTATTTTTTTTAACCACTGTGTTATTCACATTTAACACAGAAAAAAAAAATCTGTCTGACCTGGCAAAGTAGAAATCAGCACTAAAGACAAAAAACACACCCATGAGGGTCCAGGAACCATGGAATTATTATTACTTGATTTTGTTCTGTTAAGCAAAATCAAAAATCTCTTCCTCCTTTTTCCCAGGCTACTGACTTTTTCTTTTCCTGAATAAATTCGAAGAGAAGCAGCTGTTGGAATCTAAATCAACCAACATTTTGTTCAGGAACTTTATAAACATTTGGGGTTTTGCATAAGCTTATTGCCTAGGCCAAAGTAGCTTTTCTTGCTTTTGCTCAAACCAAAAGTGCTTTTGCTCAGCACTCCCATTGGGGGCAGTATGGTGGTGGGGGGTATGCTCCAGAAAGGGGTAAGCAAAGCCTTCAATCACAATGGATTGTTTTCTGACAAGTATGTTCTCTTTTATTTCCTGCAGAAAGTGTCTTTATAATGCTTATTTTTATTTTGCATCCCTTTTCTTTTCCTTTCTCCTTTTTGACTGTTTGTGCCACATGGGGCAAGTCTGCCTTCAGCCTCCTGGGCACACCATCACCTATTCACATTTGTGTTTTAAGTATCATTGTTTGTAAGAGATGTGGTGGGATCAGAGGGTAAAATGACATTAGAAGGGGCTCTCTGATAGGAGGGCCTGGAGAGAATTCATCATCATAATAGTTTCTTAGAATGTATCAGTATTCTTGTGTCCCACTTCTTCCCCATCCCCCAAGTGTGAAGGTTATCTTCTTTCTAGCTTTGATGTTCTTCAGGCTGTTTAGTCTTGCACTTCTGTCACTGTCCTGAAATATTTTTCTCCTTACGTAGAACTGAGTTCTTTTCTCACTCCACCCAGCCAGCAGTGACCTAAGTAATCTCTCTTTGAAGTCTTGAGAGATTTGCACTTGGGCTGGCTGATGTTGAACAAGGAGAGATTGTGGCCCCAACTGAACAAGTTTTGTCCTGGAGGCCATGGAAGAAAAAATTAAAGCAGGATTAATATTTTTAAGCCAAACCATACTTAATTTTGTTAAATGTTTCATCCTTTTCCCATGTATACACCAAACCAATTACAGATTAAAAGCAAATGAATTGCACATTTTACTGGAGTTATCTTTGGCAAAGGAGGTGCCAGTGACCAGGAGTGCCAGGAGATGTGCAAGATTGTCTCTCTGCCTTCTTTCTGCTTAAACATTTACCAGCATTGATATATACCAACTAAATCTACCCAGGTGTTTTCTGTTCTTCAGTTCTTTCTTTCTTAAGGAGCACCTTTCTGTTTTTTCATCAAGCTGGGTATTTCTGTGTCAGAACTAGCCACACAAAGCTATTTACATTTAAATTAATCCAAATTAAGTAAAATAGTACTTCAGTTTCTCAGGCGCACTAGCCACACATGAAGTGTGCAGCAGTTGCATGTGGCTTGTGGCTCCAGTATTGGCTAGCTCAGATACAGAACAGCTCCGTCATTAGACAACACTACTAAAGATCTCAAATGGTAAAAAAAAAAAAACAAAAAAAAAACCATAAGTTACTTGTGGTTGTGAGATACTGTCCTTTTGTGAGGCATACTGTTTGCCTTTGCTTTGAGAAGAGTGAAGTGCTATATGTCTATGATGATTTAGAGAGAATAAAGTGCTTTAAAAAGGAGATTTTGGGACTGGGCACAGTGGCTCCCACCTGTAATCCCAGCACTTTGGGAGGCCAAGTCAGGCAGATCACTTGAGCCCAGAAGTTTGAGACCAGCCTGGGCAACCTGGTGAAACCCCATCTCTACAAAAAATATAAAAATTAGCTGGGCATGGTGGCACGTGCCTGTAGTCCCAGCTACTCAGGAGGCTGAGAGGTGGAAGGATCACTTGAGCACAGGAGTTTGAGGCTGCAGTGAGCCACGATCACGCCACTGTACTCCAGCCTGGGCAACAGAGCGAGACCCTGTCTCAAAAAATTAAAAAAATTAAAGAAGATTTCCATTTAGTTGTGCAATGTCATGAGATCCTGGAAAGAGTAAAGCTAAACTCAGCACTCAAGAATGTCAGTTCTTAAGAGTGTCTCCGAGTATGACACATCAAGGGAGGCAGAACTTCAGAACTGATTATATCCAAAAATTTAATAAGTCTTACCTTTTGGTCAGACCTTGGAAAATTAATGGGAATGTTGGTTGTCAGAATAAAAAGCTGAGTAATGACAATTAATTGTGCGCTCCAAAGGCCCTTTGGCTGTATATTGAAAGACGTGGAGTTAGGATGTGCTAATTGAAATGGGCAAACATAGTCTTAACTCCTGTGGCCAGTTGTCCCAAAAGAAGTTGTGATGCCTGAGATTCCAAAGTGATGAAAATGTTTCCTAAGCTCTGCTGTTGGGCCTGAAGATTTAATTTTTGAACGTATTCCTGTTTCCCTGGATGAAACCCTAGGCACATAATCAATTTTAAAATTACTTTTTGATCATTTTCTTTTATTCATATTTTAAGGAAATATTGAAAATACAAGAAAAGGGGGTTTAAAGGAATCTTGTCTACTTACAGTGTAACTTCTGTACTTTCTAAGGGCTAACTTTCTATAAATTTCTAGGCTGAAAGAGACACTGTTATTATAGTGGCAGGTGAGGTACATCCTTCAGTTCTAAATTCTATACAGAATCAGCCTCTGCAAAGGTGTATGTGACCAAGTATTCTAAAATCTTATTTTTCAATGTACCTAAGAATGAAGGAATATTGCTTTGCTTTTAGAGATTAACTAAAACAAGGTTTGGTCCTATATTTTGGTACTAGATTTTCTTACTCTGAATTCTCAACTTTTTACCAATGCATTTAAATTTTCCATATTCCAATGAGCATGTACACACACACACAACCATAGAAAGCTCCATGTATAGGGAGCTGACTTGTAGACATGATGGAGAATAGAGATCATATTGGTGATGCTGTATCTTGGGAGGCAGTGTATTGTACAGATTTCCTGGGTCATGCACATTTGTCAATTACCTGAAAACAAGAACAAGCATGAGATGCAAGAGATCATCATCTTCAGTCCATTCCCCTTACCAGGCAGATGAGAAGACAGGTCAGGGAAGTTGAGTGGCTTGTCCAAATGCCACAGCTGATCAGAGTCAGGGGTCCTATCTCTCCCGTTCTAGCCCCTTCCATTCAGTCAACCTGAGTTCTGCGAAGTTTTAAAAACTGTGCCATAGGTCACTGCATCCCTAGCATATGCCTCTCAAGCCAGTGCCAGGCAAAGGTGATGTTTTAGAATCCGATTTGCCTTCCATTGGCGTTACTTTGATATAAGAATTCAACATAAGCCTCTCTGTGGTCATTTCTGTTCTCCTGTGTGTAAACCTTTACCACCGTGAACTATTAACATAAAAAGGATGGATTGACTTCTGACTGTGAGAAATAAATCACCCCAACTTTTGACAGCAGAGTTAGAAAAAAAAGAAAAGATTAATTGGTTTTATTTAGTGGCTTATTGTTTATTGTGATAGCCATTAAAAATAGATAACCAGAGGCTAATAAATGTTAATGGTCCCTTCACTATTAGAAAAATCAATTGTCAGTGAATATAGCATATATTAATATATTATTTTGTTTATAATCTTCAATAACAGTTTAGAAAATTCAACCCTGAGAGAATTATTTTTTCAGGAACCCTTTCAAGTTTAATGTTTGCCACAAAGAACAGATTCGGCAGGAGGACATTTTCATCTACATATAATTTTAATGGTTTTCAAAGGATTATTTTATGATTATAATAAAATGCATGTGTAATTTGGCAAGATTGATAAACTCCTTACCAAAGACTTTTTATATATTTCTTTGAAACTTGTTTGAGAGCAGTTAGATAGATTTCTAAATGTAAGTAATTAAAATTGTATAGTATTGAGTTATTGACCAATCCTTGGCTATTAGTCAAGCTAAAAAATTCTACAATCAGGGCTCAGTGTGCTGAAGCCTGGTAAAATAATAGTATTTGTGTTCAGTGAGGCAAGTGGCCACAATTAAGCAGTTCACTTGACAAATGAGAGGGTACACTTTATTTTGCACTTAATTGAATTGTTGTACATGCTCAGTCACCATTGTCTCCCGGCCCTTCATTTTGGTTTCTGGTCATTGGAGCTTGTGCATTTGTTAAAGGTTGAGCAATTAAGTCTGCTTTCACCATTGGTTTCTGAGTGCAGCCAGAAATGTCTGGCTCATAAGCCAGGGCTTAGTGAATGCTGTTAATATCCCTCACGACAGATTATTAATTATCTGAACAAAAATTTTGATAAACAAATTAGAATCCTGTCAAGGAATGATATGAAATAGCTTTGAATAGGGAAAACTCCCTGGGTTTTATATCACTCACCAGATTCTGCTTAAGTAAGCAGAAGAACTTCTGTAGAGAAGACAGAATTTTAATCTATTTTATGAAAACCAAAAATTGATTTACTTCTCGTGAGCTGGGAAGAATGTGCTCTGATAATCTTGCTAATTATCAGGTATTTGTCACCACTTCCTTCCATTTGCTTTTGCATCAGAATCATCCTTCTGCAAGCACAATGACATCCTATCATTTCTGTGCTGCTATAAATCATGCCTTGCTGCCAGATTCAACTGGGGAGGTGATGTTCAAGAGAAAGATCTAATGGATAAATATTTGGAGGAGGGAATAGTAGGTAGAAGTCAGGATATCTTTGACAAAGAGACACATCTGGGTGTACATCTGTGTTCATCTGTGCAATACCAGTGATTATGCTATAAGTCCACCACAGTTTAATATCCGTTAAAACACACATGTAACTTGCTGACTTGCCTGTGTGTTTACCTGGTACTTAGGATGAGGTCCAAACATCCTAGAACGGCCTTAGTATCAAGAGCTTGTGTCCCGGGAGGACAGTTTATCCTCAGTTTTCTGAACTAACAGAGATAATAGCAACTGCCTTCTCTGTCCCAGGGGATTATCATAAAGATTAAACTGGATAACTGATTTTAAAGCACTTTAAAAAGATGAAAGTGCTATGGAAGCACAAGAGACAATTATATATTTTCTCTTGTAACAGTCTGCTTAATGAAGTCTATACTTTCCCTACTTACAAAAGTACCCTAACATTTGCCTGGGGAAAGATAAAAATAAGAAAGTAGGGGTTTCCAAAATGGTATGATTAGTACTGGAAAGGGGTATTCATTCGGGAATTGATGTGTCTCAGCAGCTCTGTGAATTTTGTTCCTGTGGCAACAAGTAAAGTAGTGGGAATCCAGTGGCCAAAGCTCTATGCCCTGTCTTAGAAACTGAGAAAATGTCACCAATAAGTTTTGGCCCCTTGTCATATGATTCTGACTTCCACTGACCAACGCAGAAAACAATGACCAGACAGTCTGTTTATTTGTTTCAGACCCTACCAATGCGGCCACTGCTCCCAGTCCTTTTCCCAGCCTTCAGAACTGAGGAACCACGTGGTCACTCACTCTAGTGACCGGCCTTTCAAGTGCGGCTACTGTGGTCGTGCCTTTGCCGGGGCCACCACCCTCAACAACCACATCCGAACCCACACTGGAGAAAAGCCCTTCAAGTAAGTAGTGGCTAGCCCTCCACCCTCTCTTTCTCTTAGCCTTTCCCAAGAGCCAGCTGATGCATCAGCACAGTGCTGCCTGGCTTAGCCAGCTGGCACAGGCTACTTGGAAGGCCAGTGTCCAGGCTGCAAACGAATCTCTCCTTGTTTAGTGGCTGACATTTGAAAAATGAAGTCAGGAAACCTATGCACTGGTCCTAGCTCAAGTTGCCAACCTTGGTCGTGAGACAAATCTTCTGGGTCTGTTTTCTCATCATTAAAATAAAGAGGTAGGAGTAAATAATTTTAATATTTTTTTCAGTCCCTGATGATCTGTGCTTCTGGAATTTTATCTAGGAGCGACACAGAGCTCCTGTGGCCATCAGCAAGCCTTACGATCATCAGAAAGGTGACCACAAGTTTAGAACATCCGAATAATCCCCTTTTGGAGAACTTGAACCCTTCAGGATTCTGATGAAATATATCCTCCTCTTTCCTATGTGTTAAAGAGTTTGAACCTATTATAGCAGCCAACTTGTGACTTTTCAGTGTATACTTTGGACTTTAGAATTACCATGTTGGTGAAAAAAGAAAAACAAAACCAAACCCAGAGTACATTGACTTTTTGAGGATTCAGGGAATGTGGAAACAGATGGAATTGAATTCTAAGGGCTTTGGCAAGATAATGGCATCTGAGCAAGAGAGTGTGTTTCTACACATGGCACACTTATCCAAATGGTGGACATCTGAATCCGTGCAAGATGGTCTATTCATTCACTTATTCACTCATTCATTCATTTACTCATTCAGTTATGTATGTGTTCATTCATTCAGCTGGTATTTACCAAGTATGTACTTTTTTGCTAGGCACCCTGGTAGGTACAAGAGATACAAAGGTGAATGACATTTAGCTGTTCCTCCTTTTCTCCATCTTTGAAAACCTCATAGTCTAAGGGGAAGCCCAATTAGTAAACGTATTATAGGGTGAAAAGTACAACAGTAAGACATGTATGTATGATGTTTCACAGTAGCACAGAAATGGAGTAATCAATGCTATCTGGTGGAAATGATGTTTCAGATATGTTTTGAAGGATAAGTAGGAGATTTCTAGACATACGGGGCATGGGGGAAGGTATTTCTGGCCGTCCAAACAGCAGGTGGAAAGGCCTGAGAGTGTGAGTCAGCATGCATGGTTGATTGGTGTTCTCAGAGCAGTTTTTATGGTCTGTGTGATGAACTCTTTTCAGTTCAACCCTCTTACAGCTCTCTTCACTCATTTGCTCTACTGGCTTTTTCTGTTTGAGAAGGAGAATTAAAAGAGCATAGAGTTACCGCCTTATGTACCTTCTGTAGGACATGATCAAGCAAGAGAGGAAATGATTCAGGCAGTAGGAGACTAATCCCCCTGCTCAGTCTCAGCCAAGAAGTCTTCCCAGAGCCTCATTACCCAGGATTTTCCATCCAGACCTGCTGTCGTGGCGCACTTTGTGCTCAGCCTGAGGCCAGGCTCAGCTTGGGAAACAGAGTTCTCTGGTCTGGGTCCTGCCTTCCTCTCTGTCTGCCAGTGAAGGGAGAAGTTCATAAAAGATAGTCATTGTCCCTCTTCTCCTCAATAATTAGTTACTTTATTCAGCATTCTTAACTATTCTCCAACATAGTTTAATTTATGGTGTTAATAATCAAAATAGTGATAATTTTTGTTGCGGTACATAGGTGCAGCTTGTTCACTGCATAAGAGCATCTGGCTAAGTGGGCAGGATGGGGCCTAAAATCAAGTCTGTACTATGCCACCCATGCTGTGCCGCCTGAGGCTGCAATAGCCCAAAGAGGGCATCTTTTTCTAATCCACCCTAAGGAGCTGCATGGGCTACCACAGTCCTAGGAGTTCCCTATCACCAGTGCTTGTATCCTGCCTAGTGGACTTTGTCATTGCCCTCAGGCCTGAGCCCCGTAGGGTTCCTAGGTTCTGGCTTCACTGCTCTGGAGGAGGGTGTTGACAATGAGTGGCACGTTGCCTGTGCCTTTGAGCAAGAGAGCTTTTCAAAAGCAGAGATACAGGAGGGTTCAGGATCCTTCTGGCCCCTTATATTAGAAAGGGCAGCCAGACCAATACAGTGCCAGGAGTCAGATTGATTTTTATCTTGTTGCTGTGTAAATAGATTTTAGTAATTAATTGAAGCGGTTTCAGGGTCAAAATGGGAAATAGATTTCTATTAATGTTAAGGTGTTACTTATGTGTAACCTTGTTGACTTCACTCAATTTTTTTCCTTTAACATCTGTTTTTGTCATGTTTCCAATAGAGTTGCCATTTTAACTTAATTTTAATTCATCAGATTAATATTTGAAGGGCTTTGCTGATTGTATTTTTCCTTTTCCAAAAATATATGTTTTGATCATACCTACTTTCATCTGGAAAAAAAAGGAAACAACTAAGGTTGTTGGCTTAAATTCTGTGTATATGTTTTAGTTCTTTCTGTTCCTACTTTTATCTAGACAGCCACATGCTGTAGTTGTTTTTTTTTATTTTAATTTATCAAATAGATATTCCCAGGGGAGAGCTGAGTGTATGCTTATTTTGAAAGTGCAAGATTTAAACATCTTCTAGGAAATGGAAAGTTAAATCCTTTAGTGTATACAACCAGGTCTTTCAGAATTGATCTATCCCAAGGGAATTTTGGGAATCTTCCAACCATAGCTCATGGATATTCATCCCATGGACATTTGTAAATATTATGAAGATATCCTTTTACAAGCTTATAAAACAAACATTTTTAAAAACCTTTTTTTTGCAGATTAGTCAATAAAATGGGTTTCTCTACAACAGTTAATTTTACTACTTCAACTAATGGGTATTGGCTTACACAATGTTACAAAGAAGGAGAAGAATCTTGTAAAGGCACATAACCCTCAACTGTATGTCTTGGGGAGTTTCCAAATAGATGCCCCAGATGGCTCAGTCCCCAAATTGTCCCACCCATCCAGGGCTCAGGAGGCCTTTACAGAATTCTCAGGGTTGAGCTGAGATTAAGCTTGCCATGTCAGAGAAAGCCCTTTACAACTTCTAAAATCTTCTGCTGAGAAGTGGTTTTTGAAGGCATATCAAGATTACTGCCATCCAAAGAAGGCTGCAGAAGATTTGGCATGAAGAGGTCAGAGTTTCAATCCAGGCTTTGCCTCATATCTGATTGACTGAAATTCCACTGAAAGAATCCATCTCCCATGTTCTAGGTAGATGATGGGCCTGTCAGCAGCTACCCTAGGCCGTAGACTTAGGATTTCTAAGATAAAGGAGCATGTACGAAAAATAAAAATTGGAGGATCACATTGAAGGTCTTGGCTTTCAATTTGCTCTATGATACTGGAAGTCATGGAAAACAAGGAGCAAACGCAAGATATCATTTAACAGCAATGGCCAAGCATTTTATTGCAGGCAGGCAGGAAGGAAGGAAATAAAGAAGTTAGTTGGCAGTCTAAAAATTATTCTATGCAGCAAGGACTCCTTCCTCCTTCTTACTAAACAGTGTCTTGATATTTCAGTGGGCTGCCCTGCTGTGCCTGAGAGGATCTGTGTGAGCTGCCCGAAGCCTGGCTTTCTGAACCTGGGAAACTGAGAACAGGCCAGAATTTTCCTTAGGAGGGGTTCTTCATTATTGTTAGAAGCAAGGAGAATCATTCATCGCTATGTTCTTTCATCAAGAAAATGGAGTTTGGCTCATGATGAAAAAAATCAAAGGAAATTCCAAAGGACATCTAATATTTGAACAAGATCTAGGCAAAATTAAAGCAAATCCAAGAAGCAAATCAGTAAATATGCATTGAACACATCATACATACAAAGCCCTGTGCAATTTGGTTCAATTCAAAAAGTATTTTGTGGCATATCATAGAGGCACAGAAAGCTTGTTGCAGGTTTTCTGTGGTAACAGAACTTGACATCGCTTTGTTAAGCTCCTCGTACATATAATCCAGTCAACCATCATAGTAAGTAAAGAATGATCTCAAACTTTAGAGGTAATTAAGTCTAATTAAGATGCTCACAATGGTATAATAGAAACTCCTCACAATGAGGAGTTTCTTTTAGCTGAAATACTTAGTAGACTTTCCACTTCATTGTTCCTGAGATACTCCCGTCAAGGCTGTGGCATCAGCACCTATGCTAAGGGAAGGCACAACGAAGCCCCTGAGTGCAAGGGCGCTTTTCCCTCCTGACGCATTACCTGCATCTTTTCTTCCTTCTTACTCTGTTACACTGCACGAAGTCCAGGCTTAGAGATGCCCCTGCCAGTCAGTCATCAGGGACTGTAATTCAGGGTTAGTTTAGATGCCAACCAAGTGAAGTCTGGCTCTGACTTCTGTTGAGTCAGTTCTGTTGAGATGAGTTTCATTAAAGTATGAAAATATTTTGTGGAAGAGATTTCTCTAAAATGTAAGATAATGAACATAAAACTGAAGTCCTTCTCTTATTTTTAAAAAATATTTTTATATCTAGCTCTTACTTCCTCAAATATATAAATTGCATTCTTGTCATTCCCAGACAACATAGATATTATTTCTGGTAGCCTTCTTTCCTCAAGGAGAACTCCCTGAGAAAAGATTCTAAATTAAGGTAATTTCTACACGTTTGCTTGTATTTTTACTCACACTTGGTGTGCAGATGGCTCTAGAAATGATTTTTCTGGAATACTCTTCTTATGCACCCTATATATTGGACAAATTTTCTGACTATTACAACAAATTGTTCCATTTGTGTAAATATCTGCAGTGCATTTAGGCAAACACTTGAGAAAAATGTGTTTTTCTCTTAGTGTCTCCATCCAATCTGGATGTTAAAATATTACATATAGACATACACTTTTGCCTTATATGAAGCACTAAACTGCCAACTCGTGTATTCCTCATATTCTAATACACAAGATTAAAAATGCAAAACCATGACCCAGGCACATTTTCATTTCTCACAATTGTTCAAGCTATTCTACTCTCTTTGAAATTGATTCTAGAGCTTCAAGATAAAAAAAAGGAATATAATAATTTGAAAGTTTGTCAAGCAGTGAAAGGTAGTATATTTTGACACACTAATCCAGTAACTAATCAGTTTTCTAATAAACAATCAGCAGTTCGCTAACGTGTCATCAGCACTCCAGGAGCTCTGGAGAGGGGATGAGCTGCCCACGGACGTTAATGAATACACCAAAAATCATTAGGTGATCAATACTTCTGAGTTATTTTCATTGAGCTGATAGGTCTGATACATTAAAGCTGACATTATACATTTGTCAAGATCACAGTGCAGTTTTTAACAGTGGAACAGGCTGCTAAAAATATTCCCCGAAAGACAATCAAAGAAACACAAGTTCTTCCCCCTGACACACTCCGCTGGTGCAGGAGCCCTGAAAAATCCAAATGCGAAGTGAAGCTCCTGCCTCCCAATGTTCAAAAACATGCAAGAATTCCCAGAGTGGATTGATGTGTTCTATTTTATAGGTACTTATTTCCAAGACAGGGCACTTAATATAATTTACTGAAGAGGAGAAAGAGTGGAATGCCTAACAGATAACAGGGCTTGTGGCTTTCTTGTCTGTGATAAGGCAGGGAGACTATGTCATGGTGGCTTTTGCCACAGCTTTCATAGTGCAGGGGCTCACAAACTGGAGGTTGCATTATTTAAAAGTGGGACAATTGTCTGTAGCTCTTCTTGAATATCTTTTTCTTCAAAGGTTTGAGGAAAGGGCATTAGGGGTGGCTGAGGTGGCCTCTGAGCTGTATTAGATGCTGGGCCAGTGCTCTAGGCAGCCCAGGTAAGTAAGGTGGTGATGGAGAAGTCGCTGTCTGTGCCCAGCCAGCTGCCACAGTTCATCTGTGGGTGTGTGTATTTACACACACAATCACAATCAGCCAGGGACAACATCCACAGAAAAACAACAGGCTCCCACTAGATTTTGAATGTGTGTTCTGCTTTTTGTAGATTGAGTAGCCACCAAGCTAGTAAGTGAAGGTTGTTTGGAAGATATGGACATGGGAGATAGGGAGGAACTCAAAGTCTCTAGATTACAGTCTTTTTTTGTTGTTGTTTCTCATTTAAGTTAAAAAGAAGAGATAAATCTTGAAGTGTGACATTTTCTCCTCATCAGACACACTGCCCTTAATTCTAGCCCATAGGTACATCCTTTCCACTGTGCCACTGCAAATTCTAGTTTTATAAATTATTTTAACCCTAAGTTTGGTTAGGCTGTGACACTGTAACCAGCTTTTGCAAAAAAGCAGCGACCACGCCTACTGCCCCTCACAGTCACTGCAGTCTAACATATTGCTTCCTCTAGTTTCCAAATTCCAAGATGTACACTCTTTGGCTGCTGTTCTGAAGGGAGTAGAATTCCCAATTGTAAATTAGCAGTAGGTGAAATTCTATTTGTCATCAATTTCTCTTTGGGGTTACAGAGTAGAAAACTGCAGGCAAGCTGCTTCTTTGATGGCTCACTCCTAAAAATCTCTTTTTGTTCTTTATCTATTTGAACTGACAGTGATCAGAGCTGCAGCAGGACAGGGCTCTCTGGAGAAATCACCTTCCCCCTGCCTATTGACAGATCCCTCTGTTCTGCATCAGACGGGCTTTGTCCCATCACAGGCATCCAGGCCTTGGAAGGAGCCACCAATTAAACCTCTTGAGCTGGTAAAATCTGAAGCCACTTTGGAGTGTCTGTTCTGATTAGGCAGGATGAGAGGAAGCCCATCACCCTGCAGGCCCCGCTCCCTGGTCTCAATTTTCTCTCTTGCCTCCACCAGGTGCGAGAGGTGTGAGAGGAGCTTCACGCAGGCCACCCAGCTGAGCCGACACCAGCGGATGCCCAATGAGTGCAAGCCAATAACTGAGAGCCCAGAATCAATCGAAGTGGATTAACGGATTGACTGGTTGGAATTAAACTGCAAGGAAAGTCATGATTAAATGTCACGGACACTTAAGCAAAACCAAAGATTTCCTCTGAGCAACTTTCAATCAGTCCCAGAAAACCAAAAGCAGTAATAAAATAAGTAAGATGTTAAGAGATATTGATCCTGGCATGGAAGTCAGACCAGGAAAGAGATTATTTATTTATGACTTAGGGATGAGACTTATTTCAGTGGACAACTAACCTGGGATGGTTAACATTTCCAGTCCCACCATGTATTTTGCTTTGTTTCTAAAAAGCTTTTTAAAAACTGTTATTTAATACCAAAGGGAGGAATCGTATGGGTTCTTCTGCCCACCGTTGTGACTAAGAATGCACAGGGACTTGGTTCTCGTTGCACCTTTTTTTAGTAACATGTTTCATGGGGACCCACTGTACAGCCCTTCATTCTGCTGTGTCAGTTTGGCCTGGCCTGACACTGGCTGCCCCAGCGGGGACCACGGAAGCAGAGTGAGAGCCTTCGCTGAGTCAATGCTACCTTCAGCCCCAGACGCATCCCATTTCCATGTCTTCCATGCTCACTGCTCATGCACTTTTTACACGGTTTCTTCCAAACAGCCCGGTCTTGATGCAGGAGAGTCTGGAAAAGGAAGAAAATGGTTTCAGTTTCAAAATTCAAAGGAAAAAGTTGAGGACTTATTTTGTCCTGTCAAGATTGCAAGAACATGTAAAATGTACGGAGCTTCATAATACGTTATATTGTTCCGAAGCAGCTCGTTGAGAAACATTTGTTTTCAATAACATTTTAGCTTAAAAAAAAAAAAAGAAAATGAAAATAAAGTTCTTTGGTTTAAGGCTGGAGATAAGGTGTTAGGCTTCATTGTAATTTTTTTAGTTGTTTCTGTGAAAGTGTTGAACATGTGAACAAAAATAGTGCCAAACCCCATCGTCAAGGCCCTTTTAGCAATTTTATCTTTCTTCCTCTTGCAGATGAACCCCAGGAGCCCCCTTTCCTCTCTCCTGAGTGTGGGAGGAGCATGTCTACAAACACAAGTGAAAATAGCCCAGACAAGGAGACTTTGAGAGGAGGAACCATGGAGAAGGTTGTGGTTAGAACAGATAGCCCAGGAGCAGCTAATTTTATCAATAGGATTACTTTGTCTTTTCTTGAGATTGATTAATTGAAAGAGAAGGAATTCTCCACACAATTTCACTATTCTTTGAGTGCTGAGAATGTGAGTTTAATTTCAGCTAGCCTGTTGGTGGTTCAACAGTGGTGCTCAATGAAATTGGGTCACATTTAATGAAATGATCTAGTTTTGGGAAGAGCTGATAGCTCCCAGCAGCATCTCAGCGACTGTCTACCTTGATGGCCAGTTTAGATAAAAACTGTTCAGTTTTATCTAGAGTGTTTAATAACAACAGTTTCTGTTTGTAAATTTCATCATCACCTGATATCAGGACACAGTCTTTTAAGGAACTCCTTGTCTTTGAGCTTTCCCATTGTCTTCCCTCAATAAAAATGAGACACATAACTGAACTCACTACTAAAAGGCAAGGATACTGTGTGGTTTAGTTTAATCTATTATTATGTATCTGGCTCTGAGAAAATCTCTCTTCCCTTTTAATTTTGCTTCTCTATTCCTTAGCACCCCAGCTACCACATTTTAAATGGAATTCAACAGGGTCTAATTAATAAGTGTTTACAGTTATTATTTATATACGTATATATACATATATACACATAATAATAATCTCTAGAACCCTGGGCCATAAAGAAAAAAATGGCTAATTCTGACCTCTGTTGCCCAATCTCAAGCCATTCACCTAGAATTTTCCTCCAGTTCTTACTATCTCCTGGTCATGAAAGTAGTAAGGAATCTATGCTGCTGTATAACAGTAGCTGATTGAAACTATTCTCTCTGGTAGTTAGGAATGTGTTCTGATTTTACAATTCCCTGCCCTAAGTGATGGATACGTTTGCAAACAATGTGCGTCACTGGGAAGTGTGAATGAAATGTAGCCATATTAACCTGAAACCTGCAAGAAAAGGACAGATCAGCTTCACAGATGAGTAAGCTGTTCCATTTGTTAAGGTTGAAAGATTTACTCAAACTTTTTGAAAACAACAGTAGGGAATCACCTGTATATTTCTAATTTTTTTTTTCATTTGAAAAATCAGCTCAGCCATTTGCCACATTTCACAGTGGAACACCATGTACTACTCAGTTCTCATGAGCTTCAGAACGTGGGAGAATGAGAAGGCTTCCCTCCTCCCTTGATGTCTGGCATGGGAAGGTTTTCCTTAACAATGATCTCTCTGCCACCCTGATAGCTTTGCTAGCTGATCCCAAACTTCCACTGAATGTGGCAGTAACCTGTACTCCAAAACACTCTTCTAGTGTTCTGCTCCATTTAAATCTATTTTTATCCTCTATTATTAAGAGAAATTGTTGGCATATATATTCCACCAAATTTGGTCAGAAAATATTTTCTGCCTAACAAATAGAAAATTGGATACTCTAATTTTCCAGGCATGTGGGCACATTCACAATTTTTACATTGCTGTCCTATTGCCAGCTTCTAGCAGACCAGCCTAGGCTGTCTGTCCACAAAGACAGGCTTACACCTGGACATTGACTTGGAACCCTGAAGCAGGTACTGAGATCATTTGGGTCCAAAATGATTTTAATCTAAGTGTATGCTGGGGAGGAGGTTTCTCTTTGAAACTTCCTAACAATTGCTTTAGCCTTTTCTATTTAAAGTGGACACACAGTCCCCTGGGATACAGCAAATGGGTGGTAGAAATTGCAGTCGTAAAATTTGCCAGTTTTTCTTATTAGTAACTTCCTAATTAGTAGTGCTATAAAGAGAGTAAATGCTCTGAATCACTGGGGAAAGGATATTTAAGATAAGAAAGGTAGTCTGTCAGAGCTGAATCAGGGTTTGGCTCTTGAAGCAATCCTTCTTTACTCTTTTCTTTCAATGGGGATAAAATAATAATAATTTTTTCAGAATAAGACTTTTCATCCTAGCGTATGTTCCTTTATTTAGCAGAGTCTAAGACGAAAGGTAATGCCAGGGAAAAGTCAGGGTGCAATAGGATGAGAGATGGAGCTGCAGACCTTTGCATTTCTAGAAAAATCTCAATATCCCAAGGCAAAGTTGTATTTTCCCCAGGATATGTGCATACATTTTTCATAGATAAGCTTTTCATTTTTGTTTTGTTTTTATCTTTAAAAATGACTTTTTTGGAGGAGATATACTTCTAAAAAGTTATTGTATGGCTAATTAAAGCTATGAAACTTAATCTCATATAATTTATATAATTTGATTCAGTTGGTACATTTTTTATTGTGTTCATTTAAATGTAGCCTTCTTGGGAAACTATGTATAACAGGAAAAGATCATGACATCATTGTGTCCTCATAGGGCTCATAATTGAATTTTACCTTGTAAAAATTTCATTCTGGTTCAGGTATGCAAAGATTTATACGAACATTTAGCAGTTCATCAATTTTTAAATCAGATGTTCATTGTTTCATTCATTTATTCAACAAGTATTTATTGAACTCTTATTTTATATAAAGACCCCATTTTATGTGTTCACCATAAGCAGCATTATTTAAGTGACTATTCATGATAAAATAATATTCTCCTCCTAAGTGGCTGCTAGTAAAATGGGTATTTTAGTCCTTTAGACCATTGTCTCAGTGAAGTTAAAGATTTTGTTCCAACTGGGAAAATCTGAGAGAGGTAAATTCATCTGGGGACCAGAAAATAGCATATTGCAAAACAAGTTAAGATGCACAACTTGGTTGTCTTTGCTTAACTCACTGGGCTATTGGTTGTTAGCAGCAGTATCAAGAGACCAGGATTAGGGCCTGGGTCTTGGGTTTTTATGACCCCCCCTTTCAATGATAAGGCAACAAGTTGGGTACAAGGCTGGAGTTGCTCAGGGAAGGAGATCTGCGACCCTGAATGGGTCAGAGTTGCCTCATTAGTGGTAAGCGTTGGCAGTGTAGTCCCTTTCCCCGGTGTGCAGAAGTAACATTATTTGTTTTGCACTAATTTAAAATTTAAAATGCAAGTATCTATTGAGTTGTTTAAAATGGGAATCATGGCACGTCTCACAAAGAGGGCATTTCCAGAACAGCAGGGTTAACGGGTCCCTCTGAGTGTACCCAGCAGCCTGCGTTTAGGAGCAAATTCATTGCTCTCATATTAAGGCTATGCATGCCTACAGAAACCAGGCCAGGAATAAGAAATAAATAATCACATTTCCTGAAATGTTTATCTGTTTCTTCCTTGACATGAATTTAATTTTTATTTCCCAGAGTCTTTACTAGATCCTGACATCAGATTTTAAAAGATACTGAGATATATGCTTCTTTAAATGATAACTGTAAGTTCCAGAAATGTTATTCACTTGTCAGGATCCTTTTAAGGTGAAGAGCTTTGGAAAATTTTATGCGCTAACTAGATACCTGGGTGATCATCAACCCAAAGTTTAAAGTTCTCCCCTCACTAGCATTTATCTGAACTACCACAAAACAACAACGCAGGTTACTAGGAAGGCACCTATTTCAGCCCTCCCCAAGATTGCATTCTACAAACCCAGAGATCAGCTGTCAGGTACAACTGGCCAGACAGAGCCAAACTGAAAAGAATATTGCTTTATCTGTGGAAACCTTGCCACAGATGTTTAACCTGTAGTCCATGGCTGTGTTTGACATTTAAAATATTTATTTAGTTTCTTCCTTTAAATAATAAATGCCAGATGTTTCATCAGATCAATATGTAAAACGATAACAAAAAATATGTCGGAAACAGGTCAAAGTCATGAAACATTTGAATTGTCTTTCCTATAGACTGAATATGCCACCACTGCACTTAGAAAACCTATGGAGGAAATTTTAATGGAAAAATAAGGACATTCTGCGCTTATTCCCACAGAGGTTGATGGGAATGATGATGATTATAAATTATATTGTGCAATTACTGCCATGCCTTGTTCTAATGCTTAATGTGGATTATCTCTTTTAATCCTTAGTAACTCTATAACAAAGATACTATCATTATCCCCTTCTCATATATGCTTAACAGTTTTAGCTTTGTAGCTTCTTTAGTTTTTTTCCTCCTTCAAAGCCATAAACAGGCAATTGTTAAAAGAGGAAAATACTTCTCTATGTAAAGCTTTTTTTTGAGAACAAGAGCTTTTAAAAATTAATAAACACAAGTATAATTTATTTATAAAATGTGTTTGTGGAAACAATACTGAAGTGCTATTAAAACACGTATCATTATAGATGCTGATTTTGTCATGCCCAAATCTCATTGCTGGACAGAATTTCAACTATTCCATTGCTGTCAGGCATTGTTTTTGTTTTTCTAAGCAGGAATCTAAAATTCCACATTGAAAGAAAAAAAAATAACCCTCTCAAGTGTGATATACATTAGGACAAATGGCAACAGGCAGGAAGGGCAGGTTGTGTTGGAGGGTGGCCAGAAGAGAATAAGGTTCGAACACTATCGACAGGTAAAAACACATCCTCAACGGGGCTAAGTGAAATCTCGTTTTCTTTCTTTGTTCTGACTGAATGCTAAGTGAGTTACTTTCCAGGCATCAATGGAGTCATTACGCAGTTGTGTGCATTAAGAATATGGGCTTATGTTGTTAGCCTGTTGGTTTAAAGCAGTGCAGCAGAAAGACTGGAGTCATTATAGGTTTGGTTTGTCAAAGGCACAGATAGTGTAGTTACATGCATGAGGTACTCAAGGAACCAGTTCAAGTTCTGGGGCACAATCTAGATGAAACTGTGAGGTTTGTTCAAAAAGTAAGTGTACAAAATTTCATCATGAACTGGCTTTATTACAACTCTTTACCGTGGTTTATTGAAACCACAATGTATACTACTTTCCTCCAGATTCTGATTCTAATGGGCACATTTGTTTGTTGAAATGATAAATATATTTTCCTTGTCAAACATGGTGGGTCCTGGTTGATATCTCCTGTTTCCTGCCTTGAAAAACATCCTTGTTGGTGCCTTTCTCCCACTTTGGTACATCACTCCCAACTGAAAACAGTCTAGATATAAACTTTAACAAGCTGGAGATCTATTTCTACAGCACAACTCTTTCATGTTTAAAAGCAATTATGCCGTATCAGGTGATTGCCACATGTTGGGGAAAGCAGCCATCTTAGAGCAAAAGTCTGCCAACCCACAGTCCCTGTTGATCCACATGTGGGCATTGTCTAATGTTAACAAAATCAGCACTTGTAGACTTACTTTCTCTGAACAATCTAGTACACTTCTCTAGTTTCTCCCAACCTGGAGAAAATGTATAGCAAAAGCCAGAGGCAAAATTATTCTCCTTAGCAGTTCTAAGTATTTCATGAAAAAGCCTTCCCCCAGTTTAAATGCAGAGGCTAAGGTGATGACTAACGAATTAAGGAAAACTTTGGCTCAGATCAGCAAAATTATTTTGGAAACTTAATGTCCCAAGTTAATTATTTTTTTTATATCAAGGGGAAGACATCCAGTTCTGTAGGATGCTAATAGAAGTGTGATATTTAGATGCTATTAGGACATTGTATACATTTCTTTAATGTGGTTATTTTAAGTTTAGGACTGTAAATGTTCCCTACTGGAATAGAAATATGTCTCTCTCCAACTTTCCACCAAATAAAATGGTTAGAGTGAATGCCCAGTTTCACATCTGCCTTTTGGAGTTTGGAAAGCTTAAACAAGTCAGTTAAGAGAATGAGAAGAATCTCACTGTGGGTGATAAGGAGTGTGTAGTTTGCTGTAAGGGCCACTGATATGACAAGAATGATTATCCCACAGTAAGAATGGGTAAAACTTAATAAAGTTTTCTAACTTTATTAAACTCACATTATTTAATGAAAAAATAACTGCAAAGGACCAATGAGATCATGCATGCTGCTGTATTCTTGTGATGGAATCTACCAGGATTAAGTTGTATTTAAATGAAAAAACAGGTACACATTTAGAGATCATTGACCAAGAAATGTAAATATATTTGATTAATAAAACGTTTTTATGATGACTCGATCTTCCCTTGGATTCTGTCTTTTCCAGTCCCACAGTCATTTTTCAAGCACCATCTGATTCTAGTGTGCAGCTTAGGTAGTAGGCAGTCAACAAACTCTTGTTGGGGAAGTATAAGCTAGAAAATACACCTAGCAAGCAGGAAGGTTGTTAAAATTCAGCCCTGAGGTTTATTCGGATGCATTTGAGATTACTGTTTTCCTTATTCATGTGCTCACATGCTCATTTGCCCAACCAAGTCAGGTGCACAGCTTCTTAAGGAAACTGTGCGCAGAGACCCAGCCACAAATCTGTGGCAGGCTGGACTTGATATTTGACCTCTAACCCCATAAGCTTTGGAGCACAGCAGAAAGCACTTGCCCGGAGAGTGGCCTGGGGCTATGACTCTTCTGAATGTATGTGATTGGGGGCTCTCAGAAAGAAAGCCAAAGTCAGCTGTTTGTCTCTTGTTCTGTTGGAAAATAAAATTTCACTTAGAAAAAATATGTGAGCATGTAGGAATAGCAAGAAGGACACTGATGCTGGAGTGGATTGAAAGAGGTGGAAATTGCAGGAGGTAAGGTCAAAGAGTCAAAGTGGGCTGGACCATATAGAGCCTTGAATACCATTGTGAGAACTTGGCATTTCCTCTGCGTGAGGTGGGAAAATCTCATTTTGAGCGGAGGCAGGATGTTATCTGACCTAAAGTGATAATTTTTGCTTCTCTGTTGAGAATAGATTGTGGGAGAACACAGACTGAAGACAGGAGATGTTTAAGAGGAGATTTCAACGCAGCTGAGAGATAGATGATGGTACCTTCCTCTAGGGCAGTAATGGTGAAGGTGGCAGGAAGTAGTTAAATTCTGGATATAATTTGAAAATTGAACAGTATTTGCTGATGGGTTGGATGCTGGATATTAGATAAAGAGAGAAATCAGGGATCACTCTAAGACTTTTTGGTCTAAGCAACTGAAAAGGTGGAGATTTTAGATTTGGGAGTTTACACTCCATTTTGCGTTACTCGTCCTTTTCCATAAGTACCAGGACTATTCCAGTATAATAAATGTGCAAATGATAGTGCATACCAGGCGGCTATCTTACAAAACTGTTGACTGTCCCAGAGTAGCCAGGCTTAGCACCATGCCCCACCTGGAACAAAAAGCTGAATCTCATCTTGCTGTTTCCACTGTAGCACAGGGTTATTCCATTGCCCAAGAATGGCATGCCTGTGTTTCTTGAGAAAAAATATTACATCAGAAGTGAAGATATACTTTTGAAATGGTGGCACTCTCCATCCACGGGGCACCTGAGCCTCATTCTGGAAATTTTTTAAGGACAGGGTGCTCTGGGAATATACATGGACTCTTTACCGTGTCTAGCTTATTTCTTTGCTTACGCTGTAGGCTCAGTGTGGAAGGCAGTGCCAATCACAGGGGTGATTGGTGGTTTTCAGCCTCTTGGATGGGACGATTCTGAGCACCTTTAATGAGACATCTTGTCTATACACAACTAATGTTTGCCATTCATCCATCCATTCATACATCCTCTTGACAAAGAGTTTCAAAAATCTATGTGCTAAAGTGCTTATATACAAAAATGAATAGGACTTGGTGGGTTACAAAATCTGGATGGGAGAGAAAGACATGTAATCAAGTAAACTATAGAGGTTGTAAGTAGCTATACAGGAACCAGTGGGGACAGAATTGAGTGAGTAGTCAGTTCTCCCTGGAGGGAGGAGGTCTGGTAAATCCAAGGAGTTGCTTTCTGAGATGTGAGTTGAAATGAACAGAGACAAGTGTTTGAATCCCCTACTAAACAGCAACCATAAGGTACGGTTCACGTGGGCTCATTTGGAAGATCTGCCAACTATGTTGATGTCTATCCAGTGTGCCCTTCCCTGGGACATTTGTCTCACATGTGAATCAAAGGTTTTTCTGTTATTGTACACACACACACACACACACACACACACATATAATTGTTGTTATTCCTGTGTGAATAATACTATTGCACATGGAAACTAAAGAATCTTCCAAAGGTCAACAGCAAACATGGTTCATGGCATTGAGCCAACTTGTGGATATTCTTACCTTTTTGAGGTAATGGACTTCTTCGGGAATGTGATTTTAAAATAGACTGCTCCACAGAAAAGTTTCAGAAACACGCCGAACTTTTTATTGAATTTCAAGGAGGGGTGGCTGCACTCCAAGACCCCTAAATCTAAGATCTTGTATTCGGAATGGTGCTTTTCAATAGTCAATTATAGCTTCAAAAGACTGAGCAGAGATGAAAATAAAAGACCCCTAGTAGATAGTAAAAACAGATGTATTTCTTGATGACTCTAAATAACAAGGAAGAACAGAGAGTTGATTGGCTCACTCTCAAAGCTAGGGAGGCAAGGGACTTAGGAAGCAGAAGCTTCTCTCCCTATTTATGGTTTAGTATGATCCTATAGACACCCAGAAAGAAAACCAGCCTAATCAACCTATTAGTGAGATCACCTTGTTATCATTTATAAGGGTAGCTCATGGCCAGGCAGAGATTTTCCCCGCTTGTTATCATCCGAGATTATTCCCTTTTCCTATCCTCAAGTTAAAAACAAATGTGTATATAGAAATTATGCATGACATGTGCCCAATTGTAAGGAGATACTAATTATTTGGAATCCCAGTTATAACCAAAATTAGTTATTTGACAAATATCAGGTAAAACAGAACATTTAATCCCAAACTTCTCATGCAATAAAGAGTAATCTTACAGGGTCTTTCTTCCAGTTTTCCCTGCTCTCAGGTAGCACACACACACACACACACACACACACACACACACATACACACAACACACACACACATACAAGAAATATTAATAATTGTTTTATTTTTAACCTCTGTAATAAGAGAATTTCAAGCTTCCATTACTTATATGCTCTTGTGAGTTTTTACCATCTTTGCCATTTGCAGTGGGTTGAATGGTGCCCTATGCCCACAAGATAATTCACAGAACTGTGAATTTGACCTTATTTTGAAAAAGGGTTCTTGAAGATGTAATTAAATTAAGGATTTTGAACTCATCTTGGATTATCCAAGTGGGTCCTAAATCCAATGACAACGGGTCTTTAGAAGACACAGAAGAAGAGAAGGCATACCGAGGGGAAGTCCACGGATAGAGGCAGAGATTGGAGCTATGCATCCACAAGCCAAGGAATGCCTGGAGCCACCAGAAACTGAAAGGGAAGAAAAGATTATTCCCTAGAGCGTTTGGAGGGAGGATTGCCTTGCTCACACCTTGATTTCAGATCCCTGAAGCCTCCAGAACTGTGAGATAATAAATTTCTGTCATTTCGGTTATTTGTCATGACAGCCCTAGAAAACTAATACACCATTATAGTTCATAACCCAACATCTTGCAAATAAGAAATGGGTAATAGTTAAATTTTGATCAAATTCACTTTTAGGAAATTCTCTTCATCAAGATAATTTGATTTCCTCTTACTCTTATTGGTCAATAAGGCTTGGCATGTTGCTTTTGCAACACAGAATGATAACACTCTCTAATGACAACTGTTCTTAAATATGACTGCAAGTACTTGGATTTTATGGAATCTGTGTACCACTGACCTCAGGGCAAAGCTCTTTTTGCAAACTCATTTTCATTCACTTGATAACTTTTATTTTATTTTTGCGACAGAGTCTCACTCTGTTGCCCAGGCGGGAAGCACAGTGGCAGATCTCGGCTCACTGTAACCTCTACCTCCCAGGTTCAAGTGATTTTCCTGCCTCAGCCTCCAAAATACCTGGGATTACAGGCATGGGCCACGATGTCCAGCTAATTTTTGTGTTTTTAGTAGAGATGGAGTTTCGCCATGTTGGCCAGGCTGGTCTCAAACTCCTGACCTCAAGTGATCCACCCACCTCAGCCTCCCAAAGTGCTGGGATTACAGGCGTGAGCCATGGCGGCTGGCCATTCATTACTTTTTTTAATCAGTTCAGGCTGCTATAACAAAATGTCATGGACTGTGTGGCTTAAACAGTGGACATTTATGTCTCACAGTTCTGGAGGCTGGAAAGTCCAAGATCAAGGTGTTGGCAGTCGGTTCCTGGTGAGAGCATGCTTTCTAAGTTGCAGATGACCACTTTCTCACCCCACCTGTAAACTGGGGCTTCAACATACAAATTTTGGGGGCACAAAACATTCAGTCCATAACACTGACAATTACTTGATTTTTAAAGTTTTACTCTTTGCAGAGCATATAATGGCAGAGAGCATACATGTAGCACACCGATTTTAGGCATATATTTAAAAGAGTTATACATTTTAAAATAAAAAATAAAACATTTAAAAATTAGTCATAATTTTTTTCATGTAAACTATAGGAATGATAGTGTCTGTAAACTTTCCCCAAATTATCTTCCTGAAAAGGCATTTGGTCATTCGGTTTCATGATAGATAGCTTGAGCTGTAGGTCTGTTTCTTCATCTTGTCAGTTTCTTTTCTTTTTCTTTATTTCCTTTCATTCAAAACCCTTAATCCCCAATTGTAAGTTATTGGCAATGGCAACAGCTATTAATCGCTCTGTGAGAGTTGTTGACATTCAGGTTAAACACGAACCCAAGAATTAAGGAGAATTTTCGCACTGAAAGTTACTGTCAGCACTCTGTTGGACTCTAACCTGAAGAACTCTCATTTCAATTTGAGAGTTAAAAGCAAGTGATTTCCTAATCTACTCTAGTTGTATATGGCTAGAGAAGGTACTTCTTCCTATTCTGTTGTAGCATTTGTTTATTGTTTTAACATGTCCAATAATACAGCATTGTGTCTTTTTCCCTCCAACAAACGATAAAAATGATCAAGTACCAGATAAGTTTGGCAGTTAGACATTTGCATTCCAGTTTGGGCTTATTAAGGAATTATGGTTTCAACTTAAAAATTACAATATCTTAGCATTGATTATAGAATCAGAGTGTTCTCAACTGTTTGACAACCACAGAGCTCATTGTGAGCAGTCCATATAAATACAGCCCACTAATGTTAGGTACACTTTAAAAAATGCATCACTGGGATATTAAATCTTGGGATGAGGGTGTAACATTTTGAATCATGGACATGTCCTTCTATTTTGTCCCTCTTTGTAGTCATTTCCTTTGCCATGTAAGCTTGTAGTTTGGGTCACTAAAGAGGTGGAGTCTATTTTCCCACACCTCAAATATGGGCCAATTTTGGCTTGTTTGGCCAATAGAATGTGGCGGCAGTGACAATATGCTGGTTTTGAGCCTAGGCCTTGAGGTTTTGCATGTTTCTGCTGGCTCTTTTGCACCTCTTTCATTGCCATGAGAACATGCCTAGGGTAGTCAGCTGGAGGAGGAGAGACATTTGGAACTGAGCCAAGTTGCCTCAGTAGCCCCAGCTGATCACCAGCCAACGCCTAAATGTATATGAGCCCAGCCAAATTCAACAGTGCTACCAAGCTAATCCCCAAATGATTCCAGCTGCATGAGCGATATGTAAATTGTGCTTGCCACAGAGTTTTTGTGATCCTTTGTTGCCTGGAATAACTATGGCAATAGATCATCAATACCATAGCCAACAGAGCTTGGCGTGGAGAACCAGCATGCTTGTATTCGCCATTGCCTTTTTATACGGCTCATGCAAAAGACAGTCAGTGGCTGTGAGTTGATTATGTTTACAGTTTTCATTGTTTCCTTCAACATTTAATTAAGTTTTGGAGGCACATTTTTGGCCACCTACTGTTCTTTGTGAATGAAGCTAGATATGGATTGATACTTAAGGACAATTATCTTACTCTTATTCTTGCTGCATGCGTAGCTAGTGCCCCTTCAATACTCAAACTAACTCATCTTTCCATCTATATCATAGCTCATAAAATAATTATTAACAAAATCTCTTCTGTAGTATGTTCTCTCACTGTTTTTGTTTGTTTGTTTGTTTGTTTTTGAGACTGAATCTTGCTCCGTTGTCCAGGCTGGAGTGCAGTGGCACAATCTCGGCTCACTGCAACCTCTGCCTCCCAGGTTCAAGAAATTCTTTTGCTTCAGCCTCCCAAGTAGCTGGGATTACAGGTGCGTGCCACCATGCCTGGCTAATTTTTGGATTTTAGTGGAGACCAGGTTTCACCATGTTCACCAGGCTTGTCTCAAACTCCTGACCTCAAGTGATCCACCCGCCTTGGCCTCCCAAAGTGCTGGGATTACAGGCATGAACCACTGTGCCTGGCCTGCTCTCACTATTGATTAGAAGAAAAAGTCATCACATTTCTCCCCAATCTGTATTACATATATGTTGAATTTGTATACTGTATAGCAGTGGTTTTGTCCAACTGCAAGGTGAAATATCTTCACACATGTTTTGTTTACTTACTTGACAAACATTTATATAGCCGGTACCTTGTGCCAGGCACTGTCCTAAGTGCTTTACAGTATCGATTTACTTAGTCCTCTTAGCAGCTCTAGGTAGGTACTATTATTATCCCTATTTTACACATGGGGAAACTGAGGCATAGAGACGTTAAGTATCTTGCCCAAGTTCATATTGCTAGCAAGTGGTAGAGTTGGGATGTGGATTTAGGCACTCTGAAGTCCACTCCACAGTCCGTGTTTTCCATCACTGCACGTGATAGTAATTGCTCCTCCACACTTCATGTCATTGTTATGACGTGAAACCCATGATACCATTTGAAAAGGGAGCTTCTCCAGTAGCTTGTTCTGCTTTCTTGCCAACACAATATCCATCAGTAAGTATTTAGCTGGCTCTAGAGGCTTATTGGCAATGACGTGACTTGTTTTGCTGTAGAGAAGGACACTTTAAATGACAGCTCTGTACTTTGGTCTCACCTATGCCTTGGCAGCACAATTTGTATTCCAATTTTTACTGGAAAGTATTATTTTGCACTTGTTTCAGAAAAACTCTGTTGGTTTATCAGGAAGGTTGTTATGCTGTGTTTAAAAATAAGGGGAAAGCTTGAGTTACTTCATGACCCTATATGAGAAAGATTCATAACAGAAAATGCACTAGAGACAAGGGGTGAATGCATGAATAATCTTATAAAATCTATTGGATTTACTTGTCCCAGTCTGTCTCTCTGTCTGTCTGTCTATCTATCTATCTATCTATCTATCTATCTATCTATCTATCTACCTATCTCTCATATATCTATCTATATATAGAGAGAGGTAAAATATTTATACTTGAGTTTTGGTGATCATTTGCATTTACATTACCCTGAGTCGTATGTTTTTACTACTATTTTATTACTTTTTTTGCATTTCAGTATACTCCCTTGGGGTGTGTGTGTGTGTGTGTGTGTGTGTGTGTGTGTGTGTGTTTGAATTGGGAATAAAATAACACAAAATTGAGAGGCAGCAGAGAGTTAAAGTTTATGGATTTAAGCCAGATTGCCTGGAGTCAAATTCCAAATTCGGCAGTTGATCTCTCCCTGACACAGTTTTCTCATCTATAAAATGGAGATAATAATAATAATAATACCTACCTCATGAGAGGTAGGTATTAATTTTGAAAATTAAATGTGTTCACTTGAAACAAGTATATCTGGTGTATATGTATGTGGCATATAGTAAGTGCTTTGAAAATACTTGCCATCTAACAAATGAAACATGTATGGATAACAAAAATGAAAATGTAACAGTTGTAAATAATAATACGTAAATATAATGAAGAACTGTACCCTGTTGACTGAAAGTTAACCACGACAAAATGACAACATGGAATCCTAATAGTGTTTATATGACTTTTAGGAACATAATAGTTATTGAGGACAGAATGAGATTTTTTTTTTTTTGAGATGGAGTCTCGCTCTGTTGCCCAGGCTGGAGTGCAGTGGTGCAATCTCAGCTCACTGCAACCTCCACCTCCCAGGTTCAAGTGATTTTGCTGCCCCAGCCTCCCAAGTAGCTGGAATTACAGATGCATGCCACCACATCTGGCTATTTTTTGTATTTTTAGTAGAGATGTGGTTTCGCCATGTTGGCCAGGCTGGTCTCGAACTCCTGACCTCAGGTGATCCACATGCCTTGGCCTCCCAGAGTGCTGGGATCATAGGCCTGAGCCACCACGCCTGGCCAGAATGAGATTTTTTTAAAACCTATAACTAACCTTACATTGCAAATTTGTGACCTGTATATAAACAAAGTTGCCTCTTACCTTTTCCTCTACTACTGGCAGACCACATTCAGGTTACTATTGCTGCATAACCAATTCCCCTAAATTTTAGCAGCTTAAAACAATCTTTATATTTTGCCTACAATCTTGTGGATAAGGAATTTGAGAAGGGTTCTGCTGGTCAGTTCTTGTTTGGAATCGTCAAGCAATGGCAACCAGCATTTGGATGGTGCTGGATCATCTGAAGGTTAGACTGGGCTGGATGTCCAAGATATTCTAGTGTGGCTTGTAGTTGATGCTGGATATCAGCTGGGAGATTAGCTGGGACTACTGAACAAAGTGCTTAGACATGGCCTTGCTAGCGTGACAGTCTTAGGGGAGTTTGACATGTCACATAGTGGCTGGCTCCCCCAGGGTGAGGATCCCAGGAGGACCAGCCTTGGAAGTCACATAACATCACTTCTGCCATGTTCTATTGGTTGAAGCCTGCCCAGATTCAAGGGAGGGACCATTGACCCCACCTCTTAGTGGGAGAAATGTCAAAGAATTCTGGGGCCATGTTTTTAAATTGCCACAGAACACTTAATAGAATTCCAGTAACTACTACAGATCTGTAGAAACATTCCTCTGGGATGTGTATATCTAGGCTATTCAATTCTAGTTTCTATAACTTTGTTGTAAAGGTCTAATGTTTTACCATGTGAGCCATTCACAGAGGTTTATTCTGAGTCTTTTATAATAGAAATATCCCAGGGCCAGGACAAGGAAAACTCAGAAATCAGGTAAAACTTCGAAAGAGTGAGGAGAATCCAGTGAAATTTATTGAAAGCCATCGGTAGTAAAAAGTTCATCTCCTTGATGCTTGGAAGTCTCGCTAGTCCTGCAACCACAAGTCATTTAAACAGCTCCCCTTAGGGACTGCCTCAGATCAACTCAGCCTTTCCTTAGACTTGGGAAATGAATCGCTATTTCTTGGGCCTGTTACTTCTCCAAGTAAATCTTGTACATGACTCTGGAAAAAAAATACCTCTTCATACCATATTCTGTTTTAGTTCTGCACGCATTGCTCATTCCTCAGTTTCCCTGACTTTGAGTCTTCAAGTATCTCTTGACTGGACCCCCCTTTTTTAGGAGCAGTAAGAGATCTGATCCATTGAGTCCTCAATATGAGGGCACCGCCTACATAGAACAGGCCAAAGCAAGTGCTCTAATATAAATTGTTCTTCGATGAATCCACGTGGAAATAGGCCAATATCCACAGCTGGATGAGATCTGTTTTCAGGTTTGGAAATAGTTTGCTTTCTAAAAGTTGACATTGTCCATGGGACAAATATATTTGATATCTCCCATTGCTACTGACTGGGGGCAACTTTGATGAATATGCGTTGGACCAAATAAAAAAAGAGGGCCACTAGTACCCCCAGATGAAGCAAATAAGCTGGATTCATTGTGGAAATTCTTTGAGGCTCACAAAGTCAGGTTAGAAGAACCATGAATAGATTTGGCTCATCTTTTAAAACACCATCTCCTACAGTTAAGAGCATCCTCCTGCACCCTGCTCTTCTTCCTACTTTCCAGCTTCCTTTTCCATGTAAGATGGCTTTCCTGGAATGCCTTGTTTTCATGTGTGCCCTGAACACCAGCCTGCTAAGGCAACACTGCTCTTCGGCAGGCTGCATCTTCATGAACATGGCAGCCACGAGGCAAGACCTGGATCCCAGCCTGCTCTCCTGCTTTTGACAGGAGAAGCCTTAAGGAGTTAGAATTCACCCAAGCTCACCGGTACCCAGAGTTCTGTAGCTGTCATTCTGCAGCATTTCCTTGCAGCCCTTTTCCTCTGGGTCAGGTTTTGAAAGTACTCAAACTCCACAGGCCTGTGTTTTGGATGTGAATTTGAGTCTTACTGCTTTGTGGTCTTCTGGCCAATCATGAAGCCCCTTTGATTAAAAACAAAGGAGTCAAGAAGAGGCTAAGGTTTTCTTGACATCAACAAGCTCTTCAAAGCAACATTTCAAAAAGTGCTAATGACTCAGACCAGATGGAGTCTATTTCCATGAAAAAGCTGAGTGTCTAAAGAAGCAGGAAGTAAAGCTCATGCAGACCACTGTCTTTTGGTTTTCCGAACTCCAGCCTCACTCCAAACACCACCAAGCTGCATCCTGCCTTCTCTCTTCTGTCTGCTTGAACTGCCATTGCCCTTCAGCTTTTCAAAGAAACCGGACTTAGCCCATATGGAAAATAACCTCAGACTTCAAACCTGGACTGGGATTCTTAGACTTCTTTGGTTACCAAAATGCTTTCAGTTCAAAGTAATCTCTTATTTAACTTTGATTTTTTTTAGTTGTGGAAAATATGCATAACATAAAACTTACCACTTTAACCATTTTTAAGTGCACAGTTCAGTGGTATTAAATACATTCACATTGTTGTTCAACCATCACCACCATCCATCTTTAGAGCTATTTTGTCTTCTCCAACTACAAGTCTGTACCCATTAAACAGTAACTCACCATTCCCCCTCCTGCTAACCCTTGGCATCCACCATTCTATTTTCTGTCTCTATGATTTTACTGTTCTCAGTGCCTCATTAAATGCAGTCATCCAATATTTTTCCATTTGTGACTGGCTTATTTCACTTAGTGTAATGTCTTCAGATATCATCCATGTTGTAGCATGTGTGAGAATTTCCTTTCTCTTTGGCTTATAATATTCCACTCTATGTATGCACTATATTTTGTTTCTCTATTCATCCATCAGTGCAAAGGTGTGTCTGCCTCCTGGGTTCAAGCGATTCTCCTGCCTCAGCCTCCCCAGTAGCTGGGATTACAGGTGTCCACCACCACAGCGACTAATTTTTTGTATTTTTAGTAGAGATTCAATCTTGCCATGTTGGCCAGGCTGTTCTTGAACTCCTGACCTCAGGTGATCCGCCCACCTTGGCCTCCCAAAGTGCTGGGATCACAGGCATGAGCCACCGCGCTCAGCCCAGTTCTTTCTGTATAAAAGAATTATACTATGTTGTCTGAGCAAATGAGTAACACAGATCTGAAAATGCTAGTGGGCTGATGTAGGAGGGAGCGTAATGAACAAGCCATTGTGTATGTGATGGTGTGAGAAAGTGGGAAAAATGGGTGTCTTTGAGGTATATAACAGCCTGGAGTTTAAGGAAACTTTCTCGACCAAATGAAGTCCATTCTGAAAGCTCAAGGATCAACAGGAGTTAGTTTGGTGAAGAGTTGGAGGAATGAGTTTCACGCAAGGGAACAGTGTATATTGAGTCTTCTCTGGTCCTCTGAATATGCTTTGACAATATTAAGAGCCACATAGAATTAAAATCATATGTTTCCTTATACGTCTCCCTCCTTAGATTTGAAGTTTCTTGAGGACAGGATTGTGTGGTATTCACCTTTGTAACTTCAGTGGCTAGCACTGAAGTGCTTGCCCAGAGTGAGAGTTTGGAAAATGCTTATTTTATCAGACCAACAAAACTGAGCATTTATCTTTGGTTTCTGACAGCTTCTAAGCCAGACATCACCATCAAATGAAACTTTTTTTTATGTAGAGTCTCAGATTTTCTCTTCCTAGCTACCCTGTGAGATAGGCATTGTGATCTAGTTTAGAGATTTTTTAAAAAGCCAAGGTTCATAGTCCAAGGTTACACAGCTAGTAAGTGGAAAAGTCGGGATTGAACCCAGGTCTAATTGACATAAAAAGTTATGATCTTGTCATTATTTTATGCTGCTTAATTTTGCATATTCACAGATAATTCATAATCAGGAGTGGGGAAATTAGCTTTCATTGAGGGCCTAGATATTGTCCCAGGGGCTTATGTTATAATAGCTGACTTTGAGCACTTACCAGATTGTTTTAAGCACTTTGCATGTTTTTTCTCATTGAATTCTCGTAACAGCCCTATAAGGTGGGGACTATAATTATTTCTCCTTTACAGATGAGAGAAACTAAGGCACAAAGAGCCAGGGTCTGACGGAGGCAGACAGACTAGTGAGACGGCATCACAGCATGCTGGGCTGCTGCCCTGAGCCCCTCGGAACCTCTGGGAGGCAATTAGTATTACCTCTATCTTAAAGAGGAGGGAACTGGGTCAGAGGAGTGATATTTACTGTCTTTGCTCTTGGTTTTAAATCCTTTGTATTATTTGGAAAGAACTCTTCTTTCTTCTGTTAGGCCCTCAACTGCCTCCACATAATCAGAAAAATCACTTTCAGTGTGGCAGAATCTAAGAAATTCTTTCTCCCAAGCAGAAGTTGAGGCATTTAAACCCCCAGTCCTTCTCTGAGGTTTTGACTATTTGATGTTCTTTCTGCCTTGGGAGGGTTGATTAAGAGCCCTACAAAGAGAGAAGCTTTAGACCTTCTGAGCTCTGAAAGGGTTCCTTGACCCCGGGCACCCCAGCAGCTGGGTCAGACATGGTGATCATGATTTATAGATCAATAAACAGATCCTTTCCAAACCACTTTACCCCTCCTTGCTAGGGAGTGGGCAATCAACTTTCTTAGTGTAAAACCTACTTTTCATAAAATATTTTTGTTTGTTATTGAGGAAAGCCTCAGCATTTGGGGTAGGGGCGAGGATAGTGAGAGTGACAGCCAGGAATAACATGCAGAAATTCAACAACAAAGGGAGACTTAAAGTACTTAAGGGCACAAACACCTAAAACATTCTGATTTAGAAGGTTGTACCCAGTCAAATGCTATCTATTCATGTCTGTTTTTTTCCCCTACAAACTGCATTTGCAGACGGTGACTGTTGGCTCATGTATTCCCTTAAGGAGAAAAAATTACACATGTGGGAAATGAGATTCTCCTCCCCTTCCTCCTTCCTCCCCACCCCCGCCCACCCCTACACCCTCAAAACACCCAAACATTTTTTGAGCTACATGATGCAATATGATTTTTTTTTCTGCACAGAGGAGCAGCAATTTTTTTTTCTCAACTAATTTTTATTCCAAGACCTCACAAAGCGTGAGGAGAATAACTTCCTGAGTAGAGAAAGCATTCGAGTGTCTGCATCTGAAGATACACAAATCCCAGAATTTAATGGGAGTAGGGTGGAGACTAGAGGGAATGAAAACAGAAGAAAGTCATTCCTGCTACAGGGATGTTAAAAACCAACACCCTCACTCGTTTGCCTTCACTTTCTCTCTTTCTTTGTCTTTCTGTTTCTTTCTTTCTTTCTCTTTCTGTTTTTCATCGTTCCCTATGTCTATAAAGAACCCTATAGACTTTAAATAAATTCAACTTTTTTCAGCTTGAAAAAATACTAAGGCACTTTTTCCTTTTTCTTTTAAAGAGCCAAGTCACTGATTATTGGGATCTCAAAGGTTCTTAGGAGATGTTATTCCAATAAGTTCTACTCTTACCTATTGGGTTGTTAAATTATAAATTCTATTAAGGCATATTTTTCTCCAGTTTCAACTCCAGCAAGTTTTCCTTGTATAAAATACTCAGATTACACACAAGTGAGCACTAAAGTGGAGACGGCGGGAGGAGGATAGATAAGCGTTAGGCGTCACATCTAGAAAATTCCTGTAGCCACAAACGTAGGGGCACACAATTAGCAGGCCTCTCAGGAAGGTTATACATCATGTCCAGGACTTTACATTAAAATGACTTTTTACTTGAGTCATTTGTTAGTCCATTACCAGTTCACATATCAGATTGCATTTCATCTTGTATTAAATCAAGGTAATCTGGCATGTAAAAATAGCTCCCTCAATTCACTTCCAGCTCTCAGCAAGACTGGAGATTCCCGCAGCATTTTGCCTCACACTCCTCCACAAGGTCTGCAGAATCATGACCTTTTGCTGAAAGTATTCATCATTGATTGAATCTCAGATTCTCCCACAGAAACATGCAATTGACAGATGAAGGCCTAATCATGTGCTAAATGCTGGTTTTTCTCTTTAGGGTTCAACTCCTTCTCCTCCAACTACAGTCCTAAGAGGACCCGAGACTGTGTGATCCCTGTTGCTAATCCTGCAATCATTACAGGCAGAAAAAGCAGAAGAGAGACCCAGAACTAATTACAAAGGAGCAGAGGAAACCTGCATAAAGAAGCTACATTTGTAGACTTTGAGGCCAACTGGATCCTCCTTATATGATGACTAGCTCCATTTCCAAGCAGTGTGTCCTTTTATGGGGGAGTGGGGCTATGACCGAGTGCTGGGTAATGACCAAGACTTCACTGGGAGGAAAACTGAGCCTCCATATAATTCCCTCTATTTATTGCATGAAGGTACTTTTAGGTTATTGTGCCACTGTGATGCAAATGTCTAGTTTTAGAGTGAAATCCTGCCCACCACAGGCCCAAACCACATGTGTCACATCCATTATGTCCCTAATGCTCTTCCCTGTTACCCCTGTGTTTCTAAATGCTTAATGCTCCTATGAGTAAATGATTTCTTTCCACTACTACTTAAAGTGCCAGAAGGCAAGAGAAATTTAAACAGACCTAAGATCAACATTGTGAGTTTACTTGGCCTCCCCGTCTAGCAACACTGCCATAAATTTCTTCGGCTTCTTAGTTGGGAATTTAAAAGGCCTATAGTCTTGGCAAGGTTTATATAACAATGTTTCTTCTATATGGATTATAAACTTGCAAAATCCTAAGCAGTGGTGGGTATCATATTTGGTCAGTGGGTCAACCTGAGAAGCCAACAGAAAAACTCAACACCATGTCCAGCCAAAGACTTTTTCTGGATTTGGCCTGGTGGGTGGAAACAGCTTGATCAGCTCCATCTCTGACAAGGTCAGAAGCCTGGGTCTTGGGGAGTGTTATGGGCTTTTAAAAAGTTTTCCTTTGGGGCTTTGCTATATTACAGTCCAGTCTTTTGTGGCCCTTGCAGAGCCAAGGACCCTAAGCAATGTTATAGCTGGCAGAGCCTTCATGGAATCTCCGTTGGGACATTACTAGCTCCAGTTTCATGAGGCTGTCTCAGACAGCCACTCCTCAGAGTGCAAGAAAGCTCAGAGAATAGGAATCAGCACTGGTTTGTGCTGAGTTTGGCCCTGGGAGGCCTGGGGTTCATCAGCCAGGCTAGCGTGCTTGATTCCATCAAAGCAGCCTTTGTGATAAGAAGGTGCCCCTCCTTTCCTGCCTGCACATTTTCCTCTTCAGGATGACCTGCTGCCGAAGTTATTACCTATGCCTCTTTTCCCAGGTGCATGGTAGTTGGCATGGACACTCTTGCACAGGACTAGTAGGTAGATCTTTTAAGTGACTTGGCTTCAAGGGGATTCCAAATGTCCCTCACTAAAGACAAAGAACATTTCTTTAATGAGAGCTGGTGTCCCCTGTATGAAGCTCTCCCCTCAAAACAAGTGTCAAGCTTTCTGTCTCTTATGGGATGACTCAGCAGAACAAGGAAGCTTAACATTGAACATGACTCATTATGTGCAGAGAGCTATGTGTTAGGAACTAAAGGCTGAAAGTGGTGTGAAAACTGGTCAGCCATTGGTTGGCTCCAATCTCCAAGAATCAGAGTGATGTATGCACAGACCTATCTTTCCCTGCTGCCAGGAAAAGCACACAACTATGGGATTTTGCTCTGACTTTGGAGAGACATTTGAGTTTTACTCTCTGCAAGACAAATTGTGAAGATTGTTCTCATAGCTCTAATTCATCTTCCAGGATGGGCTGAAAATGAAGTTTCCAACCATCAAGACTGATCAGCAAGAAAAAGAGAGAAGTCTACAAGGTTCCTGGGTTGATGGGAACAAAGAGGTCAAGTTTTCATTTTACCAAGGCTTTTCTTATTATTAGAAGGAAACTAAAGTATAAAGATATGAAAATAATAAAGAAGACCAATTAGAAGACAACAGTTTATAGTATTTAGCCAATAAGATGTGTCAGGGAGAAATAACAGACATTTAAGTAATGCACAGTCACACAGATGTTTCTGATTTGTTCTCTTATAATTCAAGGCCCAGACAGTATTCAATTAAATCCAAAGGCTTCCACTGAAAATCGATTCAAGGATATACTCTTTAGGTCTACGAATCATTAACCTATAATACTCATTGCCTGGGAGTAGTATTTAGGTCCAAGATAAGAAGAAAAACATTAATGATTGGAAGTACAGGTTAGGTCAACAATTTTTCAACTTTTTAAAATAAGTGGAACTTTTAAAAAATGAAGAATGAAATCACGGTATGTGAAACAGATAAAAGTGGAAATGTATTTGGGGGGAACTACTAACCTCCTCTTTTCCACTTGAAGCACTTTTGGCTTCATAAAACAGTGATGAAATGTGTGTTATAGGTAATTATTTTAAAAACTAGTCACTGTGGAAGCATTAGACCAGGTATTTTCAATAATCCTTTTCCCAAGGAGCCATAGCTGATGAACGTTATAGCCTCAGCATTTCTAGAGATGAAGTTTCTAGACTTGATTTGCTGTGAATGATGATGTTAGAAACATCGTGCTACTGGCTCCTATCACTTTCCAATTGCCTTGTAACATGGCAGTTACTTTATGTACCAACATCCCAAAGGTGTGATTGAATGTGGATTATCAATTCACACAGGGTCTCTCTGGTGCTGGGATACCTGTTATAATCACTTTCTAATTCCTAGATTTGCTGGTGTTTAGAAATCTGAAAGGTATCAGAAAAACAGATTTTATCACAATTTTTGGCTATTGAAAATGTCAGTAACATATTTTTTTAATCACTGCACCTGTAGAATTATTCTCACAAAAAATTCATTTGGGTCTCCAGAAACTGTTAGCAAAAGCTAAAGAGGGCATTTATTTTCTGACTTCCTTCCTACCCCTTCCTGAGGATTGAATATCTATCTTAATAATTTTGGATGTGCTTATAAATGAATTGATATTCAAATCAGATACCTCTGCCCCATGTCAGGCTTTGGTTGCGCAAGTAATGGGTGACTCACCTTACCTTCTGTTCCACATGTGAAGCCAACACCTCTTGAAGCCAAATTTCTATAGCTTTTGAAAATACAGTATTACTCTTGGTATTGGGTTAACTGTAAATGAAATAAACAGGTTAGCAAAAAAGGTACAAATCTTATCTAAACCTCTGTACATCAAGTATGGATATTCACTTCTAAATCAATTCAGAATCAAATTGATTTTTGGTGTCAATGCCCAAAGGTAGGTAAATATAGATGAGATGGCTCTACCTTAGAGAGTTGAATGATTCCTCCATATTTAAAACTCTGTTCAACTTAGTGAGAAGAGATTATTAAGATACGTAATGAAGTCCTATTTTGTATGGAGATTTGATTCCAATGTCAGTATTTAAGGCAAAAAATGTACGTAGTCCAATCATCCTTGACAAACCCTTATAATGCATATAAAGTATAGTCATATGTATGTATAAAAGTTTAATTATATAGTAAAATACAATATGTAATAAAGATTACATATGCAATTAATAATTTGTAATATTTTTAAATGCACAAAAGCCAAGTAGACTCTGTCTGATTTTATGCGGCTGAGCTGTTTTAAGTTAAATGTATGCATGTACGGCCTCTTCTCGCAGACATGTGTCTGTGTGGGCCACACAGGCGCTGGGGCCAAGGCTAAATAATTCCTCTGTATTCACATGCCTTCACTCCCAGAGTTTGTTTATCTGTCATCCAGTTCTGTTTTTATGGTCCCATTTCTTTGCAGTATCTTGTAGTTTCTTGGCCTCTGATTTACTTTCCTTGAGATGATACTTAAGAGGATTGACATTTTAAAATTTAGATGAGTTGTCATCTATTTAATACACTCTTCTGGTATGAAGAACTAGTTTTATAATGAGTCAGAAATCAGCCTTGTAAAATAAAGGTGAACACACTGGGCCAAATGCAAATAGGCTAATACCAATTTCTAATTGTTTCCTTCCCAACATTTTGGTTGAAGATGGGGTGAGGTGTGTCTTCCCTTCCACACTTACTGGATTTACATGTGACTAAAATCATAGTGCTAAAAGATACACTAGCAACTGTTACACTGAGATTTCAGTTAAGAAGAATTACAGTAGAACTCCTTTATCCGAGGTTTTGCTTTCCAAGGCCTCAGTTACCTCTGGTCAACCAGTCTAAAAAAAAATAAATGAAATATTCCATAAATAAACAATTCACAAGTTTTTAGTTGTTTTCCAGGGGTGTAGTGACAAAAGGAATTCTGTGGGGGTTGGTCATCTCTCAGTACCCATGATGGAAAACAGGCCCATTTCTCTACATCTGATTACTAGCCCCCTTCCTGGGCAAGGCATCTACCCCCATCTCAGGGCCACCCATGGCTGTCTCAGCAATCTCTTCCCCTTGCCAGCTCTAAGGATCGCTATTGTGGGTGGAGGTGAGAAATGGAACTCCAGAGAGACTGATTCGGTTTGATTCTCACCACTTCTCTGTCATACTCCAGGATAAGGGGCTTTTGGATTTAAAAATGCATAATGTGTCCCTTTGTTCACCCATCCCCTCAGAAATTGGCCTTCAGTGGAGGCCATATGTCTAACAGTCCTAATGGGAGAGTCTCACAGAGTCGCAAGGCTTAAAAAACTGCAAAAGAAAAAACCCCACATAACTAATATATCAAATTATTATCCCACCACACTAAGAAGTATGTAGAGATTTGATACATGACTATTAAATAGAAAACATATACGACCATATAACTGTAGCTCCCTTCTCTAAAAGCCAAAGACAAATGGTCCATCAAAAAGTCTATAAAGTTACAGCTGAAACAGTCCTGCAAATCATATGTGCCCAAGGAACCATTAAAACATGCATCATTTTAAAGAGAAGTAGAACTGGAACCCTCCAAAGTGAAATTCACATTTGGTGAAACCTCAATGTTATAAGTTGAAAAGCGGGTAACTTCATATGTTTAAACTTCAGTGGTAATCATTCTTGCAATAGCCTGGTTTAGAAATTGTTAGTATCTTGTTAACCTTACAGTGGACTTTTAATGTTGTTTTTCCCAACACTTAGAGGTGAAATTTATAATATATAGATCACTAAATAAAAATGCAGAATGTCATCTTTGAAGCATACTGATTGATGCAAAACTGACTTAAATAAATGCAGTTTGTGGCTATCTTCCAGCAAGTGCTTTTGATGCTAAAGAGTTCCATACAATAGATTTCCATTTTCAAAATCACATCAATTTTTACTTAGAGCATTTCTGAAAACAGGTGCCGCCACTTCCAATCAGCTGCCTGGCTATAATTTAAGATTCTCTTTCCATTAAGTTTCCATTGCGTTGTAGAAACTTGACCAATGTACGGCAAGATCTCATTGCTTTGGTGTCTTGATCTGGAAATCGCTGTTTCCAGTGCTGCCAAGGATTGTGCCATCAGTTGCTGTGGGATGAAGAAAAAAAAATTACCCAGAACTTTTCTTGGAGTTTGGAGTCACATCATTTGGAAGAGGGAGATGGGTCTTGGGCCAAGCTCTCTTCCGTGACTACATGTTTGGAACAGGAAGCTTCTCTGTGACTGGAGAATTGATTGATTGCTTGATATTTATTGAGCACCCATGGTGGGTTTGGTTCTCAATATATACGAACACATCAATAGTTTTCTTTCCCAACCAGAGATATGATGCCTCAGGATGCTGCCTTAAGTACTTTCCAAAACAGTTCTACCTGGAGTCATTCCTATATCCTTTCAGAATGGTTATAAACAACAACAACAACAACAACAAATAAGTAAATGTGGTTTGATCAGAAGTTTCTTGTCTTTTCCCAATGGTCCTCAACTACTTCTCAGTATTGAGCCCAATCTATAAGTAGAATTAGAATTAGCGATGTCTGTGGGAGCCAAGCCCTCTCTGACCTCCACAGCAACAACTGTTGTATTTCAGAGCAAAGGTCATCTGGAATTGGGAGGAATCCTCTAATTTCTATCACTAGCAGGAACAAAAGCCCCAGGCTTGGCAAACCTAATGGACAGCCTATGTTTCCAAAGTGACTGCCCAGGAGGATTGCTCTCCTCTGGGCTAGATGATTTCATTAATTGGTTTCTAACTCATAAGTCTGAGTTATTTATTGTAAAACCAAATAAGGACCATATGACTTTGAAGATCTGATCAGACCAGGCTGTGTGGGCCAGATACTGAGCAGATCAAGCTTCCCAGCATTAATCTGTCACAGTCCATTTTTCACTTGCTACATCATCTTTATGCAAATCTTCCCCTAGAGGGGCGCACCTACTCAAGAACCCCTCTCCTTCACCTCCCACAGCTGTGGATGTTTTTGAGCTATAGGCACATAAACTTAAGTCTTTAGATGTGCACTTAGAATTTTAGAGCAGGAAGAGATATTAGCAGTCATCTTGTATAAACCCTGATTTAACGTAAGGCAAAAGTGAGATAAAATGACTTGTCCAAGATCACAGAGCCAAAATGACGACAAGAAGAGAAAATTGTTATTATATAAGTTATGCATAAGTAGGACTAGAAAGAGCCCACTGGCTTATTCAGCCATTGGAAAGCATTCCTCATTACTAGAAGCTTGTCATATTTCCCCTTCTACCTCACCTTATTTAATAGGTTATAAAAGCAAAACATAATGTAAACAAGCACATCAGCAAGCAAAAGCAATATATATTTTGGAAGCTCTCAACTATTCTACTCATAACTGCTGTTAATTTTTGATGCATATACTTTCACTCTTTTTAACTTAGGCATAAAGGGCATATGATTTCTAGTTGTTGTTGTATGTGTGTTTTTCTGTTTTTAGACAGAGTCTCATTCTGTTGCCCAGGCTGGAGTACAGTGGCTGCAGGCTCGACCTGCCTAGGCTCAGATGATCCTTCCACCTCAGCCTTCTAAGTAGCTGGGACTATAGGCACGTGCCACCACGCCTGGCTAGTTTTCGTATTTTTTGTAGAGGCAGAGTTTTGCCTTATTGTCCAGGCTGGTCTCAAACTCCTGGGCCTAAGCAATCTGCCCACCTCAGCCTCCCAAAGTGCAAGGATTATAGGCATGAGCCACTGCGCACGACAAGCATATGACATTTTATAAAACTTCCGATTGCATTAAAATCAGTAAGAGTAGAATTAGTTGCGAGGCTTTTTTACTTCATTCTACAAACAGACTAAAATGTTGTACAGGTTATAGGGAACTGCAGAGCTGTTTAAGACATAGCCTTTCTCTGATATATGTAAACATAGAGCTCTTATTTGGATTCTGATTTGTTTATGGGAAGCCCAGGTCTCTGGATTCAGGAATGATACCTTTCTGACACAAATTTTGTCCTGTAGATGTCTACTATCCTGCTGCAATGACTTCTGACACCAACAATCTAGAATTAGGCTTCACAGATTGAGAGCACAGTCCTCCACAAGACTGCCCTCACTTTAGACACAAGCTGCAAGTTCAGGGTCACCAGACCACCTGCACTTATGACCAGCTGGCTACAAATCTGAGAGTTCCCATTACCTTCTCAGGTTAGAAAATTTGCTAGAATGACTTGAAGAACTCAGCAAAGTGCTATACTTAGGATTACAGTTTTATATAGCAAAGGATACAAATCAGAACCAGCCAAAAGCCAAAAGAAGACCTGCCCAAGGAGAGGTCTGAGAGGGTCCCAAATGCAAAGTTTTGTGTCCTCAAGGATATGTCATTCTCCCAGCACATCAATGTGTGACAATAGGCAGCATAATGCCATCAGGGAAGCATGCCCAAGCTTTAATGTCCAGAGTTTTGTTTGTTTGTTAGTTTCATTGTGTAGGCATGATTGCTTGAGTCATTGTCCACACGGCTAGTGTTTGGATAACAAAGCTCCCAATTCCCAAGATTGCCTGGAATGTCTAAAGCTTTGGTGTTGATCTCATCTAAGATCTGTAGTTTTCTGTCCCTCACTGATGACCCTGATCATTTAATTTCCTAAATAGACCACTAGGCAAACCCTTAGTCTGCACTTACAGTGGAGAGAAAATTCCCTTAGCTTCATTTGTGAACTGCTGATATTTTTCTTACTCTAGTTCAGCTGAGAATCTCTCCTCCTTCCAAAATACTGAGAGGGAAAAAGTGTATGTTTTCAGGGAAGTGGTGCAGAATGGGTCATGGTGTGGGGTGGAAGCATTGGAAGCACCAAGAAATACAAACATCTATCCCTGGAGTCAGACTTCCTATTTGTTTGTTTGTTTGTTTGTTTGTTTAGCACTCCCTCTAGTGACACCAGAATTCCCTCAGGTTACAATTGGAACACAAAGTAGCACACGATAAGCATCTTTAAAGAAGTTTAAGGCACTACGTGGTTAGAGAGAGGAGGCATTGTTTCCATTTGGAAGTAGCAGATGACCTAAGACTTGGAAGATGATTGTAGCCTGGAAATGTGAAAATAGAAAGAGAAACAAACACACTAGCTAAGACCTGGAAGGAAAGAGAATCAGGCAAACAAAGAGTTGACCAATGTGATTGAGATTTGAGCTCATAAGGAGGAATCATGGGGGATATGTAGGAAAAGGTTCTAAATTTCAGGATCCATGAAGGGCCAGGCCAGGCATGATGGAGCCAGCGATCTAGGTTCTATTGATTCCGAAACATTTTGCTTTGTTCTTCTACTTCTGAGGCTCATGGGTCCAATCCTATTCCTTCCCCATCCACTGAGCAGGCACATATGCAAACTGTCACAGGCAGATGGGTGTTTACCCAGTGATCTCAAAGCTCCTTAGGGAAGAAAGTACCATCTGATCATGTGCTGCCTGTGAGTCCATGCTTTGGGTCTGTATCTGGGCCTTCTTCATTTGTGAGAAAAAGTTGTAAAAAATAGGGCACTGATAACATTTGGCCATTCCCAAATACTGACTTAAATATGAAAAACAAGGTTTCACAGACTTTACTCGAAATGCTTCTCATGTCTCTGCAGAGAAAAAGTGGCCAACTTAATTCTGTTTTGATTTTCCCTGATGTGTGAGATGATCTGTGGGCTAGATTTCCAGAGTCACAGTTGTGCCAAACCCCATTAGTGTTTAAGGCATACTCATGCCCAAATATAGATTGCTCATGTTTTGTGTTGACCATGCGCCTGAGTCCAACTGTCCAATCCAGGGCAGACTCCTCGCCAGGGCTCTAACAGACACAACATAGACTAGCATTATGTGATGTATAAACAATTTTGCCTAAAATGACAGCATGTGAATAGCTCAGCTGGTAGATTTGTGAGCAGGAAATATGATGTAGCATGAATGGCTGCTCCTAAAATCACAATCTAATTGTTTCCTGCCAGCTCTAATCCCAGCCTCTAAAGCAAGGACAAGGAGGTGCTTAACTCTTCTTTGGAGCTTCTAAGTTCCGCTGTCTTCTAGAGAGAGATCTATAAAGAATGATGAGATAGAAAAGAGAATAGAGACTAAAGAAAAGGAAGGAAGGAAGGAAGGAAAGAAGGAAGGAAGAAGAGGGAGGGAGAAAGGGAGGAGGGGAGGGGTGGAAAGAAGGAAGGCAGGAAGGAAAGAATGGAGGGATGGAGGGATGGAAACAGTTAATGGGAGATAGAGACTCAGAAGGAAATACAATGGTAGAAAGAGGCAGGAGGAAGAGACTGGAAGGTGAACGGGAAAGGACACAGGTGGGAGCAACAGTGGGGAAAGCTCCTAAGGATAAGGGCCACCACTCAAGAAGGTCAAATGAGGCTTACCATCTGGTTTACATGGCATCCATTATCTAATGTCTGTTTCAGAGGAAACTTCGGGGAGCCCACATTTTCTGTGGCATTGAGAAAGTTTGGGTAGATTGTCTGCCTACCTATCACCTAGTGTGGTTATGCTTAAATCATTCCAATCCCGTGAACTATCTGCTAATGTTGATTTAAGAGGGTCAACACCTGACACTGTGCTAAAGTCTGGGTGTTTGTATTGGGCTTAAATGCAGAGATTCTAGAACTGTAATCTGCACATCTACTCCTTGATTCTGCTGGCCTGGATATAGTTCAGCTCCACAACACTCAAGAAACTCGGTTACGGAATGTCAATATCTATGTCTTGTTAGTGTGTGTGTGTGTGGTGTGTGTGTGTGTGTGTGCGTGTGCGCACATGCGCATGTGTTTTATTTGTATTATTTCTCCTTTCCCTTTGTGTTCCTCCTTCTGCAAGAAGCCACAGTCCCCAAAACCTGTGTCCTATGTATTAGCTGCCTGATAAATCCTTGTTATATGAATGAAGTTTTATCTCATGTAGAGTTTTTTATCTACTCACTGAGGTCTACATACATTTATTTATTCATTTTAACAAACACTACCGAGCACTTTCTTTGTGCCAGATAGTGTTCATAGAGGGTGGAAAAGATCTGTCTCCACAGACTCACAGTCTAGTGAGTTTGGGCTCAAGATATCTCATTGGTTGCTTCTCTCTGCTTTCATTATTTATTTATATAGACTCATTTACTATATAGAGACACTCTCAAAATAATTCTATTTCCATGTTTAAAATCTTTAAAAAAAATCTCTCAGTGTCCTTGTGAGGATGGATGATCGTGAGGATTAAGTGTGGTAGAGTGAGTAAAGCACCTTACATACCATGTGTGCTCAGCAAATGCTAGTTCTCTTCCACTTTAAGAGGGAAAAATAGTACTATTGTATTAGGACAAAAATCGCGGTCCTCCAGCAGTTAGGGCTGAGGATGGGCTCCACTTACAAGTCATGTGATCTTAACCTTTGTAGTTTCCTCATCTGTAAAGGTGGGATGAGGTAAGCATGTAAAGTTCTTACCACAGTCACAGGTGGTAGCAAGAATTCAGATACTACTCTTCATACTGGGATAATTCAATCCCAGTGTGGGATAGTCCCAGACTTGGATTGTCATCTGGATGATCTAAGCAAAGATATTGACAGGCTAGAATGCTAGGCTGAAATTATTAAGAAGAAATTAAACAGGATTGCTTGTAAAAATCTACACTCAGATTTAAAATAATTACTCATTCTAATGGGGAGTGGGGGCTTGGAAGTGGTGAGAAGGTCTAGGAGTTGTTGATTGATTAAAGTCAATAGTTGATTGATTAGAGATTTGGCCTCTAATATAATGAGATCTCCTGGACTGCATTCACAGACGATGATTCCAGAAAAGAGAAATAATTTATGTCACATATTCCCCAAATTACAACATAAATTATTGTGTTCAGTTCTGACAAAAAAAATGTGGACAGACTAAGAACATCCAGAAGAGGGAGACCCAAGGGCTACAACATCTGGACGCCTGCTCTTCTGTGAAACAGTATCGCACGTTTTAAAAGCATGGCTTCAGAGCCAGATAGACTTGGGTTCTAGCATCGGATGCGCCTCTAACTATATAAGTCATCCTGAACAAATCATCTAACTTCTCTAATTCTTTCATCTATTAAATGGATGTTAAATAAGATAATGCATTGTATTTATTAAAGTAGAAGTAACTGCCGTAACAGATAAAACTTCTCACTGACCCAATGCAATTAAAGTTTATTTCTTGCCCATATCACAGTCCAATGTGGGTGTTCCTGTTAGATGGCCTTCCATGAGGTCATTCAGGGACCCGGGATCCTTCTATCTTATGAACTGCAGATGAAGAGAGTTCACCTTCTTTTTAACCTCTTCAGCAGGAAAGTGACATAGCCCATTTCCACTTACATTCTATTGACAAGAATTCAGCCCTTTGGGAACACTGAAATGCGGGGATTCTGGAAACTATACTCTGTGCCTAGGAGGAAAGAAAATGAGTTTTAGTGAGCACGTAGAAATCTGTATCACAGTCCAGCATTCTGGTTACTGGCTACCCATTTCCTTCTTCCTCCACACTCACCTCTTTCCCAAAGGAGACAATGCCAAGTTCCATCCAGTAACTGCATCTGGCTCGAAGTCCAGGATCTCTAGGTAAACCCGAATTCTTTCCATCGGGTATAGAAGATGGAAACAATGGCCTTGCTTGTGATGAGAAACTCTGCCTATGGTTCTCCATGGCTACTGGCACCACCCTCTGGGGAATCGTCCTGGTCTATTTGTTAGCCTCCATGAATACACCTGAATTGGGAGTTGAGTATGCCTCCTTTGCAGGCTGTTCAGCTTCTTAATGGTGTAAGTCTGGGGGCCTGAAAGTTGGTTTAAGGTTTAAATGGTCAGAGGGGTTTTGGGTTTTGTTTTTTGGTCCAGGTTCAGAGTTTCTTTGACAATAGAATGTTATCTTAAACTTAGGAGGCTTCTCATTTGTTTGCTTCAGTCAGTTCCTTGTGCTCACAACCACACACAAGGTTTTTCTTAGATATTATTCTCAAGCCTTCATATTCCTTTGCCTTGTTGTCTCCTTACCTCCCTATTAATTAAATGGCAGCTTTGTTGAGGTCACAGAATGTGACCTTTAATCTGGTTTTTACTCTAGAGCAGCATCACTTTGTTTAACTGACAAGTCTTACTGGGCCATTATCACCAAAGCATTCTTTGCACTCTTGGATTACAAAGCATTTCTTACTCTTTGGAGGCCCAGAAAAAATTGACCCTTTCAAGTTTGTAAGATTCTTTCTTTGTTCCTGCCCAACCTTGCTTGAAAATTGGCCAATTCTTTTCTGAGCTCATCTCTTTCTTGTAATACTGTGCTAAAGCCAGCCAGTAGCTAATACGCAACATCACTCTGACCCTTTCTACTAATTCCAGAGCTTCTGGGACTAGCTGCCAAGCCATTGCCACACATTTCAGGTTTTTGTAATGGCAGCATCTGACTTCCACTACCAATTTCTGTATTAGTTAAGGCAACACCAGTTGGTGTACAGAAACTTTAAATTCTCAGTGGTTTAACATGGAAATTTTATTTCTTACTCACATGAGAGTCTAATGCAGATGTGTAAGTGGGGTGGCCTTCTATGTAAAGGGGCCCAGGCTCCCCCTATCTTTTTTGTCTCCATCCACCTCTTGATCCTCAGCTGGCAGGTGGCAAAGCCATGCTGCTACCTGAGGAAGACAATTCTACTTCCTCACTGCTTCCACTTGCTTTCTGTTGGCGAGAACTCAGTCATGAGGTATAGTCTAATTGTGTGCCCAGGAAGGAAAGGAAATGGGTTTTGATGAACTCATAGCAGCCCCAGCCACATGTGTAACACACTTTGCTCACAACACTCAATAAATACACTTGGTGTTCTTGTTACTGAATGTCCATTGGAAATAATAGATGAAGGAAGTGATGTATAGTTCTAGGCTGCAATAAAGAGGACTTAGCAAAAACGTGACAGAAACTTCTAAATGTAATGTAAAAGAGGAATTGGACTTATTCTGTGTAGCTCCAGAGGACAAGACTGGGAGCAGCCAGTGAATGAGGCAGTTTTCCATTGAAGGTGAGAACTTTTTTATAATTAGGAACGAATCCCACATACAGTGTTGCTTTAAAGATAGGAAGTGCTGGGTCACTGGGAGCACAAAGGCAGAGGCTGCCATCACATATCTTAGAAGGAAGATTCCTGCCTGAGAGAACACCATAGGATTCCTTAGGTCTCTTTGAATATTAATATTTCATTTTCCGTATGAAATGGTGGAGAGAAACGACCCTTTGACTGGTGATATCTGCAGCAATGTGTTGACCTCTGAGACTATCTCCCCTCAGTTAATAACTACAGTTTTTGCCTTTGGGAGTATTTACTAACTCTATGTTCATATGCTACCCCAGTAAAATCTCCAAGTGAGCTTCCTTAAACCCCACTGTGAAGTTAGTTACTGCAGGAAATGGACTCATCTATTATACTACTGCCCACCCAATTGTTCAGTCTTGAAACCTGGGAGGTATCCTTGAATCCTCTGACTTATTCACTGTCACATCTGACCAATCACAAAGTACTTGCTCTTCTATTTTCTAAATATTCTCCAAATCCGTCCACTTCTTTTCATTCTCACTTCTATCACCCCGGTAGAGGCTACTATGATTTTTCATCGGCATCATCTCATGCTTCTCTCTCACCCATTTTTCACACGGGAGCCAGAATAAGCCTTTCAATCTGCATACGTGATATGAATTATAGTCACAATGTCCGCAGTGCAGGAAATATCCCAGCTCTTTATTTTTCATGTATCACTTTTCTCTTGATTTTGAAGCCCTATTTCTCCAGGCTGAAGGAAACTTGATCATCAGATATTCTTAGGGTTTTCCTGACTCCCTGGAATTGTGGCTTCCAAGGTCTCGTGTGATCAGGCTTGGGGGTCAGCTGGGGAGGCCTCTGGACATCCATTGCCCTGTGTGCATTTCTATTTTAGGAGTGATGCAGAGTCTCGGGGTGCTCCCTTCTCAGGCTGCTGCTGAGAGGTAGTCCCGTAGACCCCCATTCTAGGACCCACAGACCACTCCCCCATCTTCTGTCACTCCAGAGGAACTTATTTTTCTGATCTGGAGGGGAGCCCCTGTCTCTGCCCTTCTTCCCACAATTCTTTCTAATTCATTTGCAAATCTCCAAGTTCACTCTTAAGTGCTTAGGCTTTTGAAAATAAAAACCAGAAACTCTTACATGGTATATCTTACTGCTCTCCCACATACCTCTCCTAAAGTAATGGAAAGTGCAGTCAAATATCTATTTGGAAGGGAAAAAGATAAAGAAAATGCGGGAAAGAAGAAAAAACCACTTAAACTGTTCCAAAAGCCTGTCAGGCCCCAGGTGTAAATCTGCCGTCACTCACCACTTCCTTGCTTCCTATTGCCCTTGGCATCTCTCATGGTCTTTGGGCCACCGCATGATGTTATCCCTGCCCACCTCTGCAGCTCCTCTGCCCACCCCCCTCTGCTCCTTGCACACTGAACCGCATTGGGTTCTTCAAATACCTTGTTTCTAGGCCTGGATTGCTCTTCCCTCACCCACTCCTTGCCCAACTGCTATCTAAGTTCCAGGAATGATTTCAATATGGCCCCAACAAGGTCTGATCTCCTGTTCTGTGACCTCACACAGCACCTGTACTTCTCCTTCCCTGGACTTCATGCTACAAACTACTTGCTGTGAGCTATTCAGTGTCTGCAGGTTCTGTACGGTGGTGATGGCGTCTGTCTTATTACTGCTCTATTCCAGCCATTAGTGTGGGGTCTAGGCTGCTCCAGGAGCACTGTCTCGGTGCATCTTACTATTGGGCAATTTGGTGCACAGAAGTGCTGGAGTGGGCACGTGTGTGTGTGTGTGGTTAAATTTGCATTTAAACTAAGCTCATCTATGAAACATTCTATAGATACCATTATCATCATCCTTACTACAGATTTGCTTTTCATTCAGAATATTCTCGTATTTATTCTTGGACTTCTTCCTACAAATGTCTGCACATTCTAGTTTCTGTGGGAGCCAAAGGGAAGAGGGACAGGGGTGAGAAACCACATTTTTGAGAAACCTGATTCACAGCAGAAATGGGCCCTGGCAGCGCAGGGCTCTGGGAGCAAGGACATCGCAGCTATACTACTTTTAGGGGATGTATATTTGTTTTTAGCACATTGGAAGATTGCTTTAGAACCCCACCTCCCCAACATATGAAAAAAAGAAAAGAAATGAAAGAAAAGAAACAGGAAATGAAAAATCAGCAGAAAGAAGGTCAGACAAAGTTTCAAAGAGTCCAACATCAATATTTTTTTTAAAGGAGGAAAAAAAGCCAACTTTTTTTAAATGAAAAGAAAACCCTGTTTTATTAACTGATGATAGCTTTATGACAGTTGTATGATCTGGTCTATAATTTCTAAGTCATTCTTGAACTTGTCCCGCTGGAATCTCCCTTACAGTTGCTCAGGAACTAAAGCTGAACGTCATGATTTCTATGCTAAAAACTAACATCCAGGGCTCCTGGCACAGTTATGTTCACATGGACAAGCAGATGTGAAATGTGTGCACAAGGACATTCCCATACCCTGGTGTCATACTCTTCCCGGGAAACATATAACATAATGGTGCAAAAACAAAATAAAATTACTCTGGTCCCACCGCATAAATAATGCTTTAGTACTGCCAAGAGACGTTGTCTCTCTCTCTTTTTTTCCCCTTCAGATCTTTAATGAGTTCCTTTTCTACACTAAACACTGGGTCAAGCCCTAGATATTTTCAAAACTGAACATGGAAATGCTGAATTTGGAAAAGAACAGTGCAATCATATTATGATGTGATTTCCCTAAAAACGGGGACACTGGGAGAGGGAATCCTCTGAAAATTATAAAATTATACATTGCAGCCTTGAGATCATTTCTTCTCATATGGCAGATTCATGAGTGCTCACTATGGTAGGGACAAAAATTCTACTTAAATAAAATGATTATGGACTTTATTTAAATAGTCTTGTAAATAAATATGAAAAATGCACCAGCATTTTACTCTCACTTCTGAGAATTTATATAATAAAAATTAATTCTAAAGAAGGAAAAAGCTCCCCATAATCCCAGAATTTTGGAGGACGAGGCGAGTGGATCACTCGAGGTCAGGAGTTTGAGACTAGCCTGGCCAACATGGTGAATCCCCGTCTCCACTAAAAATACAAAAATTAGCCAGGCATGGTGGTGCGCCCCTGTAATTCCAGCTACTCGGGAGGCTGAGGCAGGAGAATGTTTTGAACCTGGGAGGCGGAGGTTGCAGTAAGCCAAGATCGTGCCACTGCACTCCAGCTTGGGCAATAGAGTGAGACTCTGTCTCAGAAAAAAATAAAAAAAGAAGGAAATAGCTTTATGCACAGAGTCCAATATAATTAACTTTAAAAGACCAAACAATCTGATGCCTTTAAGTAAATCATTTGCTTAATGCAATATTATGCAGCCATTTAAAATAAGGTTTACAAAGAATTAATAAAGGCTTGGAGAGTTGTCATGTTGTAATGTTAAATTAAAATGTAAAGTTTTAAATACAGTGTGATCAGAAACATTCATAAACCAATAACCATGAATACAGAAAAGAGCAGAGACAAATTGGCCAACATTGAAACTGTGTTGCTTTGGGGATGTTTGAATTATGCATAATTTTTGCCTCTACTTTCCTATACATTATAATGTATAGTAAATATTACAAATGTGTACATTTTTAATGTTTACAGTGAAGGGGAAAATCTTTATTTTTTAACAGAGAATGGTCTTTAACCTAATCTTTTCTTCACTCATCTATTGGAGATACTTGACTGTTAGATTAATGATTTTGACCACTCATCTGCCAAAAATTGTTATTTCAAAAGTTAAAGAGCAAAATATTAACAATATAAAAATAATAAAATATTTATTTCTTCTATTCATGCTACCCTGGTTAAATAATAACCATTTATTTTTCAAAAGAAAAGAAATCTTAGTGGTAGCTTCAATCTGGAGTGCTGGACCTGAATTGTACATTTACTGATGGAGAACTTTCTATCTGTTTTACTTGACTTTTATCTGTCTTACAGATAAAAGAAACAAGGTCAGCCAGCATGATTATAATAAAGACTTAAAGATCACAACAATAACATCAAAAAACCCCAAATTCTACTTGTTATTTGCCAGATAATTTTCAAATAATTTCTATACAACTGCTCACTTAATACCATCAAGTCTATAGGATTGTTTCCATTTTATAGGTGGAAAGATGGCATCACAGTGTACAAGTCGTCAGGCTTCCAGAGGAACTCCATTTATAATAACACTATCCAATTTTTTCTAAATAGCATGCAAACATGTGTTGTTACTACATTATAGAAGCAGAACATACTTGGTTTTAGTAAGTGACCACATTAAAAAAAAGTTGGAGGCCAGCCTGGCCAAAATGGCGAAACCCCATATCTACTAAAATACAAAAATTAGGTGGCGGCTGCCTGTAATCCCAGCTACTTGGGAGGCTGAGGCGTGAGAATCTCTTGAACCCGGGAGATGGAGGTTGCAGTGAGCAGAGATCGTGCCACTGCACTCCAGCCTGGGTAACAGAGGGAGACTCCTCCTTCTCAAAAAAATAAATAAATAAACTTGTGAGCTGGCCCCAACCCCTCCTAGCAATCACAGCTCCCCGTACTGGTGCCGCCGCAGTAGCCAAGTTGCGACACTGCCCACGGCCCCTCCCTCTGATGCAGATTCAGGGCTTCTCTTCGATCATGTTGGGTTTTGATTCTGTTTTTCCTTGACTGCAAAACCCTCTTTCCTCTCCTCTTTTGGGACAAGAGCCCTGGTTTTCTACGCTGCCCTTGGCCACCACACTGCCTGCCCCACGAGCTGGGAGGCAGGTTTTGTACAGTACGTTGTTATTGATATGATATAAAACATCAAACGTCAAAAAAATAAAAATAAAAAAAGTTGTGAGTTGGACTGATTAAGATGTAGAGACACATGGAAAGGCTGCAAGCTTCCAGCAAAGTCGGGAAGAATTTCAAGAATTTCCACACAAAGAAGGAGTCCTTTCCAGACTTGGCTCTACACATGTTACAGGTCTCATTTTATGTAGATGAAATGTTTTCATTAAAACTTGGCTGGTTTTGCACGTGAAGATGTGAAGTCCTTTGAACTAAGGCATCATTTGACTTTGGCTTTAGAAAAAAAAAAGAGAGGTAAGAATAGCTTACTTTTGATAGAAAGACTTATGTATGATTGTGTGCTGTCATTTGAGATCACCATGTACAGAGGAAGTTGTAGGATGAAACTACATGGGAATTGGGGCAAAGCAGAGGATTCTTGTCCCAAGAGGGTGACACTTGGTTAAGACCCCCCTTTTCCATGATAACTATGGCAAAGTGGAGTGGAAGAACAGGCAGGTGCATCTTGAATGTGTGGCCTCAAATCAACATGAAAAGTAAAGGGGTTGCATGGGGTATAGGGAGGCTCAAGAGAGAGCAGCATCGAGTATCAGGCTAGACACCCCAATTTCTAAACTGCATCTTCTTGAGACACTCTGTAAGTAAGGCACAACTATCCCAGCTTCATGGCTTGTGTGCTCTCAGGACTAAAGGCAAGGGCTGGACTAAAGGGCTCACTGAGGTCCGCTTGACCTCTAAACATTACGAGCCTTCTTTTCCTGTCAATGCCACTGCCAAACACCTGGCAGACAAAACGTCCCTAGAGGTCTCTTTGTTAACTCCCAGGATGTGGAGAAAATGATCACATCTGTTTAACAGCATATGAGAATGCCTTGTTTTCAGTCATCTGGCTGTGACCTAGAATGGCGGGGAGGGCTGGATTATTTTATATTTCTGAATGATCCCAAAAGTTGTTGTTCATCTGGCACAGCTGAAGTCTGGGCTACAGCCATTCCTTTACCTTTCATTCTGTGCTCCTGGGTGGAGCATTCTCCTCGATGAGACAGAGGGAGTGAGCAGTAGCAGCAGGGAAAGGAGTTGGCTCCTAGCCCCAAGTGGAATATGTCCCAATTCTGCTTCCAACCTATAGATCCAAGAATTTTGGAAATAGATGAAACAGGCCCCATGTGAGAGGAACTATTTGAAAGCCAGTTAAATAAATTCATCATTTCCCCCAACTCTTCCAGGACCCATGCAAAAGTTTGGAATGCTTGGCCATGGTCTTTGCCCATTGAAGTCTCACTTACCTTCAAGAGCTAATTCAGGTGCTCTCTTCTCCTTGCAGCCTTTTCTGATCCCCACAAGTCAGAATGAGCAGTTTTCTTTTTCATGTGCTCATTCACATGTTCTGCACTGTGTAGGACATGTGTTACCGAGGCTGTGTTATACCTACTGGCCTCTCCCATAATCCAGGGTAACTGAGCATTCCCCACTCCCACTGGGTCCCCAGTCAGCTTCTGGATAGAAGAAACAATGTGACATTTACCTCTGTAACCTGCACGTGGGGCTCAATGGATCTTGTGGAAAGGAAATGCTAGGTTTGTGGAGGTTCTGGTATAAGGGCTATTTTAGCATAGAGATTTTCAGTGAATTCTCCCAATAATGGACCTTTTAAGTGAACTGACCTACAGCCTAGAGCCTGGGAAGGCAGACAGAGTGAACCACAGGCTGAGAGAAAAGCCCAGCCCTCTGGTGTGAATGAACTCTTTCAGTGCCGTACCTCACCGGGGTACCTTCAGGCTCTAAAAAATGTCCTGTTTGATATTGTAAGCTCCCAAAGGGTGTGGACTGCGACTGCTCTCCTTACTTAAATAGCCCAGTGCCACATGCATGGGGCTATTTAATAAATATTGTTTAATGATGATTGCTCTCCCAGCATGGGAGTGTGGGGCTCTCAGCGTGCCCCTGGGAGCCATGTGCCGGGCCTGGCCCACCAGACGCAGCACACAGACTGCTCACAGTAAATAATATTTGCTGAACTCTCCTTTTGGGCAGTGAGATCCTGCACCAACTTTTGTGGGAAGTAATAAGAACATAGAACTCACGATTATTCTCCCTCAAAGCTGCTTACGATCTAATATAAATCTTAGACCCAGAGTTTGCAGAAAATGAGGGCAGAGCTGAACAAACAGATCTAGGCAGAAATGACTTTAATAAAAATTATGAAAATCCACACAATCGGTCACTGCCTTCAAAGTACTCATATTTTGCTGCTTCATTCTGATGCAGGAAAGCATTTGAAGAACTGACAATGGAAAGTGAGTGTGTGGTGAAGATTCCTGGTAGGAAGAAAAGCATCACTTTCTAATGTGTGTGTGATTAAGCTTCTCTGTAGGAAGAAAAGCATCTGGAAGGAAGTATCTTTTTCTGTGAATTCAATTCTTTCACCTAAAAAGCAATTATAAGACTTTCTATGTTTCTGCTAAAAGTATCTCCATAAAACTCTTCAAAGTCCTGTTTTAAAAAGAAAACTCACAGGAATAAAGGAGGGTTTACTTGTTTATTTCTTGTGCTCAGAAAAGCCACACGCAGTAAAGCTGATGATCTGGGAGCAGTGGAAGCAAGACTGCTCTCTGTTGGCTCAGTCACAGGTGAGTCCACTCCAAAAACAAGTCACACACAGTTTTTTTTTTTCCATCTTCCCTAACCTTCAACATTGTTCAAGGTCCTTCATGTTTCCCATGTGAATTTAGGAGTCAGAATCTCTGGAAACATTGGTTAGGTTGGCAGAAAGGAACATTAGGAGAGCTTTTTAACAAATCCACCCCAGTTCCTGGTCAGAACATGCTCTGATGTTCTTCCAAAACTGCTCTTCTGTCCTCTGTATTGAAAGTCTCCCCGCTGAGCCCTGAAACCCTACACTGTGCTATGTGCTTCACATTCACCAGGTCATTTTATCCTCCCAGGAATCCTTGAGACAGGTGTAGTGGGTATTCTCTGTGGCCAACCAGCATCCGAACTCCCTTTCTCTTGGAGGGCTACCCAAGCTGAGGTCTCAGTGGAGGCAGGGAGTCTCTGCAGGAGGAGGCTTATTCCCACAGAAAAGTGGGAAACTTACTTTCTCAGCCTCCCCTACAGCTAGGATTTGGACAAGTGACAGGCTCCATCAGTCAGACCTGGACCAGAGAGCCAATGACACAAAAAGCAGAGACGGCCTGGAGCCTGCTCTGGCCCACAGAGACACAGCCAGTTTCCAATAGCAGAAATGATTCTAGTGTCAGCAGCCAGTGAACACTGGAGTCAACATGGCATCTTCATGGGGCCAATCTGAGACATGACTTTGGACCTAGTACCCAGCTGTGAAGCCTGGGGAACCCATGACTACTCAGTATTCTTAACACAGCTTCTTTCTGCTGCTGAAGGATAGCCAGAGTTGGTGTCTGTTGCTGCAACTAAGAATCTTGACCAAGACACAGGAAATATTTTTTAAATTTTTTATTTTAAGTTCTGGGGTGCATGTGCAGCATGTTGCTACATAGGTAAACATGTGCCATGGTGGTTTGCTGCACCTGTCAACCCATCACCTAGGTGTTAAGCTCCACATGCATTAGCTATTTTTACTGATGCTCTCCCTCCCCCTACACCCCGCAACAGGCTCCAGTGTGTGTTGTTCCCCTCCCTGTGTCCATGTGTTCTCATTGTTCAGCTCTCACTTAGAAGTGAGAACATGTGGTGTTTGGTTTTCTGTTCCCGCGTTAGTTTGCTGAGGATAATGGCTTCCAGATCTATCCATGTCCCTGCAAAGGACAAGATCTTGTTCCTTTTTATGGCTGCATCGTATTCCATGGTGTATATGTGCCACATTTTCTTTATCCAGTCTATCGCTGATGAGCATTTGGGTTGATTCCATGTCTTTGCTATTGTGAATAATGCTGCAATAAACATGTGTGTATGTATCTTTATAATAAAATGATTCATATTCCTTTGGGTATATACCCAGTGGTGGGATTGCTGGGTCAAATGCTATTTCTGGTTCTAGTCTTTGAGGAATCACCACACTGTCTTCCACAGTGGTTGAACTAACTTACATTCCCACCATCAGCACAGGAACTATTTTCAACTCTGCTTACAGATGTAAATACTGAGGCGAGAGGTGTTAAGTAACTTGCCTAAGGTCTAAGAGCTGGCGAAAGACAGACCTTGGATTCAAAGCCAAGTCTGCCTAATTTCAGAGCCCTTGCCCTTCATGTCCACCTCAGAGCACCCCTGCGATATTCCATATCACTACAGAACCCCTCAGGCCTTGCAGTGTTGCAGGAGGATGCAGGGCACTAGGACAAATGCCCCCAATACACTCTGGACCTTCCAGTTTAGGGAAAGTGAATTAATATTTTCTAAGCCCTTGATGCATTTAATCTATTTAAATTCCTATGAGTGCCTTGAAAGGTAGTCATCATTATCACTGTTTTACAGCTGAGAAAACCAAGACTAAACAAATGAGGTTATTTCTTGCCCAAGGTCACACCCAATTCCAGATAATTCCAAGCCTAAGCACTTTTGTCTCCTGTTGCCTGTCCACAAATTCTAGGTCCCTATGAGGAGCTATAAGTTATGGCCATTTTTTCTGTCTGCTGATGTCACACAATAATGTGGGAAAGAATAATGTAATCATTGAAGGTTTGGGGCTAGAGCGAGTATCTTTTGCCTCGTTTAATATTCTTGACTCATGATTTAAGCAGGTTCATAGGACTGTTACATTTTCCAAGTAGAAAGACTTTCTTCCATTCAACAAAAAATTCATTTTCTGGCTGGGCATGGTGGCTCACGCCTGTAATCCCAGCACTTTGGGAGGCTGAGGCAGGCAGATTGCTTGAGGCCAGCTCAAGACCAGCCTGGCCAACATGGCAAAACCCCATCTCTACTAAAAATACAAATATTAGCCGGCATGGTGGCACGCACCTATGATCCCAGCTACTTGGGAGGCTGAGGCAGGAGAACCGCTTGAACCCAGCAGGCAGAAGCTGCAGTGAGTCAAGATTGAGCCACTGCACTCCAGGCTGGGCAACAGACCAAGACTCTGTCTCCAAAAAAAAAAAAAAAAAATCATTTTCTGTGTATGGTGTGAGACAAGATTCCAATCATATATGTTTTTCCCATGTGAAAAGCACCATTTAATGAATAACCCATTCTTTCCCTACTAACTTTAAATGCTGCCTCAGTCATATACCAAGTTCCCATATGAGTCATACACCTGTCTCTAGATATTTACATTTTGTCCCCCACATTTTGTCTTCTAGGTTTTTATTGTTGTTCAGTTATAAATATTTCATAATTTTCATTTGATTTCCTCTTTGTCCTTGAATTATTTTGAAGGAAGTTTTTAAATTTTCCAAATGTCTAGATTTACAATTTGTTTAAATTTATTATTGAAATTTCCAAGCATCAGAATTCATTATTGTTTAAACTATCATTTGATTTCTAGGTATTACACTGAGGTGGGAGAGTGTGGTCTGTAAGACACAGTGCTGCTCTGTCCATTATAATAGTCATTAGCAACATGTGGCTAGTGAGCACGTCACATGGGGCTATCCAAACTGAGATGTCCTGTATCTCTAAGACTTAATATGAAAAAGCAGTAATATCTGGATATATTGGTAAAATAAAGTATATTATTAATTAAAATAATGTCCAGTAATATAATCACCATATTATTAAAATAATCAATACAATAATTTATAATAAAATTAATTTTACCTGCTTTCTAAAATATTTTTAAGGTGGATACTAGAAACTCTAAAATTATATATATGACTCACATTATATGTCCATTGGACAGCAATGATATTGATTATTTTGTATTTTTAACACTTGCTTTTGGCTCACTGTGTAGTCAATGTTTGTAAATATTCTTGTGTACTTGCAAAGAAATTCAGACCGCATTGGTGGGTAAAGAGCTGTATACATGTTCATTAGATTAAGCCTGTTAATTGGATTACTCATCTATCCTATGGCCTTACTAATTTTTTTTGCCTTCTTTGTCTATCAGATTCTAAGAGAGGTATGTTAAAAAAACTTCCTACTAGAAGTATGATACATGCACACTTCCTACTAGAAGTGTACATTTATTAATTTCTTCTTGCAATTCTATTTTTGCTTTCTATATTTTGAGGCTATGTTGTTAGGTGCATGTGCTATGTTTTGAGTCTGAGGGTTGCTGTGTTCTTTAAGTGCTATTTTTTCTTTTGGAGGTTATTCAGATGTTAACATTGACCTCTGCAGTTAATCAACCTTGCTCCCTTCCCTCCACGCCGCATAAGAAACGCAGGGTGCTGTGACTCCTATCACTACCGTGCCTCCTCCTCATCTTCCATATTATTGCCTTCCAGTATTTTTACACCAGTTTGTTTTAATATAATGCATATATTTATTTTATTTTATTTTTGCATCTTCCTTCTCAATCCTTCCTTCTGCATTCAATTTTCTTCTTACTGCAGAAAAGCCCTTAGTGATTCTTTCAGCAATGGTCTGTAACTGTCAAACTGTCTTTGTCCGAAATATTGGTTTACCTTCACTCTTTGAATGGTTTACTTTAGCTGGATACAGAGTTTTAGAACGACTATTATTCAAAAGTGACAGTGAAACAACTACTCTAGAAGACAAAATAGTGCCCCTCCCGCCCACCAAAAGATGTCTACATCCACATCCTAATCCCTGGAACCTGTGAATATCACATTATATAGCAAAGGATCTTTGCAGATCTATCAAATTAAGGATATTGAGAGGGGGAGGGTATCCTGTATTATCCAGGTGTGCTGAATGTAATCACAAGGGTCCTTATAAGAGGAAGGCAGGGAAGTCAGAAGTAGGGGAGTAGATGTGATCGGGGAAGGAGAGTTATGTGCATGTGAGGGAGAGAAAAGGGAGGAAGAGAAGTACAGATGGAGAGAGAAAGGGGGGCAGAGAGAGAGAGAGAGAGAAATGGAAAGATTCTATACTGCTGGCTTTGAAGATGGAGGAAGGGGCCCTGAGCCAAGGAATACAGGAAGCCTTTAAATGCCAGAAAAGGCAAGAAAACAGATTTACCTCTAGAATCTCTGTAGGAGACAGCCTACAAAAATGACTCCTTGATTTTAGCTGAGTGAGACCGGTTTTGGACTTCTGACTTCCAGAAAGGTAAGGTAATAATTTGTGTTGTATTAAGCCATATTGTGTGATAATTTGTTACAGCAGCACTAGAAAATTATTACAACCAGTAAGGACTGTATATTAGTAAAAAGGAAACTAGGCAGATTGAGTTCAATGTAACCAGATCACAGAGGCTACAATTAGTAAGTTAATTATCACAAGGTTATTTCAATTTAAAGATATTATTCTCTCAACTTCTGACCTTTTCCTTTTTTCCCCTTGTTTTTCCTTCCTTCTTCCCTCCCTCCCTCTTTCCTTCCTTCTTTCTCTTTATTTTTCTTTCTTTCTTTTCTATTTTTCTTCCTTCCTTTACTCCCTTTCTCTCCTTTCCCCCTTTCTCTTTCCCCTTCCCCTTTCCCGTTTACGGATTTACCCGAGCTACCTAGAATAGGGTCTGGCATAAAGTAGGGGTTTGAGAAATATTGGGGGACCATGTAGAATGCATGAATAAATGAATAATAAGTTTTATGCCACTGTAATTGTTGCTCGTTGGTAGGTAATTGGATTTTTCATCCTGGTCATTTTGAAGGCTTTCTTTGTATCCTGGGTGTTTTACTATATCCTATGGTACATCTAGGTGTGCATTAATTCTTATTTCTGCTGCTGGACTCATTTGCTTCCTAACATAAGGATTCATGTCTTTCCTCAATTGTAGAATATTCTCCAGCTTTTCACTCATGTCAGTTGTGGAAGAATAAGATATTTTTCCTATAACTAAAAAATGTCTTTAAAATAACTGAATCTTTTTTATTTTAGTTGGAAAATGTGTTGTTTTCTTAATAAGAAAATGGGAAATATCAAAATCACAAGCTGTAGTCACAATTTGAAGTAAACAAATATGATTCTCTGCAATAACAATGTACCACATGCAGTTCCCTAAAACAAATATTCATGGTTTCAAGTTCATAAGTCAGCAGTCCTTGGAAACATGAAAAGAAGAAACTATTGTGTATTACAGAAAAGTTTTTCACTCTTGTTAGTAAACTAAAAGATGAATGGCTAACCTAGTATTCTGTATCCTTGAAAGCTCTACTGGAGCTGTCTTCTCATTCTATGATTTTCATTAACTGTTCATGAAACACATGTCCTCTACTTTTCAACGACAATTGTAACAAATGTCCATTAAAATTATTCAGGGATTATGATAATTTAGTTCCACACCACCATTCTTCCTATTCTCTATTTCTAGAATTTGTCTGCATGCTGGACTTTTGCTTTCTATTCTGTGTGCTGCTTAAACTCTTGTGTGTTCCATCTTTATTTTCTGAATCTCTCTCTGCCATTATCCAGATAATTTCCCCAAATCCATCTCCTAATTAATTCTCTCTTTAGGAGTGGCTGGTTTGCTTTTAATGCAGTCATTGAGTTTTTAATTCAGTGCCTACATTTTTATTCGTAGAAGTTTTATTTGGTTCTGTTCAAAATGTTTTAGTTAATTTCATTGTATTCTATTACTTCATTATGGTTTCTACTTTTTTCTTTGTTTTTTAACAATGTTAAAGAGGGCTTATTTTATAGTTCTTTTAACATTATTGAACTCCGATTATCCTATTAGTTAAGTCTGATGACTCTCAGTTATTGTGGATTTTTTCCTTATTGCTTTATGGTTTTCTTAGAAGGTACTCATTATTAGTAGGGATTTTTTTTTTTAAAGCAGTTCAGTACATCCTAGATTATGGGAGTATTCTCCCATACAGTTTGCTTCTGTTGGGTACCCTTAGAAGTTCATAGGCCCAAGACCAGTGTTTAAATTTTCAGAATGAGACTCCCACAACACATGGTGATATAAATTCAGATTCAACATTTGCAAGTGATCTAGGCTTCAGGTTTCTGGATTTTTTCTTAGAAGACATTGGAGTTTTCTTACTGATTCATTTTGCCCTGGGAAAGAGCTTTTGTTTTAAATGGAGGACCAGTCCTTTATGAAAAGTTCTCACTAACTACTCTTCAACTGATGCAGGTCCCATGTATGGTCTTTAAAAGCTCATCCTAATAGATAGGGTCTACAGCCAGATACCATCATGACCTGGAGAAATACTGTATCAGCTTAAGCACAACAGGCTAGTACCTACCTGGCATGAAAGGACATCCCCTTATGAAGTGGGAGATGAAAGTAGATGCCATCCATTCGATGTTTCTACTAAGTCTTAGTTTTTTATCTGATGATTAGAACTATTTATGGATCCTACATTAAATTGTTGAAACCCATAAGATAAACGACAGTGAATAATGCATTCCATAGTTGAGCTTTTTATTTGAACTTAAGGACACATAGGAAAAGAATTCATTTATGGCTGCTGTGGTGTTGTCCCATGGGGAAGGAAGATGGATTTGTCAACCCCGGAGCGAGGTTCTCCCTACCCGAGGCTGCTGCCGTGTGGAGATCCCCTGGGTGAAACCATTGTCGCCATTGACCAGGAGGCAAAACCTTCAACTGAGGACTTAGGGAATAAGAAGGAAACAAAATACATTAAACTCAAAGTCATTAGATGGGATAACAGTGAGATTCACTTCAAAGAGAAAATGACAACACATATCAAGAAACTCAAAGAATTATACTGTCAAAGAGCGGTCCAATGAATTTACTCGGGTTTCTCTTTGAAAGTCAGAGAAGTGCTGATAATCATATTTCGAAAGAAATGGGAATGGAGGAAGAATACGTGATTGAAATTTATCAGGAACCAATGGGGTCATTCAACAGTTTAGATATTCTTTTTATTATTTTTCTTCTGCCCTCAATCTTTAAAAATGTTTTTGTAATGTGTTCAAAATGAAATTGAGACTGGAAACCCATCTTTTTTTTTTTTTTTTAAATGAAAGCAAGTTTATTAGAGAAGTGGAGAAACAAAAGAATGGCAACCCCGTAGGCAGAGCAGCCCTGAGGGCTGCTAGTTAGCTATTTTCATGGTTATTTCTTTTTTTTTTGTTTTTTTGTTTTTTATCTTTTTTTTTTTATTATACTTTAAGTTTTAGGGTACATGTGCACATTGTGCAGGTTAGTTACATATGTACACATGTGCCACGCTGGTGCACTGCACCCACTAACTCGTCATCTAGCATTAGGTATATCTCCCAATGCTATCCCTCCCCCTCCCCCCACCCCACAACAGTCCCCAGAGTGTGATATTCCCCTTCCTGTGTCCATGTGATCTCATTGTTCAATTCCCACCTATGAGTGAGAATATGCGGTGTTTGGTTTTTTGTTCTTGCGATAGTTTACTGAGAATGATGTTTTCCAATTTCATCCATGTCCCTACAAAGGACATGAACTCATCATTTTTTATGGCTGCATAGTATTCCATGGTGTATATGTGCCACATTTTCTTAATCCAGTCTATCATTGTTGGACATTTGGGTTGGTTCCAAGTCTTTGCTATTGTGAATAATGCCGCAATAAACATACGTGTGCATGTGTCTTTATAGCAGCATGATTTATAGTCCTTTGGGTATATACCCAGTAATGGGATGGCTGGGTCAAATGGTATTTCTAGTTCTAGATCCCTGAGGAATCGCCACACTGACTTCCACAATGGTTGAACTAGTTTACAGTCCCACCAACAGTGTAAAAGTGTTCCTATTTCTCCACATCCTCTCCAGCACCTGTTGTTTCCTGACTTTTTAATGATCGCCATTCTAACTGGTGTGAGATGGTATCTCATTGTGGTTTTGATTTGCATTTCTCTGATGGCCAGTGATGATGAGCATTTTTTCATGTGTTTTTTGACTGCATAAATGTCTTCTTTTGAGAAGTGTCTGTTCATGTACTTCGCCCACTTTTTGATGGGGTTGTTTGTTTTTTTCTTGTCAATTTGTTTGAGTTCATTGTAGATTCTGGATATTAGCCCTTTGTCAGATGAGTAGGTTGCGAAAATTTTCTCCCATTTTGTAGGTTGCCTGTTCACTCTGATGGTAGTTTCTTTTGCTGTGCAGAAGCTCTTTAGTTTAATTAGATCCCATTTGTCAATTTTGTCTTTTGTTGCCATTGCTTTTGGTGTTTTAGACATGAAGTCCTTGCCCATGCCTATGTCCTGAATGGTAATGCCTAGGTTTTCTTCTAGGGTTTTTATGGTTTTAGGTCTAACATTTAAGTCTTTAATCCATCTTGAATTGATTTTTGTATCAGGTGTAAGGAAGGGATCCAGTTTCAGCTTTCTACATATGGCTAGCCAGTTCTCCCAGCACCATTTATTAAATAGGGAATCCTTTCCCCATTGCTTGTTTTTCTCAGGTTTGTCAAAGATCAGATAGCTGTAGATATGCAGCGTTATTTCTGAGGGCTCTGTTCTGTTCCATTGATCTATATATCTGTTTTGGTACCAGTACCATGCTGTTTTGGTTACTGTAGCCTTGTAGTATAGTTTGAAGTCAGGTAGTGTGATGCCTCCAGCTTTGTTCTTTTGGCTTAGGATTGACTTGGCGATGCGGGCTCTTTTTTGGTTCCATATGAACTTTAAAGTAGTTTTTTCCAATTCTGTGAAGAAAGTCATTGGTAGCTTGATGGGGATGGCATTGAATCTGTAAATTACCTTGGGCAGTATGGCCATTTTCACGATATTGATTCTTCCTACCCATGAGCATGGAATGTTCTTCCATTTGTTTGTATCCTCTTTTATTTCCTTGAGCAGTGGTTTGTAGTTCTCCTTGAAGAGGTCCTTCACATCCCTTGTAAGTTGGATTCCTAGGTATTTTATTCTCTTTGAAGCAATTGTGAATGGGAGTTCACTCATGATTTGGCTCTCTGTTTGTCTGTTGCTGGTGTATAAGAATGCTTGTGATTTTTGTACATTGATTTTGTATCCTGAGACTTTGCTGAAGTTGCTTATCAGCTTAAGGAGATTTTGGGCTGAGACAATGGGGTTTTCTAGATATACAATCATGTCCTCTGCAAACAGGGACAATTTGACTTCCTCTTTTCCTAATTGAATACCCTTTATTTCCTTCTCCTGCCTGATTGCCCTGGCCAGAACTTCCAACACTATGTTGAATAGGAGTGGTGAGAGAGGGCATCCCTGTTTTGTGCCAGTTTTCAAAGGGAATGCTTCCAGTTTTTGCCCATTCAGTATGATATTGGCTGTGGGTTTGTCATAGATAGCTCTTATTATTTTGAAATACGTCCCATCAATACCTAATTTATTGAGAGTTTTTAGCATGAAGGGTTGTTGAATTTTGTCAAAGGCTTTTTCTGCATCTATTGAGATAATCATGTGGTTTTTGTCTTTGGCTCTGTTTATATGCTGGATTACATTTATGGGTTTGCGTATATTGAACCAGCCTTGCATCCCAGGGATGAAGCCCACTTGATCATGGCGGATAAGCTTTTTGATGTGCTGCTGGATTTGGTCTGCCAGTATTTTATTGAGGATTTTTGCATCAATGTTCATCAAGGATATTGGTCTAAAATTCTCTTTTTTTGTTGTGTCTCTGCCTGGCTTTGGTGTCAGAATGATGCTGGCCTCATAAAATGAGTTAGGGAGGATTCTGTCTTTTTCTATTGATTGGAATAGTTTCAGAAGGAATGGTACCAGTTCCTCCTTGTACCTCTGGTAGAATTCAGCTGTGAATCCATCTGGTCCTGGACTCTTTTTGGTTGGTAAGCTATTGATTATTGCCACAATTTCAGCTCCTGTTATCGGTCTATTCAGAGATTCAACTTCTTCCTGGTTTAGTCTTGGGAGGGTGTCCAGGAATTTATCCATTTCTTCTAGATTTTCTAGTTTATTTGCGTAGAGGTGTTTGTAGTATTCTCTGATGGTAGTTTGTATTTCTGTGGGATTGGTGGTGATATCCCCTTTATCATTTTTTATTGCATGTATTAGATTCTTCTCTCTTTTTTTCTTTATTAGTCTTGCTAGCAGTCTATCAATTTTGTTGATCCTTTCAAAAAAACCAGCTCCTGGATTCATTAATTTTTTGAAGGGTTTTTTGTGTCTCTATTTCCTTCAGTTCTGCTCTGATTTTGGTTATTTCTTGCCTTCTGCTAGCTTTTGAATGTGTTTGCTCTTGCTTTTCTAGTTCTTTTAATTGTGATGTTAGGGTGTCAATTTTGGATCTTTCCTACTTTCTCTTGTGGGCATTTAGTGCTATAAATTTCCCTCTACACACTGCTTTGAATGTGTCCCAGAGATTCTGGTATGTTGTGTCTTTGTTCTTGTTGGTTTCAAAGAACATCTTTATTTCTGCCTTCATTTCATTATGTACCCAGTAGTCATTCAGGAGCAGGTTGTTCAGTTTCCATGTAGTTGAGCGGTTTTGGGTGAGATTCTTAATCCTGAGTTCTAGTTTGATTGCACTGTGGTCTGAGAGATAGTTTGTTATAATTTCTGTTCTTTTTCATTTGCTGAGGAGAGCTTTACTTCCAAGTATGTAGTCAATTTTGGAATAGATGTGGTGTGGTGCTGAAAAAAATGTATATTCTGTTGATTTGGGGTGGAGAATTCTGTAAATGTCTATCAGGTCTGCTTGGTGCAGAGCTGAGTTCAATTCCTGGGTATCCTTGTTGACTTTCTGTCTCGTTGATCTGTCTAATGTTGACAGTGGGGTGTTAAAGTCTCCCATTATTAATGTGTGGGTGTCTAAGTCTCTTTGTAGGTCACTCAGGACTTGCTTTGTGAATCTTGGTGCTCCTGTATTGGGTGCATATATATTTAGGATAGTTAGCTCTTCTTGTTGAATTGATCCCTTTACCATTATGTAATGGCCTTCTTTGTCTCTTTTGATCTTTGTTGGTTTAAAGTCTGTTTTATCAGAGACTAGGATTGCAACCCCTGCCTTTTTTTTGTTTTCCATTTGCTTGGTAGATCTTCCTCTATCCCTTTATTTTGAGCCTATGTGTGTCTCTGCACGTGAGATGGGTTTCCTGAATACAGCACACTGATGGGTCTTGACTCTTTATCCAATTTGCCAGTCTGTGTCTTTTAATTGGAGCATTTAGTCCATTTACATTTAAAGTTAATATTGTTATGTGTGAATTTAATCCTGTCATTATGATGTTAGCTGGTTATTTTGCTCGTTAGTTGATGCAGTTTCTTCCTAGTCTTGATGGTCTTTACGTTTTGGCATGATTTTGCAGCGGCTGGTACCGGTTGTTCCTTTCCATGTTTAGCGCTTCCTTCAGGAGCTCTTTTAGGGCAGGCCTGGTGATGACAAAATCTCTCAGCATTTGCTTTTCTGTAAAGTATTTTATTTCTCCTTCACTTATGAAGCTTAGTTTGGCTGGATATGAAATTCTGGGTTGAAAATTCTTGTCTTTAAGAATGTTGAATATTGGCCCCCACTCTCTTCTGGCTTGTAGGGTTTCTGCCGAGAGATCCGCTGTTAGTCTGATGGGCTTTCCTTTGAGGGTAACCCGACCTTTCTCTCTGGCTGCCCTTAACATTTTTTCCTTCATTTCAACTTTGGTGAATCTGACAATTATGTGTCTTGGAGTTGCTCTTCTCGAGGAGTATCTTTGTGGCGTTCTCTGTATTTCCGGAATCTGAACGTTGGCCTGCCTTGCTAGATTGGGGAAGTTCTCCTGGATAATATCCTGCAGAGTGTTTTCCAACTTGGTTCCATTCTCCCCATCACTTTCAGGTACACCAATCAGACGTAGATTTGGTCTTTTCACACAGTCCCATATTTCTTGGAGGCTTTGCTCATTTCTTTTTATTCTTTTTTCTCTAAACTTCCCTTCTCGCTTCATTTCATTCATTTCATCTTCCATTGCTGATACGCTTTCTTCCAGTTGATCACATTGGCTCCTGAGGCTTCTGTGTTCTTCACGTAGTTCTAGAGCCTTGGTTTTCAGCTCCATCAGCTCCTTTAAGCACTTCTCTGTATTGGTTATTCTAGTTATACATTCTTCTAAATTTTTTTCAAAGTTTTCAACTTCTTTGCCTTTGGTTTGAATGTCCTCACGTAGCTCAGAGTAATTTGATCGTCTGAAGCCTTCTTCTCTCAGCTCGTCAAAGTCATTCTCCATCCAGCTTTGTTCCGTTGCTGGTGAGGAACTGCGTTCCTTTGGAGGAGGAGAGGCGCTCTGCGTTTTAGAGTTTCCAGTTTTTCTGTTCTGTTTTTTCCCCATCTTTGTGGTTTTATCTACTTTTGGTCTTTGATGGTGATATACAGATGGGTTTTTGGTGTGGATGTCCTTTCTGTTTGTTAGTTTTCCTTCTAACAGACAGGACCCTTCAGCTGCAGGTCTGTTGGAATACCCTGTCGTGTGAGGTGTCAGTGTGCCCCTGCTGGGGAGGTGCCTCCCAGTTAGGCTGCTCAGGGGTCAGGGGTCAGGGACCCACTTGAGGAGGCAGTCTGCCCGTTCTCAGATCTCCAGCTGCGTGCTGGGAGAACCACTGCTCTCTTCAAAGCTGTCAGACAGGGACATTTAAGTCTGCAGAGGTTACTGCTGTCTTTTTGTTTGTCTGTGCCCTGCCCCCAGAGGTGGAGCCTACAGAGGCAGGCAGGCCTCCTTGAGCTGTGGTGGGCTCCACCCAGTTGGAGCTTCCGGGCTGCTTTGTTTACCTAAGCAAGCCTGGGCAATGGCGGGCGCCCCTCCCCCAGCCTCGCTGCCGCCTTGCAGTTTGATCTCAGACTGCTGTGCTAGCAATCAGCGAGACTCTGTGGGGTAGAACCCTCCAAGCCAGGTGCGGGATATAATCTCGTGATGCGCCGTTTTTTAAGCCTGTCGGAATAGCGCAGTATTCGGGTGGGTGTGACCCGATTTTCCACCCCTTTCTTTGACTCGGAAAGGGAACTCCCTGACCCCTTGCACTTCCCAAGTGAGGCAATGCCTCGCCCTGCTTCGGCTCGCACACGGTGCGTGCACCCACTGACCTGCGCCCACTGTCTGGCACTCCCTAGTGAGATGAACCCGGTACCTCAGATGGAAATGCAGAAATCACCCGTCTTCTGCGTCACTCACGCTGGGAGCTGTAGACCGGAGCTGTTCCTATTCGGCCATCTTGGCTCCTGGAAACCCATCTTTTTAAAACAGCTGCTAATTTGAATTCTAGTGCTCATTATCCATTATTGTTTGTTTTCATTGTGCTGACTTTTGGTGATCAAGCCCCATCCCCTTTGTATTGCCCCCTCTTTTAAAATAGTACACATGTGCACAGAGAGACCAGCTTTCTCAGAACCATGCGTTTTTGGGCTTTTGGTGATAAACGAGATTGACCAATCCAAGGGTTCATAAGGACTCTCCAGTTGGCCCTGAAGTTCTAGCATGTGATGGCTTCACTCCTGGATTATGACTTTCAGTGGGAGGTAGAAATTTTTCAGAGAACTGGACTGAGGAAAAATGACCTTTTCTTAACTTGAAGCTACTTCAAAAATTTGAGGGTCTGGACCAAAAGAAGAGGAATATCAGGTTGAAGTCAAGATGACAGATAAAGTGAGAGTAATGTCTAACTCCAAAGATGGCTTCATTGAAGAAAAGGCATTTTAAGATTTTTTTAAAAATCTTGTTAGGGCCGGGCATGGTGGTTCATGCGTGTAGTCTCAGCATTTTGAGAGGTCGAGGCAGGTGGATTGCTCGGGCTCAGGAGTTCGAGACCAACCTGGCCAATATGGCAAAACCCCATCTCTACTAAAAATACAAAAAAAAAAATTATCTGGGTGTGGTGGTGCACACCTGTAGTCTCAGCTACTTTGGAGGCTGAGGCAGGAGAATCGCTTGAACCTGGGAGGCAAAGTTTGCAGTGAGCCAAGATCATGCCACTGCACTCCAGCCTGGGTGACAGAACGAGACCCCATCTCAAAAAATCTTGTCAGAAGATCCCAGAAAAGTTCTAATTCTCATTAGCAATTTAAAAAGTTTTCATGTAGAAATGAATACAACAGAATACTGTTCTTCTTTATTTTATTTGTAATTTTTGGCCTGGGCTATGGGTTTTAAGTGGACGTTGTCTGTACCTGCTTTATTAAACAATATTTGTAAAAACTGTAAAAAAAGAAAAATAATCCATTTATCTTGTGGCTGGGTTAAAGAGTTTTCTTGGTGTCCTGAGGGCATATGACCAACAGCCTGTGACTATGGAGAAATCTCAGTGTATGCAAAGATCTAACATTAAACTGTAATCTTCACCTAAGACTCAGAAAAGAACCACTTCATTCAAAGTCCCAAAGGTAGGTTGCTCCCATCCTCTGTTGGGAACTTGAAGACTCTTTCAAATTCACATACCATTTTTTCTAGCTTATACATTGACCAATGTTGTGAGTGGGTTACATGAAGCTAAGTCTTTTTTAAATTTTTCTTTTCTTTTCCTTCTTTCTATTTTTGGTTTCTTATTAAAGGATTGTGACTTTCTGGATTCGCCATTTATAAGATCATTTTTTTCTTTCTTTTTTTGTATTTCCTCTCCCTTCCTTTCTACCTTTGTTTTTTCCTTCTTTCCTGTTCCACTGAAGTCTTGAATCTAATGTCTGGGAAATTGGGAAAGAAGAAATCATTGGAAGTTCCTCCCAACAGCCATTGGACACACCTTTCCCTTGTATATATAGATGTAGTATTATATAATGAGGTTTTTCTTACTGACCATTGTTATGTTACCATCTATGTCCACATTACCTATTCTCAGCAAATGAAAGGAAACATGATTACTCCACTGAGCAGTGTCTCTAGGACTGTTATTTGTTTCAAAGATTAGCAGTTTAATAAAACAGCAATGCAAGAAACTAAGTCCATTAACTTTCACTTTTCTTAGCTGCATGTAAGTTACTAATTATAACAGAAGGGTCATTCCTAAGGAGTTACTAACCTTCAAATGATATGAGATAATTATTCTCAAGAGAATCAAACAAATTTGTAAGACAAATACACTTGAAATTTCAGACATCAATCTCTTTTTTTTTTAACCACAGCCTGGGAACAAGGGAACTATGAAATATAATTTTACCCCAAGGTCCAACAAATGACTACATGAAAATAATTTCTCTCCTGCCAAAAAGAAAAAAGAAAAGAAAAAAAGAAACCCTTTATTTTGGTACATTGCCTAATACTTGTGCAGGCTGTTGTTTTGTTTAAATAATAAAAATTCCCTGAAGGAGAAAAAGTATTCTCTATCAAATGTTGAGTTTTAAAAATACATTCGCTGTAAATTTTAGGAACCATTTGCTCTGTGTTAGTCAACAATTCAGACTTAGTGTTAAGTTAGTCGAGTGTGTAACTGATGGAATATGAGACCAGGTTTCTCATTTAGGTCAGCATTTGACCAGTTTATTCTCTCCCGACTTCCCACTGAAACACACACAAAGACATTGAAAGAAACGAAAATGCGCATCATCATCAGAAAGGGGAACTCAGTCAACCCACAGACCAAATCTGAGAGGAATTTCATTTAGATTTAAGATCAATTATCCTAGATTTTAAAACCATTAGTCCACCTCTTTGAACAGTGCTTATAGAAAGAGGAAAAAGAAGTCACCTTCGGTACCAAAATCTTGGAGGCAGCCCCTTTCGGCAGAGTTTCCCAAACCAGTATATCCAGGAGCTTAATTATGAAGAGTTGTTTCTTCTAGAAAAGCTCACATAGCCAAAATTTGGGCCCTTATGCAAAATATATCTCCTTTTAGAGAATCAGAAAAAAAATTACCAGTATTAAAGTTTCTGGATGTTCTTACAGAGTAAAAAATGTATTTAGTTGTGTTTAACTTAGAATTTCTAAATGTGTTTAATCACACAACTCCTTATTTTTTCTGCAAAATACAACCTGTTAACATCCTACAACACCAGTTCCAAGGGGCATACTTGGGAATGCTACCTGGTGCGTAGCTGCATAGATGCTGCTTTCTAAATGCCAGAATGTTGTTTCTCTTTTTCTCTCTCTTTTTTAATGTCAAGTTTGAGAGCAAATTTTTAAGAAATAACTAGGTATCTGAGCTGGGAGCCACTATGGTAGAAAAAGGCCCCTATAATAGAGTAGACTAAGATAAAAATAAAGGCGTATATAATGAAAATGAAGAGCAATAAGTTATAAGAGCATTGTAAAGGCTCATATATTCAGATATTCCACAAATGCAATTTAAAGGCAAATATTAAAAGTATTTTAATTAAGCAAGTTATTCTAAAGTTCATGTGGAAAATGGACCACAAAAATAGCCAGAAAAATCCTGAAAAAGAAGAGTAATCAAGAGAATTAGCTACACCAGTTTGGCCTCTTTGTATAAAGAACATGTAAAACAAGGTAGTTTGGCTACTTAAATAGATTGCTGTCAATGGAAGAAAACAGAACATCTGGAAGCAGACCAAAATACATAAGGGAATTCAGTATATGACAAAAGTAGCTTCTGAAATCATTTAGAAGAAATTGCACTAACCCTTATCTAGGCCTTCACTCTGTGCCAGGCTGTGTCTAAGCACTTCACATACATTAAATCGTTTCATTCTTACAACTGTCTGCAGAAGGCAATATTATTAACTTCCATTTATAGATGAGGAGCCCAAGGCTAGTAAATGAGCTAAGTTTGGATTCAAATCCAAGCTATAGATCCTGTACTTTAAACTTTTACACTCATCAAACCATTAAATAAAAATGTGCACCAAATCATCAAATAATTACTGTTAAGTTAAAAAAAAAAAGCAGGATATGACCCTGAAAGATATAGAGATGACTTCAAATTGTATGTATGTATTTACATAATTATATATTTATATCTGTATATTACAATACTTAGAAGGAAAAGCACCAACAATGGTTAGTAGTTTGGGAATTATATTATAGAAAAGCTTAATTTAATTTTTGTTTGTTTGTTTGAGACAGAGTCTCACTCTGTCGCCCAGGCTGGAGTGCAATGGCACGATCTCGGCTCACTGCAACCTCCACCTCCCGGGTTCAAGTGATTCTCCTGCCTCAGCATCCCAAGTAGCTGCGATTACAGGCATGTGCCACGACACCCAGCTAATTTTTGTATTTTTAGTAGAGATGGGGTTTCACCATGTTGGCCAGGCTGGTCTCGAACTCTTGACCTCAGGTGATCTGCCCACCTCAGCCTCCCAAAGTGCTGGGATTACAGGCATGAGCCACCATGCCCAGCCAGAAACGCTTAATTTTAAATTTGTAATTTGATGTAGTTTTCTAATTTCCCACAATGACATAGCTTTTATGACTGAAAAAAAAAGTACTAAGAAATGAAACCAGATTTGGAGAGAAAATAATCTTATATTGTTAAATAGTATAAGATGTAAAATAATAGGATATTTACATAAGTATGTGTAGCTTATGGCTTAGGCTACAAAATCCACAGTAATCTTGAAACTTCAAAAAATATTGTGTTTGTGGATGGTCCCAAGCTCCGCCCAGGCCCTGTAAGGATACCTGGCTCCTGTTGGCTGCCGTTAGTACACTTCCAAGAAAGAAATTGAGAAACACTGGGGTAAGTCTTGAAATGGTGGAATGAGATATCAGGTGTGTTAAAAATAATCATTCCATGACTCTTTCTGGCTAATTATCAAGTTATTAAGATACCTAATGAAAGAATGGCCATAGACTCCATTTTCTGAAACCTGTTTGAAAGAATCTAGATTTTTGCCTGCCAAACAAATTGTGGTTGAAGGTTTATGATGAGTTGCTTGATTCTTCATATCCTTTAAGCCCAACCCTAATAGAGTTACAACATAAAGAAATTATTCGAAAGGGCCTTAGCCATTGTTCCTGTTGTATATAGCAAGCCATCATAAGGCATTTGAGACAGATATAAATTCACATTTTTTTAAAAAGACATATAGAGAAAGAAAGGATGATTATATCGACCGCAAGGTTGTTTTGGGCCATAGTGATGTTGAAATGCTACCTCCTGTGGGGCATTTTGTGGTCCCTCTGTCCCCTGCAAGCTGAGTCTTCTTCCTTTAGTCTCGTCATTCATAACATTTAGGATACTGTGTTGTTAACATTGGTTTCTTGTGTGTGTCTACTCCAGGATTGCAAACTCTTTGAGAACACATACCGCATGTTTTTCTCTATGTCCCACCTTTTGGCCCAGAGCAACTGCTTAGTATTTATTTAGAGAATAAATCAAGGAATTAATGCCTTTTCATTCCACATGAAAATGGTCAGTAGAAAATTCAGGAGTATATCTTAGGAGACTGGTCAGGGCTAGAGACAAACTTGGAAGTCATAAAATGATACCAAATCACTCTAAAATTATATAATTAAAATACTATTTTCATTTTCATATATATTATACCTATTAAGCCTACGAGGTAAACAAGTATTAATATAAGTATTTTCTTAGGTAAGAACCTTGAGGTTCAGAGAGGTAAAGTGGTGTGTCCAATGGCATCCAGCAAGAAGTAAAAATAATGTTACTGACACTTAACGGGGCACTAATTATGTGCTAAGCACTGCTCCAAGCGGGTTATTTGTATAAACTCCTTCAATCCACTCAAAACTCAGTGAGGCTTAATCCACATTTAAACAGATGAGGAAAGGGAAGGTAACAATGATTGAGTAACATGCCAAAGATCAGAGAACTGGGAGGTGAAGATGGGCTTCAAGGGCAAGCAGGCTGCCTCTAGGTTTCCTTTAGGTTACCTGTAAGCCATACTACCTGTGCACCTACACTTTTAATCAGACTCTGAGCCCAGAGATGTTTCAATTAAAGGACATCATTTGTCTTATCTATCACTTCTATGCCATCCTATGTATATCTCACAGGTGTTGAGAGGAATAAGTTAGATAAATGCATGTAAAGCACGAAGCAGAATAACTTGCACATAGTAAACACTCAAAAAATGTTAGCTGTTGTTTTTGGAATGTTAGTCATAGGAGTAGATGAACTCTGCAAGGAGTTTGTCTATTGAGAAGAAAGTGAAGAATCTCTTTAGTGCCCTTATGGTAAACTTAACAGTCATCATAAGCCCCCTTCTTCCCATGATGGGTTGCTGGATGGATCAAACAAGATAATGATTTGGAAAACGGAGTCCCATATGTAAATGTAAGATATTTTCCAATTATATCTTACATGAAACCCAAAGTTTCATACTGTGACTTTAGCTCATTTCCTCTTGCTCACTCTTCAGTAAACACTGACTGATGATAAGCTCTGCCCAGTGTTTGAGATCCTGCCTACCATGTTTATTACATGGTTTCCGATGAGCTAGAAGGCTGGGCCAAATCAAGGTTGCTTCCCTCTAGCTAGTCTGTGTTTTGGCTGTTTTCAAAGCACAGAAAAGAAATTTCAGCAGATCAAGTGATATAGAGGAACTAGACAAAGGGTTTTACCAGCTTTATTCTATATTAAATACAATGTCCAATTAACGGTTATTACCCATATTGCTTTTAGTCCCCTGACAAAAAAAATGATACACTTCCCTAGGGCCTGATTCCATGTTTGGATGAAGACAGGAGAAGGGAGCTGCCAGATGAATCTATGCCCTGAAGTTCTTATCACAGGTCCAGCTACTGATGGAGGGGAGAGGGCCCTGGCCACTTTTTAAAACCACTCTGGAGCATTAGAGGGCAGAAGTTGCAGTTTTATGATGAAATTGATTTACTAGCCCCAAGGACTCAATCCCATTAGACAGTTAATCAGGTCTTCCCCCTAGGAGATATTATTTGACCTTAAACTAAACGACATGTCTCTCCATATACAGATAAAGAAATAAACATTCTCTCATGCAAGCCAGAAGAGCTCTAAAAACAGCCTGCAATTTCATGTTACTAGTCTTCCAAAGTGTAGACCTGCAGATACTGTACATGCAGAAGTGATGTGCTTATGCTACATCTCACTTAAGAACAATTGCTGCAACAAGATGTTGTCTATTTCAATAAGGAAAATTGGCATTACATGCCTGGCACCAGGGGAACTTCAGGTCTCCAGGGGGGATTTTCCCGAAAATCTCCTATATTAGCCTTCCTTTTAAAATAACATTTCTCTGTGGGAATTGTAGGTTCAGTCCCATGTCAGTAAATGGTCTCCTAATAGCCCTCTATGGCAAAGTTATGACTTATCCCTAAAGAAAAATGCTGCCTCTTGAGCATGTTTTATTGAGGCTAAGAGTCAAGCCATAAAACATCAGCTCTCACATCTGAGTGCCTGTTCGCTAAAACACTATTTATTTGTACATAAATATTTGTCTTTTCTTTGCAGGGATGTATTTGCTTGCATATTCAAGTAGACCATATGTGTAAATTTTAAAAGTCCAAAGTGTTATAATGGGAATGTAGATAAGGAGCTGATTATTTTGGCTTCCAGTTTTAAAAAATACATTAAACTGCTTCTTGCTTTATCTAAAGAATGCATACAAATACAATTTTCATATTAAAGATTTAAAAATCATGTAAAGCTATACGTACAATCATGTGCTACGTAGTGGTATTTCAGTCAACAATGGATCACATGTATGACGGTGGTCCCATAAGATTATAGTAGAACATATATAGAAACCTGATATGTCACAGTTGATATTGGCATTGCAGAACAAGTAGGGGAAATTGATATTCAGCAATGGCCCTGAGACATTTGGTTTTCCATATTAAAAATATATAAATAAAAATATCTATTCCATCTAGGTCGGTGTAAGCACACTCTATGATAAGTGGCATGACTGAGTCATGTGCTACATAACAATGTTTTGGTCCATGATGAACCACATCTATGATGGTGATACTATGAGATTATAATGGAACTGCTATTGCCCCTGAAGACTTTCCAATGGGACAAGATGTAGAGGTGGATGACAGTGATATTGATGATCCTGACCCTGTGTAGGCCTAGGCTAATGGTGTGTTTTAGTTTTAAACAAAAATTTTAAAAAGTAAAACAAAAAAAATTAGAAGAAAAAGTTTATCGAATAAGGACATAAAGAAAAAAACTTTTTTTTACAGCTGTACAATGTATTTGTATTTTTAAAATAACTTTATAGTAAGTATTGCAAGAGTCAAAAAGTTTTTTTGTATTATTATACTTTAAGTTCTGAGGTACATGTGCACAATGTGCAGGTTTGTTACATATGTATACATGTGCCATGTTGGTGTGCTGCACTCATTAACTCGTCGTTTACATTAGGTATTTCTCCCAATGCTATCCCTCCTCCAGCCCCCTACCCCCTGACAGGCCCCAGTGTGTGATGTTCCCCTCCTTGTGTCCATGTGTTCTCATTGTTCAGCTCCCACTTATGAGTGAGAACATGCAGTGTTTGGTTTTTTCTCTTCTTGTGTTACTTTGCTGAGAATGATGTTTTCCAGATACATCCATGTCCCTCCAAAGGACATTAACTCATTAACTCATTCTTTCTTATGGCTGCATAGTATTCCATGGTGTATATGTGCCACATTTTCTTTTTTTAATTTTTTTGTGTGTTACACTTTAAGTTCTAGGGTACATGTGCACAACGTGCAGGTTTGTTACATATGCATACATGTGCCATGTTGGTGTGCTGCACTCATTAACTCGTCATTTACATTAAGTATGTCTCCTAATACTATCCCTCCCCTCTCCCCCCACCCCATGACAGGCCCCAGTATGTGATGTTCCCCTTCTTGTGTCCAAGTGTTATCATTGTTCAATTTCCACCTATGAGTGAGAACATGCGGTGATTGGTTTTTTGTCCTTGCGATAGTTTGCTGAGAATGATGGTTTCCAGCTTCATCCATGTCGCTACAAAGGATATGAACTCATCCTTTTTTATGGCTGCATAGTATTCCATGGTGTATATGTGCCACATTTTCTTAATCCAGTCTATCATTGATGTACATTTGGGTTGGTTCCAAGTCTTTGCTATTGTGAATAGTGCCACAATAAACATACGTGTGCATGTGTCTTTAAGGCAGCATGATTTATATTCCTTTGGGTATATACCCACTAATGGGATGGCTGGGTCAAATGGTATTTCTAGTTCTAGATCCCTGAGGAATCGCCACACTGTCTTCCACAATGGTTGAACTAGTTAACAGTCCCACCAACAGTGTAAAAGTGTTCCTATTTCTCCATATCCTCTCCAGCACCTGTTGTTTCCTGACTATTTAATGATCGCCATTCTAACTGGTGTGAGATAGTATCTCACTGTGGTTTTGATTTGCATTTCTCTGATGGCCAGTGATGATGAGCATTTTTTTCATGTGTGTTTTGACTGCATAAATGTCTTCTTTTGAGAAGTGTCTGTTCATATCCTTCGCCCAATTGTTGATGAGGTCGTTTGTTTTTTTCTTGTAAATTTGTTTGAGTTTTTTGTAGATTCTGGATATTAGCCCTTTGTCAGGTGAGTAGATTGCAAAAATTTTCTCCCATTCTGTAGGTTGCCTGCTCACTCTGATGGTAGTTTCTTTTGCTGTGCAGAAGCTCTTTAGTTTAATTAGATCCCATTTGTCAATTTTGGCTTTTGTTGCCATTGCTTTTGGTATTTTAGACATGAAGTCTTTGCCCATGCCTATGTCCTGAATGGTATTGCCTAGGTTTTCTTCTAGGGTTCTTATGGTTTTAGGTCTAATGTTTAAGTCTTTAATCCATCTTGAATTAATTTTTGTATAAGGTATAAAGAAGGGATCTAGTTTCAGCTTTCTACATATGGCTAGCCAGTTTTCCCAGCACTATTCGTTAAATAGGGAATCCTTTCCCCATTTCTTGGTTTTGTCAGGTTTGTCAAAGATCAGATGGTTGTAGATGTGTGGTATTATTTCTGAAGGCTCTGTTCTGTTCCATTGGTCTACATCTCTGGTACCAGTACCATGCTGTTTTGGTTACTGTAGCCATGTAGTATAGTTTGAAGTTAGGTTGCATGATGTCTCTAGCTTTGTTCTTTTGGCTTAGGATTGTCTTGGCAATGTGGGCTCTTTTTTGGTTCCATATGAATCTCAAAGTAGTTTTTTCCAATTCTGTGAAGAAAGTCATTGGTAGCTTGATGGGGATGGCATTGAATCTATAAATTACCTTGGGCAGTATGGCCATTTTCACGATATTGATTCTTCCTATCCATGAGCATGGAATGTTGTGTCCTCTTTTATTTCTTTGAGCAGTGGTTTGTAGTTCTCCTTGAAGAGGTCCTTCACATCCCTTGTAAGTTGGATTCCTAGGTATTTTATTCTCTTTGAAGCAATTGTGAATGGGACTTCACTCATGATTTGGCTCTCTGTTTGTCTGTTATTGGTGTATAAGAATGCTTGTGAGTTTAGCACATTGATTTTGTATCCTGAGACTTTGCTGAAGTTGCTTATCAGCTTAAGGAGATTTTGGTCTGAGACGATGGGGTTTTCTAAATATACAATCATGTCATCTGCAAACAGGGACAATTTGACTTCCTCTTTTCCTAATTGAATACCCTTTATTTCCTTCTCCTGCCTGATTGCCCTGGCCAGAACTTCCAACACTATGTTGAATAGGAGTGGTGAGAGAGGGCATCTTTATCTTGTGCCAGTTTTCAAAGGGAATGCTTCCAGTTTTTGCCCATTCAGTATGATATTGGCTGTGGGTTTGTCATAAATAGCTCTTATTATTTTGAGATACATCCCATCAATACCTAATTTATTGAGAGGTTTTAGCATGAAGGGCTGTTGAATTTTGTCAAAGGCCTTTTCTGCATCTATTGAGATAATCATGTGGTTTTTGTCTTTGGTTCTATTTATATGCTGGATTACGTTTATTGATTTGCATGTGTTGAACCAGTCTTGCATTGCAGGGATGAAGCCCACTTGATCATGGTGGATAAGCTTTTTGATGTGCTGCTGGATTCGGTTTGCCAGTGTTTTATTGAGGATTTTTGCATCAATGTTCATCGGGGATATTTGTCTAAAATTCTCTTTTTTTGTTGTGTCTCTGTCAGGCTTTGGTATCAGGATGATGCTGGCCTCATAAAATGAGTTAGGGAGGATTTCCTCTTTTTCTATTGATTGGAATAGTTTCAGAAGGAATGGTACCAGCTCCTCCTTATACCTCTGGTAGAATTTGGCAGTGAATCCGTCTGTTCCTGGACTTTTTTTGGTTGGTAGGCTATTAATTATTGCCTCAATTTCAGAGCCTGTTATTGGTCTATTCAGGGATTCAGCTTCTTCCTGGTTTAGTCTTGGGAGGGTGTATGTGTCCAGGAATTTATCCATTTCTTCTAGATTTTCTAGTTTATTTGCATAGAGGTGTTTATGGTATTCTCTGATGGTAGTTTGTATTTCTGTGGGATCGGTGGTGATATCCCCTTTATCATTTTTTATTGCATCTATTTGATTCTTCTCTCTTTTCTTCTTTATTAGTCTTGCTAGCGGTCTATCAATTTTGCTGATCTTTTAAAAAAACCAGCTCCTGGATTCATTGATTTTTTGAAGAGTATTTTGTGTCTCTATCTCCTTCAGTTCTGCTCTGATCTTAGTTATTTCTTGTCTTCTGCTAGCTTTTGAATGTGTTTGCTCTTGCTTCTCTAGTTCTTTTAATCGTGATGTTAGGGTGTTAATTTTAGATCTTTCCTGCTTTCTCTTGTGGGCATTTAGTGCTATAAATTTCCCTCTACACGCTGCTTTAAATATGTCCCAGAGATTCTGGTATGTTGTGTCTTTGTTCTTGTTGGTTTCAAAGAACATCTTTATTTCTGCCTTCATTTCATTATGTACCCAGTAGTCATTCAGGAGCAGGGTGTTCAGTTTCCATTAGTTGAGTGGTTTTGAGTGAGTTTCTTAATCCTGAGTTCTAGTTTGATTGCACTGTGGTCTGAGAGACAGTTTGTTATAATTTCTGTTCTTTAGCATATGCTAAAGAATGCTTTACTTCCAACTATGTGGTCAGTTTTGGAATAAGTGTGATGTGGTGCTGAGAAGAATGTATATTCTGTTGATTTGGGGTGGAGAGTTCTGTAGATGTCTATTAGGTCCACTTGGTGCAGAGCTAAGTTCAATTCCTGGATATCATTTTTAACTTTCTGACTCGTTGATCTGTCTAATGTTGACAGTGGGGTGTTAAAGTCTCCCATTATTATTGTGTGGGAGTCTAAGTCTCCTTGTAAGTCTCTAACGACTTGCTTTATGAATCTGGGTGCTCCTGTATTGGGTGCATATAATATTTAGGATAGTTAGCTCTTCTTGTTGAATTGATCCCTTTACCATTATGTAATGGCCTTCTTTGTCTCTTTTGATCTTTGTTGGTTTAAAGTCTGTTTTATCAGAGACTAGGATTGCAATTCCTGCCTTTTTTTGTTTTCCATTTGCTTGGTAGATCTTCTTCCATCCCTTTGTTTTGAGCCTGTGTGTGTCTCTGCACGTGATATGGGTTTTCTGAATACAGCACACTGACAGGTCTTGACTCTTTATCCAATTTGCCAGTCTGTGTCTTTTAATTGGAGCATTTAGCCCATTTACATTTAAGGTTAATATTGTTATGTGTGAATTTAATCCTGTCATTATGATGTTAGCTGGTTATTTTGCTCATTAGTTGATGCAGTTTCTTCCTAGCCTTGATGGTCTTTACAATTTGGCATGTTTTTGCAGTGGCTGGTACCAGTTGTTCCTTTCCATGTTTAGTGCTTCCTTCAGGAGTTCTTTTAGGGCAGGCCTGGTGGTGATAAAATCTCTCAGCATTTGCTTTTCTGTAAAGTATTTTATTTCTCCTTCACTTATGAAGCTTAGTTTGGCTGGATATGAAATTCTGGGTTGAAAATTCTTTCCTTTAAGAATGTTGAATATTGGCCCCCGCTCTCTTCTGGCTTGTAGAGTCTCTGCCAAGAGATCAGCTGTTAGTCTGATGGGCTTCCCTTTGTGGGTAACCCGACCTTTCTCTCTGGCTGTCCTTAACATTTTTTTCCTTCATTTCAGCTTTGGTGAATCTGTCAATTATGTGTCTTGGAGTTGCTCTTCTCGAGGAGTATCTTTGTGGCATTGTTCTCTGCATTTCCTGAATTTGAATGTTGGCCTGCCTTGCTAGATTGGGGAAGTTCTCCTGGATAATATCCTGCAGAGTGTTTTCCAACTTGGATCCATTCTCCCCGTCTCTTTCAGGTACACCAATCAGACATAGATTTGGTCTTTTCACATAGTCCCATATTTCTTGGAGGCTTTGTTCGTTTCTTTTTATTCTTTTTTCTCTAAACTTCTCTTCTCACTTCATTTCATTCATTTGATCTTCCATCACTGATACCCTTTCTTCCAGTTGATTGAATTGGCTACTGAGGCTTGTGCATTTGTCACGTAGTTCTCGTGCCATGGTTTTCAGCTCCATAAGGTCTTTTAAAGACTTCTCTGCATTGGTTACTCTAGTTAGTCATTTATCTAATTTTTTTCAAGGTTTTTAACTTCTTTGCTGTGGGTTTGAACTTCCTCCTTAACTCAGAGTAGTTTGATCATCTGAAGCCTTCTTCTCTCAACTTGTCAAAGTTATTCTCCGTCCAGCTTTGTTCCATTGCTGGTGAGAAGCTGAGTTCCCTTGGAGACGGACAGGTGTTCTGATTTTTAGAGTTTCCAGTTTTTCTGCTCTGTTTTTCCCCCATCTTTGTGGTTTTATCTACCTTTGGTCTTTGATGATGGTGACGTACAGATGGGGTTTTGGTGTGGATGTCCTTTCTGTTTGTTAGTTTTCCTTCTAACAGTCAGGACCCTCAGCTGCAGGTCTGTTGGAGTTTGCTGGAGGTCCACTCCAGACCATTTGCCTGGGTATCAGCAGCGGAGGCTGCAGAACAGCAGATACTGGTGAACAGCAAATGTTGCTGCCTGATCGGTCCTCTGGAAGTTTTGTCTCAGAGGAGTACCGGCCATGTGAGGTGTCAGTCTGCCCCTACTGGGGGATGCCTCCCAGTTAGGCTCCTCAGGGGTCAGGGACCCACTTGAGGAGGCAGTCTGTCCATCCTCAGATCTCCAGCTGCATGCTGGGGGAACCACTACTCTCTTCAAAGCTGTCAGCCAGGGACATTTAAGTCTGCAGAGGTTTCTGCTGCCTTTTGTTTGGCTATGCCCTGCCCCCAGAGGAAGAGTCTACAGAGAGCAGCCAGGCCTCTTTGAGCTGCGGTGGGCTCCACCCAGTTTGAGCTTCCTGGCCACTTTGTTTACCTACTCAAGCCTTGGCAATGGCGGGCACCCCTCCCCCAGCCTTGCTGCCACCTTGCAGTTTGATCTCAGACTGCTGTGCTAGCAATGAGCAAGGCTCTGTGGGTGTAGGACCCTCTGAGCCAGGCACAGGATATAATCTCCTGGTGTGCTGTTTGCTAAGACCGTTGGAAAAGTGCAGTATTATGGTGGCAGTGACCCAATTTTCCAGGTGCCGTCTGTCACCCCTTTCTTTGACTAGGAAAGAGAATTCCCTGACCCCTTGCGCTTCCCAGGTGAGGCAATGCCTCGCCCTGCTTTGGCTCACACATGGTGTGCTGCACCCACTGTCCTGCACACACTGTCTGACACTCCCCAGTGAGATGAACCCAGTACCTCAGTTGGAAATGCAGAAATCACCTATCTTCTGTGTCGCTCACGCTGGGAGCTGTAGACTGGAGCGGTTCCTATTCGGCCATCTTGGCTCCTCTGGTCTTGACTCTTTATCTAATTTGCCAGTCTGTGTCTTTTAATTGGGGCAGTTAGCCCATTTACATTTAAGATTCATATTGTTATGTGTGAATTTTATTCTGCCATTATAATGCTAGCTGGTTATTTTGCTCATTAGTTGATGCAGTTTCTTCATAGCATGGATGGTCTTTACAATTTGGCATGTTTTTGCAGTGGCTGGTACTGGTTTTTCCTTTCCGTATTTACTGCTTCCTTCAGGAGCTCTTGTAAGGCAGCCCTGGTGGTCACATAATCTGTCAGCATTTGCTTGTCTGTAAAGGACTTTATTACTCTTTCACTTATGAAGCTTAGTTTGGCTGGATATGAAATTCTGGGTTGAAAATTCTTCCTTTAAGAATGTTGAATATTGGCCCCTACTCTCTTCTGGCTTGTAGGGTTTCTGCAGAAAGATCCGCTGTTAGTCTGATGGGCTTCCCTTTGTTGGTAACCTGACCTTTCTCTCTGTCTACCCTTAACATTTTTTCCTTCGTTTCAACCTTGGTGAATCTGACAATTAATGTGTCTTGGAGTTGCTCTTTTTGAGGAATATCTTTGTGGTGTTCTCTGTATTTTCTGAATTTGACTGTTGGCTTGCCTTGCTAGATTGGGGAAGTTCTCCTGGATAATATCCTGAAGAGTGTTTTCCAACTTGGTTCCATTCTCCTTGTCACTTTCAGGTATATCAATCAAATGTAGATTTGGTCTTTTCACATAGTCCCATATTTCTTGGAGGCTTTGTTCATTTCTTTTCACTCTTTTTTCTTTAATCTTGATGTCACACTTTATTTCATTGGGTTGCTCTTCAATCTCTGATATCCTTTCTTCCGCTTGATCGATTTGGCTATTGAAACTTGTGTATGCTTCTCGAAGTTCTGGTGCTGTGTTTTTCAGCTCCATCAGGTCGTTTATGTTCTTCTCTACAATGGTTATTATAGTTAGTAATTCGTCTAATCTTTTGTCAAGGTTCTTAGCTTCCTTGAATTGGGTTAGAACATGCTCCTTTAGCTCGGAGTTGTTTGTTATTACCCACCTTCTGAAGCGTACTTCTGTCAATTTGTCAAACTCATTCTTCATCCAGTTTTGTTCCCTTGCTGGAGAGGAGTTGTTATCCTTTGGAGGAGAAAAGGCATTCTGGTTTTTGGAATTTTCATCCTTTCTGCGCTGGTTTCTCCCCATTTTTGTGGTTTTATCTACCTTTGGTCTTTGATGTTGGTGACCTACAGATGGGGTTTTGTTGCGGACGTCCTTTCTGTTGATGTTGATGCTATTCCTTTCTGTTGGTTAGTTTTCCTTCTAACAGTCAGACCTCTCTGCTGCAGTTCTGTTGGAGTTTGCTGGAGGTCCCCTCCAGACTCTGTTTGCCTAGGTATCACTAGCAGAGGCTGCAGAACAACAAATATTGCTGCCTGATCCTTCCTCTGGAAGCTTTGTCCCAGAGGGGCACCCACTAGATGCCAGCCAGAGCTCTCCTGTATGAGGTGTCTGTTGGCCCCTACTGGGAGGTATCTCCCAGTCAGGCTACACGGGGGTCAGGGACCCACTTGAGTAGGCAGTCTGTTCATTATCCGAGCTCTTAACGCTGTGCTGGGAGAACGACTGCTCTCTTCAGAGCTATCAGGCAGGGACATTTAAGTCTACTGAAGTTGTGCCCACAGCCGCCCCTTCCCCCAGGTGATCTGTCCCAGGGAGATGGGAATTTTATCTATAAGTCCCTGACTGGGGCTGATGCCTTCTGTTCAGAGATGCCCTGCCCACAGAGGTGGAATCTAGACAGGCAGTTAGCCTTGCTGAGCTATGGTGGGCTCCACCCAGTTCAGACTTCCCCAGAAGTTTTGTTTACACTGTGAGCATAAAACCATCTACTGAAGCCCCAGCAATGGTGGACACCCCTCCCCCAACCAAGCTCGAGTGTCCCAGGTTGATCTCAGACTGCTGCGTCAGCAGTGAGAATTTCAAGCCAATGGATCTTAGCTTGCTGGGCTTCATGGGCATGGGACCCACCGAGCCAGGCAGCGGAGGGAATCTCCTGGTTTGCCAGTTGTGAAGACCATGGGAAAAGCGCAGTATCTGGGCAGGAGTGTACCGTTCCTCCCAGAACAGTCTCTCACAGCTTCCCTTGGCTAGGAAAGGGAAATCCCCCAACCCCTTGCACTTCCCAGGTGAGGCGACTCCCTGCCCTGCTTCAGCTCACCCTCCATGGGCTGCACCCACTGTCCAACCAGCCCCAGTGAGATGAACCAGGTACCTCAGTTGGAAATGCAGAAATCACCTGCCTTCTGCGTGGATCTTGCAGGCAGTTGCAGACTAGAGCTGTTCCTATTCGGCCATCTTGCCTGACCACTCCAAAAAGTTTTAAAAAATTAAAAAGTTTATGAAGTAAAAAATGTTACAGTAAGATAAGGTTAATTTAATGAAGAAAGAAGGTTTTAAAAATAAATTTAGTGTAGACTAAGTGTAGAGTGTTCATAAAGTCCACGGTAGCAGTATTATCCTAGGCCTTCACATTCACTCACCACTCATTCACTGACTCACCCAGAGCAACTTCCAGTCCTGTAAGCTCCATTAAGTGCCCTATACAGGTGTACCATTTTGTATCTTTTAACAATATGTTTGCTGAACAAAAACTTACCTTAGATATACAAATACTTACCATTGTGTTACAGTTGCTTACAGTATTCAGTGCAGTCACATGCTGTACTGGTTTGTAGCCTAGAAACAATGTGCTATACATCTAGCCTAGGTGTGTAGTAGGTTGTATCATCTAGGTTTGTGTAAATACACTCTATGATGTTTGCACAGTGACAACAGTAACACATTTCTTAGAACGTATCTCTATCGTTAAACAATGCATTACTATTAAATTAAAACATGACAGACCACACAGCTGTTTACTGGGTTTTTCTTTTTTGCATTTTATGCTATAAAATTAATTTTTGTGCGTATGTGTTAGATTTGTTCCTTATAGAAAAAGATGAGTTTCTGTTCATTTGATATCATAAAAACATTATGGTAAATTAAAACTATCATGTGATATGTACATTAAGCACTTTAAAATAATGTGTGCTAAAATGATGAAAGTCCTTACAAAGTCATTTCTCTGTCTGTTTGTATGCTACCTCTTATGATTTCTGAATTTCTGGACGGTTTGGGGCTTTTTTAATTCCTAAAGCATGATGTAAAACTGTCTTTTCTAAATTACTAAAGAAAATAATCATGCTTGCTTCCTGACTTCCATTGATAGAGCATATGTATTTCCCAAACAGAAATGTGTCTTCTAATTGCTTCTGGCAAAAACTCAAAGTTACTTCTAAGGGAGCACAAAGGTGGAGTGATTCTTTCCACTCCTCATTTCTATTTTTTTCCCTCCACAGCATTTGTAGAATGAAGTCAGTTTTCTCAGAAATCCCTAGAATGGTTTAGACACCTAGGTAGGTTATGAAAATGATATGCATAAAAAGCAGACAGAAACAATCTATATTGCGCTTTCATAAGAGAAGATGTAAGTGGTCTTGTCAAGAGGGAGGTTGAATATATTCATTCATGATGCTTTTTTTTCTGCCAGGTGTTGATAACAATCTCATTACACTTAAGTTCGGGCTTAAACTTGGAACATAGCATTTGAAAAGGAGGTGCTGAAAGCAATCTTAAAACTTTTTTATGTCTCTTTTAAAAATAATTAAATGGAACAAAGGAATAAAAGAAATGCTGTCACCTTTGTGTCAGATCAGCTTACTAGGGGCTCTGACACAAAATGGAAACTGGAAAGGAAGTGCTGGTTAACCTTTGAGGGTGAAATAAATTTTGCCTTTAGTTCATGCTGCACCCTTCCCAGGGATGTTGACAGAAATTACATGTGAGAATCTAATGGCTAAATGCGAGCTGCAATTAGCTCTCTATGGGAGATCCATGTGAAATCCACTTACACAAAAGATAAGTGAATTAAATGCAAATATCAGAAGATACGGATTTGATATTTTGGGCCTGAATGATCAAGTGTGTGCTTTATGATAAGAAGCCAAATGACTTTTACTCTCAATGATGGGTTTGGAAAATTTAGAGTGATAGTGTGCTTACCGAATCCTCTCATAATTAGAATACAGGAAATTGAAGTCACCTGAAAATAAAAAGTAGAGGAATTGACTGTACATTTTTTTTTAATTCTGGGAAAAGCAAACTATATGAGCAGAGACAGTTCAGTGGTTGCCAATAGTCAAGGTGAGAGAGGGAGTTGAGTACAAAAGGTGATGGAGCCATCTTGTAACTTGACCGTGGTGGCTACAGACTGCATTCACCAAAATGCATTGAACTGAACATCAAAAAGAGTGAATTTTATTGCATGGAAATTAATTTTAAAAAAGTGTTAAAAATCATATCCAAAAGTAGTTTTAAATTAAGGTGCAAAAGTTCATGAGTACTTGTTTCATCTCTTGACATGATTTCTGATTGAAGGCAAGTGGAGGCAAGAAAGACAAGTCAAAGGGAAACTGCTCTGTGCCTCCAGGTCTGTTTACCCTGAGTTATCAGCAGAGCTTTCATTGTTATTATTTTGAAAAAAAAAAAAAGTCACAATATTAAAAAGGAGGCAAGATGAATATAACAAACAGGAGACTAGTCACTGCCCAGGACTAACAAATATTAATATTGTATCATTTTGCATCATATTTTTATATGTAAATAATGTAGAATGTTGTAGGTAAAGGGAAATCTCCTGTCTTCTCTTCTCTTGGTACATTCTACTACCTCCAAAAATGGCTTTGAAAAAGAATAGAGTAGGCCAAGAATTCTGGGAAAATGATGACTGCTCTTTTCAGTAAATGAAGTGAGTTAGTCATGTTGATCACGTCATCACTGGGTATGGATGTCTGCAGTAGGTGTCTGTGGGAAGGCTGGATTAACACACACATGTTAAGATCTAAAAGACACCTAAACACATGGTGACTAGCTGGTTACACAGAGCTCAGTGCAATTCTGGGGATTTGCACATTTGGTTTAATGACTAAGGTGAATAAGGTTATTAAAACCTGAGTGCCCCTTACCAGCATCCAGGTTTTCCCAAGTTTCTCAACCACTTCCACCAAGAACTCTTGGAATAGAGTCCAGTTTAGAGAGGAATAACAAGACACAACGAGTCTGTGCTTAACAGAGTTAATAAAGTTTTGAGCTCTACCGAGTATCAAACCAAAAAAAAAAAAAACAAAAAAGACCACAAGAGAAAAGAAAGTTGATGCTAATGCCAAATCTGCCACATTAAAAGAAAATAACTGCAGATGGCTTTTCAAGTTGCAAAAACTGCCTGCGCTGTCCAAATTTCCCCACTCCCTTTACTGCATGCCTGTCTCTGACAAGAAAATTGCTAGTCTTAATCCGAAATAAGCAATTACCAAACAGAGATTTGTCATATTTATAGTCTGCCCTCAGTTACAGGAATAACTTGTTTGCCACATGGAGAAAGTCACTCAAAATTGCTCGCTTAAATGTTTTGTGGAATTATCAGAGCCCCAGAGTAGCATATTAGCCTAAGTTGTTTTATACGACTCTGTTTGTGTAAGGACCGGGTGGTGTTACTACATGAGGCTGATGTCATCTTGCCATGAGTTAGTTTCCCCCAAGACTGTCAAGAACAAGAATTGTTCCTTCAAGTCCAAACTTCTTAAAGTGGCATTTGAGTCTCTTTACAACTGAACTCCAGACTTGCTCTCCTGTTTTTCACTACTCTCAAAAAGAACCTTTGGACGCAGCCAAATTTGCTTGCTTAAAATGCAGCATCAATGTCCCACTCCTTCATCTTCTTTCTCCACACTCACTCTCTTGGTCACTTCAGCCAATCTAATGACTTTAAGTGTCATCTTGATATCTGTAACTCCCCAGATTGTATCTTCACCTTTCTGCTGAATTCCACATGCATATTTCTGGCTACCTTCCTGATACTCCCACTTGAATGTTGAATGCCTTGTTACTTAAAGTGTGATCCTCAGATCAGCATCATATTGCCTGACACCTTGTTATAATAGAAATGCAGAACCTTGGGCTCTATCTTACACCGGCTGAATCAGAATCTGCATTATAACAAGATCCCCAGATTCATATGCACATTAAAGTTTGAGAAGCACTGGTCTATGTCACAATTGGGGATTTAACACATTCTATCCTTATGATGTTGTTTATTTTAGGCAACTATTCTATCAAATTATAAACCCTGCATGGTCACACATCATGGCTCATTTTGTTTTATACTTCTAGCACCTAGCAGAGGAAATGCTAACAGAGTAGCTATACTCAATGTGTTCAATTACACTGAAATGCAAATGGGCAATTTTGCATGAAAGCCTATTGCATTGGGGGCTGGGGTGGGGGAAAGATGACTAACTCAAGTTGCCAACCATTCACTGGCAGAGGTATCATTGCATATCACTGTGGCTTTTTAACCATGCAAGTGGCATTTGGTGACTGATTCTAGGAGAAGCCATATTGTTTTAGGATGTCAGTTAAGTAATACTTTTGCAAGAAGTTACTGCTATATGATGCCACGATCTCACCCTTTCCCTGGCTTATTCAAAATTTGAATTTGTCCAAGGAGCCAATTAGAGTCACTGCCCCATTTGTCGTGCTCTAACCTGGACATCTGTACAATAATTGGGGCATATCTGAGGCTTTTCCTTAAAATATGTGTTTACCAACATCAGCCTGGGCTTATGCCAGATCACACTGGGCCTATGTTTTTCAGCAGAACAGATGAACATTCGCCTTTCACTCTGAACTATGGCATTTCCTATTCAATTTCTCAGTTTTGTTCCTGTATCTCATACTCATTTAAGAGGATTTCACAGGACCCACAGGATTTGTGAAAATCAATGGGCAGTAAATTTACCTCTCAGACAACCTCAGAATGGCCCTCATTTACATCAGAAATTGAAACAAGGAGATGGAAGTAGTAGAAATGGGATTACTATAGTCCAGCACCCTGAGAAGGTGGGGCTTCAGGCCTCTGTGCACTGAGTCAGAGTCAAAATCACTTAGTGATATGCTACTATGGAGAGGAAGGCTGGCTCTAAAACAGAGCTTCTACTTGAATACTGGCATTAGCTTAATCTTTATGTGTGCTTTAGGTACGAATGCTTATTGTCCGTACAAATATGGCTCCAGGTGAAGTATCATTCTTGATTTTCCAAAGTATCTTCTGTCAATAATATTTTACTTTAGAGCAGAGTTTCTCAAATGTGCCTGATGATAAGAACTACTTGGGAGCTTGTTAAACACTGGCATTCCTGAGACCCTCCCTAGACCTAATTAGGATTTCTAATTTCTGGAGGATACACATTTAAAATCCAGGTGATTCTTAACCACCTACTACTACGTGTTTATTTCTGCAAGTATTTTTATGAGGCAAATTAGAAAAGCTTCTCTGTTCTTGTTCATTCATCCAGTCAATAAGTTTTTGAGTAATTCCTGCATTCCAGGCCCTGTGCTAAGTGGGGAGATTAGAATAAGACCTAGTCACTGTCTTCAAGCAGATCAAATCCCAAGGGAGATGACAGAGTAAAATATGCAGAACACAATGTGATGAGGCCATGAAGGAACGAGACACAAATCAAACTCTACAGTTTTATCTGTTTGAAAGAAATAATAGTTCTACAAATCTAAAAATACACCCAAGACAAAGTTTCCATGGAATTAGCATGTTTATATTGGACATTGGAATGCTACATGGAAATAAGAGTCCATATTAAAATGATATTCTTTTTTGCTTTTCCGTTAGAGCCAAAAGAAGTTTGAAGTTTGCACAGTACCTGGCAAAAAAAAAATGGCACCGAATAAATATTTATCAAAAAGATTACTGAATAGGAATGCCCACAAAATCATGTAATAAAAGCAGACCAAAGGGATTTTTCCAATGCAGCCACCAGTGAACAGGACTGCTAGGGCCACAGAGTGCTTGTTCCAAGTGTCATGAGAGAGTTTCAGACTCCTCACTTTCTCTCCCTTATGGTCCATCACTGTCTAATACATTGGCTGCCATGGGATAAAATATGCCATCTCCATGAGCTAGTTTGTTGTGTTACCATTAGCATGCCAGCAAAATGTTGCCCTTACTTATTTCTGCTTTTTTGTTCGTTTTATGCTATCCCTCTTCCCCCAACAAATGCAAACTATTTAATATGAATGTTATTTTTTCCAAGCAGGGCATAATGTCTAATACTGGGCTTTCTACCAGGGGAATTCACCTTGCTAAATAGAGCTTAGTGCCATATATTTTTTTAAGCCCAGATTTAATTTTCCTGGAAAGAGTTTCTAATCTGCTCTGGGTTGAAAGCCTTCTTGACACAAACAAATAAATAAATAATAAAATGAGTAAGCCTAATCTAGTTTCTCTGCTATCTACATTCCCATAGAACCCCAGTTGAACCAGAAATGAACACAAGAGTAATAATTGTGTCCTGTCACATTCTTCCTGTTTTTCTAAATAATTATATTCTAAGTGTCATAATTATAGATGGAAAACAATTAAAAGGAACACATACAACTCCACTGTCAGCTTTCTAGAAGCCGAGGTATAGGTAGGGCTGTTCTCTCCTTAAAGGCCTCTTCCTACCTCTGAAGGAATCTGGTTTCATTACTCATGAGCTCCATGAGCCAGTATTTCTTAAGCAGGAATATTTATGTAACAATTGTGGCTTGGCTCTCTAGGAACCCATGATAAAACTGCTATGAGCAGTGTCTCAGAGCTCTGGTGATCACTATGTGGTAGCTGTATTGCAACCAAGCTACCTGGCCAACTTACGTCTGCTGTCTCAGGGTGTTCCTAAAGAAGTTTGACCTTTTAGCAAGAAGCCTAACAACCCATAATAAAAGTATTTTCCCAGGCTGTGCAGCCACCATAATTACTCCCATTATTTTTGAATAGTAAAGAAAACCATAATAAATCTTCAGAGGATACAATGATATTAATAATGATGATGATAGCAGCTGGCATTCATGCACAATGGCCTTACACTGTGCTAAGTGCTATCCATTCATTATATCATGACATCTCATAGATATGACTGTGCAGAAGAAGCAAGACACAACAGAGTATGGTTCTACTTGTACAAAGTTCTGCAACAGGCAAAACTAACCTAGGGAGATGAAAGTCAGATCATTGGTTGTCTGGGCGGGGGATGAGGCAGAACTGTAATGGGGTTTGTGGGAACTTTCTAGGGAGGAAAATGTTCCATATCTTGGTTGGGGTGCGTGGTTACATGGGTGGATACATTGGGAGACCTAACCATCTGGTGGCTATCTGGTGAACTTTCTGCACTAAGAAGACTGCAGGCTTATGGGTCATGCCTCTTACAAGAGTGGTGCACAGGCTTTATTTTTGCATGCAACTCACCTGGAATGTTTACTTAAAATTCAGATGTCTGTGTTCTTCTCAACATGACTAAAAAAGATTCTCTAGGAATAGACCCTGAAATCTGCACTTTAAGCCATCATTTCTGTGCTTGTTTCAGCAGCAGCACATATACTAAGCCATCATTGCTGCAACATTTCTGAAGCAGAAATCCAAGGTCTGCACTACCTTGCTTTTAGTTTGACTTCTTGCCTGTGGCTGGGTGTGTTGTGGACCAGGTGAGTCTATAGATGGTTCTGCAAAAACCCATTGCTGTTCCTAAAAACCTCATTCAGGGTACCTGAGAATAGTGACTGTTTTTTGTGTTTGAATGAAAGGGTTTTATGTAAACAAAACAAAAAGAAAAGTGACATACACCAAGATGACCAGTAATCACTAGGCCTTTTTCTCAGCAGTGCCTCCTGCCACTTCATTTCCTTATTACTCCTCTTCTCATGCCCCAAAGATGTGTTTTGTTCACCTGGGCAACTGGTTTTTAATTGATTTTTTAATAAAGTTATTTCTTGCTGTCTTTCACTCTGATTAAGAAGCATAGCATGATCTCATCAGGCCTGGACAAGTATTGATGGGCTGGGGTATCATGGGGCTAATAAAGAGTGTTATACAGTATTTTTTAGTGACACATAAAAACTCCCTCATGAAAGATACGGAGGCAGAGCGTAATATATATGTCATTCTAGGAACAGTGGTATTAGGGTGTCTATTGCTGGACATTAGTGATTTCATTAATGCACTAAGACAGGCCTCTGTTAGGGATAAGTGGTGGGGAGTGGGCACTGGTGGGTCAGAAGGAATGCAAAGGGAAGGCCCTCACAGAACAAAGGGCCCTGTAGGTTTCTAGGTCTTTCTAGATATGCAGTAATCTAATAAAATACTTCAGATGACTAGGAAAAGAATAATTTAATTCAACACTTTATTTACCCATCTTCAACTTTGCTTTTCCCCAAAACACTATTTAAAATATTTCAGAAGGGATGAGGTGTTGAAAGGCAGAAGTGCTTTTGAATTTTTCTTTTTTTACTCATTATACCTTTAAGTTCAATCTGATCCACTCTACTCCTTGGATTACTGGGAGGAAGAAGAATTGAGGTTTCGTGAGAGAAATGATTTGGGACATTCCCAGCTACTGCTTTGGGCTCCTATTTCAATTCAGTATTAATTGTAATAAGTATTTAGTGCAGAAAAAAAGAAAACGGCCAGTATGAGCACAAAGAGCCCAGCCTTGCCATGAAGGGACCATCTGGCTTTTGGAGATTCCAGGTAACCTCACTAGGTCAAAGGGCAGGAGAGATTTTGAAGCATGAAGCTTTTTTTTTTTTTTTTTTTTGCCAGCTTTAAAATGTGGTTGTAACTGGGAATAGTGGCATCTGCCTGTGGTCCCAGCTACTAGGGAGGCCAAGGTAGGAGGATTGATTGAACCCAGGAGGCTGAGGCTGCAGTGAGCCATGATCACACCACTGCACTCCAGACTGAGTGAGAGAGGAAGACCCTGCCTCAAGAAAAAAAAAAAAAAAAAGTGATTATTCTGGGATATCATTTGCCCAGCATCGCCTTAGGGCCATGGGAGATAGAACACATTTAAGACCATCCATCCTTTTCCAGGAAGAGACTGCCTGAAGTACACAAACTATAGGAAAGGAAATACATGCACGTCCAAATTCATGCAACCCTCATATTTCAAAGAAACAAATATGTAATCGTCCTTCCAAAGCGTACATTTTGAAATACATTTTTAAAATTTGATATGTTAGAAAACAACTGAGAAAATCATTTTAAAGATAGCAGACTATAATTCTCTTTTTATTTAGTCTCTACTTTCTCATTATCCATTGACTTCATTGCTTTCAGGGGATTTGTGTTAAGCAGGTAGGGACAAATGCCAGTGGAATTTGAATTATTACCTTTAATGTAACTCTGTGTGTACCTACAGGCCTGAAGAAACTCAGGGTGTGTGTGTATCTGCAAGATTGGAGTCACACTGTGATTCATATTAAGGAGCATGGATATTACCCCATGTGCAATCAGTTTCCATGCCATGGAGATTTTGAGTGAATCTCGCTAATTCTTGCATTCATCTAACAAATGATAATTATTTTGTTTTTGAGACAAAGTCTCACTCTGTCACCCAGGCTAGAGTGCAGTGGTGCAATCTCGGCTCACTGCAACCTCTGCCTCCCGGGTTCAAGCGATTCTCCTGCCTCAGCCTCCCGAGTAGCTGGGACTACAAGCACCTGCCACCATGCCCAGATAATTTTTTTCTTTTCTTTCTTTCTTTTTTTTTTTAGTAGAGTTGGGTTTTCACTGTGTTAGCCAGGATGGTCTCGATCTCCTGACCTAGTGATCCGCCCGCCTCGGCCTCCTAAAGTGCTGGGATTACAGGTGTGAGCCACCGCGCCTGGCCATTTAACGAATAGTTATTGTCGTGTTCCCTCTCCACATGTTTCAGTTTCCCACTGACACTTGACTCCTTCAATTTTTGCATTGTTTTGTTTTGCAACTAAAAGCCCAGAAGCAGTTGTAGGAATAACTTCCAAATGAAAAGTTACAAAATGAGAATGATTCAGGGTCCCAGATGATGAGTAACCTATAAGTATAATAAAGCTATTGACAAAAATTTGATTTATTTTCTCCAATTCCTCTGATGTTAGCATTAAAAAAAATCCTTGTTTTCACGAAGTGTTTGCTGAGCAAATTTAGAAAGCATAAATAAGCAAATAAGAAATAAAAAAGAAAATATAGGCCACAGATTGCCCCATCATCGCCTCCCAGAGGTAATTGCTGCTAACATTCTTTTTTGTGCCTCCTTACCTATATACATAGAATTGGGTTTCATATTGAATTTTTCAAAAATGAGATCAGGCTGTACGAACAGTTTTGGACTGTGCTTATCTATTTGTTATGTCCTGAATACCATTTTTTTTTTTATACGATTTGGATACAGATGACAGCTGAGGAACTATCTTTCTTCCGTGTAAGTGACCGTAAGCCTTGGGCTTGCTGTAGTCCCTCGTCTTTTCTGGGCATGCTTTTCCTGTGTCAGAAGATAATACTAGTTATAGATAACATTCATCAAACACTTAGTATATGTTAACCACCTTAATAGAGTTCTCTTGTAATTTTCAAAACAACCCTATGAAGCCCATTTTACAGAAGAGGAAATTGAGGCACTAAGAGGTCAAAAGCATACAGCTAATATATGGTAAAGCCAACACTGGACTCTAGGCAGTCTGACTCCATGATCCTAAGCCCTATTCCCACTTCCTGAAAACGTGTTTAGATATATTGGATTTGGACAGGATTTAAAAGCTTCAAGCCCAATCCTAAAGCCAGTAGACAGCTTGTACATCACCTGGTCCAATACTCTTGATTTCTTTCAAGGAACTTAAGTCCAGGCTCCCAAGTCACCTTCTGCTGTTCTTTCTACTCTACCACACTGCCCCCATGACATCCCACTTTATTTTTCCCTTTCAAAATGCTGTGACTTGAGTGTTTGGGGACATGAAAGATTAATAACCTCGGTCTGGACAGGGCTGACCGTGGGCAGGCCTTGTGAGAACTTTTCCCACACTTCAGTGCCAACAGGTCTCAGGCCTGGACGGCACAACCCTGTTATTCTTTCTAGCTGTGGGCCTCCCAGAGCCAACCAGACCCACCGTACAAACTGAGCCTAGGTTCTGAGGGAGAGACCCCTGGGACGCTGCTCCCCAACATGTCAAAAAGTCTGCTCTGGACGTCTTTACCTTCACTCTAAAACTAGTGTCAAACCCGAGACATGCTGGAACTTTACCAAGCTGACACTTTAATCTCTGTAACTAAATCCATCAGGAAAATACTAATGCTGCCTACGTTATTTTTTCTTTCCTAGTCAGTTATTAGCAGCCAGAAACAGTTTGTCTCAAAGAATTTACTTCCCCGAGGACCTTTTTCAAGTGCCACAGAGTTCTATGAGAAAAATGGGAGGGTCTGTCTCTGGATCCAGAAGCAGGATCTGCCGGTGAGCAGCTCAGTGACCTTGGACAGATGACTTCTCCTTTCTGGATCCATCATTTATCAATAAATGAGTGGCTTAGCTTAAAGGGATTCCAGATCACTTCCAACTTTAAAAGTTTCTATTGTCATTGTCAGCCTCGGCCAAACACACTCTAAGCTTGCCCAATTTTCATTAACTTAGGCATTTGTTCATTTATTTAAGAATGCTTTTAAAGAATCTGGGCTGTGCCCAGTCCTAGGGATAGAGTGGCTGGCAAACAGACATGTTATATCAAGTCATTTCTATTGTGAGAAGAGCCACGAAGGAAAAACAGAGGGACATATGAGAGTATGTGATAGGGCCTGACCTCAACTGGGAGGCCAGGGATGGGCTTTGGGACAAAGTGGCATTTCAGCTGAGACCCAAAAGATGTGTTGGCACCAAATGGATGACAGAAGAAAAAATGGGGTTCCAGACAGAACACTATGTTTGGATGGCTGTGGGTCAGGAAAGATATTGAACCATTTAAAGAAATGAAAGAGCCCCAGCGGGACAGAGTATGATCAGTGAAGGAGATGTGGTTTTCCATTGTCCTTAGAATAAAATCCCAACTCTTCCCTGCTCATGGCTAGGAGACCTTGCCTAAATTCCCACCTCACTTTTCTCCATCCACAATGGGCTTCTATCTTTTTCTCTATCCTGTCACCTATTTTAGCTTTCTGAATTTGCAGGTGCTGAAACACTTCCCTCTGTCCTCACAATGCCTGATACCTCCTCATACTTCTGGGATGAACTTAACTGTTGTCTCTTCCCAAGGCCTTTTCTAATCACCCCATCTCAAAGAGGTCAGCTCTTCTCACCCTGATAGTCTCTAGCTCAGAGCCTGTTCGTAGCACTTGTCATGATCATAGTTATTTTGTTTACTTATTTATTCTCCTAGGCCAGGTCCCATATTAGTCTGGGTTTCTTCATTAAATATTTGGGGTATGAGGACGCTAGAGTAGAGGCAGATTATGGAATGCCTTACAGAGCCAGCTAAGGAGCTTGGGTCTCATTCTGTGAGCAAAGGCATGCATTTGAAGGGGCTCAAGGAGGATGTGATCGTATCTCCATGTTACACATGTAGAACCACTGTGTGGAGACCAGATGAGAAAGAGGACTGAGAAAACATGGGAAGACCAAGTAGAGACAATTACAATAGTCTCCTTGAGACATGACGGGGCTTGGACCAGGATAATGGAGTAAAGATGCGCAAAGTGGTTGGACTTATGAAATATCTAGGAGTCCGTAAGATTTGATGATGGTTAGATATAGAAGTGAGAGGGAAGGAAGTGTCAAGGAAGCCCAGCTTTCTGGCATGAACAGATCCATTTACCAAGATGGAAAGCACTAGAGAGGGAGAAGTAGGATTGCGGAAAGAAGATGAAGGATCACATTTAAGATATTTTGTGCATATTTTTTAAACGCAATAGGCATTTCTTCCATTTAGGTGCCTATGAGATCTGCCAGTAGCAGATCTGTTAAGGGAGCTGTAGGATATGTGGATCTGGAGCTCAGAAGAGAAGACTGGGTTGGAAGACAAATATATATGGGAGTTTTGGTGGTTTGGAAGTGGCAGCGTCAGGAGAGAAAGAAGTAGGCCTGTCTCCAAGTTCTGATGAGTGGGACCTGAGAAAATAAGTAGCCTCCTTGTGAGAACCCTGATGAATATGTCTGGCAAAGAAGCGAGAGAAGATTTTGAAGACAGAGTGTTGGAGGTCAAAATGGGACAGTTGTAGATGGCACATGGAAAGAGATTTGTGGGATACTGAGAAAGGTAGGAACTGATTTAAGGGCAAGAGAGAATTACAATAGGACTATGGGAAATAAATGGGGCTACGGTTTATGGGGCTAACCTGAGAAATTGCTGAGGACACCATGGATTTGAGACAAGGAAAAGTTAGATAATTTTCAGAATTCTCAAGATAAAAATGCTGGTTTCTTTGGATGTTCAATTGAGACCACTCAGTGAGTCTGGATGGCCTGGATGCAAGAATCCTCTGAGAACCTTTTCTTGATTTCAGGATGGTTCTGGATGCAGAGTTTGGTTTCTTGGTTACCTGTGGGCTTCCTCTCATTCTGATATGCTCTTCACTGACCCATTGCTAGGTGCACATGTGAGTTTTTGAAATTAAAGTCAATCGAGAAACTGTGTATGCTTTATTTTGTTTCAATTATTTTGAAATAGTAAAAGTCACGAAAACAGGTTGCCAAAAATTTAGGTAATAGAGAAAAAAACTTTCCCAATAATTCAACTACCGGATCATAAGCTATTATAATTTGGGAGTGTTCTATTCCTTTTAATTGTCATGTGAATTTTTACTATTAATACATTGCAAATTCAGTTTTGTCTCCTGTTTATCACTTAGCGTTCTGAGTATTTCCCATGATCCTCTAAAAATTCTTTTTAACTGTCACTTTGAGTTTTTGTATTATAAAAGTGCTACATACTTGCCTGAATCTATCAGGGCATAAAATTACAGAAAGGAAAAGGTTATCTCCATCTGACTCTCCTCTACCACATTTCATTTCCCAGACAGCCAATGCCTGCAGCCCAGTGTGCATCTTTTCACATACTGCTGAGCATTTGCAGGGACAGATGAACACACACACACACACACACATATATATATATATATATATATGTTTATGTGTTTTTTATATATAAATATGTTTATGTGTTATAAATATATATATATATATATATATACTTACTGCCCCACAGAATTTATGCCAGTAAACACAAAGCTATCTCATTTCCATTAACAGCTGCATAGCATTCCACTATGTAGACATGGCGTAATTTGTCCAACCATACCGCAATGATTGCTATTTACATAAAAATGCTGTGGTAATAATGCACACACACAGATCATTATGCACCATAAAGAGGTTTCTCTGGAATTATTAGCAGTGGAACCTCTAAGAGAAAGGGAATGTGCATTTAAAAATTGATAGATATTGTCAAACTGTGCTCCATAAAGGGTCACACCCATTTAGGCTTCTACCAAAGATTCCTCTTTCTTCAAACCATTTCCTCGATCATCAGATCTTTGCCACCATGTGGGTGAGACAGAATATCTCATTGTAATTGCAATAGGGATTTCTTCAATTTTTAGTTGAGTACATTTGACATTGTTTCATATGGTTGGCTCTTTATATTTCATTTTCTGTAAATTGCTCATCCTCATTGTTTCTTTCTTTATTGAGTTACCGGTGTTTTACTGTTATTGTTGATTTGTAAGAGTTTGCTGTAAATTAAGAAAGTTAATTCTTTGTGTGTCACAAAAATTTTGTACAGATTTGTCTGTATTGTGACTTTGTTTATCCTTTCCCTCTTTCCCAGAATTTAAAATATTTATTTAAATAAATATTTCATGGACTTTTCTTAATAGGATTCTCCCTTAAGGGTCATAGAATTTTCTAGCAATTAGATGTGCTATAGTTAAACTATTTTAACATTAAACATGTATCTGTTGCTTCCAATTTTCAGGTAATATAAATACTACTGTGATGAACAACTGTGTACATGTAATTTTTCCCCATATTTTGGGTAAGAATGTATTTTCGAAATGGGACTACTGGATTATGGTTCTTGAAACATTGTCAAAATAATTTCTCGAAAAGAAAATTCACCAGCAAATTGTGAGAATACCAAGAAAACTGCCTTTCTGTGTTTCTGAAAGACTGACACCTAGAGGTCTGACATCATTCTCAGTATAAAATTTATCCAGAGTCCTTGGTTTACTTTGTAAGATGGGGAGGGGAAAAAACATCGGGAGGAAAAAGGAGAGTGAGTGGTGTGGTTAAAGGAGTCTATTAAAGTTTACTTAAGAAAAACAGGTACTAAACAGGTATAACCAATCTGCTTTAACCAGTTGGCCCCATACCCCTACATACCCAGTCTCAATGGGGACAGCTTAGCTGCCCTCCTCTTAGATATAAGTGCTTTCCAAGGCTGGAGTGATCTTTTCACATCATGAAATTCATAATCCTCCCACAGTGAGTTTTTAGGGTTTGAGGTCTGTGTGCTTATCAAATAACTGAACCAAATAAATCAGCTTATTTCAGTTGTGATCAGTGGCTTTTTTATTCTGTCTGGGAGGAGAGCAGGGAAGAAGAGATCATGAGATCTCTGATCACCTGACATTGTTGTGTGTATTAGCAAACAAGCTGCCCATGATAAACTGTCTCCTACACAAATTAACATTGCTTTTACTTATAAAACTTGTTTGTTATGAAAAGTTCATTGGTACCTGTTATGGGCTTAATCGTAACCTCCCAAAATTCACATGTTGAAGTCCTAACCCCTAGAACCTCAGAATGTGACTGTATTTGGAGATTTGGTTTAAGGAGGTAATTAGGGTTAAATGAGGCCACTGGGGTAGGCCCTAATCCAATATGATTAGTATTAGCTATATTTAAAGGGGAGGACACAGACATGCCCAGAGGAAACCCAGTCTATGGGACTTTGTTATGAAATTTCTAGAAAACCAACACGGTACTCCCAAATCAAAGAATTATATAGTGAATCCCATTTACCTATCACTTAACTTCAGCAACTATCAAGAATTTGCTAATTATGTTTCATGTATTGTCTCCAGTTCTCTTCTGGAATATTCTAAAACAAATCCCAGGTGTCATATCATTTCACTGATAAATATTGAAGTATGCATCTCTGTTTAGGGACTTTTTAAAAACATATTCATCAAGTCATTTTCTTGCCTAACAAAACTAAAAATAATTTTCTAATATCACCCAAGCCATATTCAAATTTCCCCAATTGTCTCACAGATGGTGTGATTCATTTACAGATAGTTTGAATCCAAACCCAATTTGTTTTTGATTATTACTTCTTGTAAGCCTCTCTTATTCTAGAACAAAGCTCAGTTCCTGCCCCTTTTTTGTGGTTTGTATTTATAGAAAAACTGGATCGTTTGTCCCATAGAACACCTTATGTTCTGAAGTGGCTGATTGTTTCTTCATGATATAGGTTAATTTCTCTCTCTCTGTCTCTCTCTCTCTCTCTCTGTCTCATATTTTCTGTAATTTGGTTATTAGATTTAGAGGGCTTGTTTAGATTCAGATTCAGTATTTTGGGCAAGAATATTTCACTGAGGTTTGAATTTTAAAATGCTGAAATAGCCAACAATTTATTTTCCCTTTAAAGCGAACTAAACAACACAGGAAAACTGTCCTGGGTAATTAGTAGAGGCAATCTGATTTTGCATATCAAATACTCAAATAGACTAAAGAAAACAAGACGAAAGAAATAAAGAATATGCAAAGGTCACCATTTTCACTAAAAATCTGTTCCAAAATGGTAAGTCCTGACTTCAGGAATCACTGCCATATACCTTTGAGGTCAAAAGGGGTCAAATTATTGTATTGTATTGTTTTAAAATCATGTTAGTGTGGCAGCTACACAGCCTTCAAACGAAAGTGTGCCCAGGAAACCATACTTGACCCTTTGAGGGCTTTCTCTTGCCATGAGCTGTTAAAAGCAGCTGCTTCTCTGCTATATTAGGGCTTCCACCCCCATGCTACCAGAGGTCTGCCCTCGCTGTAAATTGAGGCTTTATTGAATCACTGTTTATAATAGCAGAAGACTGGAAATGATCTCTATGCCCATCAGAAGGGGACTCATTAAGTGTCATCGAATTCTAAAATCCTTTAAAAATATTTCTGTAAAGTTACGTGTGCTAATATGCCATTGTCAAGTTATAGTGTGTAGAGACTGCATATAGAGCAGGCTGTCTGTGTATAATAAAATGTTTATTGTATGCATGGAATATTTTAAGAATTCTTAAGAAACTAGGAAAATTGGAGAACCAACGTCTGGTATAGAGAATAATTTGTGTTTTCCTTGTAGACCCTCTCTCACCATTGGAAATTTTAGCTATGTATATGTATTTTAGCTATGTAATTACTTTTTTAAAAAATTAACTAATTGAATTAACTAATGCCTTGGAAATTGGCATGGACTGAATGGTTGTCAGCAACACTACAGTGCCGAGCCAGTAGTTTTCAGTTCTTGCCTGTGTTTGTCAAGCAAGGGAGATGTCAGATAGCAGAGGGATTTTCATTTGAAACACTTTTCAGCTTGCATTTGACCACTTTGAAGAGGGAAACCAGACTTTGGAACCATTTTCAAGAATCAAATGTGTTCCGTGTTTCAAAGGATTTTAACTCTCAAATAGACCTTTCTCTGGAGCGACATTCCCCACTTTGAGAAACTAAAACAAGTAGCTTGTACCAAAAAAACAAGTATAAATTATGATTCCTTCTGATCAAACATGTAATGTCAAGTCTGAAAGAAAGAAAAAGAAACTTCCAAAACAGAGTCTGGTAGTGTTTCCATAAAACATGCCATGTGTTATACATTGCAAGGCACTAGCAAAGGAAGTCTATTAATAGAATTGAGAAAACATTAATAGGGGCCCACAAGGACCTGGTCATTTTTAAAGATATGAGAATGAACTCTTGGCTTTATAATTTTAGGGTTGTTAAAACACCTGCCAGCGGCACCTCTTATTGTGTGGATTTTTTTTTCCCATTACACTGTGTGTAAAAACCATTAAAGAAAACTCAAAGCCCTAATTGTGACACTCGATAAAGTGGTCAAGAAAAACTATGTTTACAAATCTGAAAATGTCACTGTGTGCTTTTATTAAGCCTCAGCCTCAAACTTCCAACCTGTGGGAAAGCTTAACAGCAGAGGTAATCTCTATAGAAAGGACCTACTAGTAAGCACAAATCATGTCAAGCAAAGGGGAAATTACGACAGGTGGATTTCAAAATAGCACAGATTTAATTTATCTGGGCCCAAACCTCTTCCATCAGGGTGACAAAGAAATGTAGTCACTGAAGGAGATGCTTCCAGAATCACTCTGTGTTTAAGTACCACAGCCCCAGGTCACCCTAGAGGTCCTGAGCTCCTTGGGTGGCCCTTTATTCTAATACCTCAGCCCATCCTATCCCCTTCCCAACTATGCGAACATCTTGACGGTGGGACTTGGAAACCTTCCTGCAATTTTTTGCCCTACTAGCTGATCAAATTCCTCATTCATTCCTTTGGGTTAAAGAATTAATACAGAATATTCCTAAGTGTTATGACACTATAAGCATAGTGTCATGACATAAGGCTCCTGGTGGAGCCGAGTGGACTTGGGGGTGAATCTTTTTTTTTTTTTTTTTTTTTTTTTTTTTTGAGACGGAGTCTCGCTCTGTCGCCCAGGTGGGACTGCGGACTGCAGTGGCGCAATCTCGGCTCACTGCAAGCTCCGCTTCCCGGGTTCACGCCATTCTCCTGCCTCAGCCTCCCGAGTAGCTGGGACTACAGGCGCCCGCCACCGCGCCCGGCTAATTTTTTTTGTATTTTTAGTAGAGACGGGGTTTCACCTTGTTAGCCAGGATGGTCTCGATCTCCTGACCTCATGATCCACCCGCCTCGGCCTCCCAAAGTGCTGGGATTACAGGCGTGAGCCACCGCGCCCGGCCGGGGGTGAATCTTATCACTACAAGCTAGTAGCTATAAGGCCTACCTCAGAGACTGAAGTGAAGACTGAAAATTATAAAGTGAGTCACCTGACACCAGAGACTCCTCACTCTAGAATAGGCACCCCCTTCTGGGACATCCAAATCCAGTTGGGAAGGCAGGCATGTGGACTAGTAATTACAGGAGCAATTAGTAGTAATTACAGGAATGATCAGAAAGATCATTCTAAGAGAAATGTGACCTAAGTCCTCAGAAGCCCAACGGGGAAAGCAGGTGGTTCAGGGGAGCCCCCTGACTTGGGGAGGTCAGGGTAGGGCCTCAGAAAGAGGAAACATTCTGAGCAGCCTTGAAACTCACCTGTCAGGTGGGGAGTCAGGGAACACCATTGTAAGTAAAGATAAAACAGCAGGTGGGAAGCTATGGCGCACTTGTAGGCCCTGGCACACAATGTGACAATGACTCATCTCTCATCTTGCACAAGTTTGGCTTTTGAGGGACTTGGATAACTCCATGAGGGCCGTGACATATGCAATACATGCCTCATAACCAGGGCTTGCCACACTGCGATTGCAGCAGGACAGAGAGCCCTCTTCCTCTACTCTGCAACACCTTGCGCACCTTTCTTCCCTTCCCATCTCCCGGTTCATTTCTTCCCAGAAGGAGGAACTATTAATCTGGACAGATTGCAGGGTGTCAACTAGGTCATAGACACTAATAGGCGGGAGCAGCATGTATAAAATAATTATACCTTTTTCCTGATACTCAGATATCCCTGCCCGAAGCATCAGGTACTTTCCACTAACCACGCTGAGTGTTTGGAAGGTCTCTTTTAGTGAAGTCCCCCTAAGCCCCAGCTTCTACGACAGTCATAGTGGTGCATAAGAAAAACATAATAAATGGTAGCTGGATTGAATCATGCTCTGGCTAAGAGAAACTTTACCCTCTTGCTTAAAAATTGCTTATATTTGGCCCAAAGCTGGATACTGACACTAGTTTTAACATATTTGGGATTCAGCTAGGTAACGAATTTTCTTGGAAGCTATTACTAGCACCTGTTTTTACTCAGGCTAACTGAGATTCCAAATGGCCAAGGGGTTTCCTGGTTCAGGGTCTGGGGAAGATTACTGTCATGGAGAGGTGTATCCCGACGTTAGCAAGGCATGTGAAACAGCACAGTCATTTTGCTGGTGCAGATTTCTACAGACATGGATGGTTCTGGAGCCAGCAACTAGCGGAAGCCTCCTAGTTCCCATGGTTGCTTCCTCCTCCTAGCACAGGCTGTAGCGCTGTGGTGTTACTTTGGGGCTCATTCCTGAAAGCTCATCCCAGATTCTGTCTCTTCAGCACTCCCAGTAATTCCAAGGAAACATGTAAAAGTGTCCACAGACATGCCAAAAGCCACAGAACAGCTCAAAAGCGGATCTGGCAAAAAGAAAGCAAAATCTTGTAACAGTGACTTCAGCCTCTCTTTGTTTTCTTCCAGATGTGCATATGGCTCCCTCCATCCCCTCAGTCAGGTCCCTGCCTAAATGTCAGAAAGACCTACTCTAACTTCCTATCTGCCGTAATTCCTCTTCCCAACAGCCATTCTCTGTCCCCTTCTTCTGCTTTAGTTTTCTTCATAGCACTTATCACCCCTGACATTTTACTTATTATATATTTATGCATTTATTGTCTGTGAACTCCCTGTAGAACACAATCTTCATGAGAGAAAAAACTTTTGGTCACAGCAATATCCCCAATACCTAAAACAATAACTGGCACATCGTAGATAAATGAATCCTAACTAATAATTATAAAGCCCTTCATTTATGCTCCGAATTTGATATAAATTTGTTCATCAAATTCTTATACCAATCTAATGAGATGGATTATCCACATTTTTCAAATGAGAAAGCTGAGGCCGAGAGAAGTTAAAGAACTTACCCAAAGTGATTCAAGTTATTCAGTGGCGAGACCTAAATACAATCTAGGGCAATCGAACCACAGGCCCTGCGTGGCTCACCACGCTATGCTGCACGTTGAGATTCTATTACCTTCCTGGCCCTCCTCCTCTGAGTCTCTAGCAAAGATAACTCCAGCACTGCCCTTGTTTTTGGAAAATATTTAAAGTTATTTTCCACTGATATTTTTCATGTGAAAAGTTTCCCCAAATAAAAGGATAGTACTTCAAAATGTTTAAAGAAACACAAATAAGAAAACAAAGAAAAGGTAAACAAGGTATATGCCCAGAGTAAATCTGCTCCAAAGAGTTTGGTTCTTACTTTATTGTTAAAATCATTATCTTTTTTTTTTTTTTTTTTTTTTTTTTTTTACTTAAGTGACTTTTGAGAAATACTTTGAGATGGACAACTTAGTTGACATGTTGAAAAAACTCAAGCTATTTTCAATAAACATTAGCTCTTTGATAAATCAGTATTCTAGGTATTTTAGCCTGGAGAGGTGATTTTATATGGGGATTGGGGTGTCAAGGTTCTCTGTACTGTCCCCCTTCTCCCCACACTAAAATTGCCTCCTGGGCCATCTTGCTGGCACCTGGAATTACACCATTAACTATGTCCCTTTAAAATACATTTTCTGAAAGAGACAGCTCTTCAGTCTCTTCAGGCTTCTATGTGAACATATCCAAGTGTTCATAAAAACATTTTTTTAAAATAGGGAGATAATTAGGGAGTCCATAAGGACCTGCATTCCTGAGTGAGGACAGGGATTATAAAGGAGGGAGAAGGCAAGTGAACCAGCAGGTGTCCTTTTTTTTAATTATTATTATAATTTATGTTCTGGGGTACATGTGCAGAACGTGCAGTTTTGTTACATAGGTATACATGTCCCGTGGAGGTTTGCTGCACCCAGCAACCCATCATCTACATTAGGTATTTCTCCTAATGCTATCCCTCCCCTTGCCCCCAACCCCCCGACAGGCCCTGGTGTGTGATGTTCCCCTCCCTGTGTTCATGTGTTGTCACTGTTCAACTCCCACTTATGAGTGAGAACATGCAGTGTTTGGTTCTCTGTTCTTGTGTTAGTTTGCTGAGAATGATGGTTTCCAGTGTCATCCATGTCCCTGCAAAGGACATGAACTCATTCTTTTTTATGGCTGTGTAGTATTCCATGGTATATATGTGCTACATTTTCTTTATCCAGTCTATCATTGATGGACATTTGGGTTGGTTCCAACTCTTTGCTATTGTAAATAGCAGCAGGTATCCTTCTATTTGGCACATGTAAAGTAGAAGTTCAAATGGGTCCGATAACAAAAATATTTTTAAAAATTTTTGTAAGTTCTAGGAAGGCAAGGACTAAACCTGTTTGTATCCCCTGCAACTCATACATGAGCACAGTGCCTGGCATGTAGTAAAAGCTCAGTATTTCTTAGGTGGATGAATGCAGGCTCCTGAGCATGCCCCAGGCTCTTACCTCCCCCTTTTCTGGCATCCCCATTCCTCCCTCAAGCCTTCTACCTTCTCTCTCCCACCAGTTCTCTCCAGTGGAAGTAAATTTCTCCTCTGAAATTCTCCAGCAATATAATTTCTACAGGGAATTTTATGAAGAATTAATCATATACAGACAGTGAAATCTCTTTGAAAGTTTTTTTGAAAAGCTAGTTATATTGTCTTTTGTCATAAAATGTTCCATATGTTTATATCTTATCTCCCCATCTGGATTATAAATGTCAGAAAGGTAGAGGCTTGACAACTTTGCTTCTTCAATGCTTTTCATACAAATATAAATATTGATTGGATTTTATAAGAAACTCTCACTTTTATATTCAAGCAGACTAAATGGGAAAGGAAAAATCAAGACCCCAAGTACATTATCTTACTCTTTCAGTGTGTCTCAAAAACGGGATTTGAATATGCTGGATTAAATCGGTTTCATCATTTATAGCACACTAATCTCAATTGAATTACATAATTGATTTTTTTAAACCAGGATAGTCCTTATTTATCTGGACAAGCAACGCACAATCACACACATATATGCTATGACTTTTCTTGGGGAAATTAAAAGAAAATCCATAGCTATAAGTGCCAGCAGCCTAGCATTACAATAGCTTCACTTTTTCTGATTTAGAAGAGCTGTGTTTGATGGCAGTAAAACTGATGAAACATAGCACTTTTCCTTATGGTTATGTTGAAATTTTTATTAACACCCTTACAAACTGCAAAATTTTAAGTTTTTTTTTTTTGTAAGGTTGCATTATATATTCTTCATATCCGTTTTCTTCCCCAGGATCAGTTCATGTAACTACAAATAAACTGTCTTCTATTTCTATGGTTGATTCCTTAGAAATTTTTTGTATCTCTTTGAAGCTGTGAGGACAGAAAGCATTACTATACATCAGCATCTACATAATAAAATTAACTCCCCACTACCTACCACCTTCTCTATTTGGTTATTATAGAGTTGAAAGTTCATCAGGGTTCCCCCTCCCTTCTTCCCAATCAAACAAATCAATGAGAAAAAATAGAAAATCTACCGCCACATCAGCTGCCAGCACGATATTACAAACAGATTAATCCAGATTTTAGGATATTGCTGTGGGCCAGACTTTGCACTTGTCAGCCTTGTTGCACTTGTTGGCAGCACTGTCTCTTAGAGAAGTCAGGATTTATGTGATCCTGTGTACCCAGTTATGAAAGCCCATAGCGCATTGAGAAAGCACATAATGGCCAGCTGATTCCATGCTGTTCTCAATAAAAGAGAGAACAATGCATACTTTAAAAGACAGTGCAAACCTATGAAACAAGGATTGATGCTGGCTTTTACATATCTTGGTTTTGAGGCAATGTAGGAACAGAATTATATTTGCGCTTTGCCTGAAAAATAATTTGAGAATAATTTTGCTCACTCTTTCCAAAAAATCTAGTCTTTGGGTCACAGAGCAAGTAACTTTTTGTCAACCTCTACCCATCTCCACTTTCTAGTGAAACCACTGCCAAAGTTTCCCTCGTGCTATATTTAAAACACATGGAAGATCTCTCCAAAAACCCAACACTTACTCACTAGGTGCCAGGCACTATTAAAGCGCTCCATATATGTTTAATCTTTACAACAATTCTCTGAGGCTGGTGTTTTTATCATCATCCAATGTGAAAGATGAAGAGACTGAGAAAAAGAAAGGTCGTGCACAAGCTATTCAGCTGAGAAGTGGTAAAGTCAAGATTCAAACCGAGGCACCCTGAAGTCAGAGCCTGCTCAAGCTCTAAATCCCTGCACAACACGTCCTCTTACTTAATAAATACCTAACAAACAACCAAATCCCCACCCCACCTCTGACTCGTGCCGCTATTCTTCTTGTTTCTTTTTATTGGAAGCAAACTTAAGGATGATATCAACTTGGATTTTTTCGCTTCAACTCAGACAAAAAAGAAGTCGCCTCCTTCCACCCTCTTTAAAACTATGTTAATTTTGTGTATCCCAATCCCTTAACTAAGAATTATTTTAAAATTATCAAAGGTTTGTGTTAGTGTTGCATTACTCTCTTGGATGCTGTGGTTCTTTCTATTTAAGAGCTTATTATTTTCTCCATAAGCCAGTTTGGGAAGGAGGTAATATGTCTTTTTGGCTCTTGAATACTGCTTTCCTCTGAATCTCATTATGGCAAGTCACTTTCTGAAACTGGGCTGTAGCTCTAGACAAATGATTGTATGAAGTTTTAAATAAACATACAACATTTACGTTAGGCTGTTTCTTGAAATGATTTATTGTCATTTTCTTCTTTCAGTCCTGCTCTTTGGACATAAAAGACACAAGCTTTTGCAGTTTATACAAACCAAATCCTCTGTTTGCTCTGATTAAGCATTCATGAGTCTTTTATATAGTACAGGCTGTAGATTTGGGATTATTCCCTATGGGAGTGGTGGAATTAAATACATTAGCCAACAGAGATAAGGGAGGGTACCAGAGTTTAATTGCCATTAAAATAGATATGTTGAGTAACAAAAACAGAAGGCAGGAAACAGTCCGTATTCTCATTTTCCGCCATGGTAGATGGAAGTTCTATAATCCTGTGACTTGCAGCCTCTTGAAAACTCTCTAAAGGTGATGGCCTAGAAGATGTAGGGAATAAGTTAAAATTGTGCCTGGGGACAAGTCTATTCTTGAGTTCCTAAGAAGCCTTGTGCCTAGGAAGATTGTGAACAGTGGGAACCTCGGAGTTGCTCACCGTGAAGAGCTTTCTGCTCTATTGGAACTGGGCACAGGTGTTAATCAGTGGAATATCATTACATCACCCAAAGTTCCCTGACCTCTCAGAGGCTTTTCAGAAATGTGAAGAGAGTTACCACCTTACTCCGTGGCCCCAGTCAGTGACTGGACACAGAAGAAATTTCCATAGGTAATTCTGATAGACAGCTTTATTTTTATTTTTATTTTTTATTTTATTTATTTATTTTTTTACTATTTTATAATTGGCTGGCTTCTCAGAGTTTTCTTTGTTATTCTATTTGTGGCTATCGTAAATGGATTTTGTCATATTCCCGCAGAAGCTGACACTTGCAGTCAGCCATGAGGTTGGGAAACTCATGTCCAGTTAATTCACATGAAACAGGTAAAATAAAAGCATTTTTTTTAAAGTTCTGTGTGAGTTGCATGTATTTTCCCTTCAATTTAGAAATCTTCAACTTTTCTGGTTCTTAAGTTTAAATTTAGATTGGGTAAGGGGAAATAAAATGAAGTCTTGCACTTTTGAGCAATGAGAATCAAGAGAAAACGCCTCAGAAAATTGAAGTTTCTCAGAATGGGGGAGACCCTGAATTTAAAATATATTAGCTGACTCCATTTATTTGAAATTCTAGAAACAGCAAAACGTTATGTATAGTGACAGAAAGCAGATCAGTGATTTTCTGGGGCCGGGAGTGCAGGGGATGAGGACGATGGACAGAAAAGAAGCACAGAACTTCTGGCTGTTGGAAATGTTCTACATCTTAATCGTACTTAGTTGCACAAACCAAACTCATCAACCCGTACACTTAAAATGACTGCATTTTATTGTATGTAAATTGTACTTCAATAAAGTTGATTTTTAAAAATATACTGACATAAGTTACTGAGGTGCCATGGGAAACTTCTCTAAATCATCCTTTATTTTAACATAAAATAGTTGAGCTAATACTCCAGGAGTCATTAACAGTAGAATGGATTTTTTTTTCCATACAAAAATAATATATATCCATCAGCTTTAAGTGCTGCAGCCGACAGGCTGAGCTGTTGTTGGCAACTGCTATCTGAGAAGACGTTTCAGGCAGGCTCTGCCGGCGGAGACGCACGCTCTCCCGGAGCTGCACATAGTTGGCCTTGCTCTGTGTGCATTCTCGGTAATGGATCACAGGGCAACCAAATTAATTGCAAGATGTGCTTTAATCTCCCACATGAACATGGAAATAAGGATCTATTAACCTTGTGCCTGGCGCGTCTTTTTTTTTTTTGCTTCATTCCCCAAGTGGCAGTTCTGAACTGTTATCCATGTTTCCATTCCCCGAGGCCAGTTAGACCCGGAGCAGAAAGGTGCGCGTGGTCAGTTCCAGCTCCTAAAATGATGTGCAGTCTGCAAGCTGGAAAGGTCTCGGCGCGGGGTGTGGGCAGTTGTGTGGAGCTAGAACCTAGCCGCTGCAGCGGGATCCCAGGGCCTGAGGCGCAGGAACCCACTGCCCGGGGCCCCAGCGCTGTCAGCCCCTCCTGCCCTCCACCCACCCCTTCCCCTTCCCCTTCCCCTTCCCCTTCCCCTTCCCCTTCCCCTTCCCCCCTTACGACCCTCCCGCCCCTCCCCCCACTCCCTCTACCCCGACTCCCTCTCCCTCTTCCCCCACGCCAGGGACGCACCGCCCTTGGTAGATGCCGGGAGTTTGGGTTTTGTGATTCAACAGTTGATAGTGAGCATTCCCCCAAGAGGAAAAACAGCCAGAGACCAGCCATTTCTCTCTCTCTGTGGTCCTGCAGGCTCTTGGAGTGTTTACACTAAACTCCAGGCCCGGGAAGGGAATTTACAGCCTTATCACTGGAATTGAAAGCGATGTCGGCTGGGGGATGTGCGTCTCGAAGACTCTTTTTTCAAGGGAGGCTTTTGGCTTCGTGTAGGCGGGTGGTGATTTTATTCTGTCTCTCTCCCTCTGCCTGAAGTTCGTCTTTGAAGATTTTCTGTCGTGTTTATTGGGATAACGAGGATTTATTTTTTGCTTCTATTCCAATATTGTCAGGAAATGATATCTATAGAAAAGTATTCTCTTAAAAACCACAAATTAGATGTAATCAATGTAAAGATTGCTGCAGGTCAGTATTTCTCTTTTTAAAAACTTATCGATTATTAAGTTGATACAAAAGAATATTTAAAATATATGTGAGGTATAAATAATAATGATACAATGAATAGATAGCATAAGGAAATAATATAACCACTTCGTTTTAATATCCTTGAATTCCTTCTTGATCCCCATCTCCTTTCCCATCCTGAATTTTCCAGTAGCCATCACTTACTACCTTAATGTGTAATTTTATCATGCTTCTATCTGAAAAATTATATGACTTTAAATTTCTGCATGTTTTAGAACTTTATATACATATATATTAGATATATTCTTTGTGGCTTATTTTTTTCCAAGTGACGTTATGTTCTTAAGGGTCATTCATTTTGCTACATGTGTCTAAAGTTCATTCATGTTCACTCCTGCATCCATGTGTTCTATTGCTGATAGACATTTGGGTTACTTCCCATTATCTTCTATTCAGATAGTGCTGTTGTTAACTTATAAAGAATTCTCCAAATGTATACCCTAGAATTTCTCTAGGTCTTGCTGGAAGTGGAATTGCTGGGCCACGGGTACGGGCATCTTCACTGATAATGCCAAATTGTTTTCTTTACGGGATCTGCAGATTCACTCTCTCACTAGCAATATACATATAGAAATTGTGCATTCTCTCACCAATATTTAATATTGCCAGATTTTTTTTGCCTATTTAGTGGTAACAAAACAAATCATTATGGATTTTAGCTTGTATTTCTCCAGTTAACTAAAGAGGTTGCACAACTTTCTGTGTGTGTATTGGCTATCTGGGTTTCCTCTTCTATGAAGGGTCTGTTTTCCATTGCCTATTTCCGTTTGTTAGTTATGTATATTGCAAATACTATCTCTTGATTTGTGGCTTTTCCTTTCACTATCTTTATGGTGAAGTTTGATGAACTGCGGTTCTTAGTTTTAAGTCAGTTTAATTTACTAATCTTTGTCTATATGGTTTGTGGGTTTTGTGTGTCTTAAGAACTTCTCTAATTCTAGGTTATAAAGACAGTCTATATTGTCTTCTAAGAGTTTTATAAATTTACCTTGCACATTTAACCACTAGAATGGATGTCATATGTGGCATAAGGTATAGACCCAATTTTTGGTTTTTATCCTGTGGGTATCCAGTTATCCCAGCGTCATTTATTGAAAAGTCCCTGCAACTTAATAGCTACTGTCATAAACTAATTATCCATATGCTATAGGCTGAATGGTGTCTTCCAAAAATTCATGTGTTGAGGCCTTAAGTCCCAGTATGGTGGTGTTTCAAGATAGGACATTTAGGGGGCAATTAGAATTATATGAGGTTATAAGGATAGGGCTTTATAAGAAGAGGAAGAGAGAGATTGCTGTCTCTCTGCCATGTGAGGATACAATGAGAAGGCACTCATCTGCAAGCCAGGAAAAGGCCCTTACCAGAAACCAACTTAGTCACATCTTGATTTTGGATTTCCAGTTTCTAGAACTGTGAGAAGTAAATGTTATGTAAGCCCCCCAGTCTATAATATTTTGTTATGGCATCACAAGCAGACTAATATATTATGTACATATTTTTTCCTGCATTCTCTATTCTGTTCCTTTGATCAATTTGACCATCCCTAAACTGATAAGATATTGAATCAATTATTATTTATTATAAGTGGTGATATCTGTTAAACTAAATTCCCCTTGGTCCATATAAATATTAGAATCAGCTTGTCCATTTCACAGAAAAAAAAAAAAAACCTTTGGTATTTTTAATGAAATCATATTGAATCTAAATACCAATTTGGGGAACACTGTCCTTAAAAATATTGAAATTTCCAATCCATGAACATGGTATATGGTGTGATTAAGCCTTCTCTGTTGTATTTCAATAAAACCTTGTCATTTTATTCATAGAAGTTTTACACATATTTTTAAAAATTTATTCATAGAATCTTTATGTTTTTAATGATATATTAATGGGATCTATTTAAAATTTTCTTAACTATTCAGTGCTGGGAGTATAGAAATGTAATTGATTTTTATACATTGATTTTTATATCCAGCAACTTGTAAATCTTTTCTGTAGATTTTCTTCTACACAATGATTTTATTTGGGAATAAGATAGTTTTGTTATTATCCAATTCTTACACATTTTACTTATTATTTATTTTTGCTGTAACTGCATTGGAGAAGACCACTAATACAAGATTGAATAGAATTAATAATAGGCAATCTTCTCTCATTTCTGACTTTAAAAGGAAGGCTCTCAACAATACCATTAATTATGATGTTTCCTGTGGATATACGTTATCAGGTTCAGTAAGTATAGCTCTGTGCCTTCCTTGATAAGATATTTTATTATAAATGTACATTCAATTTTGTCAACAGTTTTTCATTATTGAGATAATCATATGTGTTTATTACTGTGGTAACTTTCTATAGCTGATTTTCTAATGTAGTCTAGGAAACACTTGATTGTGATATATAATTTTATTTTATATTGTTGGATTTTGTCTGCTTCTCTTAGTACTATTCTATCTCATATTCCAAGTGTTTATTTCTTTTTTTTTTTTTTTGAGACAGAGTCTTGCTCTGTCGCCCAGGCCGGAGTGCAGTGGCATGATCTCAGCTCACTGCAAGCTCCGCCTCCTGGGTTCACGCCATTCTCCTGCCTCAGCCTCCCAAGTAGCCGGGACTACAGGCACCCGCCACCACGCCCGGCTAATTTTTTGTATTTTTAGTAGAGACGGGGTTTCACCATGTTAGCCAGGATTGTCTCAATCTCCTGACCTCATGATCTGCCTGCCTCGGCCTCCCAAAGTACTGGGATTACAGGCGTGAGCCACCGCACCCGGCCCCAAGTCTTTGTTTCTTAGAAGCAAAATAATTTCAGTAGTGTTTGCCTAGTCCCAGTGATACTGAGCCTTAGAAGAGTTATTAAAATTATATTCCACTTTGTGACCTTGAAACATATACTTCCAAATAAAAACCTCTTTCATGAGCATCATGGAAGCACCATGTAAGGTTGGTATTTCAGTTCCCAAGTATATTCTGTATTCTTTGAATTTTAAACCTTGAATTCATTATTTGACCAACTTTTCAAGCAGCATGAGAAACATCTAAATTTCTTAGACTGCATGAAGGTGGTTGTATCTATGTATAAGTTACACTCAATTTATTTTTGTGCTTTCAACTAACTGTTCTTATTGGATTTCCATGCTTGCCTGGCTTTTCCTCACAATTGAATTATATGCTTTTTTAGGATAGGCACTGCAGTCTTTAGTCCTCATCTGTCCTTCTATAGTATTAATACACATGAACTAGACTGCCTCAGGCTTTCATGCTTCTGAACAATCACTTAAGAATTAAAACTTCTTTGTCTGTCTGTGTAGCCAGGCTTCCCATAAGGAAGAAAACAAAACTGAATTAAAGATGCGTCCTCTAGAAAACAATGTAAGTGGCAAGTAAGTAGCAGATAGCTCAGAGGAACTCCTGAGAGCACATGGCTTGGGAGATGCATTCAATCTGAACTTTCCTTCAATGTCTATCTTTCTACACCTCCCAGTTGATTTTTGAAAGGAATTAAACATTTCACTTTGTTAGTGATCCCTTTTTGTCTGGGATCCCTTTTATGGCAATAGGGCTGAGACCCTCCATTTTATTAGAAGTGTCAGTGGACATGAATGTTTGGAAATAGAAATGATTGAACAGGGCCATTATGTGGAAGAATTTTTGAAAAGTGAGGGCATGGCAAAAACAAACACTATTTTAAAACCTGGATCTACTGATCTTGGGAACCTAAAAATCATCATTTACCAAGTAATGCTTTGCAGCTTGCCATTGCTCATCTAAATACTGTGGTGAAACATACTACTGACTAGGAGCCCCTAATTGGCTTGGCTCATAATGAGACATACTGCTCCCAGTTTAAAACCCAGTGCCACACTTTGTAGTTTCCTACTACTGGGTGAAAGAAAGGGAAGGTGAAAACTCCGAGGCTTGAAAGTGTCCCTTCAGGGCTTCATGAGAAGTCCTTGAAATAAACTCATAGTGGATGGGGGAAAAGCAATCTGTTATGATTTAAAATATTCTAATCAATGACACCTTTACGACTGGAGACACATGTGGACACCCTAAACAATCTATGGCCTGTTGAATTTCATCAACCCTAAGTGATTATTAGAATATTTTGAGTTTGCTTAAAAATATTCCAGCAGAGGGGAAAAATATAGAGGTGGGGAATATGTGAAACTAGAATGGTAGAATGTGGATCTTTATTGAGGATGGGAGAGAAATAGATGAGTGTTCATTATACTATTCTCTCCACTTTGGTGGAGGCTTGAAATTTTCCATACTGAAAAAAAACTCAGCAATTAAAATGGAATGAAAGATGTCAACCTTGTGTTGTTAACACAGGTAAACTTTGGTTCCTACTCATGGTGGGTGCACTACTCAGATCCCCATTCAGGAATGAAGCACATTCTGCAGCTGCTGGGAGTGCTCCCTGCAGAAAGCCCTCTGCCATCCACCCCTCATGTGGATGGTCTTGCTGGAGAGAGAGCCACCCCACCCCTCCTCCTGGGGCAGCCTCCTCCACTGATGGATGTGAGAGTAACAAAGGTCCAGCCTCCCTGCTCCCGTATCCCAGTCTCCGCAATCCCATGGCTGAGGCCTCCATTGAGACTTCATTGCAGCTAATATTCTCCCTCTGGCCAATCTTGTACCTTCTCCACCTCTTCCACAGATGCTGATCCCAAGAGCTCTCCCTAATAAACCTCCTTCAAGCTTATGTCAGATTCAGTTGGTTTCTTCGGGAACCCTATCTGAGATGCTACTTTAAACATAGCATCTGAGAATGTTAGAGATGAAAGGGAGGACCTAAGTGCTTTCTCAATCCAAATCTCTCATTTTACAGGTAAAGAAACTGCACACCAGAGAGGTTATATGACTTATCTAGTACCGATCACTTAACTAGTTGATGCCACAGCTGAAATGATAGAAACCAGAATTCCTAACTCCCATGGGCCAATCCATTGCCCTGTTCTAAATGTTTCACTGGTTCACATAGGCCCATTTTGAAAATAAGTTGCTTAGTTGATACTATTTGGTCTTGCAGTATGACAGCCAAGCGACCCTGATACATCATATAGTTTTGACTGCTTGTAACAGAATAGTCAATTAAGGGTAGGTAGTAGCAAGCACATTTATTTTCTCATACACCAAGAAGGTGAGCGTAGCAGTTAGAGATGTCATCAGAAGCCCAGATTCTTTCCTCCTTTCTTTTATAGTATGTTCAGTATTTGGTTTTTAATGTTTGAGTCCCAAGACGGCTGCTATGGCTCTAGGCTTCACATTCTTCAGTACCAATGTCAAGGCAGAAAAAAAAATGTGTTTATTAATTATCATTTTGTAATTAGGGAGAAAAGCCTTTCCCAGAAGCCACTCAGCAGACTTCTACTCACACCCCCCTGAATCCTGTGCCTGTGTTATAAGGCAGGCTGGGAATCAAACTATTTGGCATTTGGGGCCTCTCTAGGGAGATGAGCTCTACTAACTAGGAAGACAGAGGGCTGAAGGCCACTGGGTAGGCAGCATGATGACTGCATGTGTGTGTGAGACAGGGTCTCACTCTACTGCCCAGGCTGGAGTGCAATGGCATGATCGTAATTCACTAATACAGAGACCAAATTACTTTAAAACAAAAGGGATACATTTTATTTTTTCTACCTTTATTAAGGTATAGTTGACAAATAAAATTGTATATATTTAAGGTATACAATGTGATGTTATGATATGTATGTACATTGTGGAATGATTATCACAATAAGCTAATTAACGTACCTATAGCCTCCCAGTTACCTTTTGTTTGTGTGTGTGGTGAGAATATTTCTTCTAAGAGCTGTTCTCTTAGCAAATTTTAAGTATACAATCCGGTATTATTAACTATAGTCACCATGTCATGGCTCCAGAACTTATTCATCCTGAATAACTGAAATGTACCCTTTATCCAATACCTTGCCATTTCCTCTAGCCCCTGGCCACCACCATTCTACTCCCTGCTCCTACAAGTTTGACTTAAGATTTCACTTAAGCGAATGAAATCATGCAGTATTTTAAAATTCCACTTCAGTGAAATGAAATCATGCAGTATTTATCTTTCTGTGCCTGACTTATTTCACTTAACATAATGTTCTCCAGGTTCATCCATGTTGTCACAAATGACAAGATATCCTTCTTTTTTTTTTCCTTTTTTTTTTTTTTTGAGGCAGAGTCTTGCCCTATCGCCCAGGCTGGAGTGCAGTGGCGGGAGCTAGGCTCACTGCAAGATCCGCCTCCCAGGTTCACGCCATTCTCTTGCCTCAGCCTCCTGAGCATCTGGGACTACAGGTGCCCACCACCAGGCCCTGCTAATTTTTTGTATTTTTTAGTGGAGACGGGGTTTCACCGTGTTAGCCAGGATGGTCTCCATCTCCTGACCCTGTGATCCGCCCGCCTCGGCCTCCCAAAGTGCTGGGATTACAGGCGTGAGCCACCATGCCCGGCAAGATTTCCTTCTTTTTAAAGCTGAATAATAGTAATATTATTTATGGACACTTAGGTTGATTTCATATCTTAGCTATTGTGAATAATGCTGTAATAAACATGGGAGTATAAACATCTCTTGGAGATATTAATTTCTTTTCCAAAAGAATATATTTTATGTGAACTAATTAAAACATTTACTGTTTCAATGAGAGCTCTTCTTTATATTTACAATTGTTAAGATATTTTGTTAAGACTAAGAAAATTTTTAAGACTGTGAAAATGATTTGAGTTGCCTCTATCAATAAAACTATAGAACAAACCTTTAGAAGGAAAAATAGCAAATACAGGACAGAAGGGTAAGAAAAAATACATTCAGAGTTATTTATATATTAACAAAATGTTGGACGTGGTGGAGGGGGGAGAAGCATACCTGAGTAATTATGAATTTCCCCATGTTCCTTGACCCATGACAAAGTTCTCCACCATCTACCACAAGCAGAGAGGGCTTGTCTACTCCTCTTTTGGTACTTATCACAAGGAGACTTATTTTGAGACTATGTTCTAACTTCACAGCCCACATCTTGAACGGAGAGAGAGTCGTTTGTTGTCTCATCCAAAATGTCTAGCAGAGTTCTTTGTACTCCGGCAAATATTTATTAATTATTATTTTAGACACCAAATTGACTAGGCTGTACCATGAATGGAAGTTCATGGTATCTACAAATAGTTACCAGTGATTTAGATGCAACATCGGGGGAATTATTTTTCTAAAGATTTGGCTTTAATTCTTCTGCTTTTTAACTTGATTTAATGTAACGGGGATAATGAAATCATGATCCCAGCATTTTAAGAGTACTGGTTTAGATTTAAATTTAGAATTTAAATCCATAAATTCATTATTACGTTAACAAATCTTTATTAAGCACTTATTCTAAGTCAGGCCTTGTTCTTCAAAGACAAAGCGTGGTCCCTTATGGAGCTTCCACACAGGTGGCGAATGCAGCAGAGGAGTCGCCTTCACACAGTGGCAGGTGACCGCCACTGAGTACTCACTACATGCCCGGCACAGTTTACATGGTTTATATGCCCTGACTCATCACATTCTCACAATAATTCTATGGGGTAGGCACTGTAATCATCTATATCTTACAGGTGTAAAGACTGAGGCATAGAGGCATGCATTACAGTGCCCAAAGTTACATACCTGGTGAGTGTCAGCCAGGAGTGGAATCCAGGCGATCTGTCTCCTGAGCCACAATGAATTTCAATGATCAAATCTCATAGATCATTGGAAACTTATACGTATTCCAAGAGCTAAGGAGGAGAGGGCCGTGGTACTACTAAGCATATTTGAAGGGGAAACTACCATGGTAAGAGGTCTAGCTTCCTGAGACAGGGACTGTTAAGATGGCATCTTAACAGGAGGCATGAACTAGGTGAAAAGGGGCTGGAGGAGTATTTTATTTTATTTCATTTTATTTATTTTGAGACAGTCTCACTCTGTCACCCAGGCTGCAGTGCAGTGGTGCAATCTCAGCTCACTGCAACCTCTGCCTCCCAGGTTCGAGTGATTCTCCTGCCTCAGACTCCCAAGTAACTAGGATTACAGGGGCCCACCACCATGCTTGGCTAATTTTCAGATTTTTACTAGAGATGGGGTTTCACCATGTTGGCCAGGCTAATCTCAAACTCCTGACCTCAGGTGATCCGCCTGCCTCAGTCTCCCAAAGTGCTGGGGTTATTAACCCCTCTCAGGGTAACCTGGAAAAGCAAAGGAGAGCCTTTTGATAGGAAGGAGCAAGAGGAGATTCAAGAAGCTCATCCCCCAAAAAACTGAAACAGAACATGTTTTTATTTCTGATTCCAGTTTAGAAAGCATTTTCACATTTGCTCCCCTAGTTGATGCTTACAAACACCCAGTGTAGGCTTAGAGACGTAAATTAAATTTTACTAAAGCCACAGTGACAGGAAGGGGTAAGGCTGGAACCCAAACCCAGGTCTCTAAATTTCAGTTCCCATGGCCATTCTACCAAACCACAGAGGCTCAGCAGTCCCAGGACAGAAAGGCTCAAGTGACTCAAAGGTGCATATAAATCAGCAGTAACTGTGGCAACACTGGTGCCTAAGGAAATATATTTTATCTAGATGTAAAAATTGAAGTAGAATTCAAAGTCAGAGCCAAGACATAACTACCCCATGAGAACCTCAACTGAAACACTGGTGTTAGGACAGGGCCCCACAACTTCAGGTTGGTGCAAAGAACTAGAAAATGTTTCTGCAAAAATAAATAGTGTTAGAAGCAAATGACTCAAGGTAGAAAGTAATATAAATTTGGGTTCTTTTGAAGAAAACTATCAAAGGTTGCTTATCAAGAACATCCTATGACAATGATCAGCTGAGTCTTTTTCATCTCCCAGAAGGTAGAGAGTAGGAAGGATTTACACCAGCCTTGCAAACAATTCTCCATTTCTTGGAGAGAAAGAAAGACCCTAAGACCAAATACCTCAAACAACAAAACTTTAGATCATTTATGCTTGCCTCTGTAATTTTAACATGATTATCTTTCCTATTCCAGACAGACCTATTTATGTTTCACCTAGGCCAGTCTTAAAGTTATTTTGAAAACTTTTAAGTGTGTGTCTTGATTGTCCTAATGAAGAGCTAGTCAAGGATCAAAATTGAGCAGAAAGACAAGATCCAGCAAAGTAAAGCTGCAGATAATGCATAAGGGGGATAAAGGATAATTTAAAGTAGTCAAACCTTTTTTTTTTTTACAGTATCAAAGCAGTTTTATTATACTCAGTTGTCTAGCATCCATTCCCATCAGGGGCCACTTAACACAGCTACTAATGAGCAGGATCCCTGTAAGTCCATAAACACCTGCTACGGTTATGGGTGGAGACAAGGAGTAAATATTAGACTGTAAGCTCCCCTACTACATTATAAACTCTTGAGGACAGGAACTGTGTTACAATCTTCTTTATGCACACTGCAGCACCCAGCATAGGATGCTAGCACATAAAAGAGGATAAACAAATGTTTATAACTCTTCTCTTTCCCTCCTACTTACCTTTTCATTGTCATTACTCCATCACTGTAAAATAATGTGTCTCTCTCCTGCCCCTTTTTTCATGTCTTCAGTGCTTGCCTTAGTGCCTGACAGTAGACCCACAAGCAGCATTTAACCTTGCCAATGGCAAGCAGAACTAAGTGAGACAGAAATAAATATTTGACTCTCCCAGATGTTAAACCCTCATGCAGAATGATGAGAAAGATTGTAAAATCATTTCCCCAGGAGGTTTCTGAAAACATAGAATACCTAGAATGATTCAGGGGTAAAGATCTACCTTGACACATAGTTTAACATTCTTTAAACATATACATACATACACACATGCACACAAACATGTTTTCCTCATTATAAAAGTGATTCATGTTTGTTGCAGAAAATTTGTACAGCTAGGGAAGAATAAAGAAGAAAATAATCACTACCCATAATCACACTATCTAAAAACAGCTACAATTGATATTTGTCTGATATTTCTTGTATTTCTTTCTAATTTTTTCTATGGCTCTACTCAAATTCATTCATTCGTTCAACAAATTTTCATTAGGTGCCTACCAACATTCTATGAAGAAACAAACAATCATCGTAAAATTTAGTATGGTAGAAGGTATGAAGTACATGGAAAATAGTGCAGATTAAGGAAGGAGGTCAGAGATTTGGGGACAGAAGGGAGAGGGTTCAAATTTTAAATGCAGTAATCAGGAGAAGCTTTATTGAAAAAGTGACATTTGAACAAAGACATAATTGGGATTATTTTGAATAGACTGCTATGCAATTTGCTTTGATCACAGCATTATTCTTTTAAACATGCATATTTAATAGTTGCACAACATTCTATCTTATGAATTAGCATAATTTTATTTAACCATAAGGTTGGACATTTATATTTATTTTTCTGTGATATACATTCTTAAAGATAAGATCTGTGGAAACTCTGTTCAAGTTATGTAATTAACAGAATAAAACTAAGATTTAGCTCAGAAAATAAGAGGCAGCATCAAGGTAAGAAAATGTTAATTTTTTGTTAAGTATGTTGGAACGTTTTTCCCACTCATTGTTTATTTTTAATATGTTTATGGTATGTTTTTAAAATAACATATATTAGGGGTTTGGTTAGAATATATATTCATTGTCAAAATTTTGGAAAACAAAAACAAAAGAACATTTAATATGCTCATCATATCTCTTAGAATCATATTTTAGCAGTTTTGTCAAAATATACTCTTAAAATTCATATCATATTAAACATACTGTGTTATAACAATTTTCATTTAATTATATGTGAACATTTTCTAAGTATTTTAAGTATTTTATTTGTAAGATTATATATATATTTTAAGTATTTTTTTAAAGTATCATTTTACAACCTAATTTGTAATAAATGTATAATTTTTGGCCATTCTATAAACTATCCCTATTTTATAAACTGAATTGTCTCTTTTATCACTACTATAAAATCCTTTCACATACATCATTGCACACAATGTTTATTTCCTTATATAATAAAGACATAAATCTGTCATATATGTTACAAATATTTTTCCTAGTTTGCTGTTTTCATTTTAGTTTTATTTATGTTATTTTTTGACTTAAAGAAATTAAATCTATCAATCCTTTCCTTAAGGGATTATTCCCTTGTCTCTATGTTTCAAAAGACCTTTAGCACCCTGAGGTTGTTTTTTATTGTTTTGTTTTGTTTAACTCTTTACCCTGGTGGGATTTATTTTGGCCTATGGTATGACATTTAGCGAACCAGCTTTATTTGTTTTGGAATAGTTGTGGCTTGGTGAAACTTCAATAGGCCTTTCTTTTCTTTATTTTGTTATTCTGTCATTCAGGAATGATCTGACTACTCCTTGAAACCATCTGTAACAGCGAAAGTGGTACTTCTATTAACATTCCCTACTTTGGCATAAGAAACTATGTCCAATCCATCAGAAAACTGATAGATGACATAAGAAATAAATTGTTTCAAGGAAAAGAAATAAGTACATATAATTTAAAAATTTTAATGAGACATGTTAGGAAAATATCTAAATGCATAATTCCAGAAAAAGCTATTTAAATATAACCCTTAACTTCAAAACACTCTTTCATAGCTCTGTTAAAAGATAAACTAAGGCACATTAAAATTTCAAAGAGTTTATTTGGGCAACAGTGATTCATGAATCAGGCAGCACCAAACCACACGCAGTTTGAGTTGTTCCAGAGGTGGCTGAAAGGAAAGTTTTTATAGGGTGAATGCAGAAGCAAAGCAATTATTTGATTGTTTAATGTTTGCACAATGGCCTTATTTGGACTATTCCAGTGAGTCATTCAAAACAATACAACTAATGCCCTGTTGGCTGCCTGTGATTGGCTGAGCTTCAGTTTTATTTTCTTTTAAATTAGCCACTTACAGGAAATGAATCTAAGTTTTGGTTTGCTTACATAGGAATACAGGGTGTTAGAGTCTTACAGCCACCTCAGTTTAATGGACTTCCATTTAATTGTTTTAGCAGCTTCTTTGGAACTGTACAAACTAGATTCACAAACTGTGGAACACTGGTGTTCCAATTAGCACTTACATAATATATTAATGAGTGCTTGCTCATTGCTCATAATAATAGGAACAACATAATAATAACAAGAGATGTCATTTCATGGGTACTTACCACATGAAAGGCATTTTGCCAAGCACCTCAAATGTGATATTTTATTCAATTCTCACAATACTCTAGAAGGGAAATACTATTACTATCTCTCTTTTACAGACAAGGAAATAAAGGCTTAGCAGAGTGGAAGAAAACTTTACTACCGTGAAGAGGACTTTTCAGCTTTTTCTCAGCAAAATTTATACAGTGCTCTAGTGAAAACAAGAATAGGGGGAAAGTCCTGGTTGGATACATCTTATAGTTTAAGTCATGTCTGACTAGTAACAACTATATTTCATAATGATTTATAGTTTATAAAGCACATTGACCCAACATAGTTGATGCTTAAACCATAACCCTTTGAAGGAGGCATGGTCTGAGTCACTGCCATTTGGATAGATGAGAAAGCAGAGGAGGTACTAAGAGGTAAAGTAGCAGAGCTGAGACTTAAAAACCACGTCTTCTAATTCTGCCATCAATGCTTCCTCTAATGTTCCACAGTGCAGGTTTGGGGAATTTCCCTTTGGGAATTTGTATAATCCAAATCTCAGACTCTCATGACTTGTTATTGTTACCAACATTATCTGACCATCTCTTTTTAGCAACTAACATGATGTATTCTAAATTATTACTGTAATGATCTCAGCCAGCTGATACTTTATTACACGTGTTGAATATGAACTATTATAGGTGCTCTTTTATCTAATCCATATTTTAGTGAATGAATGATATAATTTGAACTTTTCTTGTTTGTATGTCTCTTGAGATGATATAAAATTACTGGAGTGAATTATACATAAAGAATGGAGGTGCCCATTGCAGTGACTGGCACAGGAATCTTGGCAGCTTCTCTGCATTCCCATCAGTGGGGACACCACACTGAGGAGACTGGCCGGCACCATAGCACTGTAGGGTGCATGATCAAATCCCTGGACAAATTTTCCACACATCCTAGATGTTAATGTGGAGCCTTCCCATGACTCAGAAAAACTAAAAGGACAGAATTAAGTTCTGGTGCTTAAGTCTTCTCCAGACTTGGAAACTATGCAGTTCTGTGTTTAGGTTTTGGTGCTGAGGTTAAGTTTTGATACTCACTAGAAGTCTTCCTCAGACCAGGAAACAATGGCAGGGCAGTGAGTTCCAGTGCCTTGTTTTGGTTTTGGTACTCACTATACATCCTCCCCCAAATGGGAAGAAACAGCAGCCTGTAGATTAAGTTTCAACACAAAGTAGTGAAGGTCTAACTCCACCAAATAACACTTGGGCAGAAGCTGGAAGAGGTGGCCATCTCTTCAAATGTGCAGGTACCAATGTAAAGACACAAGGAAAGTGAAAACTCAGGGAAATATGACATCACCAAAAGAAACCAACAAAGCTCCAGTAATTGAACCAGAAAATTTGAAAACCTATTAAATGTCTGACAATGAATTCAGAATAATCCTCTCAAGGAATTTCAGGGATCATAAGAAAATACACGTAGAATATTAAATGAGATTTGGAAAACAATATAGAAACAAAATGAGAGATTTGACAAAGAAATAGAAACAATTTTTAAAAACCAAATAGAAATTCTAGAAATAAAGAATATAATAACGGAACTGAAAAACTCATCGGAAAACCTCAGCAGCAGGCTTGACCAAACAGGAGAAAGAATCAGTGAACTCAAAGGTAGAAGATATGAAATTTCCCAATTAAAGGGGGAAAAAAATTAGAGGACATCATCAAGTGAACTAACATATGCATAATAGACATTCTCAAAGGGGATGAGAGAAAAATGCATAGAAAGCATATTCAAGAAAATAACAGCTAAAAATTCCCCAAATCTGTAGAAAGAGGATAAGACCTAGGTGCAGTAAGCTCAGAGATCACCGATCAAATTCAGTCCAAAGAGGAATTACCCAAGGCACATAATAATCAAATTATCAAAAATCAAAGACAACGAGCCAGGCATGGTGGTGAATGCCTGTAGTCCCAGCTACTTAGAAGGCTGAAGGGAAAACATCCCCCGAGCCCAGAAGTTTGAGTTCAGCTTGAGCAGCATAGTAAAAGCCTGTCCCTAAACCTAATTGTTTTTTAAATATCAAAGACAAAGAACACTGAAAGCATCAAGACAAAAGAAACGTATCACATTCAACAAAGCCCCAGTACAGCTTTCCACAGATTTCTCAGCAGAATCCTTGCAGGGCAGGAGAGAGTGGGATGATATATTCAAAGTGCTAAAAGAAAAAAAAAAACCTGACAGCCTAGGATACTGTACCCCAGAAAGATATCCTTTAAACACGAAGGAGTGATACAGACTTTCCCAGATGAACAAAAGCTGAGGGAGTTCATCAATACCAGATCTGTCTTACAAGAAATACTAAAGGGAATTCTGAAAGAAAAGAATACTAATGTGCAGCAAGGAAACATCTGAACGTATAAAAAAATCACTCATAAAAGTATATAGAGAAATTCAGAATAACACTGTAATTGTGGCATGTAAACCACTTCTATTTTTAGTGTGAAGACTGAAGAACAAAACTATTAAATACAATAATAACTGTAACAATTGGTTAAGAAATAGACAATGTAAAAATATGTAAATAAAGCAATCAGAAATTCAAAATGTGGGGGTGGGGAATGGTGTTAAAGTGTAGAGGCTTTTTATTTCTTTGTGCTCAAAGTTAAGTTGTTATCAATTTAAAACAATTTGTTATGAAATATTTTTTGTAAGTTTCACAGTAACCACAAACCAAATACCTATAATACATACACTAAAAATAAATAGTATGACACCAAAACATACTACTAAAGAAAACCACATGAACACAAAGGAAGAGTAACTGAAGAAAAGAAGAAAAAAATATCCTCAAAACAACCAGATAACACAGAGAAAAAATGCAGTGGTATGCTAGTAGGAGTGTAAATTAGTTCAACCATTGTGGAAAATGGTGTGGTGATTCCTCAAAGACCTAAAGACAGAAATGCCATTCAACCCAGCAGTCCCTTTACTGGGTATATACCCAAAGGAATATAAATCTTTCTATTATAAAGACATGCACATATATGTTCACTACAGCACTATTCACAATAGCAAAGACATGGAATCAACCCAGATGCCCATCAGCGATAGACTGGATAAAGAAAATGTAGTACATATACACCATGAAATACTACATGGCCATAGAAAAGAATGAAATCATGTCCTTTGCAGGGACATGGATGGAGCTGGGTGCTATTATCCTTAGCAAACTAATGCAGGAACAGAGAACCAAATATTACATGTTCTCACTTGTAAGTGGGAGCTAAATGATGAGAATGCATGGACACATGGAAGGCAACAATACATACGGGGGCCTATCGGAGGGTGGAGGGTGGGTGTATATGTATATGCACCCAACATTGGAGCACCAAAATTTATAAAACAAATATGAATAGACCTAAAGGGATAGGTAGACTATAGTACAATAAATAATAGTAAGGGACTTCAGCACCCCACCTTCAGCAATAGACAGAACATCCAGACAGAAAATCAACAAGGAAACATCCGGAGTTAAACTGCAATCTAGACCTTATTTACAGAGCATTCCATCCAACAGCTGCAGAATATACATTCTTCTCAACAACACTTGGAATATTCTCTAGGACAGACCATGTGTGAGGTCTAAATAACTTTTAAAAGTGGAAATAATATCAAGTGTCTTTTCTGACCACAATGGAATAAAACTAGAAATTTATAACAGAAAAAACATTAGCAACTATACAAATATGTGGAAATTAAACATCATGCTCCCGAACAACAAATAGGTTAATGAAAAACTTAAAAAGGAAATTTAAAAATTCTTGAGACAAATGAAAATGAAAACACAACATACCAAACCTATGGGACACAGCAAAAATAGCTCTAAAAGAGCAGTTTATCCCAATAAATGCCTACATCAAAAAAGTAGAAAGATCTTAAATAAATAACATAACTTCATACCTCATGGAACTAGAAAAACAAGAACACACAAAACCCAAAATTAGTAGAAGGAAAGAACTAATAAAGATCAGAAGATAAATAAATGAAAGAGATGTTTTAAAATACAAAAGTTAACCAAACAAATAGTTGTGTTTTTTAAAAGATAAAATTGACAAACATTTAGCTAAACTAAGAAAAAGGGAGAGGACTGAAATAAATAAAACCAGAAATGAAAAGGAGACATTACAATTGATACCACAGAAATATAAAGGATCACAGGAGACCATTATGAGTAACTATATGCCAACAAATTGGAAAATCTAGAATAAATTGATGGGTTTCTGGACACATACAATTTACCAAAATTGAATCATGAAGAAATAGAAAACTTGAAGAGAACAATAACAAGTAATGAGATTGAAGCAGTAATAAAGACTGTCCCATCAAAGAAAAGCCCAGGATCTGATCGATTTACTTTAAACATTTGGTAGAATTTCTGCTAAATTCTACCAAACATTTAAAGAACTAGTGCTAATTTTTCTCAAACTGTTTCAGAAAACTGAAGAGGAGAGAATACTTCCAAACTCGTTCTATAAGGACATTTTACACTCTTGACCAGTAATATATGGGAATTTCCATTACCACATTCAAGTCAATGTTTGGCAGAGTCAGTCTTTCTTATTTTATCCATTCTGCCAGGTGGGAAGTAGTATTATATTGTGGTTGTTTCCTATACTCTTAAATGAAAAACTAAAAATGGTTAATAGTGATTGTTGCTTGTACATGCCCGAAATATCTTTTTTTTTTTTTTTTTTTTGAGACAGAGTCTTGCTCTGTCGCCCAGGCTGGAGTGCAGTGGCATGATCAGAATATCTTTAAAAGGCTGCACAAGGATCTAAACATGCTGGTTTTCCTTTGGTGAGCCCCTATTTGACTGGGACACAGGTGATGGAGGTAGACTCTTTACCCTGCAATCATTAGTTACTTTTGACTGTTGAACCACGTTGTTATTATATTACTTATTGAAAAAAACAAAATGAAGTTATTTTTTAAATCACTCAATTACTCACTGGGTCATGAACCTCCGACCTGCTCCTAGCTTAGACAGGGCATATGAGTTGGGGTATTCTGAGTGGGGAGAAGGCACCTAGCTTAGTTCATTCAGGCTGCTATAACAAAATGCCATTCAGTGAGTGGCTTATAAACAAATTTATTTCTCACAGTTCTTGGGGCTGGGAAGTCTGAGATCAAGACACCAGCTGGTGAGGACTCACTTTCTGGTTCATAGAAGGCACCTTCCTCACATGGTAGAAGGGACGAGAGAGCTCTCTGGAGTTTCTTTATAACAGTACTAATGTCATTCATGAGGGTTTTACCCTCACGACTCAATCACCTCTCAAACACCCCACCTCCTACTGCCATCACATTGGGGGTGTCAATTTCAAAATCATAAGATCTATACATTTGGAAAGGAGACATTATTTCTTGTAAAAGATTACAGCCTGCAGGCTGGCCATCCTCAGGATGGGAAGTGTAGCCTCCAGCAGATCCCGAAAGGCAGGCACTTCAAGGGAGGGAGGGAGGGGTTAAGACAGGAATTTATGCTGAATAGGTTGGCCAAGTATGCACATTCGTCAGGACATAGGAGGAGCTATGGATATTCATCAAAGGGAGTTGTGATAAGCAAACATGCATGTTACATGCATCCGGTGTTCACTCTGGGGTGAAGACTTAACATTTAAATGCATTGCAGTTCAGGCCATATATGTCAAAAGGTGAAGGAGAGACACAAAGGTACTCAAGTGTGCAACCTCTGTAAAACTGGCCAGAACCAGATCAAGGTCAGTGGTCTCTTGACAGAAAAAAGTTACTGAAATCAGCCCCTTTTCCAATCAAAGCAATAGTTATGGCTTGTAGAACATGGGATCAGTTGTCACCTGGCAGTGGATGAGCTGTGCTTGTTTTAACATTGCTTATTTAGGCCAGTGCTTGTTTAGCTGCTAGAGAAAAAGAAAAACCTTGCGGTAGTTAGAACATTTATTCTTTAAGTGTAGGGATGTGCGACTTAACCCTTGCCTGGCATGGCCTTAAGTCCTATTTATAACTTGGTATCTTATTGCTACAAAGAGTTCACTCTGTCAGTGTTATGATCTCCTTTTAACATTAATGCTGGTCAGTTGTTGTGTCTACACTGCAAATGGGAGGGGTATAATGAGGCATGTCTGACATCCTGGCTGGTTAAGGTTTCTCTGGGATCCCAAAGCTGTTGGCCAAAAGGGGGTCAGTTTGGTTGGTAAGAGGGACTTATAATTTTACTTGTAGTTCTCAAGGATTAGATTTCAATATATGAATTGGTGTGGGGGACAGACACATTCAGTCTGTGGCAGCACTTTCTGCTTTCACTCCAGCCCTTACCCTCCCAGAAGACCTTAGGGTGTGGCTGGGTCAGGTAGACAGGAACCCCCACCTCCTTCTTCCCACCTGAGGAGGTGGGAGAGAGGAGACAGTCTTACTGTCTGGCTGCCATTGTGGTCTTCTCTTTTGGGGTTGTGGTTTCTCTAATGTGCTCTCAGTGGCAGGTTCCAAGGCAGCTGTCTCCTGGGTCATATATGTGAGGCTTTTGTGGGGGTGGAGGCTGAAGAACCTGTGGAGCCTCTCTCTGATCCATTCTCTGATGTGAAACATCCATTCCACTTGACCTCTTTCAACCTTCAATTCTAATCCCTGGGTTGTGGGTGTGGGTACACCCTGTAGCCTCTCATTTATGGTCCTCTTTGTGGGTTGCAGCAAGTTGGCTCAGGCCCAACTACCTTCCACAGCCTCCCTGGCCCCACCAGCTCCTCACACATCTGGTAGTGATGCAGATTGCTCCTCTGATGTCCTTACCCTGCCATCTCTTACCAATTCCCTCCTCCCTGCTCAGGAAGCTGCACTCATAAGTCCAATGCCTTAGCAGATATTCAATAGGGGAATGAAATGACAGTCTCTCCTTCTTCAGGAACCATCAAATTCTATGAGTAATTCCCTTGAAACCCTTCACAATTGGATCCCCAGACAGGAGAGGAGAGAGAAGGAGAGAAAAGCCCCAGTACTCTCCCCTAGGTTGATCGCTCAGAGCTCTAACAATTTCTTCCTCCTCACTTTCCCAGTCTTCTTGTATAGAATGCCTGAGTTAGGTGTTATAGGGATATATCTGCTCATTCTTAGTAATCCCTGGGTATGAGTCTGCAACCAGGTGTAGAGTATTACTGTGTGTGTGTAGAGGAGTAACCCTGTGCAGGTGAGAGCAGATCCTATGCAGGATGGCTTTCCAGTCCAGTGCTTCTCCAATTTTAATATGCATACAAAACGCCTGGAGATCTTGTTAAACTCAGATTCAGGAAGTCTAGGTGGGGTCTGAAATTCCATAGTTTAAAAAACATTTAATTGTGGTAAAATACACATAACAAAATTTACCATCATAATCATTTTCAGTGTACAGTTCAAGTTCAGTAGTATTATGCACATTCACATTGTTTTGCAACCATCACCACCATCGATTTCCAGAACTCTTTGATCTTGCAAAACTGAAACTCTGTACCCGTTAAACACTAACTCCCCATTGCCCCCCACCCTCCGCCCCTGGCAACCAGAATCCGCTTTCTATCTCTATGAATCTGACTGCTCTAGGTACCTTATATTAATGGAATCATACAGTATTTGCCCTTTTGTGACTGCCTTATTTCATGTAGCAAAATGTTCTCAAGATTCATCCTTGTTCTTATGTGTCATATATTTTTAAATTCTGCATTTTTAACAAGCTCCCAGTGATGCTGATGCTGTGGTCCCAAAGACCACACTTTCAATAGCAAGCCCTCTATTTAGGAGGTAATTAAACATCTCTGTATTCAGCTGGGGCCAAGTCTTCAATTTGAGAGCAATAAGAAAAAACAAATTTGCTCTCTGCAATGGTTAATTTTGTGTCAGCTTGGCTAGGCCATGGTAGCCAGATATTTGGTCAAACACCAGCCTACATGTCATTGTGAAGGTATTTTCTAGGTGACATTAACATTTAAATCAGTAGACTTTGACTAAGGCAGATTACCCTCTAAAATATGGGCGAGCCTCATCCAATCAGTTGAAGGCTTTAAAAGAAAAAGACTGAGGTCTTCTGCGGAAGAGGGAATTCTACCTCCACGCTGCCTTCAGACTCAAGCTGCAACATGAACCCATCCCTAGGGATCCAGATTGCCAGCTTGCCCTGCAGATTTTGGACTTGCCAGTCCCCACTATTATGTAAGTCAGTTTCTTAAAATACATCCCTCTATATACGTAGCTACAGATTCCACTGGTTATGTTACTAAGGAGGACCCTAATACAGCCTCTTGCTATGGAATCTTGTTGTACATTCTGTTATGAAACCATAATATACAGTATCATATTGTATACATTGTATTGTCTTTTGTTTTACATTAGTGGCCATCATTAGTATATTTCTAAGATTTACTCTTAGAGGGAGATCTAGCTCTAGTTCAGTGGGTCTCAAAGTTTAAATTCAAATCACCTGGAGGCCTTGTTAAACCACGTATTACTGGGCCTCACCACCAGAGTTCCTGATTTCAGTAGATCTGGATTGAGGCTCAAGAATTTCATTTTCCCAAGTGTTGCTGTTTGCTCAGAGGCCACACGAATTACTGCTCTAATTCTTTCATTTTAATTGCTGTATGATATTCATTGTGCATTGTATAAAACATGGTTTACTTGTGATGGACATTTACATTATTTCCTATTTCAAAACGGCAAAGATTTTAGTTTTTGTCTCAGGCACACAGGTGAGCTTTTTAAAGCAGTGGTTCTCAGCTCCATTAGACACAAAGCCTCCTTTATATAACAGATATTTATAACTCTCCTTTTACTATATTGAAATGAAACACATAGATAATACTATAGGAGGGCTGGGCTCGGTGGCTCACGCCTGTAATCCCAGCATTTTGGGAGGCCAAGGCAGACTGATCACCTGAGGTCAGGAGTTTGAGACCAGCCTGGCCAACAGGGTGAAACCCCGCCTCTACTAAAAATACAAAAATTAGCCCGGCGTAGTGGAACATGAGAGGTTGAGGCAAGAGAATCACTTAAAATCGGGAGGCAGAGGTTCAGTGAGCTGAGATCGTGCCACTGCACTCCAGCCTGGGCGACAGAGCAAGACTTTGCCTCAAAAAAAAAAAAAAAAAGGCCAGGCACGGTGACTCACGCCTATAATCCCAGCACTTTGGGAGGCCGAGGTGGGCAGATCACGAGGTCAGGAGATTGAGACCATCCTGGCTAACATGGTGAAACCCTGTCTCTACTAAAAATACAAAAAATTAGCAAGGCGTGGTGGCAGTCGCCTGTAGTTCCAGCTACTCGCCTGTAGTCCCAGCTACTCGCCTGTAGTCCCAGCTACTCGGGAGGCTAAGGCAGGAGAATGGCGTGAACCTGGGAGGCAGAGCTTGTGCCACTGCACTCCAGCCTGGGCAACAGGCTGGAGTCTCAAAAAAAAAAAAAAAAAAAAAAGAAATTATAGGAGGACAGAAGTGCAAATGAACCTGAAGGGACTAAAGGTTTCAGCAGGGCTGGTTCCTTCTGAAGTCTCCAGGGAAAAATCGTTCATTCCTTGCCTCTTCCAGCATCTGGAGGCTGCTGCAATTTCTGGGTTTCTTAGTTCACAGCAGCAGCACTTTGATCTCTGCTTCCTTCCTCATATTACCTCTCCTCCTCAGTGCTGTCACCCTCTCCCTCTGCCTGTGTCTTACAAAGAAACTCATGGTTACACCAATAGGCCCATCAAAATAATCTATAATAGGATTATCTCTCTACCTCAAGATCCTGAATTACACCTTCAAAATCTCTTTTGCTATGTAAATCAACATATTCACAGGGTCCAGGAGTTAGGAAGTGGACATCTTGGGTAAGCCATCTCAGCCTACCATACCATCTGTTCTTATTTTACTAATACTTTTGAGAGGTGAAGCCAGCTGGACCTCCGGGGGTCTTGGAGAACTTTTCTGTCTAGCTAGAGGATTGTAAACGTACCAACCAGTGCTCTGTGTCTAGCTAAAGGATTGTAAAAACACACCAATCAGCACTCTGTAAAAACACACCAATCAGCACTCTGTAAAATGGACCAATCAGTGCTCTGTAAAATGAACCAATCAGCAGGACATGGGCGGGGACAAATAAGGGAATAAAAGCTGGCCACCCCCCGCTAGCAGCAGCAATCTGGTAGGGTCCCGTTCCCTTCTTTGGAGTCTTAGTTCTTTAGCTCTTCACGATAAACCTTGCTGCTGCTTTCTCTTTGTGTTTGTGTCGCCTTTAAGAGCTGTAGCACTGACTGTGAAGGTCTGCGGCTTCATTCTCGAAGTCAGTGAGACCAAGAACCCACCTAAAGGAACCAACTCCGGAAACACTTTCAAAAACCAATAATGGATGTTGAATTTTATTAATGCCGTTCTGGCATCTAAACATGATTATATGATTGTAAAATTATTTTTTCCTTAGATTTATTAATATGGTGAAGTACCGGTTTTCTAGTGGTGAAACATCCTTGCATACCTAGTGTAATTTTGGTTATGGTACATTATAATTTGGATGTGCTGCTGGATTCTGTTAGCTAGTAGTTGGAACATTTAAGAATTTTGAGTTGACATGCAAACAAGTGAGCTAAAGCTCTAGTGCTCTAGAGCACGCTCACAGGCACATATTCTTTCATCACTTTGCTGAGCTTTGGGGTAAATATTATGCTTATTTCACAAAAAGTTTTTTGGGAAGGTTTTCTTATATTTTTGTATTTTAGGATAGTTTAACATTTAAATAATCTGTTTCCTAAGGTTTGGTAGAAATCCCCTCTGAAACCACTTGGGTTTAGACCAATTTCTAGAGTTTAGATACTTGACAACTTGCTTAATTTCTATCATTAAGATTGGTCTCTTAAACCTTTCATCAAAGTTTTAAAATTTACTTTCATTGAATAGACCAAAATAGATTTTAATACTTGCTATGAATCTGTTTTCCCCCTTTATGATAATTTATTTTCTGTGTTTTTACTTTTTTTAATTTAGGCATCAGTTTATGAATGTTATTTCAGAGAAGCAGTTCTTAGATTTATTAGTTCTATAACTTTTATTTTCTAATTTGTTATTTTATGTCTTTGTGCTTTCATATTTATTCCACTCTCTAGTTCTGCTTTTTAAATTTTTTATTTTATTTATTTATTTATTTTGAGATGGAGTCTCACTCTGTCTCCCAGGCTGGAGTGCAGTAGTGCAATCTCAGCTCACTGCAACCTCTGCCTCCTGGGTTCAAGCAATTCTCCTGCTGCAGCTTCCTGAGTAGCTGGGACTACAGGTGCCGGTCGACACACCCAAATAATTTTTGTATTTTTGGTAGAGATGTGGTTTCGCCACATTGGCTAGGCTGGTCTCGAACTCCTGACCTCAGGTGATCCTCCTGCCTTGGCCTTCTAAAGTGCTGGGATTACAGGCGTGAGCCACCACACCCAGGCCTCTAGTTCTGCTCTTATATTATCTGAGTGTACTAACTTTTTAAAATGTTTACCTAATGTCTTTTTTGGTAATACCAATCGATATTATGGCTTTTCCTCTGAGTATTGTATAAGTTTGGTAATATAAAATTTTTAGCATAATTTAATATTTATATTTTGTATCCTTAAAGAAATATAATTTTATTAATTTTGACATAAGATTTCTATCTGGTTTTCAGCTTTTTTTTACTTTTCATGTTGAAATAATTCCAAATTTGTAGAAAATTTGAAAATAATTAGGATTACCAAGAATGTTAACATTGTGTCATATTTGCTTTATCATTCCCTTTTTCCGTGTACAGATATATAGAATTTTTACGTGTGCACATTTTTAGAGTAGGTAGCATACATAATGCCCCTGTAATCTTTTTACTTCTGTATGCATGTCCTCATAATAAGTATTCTCTTACATTTCCAGAGAATGGTGATATTAGCCTCATTTTAAAAGTGAGGAAACTGAAGTACAGAAACTCACCTCTCCTGGAATCCTCCATCCCTCTTACAAAGATAGAAATTTATGTGTGTTCTTCATCTTTTTTTTCCTACTTACTTTCTATTTTAAGATAGCTGTATATTTATATACACAACTGTAAGAAAGAATACAGAGAAATTCTGAATACCCTTCACCCAGTCTCACCTAATAATAGCATTCTACATAACCATAGTATAATATCACCACCAGGAAACTGACATTGATATAATCTTCCAAACTTTAGATTTCACAGCTTTACATGTACTCTGGAGTGTGTGTTTATGTACAGATCTGTGCAAAATTTTTAAATTCTGGTAAAATACACGTAACATAACATTTACCATTTTTAAGTATAATTCAGCAGCCTTAAGTATTCATATTGTTGTGCTACTGTCACCATTATCCATCCACAAACATTTTTTAATCTTGCAAACTCTGTACTAATAAACACTAACTCCCCATTTCTCCCTTCACAGCCCCTGGCAACCATCATCCTGTTTTCTGTCTCTATGAATTTGACTATACTAGGTACCTCATATAAGTGGAATCATGCAGTATTTGCCTTTCTATGATTGGTGTATTTCACTTAGCGTAATGACCTTGAGCTTCATCTATGTTGTAGCATGTGTCAGAATTCCCTTCCTTTTTTTAAAAAAAAAAAAAATTATTTTAAGTTTATGAGTACATATATAGGTTTGTTACACAGGTAAAAGTGTGTCCAAGGCAGGTCTGGTAGTAATAAATTTCCTCAGCATTTTCTTGTCTGAAAGGGTTCTTATTTCTCTTTCACTTACAAAGCTTAGTTTTGCCAGATATAAAATTCTGGGTTGGAATGTCTTTTTTTAAAGAATGTTAAATTTTGGGAACCAATCTCTTCTGGCTTGTAAGGTTTCCACTGAGAGGTGTGCTGTTAGTCTGATGAGCTTCCCTTTGTAGGTGATCTGGCCTGTTTCTCTATCTGCCTTTAACATTATTTCTTCTATTTTGACCTTGGAGAATCTGATGATTATGTGTCTTGGGGATCCTCTCATGGAGTAGCTTACTGGGGTTCTCTGCATTTGCTGAATTTGAATGTTGGCTTGTCTAGCTAGGTTCAGGAAGTTCTCACGGATGATACCCTGAAATATGTTTTCCAAATTGGTTTCATTCTTCCCATCTCTTTCAGGTCACCAATCAGTCATAGATTCAGTCTCTTTACATATTCTCATAGTTCTTCTTGGAGACTTTGTTCATTCTTTTTTATTCTTTTTTCTGTCTTCTTCTTTTTTTTTTTGCAACAGAGTCTCACTCTGTTGCCCAGGCTGGAGTGCAGTGGCATGATCTCAACTCACTGCAACCTCCACCTTCTGGGTTCAAGCAGTTCTCTTGCCTCAGCTTTCCAAGTAGCTGTCATTACGGGCACGCACCACCTTGCCCAACTAATTTTTATATTCTTAGTAGAGATGGGGTTTCATCATGTTGGCCAGGCTGGTCTCGAACTCCTGACCTCAAGTGATCCACCCACCTTGGCCTCCCAAAGTGCTGGGATTACAGGTGTGAGCCACCATGCCTTGCCTGCCTTATTTCAGAAAGACAGTTTTCAAGCTCTGAGATTCTTTATTCTGCCTGGTTTATTCTGCTATTTATACTTGTAACTGTATAATGAAATTCTTTTATTGTGTTTTTCAGTTCTGTAAGTTCAGTTACATTCTTCTTTATACAGCCTATTTTGTCTGTGAGCTCCTGAAATGTTTTATCATGGTTTTTAGCTTCCTTGCATTAGGTTACAACATGTTCCTTTAACTCAGTGAAGTTCGTTTTTATCCATATTCTGAGTTATACTTCTGTCATTTTAGCCATCTCAGCCTCAGCCCAGTTCTAAACCCTTGCTGGAGAGGTGATGTGGTCATTAGAGGAAAGAGGGCACACTGGGTTTTTGAGTTTTCAGCCTTCTTGCGCTGAATCTTTCTCATCTTTGTGGACCTATCTACCATCAATATTTGAGGCTGCTGACCTTTGGATGAGATTTTCATTTTCTTTTAACTGTCTGGCCACTTTTCCATAGGGCTGCTGTGGTTTGCTGGGGGCCTGCTCCAATCCCTAGTTACCTCAGATTTTCCAGTACCTGGAGGTATCACCAGTGAAGGCTGCAAAACAGCAGATGGCAGGCTGCCCCTTCCTCCGTGAGCTCCGTCTCAGGGAGGTATGGACCTGTTGCCAACCTGAACACATCTGTAAGGAGGTGGCTAGAGACCCCAGTTGGGAGCTCTCAGCCAGTCAAGAGGAATGGGATCAGAGACCTGCTTAAAGTCACAGTCTGGCCATGCTTTCATAGAGTAGTTGTGCTGTGCTAGGGTACTGCTTCCGCCCCCACTTGGCTTGGGCTCTCCAAAGTCTGGAGGCTGGAACAGCTAAGTTGCCCAAACAGCAAAGATGGCAGCCCACCCCTCCCTCTCAAAGCTCTGTCCCAGGAAGTTTTCAGATCTCTGTTGGCCAGAGAACACTGGCAGGGGTGGCTGGAGGGCCCAGGTGGGAGGTCCTATTCAGTGAAGAGGAATGAATCAGGGACTTACTTAAAGAAGTGCTCTGGCCGTGTTTTGGTAGAGCAGTTGTGCTGTGCTGGGGGATCCCGTCCACCTGGGGTCAGTTTGAACTCTCAAAAGCCCACAAGCTGGAATGGCTGTTGCCCAAACAGCTAAGATGGTGATCCACCCCTCCAACTGGGAATTCTGTCCTGAGGGTAATTCAAATCTCTGTCAGCTGGAGGACACCAGTAGGGGTGCGTGGAGGCCCCAGTTAAGAGGTTTCACCCAGTGAGGAGAAATGGGATTAGGGACCTGCTTAAAGAAGCAGTCTGGCCACATTTTCATAGAGCAGCCGTGCTGCACTGGAGTATTGCTTCTGCCCCGGTCAGCAAAGGCTCCCCAAAGCCGACAGACTGCATTGTCTAAGTCGCCCAAACAGCAAAAATGGTGGTCCGTCCCTCCCTCTGGGAACTACATCCCAGGAAGAATTAAAATCTCTGTCAGTGAGACACCATCATCAGGGGTGACTGGAGGCCCTGGTTGGGAGGTCACACCCAGTGAGGAAGAATGGACTGGGGACCCACTTAAAGAAACAATCTGGCCACATTTTGGTAGAGCAGCTGTGCTGTGCTGGGTCAGTATTGTTGCCAGTGGTTGGCTGGAATTCCAAGCCAGCAGGTCTTATCCTGTGAGGCACTGTGGAAGTGGGGTCCGCCAAGTGTTGCTGGTGGATACCCTGGATTCAGACCCCTTCCTTGGGGCGTGTATGGAGGTCCAACCTCCTGCCTTGCTGGAGTTGCAGTCACTTTTGCTGGGAAACCCAGAGGTGGAGTAGGTAAAGCTCCGGGGCCAACGTGCATGCCTGAGTGGCTGCTCTGCTGAGACTCCATGCAGAAATGTATGTCAGACTGAAGGCCCTAGTAGAGTGAATTCACAAGGGGATCTCCTGACCCAAGGGTTGCAAAGGTCCAAAGGAGAAGCATGGTTTCCCAGGGTCACACATTCACTCACTGCTTCTCTGAGCAGGGGAGATTGCCTTGGTTCCATCTTGCTCCCAGGTAGGCCATCATTTTGCCTTGCATTTCTTCATTCTCCATGGGTCAAGTTGTTTCCTTGATTTGTCTCCATGGGACAAATACCTGGATGTTTCAGTTGAAAATTCTGTATTTCCACCCCCTTTTGTTCCTCTCCATGAGAACCATGCACTGTAGCTGCTTCTAGGTGGCCATCTTGGCCCAAACCCCTCCCTCTGTTTTTAGACTAAGTACTATTCCGTTGTATATACACACTGCATTTTGTTTATCCATTCATACGTCAATGGACACTTGAGTTGCTTCTACCTTTTGGCTATTGTGATTAATGCTGCTGTGAACATGAGTGTACAAATATCTCTTTGAGTTCCTGCTTTCAATTCTCTTGAATATTAAAAAGATAGAAAAAAAAAACAGGGTTTTTCCTACTCCTCAGTTGCTCAGTACAACATTCTGACACAGATGTGTGGGTTGGTTTTGTCTGGTTTTGTTGTTAGTTTTTAAAATAATTGCTAATGCATGTAACACATTGCAGGATGCAAATCACTTTCTCATATAATATGTCTTTTAGTTATTTTTTTTAAGTTCTGGAATACATGTGCAGAATGTGCAGGTTTGTTACATGGGTATACATGTGTCACGGTGATTTGTTGCACCTATCGACCCATCATCTAGGTTTTAAGCCCCACATGCGTTAGGTATTTGTCCTAATGCTCTCCCTCCCCTTGCACCCAACCCTGACAGGCCCTGGTGTGTGATGTTCCCCTCCCTGTATCCATGTGTTCTAATTGTTCACCTCCCATTTATGAATGAGAACATGTGGTGTTTGGTTTTCTGCTCCTGTGTTAGTTTGCTGAGAATGATGGTTTTCAGCTTCATCCATGTCTCTGCAAAGGATATTAACTCATATTTTATGGCTGTGTGGTATTCCATGGTGTATATTTAACACATTTTCTTTATCCAGTCTATCGTTAATGGGCATTTGGGTTGGTTCCAAGTCTTTGCTATTGTTAACAGTGCTGCAATAAACATATGTGTGCATGTATCTTTACAGTAGAATGATTTATAATCCTTTGGGTATATACCCAGTAATGGGATTGCTGGGTCAAATGGTATTTCTGGTTCTAGATCCTTGAGGAATTGCCACACTATCTTCCACAATGGTTGAAATAATTTACACTCCCACTAACAGTGTAAAAATATTCCTATTTCTCCACAGCCTCACCAGCATCTGTTGTTTCCTGACTTTTTAATAATCACCGTTCTAACTGGCATAAAATGGTATCTCATTGTGGTTTTGATTTACGTATCTCTAAGACTAGTGATGGTGAGCTTTTTTTCACATGTTTTTGGCCACATAAATGTCTTCTTTTGAGAAGTATCTGTTGTTTATATCCTTTCCCCACTTTTTGATGAGGTTGTTTGTTTTTTCTTGTAAATTTGTTTAAGTTCCTTGTAGATTCTGGATATCAGCCCTTTGTCAGATGGATAGATTACAAAAATTTTCTCCCATTCTGTAGGTTGCCTGTTCACTCTGATGATAGTTTATTTTGCGGTGCAGAAGCTCTTTAGTTTAATTAGATCCCATTTGTCAATTTTGGCTTTTGTTGCCATTGCTTTTGGTGTTTTAGTCATGAAGTCTTTGCCCATGCCTCTGTCCTGAATGGTATTGCCTAGGTTTTCTTCTAGGGTTTTTATGGTTTTAGGTCTTACATTTAAGTCTTTAGTCCAACTTGAATTAATTTTTGTGTAAGGTGTAAGGAATGGGTCTAGTTTCAGTTTTCTACATATGGCTAGCCAGTTTTCCCAGCACCATTTATTAAATAGGGAAACCTTTCCCCATGACTTATTTTGTCAGGTTTGTCAAAGATCAGATGATTGTAGATGTGTGGTGGTATTTCTGAGGGCTCTATTCTGTTCCATTGGTGTATATATCTGTTTTGGTACCAGTACTATGCTGTTTTGGTTACTGTAGCCTGTAGTATAGTTTGAAGTCAGGTAGCATGATGCCTCCAGCTTTGTTTTTTCTTTTTTGCTTAGAATCGTCTTGGCTATATGGGCTCTTTTTTGATTTAATATGAAATTTAAAATAGTTTTTTTCTAATTCTGCAAAGAAAGTCACTGGTAGCTTGATGGAAATAGCATTGAATCTATAAATTACTTAGGGCAGAATGGCCATTTTCATAATATTGATTCTTCCTGTTCATGAGCATGGAATGTTATTCTATTTGTTTGTGTCCTCATTTATTTCCTTTAGCAGTGGTTTGTAGTTCTCCTTGAAGAGGTCCTTCATGTCCCTTGTAAGTTTTATTCCTAGGTATTTTATTTTCTTTCTAGCAATTGTGAATGGGAGTTCACTCATGATTTGGCTCTCTGTCTGTCTGTTATTGGTGTATATGAATGCTGGTGATTTTTGCACACAGATTTTGTATCCTGAGACTTTGCTGAAGTTGCTTATCACCTTAAGGAGTTTTGGGGCTGAGACGATGGGGTTTTCCGAATATATAATCATGTCATCTGCAAACAGAGACAATTTGACTTCCTCTCTTCCTATTTGAATACCCTTTATTTCTCTCTCTTGCCTGATTGCCCTGGACAGAACATCCAATACTATGTTGAATAAGAGTGGTGAGAGAGGGCATCCTTGTCTTGTGCTGGTTTTCAAAGGGAATGCTTCCAGCTTTTGCCCATGCAGTATGATATTGGCTGTGGGTTTGTCACAAATAGCTCTTATTATTTTGAGATATGTTCCATCAATATCTAGCTTATTGAGAGTTTTTAGCATGAATGGGGTGTTGAATTTTGTTGAAAAGTTTTTCTGCATCTATTGAGATAATCATGTGGTTTTTGTCATTGGTTCTGTTTATGTGATGGATTACTTTTATTGATTTGTGTATGTGGAACCAGCCTTGCATCCCAGGGATGCCCACTGTCTGGGCTTGGGCTTTTCTTGGTTGGTAGGGTATTAATTACTGCCTCAATTTCAGAGCTTGTTATAGGTCTATTCAGGGATTTGACTTCTTCCCGGTTTAGTCTTGGGGTGTGTATGTGTTCAGGAATTTATCTATTTCTTCTAGATTTTCTAGTTTATTTGTGTAGAGGTGTTTATAACATTCTCTGATGGTAGTTTTTATTTCTGTGGGATGAGTGGTGATATCCCCTTTATCATTTTTTATTGTCTCTATTTGATCTTTATTAGTCTAGCTGGTGGTCTATTTTGTTCATCTTTTCAAAAAACCAGTTCCTGGATTTATTGATTTTTTGAATGTTTTTTTTTTCTCTATCTTTTTCAGTTCTGCTCTGATCTTAGTTATTTCTTGTCTTCTGCTACCTTTTGAATTTGTTTGCTCTTACTTCTCTAGTTCTTTTAATTGTGATATTTGAGTGTCAATTTCAGATCTTTCCAGCTTTCTGATGTGGGCATTTAGGGCTATAAATTTCCCTCTTAACACTGCTTTAGCTATGTCTCAGAGATTCTGGTACATTCTCTCTTTGTTTTCATTGATTTCAAAGAACTTCTTTATTTCTGCCTTAATTTCATTATTTACCCAGTAGTCATTCAGGAGCAGGTTGTTCAATTTCCATGTAGTTATGCGGTTTTGAGTGAGTTTCTTAATCTTGAGTTCTAATTTGATTGCACTGTGGTCTGACAGTTTGTTATTATTTCTGTTCTTTTGCATTTTGCTAGGAATGTTTTACTTCCAATTATGTGGTCAATTTTAGAATACATAATTATTTCCAATTATTTGGTCAGTTTTAGAATACATGCTTTGTGGTGTTGAGAAGGATGTATATTCTGTTGATTTGGGGTGGAGAGTTCTGTAGATGTCTATTAAGTCTGCTTGGTCCAGAGCTGAGTTCAAGCCCTGAATATCCTTGTTAATTTTCTATCTCATTGATCTGTCTAATATTGACAGTGGGGTGTTAAAGTCTCCCACTATTATTGTGTGAGAGTCTAAGTCTCTTTGTAGGTCTCTAAGAACCTGTTTTAAGAATCTGGGTGCTCCTGTAGTGGATGTATGTATATTTAGGATAGTTACCTCTTCTCGTTGCATTGATCCCTTTACTATTACATAATGCCCTTTATTGTCTTTTTTGATATTTGTTGGTTTAAAATCGGTTTTTATCAGCGACTAGGATTGCAACTCCTGCTGTTTTTTTGCTTTCCATTTGCTTGGTAAATTTTCCTTCATCCCTTTATTTTGATCCTATGTGCATCTTCACATATGAAATGGGTCTCCTAAATACAGCATATCCATGGGTCTTGACTCTTTATCCAATTTGCCAGTCTGTGTCTTTTAATTGGGGCATTTAGCCCACGTGCATTTAAGGTTAATATTGTTATGTGTGAATTTTATTCTGTCATCATGATGCTAGGTGGTTACTTTGCCTGTCAGTTGATGCAGTTTCTTCACAGTGTCATTGGTCTTTATAATTTGGTGTGTTTCTGCAGTGGCTGGTACCAATTTTTCCTTTCCCTATTTAGTGCTTCCTCCAGGAGCTCTTGTCAGGTAGGCCTGGTGGTGACAAAATCCCTCAGCATTTGCTTGTCTGTAAAGGATTTTATTTCTCCTTTGCTTATGAAGCTTAGTTTGGCTGGATAAGAAATTCTGCACTGAAAATTCTTTTCTTTAAGAATGTTAAACATTGGCTACCACACTCTTCTGGCTTGTGGGATTTCTGCAGAGAGATCTGCTGTTAGTCTGATGGGCTTCCCTTTTTAGGTAACCTGACCTTTCTTTCTGGCTGCCCTTAACATTTTTTTCCTTTGTTTCAACCTTGGAGAATCTGATGATTATGCGTCTTGGGGTTGCTCTTCTTGAGGAGTATCTTAGTGGTGTTCTCTGTATTTCCTGAATTTAAATATTGGCCTGTCTTGCTAAGTTTGGGAAGTTCTCCTGGATAATATCCTGAGGTGTGTTTTCCAAGTTGTTTCCATTCTCCCCATCACTTTCAGGTATACCAATCAATCATAGGTTTGATCTTTTCACTTGGAGGCTTTGTTTCCCATATGTCTTGGAGGCTTTGTTCATTCCTTTTCATTCTTTTTTCTCTAATCTTGTCTTCATGCCTTATTTCAGTAAGTTGAGCTTCAGTCTCTGATATACTTTCTTTCACTTGATGGATTCAGCTATTGATACTTGTGTATGCCTCATGAAGTTCTCACACTGTTTTTCAGCTCCATCAGGTCATTTATTTTCCTGTCTACACTGATTATTCTGGTTAGCAGTTCCTGTAAACTTTTATCAAGGTTTTTAGCTTCCTTGAGAATTTAGTTAGGACATGCTACTTTACTTGAGTTAGGACATGCTACTTTAGCTCAGAGGAGTTTGTTATTACCCTGTCTGAAGCCTACTTCTGTCAATTCATCAATCTCATTCTCCGTCCGGTTTAGTGCCCTTGCTGCAGAGGAGTTGTGATAATTTGGAGGAGAAGAGGCATTTGGTTTTTGGAATTTCCTGTGTTTTTCCACTGGTTTTTCCACATCTTCGTGGATTTATCTACCTTTGATCTTTGAGGCTGATGACCTTTGGATGGAGTGTTTGTGTGGGGGTCCTTTTTGTTGATGTTGATGTTGCTGCTTTCTGTTTGTTAGTTTTTCTTCCAACAGTTAGGTACCTCTACTGAAGGTCCACTGCAGTTTGCTGGAGGTCCACTCCAGACTCAGTTCACCTGCGTGTCACCAGTGAATGCTGGAGAATAGCAAGATTGCTGCCTGCTCCTTCCTCTGGAAGCTTCAACCCAGAGGGGCACCAGCCTGATGCCAGCTGGAGCTCTCCTATATAAGGTGTCTGTTGACCCCTGTTGGGAGGTCTCTCCCAGTCAAGAGGCATGGGGGTCAGGGACCCACTTGAGGAGGCAATTTATCCCTTAGCAGAGCTCAAGTACTGTGCTGGGAGAATCCTCCTTGTCAGGATCAGTGACTCTTTTCAGAGCCACCTGGCAAAAAAGTAGAAGTTCACTGAAGCTGTGTCCACAGTCGCCCCTTCCCCCAGGCACTCTGTCCCAGGGAGATGGGAGTTTTATCTCCAAGTCCCTGACTGGGGCTGCTCCCTTTCTTTCAGAGATGCCCTGCCCAGTGAGGAGAAATCTAGAGCAGCAGCCTGGCCACAGCTGCTTTGCCACGCTGTTGTGAATTCCACCCAGTCCAAACCTCGCAGCCTCCTTAGCACTGTCATAGGAAAACCACCTACTCAAGCCTCAGTAATGGCAGACACCCCTCCCCCAGCCAGGCTCCATCGTCCCAGGTCAACTTCAGGCTGCTGTGCTGGCAGTTAGAATTTCAAGCCAGTGGTTCTTAGCTTGCTGGGCTCCATAGGAGTGGGACCTGCTGAGTGAGACCACTTGGCTCCCTGGCTTCAGCCCTTTTTCCAGGGGAGTGAATGGTTCTGTCTCCCTAGGGTTCCAGGCACCACTAGGGTATGAAAAAAAAACTCCTGCAGCTAGTTCGGTGTCTGCCCAAGCAGCTGCCCACTTTTGTGCTTGAAACCCAGGGCCCTGGTGGTGTAGGCACCTGAGGGAATCTCCTCGTCTGCGGAATGCAAAAATTGTGGGAAAAGTGTAGTATCCAGGGCAGGTAGCAGTCCTTCATTGGCTTCCCTTGGCTAGGGCAGTGAGGTCCCCCAGTTCCTTGCACTTCCCAGGTGAGGTGACACCCCACCCTTCTTCTGCTCATCCTCTATGGGCTGCACCCACTGCCTAACTAGTCTCAGTGAGATGAACTGGGTACCTCAGTTGGAAATGCAGAAATCTGCCTTCTGCATTGATCTCACTGGGAGCTGCAGACTGGAGCTGTTCTTATTCAGCCATCTTGCCAGATCCCCTTGTTGTTGTTTTTAACTACACACCAACCAAGCAATTGTGCAGCAAATATCAGTTAGGTGTCTCCTTATTTAATTCTACCTGGAGAATAACATCCCCTACTTTAGACATCAGTCATATGTACTAGGCTCTCACCTATCCTTCTGACCAACCAGGTATAAATCAGAGTTCTCACGACCCCTCTTTGGATTGCATTAATCAGATAGGGTGGCTCACAGAACCCAGGGCAACACTTTACTTACATTTACTCATTATTATAAAGGATATTATAAGGAATACAGATGAATACTCAGATGGAAGAGATACATAGTGTGATGTATGGGAGAAGGGGCATGGAGCTTCCATGCCCTCTCCAGATGCCTCACTCTCCAGGAGCTGGCACATGTTCAGCTGTCTTGAAATTCTCCAAATCTAATCCCTTTGGGTTTTTACAGAAGTTTTATTATGTAGGCATGATTGATTAAATTGCTGACCACTGATGATCAGCTTAAGAGGATGGGAGGGTGAGGCTGAAAGTCTCAGTCTTCTAATCATGTGTGTTGGCCTATTAGCCATTTGCATATCTTTGGAGAGATGCCTATTCAAGTCCTTTGCCATTATTAAATCAAGTTGTTTTGTTGTCATGTTTTAGTTGTAGGAGTTCTTTATATATTCTAGATATTTATCCCTTATTAGATATATGATTTGCAAATGTTTTCTCCCATTTCATGGGTTGGCTTTTCACTCTTTTGGTTATGTCCTTTGCAGAGAAGTTTTAAATTTTGATATAGTCCAATTTATTTTTTTCTTTTGTGGACTGTGGTTTTGATGTCATATCCAAGAAATTACTGCCAAACCCAATGTCATAAGGATCTCCTCATATTTTATCTTCCAAGAGTTTTATAATTTTAGGTTTTAATTTAGATTTTTGATGGTTTTATTTAATTTTTATATATGATTTAAGGTAAAGGTCAAACTTTTTTCTTATGCATGTGTATATCCAGTTTTTCCAACACCATTTGTCAAAAAGACTACTTTCCCCATTGAATGGTCTTGGCACCTTTATAAAAATCACCTAACCATATATGTGTGGGTTTATTTCTGGGCTCTCAATTCTAGACCGTTGGTCTATATGTCTGTCTTTATGCCAGTACCACACTATTTTGATTATATAGCTTTGTAGAAAGTTTTGAAATCAGGAAATGTGCAAACTCCAACTTCATTTCTTTTTTTCAGGATTGTATTTGTTATTCAGAGTCTGCTAATGTTTGAATGGTGGTGTCCTCTCCAAAGTTCATGTTGATACTGAATCCCCAATGCAACAGTATTGAGAGATGTAGCCTTTGGGAGGTGACTAAGTCATGACTAAGTCATGGGGGCTCTGCCCTCATGAATGGGATCAGTACCCTTATAGAAACGCTTAAGGTTGAAGGAAGTACTCTGTTGCCCATCCTTCCCTTCCACCATATGAAGACGTAGTGTTCATCCCCTCTGCTGAAGGATGCAGCAGCAAGGTGCCATCTTGGAGGCAAACAGCAACCCTCACTAGACACCAAACCTGCCATTGCCTTGACCTTGGACTTCCCAGCCTCCATAACTCTAAGAAATAAGTTTCTACTCTTTATAAATTATTCCATCTTAAACATTTTGTTATAACAGCACAAAGGGACTAAGACAGAGTTCCTTAAAATTCCCTATGAATTTTAGGATGGGATTTTCTATTTCTGGAAAAAAATGTTATTGGGATTTTGATAGGGATTGCACTGAATTTGTAGAATGCTTTGGTGGTATTGACCTCTTAACAATATTAAATCTTTCAATCCATTAACATGAGATGTCTTTCCATTTATTGATTTCTTCTTTAATTTCTTTCAACATCATTTTGTAGTTTCAGTGTACAAGTCCTTAGGAATAAACTTAACCAAGGAGATTAAGTTAACCTCCTTGGTTAAGTTAATTCCTAAGTACTTTCTTGATGTTATTGTAAATAGAATTGTTTTCTTCATTTCCCTTTGGATCATTCATTGTTGTTTTATAGAAACACAACTGATTTTTTTCTTGTCAACTTTGTATTCCAAAAGTTTGCTGAATTCATTTATTAGTTGAAGTTTTCCCTCCTCCTCAATATTTTGGAAGAGCTTGAGGAGGCTTTTATAAAATTCTTTTTAAAATATTTGGTAGAATTCAGTGAAACCATCTGGTCCTGCTAAATTAATTTATTGCTTTTTCTGGAAACTTTAGGGTTTTCTGTTTATAAGATTACATCATCTGTGAACAGAGATAATTTAACTTCTTCTTTTCTAATATAAATGCTTTTTATTTATTTTTCTTGCCCAATTGCACTGGCTAGGACTTCCAGTACTATGTTGAATAGGAGTGGTAAGATTGGGCATTTTATGATTAAAACACTCAAACTAGGAATAGAGAAAAACTACTGAAGTTTTTCTACTGTAAGTGTTGTAATCATGAAAGGGTGTTCAATTTTGTCAAATGTTTTTTCTAATCAATTGAGATAGTATGAAGATTTTCTTCATTAATCTGATGTATTAAACTAATATTTTTGTTTGTTCTGTATGTTGAACCATCTTTGTTTTCCAAGAATTAATTTCACTTGGTCTGAGTGTATAATTCTTTCAATGTACTATTAAGTTCTGTTTGCTAGCATTTTGTTGAAGATTCTCGTATCAGTATTCATCGAGGATATTGGTTTGTAGTTTTTGTTTCTTGTACTGTTTTTTCATGACTTTGAGATTAGGTTAATGTTGCCTCAAAAAATGGAAGTTTTCCAATAGAATGAAAACTACCTCAAATGAAAGTTTTCCCTCTTCTTTAATATTTTGGAAGAGCTTGAGGAGGATTGGTTTTAATTCTTTAAATATGTCTTAAGAGTTCACCAGTGAAGCCATCTGGTCCTGGGCTTTTCTTTGTTGGGATATTTTTCACTACTAATCTAATCTTTTTACTAGTTATAGGTTTTTAAAAATATTTTCTATTCTTTTATGATTGTCTTGGTAGGTCGTGTGTTTCTAGGAATTTGTCCATTTCATCTGGGTTATCCAATTTGTTGGTTTACAATTGTCTATAATATTCTTTTACAGTGCTTTCTATTTCTGTAAAATCCATAGTAATGTCTTCTCTTTAATTTCTGATTTTAGTTATTTAAGTCTTGTTTCTTTTGCTTAGTCACCTAGCTAAATATTTGACAATTTTGTTAATCTTGTCAAAAAATCAACACTTAATTTCACTTATTTTTCTCTGTTGTTTTTCTATTCTTTATTTTGTCTATGTTCTAATTTCTATTTCCTTTCTTATGCTAAACTTGGGTTTAGAGTGTTCTTTTTTCTAGTTAAGGGGTAAAGTTATGTTGTCAATTTGAGATTATTCTGTTTTTATTTGTGCACTTGTAACTACGTATTTTTCTTTTAGCACTGCTTTCACTGTATCCCATAATTTTGGTATATTGTGTTTTCATTTTCATTTGTGTCAAGGCATTTTGGAATTTCTCTTTTGATTTCTTGTTTGACATATTCATTGTTTAATTTTTACACGCTTGTGGATTTTTCATTTTTCAGTCTGCTATTGATTTCTAATTTCATTTCATTGTTATTGGAAAAAGTACTTTGTATGATTTCAACCTTCTAAAAAGTATGAATATTTAGTTTGTGGCCTAACGTGTGGTCTGTCCTGGAGAAGGTTCCATGTGCACTTAAGAAAAATATGTTTATTGCTATTGTCGAGTGGAGTGTTCTTTATATGTGCGTTAGTTCCAAGTGGTATAACGTCGTTCAAGTCATCTGTTTTTTTATTTATCTTCTACAGGTATTTTTTGTACCATAGGGATTACATATATGTCCTAAAGTTATAACAATCTACTTTTTTCTCTTTTTAAAATTTTATTTCAATAGTTTTTGGGGAACAGGTGGTTTTTAGTTACATAGATAAGTTCTTTAGTGGTAATGTCTGAGATTTTGGTGCACCCACCAACCAAACTATTTACATTGTACCCAATCTGTAGTCTTTTATTCTTCACCCCCCTACTGCCCTTCCCTCTGAGTCCCCAAAGTCCATCATATCATTTTTATGCTTTTGTGTCTTCATAGCTTAGCTCCCACTTATAAGTGAGAACATACGATATTTGATTGTCCATTCCTGAGTTACTTCACTTAGAATAATGATCTCCAACTCCATCCAGGTTGCTGGAAATGCCATTATTTCATTCCTTTATATGGCTGAGTAGCGTTACATGGTGTATATATACTACATTTTCTTTATCCACTCATTGGTTGATGGGCATTTAGGCTGGTTTTATATTTTTGCATTGCAAATTGTACTGTTATAAAAATGCGTGTGCAACTCTTTCTTATGTTATGACTTCTTTTCTTCTGGGTAGATACCCAGTAGCGGGATTGCTGGATCAAATGGTAGTTCTGCTTTTAGTTCTTTAAGGAATCCCCACACTATTTTCGATAGTGATTGTACTAGTTTACGTTCCCACCACCAGTGTAAAAGTGTTCATTTTTCACCATATCCACACCAACATCTATTATTCTTTGATTATGAAATTATGGCCATTCTTGCAGAAGTAAGGTGGTATCTCATTGTGGTTTTAATTTGCATTTCCCTGATAATTAGTGGTGTCAAGCATTTTTTCATATGTTTATTGACTATTTGTATATCTTCTTTTGAGAATTGTCTATTCATGTCCTTAGCCCACTTTTGGATGGGTTTGTTTGTTTTTTTCTTGCTGATTTGAGTTCCTTGTAGATTCCTCTGTCAGATGCATGGTTTGTGAATATTTTCTCTCACTCGGTGGGTTGTCTATTTAATGTGCTGATTCTTTCTTTTGCTGTGCATAAGCTTTTTAGTTTAATTAGGTCCCATCTATTTACTTTTGTTTTTGTTGCATTTGCTTTTGGGTTCTTGGTCATGAAGTCTTTGCCTAAGCCAATTTCTAGAAGAGTTTTTCCAATTTTATCTTCTAGAGTTTTTATGGTTTCAGGTCTTAGACTTAAGGCTTAGATCCATATTAGGTTGATTTTTGTATAAGATGAGAGATGAAGATCCAGTTTCATTCTTCTATATGTGGCTTGCCAATTATCCCGGCACCATTTTTTAATAGGATGTCCTTCCCCATGTTTTTGTTTTTGTTTGCTTTGTCAAAGATCAGTTGGCTGTAAGTATTTATTTCTTTATTTCTGGGCTCTCTATTCTGTTCCATTGGTCTACATGCATATTTTTATACCAGTACCATGCTGTTCTGGGAACTATAGCCTTGTAGTATAGTTTGGATTTGGGCAATGTGACGTCTCCAAATTTGTTCTTTTTGCATAGTATTGCTTTGGCTATGCAGGCTCTTTTTTTGGTCCCATATGAATTTTAGAATCGTTTTTGCTAGTTCTGTGAAAAATGATGATGGTATTTTTATGGGAATTGCATTGAATCTGTTGATTGCTTTTGGCAGTATGGTCATTTTCACAATATTGATTCTACCCATCCATATGAGCACGGGATATGTTTCCATTTGTTTGTGTCATCAGTGATTTCTTTCAGCAGTGGTCTGTATTGTTTTCCTTGTAGAGCTCTTTCACCTCCTTGGTTAGGTATATTCCTAAGCATTTTATTTTATTTTTTGCAGCTATTTTAAAAGGGATTGAGTTCTTGATTTGATTCTCAGGTTGGTTGGTGGTGGTGTAGAGCAGTGCTGCTGATTTGTGTACATTGATTTTGTATCTTAATAAAATTAAATTCATTTATCAGATCTAGGAGCTTTTTGAATAAATCTTTAGGGTTTTCTCAGTATACCGTCATATCATTGGTGAACAGCAACAGTTTGACTTCCTGTTTACCTATTTGGATGTCCTTTATTTCTGTCTCTTGTCTGATTGCTCTGGCTAGGACTTTCAGTACTATGTTAAATAGAAGTGGTAAAAGTGGGCAGCTTTTCTTGTTCTAGTTCTCAGGGGGGAATGTTTTCAACTTTTCCCTGTTTAGTATAATGTTGGCTGTGGGTTTGTCATAGATAGCCTTTTTTATTTTGAGGTATGTCCCTTCTATGCCAATTTTGCTGAGTGTTTTAATAATAAAGCGATGCTGGATTTTGTCAAATGCTTATTCTGCATCTATTGAGATGATCATATGATTTTTGTTTTTAATTCTGTTTATGTGATGTATCACATTTATTGATTTGTGTATGTTAAACCATCCCTGGAATGAAATTCACTTGGTCATGTTGTATTACTTTTTGAGATATGCCATTGGATTTGGTTAGCTAGTATTTTGTTGAGGATTTTTGCATCAGTGTTTATCATGGATATTGCTCTGAAGTTTTCTTTTTTTGTTATGTCCTTTCCTGGTTTTTGATATTAGAGTGATACTGACTGCATAAAATGATGTAGGGAGGATTCTCTCTTTCTCTATCCTTTGAAATAGTTTCAGTGAGATTGGTACCAATTCTTCTTCAAATGTCTGCTAGAATTAAGCTGTGAATCCATCTGGTCCTGGACTTTTTTTGTTGGCAATTTTTAAAAATTAATGTTTCAATCTCATTACTTGTTTTTGGTCTGTTCAGGGTTCCTATTTCTTCCTGATTTAATTGAGAAGGGTTGTATATTTCCAGGAATGTATTCTTCTCCTCTTGCTTTTCTGTTTGTCTGTGTAAAAGTGTTGATAGTAGCCTTGACTGATCTTTTGTATTTCTGTAGTATCAGTTACAATATCTCCTGTTTTATTTCTAATTGAGCTTATTTGCATCTTCTCTCTTCTTGGTTAATTTTACCAGTGGTCTATCAATTTTATTTGTCTTTTTGAAGAACCAGCTTTTTGTGTCATTTATCTTTTCCATTTTTTTGTTTCAATTTCATTTAGTTCTCCTATGGTCTTTGCTATTTTTTTATTATTATTCTGCTGGGTTTGGGTTTGGTTTGTTCCTGTTTCTCTAGTTCATTGTGGTGTGACCTTGGATTGTAAATTTGTACTCTTTCAGACTTTTTGATGTAGGCATTTAATGCTATGAACCTTCCTCTTAACACCGCTTTTGCTGTATCCCAGAGGCTTTGATAAGTTGTGTCACTGTTATCATTCAGTTCAAAGAATTTTTAAATTTTCATCTGGATTCCATTGTTTACCTAAAGATCATTTAAGGGCAGATTATTTAATTTTCATGTATTTGTATAGTTTTGAGGGATCCTTTTGGAGATAATCTCCAGTTTTATTTCACTGTGGTCTGAGAGGATATTTGATATAATTTTGATTTTTCTCAAATTTATCAAGACTTGTTTTGTGGCCTATCGTGTGGTCTATCTTGGAGAATGTTCCATGTGCTGATGAATGGAATGTATATTCTGCAGCGGTTGGTAGAATGTTCTGTAAATATCTGTTCAGTCCATTTGTTCTAGGGTATAGAACAAATTAAGTCCATTGTTTCTCTGTTGACTTCCTTCCTTGATGACCTGTCTAGTGCTGTCAGTGGAAAATTGAAATCCTCCACTATTATTGTGTTGCTGTCTATCTCATTTCTTAGGTCTAGTAGTAATTGTTTTATGAATTTGGGTGTGAAGTGCATATATATTTAGGATTGTAATATCATCCTGTTGGACTAATCCTTTTCTAATTATAAAATGTTCCTCTTTGTCTTTCTTTCTTTTTTTTTTCTATTGTTGCTTTAGAGTCTGTTTTTTTTTTTTTTTTTTCTGAGATAAGAATAGCTACCCCTGCTCACTTTTGGTTTCCATTTGCATGGAATATTTTTTTCCACTCCTTTACCTTAAATTTATGCGAGTCCTTATGTGTTAGGTGAGTCTCTTGGAGACAGAAGATACTTGGTTGATGGATTTTTATCCATTCTGCCTTTCTGTATCTTTTTAAGTGGAGCATTTAGGCCATTTATATTCAATGTTAGTATTGAGATATGAGGTGCTGTTCTATTCATCATGCTAGTTGGTGCCTAAATACCTTGTTTTTGTTCATTGTGTTATTGTTTCTTAGGCCCTGTGAGATTTATGCTTTAATGATGTTTTGTTTTGGTGTATTTTAAGGTTTTGTTTCAAGATTTAGAACTCTTTTTAGCATTTCTTGTAGTGCAGGCTTGGTTTTGACAAATTGTTTGAACATTTCTTTTTGTCATAAAAAGACTATCTCTCCTTCATTTATAAAGCTTAGTTTTGCTGGATACAAAATTCTTGATTAACAATTATTTTGTTTAAAAAGGCTATAGATAGGACCCCAATCCTTCCTGGCTGATAAGGTTTCTGCTGACAAATCTGCTGTTAATCTGATAGGTTATCCTTTATAGATACCTGATTCTTTTGTCTCACAGCTTTTTAAAGGTTCTTTCCTTCACCTTGATTTTAGATAACCTGATGACTATGGCCTAGGTGATGATATTTTTGAAATGAATTTCACAGGAGTTCTTGGAGCTTCTTGTATTTGGATATCTAGATTTCTAGCAATGCCAGGGAAGTTTTCCTCAGTTATTCCGGCAAATAAGTTTTCTGAACTTTTAGATTTCCCTTCTTCCTCAGGAACACCAATTATTCTTAGGTTTGGCTGATTAACATAATCCCAAATTTCTTAGAGGCTTTGTTGAATTATTATTTTTCTTTTTCTGTTTTTAATATACTTTAAGTTCTGGGGTACATATGCAGAACATGCAGGTTTGTTACATAGGTATACACATGCCATGGTGGATTGCTATACCCATCAACTCGTCATCTACATTAGGTATTTCTCCTAATGCTATCCCTCCCCTAGCCCCCCACCCCCTGACAGGCCCAAGTATGTGATGTTCCTCTCCCTGTGTCCATGTATTCTCATTGATCAACTCCCACTTATGAGTGAGAACATGCAGTGTTTGGTTTTCAGTTCTTGTGTTAGTTTGCTGAAAATGATGGTTTCCAGCTTCATCCATGTCCCTGTGAAGGACATGAACTCATCCTTCTTTATGGCTGCATAGTATTCCATGGTGTATATGTGCCACATTTTCTTAATCCGGTCTATCATTGATGGGCATTTGGGTTGGCTTCAAGTATTTGCTATTGCGAACAGTGCTGCAATAAACATATGTGTGCATGTGTCTTTATAGTAGAAGTATTTATAATCCTTTGGGTATATACCCAGTAATAAGATTGCTGGGTCAAATGGTATTTCTAGTTCTAGATCCTAGAGGAATTGCCACACTGTTTTCCAAAATGATTGAACTAATTTACATTCCCACCAATGGTGTAAAAGCATTCCTGTTTCTCCACATCCTCTCCAGCATCTGTTCTTTCCTGACATTTTAATAATCGCTATTCTAACTGACATGAGATGATATCTCATTGTGGTTTTGATTTGCATTTCTCTAATGACCATGATGATGAGCTTTTTTTTCATAAGATTGTTGGCTGCATAAATGTCTTCTTTTGAGAAGTGTCTGTTCATATCTTTTGGCCACTTTTTGATGGGGTTGTTTGTTTTTTTCTTGTAAATTTGTTTAAGTTCCTTGTAGATTCTGGATATTAGCCCTTTGTCAGATGGATAGATTGCAAAAATTTTCTCCCATTCTGTAGGTTGCCAGTTTACTCTGATGATTGTTTATTTTGCTGTGCAGAAGCTCTTTAGTTTAATTAGGTCTCATTTGTCAATTTTGGCTTTTGTTGCCATTGCTTTTGGTGTTTTAGTCATGAAGTCTTTGCCTATGCCAATGTCCTGAATGGTATTGCCTAGGTTTTCTTCTAGGGTTTTTATGGTTTTAGGTCTTATGTTTAAGTCTTTAATCCATCTTGAGTTAATTTTTGTATAAGGTATAAGGAACGAATCCAGTTTCAGCTTTCTGCAAATGGCTAGCCAGGTTTCCCAACACCACTTATTAAATAGAGAATCCTTTTCCCATTGCTTTTTTTTTTGTCAGGTTTGTCAAAGATCAGATGGTTGTAGATGTGTGGTGCTATTTCTGAGGCCTCTGTTCTGTTCCATTGGTCTGTATATCTGTTTTGGTACCAGTACCATGCTGTTTTGGTTAGTGTAGCCTGGTGGTATAGTTTGAAGTCAGGTAGCATGATGCCTCCAGCTTTACTTTTTTTTTTTTTTTTTCCTTAGGAGTGTCTAGGCTATGCAGGCTGTTTTTTGGTTTAATATGAAATTTAAAGTAGTTTTTTCCAATTCTGTGGAGAAAGTCAATGGTAGCTTGATGGGGATAGCATTGAATCTATAAATTACTTTGGGCAGTATACCCATTTTCACGATATTGATTCTTTCTATCCATGGGCATGGAGTTTTTTCCATTTGTTAGTGTCCTCTCTTATTTCCTTGAGCAGTGGTTTGTAGTTCTCCTTGAAGAGGTCCTTCACCTTGTAAGTTGTATTCTTAGGTATTTTATTCACTTTCTAGCAATTGTAAGTGTGAGTTCACTCATGATTTGGCTCTCTGTTTGTCTGTTATTGGTGTATAGGAATGCTTGTGATTTTTGCCGTTGATTTTATATCCTGAGACTTTGCTGAAGTTGCTTATCAACGTAAGAAGATTTAGGACTGAGACAACTGGGTTTTCTAAATATACAATCATGTCATCTGCAAACAGAGACAATTTGACTTCTTCTTTTTCTAATTGAAAACCCTTTATTTCTGTCTCTTGCCTGATTGCCTGGCCAAAGCTTCCAATACTATGCTGAATAGGAGTGGTGAGAGAGGGCATCCTTATGTTGTGCTGGTTTTCAAAGGGAATGCTTCCAGTTTTTGCCCATTCAGTATGACATCGGTTGTGGGTTTGTCATAAATAGCTCTTATTATTTTGAGATATGTTCCATCAATATCTAGCTTATTGAGAGTTTTTAGCATGAATGGGGTGTTGAATTTTGTTGAAAGGTTTTTCTGCATCTATTGAGATAATCAGGTGGTTTTTGTCATTGGTTCTGTTTATGTGATGGATTACTTTTATTGATTTGTGTATGTGGAACCAGCCTTGCATCCCAGGGATGAAGCTGACTTGATCATGCTGGATAAACTTTTTGATGTGCTGCTGGATTCAGTTTGCCAGTATTTTATTGAGGATTTTTCCATTTATATTCACCAGGAATATTAGCCTGAAATTTTCTTTTTTTGTTATGTCTCTGCCAGGTTTTGGTATCAGGATGATGTTGGCCTCGTAATATGAGTTAGGGAGGATTCTCTCTTTTTATATTGTTTGGTATAGTTTCAGAAGAAATGGTACCAGCTCTTCTTTGTACCTCTGGTAGATTTCGGCTGTGAATCTGTCTGGTCCTGGACTTTTTTGGTTGGTAGGCTATTAATTACTGCCTCAATTCAGAACTTGTTATTGGTCTATTCAGAGATTTGGCTTCTTCCTGGTTTAGTCTTGAGAGGGTGTATGTGTCCAGGAATTTATCCATTTCTTCTAGATTTTCTAGTTTATTTGTATAGAGGTGTTTATAACATTCTGTGATGGTAGTTTGTATTTCCGTGGGATTAATGGTGATATTCCCTTTATCATTTTTTTTTGCATGTATTTAATTCATCTCTCTTTTCTTTATTAGTCTGACTAGGGTTCTATTTTGTTAATCTTAAAAAAAAAACCCAGCTCCTGTATTTATTGATTTCTTGAATGGTTTTTCGTTTGTCTATCTCCTTCAGTTCTGCTCTGATCTTAGTTATTTCTTGTCTTCTGCTAGCTTTTGAATTTGCTTGCTCTTGCTTGTCTAGTTCTTTTAATTGTGATGTTAGGGTGTCAATTTTAGATCTTTCCTGCTTTCTCTTGTGGATATTTAGTGCTATATATTTCCTCCTCTGCACTGCTTTAAATGTGTCCCAGAGATTCTGGTATATTGTGTCTTTGTTCTCATTGGTTTCAAAGAACATCTTTATTTCTGTCTTCATTTTGTTATTTACCCAGCAGTCATTCAGGAGCCGATTGCTCAGTTTCCATGTAGTTGTGCAGTTTTTAGTGAGTTTCTTAATACTGAGTTCTAATTTGATTGCACTGTGTTCTGAGACACTGTTTGTTATGATTTCTCTTCTTTTGCATTTGCTGAGGAGTGTTTGACTTCCAGTTATGTGGCCAATTTTAGAATAAGTGCAATGTGGTGTTGAGAAGAATGTATATTCTGTTGATTTGGGGTGGAGAGTTCTGTAGATGTCTATCAGGTCTGCTTGGCCCAGAGCTGAGTTCAAGTCCTGGATATCCTTGTTAATTTTCCAATATTGACAGAAATATTGGGGTGTTAAAGTCTCCCATTATTATTGTGTGGGAGTCTAAGTCTCTTTGTAGGTATCTAAGAACTTGCTTTATGAATCTGGGTTCTCCTGTAATAGGTGCATATATATTTAGGATAGTTAGCTGTTCTTGTTACATTGATCCCTTTTACCATTCTGTAATGCCCCTTTTTGTCTCTTTTGATCTTTGTTGGTTTAAAGTCTGTTTTATCAAAGACTAGGATTTCAACATCCCCCCCTTTTTTTTCTTTCCATTTGCTTGGTAACTTTTCCTCCATCCCTTTATTTTGAGCCTATGTGTGTCTTTGCATGTGAGATGGGTCTCCTGAGTACAGCACACCCATGGGACTTGACTATTTATCCAATTTGCCAGTCTGTTTCTTTTAATTGGGGGCATTTAGTGCAGGTACATTTAAGGTTAATATTATTATTTGATCATGTCATCATGATGCTAGCTGGTTATTTTGCCTGTTAGTTGATTCAGTTTCTTCATAGTGTCAATGGTCTTTACAATTTGGTATGTTTTTGCAGTTGTTGGTACCAGTTGTTCCTTTCCATGTTTAGTGCTTCCTTCAGGAGCTCTTGTAAGGCAGGCCTGGTGGTGACAAAATCTCTCAGCGTTTGCTTGTCTGTAAAGGATTTTGTTTCTCCTTTGCCTATGAAGCTTAGTTTGGCTGGATATGAAATTCTGGGTAAATTCTTCCCTTAAGAATGTTGAATATTGGCCCCACTCTCTTCTGGCTTGCAGGGTTTCTGCAGAGAGATCTGCTGTTAGTCTAATAGGCTTCCCTTTGTGGATAACCTGACTTTTCTCTCTGGCTACCCTTAACATTTTTTCCTTCATTTCAACCTTGGTGAATCTGATGTTTATGTGTCTTGGGGTTGCTCTTCTCGAGGAGTATCTTTGTGTTGTTCTCTGTATTTCCTGAATTTGAATGTTGGCCTGTCTTGCTAGGTTGGGAAAGTTCTCCTGGATAATATCCTGAAGAGTGTTTTCCACCTTTGTTCCATTTTCCCCATCACTTTCAGGTACACCAATCAAACATAGGTTTGGTCTTTTCACACAGTCACATATTTCTTGGAGGCTTTGGTTCATTCCTTTTCATTCTGTTTTTTCTAACCTTCTCTTCCTGCTTTATTTCATTAAGATGATCCTCAATCTCTGATATCCTTTCTTCTGCTTGATCGATTTGGCTATTGATGCTTGTGTATGCTTCATGATGTCCTCGTGCTGTGTTTTTCAGCTCTATCAGGTCATTTATATTCTTCTCTAAACTGGTTATTCTAGTTAGCAATTCATCTAACCTTTTTTCAAATTTCTTAGCTTTCTTGCTTTTGGTTAGAACATGCTTCTTTAGCTTGAAGGAGTTTGTTATTACCCACCTTCTGAAGCCTACTCTGTCACTTCATCAAACTCATTCTCCATCCAGTTTTATTCTCTTGCTGGAGAGGAGTTGTGATCTTTTGGAGAAGAGACTTTCTGGTTTTGGGAATTTTTAGCATTTTTGTGCTGGTTTCTCCCCATCTTCATGGATTTATCTCCAAAGATTTATCAAATACCAAAGTCTTTGATGTGGTGACCTTTGGATTGGGTTTTGTTGTGAATGTCCTTTTTGTTGATGTTGATGCTATTCCTGTTTGTTAGTTTTCCTTCTACCAGTCAGGCCCCTCTGCTGCAGGTCTGCTGGAGTTTGCTGGAGGTCCACTCCAGACCCTGTTTGCCTGGGTATCACCAGTGGAGGCTGCAGAACAGCAAAGATTGCTGCCTGTTCCTTCCTCTGGAAGCTTTGTCCCAGAGGGGCACCTGCCAGATGCCAGCCAGAGCTCTCCTGTATGAGGTGTTTGTCAACCCCTGCTGGGAGGTGTCTCCCAGTCAGGATTCACGGGGGTCAGGGACCCACTTGAGGAGGCAGTCTGTCCCTTAGAAGAGCCCAAGAACTGTGCTGGCAGCTCTGCTGCTCTCTTCAGAGCTGTCAGGCAGGAACATTTAAGTCTGCTGAAGCTGCACCCACAGCCGCCCCTTCCCCTAGGTGCTCTGTCCCAGGGAGATGAGAGTTTGATCTATAAGCCCTGAGTGGGGCTGCTACCTTTCTTTCAGAGATGCCCTGCCCAGAGAGGAGGAATCTAGAGAGGCAGTCTGGCTACAGCGGCTTTGCCAGGCTGTGATGGGCTCTGCCCAGTTCAAACTTCCTGGTGGCTTTATTTATAACGTGTGGGGAAAACCACCTACTCAAGCCCCAGAAATGGCGGACACCTCTCCCCCCACCAAGCTGGAGCATCTCAGGTCAACTTTAGACTGCTGTGCTGGCAGCGAGAATTTCAAACCAGTGGATCTTATCTTGCTGGTCTCTGTGGGGGTGGGATCCACTGAGCTAGACCACTTGGCTCCCTGGCTTTAGCCCCCTTTCCAGGGGAGTGAACAGTTCTGTCTTGCTGACATTCCAGACACCACTGGGGTATGAAAAGGAACTCCAGCAGCTAGCGCGGTGTCTGCCCAAATGGCCGCCCGGTTTTGTGCTTGAAACCCAGGGCCCTGGTGGCATAGGCACCACAGAGAATCTGCTGGTCTGAGGGTTGTGAAGACCATGGAAAAAGCATAGTATCTGGGCTGGAATGCACTGTTCCTCACAGCACAGTCCCTCATGGCTTCCTTTGGCTAGGGGAGGGAGTTCCCCGATCCCTTGCACTGCCTAGGTGAGGCAACACCCCACCCTGCTTCTGCTCACCCTCTGTGGGCTATAGACACTGTCTAATCAGTCCCAATGGGATGAGCCAGGTACCTCAGTTGGAAATGCAGAAATCACCCGCCTTCTGCATTGATCTCACTGGGAACTGCAGACCAGAGCTGTCTCTATTTGGCCATCTTACCAGCCACCCTCTACTCAATATTTTTAGAATTTAATATTTTCGACGGACTAATATATGCTCATTTTTTCTGAATATTTCAAGTAATCTTGTAAAGGTTGATTTTCTGTTCTCTGATTATAGAATGCATATCTGCAAATTATGCCTTTTAATAATATTTAGTGCCAGGTGTGGTGGCTCACACCTGTAATCCCAGCACTTTGGGAGGCTTAGACGGGTGGATCACCTGAGGTCAGGAGTTCGAGACCAGCCTGACCAACATGGTGAAACCCCATCTTAACTAAAGAATACAAAAATAAGCCAGGCATGGTGGCGGGTGCCCATAATCCCAGCTACTTGGGAGGCTGAGGCAGGAGAATCATTTGAACTCGGGAGGCGGAGGTTGCAGTGAGTTGAGATCGTGCCATTTTACTCCAGCCTGGGTGACAGAGCAAGACTCTGTCTCAAAATAATAATAATAATAATAATATTTAGGTCTTCTATGTTCTTATTTTTTTCTCACTCCCTTAATGCAGTGAAGGAAAGAAGCCTGCAAACACAGAGAATCAGAAGCAAGAGCATACAGAGAGGGTCCTCATGGTATTAATCTCAATACCATTTCCACCATTCTTCATTACTGCCATCGTTTTTACATGGCAATTATTTTCTATTTGGTGCTTAGCGATTTCAAAATGGATTTCTGTCACTTACAATAAGAGCATTGATTATGACAATATTCCAGTTCACTAATATTTTCCCTAGCTTTAGTACTTGCTAATCTGTATTTTCTCTTTCCTTCGATAATTTGTTCTTTTCCTTTTGAATTAAATATAATTTCGCAAAGCGCCTCAAATTACCTGTGAAAGGAAGCAAGCTATAAACCTGAACATAATATCAAATAACTCCAAATATAATACTTTTTCCCCTCTGCTGCAGCTGCCTGTCATGGTAGTCTGTGATATATAGAAAAGGTAACTCAGTTTCTGTAGTCTTTGATTCAACATTCAAAGGAGGCTGTGATACATTTTTTAAAGGTTTACTTTTAAAATGGTTAAAATAAGCAGTTTCCAATGGAGTAAATACTAAGCCTCAGTTATCTGGAAAATCTACTTATGTGGAAAAGTACATGCTGGGCGTGGTGGCAGGTGCCTATAGTCCCAGCTACTCCAGAGGCAGGAGAATGGCGTGAACCTGGGAGGTGGAGCTTGCAGTGAGCCGAGATCACACCGCTGCACTCCAGCCTGGGCAACAGAGTGAGACTCTGTCTCAAAAAAATACATGCATACATACATACATACATACATACATACATACATACATACATACATACATACAAAAAGACAACCAAGGGTGGGTTGGCAGCTGTTATTTTAGTACTGGTATTTTTAAAAAATTCAACATCTTTATTTAGGTTTAATTGCCATAAGATAAATACGTGCCACAAAATAGTAAGTGGCACATATTTAAAGTATGCATTTTGAAAATTTTGACATGCATAAACCTGTAAAACTATCACCTGAATCAAAATAATAAACCTATCCATTACCCCTAAAGTTTCCTCATGCCACTTTATAATTCCTCCATCTTGTTCATTTCCTTACCCAGCATCCCAATGGGAAACAACCACTGATCTGCTTTCTGTCACTATAGATTAATTTTCACTTTCTAGAACTTTCTATAAATGGAAGCATACATAATGTACTTTTTGTTGGGCTTCTTTCATTCTGTGTAATTATCCTGAAATTCCTCTATGTTGTTGCATGTTATCAGTAACTCATTTTTATTGAAGAGTAGTATTTAATTGTATGGATATGTCATAGTTCACCCATTCATCTGTTGAAGAACATTTGATTTCTTTTTTAGCTACAAAGCTTTTATGAACATTCATGTACAATTCTTTGTGTGGATGTATGCTTTATTTCCTGAGTAAATACCTAGGAGTCCATGGTCAGTCTATGCAGTCCATTTAATTTTAGCCATTTTAATAGCTGTGTAGCAGTGTCTCATTGTGGTTTTAACTTGCATTTTCCTAATCAGTAAGGATGTTGAGCTTCTTTTCCTGTACTGACTGGGTATCCGTATACGTTTTGTAGTGAAGCATTTATGTAAATGATTTATCTTTTTAAAAATTGAGCTGTTTTCTTATTGACGCTCAAAAATTCTTTATGTATTCTGGATATAAATCCTGTATCAGATATATGATTTGCAAATATTTTCTTCTAAGCATGCCTGGTTTTTTCATTCTCTAATCAGTGTCTTTGAAGTGCAGAGTTCTTAATTTTGATGAAGTTCTATTTATCAGTTTGTTCCTTTATGGATTGTGCTTTTGGTGTCACATGAAAGAAATCTTTGTCTAACTTAAAGCCACAAAGGCTTTCTTCTAGAGGTTTTATAACTTTAGCTTTTACATTTATACCTATGAACTATTTTGAATTAACTTGTGTATACAGAGTGTAGTTGGGATCAAAGTTTAGTTTTTTACTTATGGACATCCAATTTTTCCAGAAGTATTTGTCAAAATGACCATCCTTTCTCCACTGAATTGCCTTTGCACTTTTGTTGAAAATCAGCTGTCTGTGTATGTGTAGTCTTGATTACTGTAGCTTTATAAATCTTGAAATCAGGTAGTATTAGCCTTGCCACTTCTTCTTTCTGAAAGAAAAACAAAATGGGAAGAGTAACACTACCTGATTTCAAGACTTATAAAGATATTCTAGGTGTTTTGTGTTTCAATAGAAATTTTAGAATCAGTTTCTCAATTTTTACAAAAAAGTATGCTGGGATTTTGATAGGGATTACAAAATGACACCCTTAACAACACTGACTGTTCTGACATATAAATATGGCATGTCTCTCTAGTTACTTCAGTCTTCTTTAATTTCTCTCAATAATGTTTTATAGTTTTCAGTGCATAGGTCTTTCACATTTTTGTTATATTTATTCCTAAATACTGCATATTTTTATGGTATTGTTACTGTGTGAGACTAATATAGAGAACTACGACTGATTTTTGGTTATTATTCATATTGACCTTGTATTCTGCAACCTTGCTAAATCTACTTATTAGTTCTAGAAACTTTGTAGATTCCATTGGATTTTTTGAGACAGTCAATCATGTCATCTGTGAACAAGGATAGTTTTGACTCCTATCTTTGCAATCTAGATGCCTTTAGTTTCTTTTTTCTTCTTTATTTCAATAGTTATGAACTTCCAATACACTATTGAATAGAGCAGATGTTCTTGTTTCTGTTCCTGATCTTTGAAGGAAAGCATCTCCCTTTCACCATTAAGTGGGAATTAGCTGTAGGTTGTTCATAGATGTCCTTTATCAGATTGAGGAAGTTCCTCTACATTTACTGGGGAGTTTTTTTGTTTGTTTGTTTGTTTGTTTATGAGGAATGGATACCAATATCCATTTGGTATCCATTTGTCAAATGCTTTTTCTTACTGACCATTAATATCACTTGTCTTAGTCTGTTTGGCCTGTTATAACAAAATGCAAAAGGCCGAGTAGCTTATAAATAACAGAAATTTATTTCTTATAGTTCTAGAGGCTAAGAAATCCAAGATCAAGGTGCTGACAGACCCGGTATCTGGTGAAGGTCCACTGTCTGGTGCATAGATGGTCCCTGATAGCCATGTCCTCACATGGTAGAAGAATGAAGGCAGCTTTCTGGGTCCTCTTTTATAAGGTCACAAATCCCATTAATGGGGACCCCACCTTTATGATATAATCACCTCCCAAAGGCCCCACCTCCTAATATCATCACATTGGTAATTAGGTTTCAACAAATGAACTTTGAGGGACACAAGCATTCAGACCACAGTATCACTTGTACCCCAAATGTCAAAAATGTTATGTTCCATAGAGTGCATTGGACCCTGTGGATTTTAAGGGTACCTTAGAGTCCAACTGAGTTTGCATATACTCACTCCCTCATCCTTTGCTAGCCAACTTTCTTGGAGCACAGGCCTAGAAATAGATTGGGGTGTTCTAGTCTCCTCAATAGGCTTACCTCTGAAGTTCCCTTATGACTAGCAGCTAATCTAATGTAATTTATAACAAATTGCTTCTCTGGTTCAAATAGATTTGGTAATACTTGTAGTTTAAAATTTAGTATCTCCTCTTACTGAATCTGAGAAAGTGTCTCTTGACATAAAATAATTAACATGTATAATTAGAGCTTTTAGTAATAATGCTGTGATTAGAAACTTTTGTATACTGTGCATCATAGCAACTGAAGCTGTCATTAGAAAGGTAGAGCAGTGAGTGTAGATAAAGAAGAAGAAATCTATTTTATTTCTTATTCTTTCTTTGCTATTGATTACATGAAGGCATTGGAGGCCCTCTGACACTTTCATAATTTCTTAATAACAAAGAAATGTGTAAATCTCTTTCCAAGATATCATAATGGGAAGAACAATAGTAATACTTTATACATACCTATGTAAAATTTTAGGCTAAATAAATAGCTTCCGTATAGTTGCTAAATATATACATTTTGGTTGAATGAATTCCTCAATGTATTTGATCACAGTAAAATAGGCAGATTATTCTCTTTTATCTAGTAGAAGGGCACACCATTGGGAATTATACTAAGTGTGTATATGCACTGAGGGTAGCGTTAAAATGCCTACTGCACATATAGAGGAAATTTTAAATTCTGGAGTCATGCCAAAACATACTAGGTTGACAATTGCGTCTCTTCATATTTGCACTGCTGGGATCATAGACATGCTCAGATAGATGTGATAATGACACTGAGGTTCAAGTGACAATATGAGGCAAAAAATAATAGTAGAAGCAGTGGAACCATATAACAATTTTATAGACCTTAGAAGGAAAAAGAAAACATAGACCAAATGAAAATTGGGCGCTAAGCTCTGCCTCTCTTCTCCGTCTCTTTTTCTTTCTTTATGTCTGTCTGCCCCTCTCTCTCTCAGCCTCTCTCTCTCACTCTGAGTGAGTTTTCTAAATAATCTTTTTAAGACAAATTTGGGGTGTCATTGTTCCTGGCAAATACTTATACATTGATAGGGAGATGGAAGAGATAAAAAATGAGGATTGATAATAGACGAAAAGATGGTAGGCTAAATGTGAACTTGCAAATACATTTTTTATTGGCAAAAAGAAAAAAAGTCTGCGGGCTAAATTACTTCTGAAAACTATTTACACATCTATTTCCTATTTGATACTTTTCTTTGTGCGAATTTTACAAATTTCAGTGACCTAAATAAACTTCTGCCAGAAACCAAGAGAAGACCATTAATCTCATCTGCCAACAATGAAGCTAAATCAGGAATTGAAATCTCCTTCCTCAAGGCAACAATTAAATGAATACACCAAGCACACTGCTATACTATCTTCTCTGATCTAAACAGAATGACTAAAGATGTATGCTAATATTAACTCCTCAGATTCTTGATTTGACTTACCATCTGCAGTGCATCACATTTTGCTCACAATATGAACTGAATTCAAGTAATGCGATAATAGTCTTGAGATTCCAAATTTCAAGAAAACAGAAATTTTAGTAACTAAATCCTTCTTTGCAAATTAGTCACAGAAATGAAACTAGTGCTTGAATAATATCTTTAATCCTGCTCAATCTATTCACTAATATGAGAACTTGCTGAAGAATTGTGCAATATACTGCAACCTACTAGACACAGACTCTCACTATTGGGTTGACATTCACTAAAATTTACAATTATGTCAAAGCAAGATTTTATAGTAAAGTTTTATTTGCTTTAGCCAAATTTTAATCTAAACTATTGGGGAAAATTCTGCATTCATCCAGTGCATCTTCATGTTTTTGACTAGTTAACATGTTAATCAAGAAAAGAGCTATGCCGTCCAACTATTAAATAAGTTATTTGGAAAAGAAAAGAAATTTGTCTACGAATGTGTGAGTGAAATGTTTCCAAGAAGAAATTATAAATGGACTCTATTTTAGTTCTCTCCTATTACGAATGACAGGTTTAACATTCTTAGAAACCTTAAGAATACAATAACATCTTTAAAAGCCTCTAGGGATTATTGTACATTAATGTATCAGTCAGTAAATTATTTATCTAAAAATTAATCTTCCTAAACAGATTTCCACCCCCCTTCAATTTGAAAGCTAAACTTCTGAGGAGTCTCCACTTCAGCAACTTCATATCTGAAGAGCCTACATCTGTAAAAACATTTCAAATGAAAACACTAAGACAACCCCCAGAGAAGCAAATAAAATGGGAATTAAGTATATAGCAGCCTTTCTACGGTTACATTCCTAACAACAGCAGATTCTAATTTGATGCCAAACAGAGGTTATGTAACAAAATCAGTGAGCAATCTAGTTCTTTTGGTTTCAGTAGAACATTTAGGTGCTTCAGTAATTCTGTCTCTGTTTCCCCATTTATGCCAATATGGATGGATTGCGTGTCTCCGAGACCTAGAAGCAGAGGGCGCATTAGCTAGGAAGAAGCATGATTGTACACTAGAACAAGTGGCAGAAAAAGTGTACGACGAAACGTCTAGGCTCCAAGGGATATGCTGTTAATACAATTGCCAAAACACAAACGTCAAAGATGGATTTAAATTTTCAAGTCATAATTTAAAATTACTCAGCCAGACTTTAACACTCTTACACAAACCACTTTATTCGTTAATAAGACCATGAACCAACAGTAAGAGAACCTACCTCCAAAAAAAGATACTAAGCCTACTTTAGGGTACTAGTAATATGTGTTGGGTTTTTTTTTTTTTTTTAATTCTCTCTCCAATTTACATCCATGGTCTGGACTATCTGTTAAATTTTAAAAACCATTTTTTTTTCTAAATTGTCATTAAGAATAACAAGACATAATCTTATAAAACATGAAGGCATTACAATTCTAAGTTTCAAGGAGTCTCCAATTTATCTTTAGAACTCAGGATATAAATGTAGCCATTAGTTTTCACTCATTTCAGATTTTGGTAAAGGTGCTATAAGCATTTAATGAAGCATTTTTGATCCATTTCCACAATCAAGAAATGACAAGATGTTATCTTCAGAAATGACTTGACAAGTGACTCTTGTGCAGAAAACTTTCAGCATAAGAACACTGGGTAGGCAGATTTGAGGCACAGTTTGAAGCAAACTTTTAAATTGTGGTAAAATATACAGAACATAAAATGCACCATCTTAATTATTTTTAAGTGTACTATTCAGTGGAATTATTCACAATGCTGTGCAACTATTTCCATTATCCATATCCAGAGCTTTTTCACATCCCAAACAGAAACTCTGGACCTATTGAACAGTAATTCCCCCTTCCTCTTTTCCCCTAGTTCCTTCCAGCCCCTGGAAACCGCTAGTCTACTTTCTGCATCTATGAATTTAAAGCAAACTTTTATTATTATTTTTTTTAAGCAAAAAACAATCCAACAAACAGAACTCCTCCACTTCTATAGGGCATGGGCAGTCAGACAACAAGTTCATAAACCTGTCAGTGAGGCCATGGAGGCCTACTTTCCCCTGCATTTCAGCCGTCAAATTTTTTACATCTATTTTGACAGGTAGACCATACACAATCTTTTCATTTCTTTATGAATTTAGCGAATATTATCTGAGTGCCTACTTATGGCCGGTACTCTTTTAATTCTGGAAGAAACTAAGATAGACCTGGTCGCTGCCCTCGCAGCCCTCACATTCTGGTTAACACTGCTTCACTTTATCTCCAAACTCTGTAAAGCATGGAAGAGTGTGCAATTTTGATGAGATACCAATGATATGACACAAGCCTTGTGTCAATAACCCATTTTCAGCATCAGAATTGCTAGAACATTATCTACTTTTCACTATTATTTTTGGTCAGTGCTTTACAGGTGATAGATACAAGAAGAGTTGAACTCTATTCCCAATGGATGATGAATATTATGATGAATATTATGCCCTTATGTTGGCCTTCTGGATCTCTGTATCATTTAATTCAATATCTGACAAAACATATAGAAACTAGTGATAGAAAAAGATATGCTTTAGGTTTTCTAATATTTTCTATTTTAAATATCCAATTTGGGATTCCATTTATATGAAATGCCCAGAATAGGCAAATCCAAAGGGACCAAAAGATTAGTAGTTAGGGGCTGGGATAGAAGAGAATGAGGAGTGACTGCTAATGGGTACAGGAGTTTCTTTTTGGGGTGATAAAAATGTCTTAAATAGTGGTGGTGGTTGTACAGCCTTGTGACTGTATCAAACACTGAATTTTATACTTTAAAATGGTGATTTTACGTTGTGTGAATTATATCAATTATTTTAATAAAAAATTTAGGTATTCAATAAAGCTAGACACAATGGTATTAGTGAGAACACATCTTTTAAGTCCATATATAGCTACCAGAGGGCCCTTCCTATGGACTGTAAAAAACAGGTCGGTCCATTCTGAAGTGGCTGCAAACAAGCAGTATATACTGGGACAATCTGTGAATTCAGATTCAGGCTGGGCAGCATCTGGACAGGAAGTAGAGGAGAAAATCATCTGGTCAGACAAGACTGTCTCCCCATCAGCAGAGGCCCTAATACGTCCTTAAATCACACTCAAACCCCCACATCTGCTTGAAGCAACAGGAATTCGGGTCCAGATAGAAATTACTAGGATTTATCTGCAAGGGAACTCCTATGTTTATACAGACATGGTATTAGATATACCTGGTAGATTACACACCCCTCCTATGCAGTACATGCCCGCATTAAACATGGAAACTAGACTTTCTCCATGAAAAACCACAGAAATTTTAAAGGTAAATCTGATTTTACCCTAAAATATTTGATATTTTCCTGTTACTAGGAAACTTATTCACCCACCCATGCCTGCACCCACTCACTGATTTATCTACTGTGGTCATACTCATTAACTCCTAGGCAAAATCAGTGTAAAAACATTCGATGCCACTTACAAATGGAATGGGTATTGCTAAAAGGACTACAAAACAGTGTTAATATTTCAGACTCCCCTAGTTGTAAGACAAAAAATAGTATGTAAACACTTGAGAAAAAAAGACAGTCATTTGAAATAGGAAAACCCGAACACTATGCCCACTCTGTTTAGAAACAGAAGTAACAGGCTGCTCAAGAACTCAGAGATGCACACAATTATGATTTTATTTGTTAAGTTACAATAGCCAAAAGAGCTTTACAAAAGGCAAAATAAACTACACATCCATTTTAGAAAAGTCCTTTTTATTTCTTTAAATCAGAGGCCCCCTCTAGCGTTTGAAAGCAGTCACAGGCAACACACAATGCAATTGAAAGTAAACAGTCACAGCATTTTACCGCAGACCTTCCAAAACATAAGGCTTGCTTCTGTTCCATTCAAGTGGCACAAAAATCAATGAGAGAAAAATAGCTAACCATAATTAATATTGCAAATTCCTGCTATGATTCAGATTCATTATCCTCTCATTCAGTAATTTCTTTATTATTTACTGCTGGGTTATTTTTTACTAGATTAATACTCTGTTAATAAGGAAAAAATATATAATAAATATAGGGACTTTAATTTCCCTAATAAGAAATATACCTCATTTGAAATGACCGAAAATTAATGTTACCATATATCCTACTCTGCTTTGATGGAAGTTATTGGTAACTTCCTAAAGTATATACTTAATTTTAACTTTATTATATTTGGAAATCAGAACTTTTTAAAGTACATATATTTTGAAATTCAACCTAATCTGTGACTTTGCTAAAACTTTTTCAGTACTCAGTAAAAGGAGGTGGGAAACGTTGCTTTGAGGACAAATGTTGGCTCTGAAGAATATGATATAAAGGAACTCTTAAGAGTTTTTATACAGACAGGGCACTGCATAAATCCAATGAGTGAATCTCGTGCGCTTTTGAAAACGATTGATTGAAATTAGCGGGAGTAAAAAATAGTTGATTTTCACTCTATTTTTTCAGCTAATGTCTTTATGTGTCTGTTTCCATGTTCTATTACAGAGGGTTTAAGCTGACAGCTAGTATTACTATAACTGGAAAATAAAAAGAAATCTCTAATTTTAACAAAAGAAAACAATGCAAACTTGAGGAAGAAACCAACAGAGAAAACTATATTAAGCTAATACTTCATGTTCTTAAAAGTTATAAATACACTGAAAATTTGAAAATTCAATAGCTCTTGAAACAAATTTAATCTGTATTAACTTTATTTAAATAAATGACCAATCTGTCACCCAACATGTCATGTGGCTTCTCTGCACTGATCTTGCTTTGTTTTCAAACTTGTCACTTGCAAATATTATAAGAAAAAAAGGTCATCTAAAATGAGTTAAACTGGTTACAATTGGTCTCAACTTTTAAGAATTTACATTCAAATGGAATAGGACGCAGCGTTTTTAAAGTGCAAGATATACTCTTTTGGCTCAACATGAAACATTATAGAACTGGAAATTACCGCAGTCATTTCTCCTACAACAAACTTAGTTAAAAGCTGTTTTGAAAGTTAGTTAGCCATCAGATTATAAACTATGAAAAACACTGAAAAGTCATTTAAAATGAGTATATAAATGCAAATTACAAATAAAACCAGTGTGGGAGAGGTAGCATAAAGTAAATAAGATCAAATAAATACTATACAATAACATACAAAATTTTGCTTATAAAAAATTGAAAATACCATTTTAAAACATCCATTTTCCTCACTTTTGAGGTTTTTACAAAGAAATTAAAATTTAGACTTAGAGTCTCTATAAAGCTTTTCCAAATGTTATTAATTACTGGCATTGCTTTTTGCCAAAATCTCTCTGATCTGTCGGTCGAGTTCACTTATTATTCGATCCTCGTGATTATACACACCCGTTCTCATCAAAGTATCCCTTTCTTCTATCAGGCGAGTCAAATAATCATCCAAACCTTCTTCCAATACACTGCCATGGGGGCCATCCTTTTTTCCACTTGCAATCTCTGTGGAATCCTGGTATTGTTTTTGCTCTTGTTGCCTTAACCTGAGAAGTCAAGAACAAATGCCACTGTAGCAACTGTGTTGGTTTTCTTAATGTCACTATTTAAAAACAAAATGATTCAATGGTAAGACAAGGTTTTAGTAATATTTTCAGGAAGAAAACAAACCAAAAAAAACCAGTGTTCCACTTGGCTAGTCAGAGTCTGCACATTTATAAAAGGCAACTTTAAAAACAATACTTGTTTTTCTAATTACAAATACATGAAAACTAGATATTTTGGAGCTGTGACAAAATACATGAAAACTAGATATTTTGGAGCTGTGTAAAGACAATAAAAATCATCTGTAATGTGATCCCAATTTGAGTAATATTTTTCTGTATTTTCAAGTTTAAAAAATGCATATATGTACTTAAAATATGTATTTTTTGAAAAACTTGATACTACATATGCAATTCTGTATACTACTTTTCTCATTTATATAGAGATTTTTTAATATCATTAAATGTTCCTCTAAATTGTTTTATAATATTCCATCATTTGGGGTATCATCATTTAGTCATCCTTTATTATTGGTCTTTAGGTTGCTCCTAAACCTTTGTTGTTGTATTGAACATATTTTTAAAAATTCATTCAACAAACATTTATTTGTGCCAAACACGTTTTGGGGATAGTGCAGTGAACCAAGAAAAAAATTCCCTACTATTATGGAGTTGAGTTGTATCTCTATTTGTAGAAAGTGAAATTCTTTACATATGCCTAGTTCAAAGGGCATATGCATGTTAAGGTTTTGTATGGATATCTTCAAGTTATGTTTGTTATAATCTCATTTGGGGATAAGAAAAGGAGAGTAGATGCTGACCTGCGATTTGGGTATTTCCAATAGAATACTGTTGATCAAACTGTCTTGAAACTGGAGCAGTAATAATAATACTTAGTATATTTTGTTTGTTTGAGACAAGGTCTCACTCTGTCGCCCAGGCTGGAGTGCAGTGGTGTGATCACAACTCACTGCAGCCTCGACCTCCTGGGCTCAATGGATCTGCCCACCTCAGCCTCTCGAGTAGCTGGGACTATAGGCCATGCCACCACACCCGGCTAAATTTTGTATATATATATTGTTTTTAGAGACGACATTTCATTATGTTTTCCAGGCTGGTCTCAAACTCCCTCACTCTCTTAACCACTTCTTGGATGGCATGATATATTGCCCCTTACTGTCCTGGTCACATGCCATTGGAAGCTCTCTAGGTAGCTGATTTCCCTTAAAGTGTGTTGCACAGTGGTAAGAACACCCCAGAGGTGATTTACCAGTACTGAATACTGAACACTACTTCCATGAACGTCCCTAACTGCACTGACTCTTCGGTAGCCAAATCACACCATTATTAGAGGCCACGTAAGTTCTCCTAGGCTTCTTCACATGAACTGTTTTATATCTTATCTATCACTTAAGTGATTTTTCTTATAGCTTATACAGAGGACTCTGCTTTTGTCTCTAATATATTTAATCTTGTTGGTTTCAGTTCTCTCAGAATCCTAATTTATTAAGACATTAGTAAGATTCAATTGTATATGATCTACAAATTTGATAGGCAACATGGATATCTTTAACCCACCAAAACAGTGCTTAGCAAACAGCAGGAGCTAAATATATATTTGCTAAACTAGAACCAAGAAAGTGCTATATTTTGGAAGGCAAGGATATTATAATTCATTAATTTGTAATATCTTCCAAGTCTACAACATGGTAGATACCAAATAAATATTTCCTGAATAAATGAGAATAAAAGTACCACAGATTGAATGCTGTTAAGCACGGTCCTTAAAGCTGACCTTTTGCAACTGGTATTTCTTCAATTATCTTTTAAATATAGTTATTTAATTCAGCTAGGAACCCACTTAATATAGTGACCACATTTTTCTCCACTTCATACATGGAGATATAATAAGATACTGTTTTAAATGTAATGTGTAGGCTCTGAACTGTGTCCCTGTCAAATTCAGATGTTGAACCCTTAACCTCTAATGTGATGGTATTTGGAAATGGACCTTTGGGAGACAATCAGGTTTAGATGAGGTCATGAGGGTGAACTCTCATCATGGGATTAGTGCTCTCCTAAGAAGAGACACCAGAGAGAGGACACAGTGAGAAGGTGGGTCTCTAAAACCAACCACACTGGCACCGTGATCTTTGACTTCTAGCCTCTAGTACTGTGAGAAAATAAACTTCTGTTTAATCTACCCAGTCTGTGGTATTTTTTTTTAACCAGTCCAAGTTAACTAAAACTGCACTTTGCTCAAAGAAAAATATACTAGACCCTTGATAAACTAAGCTAAGAAGTCTTCCCCCAAAACCACCCTCCAAAAAGACTAGAATTCATTTTTATGCTGCTTCCTAGTGATTACTTTTCTAACATGAAACACTTGAAGTTGTGATTCAGATGAACGCAGCACTACAGAGAAGCCCAGTGTAGCACAGTAGTTAAAATGCAATCTCTGGAATCGGATCTGAACTCTGGCTCCATGATTTACTAGCTACATGATCTTGAATAATGTTTAAGCTCTGTCTTTAATCTTCAATCTCTTCATCTTGAAAATGGTGAAAATATCTTCCTCACAAAGTAGCTTTGAAGATTTAAAAAAAAAGGGCCGGGCAATATAAGACATTTAAAACAGCTCCTGGCACAAAGTAAGAGCTCATTAAGAGCTATTGTTACAGATATTAATAATATAACAAAATTTGAAATTTCTTATACTTTATATAAGTGAAGACTCAGTTTAATAGTAGCAATAATCCTGATATCATCACACAAAAATAAATTTTAAAGTAGTAATGCTATAAATGGAAACACAAGAGCTGAATGGACTTGCCATAGCTGTATTCACAGGAAAAAAAAAGTTTAATAGTCTTTGGCATAGACTTTTTTTCTTTCTTTTTAGATTTGACACAAGGTCTCACTCTGTCACTCAGGCTGGAGTGCAGTGTGGCATGATCACAGCTCACTGCAGCCTGGAACTCCTGGGCTCAAACGATCCTCCCACCATCCTCTCAAAGTGCTAGGATTACAGGCATGCGCCACAGTACCCAGCTGGCATAGATTTTCTATTGTATATGTCTGCTACATTTTATATATTTTTATATATGATCTACTTTATCCTTGGGAGACCTCAAGTTGTACCTTCCCTGAACCAAACTTTGGCTTTTGAAAGAAACACTTTTAGTTATTATACCTGTTCAATTCATTTCTTATATCCAACAATTCTTGTCGCTCGGTTTTTACTGTATCTTTTTCCTCAGCGGCAAGGTAACGTAGTCTCATCTGTTCCAATTCTTCCTGCTGTTTTTTAAGACGAGCCATTTGACTTTCTTGCTCCCTCTTGAAAGAAACAAAGAAACAAGTCATATCCTTAATATTAGGAACAAATATTTTATATGACTTTGACTTGTGATTATAATCCTATTTGACAACACCCATGATATAGCCACACACTGCCAATTCTTTTTTTTTTTAACAGAGTCTCACTGTGTTGCCCAGGCTGGAGTGCACTGGCTAGTCACAGGAGCAACGAAGCACACTACAGCCACAGACTACTAGGTTCAAGCAATCCTCCTGCTTCGGCCTCTGGGCCCAAGTAGGAGTATCTGGGCCCAAGGTGTGTGCCCACCCTTGCACTGCTAATTTTATGAGTTATATATTAACCAGAAATACCCAGCTAGGTTTTCTCTAAACACTCTATTCTCTTTTACTATAAGTCATAATCCTTCAATCAGTGATTGATATTAGCTGACTATCACAGGACAACGGAAGTTGAAGGCAAGAAAGAGGGTGCTATCAATACAATGAACTGTCAATACAATGAACAGCCAAAAGGCTAGTGGTAAGAGCAGCATCTGAGAAAAACATTATACAAAGATGTACCTAGAAAAATTCAATAACTGTCCCTATACAAATCACTAATTCCACTCCTACTTCAGTAAATATGCCTTTCCACTCTGTTCTCCAGACTCATACAAAAACCTATGCACATATATTCTTAAACAAAAATGAAAACAAACAATACATTCTAGTTTGCATTTTTAAAAAAGTTTAACAATTCTTCAGGTCAATAGATAAAGTCTTTTAAAATAAATGAGTAACATTCCACATAATGGATATTCCATGACTTATTCAACCACTTTCTCAATAACAGACACTTTTGCTACTACAAACAATGCTGTAATAGGACACCTTGTCATCTATCACACAGTTAGCTCAGGAATCCTTACGTCATTTTCTTTTGTTTAGGACAGAATCCCAAAGTGGGAGACCTGAGTCAATAGGTTTTTGTTAACTATTTTTTTAAAGTATTTATTGAATTGTAACAAACAGAAAACTGCCAAATGACAAGGTACATTTTGATATACTTTCACAAAGTAGACCACTCACATACCCACCATCCAGATCAGACTGCCAGAATCCCAGAAGTCTGTGTCTCCTCCCAGTCACTAACCATTCACCTTTTCCCAACAATAACTACTACCCTAATTTTAAAAACAAAAATAAGTTTTGAACTTAACACAGAATCTATACAGTATGTATTTGTGTCAGGGTTCTTTCATTTAACATTGTTTTTGAGACTCATTGTTCTCTGTAGTTAATCATTTACATTATTATACAGCATTCCATTGAATGAATATACAATTTATTCATTCCACTGCTGAAGGACATTGGGCAGTTTCCAGTTTTGAATTATAAATAATGGTGATGTGAAGATTTTATACATGTCTTTTGGAACACATTTGTATGCATTCCTACTGGATATATACATAGGCTTCAAATTGCGTGGTCAGAGGATATAAGAATTACAACAGCATTAGTAAATAGAGGTTTTAGTATCCTTTATCTGAAATGCTTGGGGCCATAAGTGTTTTGATTTTGAAATATTTGCATATACATAATGAGATATCTTGGGGATGGGACCATCTAAACATGAAATTCATTTATGTTTCACATATACCTTGTATACACAGCCTGAAAGTAATTTTACATAACGTTTTACACAATGTTTTAAATAATTCTGTGTGAACTGTCACATAGGGTCAGGTGTAGATTTTTCCACTTGTGGTGTCCTGTCAGGGCTCAAAAAGTTCAGATTTTGAAGCATTTCCGATTAGGGATGTTCAACCTGTATTTCCAAACAGTTTGCAAAGTAGTCTTATCAATTCATACTTCCACTTGAGCATTCCAATGCTTTATATTCTTGCCAACACTTCATAATGTCATTTTTTTTCATTTTAGCCATTTGACAGGTTACATAGTAGTATCTCATTGTGATTTTATTTTGCACTATTCAAAGACCAGTGAGGTTGAACACGTTTCAATAGTTTTAATGACATTTAGGTATCTTTGTTCATAAAGTTCCTATTTAAGCTTTTGGTACTTTACTTGGTTGTCCATCTTCTGTTATTGATGTTTATAAATACTGGATAAGCCCTTCATCAATTATATAAATTACAACTATTTCCCAGTAGTCTTCGGCCTGTCTTTTTACTCCATTAATGTTTTTTAATAAAGAGAAGTCCTTAATTTTAACATAGTTCAGATTTTTCTGTTTATTCCTTTTTGGTTAACCGTGCTCTTTCCTATTTAAGACATTTTTTTTGCCTGTCTCAATCTTGAAGATATTCTTTTATGTTACCCTTTTGAAGTTTCACTTTTTGCCCATGTAGAGCTCAAACTGACCTAGCAACATTTATTGAAAAACACCTCTTCTCTTGTTGCTTGGCAGTTATCACCTGTCACATATCACCTCTGTCCATATATGTATGTTTTTGTTTCTGGATGCTCTAAACTGATCTATTTATCCTTACATTAACACTACACTGTTTTAATTACTGTAACTCTTGTAACAATGTCTCAATATACGACAGTTCTTCTACATTTGCTTATTCTTCAAAATGATTTTAGCTATTCTTGGCTCTTACATTTTCACATAAATTTCCATTTCTAAGGCTAAAAAAAACCTGCTGAGATTTTATGATGATTATATTGAATCCACAGATCAATTTGGCCAAAACCAGTGTCTTTAAAATACTGATTTTTCAATCAATGGAATGGTTTACCTAATTATGTAGGTCTTTTGATAATAGTTTATAGTTCTCTATATGCTAAGACTAACATATTTCTTTGATTATATTTTAGATGGTAGAGCTTTACAATTTTCACTTCCTAATTGCCTCTAGTAGACAAATAACATTGATTTTTACACACTGACTTTGTTTCCAGCAAACTTGCTAAACTCACTTATTCCTAATAGGTCAATGTAGATACTTTTTAGCTCTCTAAATACATCTGTGTTATCTGCAAATAAGGGTAGTTTTATTTTTTCCTTTCCAAATGATACAGTATTTCTTTTTCTTGCCCTATTACACTGGCTAGAACACCTCTAATACAATGTTGAAAAGAAACGGTAATAGAGGGAAGGTTTCTCTCATTTCTGATCTCAGAAGAAAGTTCCATTATTTTAAGAATGTTTTTTGTAGGCTTTATGTAAAAACTCTTTATTAGATTAACAAATTTCCTGTCTAGTCTTAGTTTGTTAATGAATATGACTTTTTCTGCAGCTATTGATATGATTTTTTTCTCCTTTAATCTTTGAATGTGGTAAATAACCAAGCTTGCATTTGTTTAGTAAATAAACTTCGTTGTGATGCTTACAAGTTTAATATCTTAAACTTGTATCTTTAATGTTTTAAAAGACTGGCCAATTAATTTTGTCCTTGTAAGCTTTTAGGATCAAGGTTATGCTAGTCTCATTAAAAAAAAAGTAAGCATTTTTCACTTCCCATTTTCTAAAATCTTTGTGTAAGATTAGTGTTATTTCTTCCTAAAATGTTTACTAAAATTCAAATGTGAAGACATATGGGTCTGGAGCCTTCTTTGTGGGCAGGTTTTTTATTAGATTCAATTTCTCTAATAGCTATAAGACTATTTCTATTTTCTGTTTCTTGGTGTATCAGTTTTGGAAGTTCTTCTTTCAAATTCACATGAAATTGTTCATACTATCCTCTTATCTCTGTAAATGTCTTTGAGATCTATAGTCTTGTCTCTTTTTTCAATTCCTGATATGGGTAGTTACTGTCTATTCTTGTCCTTGAATACTTGCTAAGGCGGGGTTGGGGTCCTTTCAAAGACATGACTTTTGGCTTCATTGATTTTTCTTGTACATTTTCCCCCATTTCATTAATTCTATTCATCTTATTTCCTTGCTCCCATTTTACTTTCTTCTTGTTCTACTGAGTTTTTGAAAGGAATATTTAGAGAGCAGATTTATTGTCTTATTTTCTAAACACAACTGTGGTTATACATTTCCCTCTAAGCACAGCTTTCACTAAATCCCACACTTTGATGTGTTTTATGTGCACTATTTTTCAGTTCAAAGTATTTTCTAATTTTACTGTGGTCTCCAGTTTACCATGGGTTACGAGAAGTATACTACTTAATATTCACTCATTTGGGGACATTTCTTATTATCTTTTTATTTCTAGCTAAATATCACTGTGGTCAGAGAACATATTCTAAATTACAATCTTCTGGAATGTGTTGAGAATTGTAGTTTAATCCAACATATAAGCAACTTCGCTAAATGTTCCATGTGCACTAGAAAATAGTGTACATTCTGGACTTTTTTGATGAAGTGTTCTAGAATATACCAATGGTTAGTTGTGTTGCCCAAATCTTCTACATTATTACTTATTTTCGGTCTGTTTGCACCATCAGTTCTCAGGAGAGTTATGGTAAAATCTTCTATCATTATAGATTTACCTATTTCTCTTTTTAGCTCTATTAATTTTTTTTATCTAATTTGTTGCTGTGTTACCAGGTACAAATGTAGAACTGTTGTCATCTTCCAGGTGGATTAACCCCCTTTTATAACTATGAAAACTCCCTTTACCTACAGTAAAATGCCTCTCGCCCTATAAGTCTGGTTTGCCTAATATTAAGTATCGCTAGACCAGCTTTCTCTTACTTAGTATTATTGTAGTATATATTTTCCTTCTGTTAGAATTCAACCATCCTATGTTTTTTTTTTAAATATATTTTTATTATACTTTAAGTTCTAGGGTACATGTGCACAACATGCAAGTTTGTTATATATGTATACATGTGCCATGTTGGTGTGCTGCACCCATTAACTCGTCATTTAGCATTAGGTATATCTCCTAATGCTATCCCTCCCCACTCCCCCCACCCCACAACAGTCCCCAAAGTGTGATGTCCCCCTTCCTGTGTCCATGTGTTCTCATTGTTCAATTCCCACCTATGAGTGAGAACATGCGGTGTTTGGTTTTTTGTCCTTGCAATAGTTTGCTGAGAATGATGGTTTCCAGTTTCATCCATGTCCCTACAAGGGACATGAACTCATCATTTTTTATGGCTGCATAGTATTCCATGGTGTATATGCGCCATATTTTCTTAATCCAGTCTATCGTTGTTGGACATTTGGGTTGGTTCCAAGTCTTTGCTATTGTGAATAGTGCCACAAGAAACATACGTGTGCATATGTCTTTATAGCAGCATGATTTATAATCCTTTGGGTATATACCCAGTAAGGGGATGGCTGGGTCAAATGGTATTTCTAGTTCCAGATCCCTGAGGAATCACCACACTGACTTCCACAATGGATGAACTAGTTTACAGTCCCACCAACAGTGTAAAAGTGTTCCTATTTCTCCATATCCTCTCCAGCACTTGTTGTTTCCTGACTTTTTAATGATCGCCATTCTAACTGGTGTGAGATAGTATCTCATTGTGGCTTTGATTTGCGTTTCTCTGATGGCCAGTGATGATGAGCATTTTTTCATGTGTTTTTTGACTGCATAAATGTCTTCTTTTGGGAAGTGTCTGTTCATATCCTTCGCCCACTTTTTGATGGGGTTGTTTTTTTCTTGTAAATTTGTTTGAGTTCATTGTAGATTCTGGATATTAGCCCTTTGTCAGATGAGTAGGTTGCAAAAATTTTCTCCCATTCTGTAGGTTGCCTGTTCACTCTGATGGTAGTTTCTTTTGCTGTGCAGAAGCTCTTTAATTAGATCCCATTTGTCAATTTTGGCTTTTGTTGCCATTGCTTTTGGTGTTTTAGACATGAAGTCCTTGCCCATGCCTCTGTCCTGAATGGTATTACCTAGGTTTTCTTCTGGGGTTTTTATGGTTTTAGGTCTAACATGTAAGTCTTTAATCCATCTTGAATTAATTTTTGTATAAGGTGTAAGGAAGGGATCCAGTTTCAGCTTTCTACATATGGCTAGCCAGTTCTCCCAGCACCATTTATTAAATAGGGAATCCTTTCCCCATTTCCTGTTTTTGTCAGGTTTGTCAAAGATCAGATAGTTGTAGATATGCGGCATTATTTCTGAGGGCTCTGTTCTGTTCCATTGGTCTATATCTCTGTTTTGGTACCAGTAGTACCATGCTGTTTTGGTTACTGTAGCCTTGTAGTATAGTTTGAAGTCAGGTAGCATGATGCCTCCAGCTTTGTTCTTTTGGCTTAGGATTGACTTGGCAATGCAGGCTCTTTTTTGGTTCCATATGAACTTTAAAGTAGTTTTTTCCAATTCTGTGAAGAAAGTCATTGGTAGCTTGATGGCAATGGCATTGAACATTCCATGCTCATGGGTAGGAAGAATCAATATCGTGAAAATGGCCATACTGCCCATCCTATGTTCTTATATTTAAGGTGTACCTCTTACAAAGCATATTGTTAGCTTTTTAAAATTCAGCTTTTAAATATCTGTCTTTAATGGGAGCATTTGGTCCACTTAAAGCATTTGCTGATATAGATTTAAATCTTTCCATCTTATGATTTTCTATTCATTCCACCTATTTTATGTTCCTTCTTCTCTCTCCTTTTAATCAAATAATTTGTCATTCAGTTTTCACCCTCAATCTTGTTACTAAATCATTTTTAACTCTTTTTTTTAGAAATATGTATCCCTCAATTAACAGAACCTAATTAGGACCCTTTCAACTTCAGATAATGCAACATACTTTAAACATTTCACTCTCTCTCTTTGTATTTTTGCACTATTTTTGTCATAAATTTTAATTCTATGTATATTTTAAAGTCAACAAATACTGTTATTGTTGTTTTCCTACAACCAATATCCATTTACAGTTAGCCTGATATTTAATTTCCATTGTTCTTTACTTTTCTGCATTTCAAAGCTTTCATTTGGGATCATTCTTCTTCTGCCTGAAGAACCCAGGTATTTCTTTTGCTTCAGATTTGCCATGACAAATTCTGCCAATTTTTGTCAGTCTGAAGTCTTTCATTTGTAAATAATGCTTTTACTGGGTAACAAAATTTTAGTTCAGCAATCGTTTTCTTTAGTACTTTAGGGATGCTATTTTACTGTCTTACAAATTTCTTTATTTTTGTTAAAAAGTCATCTGTCAGTCTTATCATTGCTCCTTTGAAGGCAATGTATCTGTCCACCCCTGCCTGCAACAGCTTTTAAGGTTTTTCTTTGCTTTTTGTCAATTTTGCTGTGATGCATCTAGGTAGGCTTACTTTGTATTTATCCTGCTTGCAGTTCATAGATATTTTTGAATCTATGAAGTGATATCTTTTTTACTTTTGGAAAATTCTTAGCCAGTATCTCTTTAAATATTGCTTTCTCCCCATTCTTTCTCCAATTACACATAAGATAGTCTCAAAATATACCACTTCTCTAATACATTTCTTCATCATATCACCTATTTTCTAGAGTATAATAATGGTAGTATTTCAAACTTCTTGTCTGATATTCCAAAATCTGAATTACACTTGTTGATTAATTTGTAATGAGCACAAGACATAAACAGGCACTCCACAGATGAAGAAATGTAAGTGGCGTGGCAAAACCCTGTCTTTACAAAAATTAGCCAGGCATGGTGACGTGCACCTGTAGTCCCAGATACTTGGGAGGCTGAGGTGGATGACCTGAGCCTAGGAGGTCGAGGCTGCAGTGAACTGTGAATACACCACTGCCCTCCAACTTGGGTGACAGACCTTGTTTGAAAAGCAAACGTAGGAAAAGATGCTCAAAGTTATTAGTAACTAGAGGAATGAAAATGTAAGTAAGTCCCAATGTGACACTACTTGGGGCCAACCAAACTGAAAAATTTAAGACATCTGACAATAGCCAATTATTGGCAAAAATGTGAAGGACAAGAACAATTATATGCTACTACTGGGAATTATAAATTAGTATAACCACTTTAAAGATAATTATGTAATATTTAGTGAAGCTGAAGAAATGAATGTCCCCTAGTACCAGAAATTCTCTTTTTAGCTATAAATACTACTGAAACTCTTACAGGTACTAACACATTCAGTGTTCTCTTATCCTGGATAAAATTGTGCAATATTTATAGAGAATGACTCTATGTATATAAAGGTTCAAAACATACAAAACTAAGCAATGTTGTTTGCAAAAAGACTTTTAATATATCTTATGTTACAAAATTATGACAAAAAGCAAAGGAATAATAAATATCAAATTCAGGATAGTGGTTACCTCTGGAAAGAGAAGACACAGTTGAGAAAGGGACACAGAGGGCTTCCAAAGCATTCATCATAATGCTCTGTTTCTTAAACCAGGAGGCAGGTGGAAAGAGTAGAAGAACCTTCTTTGAAATGTATATTTCATTTTAAAGTTATTTAAAAAGAAAAACATATCTGGACAAAAATACACCAAACTGTCTTCTTTGGCTGAGGAGAGGATAAGATTGCTGGTGATCTGTAGTGTCTATGTTATATGGTGCTGCAAATTGGCTTTTTAAAAAATTTTTACAATGAGTAAATATGACTGCAAGCAGGAAATAAGTAATAAAAGTTGATTATTAGCTTTAGATTACTCTATAAAAGTAAGTTTTTGATAAATTTTAACATTTTCTAAAACGTAAGAAAATCCTTTAAATGCTTTGAATTTTTAATCAAGTATAGGGCATTAATAATAATCACACACACACACAAGTTAGAGGGTAGTGAAAGAAGTCCTCTCCAGTGCCAGGTGCTCTGGGTTAAAGGCTCCTCAATCAAGTGAGTATAATCTTTATTTTGCCTTGGCTGCCTATAAATCCAGAAAGGAGATGTAAACATACATACACTAGACTAAACAGCGGCTAAAAAGTGGCCACTACTTACTCTCCCACTCACACATACCATGTAAGTCTGTGGGAAAAAACTTACAACTAAACTAAGGAACTCAAGTAAAGTTTTCTGAAAATAACCCAGAGCTGACAAGTCAGTAGGAGGGCCTGGATGGTTTCAAGACACAGTTTTTAACCAAGACTTGGACCTCCAACTGTTTTCTTAAACAAAGATTTACATCCCATGCTTGGCTAAATTACTTATAAATTAATCAAATTAATTACTCAGAGTGGATAAGCAGGAGGCTGGACAAGATAGTGCTGATGTCAGCCAATGAAGTCTGTGTTGTTTTAACTAAATATATCAGCTCAGTTTTAAACAGATCTACTGTGCACAAATATGGTAAGGGACCCACAATCCTTCCCAAAACATTAATTCTCTTTCCTGTCCTGGGAACAAACATACCTACTCTGAATATATCTGACATAAAAATGTTAAATTGTCTACAACAAACTCATACTTCATAACAATGCTTCATTTATTTTTTAAAAAGTAGGTTTTATTCTGCTTAATGATATTCTAAGATGTCAAGAAACGTTTTTAAGTAAATATGCAAATATGTTGTTTAGAGCACAAGTAGGAAAGCAGACAACTTCACTTGAGTATTTGTAGACCAATGCAATTCAAGTATTTGTTTTGGTTTTAAAATATTTCTATAGTATATCTTGAAGAAGAAAAAAAGCAAACTAAATTACCTCTTACAAGTCTAACAAGTAGAACTTTTAACTTTGTCCCATGATATCAAACTTAAGGGTATCACTTCCTCGTTTTCTAAATCAGGACTCATTTTATGTTATGCTTATTTATATTTTACAGCTGTTGCCTTCCCAGTTACCAAAGAACAAAAAAGCTTACCACTGGTACGGTTGTGAATCAAAAGAAAAGATTTTTTTCTAAATAATTAGAAGGTTATAAAATAATTAGGTTATATTTTTAATTCACAAATAGACTATCCTGGGTCACCTTTGAGTAATGGAAATCTCTGTTTAAACATTCTTCTGGCAATGGGCACCAAGCATTAGGTCTTATTTCCAAGCTTTACCAGCTGGGTTTTGTCATTAACATTTATTAACAATCTAAGATATGGCTTTCACCATCTAATCCGTACTACACAAATGTTTTGTATGGCCCTCCAGAGGGTTTTGATGTGACAAATTACTGGCAGAGATTACAGCCCCGTGGCTATTCACCAGAGGCAATGTAAAATTAACATGGTACTAATCCAATTTAAACAAGAAGTTGCACAAACAATCTTCTGAACAAAACCAGATAGACGATTCCAAAATTACATTCAAGCACAATAAATGTGTTTTTAATAAAAAGTTTAAGGAAAAGAAATTGAGTAATTTTCACACACATGAAATGTGCCTATTTGATGAAGTTATTAATTTTAATCTTACTAAAACAGTCAGGGGCAGAGCACAATTCACTATGATAATCCCAAGGTCTATTACTTTTCTTCTTAAAGTGTTGCATCTCAGTGTAGTCTGCAGAACATCAATGATTCCTAGTGACCTCAAAATGTGTTTACAGTGTTGCCTCTAAAGCAGAAAGTTTGTGGGATAAGGATTAAAATTGGTTTGCAATGAAAAAGCAATGAGCATCTCTGCACTCAAAGAACTTTTCTTTCATGGAGTATAAGTTTCAGAATTGAACCAGTAATTTAAAACTTTTTTTTTCCTTTTCTTTACAAAAGGTATCTGAATGTTTGTGATATTCTCCTTATTTGAATAAAATAGCTAAAATTACTTTGCAATGCTTTTTGGGCAAGAGGGTAGGAAATACAAAAGAAGAAGGTTAAATAGAAAATGGATTAAATGGAAAAAAGATCCAGCAGATAAGAAAAGTGTATGAGGATGCGTGTGTTAGGAAGGAGGGATTCTTGCAGTGGAGCCTTTCACACTGAATCTTCTTTTAAAGGAGACTACTTCAATACCCCAGTGTAAAACTAACCAAAAGTCAGGAATTTGGGGGATTCTATTCAGAACACTGTTTACTTATATTATTTTTTTGAAACTACCTCAAATGGTGAAAAACTTAAAGAATGTAATCTATAATATACACATATGAACATGACAAAGTAAAAAGTTCTTGCATAGATACTTCTCAATAAAAAACATGTCAATTATAATGACATTGTTTCAATAATTAATGATTATTCAATTCTCCAGAGAAAATGCCCTAACCAATAGCTAACACTGTTCCCCTTTTCAGCTGATTTGGGTAATGTGTAATGACTGTTCACTGCTCAGCTTCTTCAATGGAAGCACTATTTTCCACTTCTTCCCCATCTACTCTCCAGTTAAAAACTTGAAATGATTTCCTATCCAGTAGTGTTATTTGAATCATTTTCTCTTTGAGATATTTCTCCCTTAGCTTTGAGTGACAAATGTGGTGATAGCCCCCAGTGGTCCCTTTGTTTTTCTAATACTTGCTGACTTCATTTACATTTCTTACCACCCTGCTATATTCTAAGTATCAGTCCTCCTAGGTGAACAACTGCTATATCCATAGCAGCCCATTGTGCAAGGTGCATAGCAGGCTCTCAATAAGCACTTGCTGAATGAATGAAAGAATGAAGTAACTACAGATGTTTCTTCATCTCAATGTACTCACATTCCTTTATACTCAAACTTGGGAAGTTTACCTACTGACACTCTTGCACATCTGTACATTTAGCCCTTACATACTTTTTGCTTCTGTACAGTTTTCTACAGAACGTCTATCACTGCATAACAATATCCCCCAATTATGCACACTTAAGAATTCTGTCAGTCACAAAGCCCTCTAGTATTTGTTCTGTTCATCAATATCGAAAGCTACTGTCCAATTAGGTCCCCACTGACTGAACGCACCACCACCACAGAACAGCTTTATGGCTCATCTCTTTTTAGCAAGTTACTTACCATTTACTGAGCACATACTATGTATCAAACACTGTATTAAACACTTTAAAACCACTCATTTAATTCTCAGAATAACCTGTGGAAGAAAATTTCTCATTGTTCAAATGAAGAAACTAATCAGAGAAATTCCCAAAGTCAGAGAGGTAGAACCAAAATTCAACCTAGCTCTCTTGACTCCAGGGCCATGTTCTTAACTACTATTTATGCTGCTTCTGATGGAGTTTATATCTTGTTACCTTTCTACTATTTATGCTGCTTCTGATGGAGTTTATATCTTGTTACCTTTAACAGCCATTCTCTTCATATTTCCTTGGCCCCAATTCCACAGGGACTCCTCTCTATTATACTACATGCACTTAAATATCTTGGCATCATAACCATATATTAGCTGCTTCTCTCTCAAAATCACTTTAATTCTCATTACCAGACCTGGTCTCTCTTGTCAATGATGGCATTTTCCTTCTTAGGATATACCAACTCACGATGACCCCTACCTCAGTACTCTCGTCAGAGTGGCTAATTTTCTTCTCCTAGAAATTATTTCATTCCTTGACTTCAATGGACTAAGACCATATCATAAAAGGGAAAGAGCCTGAGGCTGGATTCATCAAAAGCTTTCAATGCTGGGTCTATCACTTAGTACCTATGTGATCACATGCAACTTAACTTCTTTAAGTCTCAGTTTCTTCATTAGGTTGGTGCAAAAGTAACTGCGGTTTTTGCCGCTTTCACTTTTGCACCTACCTAATAAAATGGGAATATTACCTGCTATGTAGGGATCTTTGTCAGGATTAAATGATAAATTCTGAAGGGCTCAGTGTTACACCTAGCACAAAGTAAGCCTTCCAGACATGCTAATTGCTCTAACAGTATCATCATAGTGATCTTCACATTTTCTCTAGCTGTTATTTCCTTCATTAGCTTTCTTTTCTCTTTCCTAAACATAAGAATTCCAAGTTCTAGCTGGCACAACTTTAAACACTACCTCTGCAAAGGACTCCTTTATGTCTATTTTTAAGCCCAATCATTCTCCCAACAACAGATCCATATTTCTAACTGGTAGCCGAATTTCATTCTGTAAAAATTAAAACATCCAAATTTGCAAATCCTATCTCCTTCCCACCCTCCAAACAGCTTTTTAGTAACTGTATTTCCAAAACTGGACCAGACACTGAAGCTTGAGCCCTTGGCATCATCTTTGACAAGAATCTTCTTGTTGCATTCCTACTGCTACTACTTAAGTTCCAGCCCTTATTACCAGAAATGACTTAGAAAACGGGCCCTCCTCTGTTTTATAAGAACAGCCTATGCTTTCCCACTTCATGCCTCTTTGCTATGATCATTCTGTTCATTATATTTACATTTCCCCCACTACTTTCCTAAATCACAACCAATTCCTCTATTAAAATCTTAAGTATCTATCTCCAGAGGTCTATCACAAATACCTCCTCTCCTATGACACCTTTCCAACTCCTATTAAATAGACGTACTTTCTCCTCCTGAGTACTCTATATGGCCTGTGTCAAGGCTCTTACTATTAGGCAGTAAATTTTATATTTATAGTTGTTTCTTCCTTATTACTAAATTGCAAGCTCTGTGATGGAAAGGCCTATGTCTTGCATATATTTACACCTGGTATAATATTATTTTATACTTATTGTACATGTAAGACACTGCTTTCAATACAGGAGACTCTTAGTACTACCCATGTCTATCCTTAGTCCTGTCAACATTTATATAATATAGTCACATGGTACATTATTTTATATTTACATATATATCTACCTGTCTTCATTTGTAATGCTTACAATCCCAACTCCTCTATCATTTATGTTAGGGTAAACTACCTACCCTAGTTTTTAATTCTCATGTAGACTGGTAGTACTCCATGAAAGTGGTAAGCATTTAGTATAATACCATAACGATGTTTAATAGTATTTGACAGTTATGGAGACATATTAAGAAAAATACAAACCTGAAAGACCCTATGTGTGAAATTTCATTCAGAATAAAACTGACACATTAAAGAAAAGTGAACTTAGAATAAACTAACCATTATTAATCTTTAAAAGATTTAGGTCAGTTAGGGTTAGATTCAAAATAAAAATCTTATTCATAATTTCTTCAAATGATTAAGATCAAATGTGTCCAAAATTAAGATTAATTTCTTCTGAAGCTAACAGCATTTGTTGATTGGTAGCAGGAAAGAAAAAAATATAATAATTCAGAAAACTTCTATCAAAGTTTTTAAACACTTTAAAAATCATGCAAAAATTCCCAATAATTCCCTTTCTTGACTGAATTACTGTGTCTTAAGAATAACATTTAAAATATATTCTTAAACTTGAGAAAATGTTCAAGTTATCCTTAAATTTCATCCTAAAAAGCACTCCCAGTGGAAAGTTTAATCCTAAGAAAGAAAAGGGTGGTTGTTTTATAAGTGAAAGTAAAATAAATTATTCCCAGTTTCTTCTGAGGAAAGGGATAGCTGGCAATTTTTTTTAAAAGACATAATTGTTTCAGTTTCTAACTATAAAAAAGAAGGATCTTGCCTTTATAACATATTTTTATAAAAGCCTCTAATCTCAAAAAATAGCAATATTCAAATGCAGACATCAGAGCATAACAGATATTGCCAAACATACGAATTTGCAAAGAAACAAGGGAAAAAGATATAAAAAGAATAAGCTATAAACTACATACCTGTTTAAGTCTGGCAAGTTCTTTCAAAGCTCGTCCCCACTGCTGCTTGTAATGCAGTTTAGACTTAGTTGCAGATTCCAACTTTCTTTCAAGTTCAACCTAACAGTGATTAAAATCATATCAAGTGAAACACTATACCACTGTGTACAACCACTGAAAGATAATATATACAAAGAGTCTGGCTTAAGAAAAGAGTTTATACAGTGTAACATACGACATCATCTAAAACTGTTATATAATTTACTATAAATATTATGGCACATGAACATTTTCTTGTTTAAAATATAGTCTTATTTTTATTGCCTAACAGTCTATCCTAAAAAGAACTGAATTAGTCTTAACCTCCAGACAGTTACTATAAATGTATTTAAACATATATATTATATAAAGATCATAGAGTGAGAAATACATTCATTTTTTACAAAAAGCAGTTCTAACTGTTAACATTCCAATTTAGCTGTAACTCTAAATCTTAGAAGCCAAATTTTCTTTTTGGAGGCCTATCTTCATATGGAATTTTGTCTTATGAAGACAGCCAGTAGAGATGCTTTTATAACTATATTTTGGCAAAATCATGAAACTCTGAAAACACTGAAATGTTTTATCAGAAAGCAGTTTACTAAGAAAGAGTACAAAGTCAAAAATATTTTAAGAATGTTAACATAAAGCCAAGAGTAAGAAAAATAATGTTCCTTAATAACACACATTCTATTTTCTATTTTTCCTCAAATATATAAAGAAAACACTAAAGTGATTCAATTAAAAAATATGATTATTTATACTTGCAGCAGGCAATCTGTTGTACATGAACTGAAGCCAACTTGGCTATGTTTTGGAATGTACTCAGTGTTTCAAACCAAGTACCAAACAAATTCATGTAGCCAACAGACAGTTTTACTATTAAGTGATAATGTAATAATCTGCTTGAATTACAGTAATACACTGTTACTCTGAACCGGTCTAATTTTTATATCAAGTCTAGTTTTTCCCATAAATATATGAAAATAAAATGAAAGGAAAAACAGATGGTCAAATTCCCTTCACAAAAGTGCAGAACATCTTCTGCAGTAATATATGACTACATGGAGTCAAGGTCTTTTCTGCTTTACAAATCCCTAGTGCTTGGATTTAAATGTGTTGACATTTCACAACTAGACTCAAGCATCTTAAGTTGAATAATACTGCTGAGATTATTGAAGATGATCTCTTCTACTTATGCCCCAAAGATGTATACCTACTACTTGGTAATTTAACAAGAGGCCATACCTCAGAAGAAAAGAAAAAAATATTTTTATCACTGTGGGATAAGAGGATAGTATTCAATTATACAAGCAATCATGTCCATGGGTCTTGGAGAGAAGGTCTAGTATATTAGATGAGCCCAAGAATGAGGGTTAGGCCAGAGATGAACCTAGAGGGATTACTTATACTCAATGCACCATCAGAAAAAATTGTGGATAGGTTATATCTGTTCTGCCATAATTATTAAAATAATTTGTATTTGCATAGTCACACTAACTTAAAACACACTAACTTAAAACACATGTATAGTTATAGATATAATTTCTTTATTCTTAATACAATCCTGTAGCTAAGTAAATCTGAGACACAAACCTCATTCTTCTAATTCATTCCTATCCCCAAATCAACGATTCCTAACTTATTTTTTTTAAGATATAGATGTCTCTGTGATTCTAAAGAAATATATGGACCCAATTCCCAGAAAAAATATACACAACTAAAATTTTGATATAATTTCAAGGCATTCAAAGACTTGGGTTCTTAAGAGCCCTTACTGTAAGTAGATTTAAACTTCTGGAAACCTTTGTACTTATATTTTTCTTCAGGTTTTCTTGGTCATGACTGAGGTAATAGACCATAAGCCAAGTTATATACTCCTGAAAGAAAAACTCAGCTCAGGACCTACAGTCCATTCAGAGGCTAGGAAAACTCAAAGCATAGATTAAAATTCACCGGTTTCCAATCTCCCTATTTCTACTCTTGATACACCTACAATTCTAGTTCTTTACTAGAAGTATGGCATTGTCTTTGTCTCTTAATCTGCTATTCCCAGATCAATTCTGTCACAAGGAACTCTACATTTTTCTCTTGAAATATTTTCAAATTCTATTCCTTTATATTCCTACCACTACTTCCTTAGCCCAGGTTCTTCTCAACTCATCTTGACTATGAGGTTCTTTTGTCTCTCCAGCCTCCCAGCCTCAAATCTATTCTATCTACTAATCTTGTAAAAACCACTATTAAATAAATCTATAGTAGCTACTATTTATCTACAGCATTAAACCTAAACTACTCCACCTAGGATTGAAAGCATTCCAAAATACAGTATCTGTCCTACCCGCTCAACCTGCTTTCCTCAACAGGAAACCTACTCCAACCAGGTTTGTGTCCCCTGTGCCTTCCCTACTCCTTGCCCAATTTACTTCCTGAGGCTGCCAATTCTTTTTCCTCTGCTTACCTAAATCTTAAGGCTCAGCTCAGACTCTACCTCTACATGAAGCTGTCTTACAACTACTAGATTCCGAACGCCAAATGGTTTCTATCACATTCCTTGGTGTTTGATTATTCAAGGTCATTTACTGCTCTCTGAGTAATCTCCCAATTACTTTACGAACTCTTTAAGTGAAGTCTCAAAAGGAAGTCTCAAAGGGATAATGTACTTTTTCTCTTCCTGTCTCTGATTTTTCTCTTATCTTTCCCATTTGCCCCAAGTCAGGGGTGGCATATAGTAGATACTCACCAAATATTCTTACATACATAAATTTTAGCTTAATTAAAAATATTTATGTTCTTTCAATATATCTTCAGTCTTTTCCACCTATGTAGGCCCTACTAAATTACATGCCTTCAATATTTCATTTTTTAAAGTCCCAATTATTGAAGCTATATTTATATATATATGTATGTATGTATATATATCCCTAATCCAAAAATCCAAAATCCAAAGTGTTCCAAAATCCAATACCTTTTCAGCACTGACATGACACATAAGAAATGCATCTCAGACTTCAGATTTTCCGAACAGCGATGCTGAACAGGTAAATACAATGCAAACATCCCAAAATCCAAAAAATCTAAAATTGGATGCTGAACAGGTAAATACAATGCAAACATCCCAAAATCCAAAAAATCTAAAAGTGGAAACACCTCTGATCCCAAGCATTTTGGATAAGGGATATGCAACCTGTAAAAAGAATCAACAATTACAGTTGCTAAAACTATATGTTTATGTTAACTTATTTTTAGACAATTTCAGTAAAAAAATGGGAATATGCATATTACACTGAAAAGAATACGTAATGAGAAAAGAAACAAAACTCTCAATCAGACATAACCAGAGCTTACAAATTAAATCAGATACTTTTTAACTTGGGTCTTTCTTTTTGTGCATTTATCTCTTTGTCACTATTTTAAGAAATAAGATTCTGCCCTCTTCTGGCTCCAAAAAGATTTACAAAGAATTTTCAGAAGAGCTGAAAAGCCTCTTTTCACTAGGCACTTAAACATGCTGGATGAATGTATTAAGTCTAAAATAGAGGCAATTAAATTATGTACTTTTCTCTCTCAAGGCAAACTCACAGTACTGCTTATACTTTTAATATGTTTAATGATTTCTATCCTTCTGATAAAAGCATAGTTGGAAGAAATTTTAAAAGTCATTTAAAATTTATTTTTATTGTGGATATTACCTAGTCAACCAGTCTGTATTCAGGGATGAATAAGATAACACCTCTGTTACAATTTTGATTTCTGGTCTTTAAATTTCCCCAGGGTAAAATGGAAGTACTCTTAGACACCCACATAATAGAACTTGGGAGAATCCATGTGACATTATCCAATGAGTGCTTCAAATATTTCTGGTAGGCACTACAGAATTCATATTTATAAACGCAGAAATACTTTACTACTTGGTTTTATCAAAAGAGAAATGGGAAATGTCCAGCTGGATTCAAGTTCACTGGTAGAAAAATGAAGAAACTGACCAAATATGTAAGAAAAAGAATCAATTAAGACTTGCAATTAAAGCAATGTGGGGATAAGAGTACCCCAAGATAGCTTGGCAGTTAACACGCTACAGAAACATTTACTGAGTTCAGAAACACTACATGAAAAATATATTTCAGGGAGATGGCTGAGTTTAGTTTTGGACATTCTGGGATATCTTGAAGACTGACTTCCAAGGGTCCAGGAGATGGACACTATTTCCATAATATCAAAAGATTATTTGTCTTTTCCACTTTCATGCTTCTATAAATGTACACTGGAGTTTTCCAGAGGCTACATGATGTATAATATCACAACAGAGTGAATTCAAAATCAGATACAAGAATTCAGATGTCTATTATCCAGACACTAAAGAGATTTGTAAAATAGTAAAACAATGTTACTCTTCTCAATTTTTTGTTTTAGAAAATGGTTATTTTTCATAAAAATGTTACCTAGGTTTTTTTTTCCCATTTCTAATACAGTGATTATCAATAAAGGGACCCTGAGTCAAAAAAGTTTGAGAACTACTGTTCTAAGGCATTCAAGAAAAGATGTTGGGTAGGCAGTTGAATATATGGGTCATAAGCCGAAGAGACAGGTCTTGTCCTCTAACACATATTTTCTACACACTAGATGAATAATTTTTTTCCTTAATGTAAAGATCAAGTTACTCTCCTACTTAAAACCTTTCAATGGTATCTCATTATTTACTTAACTTTTATATTTACAAACATACAATTTAAGTAAAACAATGTCCTAGGTTCTATGTTTAGCATTTTACAAATATTGAGTCATTTAACTCTGTTATCAACCTTATCACCTTACTACCTCCATTTAAAAGATATGGAAATAAGTACAGAGAAGTAAACTAAGTGGCAGAGCTAGGATTTGAACCAAGGTGATGTGGCTCATATTCATACTGTTAACTACTATTATACTATAACTCTATTAGAATAAAAACCTAAACTCCTTGTCATGGCTTTAATGGCCCATACTTTGAACCTCATCTTGTACATTCTCCTTCCCTCATGCTCTAGGATGGCCTTCGTCCTCAACCTCAAACAATCCAGGCTTAACCTCACTTCAGTTCCTTTGCAGCTGTTCCCAGGACACACCTTCTATAACTTTTCACATTGCTAGCTCCTTCTCTTCTCACAGATCCCAATTAAAATGTTAGTTACCCTCCTCAAAGAGGCCTTCCTTAACCACCTTATGTGGGGTGGTATCTATTCCTGACAGGCCACCTACATTGCCACATTCAATGACATCACCTTTTTTATTACTTTTATGTTTGACATAAACAAAAATGATCTCATTCATTTATTTTTTTACTCTCTCCTCTATAATGGATCTCCCTGAGGAATCTGTCTTGTTCAATGCAAGACTAACTATAATCCTAGAAACATAGAAGGTACTCAATAAATAGCTGGTGAAATGATTAGCAGCAACTTAACATCTCAAAACAATTTTGTACCAAGATGACAACATGCCCTCCATTAATTTTTGCTGAATAAATGAATATATGAAAATTCTGAGTAGCATACATGGTGTTGGTTCATCATCATGAATAACAAATGTTTACTCAGTGCTATAAGGTACAGGGTGCTGTCTTAAGAATAGGTAATATGAAAATAGCTATAACATGGTTTCTGCCTTGGAAAGTTTAGAATCTAGGTTGCATTATGGTAGCTCTGAAATAAGTATAAGAAGTATACAGTAAGTATTAAAAGTTCCTAGAGGAATCTATTCCACAGCCTACTATCAGATTATAGTATCTCAACATAAGCTTTAAGGATTTGAGTGCTGGATTTATTAAATAAAAGATTTTGAAGCTATTCCATAGTCTTTCTCTCCCTGCCACACTTTAGCAGACACCAGACACTACTTCTCTCAAAGTACTCTTGGCTGTGACTGTTATTCCTTAGTCCATTTTCCAAAACATGGAAGTCTATCACTCCCTAATGCTACTTTGTTTTTGTTTTTGTTTTTTTGAGATAAGTTCTTGCTCTGTCACCCAGGATGAAGTGCAGTGGTGGGATCATGGCTCACTGTAGTCTCAACCTCTTTGGGCTCCAGTGATCCTCCCACCTCAGCCTCCTGAGTAGCTGGGACAACAGGTATGTGCCACCACATCCAGCTAGTGTATATATATGTTATATATACATATATGTGTGTGTGTGTGTATATATATATACACATATATACCTATATACATACATACACACATATATAATGTATGTATTATAATATATATTTTATATATATATTATATATGTATATTTTTCTACAGAGGCAGGGTTTCTCCATGTTGCCCAGGCTGGTCTTGAACTGAGCTCAAGCAATCTGCCCACCGTGGCTTCCCAAAGTGCTGGAATTACAGGCATGAGCCACTATACCCAGTCCCCAATGTTACTTTCTGATTACAATTCATCAAAACTCATTTCTATTAACATCCATTACACAAATCTTACAAACTTGGGAGTAATATTTGACTTTGCTTACCAGATAAAATTTGAATTCTTTAACTTAGCATCTAAGACATTCCCCCATATGGCCAAAAATTACCTTTACTTCCAGCATTCTCTTATCAGCCCTATTTTATAAACTACTATTACAGGTTCAGCATCTCTCATCCAAAAATCTAAAATGTTCCAACATTTGAAACTTTTTTAATGTAACATGATGCCTATATTAGTCTGTTTTCACGCTGCTGATAAAGACAAACCTGAGACTGGGCAATTTACAAAGGAAAGAGGTTTAATGGAGAACTCACAGTTCCACGTGGCTGGGGAAGCCTCACAATCATGGTAGAAGGCAAGGAGGAGCAAGTCACATTTTATGTGGATGGCGGCAGGCAAAGAGAGAGCTGGTACAGGCAAACTCCCATTTTTTAAAGCCATCAGATGTTGTGAGACTTATTCACTATCAGGAGAACAGCACAAGAAAGACTTGCCCCCATGTTTCAATTATCTCCCACCGGGTCCCTCCCACAACATCTGGGAATTATGGGAGATACAAGATGAGATTTGGGTGGGGACACAGAGCCAAACTATATCAGTGCCCAAAGGAAATGCTCACCGGAGCTCTGTTGTCCAGTGAACTAGAACCACAGGGAGGATGGCCTGAAGGAAGCTGGAGAGAAGGGCTCTCTGATGGGACATGGAACCATAAAAAGATTCAACTACTGCCAGCGAAAATAAAGGAAGTAGAGAGAGATGGAAAAAACTTCCCAACATAGATCCAACTCCCACCCACTGGTCTTCCGCTAGTGCCCCCTGGTGGCGTGTCTATGAGGGAAAGGAAGCCTTCAACACAAAGCTGAGTAGGAAAAGATGGGAATGGCTGGCACAATTAAATCCTTAAACTTTAAAGGTAATTTTCCTATGTATTACCTGTGTTATTTTCCTCTGACTGCTATATTTTTTTAATCATGCCTAAAAGTTATTAAATCATAAAATGCAAGAACACATATGGTCAAACTTGTCTATTGGACATTACACATTTTTAATGCCTAGCACCTGAACATTGTTTGTGGAGGAATCTCAATTTAAATGAGAAGAACATGGCTTCCAACCACAGAAAACAAAATAAGACAACTATTCCTTCTTCCTAGCTGAGAGCTAGAGTGCAAGTCTGTGGTTCAAATGAATACTCCTATCTAGGACATTGAATCTACAGGGGTGATACACGGAGAGAATATTCACAATGGCTACCACAGAACAGTTCAACAGCATGACATTAGAATCAGAGGGTAGGGAATCCAGTGACATGGCAGTGACAGCACCAAAAGGAGCAACCGAAGTAGACTGTTTTCTGACAGGATCTTGGCTATGCCTTGCTTTCCCTATCCTGCCCATATTCTGAAACTACTTCTTTAGCCTCCTGAAAGTTTTGTAAATCCCTTCCTTACTAGAGTTAGTCAGTTCTGATGTTTGCAACCAAGGACTCTAATCTGTATAAGCTACAACTGACATAAGCCAAGAAATTCAAGTACTAATAATGTCACGTGCCTTTAATTCTCTAATGCATTCTTATTTGACATCAGAACACTACAGCAAAACATTATTATATTGTATACACATTATTGATTGATTTTATAAATTAATCACTGGGACTAGTTAAACTGCACAAAATTAACATGTGTACCTTTTCCAAGGTGAGAAGATTTATTTCAGACTGTAGACGGATTTCTGGTTTGTTGTTTTGCTGGTCCTTGAACTGTTGGAACTCTTTTTCCAAAATCTTATACTTATTTTCAGCATCATTAAGCTGTATTAAAAAAAGTTTAGCCATTTCAAAACAATGATATGCAAAGTTTAACAATAAAGTATTCAATTCAACAAGGTCTTTTTTTTTATTCTACAGCATGCTCATAGTAGAAAATCTGGAAAACTGATAAAGTACAATGAGGAAAATAAAGATCCTTAGTAATTAAAAATTCAGTAAATCAACTGATTCTACAAAAACTTTTGAAGAGTATGAAATTTCTTATCAAACTGGTATCATGAAAATGTTTTTGGTAAAACTCAAATGTCAAATGTAAAAGTTACCTTCAGAAATCCTAACACTTTCTTTACACTTTTCTTAAGATGTCGCATATAAGAAAAAATTCAGCAAGAGACCACCAGAAGCAGAGAGGAACAAACACATTTCAACACTAAGGCAACTCTGTCTCTCCTGGATTCCATGAGAGCAGAGTAAGTGCAAGTTATCTGCCAACCCAGGATTAGGCCCTACAGCTACAGTGAAAAGAATCTCAGGAGAAGACTCAGGAATAAAAACAGAGAAAGAGATTACAGGCTAAAATTACTAGAAATCCTCAGAAAACAAAGAAGGAAAAAGAAACCAGAAAAACCATCAGCCCAATTAATTAAATCAAGGAGTGACCGGGAGATCCAGTTTACTAAAAGAATGGAAATTTCTTGAATTTGAAGAGTTGAGGACGAACAATCAGGAATAGTCTAGAGCAATTGCCCAGTGTCCAAAGAACAGGAGCATAAAGAAGAGCTGGCAAGAGTGTCTCCAGATGGTGACAAGTTTGCAGACTTTTACTAGACTACTTTGAGGCCAACAAGCCAACCCTGGCCCTCTACTTATGGAGAAGGCCTACACAGGATTCTGGGATACAGATGGAAGGATGACATCTTTTCAGGTTCTCTCTTTACAGATGTGATTGTCCTTCCAATTCCTGAGTTCTAACTCCAGGCTTGTGTTTTGAAGGGCTCCTCTGAGCCACATGGAAGATCCTCGGGTACCCCAATGGAGCCCTGGAACTATAAGGCCTCCACAGTCAGCTCCATGCCTGTTTCCTTTTTCCCAGAGACCCCCAGCCCCCAGCAGCAGTGGTCAACCTCTGCTGATTCTGCTCCAGATCTTGAATTTAGAGACAGTTACAACCTGGATCTCAATTCTGTTTGAAAGCAAAAGAATACCATAATCATCAGTACTCTGGTGCATGACTCTACCCAGCCCAATGTAATGAAAATAAAATGTGAAAAAAATGAATAATCCTGACCCCCTGCCAAAAAAAGACTGAGCATTACAGATATGCCAGATAAATATCCATGTAAATAAAAATAAGCTCAATTTTAATGTAGCATTTCTTGTTTTTACAGTTTGGTACCATATGAATTTTACAAATTCAAATACTATTACAAGTTAATGTAATTTAAAGATTATTTGGTTCAATTCCTTCATACTAATAGGTAAAAACAACAACAACAACAACAACAACAAAAACTGAAAGTCAAAGAAGCTAAATAATTGAGGCAATGTCAAAGACCTAGTGAGCTAAGTCAGTAGCGGGGCAAAAACTAACTTCAGACCTTTTCATCCCCTTGAATAATGCTTTCATTAAAGCAGTCAATACTTCCTGAAAAACAAAATGACAAGATAGCCTTGACTAAACATTCAAATTTCTCTTAGAACAGTTTCAAAAATTTTTAAAAAGGTACGAAGATGTTCTTTTTTGAATGAGTTTTTTTTTAAATGCGAACAAAGATTGCTAAAGATGTTTTCCAAAAACATATACCGCTATGACTATCCATCATTATATAAACCAATTGTCTCTTCCCTAAGGCATAGGACTTACCTAAATCTGAAATATTAATACTAAGAAAATATGTGGCAAAAATGGAAATCATCAGTAATAATTAGGATTTATCTAGCATGTTTAGGTAATGTAGTGTTCCATACATGAGAACTGTCCATATGACAGAAGTTTACCTATTTTTTAACATCCAAAGTTGAACAGAAACCTTTCTAAAGTCTCTCACTTTTCTGTTTTAAACAAAAGCTAAGAAAATATTAAATTTGGTAGTTTCTTCACAATTCCAGAACATTATCATACACAATTCTTGTTACAATTGGGCTATAAAGCAGTAAGCTATTAAGGCATGTTGGGCTCTTTTTCCTTTGCTAAGTGATCCACAAACTACAGATTTGAGTTCTGGTGACTGCTATAATCTATTTGAGTACAGATACTTCATCTTCATCAGCTCTCACTGACAGTGTAACTGTCCCTTCTACCAGTCTAGTTAGAATTGTGTGTATAATACATGTAACATGGTCAAGGTAAGGACCCAAAAAGCTTTTCCACACCTAAAACGTGAAATGTATACAGTCATGGACTTAGCAATCTGGGCATCTTGGAAACTTCTCCTGTCCTTCCTACCCCCTTTTTTTCCCCCAGGTTTTAGAACAGTGCTTCAAGAATACAAGTGTGCTCCAAGTAATTTTTCCAAAATACCAGTTCTTCCCACCAAAGTTAGTTATTCCTACAAAGAAGTAAACTACACCATATACAACACCATACACAAGTCTTTTTCTTTTTTTTTTGAGACACCGTCTCATTCGGTTGCTCAGGCTGGAGTGCAGTGTTGTGATTATGGCTCACTGGAGTCTTGACCTCCTGGGCTCAAGTGATGCTCCCACCTCAGCCTCCTGAGTAGCTGGAACCACAGGTGTGCACCACTATGCCTGGCTAATTTTTATATGTTTTGAAGAGATGCAGTTTTGCCATGTTGCCCAGGCTAGTCTTGAACTCCTGGGCTCAAGCACTCCTCCCACCTCAGCCTCCGAAAGTGTTGGGATTACAAGTGTGAACCACTGTGCCTGGCTTATACCAGTCTTAGACAAGGTACAGATATGTGTATTTCTTAAGAGCTCTCCTGGTGACTCTAATATGTGTTAAGAGCCTTTGTTCTAGATGGGTGAATCTTCCTGATAATTGGAAGAAGAGAAGCATTACTGGTGAATCCCATCATAATTGCCCACTTTTACAACTTTATCTTTTGTATTTTAAACAAGACTACCCTACTTGGTAACAATCAAATTCATATTTTTACAACCACCTAAATAATGGCTCTGTGCTGCTGTGGAAACTGTTCATGAGAAAATTTACTGAAGACTTGGGAGGCATTCATCATACATATCTAATCTACATTGGAATTTTTCAAGAAAGATAAGCTTAATTTTTAACAGCTTGATTCTTTTTTTTTTTTTAGCAAATATTTATTGAGCCCCTATTATGTGCTGACAACTGGCCTGGACTCCTGGGATACAGCTATAAACCAGAACAGTTTTTATGGAGCAAACAATCTGATACTGATTAAATTATCATGCTAATGAAAATAAAAACAAACCGATATGACATATCATAAAGAAAAAGAACAGGAGAATAATGTCCTATGAGACCATAAAATAAAAATTTGTCCTAGACTTGAGGAGGATGAATTAGGGAAGATTTCTAGGAGTGGGTGATGCTTTAGCTTAAAACTGAAGGAGGAACAGAGTACACCAGGCCCAGATAATGCAGCAAACATGAAGATCCTGTGGTTGAAGTGAGCATGGCATGCCTGAGAACTTGAGGGCAGACAAGCACGGGCAGAGAGTACACAGCACAGGCACAAGAGTGGGAGATGAAGTCAGAGAGACAGGCTCTGATCTATGCAGAGGCCTGCAGGACAAGGCAATGATTCTGATCTTTTTCCTATGAGCAACAAGACAATGCTGAAAGGTTTTAAAGAGGAGAGTATCAAGATTCCCAATTTCAAAAATATCATTCTGGCTACAACATGAGGAGCAGATTAGAGGGGCCCATCACTGAAACAAAGAACATTTACAGGTAGAAGGTCAAGTATGGAGAGAAGGACCACAGTGGGTTTTAAATGCCTTTAAGACATCTGAACAGAGATGCCAAAAAGCCAATCAGATATATGGGTCTAGAGGGCAAAGGTAAGGTCTTGGATATGACCCTGCATGTGAAAGTCCCAGATGTAGACTGTCTCTGAAATCATGGGCATGAAATCACGAATAAGATTGTTTTTGCAGAAAGTAAGTCCTGAGCTTGGAGGAAGTCCAACATGTAACGGCTAAAGGAAGACAAGCCTGCAAAAGAGCCTGAGGGTGGCCAGAAAGGTAGAGAAAAACAAGGGAGAGTGGTGATGTGGAAGTTGAGAAGAGAAAATACAAAAACAAGGACAACAGTGTTGATGATACCAATCAGTTTTACTGAGTATGAGGAGAGGAAATAGGAACAGAGACAATTCTCTCATGAAATTTGGATCTTAACTAAATTTGGTCCTTAACTGAATTTGGTTCAGTGCTACATGAAGAATATCTATATTTGCTTAAAGAAGACTTATCAGAAAAAGATTTAAGTTGGAAATGACCTGAAATATGCACAATTTCATACAAAATAGTTAGAAAAAGATCCAACTTAAAGTATATTTGAATCTCAGTGCAATAATATGATTAATAGTCTAAATTACTATGAATTTTACCACTTTTTAGTAGTTAGTGAACTATTTCTCTTATTACTAGAATGCAAATAAACTAAGCATAAAAAGATGACAAGTACGTTATCCAACCTGTTGCTGAAGGCGGTGTTTATCCTCTTCGAGCTGTTTGATTTTTAACCTTTCTAGTTCTACTTGGTGAATACAGTCCTCTTTGGCCCTACGGATAGAGTCCTGCAGTTCTTGCAGGTTCCGCTGACGTTCTGATTGCAGTTCCTTTTTTTCTCTTTGAAGCTTAAAACAAAGGCATCTTTAAGAGGTTGGTTTATTGCTAGCTGCATTATACTATTCGATATTCCAATATCTTTCTATACACTCAAATGTTGAGGATATTTACAAATTTATTTTCATATCTTTTTTAGTTATTAGAGAGTTAATGTTCAAGTGTACCATTATAAGTTTTCAATCATTGTTTAATACTATTATACACACATATAAAAATCCATAAACAATTTGTATAAATTCACTTGAAAACCCTAAGCACTTAACATTTCCATTTGAATAAAACCTTTTTAAGTGTGTAAGCAAATATGCCCAAGTTTCTTTTCTTCTTTTAGAAACTTCTGATTCTTGCCTAATCGCATAGAATACAGCCTTGGTATTAGGCACAAATCTACACTATTAAGTTTAAACACTCTGACATACTTTTCGACCTATTCTTAATATATAAGATATGCTGAATAGCAGTTTGAATAGCAGTTTTCTGCATGTCTAAAAGACAATTTTCATGAAATATATAGAGCACAAAGTAATAAACAGTATGAATTTCATATATAGACTCTGTGAAATAAAGATATATGATAGATGACATACTTACTAATAACACCACTTTCCACCTCTTTGTAAATAATTATGTAAGACTCTCATAAATGGAGTGCCTCTATTCCAGTCTTTGCTTGTCTCATTCTTATAAGCAGCCCATCCTGAGTCCCTTCTCTCTCGGGACTCTTTTGCATCTAACTTTTAAAATAGTATTTCTACTTTGCAATAAACCCCTCTATGCTGAAAAAAAATACAATGGACGAATGACATACCTCTGATTCCACACTAGCAAGCTGCTGCTCTCGCTTCTCCAAGTCAATTAGAGTTTTTTGAAGTTTTCCTTCTAGAATAGTATATTCAGCCACCTAAAATATAGTAAAAAAAAAAAAAAAAAAGTTACCTACCTTCTCCCAAACTTAAAACACACACAAATTCAAAAATACACATCATTTCACTGAAACAGAGGACCTAAGAATAGGAAAGTCACAAATTACATCCGCCAATTCAAAGAAAAAAATGTGCTTTTATGAATTTGAGACTGGTGATGGTCATATTTCCTCCTCTTGGTCTTTTTTCTTCTCCAAGATAAACACAAATTTTAACTGTTATTCACATATTATGATTTCCACATCCTCTAGTATGTTAGACTTAATCTAAATTTACAGAGGATGGAAACAAAAGACTGCTAAATTTGAAACGCATATGTAGTGTAAGCAACTAAATAGCCAAGTGTGGAGTCCAGGGAAGAAGTCAGGGATGGGGGTGCGTGTGGTGGGTGTCTTGGTGTATATAATGCCAAGAGAGTGAATGACATCATCCAAGGAGTGAGTATACAGAGAGAAGAAAGGATGGTATTTGAGGACTGGGCTGTGGGACAAGCCAATAAAGCCAACATGAGGAGAATCTAGCATGAAAATTAGGAAAGAGAGACCAGTGAAGACAGCGGAACACAACAGTAGAAAAGTGTAGTCCAAAAAAAAAATATAGTCAAAGAAGCCAAATAGAGGAAGTGTTTCAAAGACAGAGATAAACCGGGTAAGGATGAGGAAGGATTGTTTGTTAAGACAAAAACTAACTGTTCTGGCGAGTGAGAAAATGAATTGACTAGGGAAAGCAGTAGGATTGTGAGCAGCCGTGAGGACGTCTTAGCGCTTGAGGTCCTAAACCTCCTTAAAATCATCTCTTTACCACCCATCTTTTCTCCATAACCTTTCACTACTATTAGTTTTTGGCTTTCGTTTTTTATACATATTGCTTTCCTGGTCTCCTGGACTTTAGTTTCACATTCCTCTATTCTAGCCACTGTACCTCCATCAGAATTATTGTTATAGAATGAAAACCTAATTATTTTATATAAAAATCTTCATTTAAAAAATTTCTGATATTTCTACCGTTCTCAACCAGGGTTTATCATCTGAACCACAAAACACAGAAAATGATTTAATTATTTTCTCCATCCTCTCCTAAAATGGTACATAACTACCATTTTAGATGCATAGGATAAAGTTAATTTATTACCAATAATGGATCACTTAGGGTATTAAGGGCTTCATTCTCTCAGGAAGGCCTGGCTAAGAAAAGCCTACAGTATCTAGTCTAAACTCTACATAATGGATTTACGAGATCATTTATTCTCCAGGGTATCAACCTCTCTTACCTTATTTCTTGAGGCACACTCTTTCCTCCCCTCTTCCAACATCAAACTACATATAATTTTCTTAATGCAGAGTGTATTTCAAACTTCTTTGCCTTTTCCTCAAGGGGCTGTGTCCGGAATACCCTTTGAGTCTACCTGGCAATATCCACTAATCTTCACCAAAGTGAAAGCATGATCTTATCTACAGAACACTTCCTTATGTAGAACTGATGTCTTCCTTCTCTGTGGGTAATGACTATCTTCAGCTATCTGACAGGCAGTCATATGTAAGACAGAGTATATCTCAGTTGCTCCAGAGGGCAGAACAAGAACCACGTATATATCTACTCCTTCAGGTAAATTTTCAAAGTGTGAAAGAAGTTATACATCGTTTTTTAAGACAAATCAGGTAAATAAACGAAAAGGCTCACATATAATTGACATTTAAAAAATACTATAGTGAGAGTCTCAGGGTATTTAGCTTTAAAATATTTCATCATACTGAAAAACAACTTTTTTTTCTCACTACTGACTTGATTTTGTAGTGGTTGATAAAATTTAAAAGAAAAACTGATCCCATGCAAGACAGGATACTTTAAGACAAATGAATTAAAGTATTTGGTCTCAAAAATGCACTTAGGTTGAAAGAAAATGGCAAATCTCAATCTCAGATCTACCTTTATCATATGACTAATTTGAATAAACAGCACAAACACTTATTATGTAGGCATCATATTGTTTTCTGACTGGAGTTATTAACTAGCCAGGAACTCATCATTTCAGGCTGAAAGGGTAGAAGTGTATAAATGGAAACCAATTACAAATTTTAGCTGAAAAGATCATTATTACCAAAATGACAACAAACCAAAAATTACTTGGTGAGTTTTCACAGAAAGTTTAATTATGGCACAAAGTGAATTTGTCACGGTTCTAGTAATTTTATTAACTTTTCAAGTATTTCCCGATTTGAATTTTGCAGACCTCAATACTAAAATACTCTTCAACACAATGAAGAGAAATGATTCAAGGATAAACTCATCTTGTCTTAAAGGCTAGGTTAAAAATTTTAAAAATTAAAATGGTATTTTCCAGCTCCCCCAGATTCAATGAATATCTAATAGGTGAGGTCTGTAAATATTACTTAATATGAAACTCACTTAATAACAGGATAACTCGCATAATGTTAAAATGTATGTCAGGGCTTCTAATTATTGTAATTTTGGTTATCTGAACGTTTCTAAAGAATAGAGACTTTGAAATACTCTTATTTTTGTCTTTCAGCTTTTTTAAAAGTTCACTGGTTATTCAAGTTTTTAATGGTGAGAATTAAGTTAGAAAAAGCTGATTTGGTTATTTTAAAATCAAAGGCCTGTGTACTTCTGTTTCCACCCATAAAAGACAAATGGCCCTCCTTTATAAACACAACTTAAACAACATTTATGAAACAACTGTTTTTAGACATTGGGCAACAGGCAGCACAGGACAATGATCCCTAAAAGGTGAGAAATAAATGAGGCAACCACTACAATATATCTAGCTTACTGCCTGAAGACTGTAGTAGCTCAAGGAAGGGGAACCCAAACAGACACTAGCAATCTTGCTGAGCTGAGAAAACGGAATGGAGACCAGAGAGGCTGAGGCAACTAGAGTTGATGAGAGGAGGGGGTTATAGAGAGAAGGAGCACTGGAGCCCTGTAGAGCCATCCCCTCAAATCTGAAGCTGAATACTGATTAACCACTAATAAGAGTATTTCTAAAGTCCTAAAATTATTAATAGAATATTTGAAGAAAGTCTGTTAGGGTTGTTTTATTTAATAACTTCAGTGTAAATGGATAAATATTAAGCTTTTGCTTCAGGAATAAAATCAGATGGTCTCATGTTATCATTTTTAAAAATGTAATTTATTTCATAATTCTTAAAAATAGCTTAAACGTTTGAGGCATTCTATTAACTTACAGATTATAATATGTAGTTTTATATATATTGAAATGTGCTTTTATTTCTTTTTTATACATCAGCAGGGTTTTTCTCTATTCATTTTTGTATATTCATATACACACACACATATTTTTTTTTAAGAGATGGGGGTCTCACTATGTTGTCCAGGCTGGTCTCAACCTCCTGGCCTCAAGCAATCCTCCCTCAGTGCTGGGATTACAGGTGTGAGCAACCATACCTGGCCTATATTATATATTTTTTGAATAGGTAATACATTTGCATATTCCAAAAGCACAAAATACTTTACAGTGAAACGCCTCCCTTCTCTATCCAGAGCCACCACTCACTTCTTCCATGCCAACATATCACCACTAAAATTAGTTATTCCTTCCAGAGACTGTCTTTAACGCAAATACAAGATATTATCATTAATATTCTTCCTTCTCTTCCTCACTTTTACACAAGTTATTACCTTTTTCTTTACTAGTGATTCTCTTTCTCGGTCCCTTTTCTTCCATTCCTCTGCAAGAGCCTGCATATGAGCCAGTTCTTTCTGCTTCAGCTACAAAAGGAAGAAAAATAAAGTCGCCAAAAAACCCCAAATATGTCAAATAAATGAATCAGTTGTCAGTTAAATAACCGATGCTGATCACTAATATGATTTTTTCAGGCATTCTTTTTTATTCTAAAAAAAAAAAAAAAAAAAAGGAGGATGCCTGAGGCAAATAATGCCCATTTGAGTTCACTTCAGGAAACTATAAAACTAACAGTGGGTTGTGCTTTCTAACTCTTGTTTGGAGACTAATGATGCAAGGTTCCAGGAGGGCATGCCAAATGAGGACATGAAATTTAAAGAGTAACTTCCCAATTTTACCCAATAATCATGAACAAAGTTTACAGAATTCTGAGTGGCTTCTGCCAAGGTGCCACATTTCAGGTATTTTTTGATTCTCAAATTTTTTTAAGTAAAGCATTGTTGACATTCAAAGAAGTTAGATAAGGTACCTACAGAACATAGAGATTAAACCTTGCTACGGAGAAGGAAAAATATACAGAGCAGACAAAGCAGATTTTTTAAAGTAACATTTAAAAAGTAACCTGATTTTCAAATATATCTTCTTGCATCTCCTTCCACATTTCTAGCTCAAGTGCTGCTTTGTATTCTAACGTTTCACGAGGCTCTGTCTGGATCTCTGAAGGACAAGGTGCTGGAGGAAGAGAAGACGGCTTTTGCTGTACGGCAGATACACCCTAAGAGATGAACCAAAAAGTACATTTAAACACTCACACACATATGCACATTAGATTCCTTTTAAAAAAAATTTGATAACATTCAATTATATTTACCTGAGATGAATCAGAGATAAAAATCTCACGCATTTTTACTAGTCCATAATCTTCTAGAGTCACTGTGTAAGAAAGATCTGCTATCCTGTTATTTGATCTACAAATAAAATAAGAAATACCTTAAAATTCACAGAAATACTTTATATTATTTTTCCTTTTATTTCCCCAGTGCTTTAGCAATGGGAAGTAAGCAACATTTTCTGCTCCTAACTCTATTGTTTTTGAAACTGCAGCAACTTCTGTAGGCTTCAACACCTTCCATATATATATAAATTGATCATCACAAACACCCTGCTAAATACACGCATACATTTACTACAAAATGACCCCTATGAGAGCTTTAAAAGGTATAAAGGTGAAATTTAAAATCTTACTGCCCACAGGTAATTATTGCTAATATGTAGTTTATTTCCCTCCTGTTTTATTTATATATAGATATACATGCACACATGCATGCTGACTTCATACAGTTTTGTCTTGTTTTCCTATTTACATCAGGGGCATTTTCTCACATCATAACATTAATTTAAAAATGTGATTTTTTTTTTACTGCCTGTAAAATATACAAATGAATTTATGTAGTAAAATATACTTAACAATTCCCCTACTCTTGATTATATTGGTTATTCTGAATTCTTTTTTCTACTTTTCCTGGGATGTACATACTCATAAATATTTTACTAGACATAAGCAATGCCTCTAGGCCTAATTGGCACATAAGCAATGCTTCTAGGATAATTATATGTTAGTATGAGCATAATGAGCACCTCTTTGTATCATACAACTGCATGCAGCATTTGTCATTAACCAAATGAGAACAAGATAAAATATTAGAAGAAAATAAAATGCTAGTAATACAAAACCATGGTTTTGTCTAAATCAAATATACTCTGGTCAAACAAAACTTGAATGAATGGTTCTCACACAATTAGAACTCTTAATTAACCAACTTTTGTATTTTCTTCTTCTAATCTCACAGATTTCAGAAGAAATGAATAAAGTTAAATGAAGCACTACTGTATCTGACAGAAACTCCTGAGAGTATCTAAGGTTCTCACTTAAGTAAATCTCCTAAAACTTTCTGTCTACAAAGTATGGCAATAAAAGTTAATATTCATAACAAACGGGCAGCATTAAAATAGCTTCAATTATTAGTGATTTTATTATCTTCTACTTACGACAAAAAAATGCTAATTTTTAAGAAAGATTCTTCAATAATAGGAGTTGAAACAAAATGGCCATGAATGGTGAGGAATAAGGAAAGACATTTCAATACTTTTAGAGCTAAAATTTCACTGAGCCTTGTTTCTCTTTTTTTTAGTCTTATCTTTAATGATAAAGGGCATATGATATATAATGTTAAGTTAAATTTTAAATTTTTATTGTTAATTTTGAAAGGATAATTCAACAAATATTTTACTGTATTTAAAATATGTTAAAAAAACGCAAGTTTTTCTTTGTGGCAATGAAGTTCAGGGCAAAAAACCAATAATTATTTTAAAAACTGCCTCTGACTGCCAAATATCTATAATGTCCTCAGACTTTTGATTTGGGGTAGGAGTAAAATATTTTAAGTGGAAAAACAGTCTTAGCCATTCCCAGTGCAAAATAATATAAAATACATTATAAAGTTTAACCTCAAATTACAAAATAAAAAAATAGATCCTGCATTTAAAATTCTCAAGCTAGAGAGAGGAAGGAAAATAATTAGCCATCTGAATATTACAATACCATGGTAACACAGACTCTTGACTTCTGTGAGGTGAAATCAGTATCAGAAAGCTAAAGGGCAAAGTGGGGTATAGCTGCCACAGGTCAGAGAAGATCAGAAAAAGGAGGTTATGAAAGGGTGAAGTGGTGGATCAGAAAAAAGAGGTTATGGAAGGGTGAAGTGGTGGCTGACTAATCAAAATCATTCCATGAATTGAAAAGAAAAGCAAATACCAATTCTGTGAAATGCATTACCCTTGTGCTGCTATAACAGGCACACTTTCACTGTAAGTTTGACGCCAACACTGTTCACCATTAGAACCTAAAAAACGAGTTTTTTCTGAAGACAAGATGTTAGAAAGCTGGATTCTCGCAATTCCCAGAAGTAAATCTTTACTCATTTTATCCTTGTGCCATAGTTCAACCAGTAATGGAATCCTAAGGAAGAGAGAAACATGTGTTCATACCTATCAACTCTGACCTAAAGTCTTTTCTGAACTAAATTCTTTGAATTCCCTCAATGGAGTCAAAGATGTTTTTTGTTACCTGGAATGTCGTCTAACACAATTGTTAGACTGAATGCTAAATTTCACAGGCACCAAATATGAAATGATGTTTCCATCAATGATGAACCTCACATACAATGATGGTCCCATAAAATTATATCATATTTTTACTGTATCTTTTCTGTTTAGATACACAAATACTTACCTTTGTCCAACTGCCTACAGTATTCAGTACAGTCACATGCTGTGCAGGTTCGCAGTCTAGAAGCAATAGGCTATTCCACCCAGCTTAGGTGCACAGTAGGCTATACCATCTAAGTTTGTTTAAGTACATTCTACAATGTTCACACAACAATAGAATTATCTAATAATGCACTTCTCATAATGTATCCCTATCTTTAATTCACGACTATACCTGTTTTTTTTTTTTTTTGAGACAGGGTCTTGGTCTGCCACTCAGGCTGCTGTGCAATGGCATAATCACAACTCACTACAGCCTCAACCTCCTGGGCTCAAGTGATCCTCCCGTTTTAGCCCCCTAAGTAGCTGGGACTGCAGGTGCTGGCTAATTTTTGTATTTTTTGTAGAGACAGGGTTTCACCATTTTGCTCAGGCTAGTCTAAAACTCCTGGGCTCAAAGCAATCTGCTCAAGTTGGCCTCCCAAAGTGCTGGGATTACAGGTGTAAGTCACCATGCCAGGCCTACTATTATATTTTTTGTACCACTTTCTATGCAATAAAAACCTTCAAATGCTGTAATTCCCACAAATGGTTAGATTTAAGTTACCCTTCATTCTTTTTAAAATAATGTATAAATTTGAATTGTGATACTCTGAGAAAGTAAAAGGTGTTTCGCAGATCTCAGATTTTTTCATGAATCCATTTCAGATAGTCAGATTAACATCTCTAGTTATAGGTTTAAAAAAACAGAAAAAGCAAATTTTTTCATTCAGTGAATCAACAATAAAAAGTAAATATTTAGTTCTTAGCTTTTTATCTTCCCACATTATATCAGGAAAAGGCAAGACCACTTTTCAAAGGCCCCTCATTACATATAGTTTGTTTTAACAAAGTTAAAATATCTAAATTCAGGTAAATAAGATAGGAAAATCAAAAAAGAGCCTTTATAATAAACCATGCAAAACCCTGTAGCAGATGCACAAATGTCATACACATAATTAGTAAATTTGTTTCTTGATCCTCAAATGCATAAACTGCTATGGATTTAAACCTATAAGAATTCCTTTTTAATAAAATACAAATTTTCAAGAATTGACTTAAATTAATTAATATCATACATACACTGTATGCATTACCTTAAGAAGGTGTCTTGCAGCTGATGAGGCATAGTTGCAAAATCAAATGCACAGTAAGACTGGGGAAGAAAAACTTCCATGTTTTTCCGAACTTCTACAGGAGGATTAGTCATAATAGGAGCTGCACTTCCAAAGAATGGATATGAGTACCTAGAATTTAAAAAAAAAAAAAAAAAAAAAAGCCTTAATGATATGGTTTACAGATGACATTCAGTCTGTTTTTTAGAAAAAAGTATAATATGAATATTATGAGCAAATACAACTTTTTAATAGAAACATGGTAGACATAGCAATCTGTCATCTGTGTAAGAAGTTCCTTGACGGCACATGTCCTACCTTTTTTATCTCTGCACTCCCAGGGACACAGGCAGTTTCTGCCATATATAAATATTCAAGAAATGCTTCCTAAATTTATTTGTAAACCTGGTTTATTTTATACAATAGTATCCTGATTTTTTATGGGATAAAAAGCCCTTAGTCAACTCCAAAAGGATGCATTCATGGTAATCTGGTAATTATGGTAATCTTGCAAGGATGCAAACAATTCGAATGTATTATGGATGAATCAAGAGAGTGACATAACAACACTGTTTCTCCCTTTCATCACAAAGCCATGCTAGATTAAATGGAAGAATGCCTGACTACTGCTGAACTTAATTTGTATTTAAAGCCAAATATAAAGATATTATAATGTTCATTTAAATTTAATCCTGTATCTTGTTATTCATATATGAGAACTAAAATTTAAACACTATTAGTAAAAACTGCTTTCCAACAAGAAGAATTCTATGTAGTCACCCAATTCCTATATAATTATATATCCATTTAAATCATGTCATTTCCGAGGAAAGTTAAATGCCCTAGAGTTTCAGCTCCCTATGCTTACCACCACACTACAGGATTTAGTGATTAAAAGAAAAATAAATAAAGGAAGTCATGCAGATAAGAAACTTTTCAAATACCAGTGTTACCTAACCAATTCCATGACACAGCTGCAAACTACAATTTCATACCAATACAGAGCATGGTATGAAAATTTATCAACAGAAAAAGTTAAGTGGCCAGCATTTTTAAAGTGCCTTAAAATGATTCAAAGACCGAACTATTAGTCCGTATCAAATGAATTCTATGAAGAGTGTTAAGTGGACTGTAACAATTTATTTCCTCAACTTTTGCAAATGCTAATGCTTGTTCCCAAAAAATTTATGAGGAGATGCTAACTACCCCAAACTAAATACATTATTGTATTATATTTAATTTATATCTCGGGCACAAAAGACTATAAAAATGTAACATCATTAAAAACAAATTATTGTGTAAAACTACTTAACTGACATATATATTATATAAAATTCTTAATATAGAACAATGTAGACACATTCCACTTACAGCTGATTAAGTATGGTGTTTAGATTCATAGCTATGAAATGGAGGTATTAGGAATATGAGCTCCCATTATAATACAGTTTTATAGAAAAATCAGATAATACACTACCTTTTTGACCAGTAATACTTTGACTAGTATTATTATTACTTTTTTTTGACCATTATTATTATTTTGACCAGTAATACTTTTTCCAGAAAAAAAGCACTTTTCAAGTTTAAGAGGCACTGTACTTTATATGGCATATTATGTATGTTTATCAAAATACATACATGTATTATATTACTTAGAATAAGTTATTATAAATGCCTACAATTATTATATCAGAATAATAAGACAGTTACCTCTCCTACTACTATGCTACCCTTGTTTGAATTCAAAATCATTAGGATATAGCCTTACCCCCTTTTAGTCCACTGATTTAACAAATGTTATAACTTCTTTGGTGACATTTCTCTCTGCAATTCCCCAAACACAGGAAAGTCCTTTCTCTTCAGAAAATAATACTTTGAAACAAAATCAAATCACACCTTAATATACAGTTGATTGGAAAACCAATCTCCAAGGCATGTATACTCCTTAAGTCTATTGAAAAGCAAAAATGATGTGATGTTGCTGGTACAGCAATCTTCTGTCCTGAAGCTACTTCTGAAGCATTGGATGTAGTCACTAGCTGGGCCAGTGAAGCAGGTACAGAAGAACTGGCTGAAATGAACATAAAATAAAACAAAATAATCACACTTGCTAACAGTTTCTCTTAAATTGTACAGATAGTTTAAGGCTATCATCTCATTTACCTTTAAGCAGGAATTGGGCTATTTTGTCTCATGAACATATGAATTGAGGTATAAGTATCTTAAAAGTAACTCACACAAAAATAACCCAGGTTTTAATTTCCATTCTAGAATTGTGTGAAAAAAGAGCTTACTCTCAATACATATAGAAAACGTACAGAACCAATAGAGAAATATACATGACTGCAGCCTAGAAGGCACTAACTTATTTCCAAGAGGCACATAACTTAACATTTGAAGGGCTGTATATGAGACTTACTGAGATATAATGACATCACCTTTTTACAGTAATTTTGGTTATTTTAGGCATATTTAAAATAACAGAAAGCTAAAACTTAAAAAGACAGATATCTAGTCCAACCTATTAGAGATCAGAGATACTTAGTGAGTGGCCGAAGTCACACAGCCACTCAGTGACAGAGATGTAACTTACAGCAAAGACATCTAACTCCTAATCCACTACTATTTACACTACTAACTATAACTGCAATGGATGGAAAAATTTTATTAAATCAGATAAATATGCATTCTTAGACTCTCTCTTAACTTCAGGATCAAAAATGGTTATTATGAGTTTACTATAAGAGGCAGTTAACAACTGTTTTCTCCAAACTTCAAGATATTTAAGAATCTAATCATTTAAAAAATCTACTTGCAAAAACTATATTATTTAATGTCTATTGAATAGGATATTTCCAGTGTACAAGTAAAATAAAAAATTCTGTTAATTTAGAGAATTATATTTTGAAGTTAGATAGATTGCAATGACTTTGCATTGAAATTTTTTATATTTCCACACATTACTGTTTTGTTTTTTGTTTTGAGACGGAGTTCCGCTCTTGTTGCCCAGGCTGGAGTGCAATGGCGCGATCTTGGCTCACCACAACCTCCACCTCCTGGGTTCAAGCAATTCTCCTGCCTCAGCCTCCCGAGTAGCTGGGATTACAGGCATGCACCACCACGCCTGGCTAATTTTGTATTTTTAGTAGAGACGGGATTTCTCTACCTTGGTCAGGCTGGTCTCGAATGCCCAACCTCAGGTGATCCACCTGCCTCGGTCTTCCAAAGTGCTGGGATTACAGGCGTGAGCCACCGTGCCCAGCCTTATTGGTTCTTAACAAACCCACAATTTTTACTTATAACTCATGAAAGTTCTCATAGTCATTTTTTAGATGGCTGCAAAATGCAATACCTCAAAGATCTATAAACAAACAACAAAAAACCTTACCTTTTGGATTTGGTTTGGTGTCCTTATCATACTGTAAACTTTCCACTTCACTTTCTGTTGCATCATCTTTTGTTGGAGGTGACTGGTTGTGAGATGGAACAGGGGACACTGTTGGTGATTTTGGCCCAGTAAGTGTCTTCTCCTTTATGGGGGTTAAAACTTTCTTCTTTGAATGCTCTGGCTCATGTTCATTCTGGGTCTTTAATTCAATTAAAGACTAAAAACAATTTTTAAATAAAGTATAATTTGCAAAGAACTTTCCTTCATAATTAAGCAAAAAACTTGGCATTGTTTTTTAAAAATATAAGCTTCCTTTCCCAGTTTGGATATTCCTAGTCTATTTTTCTTCGTAATTTGCAAATTTCCTTATAGCATCTAGGACCAGAAAAAGGAAGATGAACAGAGGAAATATGATATCCAGAGCTGAATACCAAAATGCATCCTAATGGGTAAGAAGGGATATTTGAGAAAAGAAGTCAGGCATAGGTGTCCCCGGGAATGGTTATTCCTACCAAGGCAGTACAATGGAGAACTATACTCCTAAAGAGAAAAAACACATGTCTAGTATGACTTTCCTTCTCTCCTTTATTCCACTCCCCACTAAAAATATATGTATATGTATCTTTTAAACACTCATTTCGGTTCTTCTATCTTTAATTCACAACCTGCATAAAGATCAGCTTTTTGAAAGAACAAGATAAAGTTGATTTCTGGGAATAGATACAATAAAAAAAATACACGGCCAAATAAATGATCATCTGTGTCATGAAAACTGACTAAAGAGAGTATGAGGACTACAAAGCACTAAGGAACCAAGGATTTTATTTTGGCTCAGGTTGCATTAACCAAAAAGATATCAGTAATGCAGATTCCCAGAAACTAGGTCTAAAAATGTTCTCTTTCACTGGAGTTCCTTTTCTGGAGTTGGGGGTGGGGGAGACCATAAGTGGGTTTCCACTACACAAAAAGACTGTCTCAAAGGCTAAGAGGGCTCTGGGTAGAATCACTTATAAACCATAACAGAAGTCACAGCACTTTTCAGAAAGGAGGTATCATATAACAAAGGTCACTAATTAAGATTAATAAATATATCCTTATGAAGGTAACTCTTCTGAAATTCAACTTTTGTAAGTAATCATGCATGGGACTAGTGAAGCCAGGGGAATGAAGGAGGGCCACTACTTGCCTGGGAGTCTATGCCTTCTCTCTGCAGAGCCACAGACACTCCCACAGTTGGGGCTAGCTCCACAGGAATAGGTGCAAGCTTCTGTTTGGCTCTGTTTGGAGGGTCAAGGGTAAAAGCACCTTCGACTGTGACTGGGTGCTGGTTGATTTCTGTACTGCCCTTTTTAAGTAATCCAGTTAAAGGTATTTCTGTACTTCCAAGTGACTGGTCTCCACAGCAGAGGTGAATCTAATATGAAAGGGAAAAATCAAAATAGGGCTTTATACTTTCTCCTTTCTCCTAAATATCATAAACTTAATAAGAAGTTGTAAAATGATGCATGGAAAGAAAATATTATGCAGGTTATACCTCATTGACCTCAAGTGACGAAGTAATGAATTCTCACACATAACTGTTAAAACTGGTGATAAAACACAAAGTTTACTAAAAACTCAATAATAGCTATTACCTTTTTCATTTCTTCTTTCGGTATTACATAATCATATGTTATTGCTTCTTTTTCTGTCTCTTTGGTGAGCTACTTTAATATTTTACTATAACAAAATTAATGCATGAATTTAAACAAAAAAAACAAAGAAATACCTCAACATTTTTCTTTTTCCATTTTACCATTAATTTAAACACAGTTTCAAAAAATAAGTCAGTGGATCAATCCTGATTTGGAATTTAAAAACCTCAAATAGTTTTGTTTTTTTCACCCATAAGATATCTTGAATATTTCTCTTTTCTTGCTTTTCAGACCTCATATTAAAAAGAGTGCTTAACAGTAAGTAAAAGAATATCTCTGGAGTGGAGTATACTGTTAATCACTGATAGCTAATTAAAAATTCAATATTATCACCTTTTGACAAGTACAAAAAAAAAGACTCTTCCAGATAAATGTTATATAACTTGTTTTCCCTTACTATATTGAAGCCTTAGCAAACTTAGTATTTGAATGAATAATAAATAAGCAATCATGCTGTAAAATATATTTAGCTCTAATATCATCAGTGAAAGAGTTAAGAGAGACCTGTAACTTAGTCCCAAAGTTATTATAAGGTGTAATATTTTTATGGGCTGGAAAAAAAAGTATTTTTATGATGTAAATGTCCTCCATTAGAAACTAATAAATCAATACTTTTGGTAAGGACTGATATGTTAGATACAGAATAAAACTCAAACTGCTTTTCCCTGCATGTCACCATTTTATATAGTCTTCAGTTTTCTAAATATCTTGGGTTTAGCAGAATCATCTCTAAAATTTAGTTCTACTAAAATTTCCTAATGCTTCTTCTCACCTCCTGTCCATTACTTTATTTTAAACAAATGAGTATCTAAGCGTATACAACACCACCCTATTTCAGTTTGATCAAAAGGAAGTGTCATAAAAGACAGAAGAGTAATGCTTACTAGGTAAGGTTAACTTATCTTTTTTTTGAGACAGAGTCTTGCTCTGCTGCCCAAGCTGGAGTACACTGGTGTGATCATAGCTGACTGCAGTCTCCAACTTCTGGACTCAAGCAGTCCTTCCACCTCACCCTCCCGAGTAGTTAAGATTACAGGCACACACCACTATGTCTAAGTAATTTTTTATTTTTTGTAGAAACAGGGTCTTGCTATGTTGCCCAGGCTATTCTTGAACTCCTGGCCTCAAGTGATCCTCCCATCTTAGCCTCTCAAAGTGCTGGAATTATAGGTGTGAGCTACCATGCTCCACCAATGTTTGCTTTTAAATGGAGTCCAATTCAAAAATAGTTCATAAAAAATATTCAACTCAAGGGCAGATTTTAGAAAGCTGTCTTACCTCATTGCTTTTAACGGCAGTAAGGCATATATATTTTGAAATCGAGAGTGTGATCTGTGTGCCTACACCTAATATCTCCATTAACAATAATGAAATCTTGCTCGTGCCTGCTGCCCTAGGCTCCAGGTATAATTTTTTTTATTGCAAAGGACTGATAACTGATATACCTCTTTTCTCAATTCCTGGGAAAAGAGGTATTATCTCATAAAATTCTGAGGTAATTGTAATGCCAACAACTTCATGACTCAGGATAGTACCTAAAAAAATTAGAAGATGTGGCAGAAAGATAACCTGTACTACTGAAATAGGATTAAGTTTAGGTACTAAACTCTCGTTTAGTTTAGGTACTAAATTAATGCTTAAAAGACCACCTCCAGCTAAAAACGATTTGCTGCAATACTCACCTGCAGTTTAGACTGAAGAGCCAGGTAAACACGAAGAATTTCTACACTGCTACGGATGCGAACTGATGCTCTCTCTGGCTCAAAGTTTGGGTTGATTAAATCATTGAAGGGTTCATTTGTAACATCATTTCCCAGTAAAGAGTAGTAAAAGAAAAACTCAGGCTGTCTTTCTGGAAGTTTCATGGTACATGGAATTAACTAAACATTTCAGGAAAAAGAAAACAGTTATTACTTTCTAAACTACTGAACATGCTTAGTGTATCTATTACATTCCAAAAACATTTGCTAAAATGTTTTTTTATTTGATGTCTTAACCGCTCAAATAAAATTTCTGAATTTCTGCCAAATTACTACCAAATTACTATTTTTTTAAAAAAGAGTCGTCTTAGAAAAGCAGAGTCTAAAAGACTTTATAGATTTATGTTGTTTTAAAGTTTTCATTGCATTCAACTGGTCCATGAAAGAATATGTGAAAGTTCTACTTAGAAGAAAGAGATTAAATATTTCAAACTGAGCTTTCCTTATTTTCACATATTTTATTTCATCTCATACTTCCTCAGCCATCAGAGGCTCTATGTTATGAATGAGGAAAGGTTTTAAAGAAATTTAATCCAGGCTATCTAACATATAACATCTTAGTTGAGGTCTCCGATAAAGTTTTTAGCTATTCTGTCGAAATTTAGAGGCCTATGAAAATAACACCAAAAAAATACCTTTTGTACTATGAGTGTTACTTTTCAGAGTTGCTAGTTTCATGGCTACATATGACTAAGAGATGGGATTCTTGTCCTACAAAATATATTTTCTAACAGACCTTTAATGTTCACTAGCATACTGTTAAACAATAAGCTATAAACATTTAATGTGTTGATCAATAGGAGATGGCTTACATATAATTATCATACACCATGGCTGCTAAATAATAACACATTAACATGAAAGTTATCTAAGACACCAGTCCCTAACCATTTTGGCACCAGGGACTGGTTTCGTGGAAGACAATTCTTCCACAAACAGGAGGGTATAGGGGGAATAGTTACAGGAGGAAACTGTTCTACCTCAGATCATTAGGCATTGGATTCTCATAAGGAGCACGCAACCTAGATCCCTTACATGTGTAGTTGACAATAAGGTTCGTGCTCCTATGAAAATCTAATGCCACCACTGATCTGATAGGAGGCAGAGCTCGGGCCCTAATGCTCACTTGCCCGCTGCTCACCTCCTGCTGTGTAGCCGGTTCCTAACAGGCCACAAACCTGTACCAGTCCGCAGCCTGAGGGTTGAGGATCCCTCTCTAAGATACACTGTTGGCTTAAAAAAATTACAGGACAGTTTGTATAGTTTGTGAAAATAAAAGTACTAACCACTTAGATTACAATAGCACAGTACCAGACACATAATAAATGTAAGTTATTTTAATCCTGCACTTTAAAATGTATTCATGTTTAAGTGAGGAGATTTTAATCATGTGGACTTACACACATTGAGAGGAGCACCTATGCACTTATAATTGTTACAATCACAAATTCTGGAGTCAGATCCCAAACCCTAACTCTAGTTCCATCAGTAACTTACTGTGAAATTTTAGAAAAATTACTTAATCACTGTGTGTATGCACTTGTTTTAGGGTTGTTGGAAGGATTAAAAGAGATACATAGTCGCTGCTACAACAATGCCTAGCACACAGCTGTTGTTATGTGAGAATGGAAAATACCTAGAGAAGAACACACTAACCATTACAGTGATTATTCTGGAGGGGTTTAGAGAAGATTTTCATTTTCTTTTACTTTCTTTCATGATCATACAGCAATAAAAACATTAAGAAATAAAGATCCTTATATATTTCACAGTACATTTAATTCTGAATTATTCCCATTATGGGAAGAAATTCTTTAAAAATTCTTTATTATCCTGATATTTAGAGACTACTTTTTTCCTACTCTTAACTTTCAGTATTTAAGAAAAGAAGGAAGCAAGATTGTCACTAGCCGGCCTTCCTGCTCCAAACTCAATCCTCCATTCTATTAAAACTTTATAGTAACATGTGCTAAGTCACTGATTTGCATCTGAAAAGGTTTGTAAATCTGTTTATTGCTAGATGCTTTCTCACATTGCCTTTGACTAAGTTGAGAGGAAAAAATTAAACAGCTAATTTCATCCCAAACATAAACAATACAATCATTAAGCAGCAACACCCTACCATCCATACTCTCCTGCCCCCAGTCCCTGGAAATCACAAATCTGCTTGTAGGAACTTTTGCCTATTGTGGATGATTCATATAAATGGAACCACACAATATGTGGCCTTTTGTGTCTTGCTTCTTTCACTTAGCATGTTTCCACCATTCCTTTATGTTGTGGCATGTATCAGTACTTCATTCCTTTTTTTTTTTTTTTTTTGAGACAGATTCTTGCACTGTCACCCAGGCTCGAGTGCAGTCGCATGATCTCGGCTCACTGCAAGCTCCGCCTCCTGGGTTCACGCCATTCTCCTGCCTCAGCCTCCCAAGTACCTGGGACTACAGGCACCCGCCACCACACCCAGCTAATTTTTTTGTATTTTTAGTAGAGATGGGGTTTCACCATGTTAGCCAGGATGGTCTCGATCTCCTGACCTCGTGATCCGCCCTCCTCAGCCTCCCAAAGTGCTGGGATTACAGATGTGAGCCACTGAGCCTGGTCTCCATTCCTTTTTTTTTTTTTTTTTTTACTATAAAGATGGAGGTCTCGCTATGTTGCCCTGGCTGGTCTTGAACTGTTGGGACTGAAGGGATCCTCTTGCCTCAGGCTCCTGAGTAGCTAAGATTACAGGTGTATGCCACACCACCCACAGGTAGTACTTTGATAGCTAAATTGTATTTAATTGTATAGATATGCCAAAGTTTGTTTATCCATTCATCTATTGAGGGCATCTGGGTAGTTTTCACCTTTTGGCTATCATGTATAGTATTGCTATAAACACTCACATACAGATTTTTATTTGAATACCTATTTCCAATACTTTTGGGTGTATACCTAGGAGTAGTATTGCTGATCATGTGGTAATTCTGTTTAACTTTGTGAGGAATCTATCTGCCTTAATTTTTTATAGAGATAGTAAACAATTTGCCAGACATCAACCTGTGTGTTTTTTTTTTTAAACTAAACTGAAACAGTAATTTGTCCCAGTAATTCACCTGTATTACCAAGAACTGTATTATATTGGTTTTTAAAAGTTATGGACTCAATAGGTCAATTACCCATAGGAAACTTTACCATACAAATGTAGCTTCTCACAAACAACATGGTAGGCACCTTAGTAATATTACCTCATTCCTCATGCACAACTGAAAAGATGGTAACTATCACGACTACATAAAATCAAGCCTCAAAAAGGTTAAGTAACTTGCCTAAGTTGAAGGAGCTAGAAAACAGAATGAGATTCCAACTCAAATCTATCTTATTCCAAACTCATTAAGAGGCAAGAGAGCATTATATGGGAACAAGAGAATATTAAAAATGACCACGTGGTCAGAAATACTTGGGCCATTAACTAGCTGTAAGATCTTCCTAAGACTTGCTTTCCTTATCTCTAAAATGAAAATGATCAACTCTAAGATTGTGGTAGGATTAAACACAAAATATGCAGAGTGGGTGGCACAATGTCTACTATACAAAGCATTACACAGTAAGTAATCAATAAATATGAACAATTATGCTTCCCTAAGGAGGATAAAAGTATTAAAACAGTGATTTTAAATTCAGCTGGGCATGGTGGCTCATGACTGTAATCCTAGCACTTTAGGAGGCCAAGGCAGGAGGATCACCTGAGGTCAGGAGTTTGAGACCAACCTGGCAAATATGGTGAAACCCCATCTCTACTAAAACTATAAAAACTGGCCAGGTGTGATGGCAGGTGCCTGTAATCCCAGCTACTTGGGAGGGTGAGGCAGGAGAATCACTTGAACCGGGAAGGCAGAGGTTGTAGTGAGCTGAGATTGCACCATTGCACTCCAGCCTGGGTGACAAGAGCGAGGCTCCACCTCAAAAAAATAAAAATAAAAAATAAAATGCTTTGCAAATATGGTAACAACACAGTAAAAATACAGTACATTCCTAATTATCTGACATATAGACAAGAGTGTTCTGATGTGGTTAATAAATAAAAAGGCAATAGATATCTGGCTTTCCCTGCAACTAGAGTGGCATATTAAACTATTAACAATCCATAAGCAGACCTTTAAGAGAAGAAAAATACGGAAACTGATATAAAGGCAAAAGTATGTATGTATCAGTGAGGAAATTTACAGTACCAAATAAGGAGAGAAAGAGTAAATGCTCAAAGAACACCAAGTTCTTTATATAGTGGGGATGAATTCAGTGTGACAAAGTAAACACATTTCCTGATAAAAATCTTTACCTGATGTACCTTGCAAGTCAAATAAAATTGTGGCCACTAATTGCAAATTTCATTTGTGAATGTGGATTACGTGGACATTTTGTTCCTCTAAGAAAGTAAATAAGGCCGGGCATGGTGGCTCACACCTGTAATCCCAGCACCTTGCGAGGCTGAGGTGGGATGATCATTTGAGGCCAGGAGTTCAAGACCAGCCTGAGCAGCATAGTGAAACCCTGTCTCTACAAAAAAATTAAAAATTAGGTGGGTGTGGTGGCACATGCCTATAATCCCAGCTACTCAGGAGGCTGAGGCAGAAGGATCAACTGACTCTTGGAGCTTGAGGCTACAGTGAGCTATGATCATGCCAAGGCACTCCAGCCTGGGCAACAAAGAAAGACCTGTCTCTTAGGGGAAAAAGTGGGGAGGGGAATACTCTGATAAAAATTGTACAGTTATAAACCATATTATCTATTTTTGTAAGTATTAATTCATTTCAGCTACTACAGAACAACATAATGTCAAGAAAAGTAGATCTGTAAAACCAAGTTGATGGCAGAGGAGGGAAAAAAAAAGGGAAGTGGACTTGAGAGGGACAGTGGAATAACAGCTAGTTTTGTGTTGAGCCGCTGTTGGGAAGGCAATCTACCATGAGCCCTGAGCATCCCTGGACATTCTTGCAGAGTATGGCAAGACTGCAAGGCCCAGACCACTCTTTTACTCAGCCCATTTCCCAGGGTTGTTTAAGCAGCTTGAGAGATAAGGTAATGTGTCTTCCTGGACAAAGACTAGGCCTGCTTACTGCTTACAATGAAAGTGGCAGGTTCCCCAAATTCAGTTTCCTCAGCTGTGATAAAACCCACTATGTGTAGAGCAACCACCTGGGCCCCTCTGTGTAGTCCCCATGGGACCTGGGGTAAGGGCAACTGAAGGAAATATACCAATATTCATGTTCTTGCTCTGCTACTAAGGGTAATAAATTCTTTTGTTTCTGATCCAAGAACCTGTGTCTTCTGCTAGCATCCATGACAGTAACAGCTTAATTTATTAGTTTATAAACAAGATAAAATAGAACCCAAAACTCTATAGGCATTAAGTATTAGTGGCAGAAAGTATTCCTGACATTGTAAGTTTCTCCAAAAAGTAAATCGTTCACAAATTTAAAAATCCTTCCATGTCAGTCCTTACAATGCCACACAGTACAATGGAAAACAATGTTAACTGATGGCCATTCTCCTAAATCCTGAGAGATTTATTCTCTTACAATCAAGATCATCAAAATCTATTTTTTCTAAATTAAGAAGTTTTCTTTCCAGTATGAAAGAAAACATGTTTTGAACTCATTTTTCAAAAGTTAAAAAAAAAAAGTCTACTTGCAAGTCTTTTTAATACCTGAAAGGTAAAATGTTTTACATAGTTTTCAAATTATTCGTAAGTCACCAATCTCATGAAAAGTCTCACCTGTTCCAACTGGGTAGCAAATGCTATGGTCACTGACATAATAAAGGAGTCAGTACAGTATTCTGCTGGTCCAATCTGATGGTAGCCTCCCTCTTCATTCAGCACAGCCACAATGTCCCTGGGGTCAAGTCCAGCCAGGATGGCAGGTACTTTACAGAGAAAAACACGATTAAACTACATTGTAGTTTGTCATAAACCATTATAAGATTTTTAAAACTGATTATATTTTGTAATTTGCTTGGTAATTTTCATGAATACAGTTAATATCTAATAAGGTTTCCTTTACTCTCTTACATACTCACCAAAGAAACCTTACTTAACCAGCATTGTCTTTCTGTATGTAAAAGTAAAATTCTGGAGTAACATTTTTAAAACCTTAAGGTAATAAACCACATAGAAAAGGCATCTAACATAGGTTTTACAGTGAATCTAAACTGGAAAGTGAATAAGCTAGATATGGCTAAGAAGAAAAGGGCAGCTGAACAGGGAATGGGGGAGTAAAAAAAAGAGTGTTCTAGACAGAAGGGACAGTATGTACAAAAACACAGAAGCAAGAGAAAGCATGTGTGAGAAAACTGACACAGGCATAGGGTGCCAGATCACAGAGTGAGAACCGACATACAGAGGGAGGTGGGGCTGGATAAGCAGAGGCCATATCATACAGTCCTTCTGTATGCTATCCAGAAACATTTTTGGATAGTTTTCTAAGAATAAGAGAAAATCATGAAACTAGTTTTGAGAAGAAAACTGACATAATCAAATAGGCTTTAGTATGAGGAGACTGAAGAGGGACAAGGTTTTTCAAATTGATTTAAAAAACAAAAAACATACACAACTAAAATAATTGATAATATCCAATGTTGAGGAGAACGCAGGAAAGTGAATGCTCTCAATGTTGGCAGGTACATGCTAGAATAACCAATTAGAGGGTGATATATCAGGGCCTATCAAAATTTTACATGTGCATACCCTATAAACGAGCAATCCTTCTTCTAGGAGTTAATCCTAAAGAGTTGTGCTTACAGTAGCAGTGGCTGAAAACAGTATAATAATTAAGAGCACAGATATCTAAGTCGCATAGACCAAGGTTCCAATCCCAGTTCTGTCCTTGACTTGTTGCACAGGGAACCCATATCCATCTCTTTTAGTCTCCATTTTTTTTTTTCTAGAAAGCTTTTATAGAGTTGTTGAAAGATCAAATCAAATAATGAAAGCAAAGCATTTAGCACAGACTCTGACCCATTAAGCACTTTAATAAAGGCAGCCGTCATACAATAAGGCCAATAGAGCTTAGAAGTTAAAATAAGTATGACATGTTCTCACTGACAGGGAAGGGAGTTACAAATAGGGTGAAGATGAAAACTAGAATCTTGCGGTGCTGGAATGGAATTGAAGGTGTCAATCTGAATTGACAATATATATACTGAAGCGTCTATATACATATATATAGAGCAGCATCAATTCAGATATCATATATATACATATATATACACATAAATACATACATATACATATATATATGGCTTTTTTTTTTTTTTTGCAGAGCTAGCTGAGGTTTTATTTTGGACCAAAAAAAAAAAAAAAAGCAACTGAATTGTTTTGTAGCTGGAGGCATGGGCAAAGGGGGGGTCCCCAGGCAGTAAACTCCCCCGCGGGTGGACTGAGGCCTAGGGCTGAGCCTCAGGTGGGTCTCCTGTTCCCAGTGCTACCCTGCATAGTGACCTCCCTCCCAGGCTCTGGGGCAGCGCAGGAGGGGTAGGCTGGGAGGGGCTGCCACAGCTGTTCACTTGGGCAGGACGTCAGAGGACTCGGACACCAGCTTCCCATCACGTGTCTCGATCTTCACAACCACGGCCCTGGAGTAGCTGGTGCGGCTGAAGGAGCTGGCGCCCAGGCCGTAGCTGAGGCCGGGGCTTGTGAGGCCCCCACAGGCCGAGCTCAGACCACTTGCATAGCCGCTGGTGGTCTTCGTATGAATACTCATGTTCTGCATCCCAGACTCCAGCCGGCTCTCCTCGCCCTCCAGCAGCTTCTTGTAGGTGGCGATCTCGATGTCCAGGGCCAGCCTGACGTTCATCAGCTCCTGGTACTCACGCAGCTGCCACGCCATGTCCTGCTTGGCCCGCTGCAGGGCGGCCTCCAGCTCGACAACTTGGCGTTAGCATCCTTAATGGCCAGCTCTCCACACTGCTCGGCATCTGCAATGGCGGCCTCCAGGAAAGCCCTCTGGCCTTTGAGGCCCTCATTCTCAGCCTGGAGCCGGCTGATGTTCCGGTTCATCTCGGAGATCTTAGTCTTTGTGCACCGCAGGTTATCCCCATGCTTCCCAGCCAGACTCTGCAGCTCCTCATCCTTGATCTGGTACATGCTCTCAGCCTCGGCCTGGCTGCGGTTGGCGATCTCCTCGTACTGTGCCTTGACCTCAGCGATGACGCTGTTCATGTCCAGGGAGCGGCTGTTGTCCATGGACAGCACCACAGATGTGTCTGAGATCCAGGACTGCAGCTCCCGGATCTCCTCTTCATACAGCTGCCTGAGGAAGTTGATCTCATCAGTCAGCCCTTCCAGGCGAGACTCCAGCTCTACCTTGTTAATGTAAGCTTCATCCACAATCCTTCTTGATGAGGACAAATTCATTCTCCATCTCTGCACGCTTATTGATCTCATCCTCATACTTGTTCTTGAAGTCCTCCACCAGCCCCTACATGTTGCCAAGCTCCGCCTCCAGCTTCAGTTTCTCCTAGCCCAGAGTCTCCAGCTGCCGCCTAAGGTTGTTGATGTAGCTCTTGAACATGTTGTCCATGTTGCTCCCGGCCGTCTTCTGCTGCTGCAGGAGGCTCCACTTGGTCTCCAGCATCTTGTTCTGCTGCTCCAGGAACCGTACCTTGTCTATGAAGGAGGCAAACTTGTTGTTGAGGGTCTTGATCTGCTCCTTCTCCTGGGTGCACACAGCCTGGATGTCGGGGTCCACCTCCAGGACAAGGGGGCTCAGCAGGCTCTGGTTGACTGTGACCGCGGTGATGCCTCCCATGCCGCTGGCCCCACCACAGCCGCCGCCCAGGCCACCCCGAAAGCAGCTGCTGCCCACTTGGGAGAAGCTTGAGGAGCTGATGTGGGCACCGGGCCCACTTGTGTAGGAGTGGCTGCTGAAGGCCCGGGGGCCAGAGGTGGACACCTTGTAGGACTTCTGGGTCCCCTAATGGACATGGTGGAGGCAGGAGTGGAGGCAGGCGGGCCGAACCAGGCAGAGATCCTAGAAGGAGCGGAGAAGCTGCTTCTTGGTCTGTTTTTTGTTTTTTATTGAGACAGAGTCTTGCTCTGTCACCCAGGCTGCAGTGGATCTCGGCTTACTGCAACCTCTGCCCCCCCGGATTCAAGCAATTCTGCTGCCTCCGCCTCCTGAGTAGCTGGGATTACAGGCTTGTGCCACCAAGCCAGGCTAATTTTTTCTATTTTTAGTAGAGAAGGGGTTTCACCATGTTGGCCAGGCCAGTCTCAAACTCCTGGCCTCAAGTGATCCACCTGCCTCAGCCTCCCAAAGTGCTGGAACAGGCGTGAGCCACCGCACCTGGCACTGTTCAATGTATATTGATAAATATAAGCAAAATGGTGTATATGTGCTATGGTTTCAATGTGTCCCCTCCAAAACTCAGGTGTTGAAACTTAATGGCCAATGTGATGGTATTAGGAGATATGGTCTTAAACAGGTGATTAGGTCATGAGAGCTCCTCCCTAATGAATGAGATCAGGTGCCCTTATAAAAAGGCTTGGTGGAGAGAGTTCCTCTCTTGCTCTTCAGCCTTCCAATATGTGAGGATGTAGGACGAAGTCCCTCACCAGATGCCAGTGCCTTGATCTTGAACTTCCCAGCCTCCAGCACTGCGAGAAATAAATTTGTTCTTTATAAATTACCCAGTCTGTAGTGTTCTATCATAGCAGCACAAAACAGGTAAGACCATATGTATATATACAAATGTGTGTATGTATTTATATGTGTGTGTACACATATATGCACAAATTCCCTCACTTTGTCTACTGAAAGGGCCTGGGAACAGTGACACCTCGATATCAGCTAACATACCTAGCACCTAGATCTTGGCTTCTAAAAATCATTCTTTACCGAAAGGAAGCAGGGCTCCTTAGAGAAATGGCTGAATCCAGAGCTGAGACAGAGTAAGCACAAGATGAGCTTGGAACATCTTGCTGTGCCTGAAAATATTTGTTGATAAGTTCAAAGAATCATGGAGACATTCAAAAGGAAACAAAAGCAACTTAAAAGGGCTGCCCAAATCTGGGACAAACAATTAAGCGTAGTTAAATATTGTAAAACACTAAATAAAAAGAGAAAACTGTAAATTCACACTGATATAAATAAACGAATTGAAGGTCTAATGAGAAATTGAATATATTCATAATTTCACAATTCTGCCCCACAAAAGAGTTATTAATTACAAAGGAAAAAAGAGCAAGTTTACAGTTGAGAGCACTAACATACAACACTTTAATCAAGTAATCAAAGTTAGCATCAGAAATAGGACAAATCAAAATTGTGCACCACCTGATAAGATGCAATGGGAAGAACGTGGCATCTGTTCGATGATATTTCTGCCAAAGATGCATAAGCTAAATCTAAAATCAGACAAACTCAAGTCATGAAACAATCTACAAATTAACTGGCCTGCAATCTTCAAAATTTCAAGGTCATGGAAAGATCAAGGAACTATTTCAGAATACACAGATATAACAATTCAATGTAACATCTAATTCTAAACTAAATCCTTTTCCTATAAAGGAAATTATTGGGAAAAGACAATTGGTAAAACAAAACTCAAATGAAATTAGGTGGTAGCAATGTATCAATGTTTCATTAATGTAATAAGGTTACATGTGTTAATATATTGATGTAAATTTCCCAGTTCTGATGGATATACCACGGATATGAAGGAGAATGCTCTAATAAATACTCCAAATATTCAGGTGCATTAGGTAGTAAATTCCTCTCAAACAGTCCAGGGAAAAATATTCTTCTTCATATTTCCAACTTTTGGGGAAGACTGAGATTATTTCACAACGAAAACAAATTCTTAAAATTTTTTTTCACTGAGGGAAAAAATAATAAAGCCTCTAGAATCTGACTTCCAAGCTCACATCCTGACTTCACTACGTACAATGTATGCCATTTTGGCAAACACATCGCTGAAATTCAATTTAACCATCTCTTGGGTTTATGGTGCCTAGAGGTCATCCAAAAGAAGATGTCCAGGAGGCAAGTGATATTTGGGTCCAAAGGCCTAAGTGGGGGTCTTCGGCACAGAAGAGTATGATTGTATGACTGATGCCTGGTAAATAAATAGTATTGCATTGGAAGAGCGTGTACAGAATGAGAAGAAATTTCTTTAATATATAAAGGTTGGGAAGAGAACGAAAAGGCCAAAAGGAAGTTAAGAAGTACTGGTAAGAGAAGAAGCTGAAGAAAAGTTATTGTTAAAATACTGAATTATAATATCTTCTCAATTCAAAAGGTAATTCTCAACTCAGAATTAAACTTTTAGGACAACTATTTATAAATTCACTGAACTAAGAATATATGTGCCAATACAAACACCGCTATTAACATTAGTTTTCCATGTAAGTCTAGGACATTCCATGCAACATGACTGAAGCATAGTAGAATATCAATTGTATGATTTCAATTTCACTATTTGTTTCTCTCACTTCCAGAAGACACCTTCTTCCTCTACAGAAAAAGTTTACAGAAGAGATGTAATCACAAAATATTATAGTAGGAAAAAACTTTCGAGACTATCTCATCCAACTCCATCATTTTACCTAAAAGAAAATAGGGACTGTAAAACATTGAAGAAGAAATATGCAGTCTGGCACATAGAGCTTAGAAATCTTCAGTTAGCCCTAATAGCAAATAAAAAGTTGAACAAACTAAAAATTAACAACTCTCCATAGATCTGTCAGAGAAGTGAGGTCTCAGGAAAACTGCTGCTCCCCAAAACTAAGGAAACAGACAGGGAGCTACGGAGAATCACAATTTTGGAACAGAAAGAGCCAATGCAGTAAGTAGGAAAACGTGAACTGGGATGAACTGCTAGTAGCTTGGTGTGAACCAGCCTGAGAGATAAAAACTCCAGGGGACCCAGTCACAAGGCAGCCCCACACTTTCGTGACTTTTACCTCCAGGGAGCTCTACCAGGTCCTCACAGTGAATATCAGAGAAAAGTTCCCTCATTCTTCTGGCATAGGGAAGAGAAAAGAAACCATTCTGAAACATGCCAGACAATTCTGTTCTTGTTAACAAGGCCTGCCCTCGGAGAAACTATTTGCCAGAGCCTAACCTGTTGAGGTTCTATCAGAGCCTAACTGACCAGGGAGAAGAGAAATACCCAACTCCAGCTGCCTCTGGTCTTCCATGCAAGGGAAGGGAATACACAACTCCAGCCCCTCCAGACACTCTGCCCCATCTAAGGGAAGAAAAAACTGAGAAGCAATGGTGAAGTTCAGATCCAAGGGGCACAGGCTCAGTAAAAGACTGAGACCTAACCATAAGGCTATAGAATGCTTCCCCTTCCTGACTCCTGACCACTACATTACTAAGGCCTATTTACAGCAGTTCCTTTTGTCCCATACATCATGTCCGGCTTACAACAAAAAATTGCAAGGCATACTAAAAGGAAAAAAAAAATACAGTTTGAAGAGACTAAACAAGCATCAGAACTAAAGTCAGATATGGCAGGAATGTTGGAATTATCAAAACAGAAAAAATTTTTAACTATGATTAATATGCCTTATAAGGCTTTAATGAAAAAAGTAGACAGCATACAAGAACAGAGAGATAATGGGAGCAGAAAGATGCTAAAGTGTAAGAAAGAATAAAAAAGAAATGCTAGAGACAAAAATACTAAAACAGAAATGAATGACTATGAGAATTGGTTCATTAGTAGGTGGGACACAGGCTGAGGAAAGAATCTCTGAGCTTAGTATGACAATAGGAGTTTCCAAAACTGGAAGATCAAGAGAAAAAAGACTGGGGGAAAAAAAAAACCACAGAACAGAACAGAACATCTCAGAACTGTGAGATAACTAAAAACGGTGTAATAAACACAGACTGGGAATACCAGAAGAAAAAAGAGAGAAAGGAACAGAAGAAATATTTGAAGCAATAATTACTGAGAATTTCCCCCAATTAATGTCACACACCAAACCACAGATTCAGGAAGCTCAGAGAACACTAAGCAGGATAAATGCCAAAAAAAAAAAAACTTGCTGCTAGGCATCCCATATTAAAACATCAGAAAATCAAAGCTAAAGAAAAAATACTGAAAGAAGCCAAACGGGAAAAAAAAAATCTTACCTCTAAGGGACCAAAGATAAGAATTACATCCAATTTCTCAGAAGCCATGCAAGCAAGAAGGGTAGAGTGAAGTATTTACAATGTTGAGAAAAAAAAAAAAAACCACCACCCTAGAATTCTGTGCCCAGTAAAATTATCCTTCAAAAGTGAAGGAGAAATAAAAACTCTCAGACAAATAAAAATTGAGGGCATTTGTTGCCAGTAGACCTGTGTGCAAGAAATATTAAAAAGTTCTTCACAGACAAGAAAAATGGCATGGGTAAGAAGCTCAGATCTACACAAAGAAATGAACATCAGAGAATAAATGAAAGTAAAATAAAAACTTTTATTTTTTATTCTTAATTGATCTAACAGATAAAAGGTTCTTCAATTATTATGTGTGTGTGTGCACGCATGCACATGTGTATGCTGAGGTATAACTGAAATGAAAGCAATGATACAAGGGACAAGAAGGAGGGATTAGTAATATTTTATTTTAAAATACCTAAAACAACCTGTGAAGCAGTATAGTGTTATTTGAAGCTGGACCTTCAAAGTAAAAGCAGTATACTGTTATTTGAAATTTGTAAATGTATAGTGCAAACTCTAGGGCAACCACTAAAAAAGTAAAAAAAAAAAAAACAAAAAACAAAAAAGTATAACTGATATGCAAGAAAGAGAAAATTAAAACCACAAATGTGGGAAAAGAGTTACAGACAAAAACAGGAATAAGAAACAAGAGAAACAAATATAAAACACTAATAAGGTTATTCATGCAACTATATTAATAATCACCTTGAACATCAATAGTTTAAATGCACCAGTTAAAAAACAGATTGTCAGAGTGGACCAAAAAACAAGATCCAACTATATGTTGTTATCTATAAGAAACCCACTTTAAATATAAAAACAAATATAGATTAAAAGCTATACTAATCAAAAGAAAATGGTAGTAGTTATATTAATTTCAGACAGAACAGACTTCAGACCAAAGAAAGTTCACAGGGAAAGGAGGAATATTACATGATGATAAAGGAGTCAATTCTGCAAAAAGACAAAATAATTTTTAACGTGAATGCACCTAACAGAGTATCAAAATACATGCAGCAAAAACTAACAGAGCTGCAAGGAGAAATAGTTGAATCCAACTTGGAGACTTTAACACACACTATCAGAAATGGACAGATCCAGCAGGCAGAAAATCATTGACATAACTGAACTCAACATTATCAATCAACTGGATGCAATGGATATCTATAGACCACTTCAAACAACAACAGCAGAATACACATTCTTCTCAAGCTTACGTAGAAAGTTCACCAAGACAGAGCAATTCTGGGCCATAAAACACACCTTAACACATTTAAGAACAGAACCGTGTCTGCTGTCAGGCTACATAAACTAGAAATCAGTAACAGAGATAGCTGGAAAATCCCAAAATACTTTGAGATTAAACAATATACTTCTAAATAACACATGGGTTAAAAAAAAATCTCAAGAGAAATTTAAAATATCTTGAACTAAATGAAAATGAAAACACAACAAAAATTGTGAGATGCAATTTTTATTTGTCTGAGAGTTTTTATTTCTCCTTCACTTTTGAAGGATAATTTCGCTGGGCACAGAAATTGTGACATGCAATGAAAGCAGTGCTTAGAGAAAGATTTATAGCATTAAATGCATATGTCTGTTAGAAGAGAAGATCTAAAATCAAACATCTAAGCTTCCACCTTAGGAAACCAGAAAAGGAGCAAATTAGGTCCAAGTAAGCAGAAGATAATAATAAAAATTACAGCAAATCAATAGAACTGAAGACAGGAAATCAATAGAGAACAATTAACAAAATCAAAAGCTGGTTCTCTGAAAAGATAAATAAAATCAATAAGCCTCCAGCCAGGCTCAATAAGAAAAAAAAAAAAGAAAGGATACAAATTACCCATACCAGAAATGAAAGATGGGATCACTACAGAGCCTACCGGTATTAAAATAATAATAAAGGAATACTATGAAGATGTCTAGGCCCACAAATTTGATAATCTAGATGAAATAGACCAATTCCTTGAAAGACACAATATGCCAAAACTCATACAAGAGTAAATAGACAATCTGAATAGGCCTATTATCTATTAAAGAAATTGAGTCAATAATCAATAACCTTCCCAAACAGAAAGTACCAGGTCTAGAGATCACTGGTGAATTCCACCAAACATTTAAGGAAGAAATTATACCAATTCTCTATAATCTCTTTCAGAAGACAGAAACATAGAGAATACTTCCTAACTCATTCTATGAGGCCAGCATCATCCTAATACCAAAATCAAAGACATTACAATAAAGAAAAGAAAACAAACAAAAAATACAGACCAATATCTCTCATGAACACAAATGCAAATATCTTCAACAAAATATTAGCAAATCAAATCCATCAGTGTATAAAAAGAATAATAGGCCGGGCATGGTGGCTCACACCTGTAATTCCAGCACTTTGTGAGGCTGAGGTGGGAGGATCACTTGAGCCCAGGAGTTCGAGACCAGTCTTGGCAACATAGGGAGACTGCATCTCTACAAAAGGTTTTTAGAAAGAAAAATAATTATACACCATGATCAAGTGGGATTTATCCCAGGTATGCAAGTCTGGTTCAACATTCAAAAATCAATTAATGTAATCCATCACATCAACAGCCTAATGAAGAAAAAAAAATCACATAATCTTATCAATAGATGCAGAAAAAGTATTTGACAAAATCCATTATCTATTAATGATAAAAACTCTCAATAAACCAGAATTAGAAGGAAACTTCCTCAACTTAATAAAGAATATATAAAAACCTACAGCTAACATTATACTTAATGGTGAAAAACCTGAAGCATTCAAGATCAGGTACAAGACAAGGATGTCCCCTCTCACCACTTCTTTTCAACATCATACTTAGAGCCTTACTAATGGAAAAGAAAAGGAAATAAAAAGTATACAGATTAGGAAAGAAGAAATATAATTCATCAGGTACAAGACAAGGATGTCCCTTCTCACCACTCCTTTTCAACATCATACTTAGAGCCTTACTAATGCAAAAGAAAAGGAAATAAAGAGTATACAGATGAGGAAAGAAGAAATATAATTGTCTTTGTTCACAGAGGACATGATTACATAAAAAATATGTGGAAAGAATCAACAACAACAAAAAGAATTTTAAAAAAGGCCAGGTGTGGTGGCTCATGCCTGTAAGCCCAGCACTTTGGGAGGCCGAGGCAGGCGGATCACCTGAGGTCAGTAGTTTGAGAATGGCCTGGCCAATGTAGTGAAACCCTCTCTCTACTAAAATACAAAAATTAGCCAGGCATGGTGGCATATACCTGTAGTCCCAGCTACTCAGGAGGCTGAGGCAGGAGAATCGCTTGAACCTGGGAGTCGGGGCTGTGGTAAGCCAAGATCGCACCACTGCACTCCAGCCTGGGTGACAGAGTGAGATCCTGTCTCAAAAAACAAAACAAGCAAAAAAAAAAAAAAAAAAAACCACACACACACACACACACACACAAGTGATTATAGCAAGGTTATAAAATACAAAGTTAATACACAAGTCAACAGCTTTCTTATATGCCAGCAACGAACAAATAAAATTTACATGAACACCCCCAAAAATAAAGAATTCGTATATAAATCTAACAAAATATGTAAGATCTATATGAAGAAAACTATAAAACTCTGATAAAAGAAATCAAAGAACTAAATAAATGGAGATAGTGCATGTTCACAGAAGACTCAATATTGGCAAGATGTCAGTTCTTCCTAATTTGATCTACAGATTCAATACAATCCCAATAAAAATCCCAGCAAATTATTTTGTAGATACTGACAAATTCTTAAGTTTATATGGAGAAGCAAAAGAACCAGAACAGCCAATTCAATATTGAAGAAAAAGAATAGAGTCAGAGGACTGACACTGACTTCAAGTCTTACTTGAAGCTACAGTAATCAAAACAGTGTTGCATTGACAAACAAATAGACAAATAGATCAATGGAGCATAATAAAGAGACCAGAAATAGACTCACATAAGTAAAGTCAACTGATCTTTGACAAAGGAGCAAAGGCAATGCAATGGAGCAAAGAAAGTCTTTTCAACAAATGGTGCTGGAACAACTGGACATCTACATGCAAAAAGTGAGTCTAGACACAGACCTTACAACCTTTCCAAAAATTAACTCAGAATGGATTACAGACCTAAATGTAAACTGCAAAACTATAAAAGTCCTAGAAGATAACAAAGGAGAAACCTAGATGGCCTTGGGTGGTGGCAACAATTTTTCAGATACAACTACAAAGGCACAATCCATGAATGCAACAACTCATAAGCCGGACTTCATTAAAATTTAAAACTTCTGCTCTGGGAAAGACAATGTCAAGAGAATGAGAAGATAAGCCACATACTGGGAAAACATATTTGTAAAATACATATCTGATAAAGAACTATTATCCAAAATATACAAAGAACTCTTAAAATTCAACAAGAAAATGAACAACCCAATTTAAAAATGGGCCCAAGACCTGAGCAGACACCTCAAAGAAGATACACACATGGTAGGTAAGCATATGCAAACATGCTCAACATCCTATGTCATTGAGGAATTGCAAATTAAAACAACAATGAGATACTATGATATACCTAGTAGAATGGCCAAAATCCAAAACACTAACACCACCAAATTCTGGTAAGAATATGGAGCAACAGAAATTCTCATTCATTGCTAGTGGGAATGCCAAATAGCACGGCCACTTTGGAAGGCAGTGTGGATATTTCTTACAGAACTAAACATACTCTTACCACATGATCCAATGACTGCAATCCTGGATATTTACCCAAATGAACTGAAAACTTCTGTCCACATAAGAACCTGCACACAGATGTTTACAGCAGTTTACAGTACCTTTATTTATAATTGCCAAAAGTTAGAAGCAACCAAGATGTCCCTTAGGAGCTGAGTGAAAAAATAAACTGTGATACATCCAGACAATTGACTATAAGCACTCAAAAGAAATGAGCTATCAAGCCATGCAAAGACATGAAGTAACTTACATGCACTTATGACTAAGGGAAAGAAACCAATCTGGAAAAGGCTACATACTATATTATTCCAACTATATGACATTCAGGAAAAGGCAAAACTATGGAGACAGTAAAAAAGATCAATAGCTGCCAAGGGGATGGGAGGAGGGAGGAATGAATAGGTGGAGCACAGATGATTTTTAGGGTGGTGAAACTATTCTGTATGATACTACAATAGTGGATACTACAAGTCATTTACATTTGTCAAAACCCATAGAATGTCCAACACCAAGAGAGAAACCTAATGTAAACTATAGACCTTGGGTGACACTGATATGAATGATATGATATGTTCATGCATTGTAGTATCACCACTCTGGTGTGGCATGTTGACAGCAAGAGAGGCTGCAAGTATGTGGGGACAGGGAGTATATAGGAGAACTCTCATTTCTCTCTGCTCAATTTTACTGTGAAACTAAAACTGCTCTAAAAAATAAAGTTTATTAATTAAAAAAGAAAAAATATAAAGGTTTTGTTAACCTACAGTTGAGTTAATAAATAGAGAACAGCATGATCATTTTGGGCTTTCCTGTACTCATCCTAGGAAGAAAACTGTCCTAAGTGGCAAATTTTTAAAACTATACAAAATTGTGCTTTGTTCTATTACATACCAAATAAAGAATAAATTTTCCTATTTCTAAGATTTGCAAACAAGAGCTAAGAGCAACAAGTGCTGCATGTGTAACAATGTCACAATATTTGTCTGATGAACAGTTTACACCCTGCATATATGTCCCTATAACACTCCCGCTTCCTAAAGCTCTAGTCCAAAGATGGAACTTCTCAGAGAATGTTTTTAGAGATGATGCACAAACCTTTTCCATCTCGAGGGGGAGCCCCCTTTGCTTTAAAGCTATCCACTGGTGGCTTTGTATCGGTTTCCAAAGCAATACTTATCTGTATCTCAGACTTGAATTTGGTGTATTTATTACTCAGCAACTGGTACCATTTTGGTGCCTAGAGAATAATAAAATAACAAAACACCTAATAGTTAATAAGGGAAAAAACATATTGGGAAATGCTATACAGTTCTAAATAAATTTATTGTAGCTTTTCAGTACTTTATAAACAATTTTTTTTTCACATTTTTCTCAAAACAAATCAATCCTGCTTAGGAAGCCATCAACTGAATTTCCCTCTAGAAAAACTACGTAGAAATTTAAATTGTTTTCTTTGCTTGTCTTCCTATGCTTCAAGAGGCAAAATATTAAAAGGAAGAAAGCATAATATATTTCTTTCTACCTTTCGTCTTATACCCTCAATCTCACTTCATCCCTTAAACAACAAAAAAACTACCAGTTTTCTAATTCCCTAACCTCTATCTTCTCACGTTTTTAAATTATACCTTTTCTTTCTGCCATAGACCTGCTTCGTTCTGCTTATATCAATAAGCATAGGAAAATCTTGGATGGGTGGCTCATGCCTGTAATCCCAACACTTTGGAAGGCCAAGGTGGGCAGATCACTTGAGTCCAGGAGTTCAAGACCAGCCTGGGCAACATGGTGAAACCCCGTCTGTCTCTACTAAAAATACGAAAAATTAGCTAGGCATGGTGGTGCACGCCTGTAATCCCAGCTACCTGGGAGGCTGAGATGGGAGGATTGCTTGAGCCCGATAAATCAAAGCTGCAGTGAGCCATGATCACACCACTGCACTCCAGCCTGAGCAACAGGAGTGAAGCCCTGTCGCAAAAAAAAATAATAATAATAATAAATAAATAAGAAAAAGAAAAAAGAAAATCTTATTAGTGTTAATAAAAAGCATTAACAAAATACTAAAGTCAAGGCCTAATGGAAGAGTGGTGGATTATGAACCAGGTACTTGACTGATACTCGAACAAAAGCCTTCTTACAGAATGAAGCATCCTAAATTATTTGAATATCCCCACTAGACCAACCTCAGAAATTCTAGTACTCAAGATAGCCTGAAAAATATCATGCCTACATATATTATTAGGGCAGGAACCACTGATCAGTGGGAATACCATTTCAATACTTGGAAACAGCATTTTTTACTCTGATCATTTGTTATATAAAGATATAGTAGATGGTGCTTATATTGTCTTTGTTATATAAAGACATAATAAATGGTGCCTATACTGCTATTTTATATTCAAGTCATGTTTGATAAGTAAAATAGAATTAAGTAGGCCAAAGCTTTAAATAAAAATCAACAACCTAATTTTTTAAAGATAAAAATGCATAATACAGTTTGTTGATGTATTTCTTATAACAAATATGTTATAATTTTGAATATAAGCCTGAAAGAAAGATTTCCAGCTACTCAGAGAATTGATGACTTTTTCTGTTATATAACTCAGAAAAATAAATCTGGATTTTTTTCTGTTTATATTTATTTACAGAGAATCAATTTATTTTGAACTTCAAATATTGTACTATCCAATTACAAATATTTATGCTGACAAACAGGAGAGAATAAGCAATACAGCATTTAGTTTAAATAACTGAGCCATTTCTCCCTTTGATTACAAATATGTTGACAAACTGTTCTCAAGGACAAGGGGACAAAGAATGCCAAGAGTATTTAGAGGCATGACCTCATCCCTCAGATACCCCCCTAAGAGGATTTACCTTCTCTGCAACTAAACTGACTGCAGAAGTGTCTTCTAGACACTTGCACGCTACATGAGAGAAGGTGGTTAAGAGAAACATCAAGAGCCCAATCAAAGCCCAGGGTCTAAAACTAAAGAAGGAAAAACCTTTTCAGAATAAGATCTAGTGGCAGAGAGGCAGTGAGTACCAAGGATGGGGGGAAAACAAATCCTCTTTTAAAGCATTTTTAAATTTCAGTTTCTTTTAAATTATTCCAACCTTGGGCTAGGCTGACTGATCATATGCAAATATCCTTGCTATCAGCAGCAAAAATATTAGTAAAAGATAAGTTTTTCTTCACAGAATCCCAATTTAAGATTCAAATCAAGAATGGCGTTTTAAATAAAAGAGAAGATATTATTTTAATTGTTTAACTTTTTTCCCCCCTTAAGAAAATTATGACCCAAGACAATCAGAAAAATTGCAAGGGAGATTTCTAAAGTCGGTCACATACAAAAAGGTCAGAAGATACTTAAAGCGCTAAGCAGCGGCCGGGCGCGGTGGCTCACGCCTGTAATCCCAACACTCTGGGAGGCCAAGGCCGGTGGTTCATGAGGTCAGGAGATCGAGACCATCCTGGCTAACACGGTGAAACCCCGTCTCTACTAAAAATTCAAAAAAAAAAAATTAGCTGGGCATGGTGGCGGGTGCCTGTAGTCCCAGCTACTGGGGAGGCTGAGGCGGAAGAATGGCATGAACCCGGGAGTCAGAGCTTGCAGTGAGCCGAGATCGTGCCACTACACTCCAGCCTGGGCAACAGAGCAAGACTCCATCTCAAAAAAAAAAAAAAAAAAAAAAAAAAAAAAAGCCCTAAGCAGCACCATGTTAAATAATAAAAGTCACCATCACAGGAATCAGGATGATTCTGAGTTCTTTCTCTTGGGAGTAGGGGGGCAGAGAGGTACTGGTTAGATAACATCAACTGTGTTTCAATAAGTTCACTTGCTCTGACTGCTATGCAAGGAATGCAAGGAGCAGGAAGCAGGGAGGCTATTATGATAGCCAAGGTAAGAAACAATAGCAGCTGAGTTTGGGGTGGCAGCAGTGAAAAGCAGAATAGCAGACAGATCAGGAGGGAAAAAACCCAACTGGGAACAGGTAGTTATGGAGGAAGGAAAAGGAAAAATGTCAAGGAAGACTTCTGTATTTCTAACTTGTATAACTGAAAGGGGAATGCTGACAATTCACTGAAGCAGGAAACATTAGAAGAGGATGAACCACCTTTAAAAGGAAAGCTCAGGGGCTAGGCATGTTAAGCTTCCGGTAATAGCAACTTGGATACAAGTCAGTTCAGAGATGTCTTTTTGAGCAAGACAGTTCTTGGTCAAGGAAATCACTAAAATGTTGAGATTTTCTAAATCTAATTCATAAACTAAAACATAAGAACTGCCATATTGGCTGGGTGCAGTGGCTCACACCTGTAATCCCAGCACTTTGGGAAGCCAAGGCAGGCAGATCACTTGAGGTGAGGAGTTTGAAACCAGCCTGGCCAACATAGCAAAACCCCATCACTAAAAATACAAAAGTTAGCCAGGCGTGGTGGTGAGTGCCTGTAATCCCAGCTACTCAGGAGGCTAAGGCAGGGAGAATTGCTTGAACTTGGGAAGCGGAGGTTGCAGTGAGCCAAGATTGTGCTATTGCACTCCAGCCTGGATAACAGAGACTCCGTCTCAAAAAAAAAAAGAACTGCCATATTGGCTCAAGTCTATGACTGATCAGGTCTAGTATTTCATGTCCTTTTCATCAATCTGTTATCTACTGAAAATAATCGACTGTCTAACATAATCATTAGCAAAACATCAAAAGGGCAATACCTGCTTTGTTTCTTGAGCGGTTCTTAAATCCAGAACGATGTAACCTATGGTTTCCTTGGCTGAAGTTACAGGATCCAAGGCAAAACATTGGAGTTTGATAGGAGTACGCTGTAGCCTATAACAAAACATGTGATAAATAAAATGGTTTTTGCTTAATAAACTTTCTATTGGCCTTGAAAATATTTCCTATTATCAAGATACTTATAATTTTGTTGGATAAAACTGTAACTATTTTACATTGTCTAAAAAACTCTTCAACAGGCAAGAACTAGGCCAGGCGCAATGGCTCACGCCTGTAATCCCAGCACTTTGGGAGTTCGAGGAGGGCAGATCACGAGGTCAGGAAATCGAGACCATCCTGACCAACATGGTGAAACCTCATCTCTACTAAAATTAAAAAAAACAAAAAAAAATAGCTGGGTGTGGTGCCACGCGCCTGTAATCCCAGATACTCAGGAGGCTGAGGCAGGGGAATTATGTGAACCTGGGAGGCGGAGGTTGCAGTGAGCCGAGATCGCGCCACTACACTCCAGCCTGGGTGACAGATCAAGACTCCATCTCAAAAATAAAAATAAAAATAAAAATAAAAAAAATAAACAGGTAAGAACTATTAATTATATCTACTAACCTCTACACCAACTAAATATTATACAAAACATGTCAACATATTTTACATTCTTTCATCTAAGAAGCCATCATGTAGGTCAATGTTTCTTAAGCTTCTGTAATGTGTAAAACTTTCTGAAAGTAAAAAATTATCATGAATTTTCAGGACCTATTTTATTTCTCTTATACTGTAACATACATAAAATTACAAATACAAATACATGCTTATAGCTCTTTTGTAGCTAAAAAACAAACAGGAATTAAATATAAAATAAATTAAAATTTAAATTAATAATATAACACATAACAGTGTTCTGAAAGAATGATATTGGCTTGTTTAGCATGGGCTGTTTTAGTTCGGAACCCCTCAACTGGCTCATGCATTAAGCTGAATGGATTTTGCCACTGCTTTTATCTAGTGGAGTTATTATAGAACTGCACTTAGCACAAAATCATCACTTATAAATTCAATTTATCTGTATTTTCTCAGCCTACAACAATCAGAGTGGTACTAACCTGGCACTAACAAAATGGAAGCCCTAACAGCTCATAGCAGGACTCCATTATAGACACCACTGAAAGGAAATCCAACATTGATATTCTCTAAGAATGCAATACTTCTTCAAATAAATCCATGGACTACTCTAGCAACAGAGGTAAATAGAGTTTTCCTTGCTTTCCTTTTTTTTAACTTTCCATTTTGATTTAATTTAGTACTGAGAACAAGCAAGTATTAAAGTGATAACATGTTTTCCAGAAGAAAATATATTTTTAATCCTTAAATAAATAAGAGTATTGCTTTTATTGTTGTTGCCTGCTTCTAGTCAGAGTTCACAAAAAATATATACTATAACTTTAAGTCTATTTTATATACTAATAAAGTGGTTTTGTTTAAAATTAAATATAAATTAATTAGAAAGAAACCTTGATAGAATTACTTTCATAACTTTTCACTGGATACCCCTCTATATATCCTTGGCAAGCCAGGTAAATATACAATAAATAAATTAACAGAAATTACAAGGAATTCCAACCATATTTAATAATGAGTAGGTATCATCAAGGTATTTCTAGAATATCTACTGTCTCACACATTAGGAAAAAAAAAAAACCCAAACAGCTCAGTGTAAGTGTAGTGTAAAAGCTTAGGCTCTGAAGCTGGATTGCCTGGGCTCTACCACTACTAAGCTAACAGACTTAAAACAAGTTACTAATACTTAACATCTCAGGCCTCGGTTTCCTCATCTATAATATGGGCGAAATAAAAATAACAACTTCATAGTGTTGTTCTGATGTTTAACTGTTATTGTTGCAAAGTACTTTAAAAATTTCCTGTCACATTTAAAAAAACACTCAATAACTATAATTATTAAACGTAATGACAGATACAAAATTTATAGGTTGAACATTCCTAATTTGAAATGCTCCAAATTCTAAAACTTTGAGTGCTGACATAATGCCACAAACGGAAAATTCCACACACAAGCATTTAACATACTTCATTTTATGAAAATTTATTTAAAATATTATATAAAACTACCTTTGACTATGCGTATAATGTAAAACAAATAAATTTCATGTTTAGACTTGGGTCCCATCCCCAAGGTATCTTTGATTATGCAGATATTCCAAAAATCCGAAAATACTTCTGGTCCCAAGTATTAAATACTCAAACTGTATTTATTTATAACAGCCTGAAAAATAAGAAACCAATAAAGAAGCTAAAATGAAAATGATAATCACCTGTGCTGATGAAGCGCTTTCCTGTCAATTTCCCAAGCTAACTCAGTAGCAAATTCTGGCTGGTCAGTGTGGTCCACAGGATCAGTAGCCAACTGTTCTCCATCAAACTTTGCTTCCACTACAAGCATATGCTTTGGACGTTTGGGGAAATGCCGACCTGGAGAAACAGAATATATAGATTAATCAAAAGTGTACAAAAATCAAACAGGATCATTTACCATGTGTTTTTTTGTTTGGCTGGTTTTTTTTTTTTTTTGAGATGGAGTCTTACTCTGTTGCTTAGGCTGGAGTTCAGTAGCGCAATCTCAGCTCACTGCAACCTCCGCCTCCCAGGTTCACGCGATTCTCCTACCTGAGCCTCCCAAGTAGCTGGGATTACAGGTGCACACCACCAAACCCAGCTAATTTTTGTATTTTTAGTAGAGACAGGGTTTTGCCATGTTGGAACTCCTGACTTCAGGTGATCTACCTGCCTCGGCCTCCCAAAGTGCTGGGATTACAGGCATGAGCCACCATGCCCAGCCTAGCATGTGTTTTTTTAAAACTAATGATCTGTTAAGTGTGGTTGACATGCATTCCATAAGCTACCTCACTAATGCAGGCTCACATATACACTCACTTCCATAATTCATAAGAAACATGAATCAAATGGAAAGCTATAATTTATAAATGTGTGCTTCTCAAACATTAGTGTGCACATGAATCACCTAGGGACCCTGTTAAAATGTAGATTTTGACTCAGTAGATTTAGGGTGGGCCTAAGATTCCGCATTTCTAACAAGATCCAAGGTGATGTGAATGCTGCTGTCCTTGGTCCACACTTTGAGTAGGAATGATCTCAACAACATCTGGAATTAAACACTTAATGTGATTACACGAATTTTAGGTACTACTATTGCACTACTTAATAGAGAACAGTCATCTGAAGAGCTGGGAAATAAATTAGTAAAAACAAATTTGCCTGCAGCTTAATTTTTCTGTTAACTCAGTTAAGAATACTTTCCTGGTGAAACCCCGTCTCTACTAAAAATGCAAAAAATTAGCCGGGTGTGGTGGCATGCGCCTGTAGTCCCAGCTACTCGGGAGGCTGAGGCAGAACAGCTTGAACCCGGGAGGCAGAGGTGGCAGTGAGCACTGCACTCCAGCCTGGGCAACAGAGCAAGACTCCATCTCAAAAAAAAACAAAAACAAAAACAAAAAAAAAAAAACAGAATACTTTCCAAATTAGCTAAAGAAAAATAGCCACATGGATTCCTTCATTCTATTCTCAAGGACAACACTGTACACTATCAGGAAATATTCAAATATTCTATCTACACATCACTTTTCATTTGTACTGCCAAACCCCATTTCATCAATGTTTACTGAAGACATATTCAGAGTCAGGTATTTTATCAGATGGTGGGGTACAAAATGAGTAAAACAGAGTACTTGCTCTAAAAAAACTGAGGATCTAGTTAAGAGAAACAAACCAAAAAAAACTGAAAATAGGAAGCTAAAGAACATCAACGAAGAAGCACTAAGAATCTTGCACTGAGTCAACTAGTTCTCTTGTTTATAAATCTGTTAAGGTGGATCTTATTGAGGGGAATTTTATCCATTGATTAATGAAGAAATCCCTGCTGCTACTCACCCTGGTACAAGCTACTTGTGGGGGAAGTGTAGGAATTAAGCTGTTAAAAAGACCTTGACTGCTAACCTTGTGAGTTAAAGCCTGAGGCTCTCATTGAAACTCTGTATTAGGAGTATTAACACACATCGCACAGCTCTCCCAATTAGCATTAACAGAGGCCCATCTCAGGACCTCATTTTCTGCTGCTCCAAAAGATACCTAGCTTCCCCAAATGAATGTCATATATGTCAAAGAACCTATATTTTCCATATTATTATAACTAGCAGCTTCCAACAAGCTTGAGAACAGAGGATGTGAAGGGAACAAACAGATGCCTGCCTTGCTGCAGACAATGATACAGAGATAACAGAAATGGTCTTTTTCATCCTTGGAATCTAGTACATAGCCCAAATTTTGTTCATGGTAAAAGCTTAACCATTTTCTTTTAAATAAAGGGCATTTCTAAAAGTGTAGTCAAGAAATTGCAAGTTAACTCTTAAGGACTGTAGTCCCCCGAGTCCTCCACCAAGCCAAAGGGATGAGAATACATGAGGGGAAATGAGACTGAAAAGGTAGGCAAGAGGTCTACCACAAAGGGCCATGTATGCCATTCTAAGAAATACAGACATTATCCTTTAGGACACTGAAGGACTTTAAGAAAATCAGATTTGCATTTCAGAAAGATCATCCCCAGGGAGTAAAGGAGGAAGTCTAGATGTTTCTGGAAAGGAAGAAAACATTGAAGAATCAGACTACTGAAAAGATTATTACAGTAAGTTAGGTGGATAATGAGGGCCCCTTACCAAGGCACTCACAATGTAAACTCATTCATTCAAAAACTCGTATGTAGAATCTATTATTATTCAGAAAATAAAATCAATTATACTTGATGACCATTTGGAAGTTAGAAATGGAGAGTGAATCCAGGCTGAGGATGACTCCTTGGTTCTTGGCTTAAGGCAACAGCATGGTTATGATGAATGGAAATACAGTACGAACAAGAGAGAAGAATAGTTTGGAGGGAGGACCACATGCTAGTTTTGGGTATGTTTGTGGAAACAACCTAACAGACATCCTTGACTCCAGGTTCTCTTCCTTGCACACTGCTACTAAACTGAACTCAAGAAAAGCATTCTATTTAGGAATATATGCTGCCAACCTATTTCTTGGAACATTAATTCTAAACTGGCTTTCAAGATCCTCTGAGGCCTATTCGCTCCAGTTGTACAAGCTCATTTCTTACCATGACATTTCTAAATATTCACCTTCCTCTACCCTGGTCATCTTGCTGATCTTTTCAATGTTCCACCCACCATGCTCACCCCGGCACAAGCTACTTGGTTGGGAATCAAGCTGGTCAGAAAGACCTTGACTGCTAACCTTTTGAGTTTAAGCCTGAGGCTCTCACTTGAAACTCTGTATTAGGAATATTAACACACATCGCACAGCTCTCCCAATTAGCACTAACAGGCCTCTCTCAGGACCTCATTTTCTGCTGCTCTAAAACTAGCTTCCCCAAATGAATTGCATTTATGTCCTGGGTTGTCAGACTGGCCTGGGTTGTCCATAGAATTCTATTGTCACATATCTAAAGCTCACTTATTATTTAAAGAACTTCAGCCATCCCACCCACCCTACCCTCAAACCTATATTTACAGTACATATCACATATTTTAAATATTATACCCCAACATATTGTGTCCTGTGATCTCCCCACGTGGACAGACCTCTACATCCTTGGAGGGAATGGAGGTATTTGTTTCCTCATAGCATGGTCAGTTATAAGTCTAAAAACTGTTGTTAACCAAATTTTAAGGTTATTTCAGTCCTATGTTTTTAAACAATAAGTAAACTAACAGTTAATAGTGCTCCAAATCTTTATGGCTTTTCTGGTCAGTCTCTTGTTCCAAAATTCAAAGATTAGGATTACAATGTTTCCTTTGCTCTCATCCCTCACACAGTGCCAGGCCTTTATAAAACACTCTCCCATGGGGGAAAAAATGCAGCCAGGCTTCTGCTCTGGCTCAAGATGACTCCTTCTTAACATACTATTCGTAAAGTGTCCTCAATTCACCTGTTATCTCCTATGCCCTCCACTTTCTTGCAAATCTGTTCTCCAACCACACTGAATTTAACCAATGTTTACTGAGTGAATTTAATTAAGCAAGGCAAAACGTGTCTTGCTTTTCCATACTTTAAGTGCTCCCTGCTCTTCTCTTTGCCTGGAATGCCCTTCCTTTTTTCACCTGACAAATTCCTAATCATCTGTAGGACCCCAAAAAATGCCACCTCCTCTAGTGAAACTTCCGCAGTTTCCTTAGACAGAGGTGGTCATTCATTAGGGTCTTCCACATCCTGATGAATTATTTGCTGACACACTCTCCTTGCTACATCCTTAGCTTTTTAGAATCAGGACTGTTTCATTCTTACATTCCCAGCACAGTGTCTGACACTCAATGAGTCCCAATAAACCAATGTCATTCATCCAAAACACACCTTTTAAGGAATGTATAATACACCCTCTTAAGAACTGTAGTCCCCTGAGTCCTCCAGCAAGACGTGTAAAGGGAATTGCCTCCGGAACACTTCTGGAATCGCAGGAAGCCTGTATTCAAGTCAAAGCTCTTACAAGTGCTATTATTGGGAACCGCTGATCAGAACGCGCTTCTCAGGACCACGTTCAGCTCATATATAAAAGCCATCGACGTGCTGCTTTGGATGAAAATCGTTTTCTCTAGATTCTCTGGGGCTACGGCTAGTCACGCTAAATATCACTTATCCCTAATAGCGCTCATATCCCTGGAGAGATTTTTAAATCAATTGCCTAACAGACCTCACTACGTACAACTTTGAACAAGTCTGTGGGGACCACAAAAGCACAGATGACAGGGTTCTTAAGGTTAACAAGGCCTCGGTCCCACACTAAGCTTTTAAAACTCGGGAGGCAGCAGTTGCAAAAGCAAGCCTCAGGCTGCTCACCTTCTAGGATGGACACGACGATGAGCAATTGGTCGGATTTGGAGACCATGGTTGCGGTGAGCGGTCCGGGGGCGAAGGCGGCTGGGGGGAAGTGAGGTCCAGTTGAGTCGCGGGTAATCCGGGACCCCCGGCGGGACCCCCACTGCCCGCCCCCGGTCCCTGATGCCCGGACCCCGCTCCGCAGCCAGGTCCCACCGCCGTCTGCTGCAGCGCGCCCGGCTCCTCTGCCTCGGGCCGCCAGCCCAGATCCTAACTGTGCCCCGACTCAAGGAAAAAGCCACGCTGCAGCCCTGCCAGTCTGCAAGCAGAGACAAGCCCGCCACCCGAGGACCTTTTGCCGCCTGCGTAGCCGCTTTTCAAACGCCCGGGCGGCCGCAGCGGCCGCCGCCGCGCCCAGCTTCCGCCTAGCAACCAGGCCCGCAGGCCCAGTGCCCAGGGGAGGTTGGAGGACAACGGGTGATAGAGACAGAGCAGTCAAGGCTAGAACGCCCGTCAGCGAGCTTCGCCTCCCGCCCTTTTACGCTCTGTTCCAGAGCCCTAAGGAGGACGCCTTCATTACCTCACAGCGCCCTCTGCTAGCCGGACGAGGAGAGGCGGGCGACTTGGTGTGGGACCAGCTGCGCAAGCGCACTACTGCTGTAAACGCTTCCTGAAGCTGCGTAGCCTTTAAGGAGCGTGAGTGTAGCGTATTACCTGCTTTATGCTTCAGCCACAACCTGAGAGTTATATTAGTGGGGATTAAAAAAACAAAAAAACCTAGCTTAGTTGACGTACCCAGTGTCAACACTGCTTAAAAAATTAAATCACAAAAAAATAATGACTTAAATCTAAACTCTAAAGTCCCTAAATCGTGCTCACGCGGCACCTCAAATTTCCGACCTTTGAAAACAAGTAGCTTCAATACGGTAATTACTGTACTTGTTAAAGCTGACGTAAACTCCCCGAGAATTTCCTGTCCCTTAGAAATTACCCCTAAAACAAAAACACTGTCACGTGGGCAATGAAATATAAAGGTTCTTCCACCCCCGATGACAAAGTTATTAGCAAACTCAAAACCAAAAATAAACAAGGCATTGAGGTGCTGTCTGCCGACCCTTTCCCCTTAACGTCTCCCAAATTCAGATTTAAGAAACGGTTCAAGACTTGTAAAGGGAACGGCCTCCTAAACACTACTCAAATTGCAAGAAGCATGTATTCAAGTCAAAGGCAAAGTTCTTTTGGAGGTTATCTAGCTTGAAACTTAAATAACCGAATTGGTTGGAGCGATCGTGGACACTATTAAGTTTGGGAAAAATTCTGCTTCGGAAAACAAAAGTAAATCATAATAAAATAAAGCTGCAGAGATAGCACTAGGTAGTGGACATAAGTGCGGCTTCTCCTATTACTTTCTGGTTTTGTAAATTGAGAAGTTGTTTTGAGAGCAAATATAATATCTCGCTGTTTTCTTTTTCTTCTATTGCTTCCTTGTTTTGGAAATTTAGAAGTTATTTTGAGAGCAAATAATATAATATCACTATTGTTTTCTTCTTCCTCTTCTTTATTCTTCCTTCTTTGCTTTCTGCCCAAAAGAAAAGGAGGAATATGTAGAGATTGGACTAATTACTTCTAAGGCCCTTTCAGGTCCTATCACAGGCATTCTTAAAATGAAGCACTATTCAATGTAAAATCAAAGTAATGATCTACTTTGGATTCATCATTGAACAATGCATTATTTTTGTGGAAGATGTCAAACATACTTTAAAGAAAGCAGAATGATATAATGAACCCCCAGTTACCCAGACCCCAGCTTCAACGATTATCAACTTAAGACCAATCATCTTCATCTGTTGTGTTATTTTTAAAGAAATCCCCAACATCACATCAATTCATCTTTTTGGATACGTACTTCTAAAAGATGAAGACTTTTTGGCCAGGTGTGGTAGTGGCTCACATCTGTAATCCCAGCACTTTGGGAGGCTGAGGTGGGCGGATCACTTGAGTCAGGAGTTCGAGACCAACCTGGCCAACATAGCAGAACTCCGTCTCTACTAAAAATACAAAAATTAGCCAGACGTGGTAGCGCAAGCCAGAAATCCCAGCTACTTGGGAGGCTGAAGCACGAGAAGGCTGAGGCACGAGAATCGCTTGAAATCATGAGGCAGAGGTTGCAGTGAGCCGGTATCATGCCACAGCGCTCCAGCCTGGGCCACAGAGAAAGACTCAGTCTCAAAAAAAAAAAAAAAAAAAAAGATAACGACTTCTTAAAGAATCTTAAAATATTAAGTATTTAACCACAATCCCATTATTACACTTAATAATTAACAAAAATTTCTTAATCCCATTAAATATATACTGTTCAAATTTCTCTGATTGTCTAATAATTTGTTTGCAGTCGGTTTTTTCAAATCAGGATCCAAACAAGTTCCAAAATACAATGGTTGGTATGTCTCTTGTCTTTTTTAATGTATATGGTTAGGCTTTGTGCCCCCACCAAAATCTCATTTTGAATTGTAATCCCCACAACCCCCAAGTGTCAAGGAAGGGACCAGATGGAGGTAATTGAATCATGGGGGTGGTTTCCTCCATGCTATTCTCCTGATAGTCAGTGAGTTCTCAGGAGATCTGACGGTTTTATTAAGCGCTCTTCCCCCTTTACTCACTCACTCTTCTCCTTCTTGCTGCCTTGTGAGGAAGGTGCCTTGCTTCCCCTTTGCCTTCTGCCATGACCATAAGTTTCCTGAGGCCTCCCTAGCCATGCTGAACTATGAGTCAATTAAACCTCTTTCCTTTTGAAATTACCCAGTCTTGGGCAGTTCTTTATAGTAGTATGAAAACGGACTAATGGAGGTACCCAATCCTTCTTTTTTTTTTCTTGAAATTCTTTATTGAAGAAACTGGTCGTGTCTGCAGAGTTTACCACAGTCTGAATTTTGTTGGTATAATACCAATGTTGTGGTTTAACATATCCTCTGTTGAGAAGTCTAATAAATATGTACACATTAACAACACTTAAAGATTAGGAAACAAATTAACCACAAGCGAAGTATAATGTTATCAGTGGTGCAAGACAGTACTTAGCATTATAGACAAAGAGAGGCCCAAGTACCTCTGATGGAATGAGTACCCCAGAAGATCAGAGTTTGGGACCTACCTTTGCTATTTGCATGTCAGGTGACCTTAAGCAAATCACTTTCCCTCTTTGAGCCTCAGTTTCAGCTATAAAACGATAGTATGCATGGTTCTTTAGTGCAGGACTTAAATGTAGTAAATGCCACTTAGTTACTATTTTTTATATGAACAATCTCAGACTTTAAGTAGTAGCTGTGAAAAGAGCCAGGAACTGTCCATCAGCATACCTTGTTGTTTTGCTTTAGGATATCTAGCAGGGCTTCACACCTAGATTATAAACCATTACTGTATGCCATAGAATAGTTTTAGGTCATAAAAAATCTGACAGATTATTAAAATTAACAAAGAAACTTTTTCATGTAGTAAATTTCACATGATTCCCTTTATTTGGATTTTCCTCCTGAACAACATCATTTCTAAAATCACTTTCAGCACAGCTACTGAAAAGTCACCAATTTAGTTGGCCTGGTGCTTCCTCTAACAGAATGTACAAAATCAATGATATGAAATTCCTCATCTAGAAATGGAATTATAATCCTATCATCATCTATATCTGTTTTTCTATAATCTAATTTCCTTTCATATGTGATATTAAACAGTAGTAACTTCAGTTCTAGTATAAATCATCACATTTAAGCTTAAATTTATGAGGGAAAATCTTGTTGTAAGTTAATAAAGTACCAATTACTGTTTCAAAATATGTAAGTAAATGCTAGTAACATGTAATTTTTATCTATAAGACAATATGAGATTCATTACACTATAAGCTTATAAATTTAAACTGACAGGTTTTTTATTTTATTTATTTATTTTTTGAGATGGAGTCTTGCTCTGTCACCCACGCTGGAGTGCAGTGGTACGATCTTGGCTCACAGCTCACTGCAACCTCCGCCTCCCAGGTTCAAGTGATTCTCCTGCCTCAACCTCCTGAGTAGCTGGGATTACAGGTGCACACCACTACACCCAGCTCATTTTTATATTTTTAGTAGAGATGAAGTTTCACCGTGTTGTCCAGGCTGGTTTCGAACTCCTGACCTCAGGTGATTCACCCGCTTTGGTCTCCCAAAGTGTTGGGATTACAGGTGTGAGCCACCACGCCTGGGTGAAACTGACAGAATTGATGAAAGGCTTGATTCTGAATTTATTAGTTTGTCAACCTAGTAACTAATCATATTAGGTGGCTTTCTATTTCCATAACTTTCTATCAAAAAAAGAATAAAACAAAGCATTCTGACATATTTTAAGACTTTCTTTGCTGTAGTTGTTTTACCTTTTGGAAAAACATTTTACTTTGTAGGATTTCTCTATATTTTTTTTCGTCAACCACTTCTGTGGACCACCACAGGAGGAATGATGAGCTATGTTTCTCTTCTTCAGCCTCTTCCACTGTATACACACAAATACACACACACTTCATAAAATTTTAGGCAAGCTCCCAAAGACTAATAAAATTAGCCCATCTGTTGAATAACTGCAGTTTGTAAAAGCATGGTGCCAGACCCAACTTCAAGAGGTGCTTCTAAAATTGCCTCCATTAGAAAGAGGCAATGGGCATGAAAGTGATAACTAGTCCTCATCGCTTAGTGTCAAGAAGACAGAACCCTTTCAATTCAGGATCTACTGTAATTTAACTTGGCAATTAATTTAGGCATCTTTGATCCCTGGAAGAAGGGCCTCTAACATCTATCATAAGAGAGGCAAGATAACCCAGTATCAAAGAGTCATATGTCCCTGAATTTCAGGTTCCATGACTTATTAGCTTTGTGACTTAGCCAAGTCACTTATCTCTGAACCTGTTTTTCCATCTGTAAAACAGGGTATTAGTCCTTTCCTCACATGGTTTTTGTCAGAATTAAATGGGATTGCTTCTGTGAGGGGCCTAGGACACGATGAAATCGCCAAACGTGGTAGCTAGTTTTATTGTTAGTATGGAGGGATAATTTGTTGTGGGATTATTTTGAAATTTGTTCCCTTTCTTTGGTTCTACAAAGGTAACCAGACCCTTATATTCCCTCACCTTGGCCTATATTTATATTCTACTGGTGATATCCCCAAAACAGCTCCTATCTCCCTGGCTTCTTTTAATTTTTGTGGGCACGTAGTAGGTATACATATTTATGGGTTATGTGAGATATTTTGATACAGGTCTGCAATGCATAATATCTCCCTGACTTCTGTGAAAACACCACAATAGAGCATGCCAAAGTCAAACCATCCTGCAGGTCAGGTATGGTCAAGTAGTGAAGTGGGCTGGCAGGGTGAGGGCAGAAGTATGGCACACAGCTGTCTCAAGGAGCAGCCCTGCTCTGCTCCCGCTGATCATTGCCATGCAATAAGACAGATTGTAAGTTTCATAAGGAGATAGAATTACAGATTTTTATGTGAACTCATGCAAATTTTAAATGCCGATAATGAAATTTAGTTTAAAAACAAAAAGCAGACCAGGTGCAGTGGCTCATGCCTATAATCCCAGCACTTTATGAGGCCAAGGCAGGCAGATCACTTGAGGCCAGGAGTTTGAGACCACCCTGGCCACCATGGCCAAACCCCATCTCTATGAAATATACAAAAATTAGCTGGGCGTGGTGACACACACCTGTAGTCCCAGCTACTCAGGAAGCTGAGGCATGAGAATTGCTTGAACCTGGGAGGCAAGGTTGCAGTGAGCCAAGATTGCATCACTGCATTCCAGCCTGGGTGATAGAGCAAGGCTCTGTCTCAAAAAAAATCACCAAACACTTCTGCCAGCCACAGGTTAGTTACCTTCAGCCAAATTCATTGAGATGGTTGTGATAGATGTCAGGGCAGAGAAAAGACGGCAGTAAATAAAAGAGATTGCCTAAAGCTAGGAAGAAACAGGATGAAGGAAAGTGTAGTGGGGACCAACATTCCACTCTTTGGCAGAGCCTTGGGCAGGGAACAGACACAGAAAGTGGCCCCGTGGGAACCCTAGAGAAGTGAGACCATAGGTCCTGGTTTATTATCCTTGGCATAGATTCTTATGCCCTAATTTGACAGACTCAGCAGGTTGGCTTGGGTATTAGCTTATCAGTGACCAGTAAGGCAAGAGCCAGCAAGGCCTCCCCCAATATTTGCTCTGTGTGAGAACTCCAGCACCTTTGCCCAGCACTTTGTATGTGGAGAGGGAAGACCCAGTGATTACTGAGATTGAATTTCCTGTTGATTGGCAGAAGGAGATTGGGGTTGAATTTGAGTATAAAGAAAAGCAACATTTCTTGCACACTGTCCTTTGTGTTGTAAGCTTCATGGGATTACTTTAGACTGAGATGAGCGTTGAGCCACTCTGTTGTGGTGTGTGTCACAGTGGCTCTCCCTGAGGCAAGGTATAGAGTGGAGGGTGGGAGAATGCTCCCTACTCCATGGAGGAAAGGCAGAGGTAGGGACATTCTGGAACTACAGCAAAGGGTTTCAGGCCAACAAAAAATGCTGCTCAGGTTTGCTTTGAAAAAACTATGCCATTGGTAAAATGACCACATTCTAGAGACAGATGACTTGTGAATGGGCTTCATTTTAGGAGTAGAGATTGGAACAGATGGTAGATGCTGGAATCCCTCTCTGTAACACTGTGACATTGAGGAACATTATATGACATTGTGGGACTTTGATTCACTTATTGTGTAATGTCTGATGTGTGTGGATTTTTTTTCATCCAAAAATCTTTCTTTTGACACCCCGGAGCCAATAGCAGAGGAAGAGCTGGTGCCGGCCTACTCAGCTGTCTGCTAAAGAAATTCCCCAGGCTCTGGTTGAGTGTTTTGGCCCATAAAAGTCTGACCCCAGTAAATGATAACACAGAATCTTCTGTACTACAGGCTATCTCTGGCAGAAGAGTTCTATTTAATGCTGACATTACAAGTACACCTGAAGGTTATAAAACTATCCCCTACTTCTCTGTGTTTCAAGGAACAAAATAGATAAATAAATAAATTATAACAACAGTCAATAGTAACCCCCCTCCCCTTTGAATTCAGAGGAAGGTTCTAAACATACAACCTGGGTTCAGAGAAAAGAAAAGCCTCCATCATATATTAAGCAACTGCACAAGAAGTTTCCGCAGCCAGCAGCTAGTAAGCTGAGTCACCCATTTCACAAGGGGTATAACAAAGCTCTATCCCTTGACTATTGCATCAGCCACAAAACTGTTCTTCCTGAATTATGGTATGTGTTTCTGCTGCCAACATAATGCTTTGTATTTGCATAAATGTGTATGTTTCTAAGCAGGTTCTAGCAAGTGTAACAGTTAACAGCAAGTTGAATGGTGACTTTTATTTATTGCCTTAGTGTTACTGACAGGTGACAGCGTGCTGGCAGTCCTCACAGCCCTCGTTCGCTCTCGGCGCCTCCTCTGCCTGGGCTCCCACTTTGGCGGCACTTGAGGACCCCTTCAGCCCACCACTGCACTGTGGGAGCCCCTTTCTGGGCTGGCCAAGGCCGGAGCCGGCTTCCTCAGCTTGCAGGGAGGTGTGGAGGGAGAGGCGCAAGCGGGAACCGGGGCTGCGCGCGGCGCTTGCGGGCCAGCGCGAGTTCCGGGTGGGCGTGGGCTTGGCGGGCCCCGCACTCGGAGCAGCCGGCCAGCCCTGCCGGCCCCAGGCAATGAGGGGCTTAGCACCCGGGCCAGCGGCTGCGGAGGGTGTACTGGGTCCCGAGCAGTGCCAGCCCACCGGCGCTGCTGCGCTCGATTTCTCGCCGGGCCTTAGCTGCCTTCCCGTGGGGCAGGGCTCAGGACCTGCAGCCCGCCATGCCTGAGCCTCCCACCCCCTCCGTGGGCTCCTGTGCGGCCCGAGCCTCCTCGACGAGCGCCACCCCCTGCTCCACGGCGCCCAGTCCCATCGGCGCCCAGTCCCAAGGGCTGAGGAGTGCGGGCGCACGGCGGGGGACTGGCAGGCAGCTCCACCTGCAGCCCCGGTGCGGGATCCACTGGGTGAAGCCAGCTGGGCTCCTGAGTCTGGTGGGGACGTGGAGAACCTTTATGTGTAGCTCAGGGATTGTAAATACACCAATTGGCACTCTGTATCTAGCCCAAGGTTTGTAAACACACCAATCAGCACCCTGTGTCTAGCTCAGGGTTTGTGAATGCACCAATTGACACTCTGTATCTAGCTACTCTGGTGGGGGCCTTGGAGAACCTTTGTGTGGACACTCTGTATCTAGCTAATCTGGTGGGGAGGTGGAGAACCTTTGTGTCTAGCTCAGGGATTGTAAACGCACCAATCAGCACCCTGTCAAAACAGACCACTCGGCTCTACCAATCAGCAGGATGTGGGTGGGGCCAGATAAGAGAATAAAAGCAGGCTGCCAGAGCCAGCAGTGGCAACCCGCTAGGGTCCCCTTCCACACTGGGGAAGCTTTGTTCTTTCACTCTTTGCAATAAATCTTGCTACTGCTCACTCTTTGGGTCCACACTGCTTTTATGAGCTGTAACACTCACCGTGAAGGTCTGCAGCTTCACTCCTGAAGCCAGAGAGACCACGAGCCCACCGGGAGGAACCAACAACTCCAGACGCGCTGCCTTAACAGCTGTAACACTCACCGCGAAGGTCTGCAGCTTCACTCCTGAGCCAGCGAGACCATGAACCCACCAGAAGGAAGAAACTGGGAACACATCCGAACATCAGAAGGAACAAACTCCAGATGCGCCACTTTAAGAACCGTAACACTCACCGCGAGGGTCCGCGGCTTCATTCTTGAAGTCAGTGAGACCAAGAACCCACCAATTCCAGACACATTATCACCTATGACCCAAGGGATGACAAAGAGGCGTTGTGTCCCCCTTCTCTAAAGAACACCCAAGGAAACTGAGGCACAGATACCACTCCCAGTCTTGGTAAGAGGAGATGACACTGACTTTGCTACCCTCAGCCATCAACTTAGCACCACCTAACTTTATATTACTAGATGATGAGCAGAGGAGTATTGAGTGATAAGCCTGAGGTCTTTTCTGTTTAGAAGGTGGGAGCACTTCCCTTTCTCACCCCAAGCCAGGTAGAAGAGGGCAGGTAAAGGGAACCTCTCACAGAGATGAGTGAACTTGCTAATCAGCAATTCACCATTAATGCTTGAGTAGAAAGAAAAGAGAGAAAGACTGTGCGTGTATGTGTGTGTGTGTGTGAGAGAGAGAGAGAGATGATGAATTGATTAGCAGCCTGTGTCCAAATTTGTTGTGGCAAAAATGTGTGAGATTCCTGTGGGTGAAAAGAATATAACGGCAGGTCACTTTCAGTGATTTTGGTGTCCAAGTTGACAGGCCACCCGGTGAGAAGACTGAAGCAGCATAACGTTACCTGGTATAGAATCCAAAATAAGAACTGATTTGGTTTCAAAAGAGGTGAGCAGATGTCAGAAGTCACTGAGTTATGCAGGTCTCTCAGAACAGAATATATGGCACCGGGACCCCCCACTCCACCACTCTGCAACATCAACCCAGAAATAACACGTGTCCCAGGAGAGACTCTACATTTAGCTGGGATCCACTTAGCATCAGCGACTGATGGATCTTTAACAGAAAAAGAGCAAGAGACAAGTGAGGAACACAGCCACATGGCTAAGTTAAGGATATTTGTAGTCTGTCTCTGATCCCCAGGAAAAGGCTCCCAAAAACAGGAGTGAAAAAAATTGATCCCGCTCCCACCCGAATCCAAGTCCCTCAGACAGAAACTTTGCTGAAATTGGCGGGGTAGGAGGAGATGAGACTTCAAATAGATATGAGATGAAATTTTAAATTCGATCAAAATGGAATGAACTGACATTTTAATAGTTGGAAGTGATCAGAAAGCTTATGGTATCTGACAAAGTTGTGATTAAGGGATGGGAAAAAGAGATTCAGTGGAACATAGCTGAAAGCAATATTTGGAGAAAAATTGAACTATTTCATATTTGTACTTGACCCAAGTTCAGATTGTTGAATAAACCAGTCATACATATTGCCCCTTTTGATCTCCTAAGCAACACTGTGGGAGGAAAAGCAGGGGATTTACCATCTTTTAACAGATGAGAAAATCTGAAGTTTGATAACCTGAGCGATTTGATAACAATCAGAGCTCAGGTCTTCTGAGTGCTTGTGTTAAGCTACCCAAGTTATTCTCAAATTACCCTGAGAACATGGAGCTGTGCCAGGAAACTGGAGTAGAAACAGTATATCATGTTGTAGAGCAACAATGTTCATCAATGGTAAGAAATTAAAACATTGTATTTATAATAAAACAAATAGAAACTATGCGGATACAATAAACATTTGCATGATTTATTTATTATTATTTTTGGAGATAGGGTCTCACTCTGTCAGCCAGGCTAGAGTTCAGTGGCATGATCATGGCTCACTGCAGCCGCAATCTCCAGAGCTCAGATGATTCTCCCACCTCAGCCTCCTGAGTAGCTGGGACTATGGGCATGCACTACCATGACCAGCTAGTTTTTTGATTTTTTGTAGAGACGGTATTTAGCCATCTGGCCCAAGCTGGTCTGAAACTGCTGGGCTCAAGCAATCTGCCTGCCTTGGCCTCCCAAAGTGTTGAGATTACAGACATTGGCCACCACGCATGGCCTTGCATGATTTTTAAATATAAAATATAATACCTCAGAGAAATTTGTTTTGGATTACATCTTCAGCCTTCAACCTACAGAAACCATGTCCATGTTAACTCTCCTCTGCACTTAAGAAGTAACTTGGGGAAACTTTGAGAAGCTCATCACCCACATTCTTGAGCCAGATCACATTAAAAGCTGTTTGGATTAGTAAAAGGGGAACATTTCCTAATGTTTAAGAGGAAGTAATGTGCTACTTCCATATTATGCTCCATGGGGTAGAAGAAGATTAAAGTTATTATTCCAATTACATGTTAAAATCGTTGTTACATCAATATAGTGAATGAAATTTTTAGGAAGTTTCACTTGGATATTCTAGTACTCCAGATACATTTGGCTGAATGTTTAACTGAGAGGTACCCTTATAATTGCTGAGTGTGAAAACAGGATGTTAGTGTACTCTATAAATGGTTATGAATGTGAAGTACTTTTGCTAATCATAAAATTGATTAATATCCCAGATTAGTGAAATCAGAGGTACAAAATAGTGATTTCTTTTAAAAAAAGTTTCTGGCTAAGAGTCTGTAATATCAACATTTACAGGCTTAACATTAACCAGAAAAATATAATCTTCCAAAAGTTGATAAATGTAAATTATAGTAACTTATAAAATAGTGTCTTTTTTATTACCATATTCCTAGTGCCTAGAAGTGTCTTGAATAAATTTATAGTAAAGACTCAATAAATTCCCATTTAATAAATAAATGAAGCTAAATTTATAACTATGTTAGAACTTTACACCAGTGATAGAGTAATAGAGATATAATTCTTATATGTGTAGAAGACAATAATGAATACATAATTAAGTGCAGATAAAGAAATGTGGCTGTGAGATTGTCTTACTCAGATTGCATTTGAGAAAATTGCCAGCCATTCTTTGATACATTAAGAAAAACATTATGATGTATTTATTTGATTTCAGAAGCTTTTTGATAATGTGAAAGGAAATTATTTATTGCACTGGAGGAGAAGAGAAAAATTTATAGTAATGCTTTGGGAAAAGGCTCAAATATTAAGGTGACTGTAAACAGATGATTTTGGAGGAATATCAGGGATAAGGGTAAATAGGTTAACATTGGAAAATATGTCTAACTATAAGTGTTAGGAGAAAGAGGAAAAATTGAACAAAAGAAAGAAAAGGGAGAGATATAATATTAAGTTTATATGTTATATTAGTGTTTTCATTGGCAGTACCACAAGAAGCCTGACAACCAGAGGATATTCCATTAGGGAGTGAGAGGGGGACAAGAGAAAGAAAGAGACAAGGAAGGGAAAGGGAGAGGGAGAGGGAGAGAGGGAAGGGAGGGGGAGGAGAGGGGGGTTAAAAATCTAGACATCTGAAGAACTTAAACGAATACCCACTGATACAGTGAGTGGCATTTTCTGAATGTTTTTTGAAATTATGTATTTGTCAGCCACTTCTACTACTTCTTATTTATATAACATTTACAAAGGATCAAGATAGAGACTATTATAGTTTTGTCCACTATCCAGGCAGCATTTATTAACAAACTGGGTTCTGTTATCTCTATCAAGGAATATGAACACACTAAAATGATGTCTATTGAGCAGGGTGAAGTTAAAAAGATATTTTATTAGCAGGGTGTGGTGGCTCATGCCTGTAATCCAAGCACTTTGGGAGGCCAAGATGGGTGGATCACAAGGTCAGGAGTTCGAGACCACCCTGGCCAACATGGCGAAACCCCATCTCTCCTAAAAATACAAAAATTAGCCGGGCCTGGTGGCAGGCGCCTGTAGTCCCAGCTACTTGGGAGGCTGAGGCCAGGAGAATCGCTTGAACCTAGGGGCAGAGGTTGCAGTGAACCAAGATCACGCCACTGCTCTCCAGCCTGAGTGACAGAGTGAGACTCCGTCTTAAAAAAAAAATATATATATACACACACACACACACACACACATATATCAAATGTGTTTGTTATTATTTCCTTGTTGTGAATTTTAAGAGTTTTGATATAGTGCATCCTAAATCCTTGTTTAAATTAGTGTCATTATATTGCTAGACAAGTGCCAATGAAGTACAATCTATTAAGTTACCTGAGATAGGCATCTTGTTTGTTCACCTGTTTAACATTCTATCCCCAGGGCCTAGGATAGTGCTTGGAGTACAATAAGCGCTCAATATGATACATAATAGATTTTAGCCAGTAGATGGACTGACTGTGAAATCTAACCCGACATGATATATTTGAGTAATATCCTCTTTTGTAAAGTAAATGAATCAAAATATTACACACTTTCTTGGAATATTCATTTCTTCACAATAAAATGTTATAATATTTTATTGTATTTGGCTAGTAGCTTTCTCCGTTTGTCAAACTTTTAAACTTCAATTTTTGTGTGGAAATCAGAGGTTTTCAAGGTCTTTCTCCTGTTTCCTAACTGGACCAAAGTAGAACCATCAGGCACCATAAGATTCCCGGGAGTTTCCTCAAATTTCAAATGCCCCAATCCACATTGTTGTTTATCTTGAAAAATTTACCTCTGAATGTACACAGGGGAATCAAATAAATTTATCACATACCTATTTTCAGTAGAGTTTGCTGGTGATTTCTTTTTCTTTTTCTTTTTTTTAAATTAAAGTAAGCTTCTAAGTTTTAGGAAAACTGAGCAGACATTCCAGGGCTTGAGTTTGCTTCCACTTAAAAAGCATTAAATGGTATAACAAATGCAGCTCAATAGATCCAATTGTCATCCCATGCAAATAGTCAACTTACCACTTCTAAGAGTAGAGCTTAGGGAGCACTCATCTTACTAGTGCGGTCATGTTTCCTTTCTTGTTCTTTCCCCTAAAGTGTTTCTGCCTAGATCAATTTACCTTTCTCCTTGCCCAACCTGGTTTTCATGAGTATGGGTCCCTAATGTTATCATTTTCATACAAAGAGGTGGAACTTCATAGCAGTTTTTCTTGTTCATTAACTTCAAATCTATTTAAATCAAACATATTTGAACTAGATATCCAGTAATGAGAGAAAAATTATTCACTACATTCTTCATCTCCCCCCCCCCCAAATAGGTTGACCGTGGCTTTATTCAAAGTTAATAATATATCCATCTATGGCATTTATTTCAATCAAAACTTTACTCATTAAGATATTTTGTTTACAAGCCCTCTTCCCCTAAACAAAGTCTCCTTGGATTCAAATGTTTTAGATTTTTAGAAGTAGAACCTACAAATCATCTCATATTAGTTGTCTAATTAGTTGGTAGTTCAGATATTGCCCTCCCTCCTAAAATCTCAAACATGAACTCCGCAACCAAAAAGAATAGAGCCAATTTAATGCATTTTTCCTTAATTTAAGAGCTTTCTCTTTTGGTGTAGCAATCTTTTTTCCTACTTTCTTGTGTCAGCAAAATGGAAATCAATTTAAATCTCGATGATCAATATTCAGCCAGCTTGAATACTTTATTTCCGCTGTGGCCATATGCTGTTATAATATGTAGAAATGTATGAATCTAGCAAATTAAATATAAGTAAATAATGGAAGATGGGTGGCAATATGCCTGTGGATCTGCAGTCTGCAAAATAAATACTGCTGAGTTTAATGAAGAGAAATTGGAAACCCCCAAATAAGCATGTTTGAAGGTCAGATGATTTTTCTATCAAAATGTAATACAGGTATGCCACAATTATTTTGGCACCTAAGTAATCTTCAAAAACATATACTTTCAATGCAGTTACATTTCTCCTAGAAAATCATCGCGTGATTATCTTGCATCTGTTTTTCATCACCTCCTCTCCTCCCCACACTCTAAAGGTACTGACTTCCTAGACATGCGAATTACAAAATAGAATATAACATAATTTTACTAAAGAGGGAAAAAGGAACTCACCTTAAATTTTGTAGTGTTAATGTTGCTGTTTTAAAATATTTCAATAAATTTAAAGGACTGAATGAGCCATCTGAAAAGACACCACTTTAAAAAACATAAGGATTATTCTTCCAGTGTTGCTATAGTTATTGAACTCTCTCTTTAATGTAATTCTTCAGCGTGATGATGTGATACATAAATTATTCACAAAGAATGTATTTTAATCACTTCTTATCAGCATTGATATTTTCAGATGAGATCCCAAGGATAATACAGGTAAAACATAGTTTAAGCATAAATCCTATTATTGAGATTTGCTGAAAATCATTGACATTTTGTGATTGCTAAAAGCCATCATCTCTTATAACTTAACCATGTTATGATGCTGTATTTAATGGAAACTTTTAGAATTAATATTTAAGATGCTATTTTAGGTAATTAACTTCAATCAAGACTAGATAGACTAAAGCCACTTCTTTTTTCTTATTCATTCCAACCTATGAAGCGAAACTCAATTCACACAAAACCTATGGTGTGGTAAGTTAGATGATACATATATATTTTTGAATAATTCTTCAATATTATATATATTGTATCAGTATTAGTGTGCTTTCAGCTGCAAGACATGGAAAACTTTACCCCAATTGGCTTACAGAATAAGAAAATGTATGCCTTTGATACTTTAGAAGTAGGAAGGGTTTTAGGATTAGTGCAAATTTTTCATTTGTGCTGTCTTCTCTAAGTTGTTTCATTCTCAGGTCAGCTTCCCTCCCTGAAGCCAGGCTGTAAGAGTCCTGGGCATTGCAACAGCATGCCAGACTGCCAGAGAAAGAGGGGATGTCTCTTCTAGGAGTTTTCTCCTAAAAGCAAGAACATTTCTTTCCAAGCAGCTGGAATCTCACTGGCTCTCATTGGCCCTCGTGCTCATTTCTGAACTAGTCCTGTGGCTAGGGGAATGCCACAGCTGACTTGCTCAGGCCCAGTCATTGTTGCAAGAAGTTGACATTGCCTTTAAACCAACCAGGCCCAGGAAACAAGTGTTGACTGCCGTACTGAGAATGGTGGCTCAGGGTAGAGCTGGAAGTGCCATTGCTCTAAGAAGTGTCCCTTAGTGGACAACTCAAGAGTCACTAAAACCAGTATTTCTGTTTTTATGGTACAGCAGCATTTCCAAGACTTTAGATCCCTTGTAGACTACCTTCATGATTTTTCCATATCTGCCTACCACCTGTGCTATCATTAATATTTTTGGAAATGATTCACTTCTTAAAATGTAAATATTTGTTAAATAAAATCATATTAATATTTTAATTTTAAGAAACTGTATCATTTACCACAAATAGATATGCAAGGCAACCTCATTAATTCAATGAAAACAAACAGAAAACAATTTTAAAAAGTATTTAGTTAAGGCTAGTTGCTGCTGCTTGCCAAAGGCTCTTGAGCCTGAGGCTTGATTTCTGTTTGTTTAGAAAAAAAAAAAAAAAGGTTAGGGAGTAGGTAGGAGGAGTTAGCATTTTAGCATAGTTAAAAGCGTTAACAAACTGGTACTGTTCAAGGACTTCCTCAGAAGAACTGCAAGCACATTGAGTCACTTTCTGTATATGATTCGATATTATTTTTACTACCTCACTTCCTTTCCCGGGATGCACACCCCTCTAGCAAACACTTGCTGGAGGAAGCTGCCCTGTGTAAAGCGTTAGGGAGCAGACCTGGCTGTTGCCCTAGGCCAGCCTTGGAAACTGTTCAGGAATTGAGGAGTTACCATGAACCCCTACGCTCTATAACTGAATGACATGTTGGTCAGGGAATGCTCTCCCATCTGATGAACTCTCCTGATACAGGCTGGCTTGTGTTCCTCCAGAATTCATCTGTTGAAGTCCTAACCCCCAGAACCTCAGAATGTGACTGTGTTTGAAAATAGGGCCTTTGATGAAGTAATTAAGTTAAAATGAGGCCATTAGAGTGGGCCCTATGACTGGTTACCTTGTAAAAAAGAGATTAGGACACAGAGGAGAGACATGTGAAGACACAGGAGATGACAACCATCTGCAAGCCAAGAGGCCTCAGAAGAAACCAGCCTTGCTGACACCTTGATCTTGGACCTCTAGCCTCCAGAATTGTGAGAAAATGCATTTCTGTTGTTTAAGTCACATGTTCCATGGTACTTTCTTATGGCAGCCCTAGAAAACCAATACATTTCTCAAGTGGAACAACATTCAGAGATACAGATTTTGTATAAGTGCTTTGACTTGCTTCCTGAAGTATTACAGAGGCGCTAAGGCCTAGACCACATGTGGAGACCATCTGGATTTGTTTCTTTGCTGGTATGGCGATTTCTAAGATTCCTCGTGGAGATCATGCGTAGGGAGACAGCCAGTGAGTACATGTGCATTGTTTAATGACAGGATACATTCTGAGAAATGCATCGTTAGGCAAGTTCATCATGTGCAAACATCAGAGAGTGCACTTACACAAACCTAAATGGTACAGCCTACTACACACCCAGGCTATATGATATAGTCTATTGCTCCTAGCCTATAAACCTCTACACATGTACTGTACTGAATGCTGTAGGCAATTGTAACATAATAGTAAATATTTGTGTATTTAAACCTATCTAAACATAGAGAAGGTGCAGTAAAAACATGGTATAAAAGAGAAAATTGGCATACCTATTTAGGGCACTTACCGTGAATGGAATTTGCAGGACTTGAAGTTGCTCTGGGTGAGTCAGTGAGCGGTGAGTGAATGTGAAGGCCTAGAACATTACTGTATACTACTATCGGCTTTGTAAATACTGTATACTTAGGCTACACTGTTTATTTAAAAATTTCTTTCTTCAATAATAAAGTAGCCTTAGCTTACTGTGTTTTTTTTTTTATTTTATAAACTTTAAAGTTTTTTTTAGCTTTTGACTCTTTGTAATAGCTTGAAACGCAAATATATCGTACAGGCTGTACGAAAAGTTTCCTTTCTTTATATTTTTATTCCATAAACATTTTTCTATTTAAATTTTTTAATTTTAAAACATTTTTTAAAAAACTGAAACACAAACACACACACTAGTCTAGGCCTACACAGGGTCAGGATCATCAGTATGACTATCTTCCACTTCCACATCTTGTCTCACTGGAAGGTCTTCAGGGTCAATTACACACATGGAGCTGTCCTCTCCTGTGGTAACAATGCCTTCTTCTGAAATACCTCCTGAATGACCTGTCTGAGGCTGCTTTACAGTTAACTTTTTTTTTAATAAGTAGAGGGAGTAAACACTAAAATAATGATAAAGAGTATAGCATAGTAAATACATAACCCAGTAACATACTCATTTATTATCAAGAATTATGAATTGTACATGATTGCATGTATTATACTTTTCTAAGACTGGCAGCACAATAGGTTTGTTTGCATCAGCATCACCACAAACACTTGAGTAATGTGTTGCACTATGATGGTACTACAGCTACAACATCACTAGGCAGTAGGAATTTTTCAGCTCTATTATAATCTTATGGGGTCACTGTCATACATGCAGTCCATCATTGACTGAAATGTCATTATGCGGTACATGACTGTGGAAGGAACCTGTTCCAGTCAAGCAATTAAAGGCAATCCTGTGTATCATTTAAATAATCATGTACATACTTCAATGGTGGAAACAGCCCTACACTTAAATGGAGTTATAAATCTGATTGACAATATCCTCAGAGGTGTAGCTCTTGCCATAAGATGCAATTGGACCTTATTCCAAAACGATGCCCCCATAAAATCATAAAATTAGCCATAAATAAGATAATAATCAGTTAGTCTACATCAACTGAAAGCCACTATACCAGGGTACAAACTAAACACGCATGGCCCTACATGCCAGGTGGGCCTGATGCCCAGTTGGGGTACTTTGAGGGTTAGTAATTTGACTTCTGAGGGAGGCAGTAAATTTCTGTAATGGAACTGGAATCATCCCTTCTGGCATAATTCCCTCTAGCTTCTGTTATGGGTTAGATCAACAATTCAGCTGACACATTTGTCAATGACACAAATCAAATGCTTTCCTGTATTCTGTTACTTCAACCTTCTTGAAAACTGAGACAGTGCAGGACAGAAGAACATAAAAGAGATGCTACTGCAGGAACTAGATGACACAGTGATGTCAGGAAGAACCATCTGACTCAGCGCCACCCCAAGCCTAGGAGCTGTATGCCTGTGCTGTAGCCATACACATAAATCTGTAATTATTTTAGTCATTTGTCTTATTTTTTGTTGTCTGTCTCTCCTACTAGGCTACACTGGGGTCAGAAAATACACAGCTATGTTTTCCTCAGCGTCCAGCAGGGTACCTGACACGTTGTCCTTGCTCCATACATATTTTTGAAGCAATGGAACAGGAGCTAAGGGCGTAGACTATAAAACTAGAGCAGCTAGATTTGAATGTCAGCTGTAAAGCTAGAGCAGCTAGATTTGAATCGCTAGCTCCATGACCTTGGGCAAGTTATTTAACCTTTTCCTAGGCCTCAGGTTTCTCATTTGTAAAATGGCTTTAGTAATATCTACTTCATAATGTTGTTTTAAGGATTCAATGAACTACCATAGTGCCTGGCATGTAAGTGCCTAGTAAATATTATCATCATTTTAATGATTGGTTCCAAGATACAGAAAAATTGAATATGTTTAGTTGGCAGAGGATGGACTATTCAGGCAAAAGTAGATCATGCAAATCATTGGTTTTCTTACTACCTTTTTTTTTCTGTGTGCTATGTTGATTCCTATTTAAAAAAAAATCTGACCACCAAAACATGTGTTTGAAATACTCATACTACAGTAGTTATAAAATTCACAGCCTATTTTTTTAATTTTAGAATTTCAGTGTTCAAATCTGGTCAATCTATTTTATGTATAATTAACTCACAGTTTATTATGTAGGCCAATCCAGGCATTTGTTGTAAATAGTTATTATAGCATTAAAAATATTTTTTTTAAATTAAGACTATTATGCATTTAACAGCATTCCATATCTTAATCCATTAGTAAAGGCCTATCTAGGATAGTGGTATTAACATAAGTTACTACGAAAACTTCAAATTGTTACTGATTTGTATAAGCATCTAAGTAAAACACTGAAAGAAAAAGGCATGCAGTAAATATCTTTTAATCACCTGCCATCTGGAAGCTGTGTGTGTGTGTGTGTGTGTGTGTGTGTGTGTGTGTGTGTGTTTCAGAAACAGACACTACACTCTTTGCTCCTCTGAATATAAAGGGTTGTAGTTAAAGAGGGAGGCAAAGAAAACTTAAAATTCCAGTTTAGCTTTAGAGATATATGCAATGACAGCCTTTTATGGGAGAACAAATAGCTGATGGTCAAATTTCCATTTTTATTGTTATTTTTGCAAGAAAAACAAAAGTTTTTAATAATTTAGTCTTACCTAAGAGTGAAACAGTTATAAAATGGTATATTTCTATTCTTGATTATTTATCATGTTTGGGACAAAAAGTTATTTTCAAACATGATAGGGAATGCACACACACACATATATGTATACAATATACATATGCAGAATATATAATGGCCTATGTTTAGTGGAGGTTCACTGCACTCTATGAAAACTTAGAAATGTCTTTATTTTCAAATAAACCCTGTCTTTCAGATTTTTAAACTTTATATTTATTTTATATATATATATATATTTTTTTTTCTTTTTTTTTTTTTGAGACAGGGTCTCACATTGTTGCCCAGATTGGAGTGCAGTGGCATGATCTTGGCTCGACCTCGACCTCCCGGGTTTAAGCCATTCTCCCACCTCAGACTCCAGAGTAGCTGGGACTACAGGCACATGCCACCATGCCCGGGTAAATTTTTTTTGTATTTTTAGTAGAGACTGGGTTTCACCATGTTGGCCAGGCTGGCTTCCAACGGGAGAGCTAAAAGGATTTGCCCGCTGGGCCTCCCACAGTGCTGGGATTAGAGGTGTGAGCCATTGCCCCAGAATTTATTTTTATTTTTTTAGAGGTAGAGTCTCTCTCTGTTACCCAGGCTGGATGCAGTGGCAATCATAGCTCTCAGTCAACTGGAACTCCTGGGCTCAAGCGATTCTTCCACCTCAGCCTCCGAGTGGCTAGAATTATAGATGTACACCACTATGCCCTGCTAACATTTAAATTTATTTATTTTATTATTATTATTATTTGTAGAGATGGGTCTTGCTATGTTTCCCAGGCTGGTCTCCAACACCTGGCCTTAAGTATCCTCCCACCTCAGCCCCTCAGTGTACTGGGATTACAGGCCTGAGTTACTGAGCCTGTCCTCAGAATTATTTAATATAGAGTAATATTGTTTCAAGGCACTAACTTTTATTATGAGTATATTTTATTACATGCTTCTCATCACTTTTAGCTCATTTACCTGAAGCCTTGCAAAGCAATCTGTAAACAAATATTCATTGTATATACTATAAGGGAATAAAAAAAGATGATGAGATAAATTCACTCCCCAAAAGGAGTTTACAATCTAATTAGGAAATAAAACATCCACCTGAACCAAGCAGTAACTATATGGACAAGACAGGATTTTATACACATTTTTAAAATCACATTTTATTCTGATTTATACAAAGGTTTGGCATCCTCTACTCTTTCTCTAAGAGACAATTAAAGTTACAGGAAGAAGAAATTCACGTGTGTATTTTTCATCTTGCATTACTCATGGCTGGATCTGGGTGAATGATTGTATGTCTTACAAGAGCAGATTGTGTCACAGACATACACATTAAGTAAAAAGATTATTCTGCTAGAAGGGAGTGAGAGGAGAGCTAGATTAAATACGATCGTTCTTCTCTTCTTGAATTGTGTTCTTTTTTACAGATAATAAAGACTAAAAAATACTGTGTTAGGTCTGTTTATTGATGCAACTTAAGCCTAAGTTTCCACTTATTCTTTTTATATACAATCTGTATATATTGTATTATGTCTCCGATGAATTAAAAAATTAACAAAAAATTCCGTGTTTTGAAAATCAATATAAAAATCCAAAAAAATCTATACCATGGCAATAAACCTACATATGCTATACTTCTGATCTAGTTTTTTAGTCTTCTCTGCAAAATAGTGAGGATGGCACCTACCTATTTTCTCTGCTCAGAGAGAATATGGAGAGGTTTTTTCTCTGCCTGTTCATCACATTCTTTAGAGCCCCTGGTATAGTGCAAAACCTGGAGATTTAGTTGAGTAGGTGTGTGAATTTACCATGTTCCTCAGGAAACAATGGAAAAGCATTAAGTTAGAGTGGCTTGCTATCCCCACTATTATGTGGAATACCTAAACTATAACTGGGGACACAGGTGGCTACATAATTTTCACAAAGGGAGCATACTGTTATGCTATTTCACTTCTTGAGTTCCTTTTGTTTTCCGTAAATGATACAGAAGGTCAACATTGTATACTACTAGACTGCAGAAGAAGAATTTACAAGGACTATAAGCTGAAAGCAGTGTATATGCAAAAATAAATCAGTTTTGCACTCTTTAGTTTGCCTTGATTTTCATTGCCACTAAATAACCAAATTTATTAGATAACAACTATTAGAAATTATATATATATATATAAAGACCGGGTCTTGCTTGTTCTGTTGCCCAGGCTAGAGTGCAATGGCACAGCCACGTCTCACTGCAGCCTCAACCTCCTGGGTTCAACAGATCTTAAAGTATTGGGATTACAGGTGTGAACCACCACACCTGACCAAACATGTTTTACTTTTGTGGTTAGAATAAAAGGCAGTTGATCTCCCTTTATTTTTTAAGTAAAATCTTTTATTAATGACAATTGTAGTTTTTTTTAAAAAAAACTGGAAAACACCTCAGTTCTCTTACACTTTGTAGAAGAACATGTGTATTATAATTATACAGGTTTTTTTTTTAGTAAACCAGTGCGAGTCTTTTGTGTCTAAAGCTTTGTCTGACTAAGGGTAACCAGTAACACAGGTGTGCTAGGAAGAGAAAACCATCTGTTTCTCTTGGGGCGGAAATGGATTTTAAAAGTCTATCTCCATTTACTGGAAAGCTAGAAGAAAATGAATACCTTTCCTACAATCCAGCGTTACCTTCTGTTGTTATTTTCAGTGAACATCTCTTTAGAAAACTACCAACAATATTTACAAAGTTTTAGAAATACAAGTTTGATTCAGGCTTGAGTCTCAAAGTTTACTTGCTGAAAGGGTATTAATTAGTAGCTGAGATTAAAGTGGAAACAGCCATAAACATTAAGTTCTTTTCAGAAATCCCTACTTACTATGATTAAAGCTTTGTTTTGTGCTAGAAAGATTTGGGACTCTCTTGAGTCTGGAATGGAGAAAATCTCTGCCTATCCTACCTGCTATATTTCCTTCTGCATAAAGTGAGAATCACACTGGAGTACTTAATAAATAAGTTGGTAATACCTCATAAAAGTGCTGTTTTTGATCTTTAAAAGGGCCACAGTTGAACCCCTGTGAAAATAAGAGAAAAGAAAAAAGGGGAGGGGGCACAGAGTAGCAATACTGATGTCCTTCAATAGGTAAATGGATAAACTAACTGTGGTACATTCATGCAAAGATAAAAGGAAATGAGCTACAAAGTCATGAAAAGAGATGGGGGAAATTTAACTGCAGATTGCTTAAATACATGTCTTAAATACACATCTAAAAAAGCTACATACTGTGCTTCCAACTACATGAAAAGGCAAAACTATGAAGACAGTAAAAAACAAACAAACAAACAAAAAACAGTTGTTGCCAAGGGTTTGAGGCGGGAGTGAGTAAGGGAGGAAGGAAGGAATAGGTGGAGTACAGGGGATTTTTAGGGCAATAATACTGATCTCTATGATGCTGTAATGGTGGATACATGTCATTATACATTTGTCAAGCCCATAGACTGTACAACACAAAAAGGTGAACCCAGTCATAAACTGTAGACTTTAGTTAATAATAATGTATCAATACTGGCTCACTAAATGTACCACACTAACGCTAGATGCTAATGACAGAAGAAACTGTAGAGGGTAGGGAGACGGAGTGAGGACAGGGAGTATATGGGAATTCTGTACTTTCCACTCATATTTTCTGTAAACGTAAAACTGCTCTAAGACAAAGTTTATTAATTAAAAACAAACAAATGAAAAGGCCATTAATGGCTACTGTGTGAACACCTGATCATCAGAGAGCTCTGATGGAGTCTGTAGCCTTGCTCTTACAGGCACTGCCAGACCTGGGCTGGGGCTTTGTGTCCTTCAGTATACAGCAATATACAGTACACATGAGTTGCACAGTCATGAAAAAATTACATTGGGTATTTTACTGTGTGTATGAAAGCTATTAATTTTTACCATATTAGAATGTTTTGGTCTCAAACCATATATGATGGAAAATTTTCACACAGAGTTCCTTTAAAAATGTCTGAAATTCGCATAGTTTTTGCATGTCTAATTCCATTTGGCACCTGCTCCTTTGAGGGCAAGAACAGAAAAATCATCCAACCTTTAATGTGGTCAATTTTATCCTTTGAAGCACAATCCTGTTGAAAATCTGTAAAACTTAACACCTATACTTATGTGAATTAAACTCTGATATTTATTAATTACAAAACTTTTTGTGAATATAATTACATATTCTGCAATTTTTTTAATTTGGGGGGAATATCAACTTGTTTTTGGTTTGTCATATAGTGCCCAAGTAGACATTGGATCTTTAGAACTGATGTGTTTCTCACTTTCCCTCTCACTGATAGGATGAAAAAAAGCATAAGGGAGATTTCAGTAAAACACAGATAGCATAGGTGAACATCTTTGTTTTCTCATTTATGTGCCACGAGGCTACCTTAATTCTTCCTATATGAAAGCAAATTCCCTTAATAATAAAAATATATTTTAAAGGTTTTTTAATTTTTAATTTTGAAATAATTATAGACTCACAACAAGTTATAAAAATAGTACAGGTAAGGCATGGTGGTTCACACCTGTAATCCCAGCATTTTGGGAGGCAGAGGTGGGTAGATCACTTCAGCCCAGAAGTTCAAGACCAGGCTATGCAACATGTGAGACCCCATCTCTGCAAAAAAAAAAAAAAAAAAAAAGCAAAAGCCTGGTATGGTGGCATGCACCTGTAATCCTGCTTACTCGGGAGACTGAGGTGGAAGAATTGTTTGAGTCCTGGAGGTTGAGGCTGCAGTGAACCAAGATTGTGTCACTGCAGTCCAGCCTGGACAACAGAGTAAGACCTGTCTCTAAATAAATAAATAATAAAAATAGTACAGAGAGGTACTATGCATTGTCCATCCAGCTTCTCCCAATGATAGCAAATATTAACATGATTAACAGATTTTTCATACACAACAAAATATTTCCAGTCAATGACCATATTGTTTTTAATTAAGCAGATTACATATTTTTCAATAATTTCAACAGCCCTCTAGACAAATTCACTTTAGTCATCTAGTGAGATTTAACTAATATGGTGGCTCTTTAGCATGCCTTAGAATCAGCTGCAGGCACATTAAACCAGAGGTTACTGGGTTCCTCCTCCAGAATTTCAGATTCAATAGGTTTAGGGTGGAGAACCAGAGGCTGCAGTTCTAATAGGTTCCCAGGTGATGCCAATGATAGTGGCCTGGGAACCACACCTTGAAAACAAAAGAATGAAAACCACATAATCTATGGCTGATTTCATGTTTTTAGAATGTAAGCTTAAGAAAGTCAGAACGAACTTGAAAGTGAAAACACAACTAGTGAAACTAGACATTTTATTATCTCTAAATGAGTAGCAGAAGAGGTTTGGGAACAACCGAGTCTGGCCAAAGTACAAAGGTTGTATCTTCAATGAAATTAAATTACTAGAAAGAAATTGTGACAATGAAAGCTAAAACTTAATCAGTGGAATTGCTCTCTGTCTGAAGAAAATAGGTATTTATAGGGAGGGAATGATCTGTATGGATTTTTGGAAAAAGAACATCTTCCAAAGTAAAATTTGTGGTTATTCAGCATTACTCAGAAAAGGGAGCACATTGACGAAGTGATATGAATAATCAACCTGGACTGAGTGGTCATGCATGTAACCAGACTTGGTGAGACTAATCATTGAGAGCATTTATCTCTTTAATTGTTACATTTGATTTGCATGTAAGAGTTGCACTTACTTGTTCTTTTTCTGGCAAACTTCTGATACACTTGGAAATTATGTATTTTTTTCTTGAGACCAGGGTCTTGCTCTGATGTCCAGGCTGGAGCACAGTGGCATGATCATGGCTCACTGCAGCCTCGACTTCCCAGGCTCAAGTGATCCTCCCACCTCAGCCTCCCATGGAGCTGGTACTACAGGCATGCAACCCCATGCTTGGCTAATTTTTATATATTTTTTTGTAGAGGCAGGGATTTGCCATGTTGCCCAGGCATGTCTCGACCTCTTGGGCTCAAGCAAACTGCCTGCCTTGGCCTCCCAAAATGCTGGGAGTACAGGCATGAGTCACCGCACCTGGCCGGAGATTATATTTTTTGATGTAAATGAACGCACAGGCATTATGAACTATTTATCGATCTCATATGAGTTTTGTTAGTCCCTAGGCTGTATCAACTCTAAGGACCCAGACAATCAGAATTTCTAGATATGCAAGTACTGGTACTTCTAAGGGCTTATTGGGGTGATCAAATTGTGTACATACCTCTGTATCTCCTCTCCATATGACAGTAAAACTACTGTTTATACATTCTGAAAAATTATCCATTTTAAACACATGAAATGTTTCTATTTACTAGAACTCCAGAGAAGAGACCATGATGTTAATTACAAATGTCAGTGTTGTCAAGAACTGTGAAGGTTCTGAGATTTTTACCCTGCTTTCTGGCTTACAAGTTATGCTGCCACAGTTTCATGGATGCTGAAAAAAAGACAAGATTCCTGGACCAGAGATGAAAGATAGCAGGAGCCAGTGTCAGAATTTTTGTGCTGGTTCTCTGAGCCCCAACTCTTACAGGACAACACAAATGGGGCAGATGACAGCTGTAACACACTGTTGGTTGTGTTCCAGGAAAGGAACCTGAACTTAGAGAGCCAGAATCTTTTACAATGGGCAGTGAGCATGCCTGCCCTTTGCTTTGGAATGAGATATTCTCTTTGTTATACTGGATATTAGGCATGCCTGTCCATTGCCCCAGAGGCTTGACACTGTCTCTATCTTCTAAGGCTGTAAGCAAACCTTTGTTCAGAAGCGCAACACTTTCTCCATTTGCCAAGTCCATTCACTATACAAACACCCTTGAGATTATCCACAAAAAAGGGCAGTCACAATATGTGCATAAATGTGAAAGACCCACGGAGAATTGTCTCCCAACCAGTATATACATATTGCAACAGTTCTCAGTTCTGAAAACACTGACTAATAGATTAATGACTTTCTTCTAGAAATCTTATCCTTCCATGATCCAGTTCATATAAATTAGAGCTAGATAAATCTATTACCTAGGCTAGTCTACTTGGAGGTAAAGGCGGATTTGTGGTAATATATAATGGCACATATACATTTGTTTTCAATTCATGTCCTTTCACATACTCCTTTTTCCCGTTAATATTTCTAATTATTTTAATCATTGCAAGTTTTCATAATGATTATTTGGTTTCTATTTTTCTCTCCTTTAGAACTGTTAAAAGTGTTCTGATTCTGATTTTAGCTCTGTAAAATAACTCACTGCTTTTGAGTCACTCCTGAATCTTGAAAATTTTGAAAGGTTAGTAAAATGTTATGCTGTTTCATTGTTGCTGTGGTAGCTACAGTTTTCTTTTCCCTTCTGCTTTTTGTGCCTTTGTTTATGTCATGCTACAAAATACTTTCGATCCTTTCCTGATAACTTGTACCAGACATAATGTCTCCTATCAGAGATCTAAGTCTGCAGCAGAAAATATCTGTTGTGTATTTATGCTAATTGGAACATACTGTCTTGTTTTCTCTTCTTCAATGAGATGAAGAAAACAATAATTTTGTCTCATTTAATTTTTTTAGAAAGAAATTTTGCATTTTACACAGAATAAGAAAATTGTTGGCTTTTTAAAATACAGCAGATAACTTTGAAAAAAATTCCCTGTCATATGTGGTTAAACTCTAAGGGAAAAATTATGACAATCATTTCTAATTTTTGCAACTATAATTGTCTATGGCAGATTCATTTGATGTGGATATTAGATTTGTAGGGAATAGAACACTCTTGAAGTCTGCTATCCTTTTATTATAAGCAAGCTGCTCACTGTAAGAATAAAAACAGTTTTAGCCACTTTAAAAGCTCATTATTTTGAGGGGCAGGCTTTGGCTTGACAACTAGAACAAATTCTGGCTCATGGCCAGCTTTGTTTCCTTTCATACAAACACTCAGTGATTAACTAGACTCACAGAACCTTAGTGTGGAACATGTAGTAGGAATCATTCAGTTCCACTGGTTTTCAACCTCTTATATGGTATAAATCCACCAAACTCCTGGGTCTCACCATAACAGAAAAAAACAGTAAACAACAACAAAATGCAAACACAAAATTTTATGAGTTTTGTGCTTCCTTTCATTATAATAATGTCTTAAAATTTGTTCAAAAAACTCAGGCCTGCCATCTATGCTACATATATATATTTGTGGTAAATTAGTAGTGGTTGAGATCCACTGCGAGTTTCAAGATTAGAAAACAGGCTTGATTAGCTGAGGTCGCACAGCTGTTTGGTGGCAGAGTCAGGATTAGGGCCCTACATCTCTTCATTCTCAAATATGTTTTTCAATATCTTGCCTCCTGGGGCACTGAACAGATGCTCAGTTGCCCCTGGAGTGATCTAAACCCTGCTTCTCTTTATGTCTGTATTCTGGGTGGGACTTTATTTGATAAACGAGTTAGCCACAGGCATAAATTAGGCAGTTTTCACTAATGTCCAGAGGTCACTAGGGTACCATTAGTAAAATAGGGTTTTATCTTAACTAAAAGGGCATCCTAGTAGCCTGAAAGAATTTATGAACCTCCAAACACATTAAACCAGAACTGAAGACATTTAGTATAGTCATTTAACAAATAATCCAACACTTCTATTCTCTCAAAAATTATTTAACAATCTACATTTTTCACTTGATGAAAATTTTATCACATTTTCTTCACATATGTACCTTGGTGACTATGAATCACTGATTGGTTGCATATTCACTCATCTGGGTCACATACTTTTATTGAGTGACGGAAGCTTGGGAATAAAGATGAATCCAATACTCCCTGAATTCAAGGCACTCAAAATTTAGGAAAGAATAAAAAATATATAAATGAAAAGTCATTCAACTTGAATAAGACTACAGAGCACAAATTGTAGTATAATATACTTACTTTCAAAAGATATTATAAAATCGCTGCTTTTGTGATTAATAAAGAATCCTATTATATTAAGATAATCATAACTACTAATGGAAAAGCCATAGCACACAAATATATAGTTTAAAGAATAATTACTTACTAATTTAAAATAATCTACATAGTTTTCTAAAAACTTACATGTATATCATCTTATTTAATCTTGGAAACAATTCTGGGAAGTAAGTAGGATATACAGTGCTATCATCATTTTATAAGTGAAACTCAGAAATTTGGCCCTTAATATACGGTAACCAACAAATACACTGCAAAGTTACCAGGATGTATGTCCCTCCCGATCTCTCCCCTTAGGTACCTGTGAGCTGGGCCCAAACTTAATACAGCGTTTAATCCCAGACAGTGTTTTGGGGCCCTGATCCTTTCCTCCTTTGCCTATCACAGGAAGCCAGAAAGAAATGTAAATTTACTCTTGATTCCAGGTTCCTTCAGCCTGGAGTAAAAACTTAAACAGAATACAACCCAGACGAAAAGGTTGAAGGAAAAGGTCTCAAACCCTGACAGGCTGAATTCTCAAAGACCATAACTAAAAAAAACAAATCAAAATGCTATGTTTAAAAAGCTTTTCTACCTCTCCTAACAGTCAAGCCAGACCCTTCTCCTATTAGATGCAAACACGATCTTTAATCTATAATGCATCTGCTTTCACAACATAGAATGATTAAAAGAGAGGAAGGCTCCCCTCCGTGCCCTATTCTACTTCCTCTCTATGCTTCTCTAAGTAGCTGATTACTATGAACCCTGCATGTTTCCGGCGATGTTTTTGGAGCTCTTTCCTTTGTTGTCATCTACTAGATTCAGAGCTTCTCATTAAGGAAATTAATGTAAGTATAGTAAAATATGTGGCCAAAAGAGTCAAAATTGAACTAGGTTTTGCTCATTCCATGTCCATTCCATATACCAAGCTTCCTCAACTACTCTTTTTGCATTTTTTACCTTCACTAATTTGACAGCTATTCATGAGTGTTTAGATACAGTTGTCAAATTAATAAATAATTCTAAAGTGCCATTTTTCCTGCAAATCCAATGATACTTAGACAACTTTTGGCTAGGCAATGCATAGGCGTGGTGGCTCTTGCCTATAATCCCAACACTTTGGTAGGCCAAGGCGGGCAGATCACTTGAGGTCAGGAGTTTGAAACCAGCCTGGCCAACATGGAGAAACCCCATCTCTACTAAAAACACACAAAAAATTAGCCAGGCGTGGTGGCAGGCTCCTTTATTACCAGCTACTTGGGAGGCTGAGGCAAGAGAATCGCTTGAACCCGGAAGGTAGAGGTTGCAGTAAGCCGAGATGGTACCACTGCACTCTAGCCTAGGCAACAGAGCGAGACTGCGTCTTGGGAAAAAAAAAAAAGAGAAAACTTTCAATGCTAATTAATTTATCATAATATAAACAGTTTCTAATGTTTACTTAGATTTATAAGGGTTGGACGATGTTCCTGAAAGAAAATAGAAAGTCACATAGGTAACCTGATTGATCTCAGACCAGTGTGTTTAATACTGCAAGGCAGTATAGTAAAGGGGTAAAGAGAGAAGTCTGGGGTCAGATTGTCTGGGTGGGTCTGATTTTGGGCTCTATATTTATTACTGTGTCACCTTAGGTAAGTCATTTAACTTTTCTGCGTCTCAGTTTTATCATCTAAAAAAAAACCCTTAAGATAATAATAGTATCCAACTTAGAAAGGCGATGATTTAGGACTTGTAAGATGCTCAGAAGAAATGTTGTCTGTGGTCATTATTGCACATAGGCTAATATTGAGGGGAGAACACTGGTTCATTCCCCTGCCTGTGATTTCAGGAATTCTGCCCCACTTAAAGTCTTACCAATATATGTCTGGATTCCCCATTTAAGGTTTTCATGGGCTTACAAAAACTCAGATCCTGCCTAAGCTACCTGAGGGTACGTTTTACCTCCCCTGCTGCTGGTCCTGTGACAAGGCTAATGTCTAGCCACACCAGGGTGCCTCCCCTAGATGCTCCCAACATTGGATTTCCAGGAGTCTTACTGTACCAAAGCCAAGGTCTTTTCCACCCAGAAGGGAAGGGAATACTTAGCCTCCTGCCTCTTGATGCCACATTCTACTCCCTTGAGTGCTTTAGGGAATTTGCTTCGATGCTTCATGCCTACTACGCCTTTCTCTTTAAACTTCACGCTTGGGGCCCTGGCTATGAAACAGGGATACCTGAGGCACAAAACCTCCCTACCTCTCCCGTTTTTCAAAGAGCAACTCTCTGGCAAATGGACTCATGAAAGTCCTGCTTAAAAGTTCCTCAGACATGTTTGAATGGGCTTAAATCTTACTTTAGGCTCAGTCCAGGACTCTGATTCCCCTTTCCTGGTTACATAAAGATGCTAATAAAATCCTGAAACCCCCTTTAAGCAATCAGCAAACAGAATCTCCTCTTAGTTTTCCCTTTTGGGCAACTGTATATGCCTGCACTGTATTCAGTAAACATATTTCCTAAACAAAGTAAAGCTTTCCATATGCTTTTGTGATTTTAACACATTACTGATTGAGCACAGTAAAAGCCTGAAATGCATGCAGTGCTAGTAAGATAGTCCCATGGGTATCTACTTCCTTAAACAACTTTCCCTCAAAAGTACTAAATGTCTCCATAATATCAACTATTGATAAAGTTCTCAATTCAGTGTTATGTCAGTTGAGGCAACCCACTGATTTATATTTCCTAGAAGGCTTTTTCTTTGAGAGTTAGAATGGTAGACAGAAAAGGAAATTAATCTACATGAAACTCTAAGGGAAAAATGTAGGTTTACAAGTAGTGAGGAATGGCGAACTATTTTTTTTTTTTCTGCAGGACATTTCTGATGAGTCATGTTTATATGCACAAGTATGTATACCCACTGTTACTACAGGCATAGTAGAGATACAGTTGGCTGCAGGCTGTACACAATAATCTGAAGCCTGGCTGTAAACCTTCTCTTCACATTAATCTGCCACACACTCTGATGATTAGGAATCCCTGATCCACTAATAATCTTTTCTACTATGAATATATAGCTGAACAATTTGTGATTACAGTTGCTAATATATCCTGAAGTACATCTAACCTCCAGTTGATGTCCCATCTGGTGGTGTTTCCAGTTTTGTGAGCTTTATCTCTGAATCAACTTTAATAGAAAATAGTAAGGTCCTGAAGCACTAGTAGTCACTTGGTTCTGGAACCCTATTTATCTCTGCATTTCAATAATGGGCATTTTTATGTAATGCCAATGAGCAGGGAATGTTCACAGAATGCACTATGTAGGGATTCCCTAATATCTGCGTTGTAGCAGCATCTAACCATGTGCCATTCAAGCATATTGTAAGCAAAAGGGATGGATTAGCCCAGTGTGGAACAATTAGAAATGAGCCAGCTTGCCTGAAACAAAGGCTACGGAAAGAGATTAAGAGTAGAGACATCTGCTTACCATCAAGGGTAGACTATAAATAGCAGTAGCAGCCTGAAACCAGAAAGTGATATATATATATATATATATATATATAAATGGAAAGGTCTATTGTTCACATACAAACTTTCCAAAACCATCACGACTGCCCCATCATCATTATCACTAATATTCCTTTGCAAATATTTATATTTAATATGCATTGAAAAATCAGGTTGCTTGTTTTAACATAAAACCAGAGTGTGTGATATAGGATGGTATATATTATTTTCAAATTTTAAAAGGAAAAAGAAAGCTCATAAAGGAATTACCCCAGTTATTCAGAGAGTTCAAATGTTTCTGTTTTGGTTATCCATCCTCTCTGATACAGCTCACAGGGAAGCTTCAAGTAGTTAGGAACTAAAAGGTATAAACCAATATTCACCGAGTCTTCTGAAAACACCATGACTTGCAGTTTCACAATTTTAAGAGACAGCACCCTGCAATACCATACTGTGCTTGAACATATGCAAAGAAGGATAATTATAACCATTTTTCAGTCTTGTGCAACTAGAAGTGGAGATATTGCACCCGATCTGCAAACTTCATTATGAGGCCACTAGGGTGTCCATCACTGTCAAATTCCTATTGGCATTTCAATTAAAGAGGAAGGATGGGGAGAGGGAAAGGGAAGTGAAAGGAGGACAAATATTATTCCTAGAAAATAGGCTCAGATATTTGTACTTAATATTTTCTACATTTTGATTATTTGGCAAGTGCCATGGGAGAGAGTGATGTCCAACTTTGCTTGTCATTTATCTCAGCTTATCCTTTGTTCCCAGTCACAGACTCAACTGGAAGCACTGTGCAAATTACCCCATGATGCAAGCATGCACTTAAGCCAATGGGTTATTTTGTATTTGAAGATGTCCCACCAAATTAATAACTTATTATTTATTGAGGGTTTTTTTCCACCAAAGGTGTACTAGATTTTCACCTAATAATCTATATACACTTATTCAGTTCCTGCCTGTGACCAAAGGCCAATTTTTTTTTTTTATCAGGTGCTTACCCAGGGCATGGAGTACAATGTATGATCACGTGGACAGATATTCTCCATAAAGTAAGAGGAAAATCACATGGAGAGTGAATCTTTGACCTAAGACTCATAAATACAAAGCACTTGCCAACTGAACTAGTGGCTAAAGAGAAAGAAAGCATTTCCAATTAGGAAATAAACCTGGTTTCACAATACTGTCTATCAAATATTAAGGGATTCTCAGCACTTTTGTCCCAGGTCAAATAATTCTAAACTTTTATTCTTTACTCAGAAAGCTCTCATTTCCAGAGACTAAACAACCAAGCACATCTGTGAATCTTGATTAAATCCTTATTTTAAAAATTGTAAAGACATTTTTGGGATGATTGGAGAAATTTGAAAATGATTATATTAGGTAAATTAGTGTTATATTTTGGAATTACTATTATATGTGCAAATTACTGTTCTATTTCTTAGGGACCATAATGCTATTATAGTTTTATATGAAAATATCCCATCTTCTTAGAAATTACAGCTGAAATATTTAGAGGTGAAGTGTGATGTCTGTAACTTTCAAATGTATATACACACACACACAAAGGAACTATTGCAAATTATTAACAAGGTGGTGGGTTATTTATTTTGGTATTCTTTCAACCTTTCTATATGTTTTAAAATTTCCATAATAAACATTTTGGAACAGTAATTTCTCTTTCTCAAGTTAGGGCAGCTCAATGGAAACAAAAACCAAAAAAAGCCACCACTCCAGGCATTGCCAATGTTAATGGAGATGAGAACACCTCTCCTAAGTTACGTTGCAAAGAAAAATAAATTTGGATGATCAAGTGGGCTTCATCCCTGGGATGCAAAGCTGGTTCAATATACGCAAATCAATAAATGTAATCCAGCATATAAACAGAACCAAAGACAAAAACCACATGATTATCTCAATAGATGTAGAAAAGGCCTTTGACAAAATTCAACAACGCTTCATGCTAAAAACTCTCAATAAATTACGTATTGATGGGACATATCTCAAAATAATAAGAGCTATCTATGACAAACCCACAGCCAATATCATATTGAATGGGCAAAAACTGGAAGCATTCCCTTTGAAAACTGGCACAAGACAGGGATGCCCTCTCTCACCACTCCTATTCAACATAATGTTGGAAGTTCTGACCAGGGCAATTAGGCAGGAGAAGGAAATAAAGGATATTCAATTAGGAAAAGAGGAAGTCAAATTGTCCCTGTTTGCAGATGACATGATTGTATATCTAGAAAACCTCATCGTCTCAGCCCAAAATCTCCTTAAGCTGATAAGCAACTTCAGCAAAGTCTCAGGATACACAATCAATGTGCAAAAATCACAAGCATTCTTATACACCAATAACAGATAAACAGAGAGCCAAATCATGAGTGAAGTCCCATTCACAATTGCTTCAAAGAGAATAAAATACCTAGGAATCCAACTTACAAGGGACATGAAGGACCTCTTCAAGGAGAACTACAAACCACTGCTCAATGAAATAAAAGAGGATACAAACAAATGGAAGAACATTCCATGCTCATGGGTAGGAAGAATCAATATCATAAAAATGGCCATACTGTCCAAGGTAATTTATAGATTCAATGCCATCCCCATCAAGCTACCAATGACTTTCTTCACAGAATTGGAAAAAACTACTTTAAAGTTCATATGGAACCAAAAAAGAGCCCGCATCACCAAGTCAATCCTAAGCCAAAAGAACAAAGCTGGAGGCATCACATTACCTGACTTCAAACTATACTACAAGGCTACAGTAACCAAAACAGCATGGTACTGGTACCAAAACAGAAATATAGATCAATGGAACAGAACAGAGCCCTCAGAAATAACACCACGTATCTACAGCTATCTGATCTTTGACAAACCTGAGAAAAAGAAGCAATGGGGAAAGCATTCCCTATTTAATAAATGGTGCTGAGAAAACTGGCTAGCCTTATGTAGAAAGCTGAAATGATCCCTTCCTTACACTTTATACAAAAATTAATTCAAGATGGATTAAAGACTTAAATGTTAGACCTAAAACCATAAAAACCCTAGAAGAAAACCTAGGCATTACCATTCAGGACACAGGCATGGGCAAGGACTTCATGTCTAAAACACCAAAAGCAATGGCAACAAAAGCCAAAATTGACAAATGGGATCTAATTAAATTAAAGAGCTTCTGCACAGCAAAAGAAACTACCATCAGAGTGAACAGGCAACCTACAGAATGGGAGAAAATTTTTGCAACCTACTCATCTGACAAAGGGCTAATATCCAGAATCTACAATGAACTCAAACAAATTTACAAGAAAAAAACAAACAACCCCATCAACAAGTGGGAGAAGGACACGAACAGATACTTCTCAAAAGAAGACATTTATGCAGTCAAAAAACACATAAAAAAATGCTCACCATCACTGGCCATCAGAGAAATGCAAATCAAAACCACAATGAGATACCATCTCATACCAGTTAGAATGGCAATCATTAAAAAGTCAGGAAACAACAGGTGCTGGAGAGGATGTGGAGAAATAGGGACACTTTTACACTGTTGGTGGGACTGTAAACTAGTTCAACCATTGTGGAAGTCAGTGTGGTGATTCCTCAGGGATCTAGAACTAGAAATACCATTTGACCCAGCCATCCCATTACTGGGTATATACCCAAAGGATTATAAATCATGCTGCTATAAAGACACATGCACACGTATGTATACTGCGGCACTATTCACAATAGCAAAGACTTGGAACCAACCCAAATGTCCAACAATGATACACTGGATTAAGAAAATGTGGCACATATACACCATGGAATACTATGCAGCCATAAAAAAGGATGAGTTCATGTCCTTTGTAGGGACATGGATGAAATTGGAAATCATCACTCTCAGTAAACTGTCGCAAGGACAAAAAACCAAACACCGCATGTTCTCACTCATAGGTGGAAATTGAACAATGAGAACACATGGACACAGGAAGGGGAACATCACACTCTGGGGACTGTTGTGGGGTGGGGGGAGGGGGGAGGGATAGCATTAGGAGATATACCTAATGCTAAATGACGAGTTAATGGGTGCAGCACACCAGCATGGCACATGTATACATATGTAACTAACCTGCACATTGTGCACATGTACCCTAAAACTTAAAGTATAATAATAATAAAATAAAATAAAATAAAAGAAGAAAAATAAATTTGGTTGAATTTGTTTTATTTCTTAATTAATTTGACACGTATTTGTTGAATATTTATTCTGTGCTACATACATGGGGGTAAAATAATAATCTGAAATTCCTCTAAGAATTTGTAATTCAATAATGAATAGTAATTATTGTGAATTCTGCCTCCAACCTCTTTCTATACCCTTCAATAACTCTATGTAACCATCATCTAAGGCCACTACAACTAGTGCTTAAAATCTTTATCATAGCTTGGCCGGGCGCGGTGGCTCACGCCTGTAATCCCATCACTTTGGGAGGCCGAGGTGGGCAGATCACGAGGTCAGGAGTTCAAGACCAGCCTGGCTAACATGGTGAAACCCCATCTCTACTAAAAATACAAAAATTAGCCGGGTGTGGTGGCACCTGCCTGTAATCCCAGCTACTTGGGAGGCTGAGGCAGGAGAATCGCTTGAACCCAGGAGGCGGAGGTTGCAGTGAGCCGAGACCGTGCCACTGCACTCCAGCCTGGCAACAGAGCAAGACTCCATCTCAAAAAAAAAAAAAAAAATCTTTATCATAGCCTATCTGGATCACTGTAATTGCTCCAGACCTGATCATGCCATTTCCCTGCTTAAACTCTGTACTGCCTTGTCACTGGCCTCAAAACTCTGTGATTAATTAGGTCTCAATTTACCTCTCTAGATTTATCTATCACCACTCATACCTCAAAATCTATCACTTTAGATTAAATTCTTTTCCATTTTCCATCTTGCTATACTCCTTCTTACTTTTGGGGTTTGCACATGACACTCCCTCTGCTTGAATCATATTCTCCACCCCAATCCTCTTCTATCTTTGCCTGTTTACTTCTTACAAGCCCTTCAGGTCTCCTATTATGCGTCACTGCAGGAAGCTTTCCTTGACCTTTGAAGTCATGCCTTGACGATAGCACCTCCTACTTTCCCTGGCATTCCCCTTATCACACCACATCATAACTGCCAGTTTAATAGCCTAGTCAGTGTTTAAAAATTAGCATGCTGCACTTCTCACTGTGAACTCTGGCATAATTGTTAAGATACAGGTAATAACATTGACTGGAAACATTAAATGGATATGAGAAGAGTGTAAAGTTATCTGTATATGGGTAAACTTCAAGTAATGGTTATGTCAGAGCCAAAGGAAAGCTTCCCTTCACCCTCTGAAGGTTTGCTGAAAATCACTGACAAGAGGCAGATTACTAAGAGGAAAGGTGTACAAATTTATTTGATCATAGTTTTACTTGACATGAGAGCCTTCAGAATGAAAACCCAAAGATAGAGGGGAAATTGTCCATTTTCATGCTTGGGTTCAACAAAGTACGGAAGCTGTGTAAAAATATGATTGGACAAAAGGGTAAGATCTAATGTTAATAGGCTAAGGGGGGAAGCCCAGCATGGCCTGTCTGTCTAGATTCTTTTTGGCCTCTCTGATCATGTATTCCTTCCTTCTGAGTGAGGGGTGAGACCCTCTCAGGAATGGGACTCTTATGACCTATATTCAAACAAAGTAGGTCAGATAATTTCCCTATGACTAGTCTATTTTTTTTTTTTTTTTTTTTTTGAGACAGAGTCTCACTCTGCCATCTGTCACCCAGGCTGGAGTGCAGTGGTGAGGTCTCGGCTCACTGCAACCTCCACCTCCTGGGTTCAAGCGATTTTCTTGCCTCAGCCTCCTGAGTAGCTGGGATTACAGATATGCACCACTATGCCCAGCTAATTTTTGTATTTTTAGTAGAGACAGGGTTTTGCCATATTGGCCAGGCTGGTCTCGAACTCCTGATATGGCCAGTTTTTACGAGCAGGGTGAGAAAGTTATAATATTTTTAGATTTTATAGCTGGCTCTGAGGGAAGGGATTCTGGTTTCTATGACTCACCTCAGGGAAGAGGGATCCTAATTTCTTTGGCTAGCCTTGGGGGAAAACGAGAGTGAGAGATAGGAGGGCAGATCAGAGAAAAACTTTGCTTCTGAGGCCTTCCTTTTGGGGTACTATTTTCTGAGTCCAGTGGTTATTATATGTTGCTGCTGGCAAATTGTCCAGTTAAGAAGTTCCAAAAGAGACTATATGGCAATATATTACCTACCTTTTTGTTTGGAATTATAATATTTTTAGAAACATGTAGGAAGTCAAAATTAACTCCCTTATATCTATGTGTGCCTTTTATTATAAAGTCATCTGGTACCATGACTTTAAAAGGCACACATACTCACATGCACACAATTAAAATGAAATGGAAGACGTGAAAAACTCATAACTTAGCAATATGCTTATCAACCCCCTGGTTATTTGTTGAATTGTTCACTAGAAAGCCTTTCCTGGGTCCTCTGGTAATAGAAATAATTCTAATTATAGCACACTTCATTTTTACTGTGTAGCCCACTACAGAGCACTCTCCTCTACCTTTTTCTTCTCTTTCCTTTCTTTCTCTTTTCCCTTCTGTCATGGATTATTAATGATGGTTGGCTGTGATTTATTAGCTGTCTTGCACAGTGTTTCTTAAGTGTATCATTGACATTAGCTAATTGCCAATGCTGCAACCCTGCCATAATCCCTGTCACACTGTTTTCCGTTTAAACACTTGCTGTTTTGCCCAAACTTCCTTCACACTGATCTTCTAAAGACCAAATAAAATGCTATCTACTATTCTCTATTTATAGTAGTGCATTGATTCCGTGTGTTTAATGTCTGAAGTTTGACTTCAGGCAAGCTGAAATATATTATAAATTTTTGTGCATGTGTCATTACATACTACCTTTAAAGTTTAAAAAATCAACTAGCTCACATAATATACCAATTACCAGGCTGAAGTGATAATTCACTCTCACTTGAAAAATGAGAAGTCAACCTGATTTATAGTTTGTACCATACATTTATAGTGTATGTAACACAAAAGCATGTCTGCCCAGGCATTCTATCTTGTGACACTTCCAAATATCTACAGTAAATAATGTTCATAATGAAGAGCTTACAAGGTCTCGAATACGAGATTATGGTCCAGGTAGTTTTAGCATTGAATGCATTTAATTGTTAAGCCCTTTAGAAATGTAATGTGTGTATTGTATAGGTGTTCTAGGTGAGTATCTATTTTTAACTGTTAATTGTCATTAGTCACTTTTAACACAATGTCCTGTATGCACAAAATTGTTATATGCTCTAGGCATCTGCCTATTTCTCACTGAGATGGATTTTTTTTTTAGTATGTGAATAAGTAAGTCATTTCAGAATCCAGAAAAAACATATAATACACAGTTATAAAAGTTATTTCTCTCTAATTATCACCAGGCAGAGTCTGATATTGAATCACTAACTACCCTTTAGATCCGTAATTTAATGGCAACAAATGTGAGCATCACTTGCAGTAGCTTTAAACAGAATTCCTAACCTACTTATATACTCTGGTGGTCAATCTCAGTCTCTGCTTTCTTCCTGTGGAGGAATTGAAATTCAAACTGTTCATCATCCTGTATAAGTATAGCATGAAACTTGGCCTTGAATATTTGAGTTTCTTAATCTGTGCTTATTTTGTAAACCCCCCATAAAGCTATTTATTATTATTATTAACACATCTATCACCACTCATGCTGTACATTAGATCTCCAAAAGTTGTTCATCTTATAGCTGGAGGTTTATACCCTTTGACCAACAATCTCCTCATTTTCCCCACTCCCCAGCCCCTGGCAACTACTGTTCTACTTTCTGCTTGTATATGAATTCAATTTTTTTCTTTCTGGGACACAGTCTCGCTCTGTTGCCCAGGCTGGAGTGCAATGGCCCCATCTCAGCTCACCGCAACCTTTGCCACCCAGGTTGTAAGTGATTCTCCTGCCTCAGCCTCCCGAGTAGCTGGGATTACAGGCACCCGCCACCATGCCCAGCTAATTTTTGTGTTGTTGTTGTTTTTTTTTTTAGTAGAGATGGTTTACCATGTTGGCCAGGCTGGTCTCAAACTCCTAACCTCAGGCGATCCACCCACCTCGGCCTCCCAAAGTGCTGGGAATATAGGCGTGAGCCACCGCGCCCAGCTGAGTTCAACTTTTAAGTGAGATCTTATAGAATTTGTCTTTCTGTGTCCGGCTTATTTCACTTAGCATAATGCTCTGCAGGTTTATCTATGTTGTTGCAAATGCCAGGATTTCCTTCTTTTATGGCTGAATAACATTCTAATGTATATATGTCCCACAATTTCTTTATTCATTTATCTGTTGATGGACACTTAGGTTGTTTCCATCTCTTGGCTGCTGTGAATAATGCTTCAATGAACACAGGGGTGTAGATACTTCTTCAAGATACTGATTTCATTTTCTTCGGATATATATCTAGAAACAAAATTGCTAGATTATATCTTGTTCTATTTTTAATTATTTGAGGAAACTTCATATTGTTTTCCATAATGGCTGTACCAATTTTTATTCCCACCAACAATGTACAAGGGTTCCCTTTTCTCCATATCCTCACTGACACTTGTTATATCTTTTATTTTTCATAGTAGTCATCCTAACAGGTGTGAGGTGATACCTCATTGTGATTTTGATATGCATTTCTCTGATGATCAGTGATTTTGAGCATTTTTTCACAGATCTGCTGGGCATTTGTCTATCTTCTTTTGAAAAAATGTCAATCCGGGTCCTTTGCCCCTTCTGAAATTGGGTTACTTGAGTTTTTTCTATTGAGTTGTCTGAGTTAAGGAACTTCGATATTTTGGATATTAATCCCTTATCAGTTACATGGTTTCCAAATATTTTCTCCCATTCCATAGGTTGTCTTTTCATTGTGTTGACTGTTTCATTTGCCAAGCAGAAGCTTTTTTGTTTGTTGTAGTCTCAATTGTTCATTTTTGCTTTTGTTGCCTGTGCTTTTGGTGTCACATCCAAGACCAATGTCAAGTAGCTTTTCTCCTATCTTTTCTTCTAAGAGTTTTATGGTTTCAGACCTTATATTTAAGTCTTCAATCCATTTCAAGTTAATTTGTGTATATGTTGTAAAATAAGGGTCCAATTTCATGTTTTGTATGTGGATACACATTTTCCCTAACACCATTTGTTGAAGAGACTGTCCTTTCCCCATTGTGCATTCTTGGTGCCCTTGTAAAAGACTGGCTGACTATACATGTGTGGGTTTATTTCTGGGCTCTTTATTCCTTTTTATTGGTCTAAATGTCTGTTTTTATGCATATAAATGTATTCTTTAATCCAAATGCTACCAGGATGTCCAGGATTGAATAAAAATCAGCAATCCTCACTGACTAATCCAAGAAAAGAACATGCAACATTGTCTTTAGTTTAGCATTTAATGTTTTAAAATAAACTTTAGAATGCTAAAGTTGTTGATCAGAATTGCAAGAGATGAAGCAGCACTAAAATGCTTTGTTTGAATTTTTTTCACCCAGTGAACATTACGTCTTTTCTGGTAACAATAGTGTGATGGTTAATTTTGTGTGTCAACTTGACTGGTTTAAGGATACCCAGATAGCAAGTAAAACATGATTTCTGGATGTGTCTATGAGGGTTTTCTGGAAGAAATTAGCCCATATAGAACAAAAAAGATAGAAGGAGGATGGATTCACTCTTCCTTCTGGAGCTGGGACATCCATCTTATGCCCTTGGACATCAGAACTCCAGGTTGTCAGGCCTTCAGATGTGGAATATGACACTACCAGCTTCTCTGGTTCTCCAGTTTGCAGATGGCAGATCATAAGACTTTTTGACCTCCAAAATCACGTGAGCCAAACCCCATGATAAATCCCCTTTTATACATATCTTTATATATCCTATTCATTCTGTTTCTCTGGAAAATCTTGACTAATACAAAAAGTTTTGCTCAAAACAGAAGGTTTGAAAAATAAAATAAAATAAAAAATATAGAATCACTTGTAATTTTTCTTGATTTCCAGAAATAACCTGTTAATATTTTTGATTGTGTCTTTCTAGTGTCTTATTATACATCCCCATAGCACTAGATATTTCCCGCATTGGAATAGTCATCATGCTTGTAATATTAGTTTAAGGTTTTCTTTTCCCAAGATACCACAGTCTTTGTGAAGCAGGCCTTTCCCTGCCTCATGCAGTACCATATCCAGAGTGCCTAGTATAGTGTCTGGCACATAGCAGCAGACATTCAACAAATACTGGCCATGAACAGATAGCTGTTTTCTATGCATTTATATATATTTTATACATATGCTTTTTGCTTCCTAATAGTTTATACAGCACATGTAGAATGCATTTTCAAATAAAAATCCTTTTATGCACAATTTATAATACTATCTCTGGTCAAACAATCATTGACACCTTATTTCCCTTCTACTTTGAAAATATATGCCTAATAAATCTTTAAGTAGATACTTCATAACATACTACATATTCCAAGCCAGATCACACTTACACAGTAAAAAATCAATAGAGCCAAGCATGGATACTCAGCAGAAAACATTTATTTAAATATTGAGAATGCTGTAGTAGTGTTTCCAAAGTTGTGGAAGAGTACCTCATCTTTTTAATTTTTGACAATTTCTCATAAGGAAAGCAGTTGAATTGCAATGCTCCCATGAGACTAACCTGTTTTTTTAAGGAGGTGGGGAACTAGTATACAAATCACTGACGTAACCGAAGGTGATGGAGTCTCCTAAGAAATTTTAAAACCAATGTATGATTATAATGAGAACAGGTATTTTAAAGTGGAAAAGAATGATAAGACCTCTTATCCCATGACTGATTACTATATATTTCTCAAAAAATCTGAAAGAAGGGGAAAATTAAAATATTAAATTTGATGCATCATATCCATTCTACAACTTCCTCTTGGTTACCAAGAACTCATTCATCACTAAATATAATCATCATCTCTTTTAAACTCTCTTCTTCATTGACACATTTTTTTCAGTTATAAAATAGCAAGACACTATTCTAAGCACATTACAATTGGTATCACCTTCTTTGCTTTCAATACTTTGTATTGGTTTTCCTCTTCCCTCTCTGGCCACGTTTTCCTACCTTTTTACTGGGCTTAGTTTCCTTTCCTTCTTCTGTAAATATTGGTGATCTTCTTCCATTTTCTCATGCTATGAGCTCTCCTTAAGCAGTCTCATGTACATAATTTAAACTATAGCAATGTCTAGAACCATATTTCTTTTTTTTGCTATATATAATAGTATATTTTTTTCTAGAAGTTTTTTTTAATACTTTAAGTTCTAGGGTACATGTGCACAATGTGCAGGTTTGTTACATACGTTTACATGTGCCATGTTGGTATGCTGCACCCATTAACTCGTCATTTACATTAGGTATATCTCCTAATGCTATCCCTCCCCACTCCCTCCACCCCACTACAGGCCCCAGTGTGTGATGTTCCCCACCCTGTGTCCAAGTGTTCTCATTGTTCAATTCCCACCTATGAGTGAGAACATGCAATGTTTGGTTTTCTGTCCTTGGCAACAGTTTGCTCAGAATGATTGTTTCTAGCTTCATCCATGTCCCTACAAAGGACATGAACTCATCCTTTTTTATGGCTGCATAGTATTCCATGGTGTATATGTGCCACATTTTCTTAATCCAGTCTATCATTGATAGACATTTGGGTTGGTAGAACCATATTTCTAATATCCTGGTCACGTCCTCTTCCATTCTCTGAAGTTTTTGGCACTCTTCCTCTGTATCTCAAGCTAGGCTTTCATCCTAGGTGATACAATATCCTGGGTGGTCTGTGTGACACCTGCGTCACACATCTCCCACAATGACCTCCATCATCCCACCTGAGCCACCCACTCCCATAGTCATTCTTTGGAACTTACCATCAACTTCAAAGGGATTAATTTAAGATTCTGTGCTGTGAACAAAGCTTCCTTTTTTCCATTTTCTCCTTGAAATATACTCCCACCACAATTTTTTTAAGCCTCATTAGATTTCTAGCCCATTGATCCTTTATTCTCCTGACAACCTTTTGACTTCACTTCCTTTCTTATAGACCATAGATACAATAATCCAACCTAGTTAAATGTTATTTTGCCAGTACCCTAAAATTATTTTCAAAATTGTCCTTCTCTCCTACCTTCTGTAATGTTACTATCCCTAAATGAGTCTATTTAAGTCTGCCTTTACCAAGCCCACTCAGGCTCTGATATTCTGCTGAAGAAAATCCTATGCCAGGTAGGTTAATATTGCCATTTATTAATGACTATTAACCTTAACCCTCACATGGCCTAAAGAGATACTATATTACTTGCCCAACTCTCCAATTGTTCACCATGATTATTCCAAAATGTTTCATGTTATCTTCAATATCTGCTACCCTTTCTTCCACCTCCCAGAATCTTAATCACTTCCAGAAGACTTTCTCATCTCCTACCCTACTGAGAAGAGAGTAACTATAAAAGGCAGTTTCCTGAAGTTGTCACCTTTTAAAAATTGAAGTACAGTTTATTTAAGTTTGAAAACATTTCAGCATTTGAAACATAAAAAAACCCAGAACATTGCAAATCTTGTTTAAGTACGGAAGGCTATTGAACTTTCATTGACACAGTGGCTCTTTGCTTTGCTGACAGTGAAAAGCTCTACAGTTTGTCTAAAAACAATTTAAAAACGACTGCATTTAACTAAAAAAAAATTCTAACACTTCTCATGCCACCTGACCCCCTTATTCCAAGCAGCACAATGCTATGTCACTATATAAAAAAACAAGACTACCCTAAGCTAAACGGAAGCCCATCACAGTGGAAACAGTTCCAGCCTCACAGTGCACCCTCTGAGCTATGGCCCCTGCAAAAGACATCTCTCCCTATAGCCTCAATACCAAGCATCAAGAGTTTGTATTGGTTGTTTTATTCTTTTTACAAACTATAAATATGAACGGTTAATAACTCAGCATTTCTAGCCAATAACCATACAGTTAACACCACCTTACAAATTAAAAAAGTCAGAAACATCTTTAAATGCCTTGTTACACCAACAACAAAGTACACAGTGAACAGAACACAACAGTGCTTTTTCATTTTTAAAATGTTTGGAAATACATACAACTTTGATACCATTTCAGGGTGTTCCAGACACCCATGGCCACTTCATGTAAACCACTGACAACTTCTAGAGCACTTTGAGAGGCTACAATATGATCATCATCAGATTTTGTAATTAAATCTAATGAGGCCAATAGACACTTCACAATAAGAAACTATCAATTACAATCCTCCCGTATTCTAAGATATTCACATAGAGATAGATAAATGGTTTTAAAGTCATCCTCCTCCACTGCCTCCTCCTCTTCATTCTCCTCATCTTCTTCGTCTTCTGCTTCCACCTTTTTCCAGGCAATGTTAGTAGGATGTTTTGTGCCATCAAACTTTCCTTTATGCTTACAGTCAGCAACATCCTTCTCATACTTCTCCTTCAGTTTTGCTGCCTTAGTGATGTAAGAGTGCTCTTCACTGTCACTTAAGTTATTCCTCATCTCACCCAGCTTTTTTTTTTTTTTTTTTTTTGCTACTTCTCCAATAGAGACACAAAGGTTTGTGGATTTAATCTTGGGACAAAATTCTGAACAGAATGGGAAATACCAGATGTTGGTCTTCTAGGGGCATAAAGGTTCTTCTTCTTGCCTCTTTTAGCTGGTCTGTAATCCTTCATTTCCCAATCATAGCATACTTTATTTGCCTTTGCAATTTCATCAAATTTAGACTTATCTTTCCCAATCATAGCATACTTTATTCTCCTTTGCAATTTCATCAAATTTAGACTTCTCTTTCCCAGACATCCTCTTCTACCTCTCAGACCAAATTCTGCAAAATCAAAAGAGTCCTCTGGGTTTTTCTTCTTACATTCTTCTCTTCAATTCTGTGCAAAGAAGGCATAAGCAGACATCTTGTCTTTTAATTTGTTACAATCACCTTTAACCCTCCTGACTGTATTGTTTGTTAGTTTGGGCAATGCAGGGCACCTCAACTTGTCATCTTAAGACCTACAAATTTACATTTGCACCTGCTCTTTCCTCCTTTTATCTTAAATCCACTACAATTCACTCAACAAACAACATTTACTGAGTGCCTACTATGTGCCAGGCACTTTGCTAGGTGCTAGGAGCACAAATATTAAGCTAACTAGTCTCTTACTTCATGGAGCTTGTAGTTTTGTGGGAAAGAGATCCCTTAAATAACTATGTTAATCATCAATTAATTACATTTGTGATAAGTGCCATGATGAAAACAGGGTGCTGTAAGATCATAAAACAGGAAGATATGACCTATATTTAAAATAAAGACTTTATATAAGTAAGATAAGCAGGAGTTTTTCAGGAAAGAGGTACGTAAGTGGAAGAAATTTCAGCCAAGAGCATGGTGTATTAGTCTGTTCTCATATTGCTATAAAGAACTACCTGAGACTGAGTAATTTATAATGAAAAGAGGTTTAGTTGGCTTATGGTTCTACAGGCTATACAGGAAGCATGACTGGGGAGGCCTCCGGAAACTTACAGTCATGATGGAAGGGCAAAGGGGAAGCAAGCACATCTTCACATGGTGGCAGGAGAGAGACAGAGAACAAGGCGGAAAGTACTATACACTTTTAAACCATCAGATCTCATGTGAATTCACTCACTATCACCAAAACAGCAAGGGGAAAATCTGCTCCCATGATCCAATCACCTCCCGCCAGGTCCCTCCCCCAATATTGGGAATTACAATTCAACATGAGATTTCGGTGGGAACACAGAGCCAAACCATATCACATGGATAACAGCATGTCTTTCCAAGGAAATGAGAAATGATTGAAATGTCTGGAGTATAGAAAAACCAGTATAAGATGAGGTTGAGGGCAGACTGGTCCTTGTTAATCATGTTAGGAATTCTGGTCATTTTTCAAACAGTAAGACATTATAAGAAGGAGATTATGGAATTGGGAGACATCAATCTATATGTATCAACATAGAAAGATGTTCACAATGCAGGCAAAAGATAACAAGTTACTGAATAATATGTATAGTATGTATGATTGCACATGTGAAAAAACTGTTTTCTTACACATAGTAAATCTGAAGAGAGACACAACCAGACAGCAGATTAAAAATAAGTGGAAGGATGTGTAATCAAATGTTAAATGTGATTGAGAGTAGAACTGTGGATGCTATCTAGTTTTGTTTTTCTTGTTTATGTTTTCTGGGTATTTTCTAATTGTTTGGTGATTGACATATATAATATAAAGAAAAAAATGTTTTTAAGTTAAAAATCCAAAGGCAAATAATCTGGGAGAAGGCATACCGATGTTCCCTCCCACCTGCATCTATAACAGCTATCCATAATAAAAGGAAAAATAAATTAAAATTTTGGAGGCAGGAATAAATGAAAAGCTATTTTATGCTTAGGATACCACAGGCTTTTTTTTTTCTTAATGTGATACTATGCTAAAAGAATCTCTAGGGACATGGAAGTGTTAATGCACTTCTCTAAGTACTCAACAAAAAGTAAGAGGCAGCAAGTTAAAACGGCCCTTCAAAATTGGATGGATGCCTGAGCAAAATCCAATTAGTGGCAGCCTCCTCCGGAGTTGAGACTAAGAACCCATTTCCATTAGAGTGGTCCTTGGTCCAAATCAGATCATTGTTTTAGGAACTCAGGTCTCTCCATGACAGATCCAGCTTAGTTTAGGACCCTTGGGACCCTAGTACCTAATGTATCAGTGGAAGTGCCTTTTATGTAGAAGACTCACTGAAATGAATGAATTAATGAAAACATAATAATAATATGGCTAGAAGGGCAGTCCGAGCATCAGAAATTTTGAGAAGCTGAACAAAATAATAAAACAGTAATGATAATAGTGATAGTAAAAGTAAAATAGTTGCTATAAGGTAAGGCAAATACCCAGCTCCTAGAGTCTACTAAAATTGACAAAAAATAATGTTATCAGAAAAATGCTTTCTTCGTTTTGGCTGCTATAATGAATGCCGTAAACTGAGTAGCTTAAACAACAGGTATTTCTCATCGTTCTGAGGCTGGATGTCTGAGATTAGGGTGCCTGCCTGATTCTTGGAGAGGGGTTCCTATCTACCTGATTATGTCCTCACATGGTCTCCCTTGGTGTGCATACACACACAGAGAGATATCTCAAGTCTCTTCCTCTTTTTCTAAGAGTATTAGTCTTATCATGGGGTCTCCACCCTCATGGCCTCACCTAAACCTAATTACCTCCCAAATGCCCCACCTCCCAATACCATTACACTGGGGACTAGGACTTCAAGATAGGTATTTGGGGGGAACACAAACATTCAGTCACTAGGAAATGCCAACATAATTTACAGAGGCAGAATGTCTCCTGAGTCATTTTATAACTGGTTACACATTAAATGATGCCATTATTTTTATAAAGAAAAAAATAAAGCCAGTCCTGGTGGTAAATCCCTATAGCCCCAGCTACTTAGGAGCCTGAGGTGGGAAGGTCTCTTAGGCCCAGGAGTTAGAGACTGCACTGAGCTATGATCGTACCACTGCACTCAACCCTGGGTGACAGAGGGAGACCTCGTCTCTAAAAAAGAAAAAAAAAAAAAAAGGTGGGGGTTGTCAACCAAAGTTGAGTAGTCAGCATGAATGCCTAGATAAAAGGACATCAAAGAGAAAACTTGGCAATACCCGCTCAGCGTGTCCAGTGGAAAAGAGATATTCGAATCCTAACTGCTCTATTGGGACTCTGCGGTGAGTGACCCTATTTTGGAGGCTGATAAACCAGGTTATTATGGGGTGATGTCATTAGGCATTTAAGCACTACAATTCTTCTCTTCCCCTCTCAACTGTCACCACCCTTTCCCTCATCCCGTGTTCACTAAATAGCTTCTGATTGTAATATGCTTTCCCATGCGCATTTCCTACAGGGAAGGAATGTGCTGCTCTCGCAGACTTGAACAGTCCATGGGACTGCTCTTCTTAGCTAGCTGTCATTCTCATTTATACAAGCTGTCTTCTCCAAGCTCCTCTGGCGTATGACTATATCTAGAGGCTAAATATAGTCCAGAAATGCTAATCAAAAGGGATGAACTTTCCTATTTTACTTATTTATAGATTTAGCCCCTTACTCACAATCTTCCTCTTCATCCCAAACTCTGTCCTCCTCCTGGGTGATTTAAACATTCATGTGGCTGTCCCTTTCAGCATTTTGGCCTCTTGCTTCTTTGGCATGCACATATTCCATTAGCTTTTCCTTTATTCCACTGCAGCCATATGCTCCCATGGCCATATCCTAGATCCTGTCACCACTTGAAATTTTTTTACATCCTAAGTCATTAACTCCAGTTTCTTATTCTCTGACTACAGCTTTTTCTCTTTCCAGCTTGCTAGTTCCCTACTCATACCCATTGCCTCTTTAGTTCCTTTAAGGAATCAGAGCAATGCAAGGTTTTCTCACAGATTTTTGTCATCATTCTCAAAAGATTGTTACTTGTACACCTTTTTTTCTATTGTGGGAAAATATACATAACATAATATTTTCTATTTTAACCATTTTGAAGTATATAATTTAGTGGCATTAAGTATATTCACATTGCTGTGCAGCCATCCATCTCCAGAACTCTTCATTTTGCAAAACTGAAACTTTATATCCATTAAACAATAATTCCTCATCCCATCCTCCCCTTAGGGCCTGGCAAACACCATTTACTTTCAGTCTTTGTGAATTTGACTACTCTAGGCACCTTATACAAGCAGAATCGTATGGTATTTGTCCTTTTGTGTCTGGCTTATTTCACTTAGCACAATGTCCTCAACGTTAATCCATGTTATAGCAAGTATCAGAATTTTCTTCCTTGTTAAGGCTGAATAGTAGTTAATTGTATGTATATGCATATTTTGTTTATCCATTCATTTATGATGAACACTTGAGTTGCTTCCATCATTTGGCTATTGTGAATAATGCTACTATAAACATTAGTGTACTCATTCATCTTTCTTATTGCCAGTCTGAGAGATTCTGTAGTTTATTTGAATATGAACCAAACCAGTATTAAAATGATTCCTAAAATATTTGATATTTATCTTTCATCTTTACTTTTTCTGAAAATGGCAGCAATAATTCAGATGTAACTTGTGATGGTCATTTTTAACTAAGCTATTTTATACTTGTAAAAGGCCGTTCATTGATTGGGTATGCTATCAATGAGTATGAGTACTCCACTAATGCTGGCTAGCCAAAGTATGTTTATTCAACACCCAAAAATATATAATGTACCACCTTAGGAAGATTTAAGCCTGGGTGTGGTGGCTCATGCCTGTAATCCCAGCACTTTGGGAGGCCTAGGCTTGTGGATCACTTGAGGTCAGGAGCTCAAGACCAGCCTGGCCAACATGGTAAAACCCCATCTCTACCAAAAATACAAAAAAAAAAATTATCTGGGCATGGTGGGGCATGTCTGTAATCCCAGCTGCTCCAGAGACTGAGGCAGGAGAATGGTTTGAACCCAGGAGGCAGAGGTTACAGTGAGCCAAGATCATGCCACTACACTCCAGCCTGGGTACTGGGTGACAGACTGAGGCCCTGTCTCAAAAAACAAGAAAAAAAGAGAAGATTTAGATTAATAATATGGCTTTCAAATATAGTTTTTCAAAGGGATTTTTAATTAAACGCAAGGTCAACTCTCTTTTCTTTCAGGCATATGCGAGAATTTTAGAGAATTTTATTCTCGGCTCTCCTTGTAGTTAGGAAAGGCCAGGAGACTAGTTCTGGTGAATGGATTGGAAGAAGTGTATGTGTGCCTCTTTCAGACTGAAGCAATGTGGGCCCACTTCTATGCCAAAGCTCCTTCTTCCTCTGCTGCATTGACTAAGGAGAACATTTGTTCCAGATGGCACAGCAATAGGATGGTAGAATCAATAATAAACCATCACTGAGCAGCCACATGGAAGGCATTTGCCTTGGACAGTTGCCCAGAACTTCAACAGACATTTTGTAAGCAAGAAATACACCACCAAGGTTTGTAGGGTTATTTGTTTCTGCAACATAAGCTAACCTATCCTGACTAATACAATAGGGGACTATTTAAGTAAATTGTGGTTGATAAATATTTATTAACCATGAATCTATTAAAATAAATGAGGCTAATATGTGCTGATATAGAAAAATCCCCCTAATATTTTAATTTCAAAAAGCAAGATACAAAATAGAGTGTATATAGTATGTTACTATTTATATAAAATACAAATAGGTGCTGAGTATCTTTCCAGATACTCAAAAACCCAGCAGAAGTGGTTGTCTCTGAGAAGAGGAAAGGAGAGCACACAAGTTTGGGTGTTAGGCGTTTTTTACTGTTTTATTTATTTTTTAACCAAGTGCATGAATTATCTGGAAATAGATGAATAAATATTAAAAGCAATAATGAAAGCCTAAATTAATCCAGTGGTGAGGGGATCTGAAAAAAAGAGTAAATTTGAGGAATGAAGCAGAAGACAGATTGATAAGATTGGATAGTTTATAAATATGGAGAATGATGTAGTCAGAAGTTAACCATAATGTAAGTTCCATGAGGGCAAGAATTTTTATCTCTTTTGTTTTTTGATAGTAGATATTGACTGAATAAAATATCAATCCTTATTATGTTAAAAATTGTCCTTTGTGATTGGCATGTTTAGAAATAGATAATGGCTTTTGTTTTCTACATAGTAAAATTTCAATAAAATGATTATTTTTGTTTTGGCATATGTGGCACTTTTAGCTCCTGGTAACTACTTAATAACACTATATTTAAAAAAATAAAATTAGACCATGGAAATATGGAATTAAACTAATGGTTTGGAGTTTACCAGATATTAAATGGTAGGGACTTAAAGATCAACTGATGGCTATCTAGAAAAATGTAAGCTGCTTTAGAATTCAAAAATGACTTTATACAAAACAATTTTGCCTTTAAGGCATAATGCCTTTATATAAATCTATTCCTGAATTTTGTTTAGAGTGTTTTGTTTAGAAGTATCCAAACAATAACACTCATCTATCTCAAGTTATTAATTACTTTGCCAAATACATAGATCTAAGGTTTGATTCCTTTCTCTTCCCTTGTGATTTGTTGGAATTTTGCATTGATATAAATAAATAGCATCGCCTATAAGAATGATTGCCCTTCTTTCTCTTGAGAATTTTGAAGAGAAAGACTTTTCAACCATGTAAACCAATGGTAGTTCTATTATGTGTCATAGGACAATTTGTAATTTCTCAAAAGTTAAGGGAAGAATAAATTGCTTGGCGTGGGGGAGGGGGTCCTCTTTACACATAAGCAGCCAGTTCTATCTTCACGTAAAAGTGGAAGAGGTGCTAAGCCCTCATGTAACATGATGAGGCAAAGTGGATCACCTTTCTTCTTCACAGGCAAAAGTAGCCCAGTGACCCAGAAAGGGATATGGCAGGCATCCCCAGTAGCAGAGCTCTGCATCCCAGCAACTATGTTATGAGCATAGGTGCAGACCAAAGCCTGTAAGTGCTGTCTGGGCTAAAACCTAGAGGCTTTAACATTTTATGCTGCTACTTGTAACTCAGACTCCCCTCTCTGGTCCAGAAACTTTCTAATCAATGCCTGGTCCTGCATGGCTCATAACATTTTCTGGACAGTTCACATACCATGTAACCAGTATGCTGGCATCTTTTGTGGATTCTATGCTGAAACCTTTTTCCCTGACCCTTCTACTTTCAGATTATTTCTGCTTTCCTGGCACCTGACCTAACTCATAACTTTTTTCTTGTCTTTGGCATCCCTTTTCCACCATAATTTATATGCACTCCTTTACTTATGGGCTTCTGACTGCTTAGGAAAACATTTCACCTTGCCCTGTTTGGCATCTAACTCCTCTCAGGCTTCTGCAGGCAATACCTTGCAGCATACCCTGACCCCTTAAATGGAATCTAGACAAGTAAATAGGATATTTCAAGAGGAATATCCTGGAAATCATACAATTGGTCACCTTCAGCATTGTGAGAAATGACACTGTCAACTTGTCACTGCATGTGTCAGTGTTATATGTATTCTGTCCTCAAAAGTTAGATCTCATTTCAATTAATTGTAAGAAACTGTCAACATTCTTTTCCAACACTGGATGTGTGTTGTGTTGAACAAGGCTGGGCTGTTTAAAATCTAAATTGCTTTTATAAAGTCAAAAATTCAATATTTTTAAATTTTACTTGTAGGTTGACTTAATTATTTCATACATATACCACATAATAATTATAGTGATATCAGACAGTTGATTTTTTTAGTTGCTTTCTTTTGTGTGAGAACAGGGAGAAATTCCAGCATTTCAGTCAGAGATTTGGGCAGAAACTCCCATTGTGTAATCCCTTCTGTTACAATAGCCACAGGAGCCAAATATATCATCTCTTCAAGCTTCTGGAAACTTTCATTCAGACATGTGATCAAGACTGTGTTCATCTGAAATTATTCTTGAGAAATATAGGGACATCAAACAATCATTCATGGTGATGTACTGGAGAGTTTCTCTTCAAAGATGAGGCAATTCTCCTCATGCTCTATCCTCCTCTAAACTCATTTCTCCAAACTTGTAAAGAGAACAAAGTCTCGGGTGCTTTGGGGAAGATTATAAGATCATACACAAAAGGAAAAGTCCAATGTGACAAAATATTTGCATGACTAGGAGGCATCTCAGACATCCCGTTTTGCATCGACATACTTCTTCACCCCTTTGTATAGCAGCAACTATGCTACCTTGGATAGACAGATTCAACTCTCCTAAGCATCATTATAACCAGGGACTCATTAGTCTACAGGGTGTTTTTATGCAAATTAGGAAAAGATGCCCCTTTTTTCAAGACACTTCAATGATATCTGTCAGAAAATTATTATACTAATTTTATTAGAATAAGACATTTTACTGTCTTAAGCCAAACAAGTCATAATATATATGAAAATACAAGATTCCAGAATGTAAACAGCACACTTTATGTAAGACTTGACTGTACTCCCTTCTTGGCCTGTTTCTCGATAGCACAAGGAATCAAATAGCTAGGTGGAGGTTGTTTCTTCTAATTCAATGGAACCATAATTTTTTATATCTGGAGTAGGAAACCATTGAGTATCAAGAATTCTAAATCAGCAAACCCTAAGAAAGGAAGGAACAAAGGATCATTAGTTTAATAGTAAGAGGTGTCACCCTCTGTTTCACCCATTGGTTCTTGGACCCATATAGTGTTGCTATAGGCTATGGTTTGAGTGTTTGTGTCCTTCCAAAATTCATATGTTGAAACCTAACCCCAAAGTAATGATATTAAGACATGGAGCCTTTGGGAGGTGATCAGATCATGAAAGTTCTGTCCTCATGAATGGGATTAGTACCCTTATAAAAGAGGTTAAAGACAGCTGCCTTGACCCCTTTTCTGCCATGTGAGAATATAGAAAGAAGGCACCATCTATGAAGCAGAGTAAGCCCTCGCCAGACATTGAATCTGCTGGCACTTTAATCTTGGACTTCCCAGTCTCCAGAACTGTGAGAAATAAATTTCTGTTGTTTTTAAATTACCCATTTGAAGTATTTTGCTATAGCAGCCCAAACTGACTAAGACACGATAGAAGAAAGAGAACCAAATATTTGTCTATGGTTCAGAGCACTTACTGCATCTACAGAATAGCACTCTAGATTGGTAAGATATTGTTTTCTGAACTACGTAATTGAATGTTCAATAGGCATTCTGCCATTCTATAAAGGTAAACTGCTTTCAAGTGATGGGGCATATAAAAACTGTGATTCCACGGAGATCAGTGTATTGCCTTATTTCACTAAAAGGTAAATAGATGAAAAGAAGAAAGAGAGGTTGTTAATGAATAAAGTGTTTATTAAATGGTGGTACAGATGTATGGCAATCATTTAAATTCAAGTCCAAAATAAATGTCTATTCCAACGATGATAAAAACTGTCCCTCCATGAAGAAATATAATCAGCCTGATACCAAGTGCCTTTCTGGTCCCCTAGAATTGAGTACCACCTCAGAGGCTTATCATATTGGACACTCAGCAGTGGCAATAGCCAGGCCAGCCTTGATGAGGGGAAGCCCATATAGTTGAGTCCATGTATAGGTTATGTTTTCTCAGGGTAACAACTTTTTTTCATGAGCTTATCAAGAAAACACAAGAGTATCCCAGGGAATGTCCATTTTTAATGCAAATCTCTCTAACTTAGCCTGTACCAGGACCCAATAGCAAACAAAAGCTGTTTCTCAAAAGGGGAATTATTGTTTGGCAAAGTGGATGTGCTTATGTTCAAACACCCCAGGGGCATCTGCTGTGATTTTTTAATTGGAATTTCCACAGGGTTTAGAGAGCATTTCAATCAGTTACAAAATCTTCGAGTCCTGTTGTATTCAGTAGGTCAAAAAAGCCAAGTAAAGCTGCCTGCAGTGAAGCTTGGACTATCTAGCCTTTTCTAGTCCCAGGTCCCAGCCCAATCTTGCAGTCATTTACGTCACCGTGTAAATGAATCGAAGAAGCACACCCATATTATCGGTTGCTTTCCAAATCCAAGGAAGCCTATAAAGTGTTATGTTTCCTTCTTCAATGGTATCAGGTGCGAGGTGCAGTAACTTATTCTTCATTTTGGAAAGGATATCCTTATGTGCTTCAGACAGGTGAGAGCCCCTGTAAATCACTGCTACATTTTATTTCTGGGTTTTATGGGCATGATACAATAATGTAGTTTACTAGCATGATGCCCTATGGAATGGTGACACAATCAAGTACTCTGTGGACCTAATTGTAGCACAGAGCTCAAGAACTATAATCCCGAGACAAGAAAAGTAAACTATGGTTTCCAAAAAGTAAAAATAAACTTCTTTTGAGATTCTCTATTTTTTGAAATAACATTTGTCAGATTAATAGATGCAAACCAAAAATTGTTTTTATTTGCTCCAGTAAAGAAACTATATCTGGATTGACCACCATGACTCAAGAAGCAGATTAAGTTTGTGATAATCAACTGGACAAGGGTCTTTGTGAAACATTTTCTGAGTCCCAGGTGAATTCTGCATAAGCTAAATAAGCTACTCCCTGCATCTTTTAAGTCTTCCAAGGTGGCATTTAACTTTGCATCTCCTCCCCACCTCTCCTAGCCTTCTCCCCAGAATATGGCTTTTGATTTACTCTTCTGACAGGGAGGGGGAATTCTAAGAGTTTTCTTTGGTCTTTCCTACCAAAATGGCTAGCGTGGCCATATACTTTCTCATTAAAACCAGGATATTTTTCATAGTAAAAGGGAATACTAATTAATAATTATGCCAAAAACAGATGCAAACTGCTACTTTGGGGTCAGAAATGCAGTGTGGGGATTTGGTCATCAGCTGAGATTATCTGTACTGATACTACACATTTAGTAATCAGGAATATAATCATTATATAGATTCAGGAGCCCACTGGGCCTCCATGGGTCACAACTCTATTCATTACCTGATCTCTTTAAGCCTTCATTCCAACCAGTGAACCACATTGATAATCAACCCCCCTCCCCCAGAATTAGCGTTAGCTCAGAGCCAGTGTCCAATCATCCCTGAAAGTCCTGGGTATTTCTCTTTCCTCAGCACACAGTTACTCTAGGAAACAACTACAATTTCCTTTGTGAATATTTAGAAAGAAAAACATAGAACATACTTGTTATTACAGGGTCCATGCTTAAGTGTATCCAGCCTCCTCTCAATCTCTGGAGATGTCTATATGTCGACTCAGGTTTGAGAAGTAGATGAAGAGCTGTGATTGTTGTGATAGCTCAAGGCAGGCTCTCCAAACTTCAAGGCCATGTTTGTTGTATTAATCAAAAAGGTCCTCTAGGGACTCTAATTACAGGCCTGGAGACAATCAAGGTTGGTGGATTCAGGCACCTGGCCTCAGATTTCCCTTGTTTGAAAACGTCCTCAGGTAAGGCCATTAGAAGTTTTTCAAGAAATTCAGGAATAGCCTTATCCAAAAAGGAAAAGAAGCTACCCTTTGAGTCATTCAACTCTTTCCAAAAAAATCACTATTCTAGTTCTTTTTTCTTTTTCTTTTTTTTTTTCTCTGAAAGCAGAATCTCGCTCTGTTGCCCAGGTTGGGGTGCAGTGGTGCAATCTCGGCTCACTGCAACCTCCACCTCCTGGGTTCAAGCGATTCTCCTGCCTCAGCCTCCCGAGTAGCTGGGACTGCAGGCACCCGTCACCATGCCTGGCTAATTTTTTTGTATTTTTTAGTAGAGATGAGGTTTCACCATGTTGGCCAGGCTGGTTTAGAACTCCTGACCTCAAGTGATCCGTCCACCTCGGCCTCCCAGAGTGCTAGGATTACAAGTGTGAGCTACCATGCTCAGCCTATTCTAATTCTTATAGATTTGCTGTTTCTCAATAGCTGCTCTGATTTTTACACAAGAGACCTGGAGAAACTATGGGTTTAATTGACATTATTCAACAGCCCACTGATCAAATTTTGAGTTTTATTTTTGGCCATTTTATCCTAGCAATCTGAAGACATAAAATATTTTGTGTGTTGATCTGCTCTTTTTTGTTTTTTTAAGCACTGCCACAGAAGTCTGTTGCCATTCACCAACTTCAAGCTGACACCAACTGAAGCAGCTACTATATCCAATTTTCATTGATCTCCTCACCCTAGGATTTATCATCCACAGCAAAAATAATGAGCATAAAATATCCAGGAGAAACTGGATACACAATCACTCTACTCATGTGCTTTATATGGTCTATGGCATTAGCCATGAGATTGCCCAAGAAGTCTTATCTTTAATGGGTATTCATTCTGGGTGAACAGAGGTGATAACTCAATTAAATGTGAACGACTAGGCTGCCAAAGTAGCATACCTTAACACTGGCTTAATTTTATTGTCTTTAAGCCTAAGCATACCAGGCAACCAATCCCAGATTCCTTGCATTTTGATCAGGGTCTGTTCCTAGAAGTTTCCTACGCCCAGTTAACAATTTCCAATCAGTTAGAATTCTTATTATCAAATGATACCTGACAAAACGTATTGGACCCTGGATCTCGCTATTTACTGCATAGGATGGCATATGTTGCAGTGTCTGGAAAATCCAATGTGGGGCCATCTAGTTCAATGGTGTCTGATACCAACAGCAGATCTACCAGGGAGACTGCACATCTCTCTTTAGTTATATTTTTGACATCTAATTGTTATCATGGGTTCTAATGGGCAGTAGCTTATTCAAAAAAAAAATTACCCCAAGTATTTGCTTTCTACATTAATGAGCACATACTAGTCATTTAAATGGGTGTTTTGTTCAAGGTAATGTATTTGTGTAATTTGCAGAGTTAATTGTGTTGTTTAGAGCTAAGCCTTTCTTTTAAAACCCAGAATAAATGAGCTGTTCCAGTGTATGTGGAAAGAGAATACAGTGCCAGTGAAATGGCAAACATGGCAAAAGCAATCATTTTTATGCTTTGGAGAAGTGAACTAAAACCAATCCTCTAACTCTAGGACACAATTTTGTCTTATCAGTAAGTGAAGTGTTAGATTGGGTGAACTACAAGGTTACTTCTATTATTTCTATGAAATGCCAGCATGGGAAAATACCTGAATAATGACATATTACTTAATGTTAGAAAAGGATAGTATTATAGTTAACTAAAATGTACACACGAACAAAGCTTAAGGTGTTTGTTTTTGTTTTTCCTACTAGCAAGAGAAATGGGACAGAGGGGAAAAAGGCTATTGGGTTCATTCCATGCTTTGGCAAAAGGAAATTAGTGTAGGAGTAGCTCAGAAAATCATTCTGTACCATTCTGGAAGATTCTGCAAAGAAGGGCTTAAACAAATATGCTGGGATACAGGGAGACTGTCTATGTGGACACCGCAGATTTTAGTTTGGTTGTGGTGCCGTTGACTCTCTCCTTTTATAAGTGAACTGTATCATTTACGTGCCAAGTTCAATTTCAGGCCTCTCTTACTATGGAACTCTGCCATTTGCAACAAGGTACAACTTTTCCTGTGGCTATAGGAAGTTTTGCTCTGTGAAAATAAACATGACTCACATCCTGAATATTGCACTCCAAAAAATTAATAATCTTTTTATATTACCTTTTTTTTTTGAGACAGAGTCAGGGGGATGGGAAGTGCCTGTTGTCCAGGCTGGAGTGCAATGGCATGATCGCAGCTCACTGCAACCTCTGCCTCCCGGGTTCAAGCAATTCTCGTGCCTTAGCCTCCAGAGTAGCTAGGATTACAGACAGGTGCCACCACGTTAATTTTCTCTATTTTTAGTAGAGACGGGGTTTCGCCATGTTGCCCAGGCTGGTCTCGAACTCCTGAGCTCAGGCAATCTGCCCGCCTTGGCCTCCCAAAGTGTTAGGATTACAGGTGTGAGCCACGGCACCTGGCCTTATATCACTATTTTGAAAAGTCCTTTGAAAAATATTTAAATGACCCATCTTTGTACTTTTAATGTAGAATAATTGTGGCTTTACCTTGGACTTAACACTTGTCGGATAGTAGATGTTCCCCAGAAAATATGTTTTCAAGAAGATGCTGAAGGAAAGAAATATTTAAAAGCCGGTGTCTTATAACCACTGTTGTGATTTAGAGGCAGACACAGTTCATCTACCATGTTAGCTTTTTGTACGTATGTGACTCCTTGATTTGATTAATGACAATTTTACAAAGCATAGACTAGTCATTTTATGGACTTGTTCAAAGTAACTGAAATTACATTGATCAAATATGACACTATAATTGATGTTTCTTTATTTGGAATCTAGTTTTCACAGTTGAAATTTGGGCTTTGATGTTTTCCTGTGAATTACTCAACATAGCCCTCAACATGTTCAATTTTGTAAGAAATCATTGTCCTCCACTTCTGGAATGAATTTCCCCAGGGCTTCTGTAATGGTCTGTTTTAATGCATGATAGTTTTAAAATTTTCCAATTTGATCAATTCTTTTTAAATTTGAATGAGATTCTGCTTTTCCTCATGTACTCAGATAATGCTATTGACTCACAGTCAGTAGGGCATGCACTTTGAGTAGGTTTTGCAGTAATGGTGATGTGAATCCATCCAGATCCAGACTCTCTTGGCCACTTCTCTGTGTCACTACAGATGCTCTTAGCTAGGATATGCATGTGGTCTTTAGCTGTGGAGCACAGTGAAACCAGGAATTTCACACTAGGCCTAATCTCAGCCTGGGTCACCATGGTACCACCTTCTGACTAGCAGAATGAACTACCAGTAGACAGTTATTTTCATCCCTGAAGTATATACAGGCTTTCACTTTCTTGTTTCCTCTTGCCATTTTCTTAGGTTTGAATTATTTCATTTGCTAATATTTCCTAGCTTAGGCTGAGTTTCAAGCCAAGGACATTACTGCAAGAGTAGCAAGAAGAGAAAATCAATACCATATTGATTGCCAGTAAAAATGGCTATGAATAACTTCAGTTACCTCTTTGTAGTTTAAGGCTCATTGTTTTATCTTCACCATTTGTGGCTCTTTGAGTTTTTATAATGAAAATATTGAGATTGAGTCAAAGACCTGGAAAAAAATTTGTATCTATACAAGTTTGTAAATTCCTAAATGATGTGCTTTAAGAAAAAAGAAACCTTTGGACATGGAGCTAAAAAGAATTATTTTCTGCTTTAGCTTTTTAATAAGAAAATGATCATTTTCTTGGTCACATTTCTAATAAAGTGGTTATGTTTAGCCTGATCTAATTTAGGTATATATCTTTACCTGTCCACAATCTTTTCACTCAATTTCAGTACATCAAAAATATATTGTTTGTGTGATAATGTATTTGTTTTAGATCTGACATTTCTTTCCAACATTGAATATAAAGACAATATTTAACCTATTAACATAGAAATATTTTAAATTGTAGAGAAATCAGAGAATTAGGTCATGCTTTAAGTATTTTGGAGCTTAGGAAAATGTTTTCATTAGCTGTCAGAATGTAGGGTTGGAGAAGGTTAGGATGGAAGAATCTGCCTGGCTTGGCAGAGTTCTGGAGAAACATGATTCTGCAGATAGAGGGCAGCTCTTTGGGGTTCCCCAAATTGTGGACTTGGGGACATTGATTCTAACTCTACCTTTGGGAAGGCTGCTTCTGAAAAGAACCAGAATCTTGCTATCATTTTTAACATTGATACTTTGGTTCTTATCAACAGAAATCACCTTAGCTAATTTAAAGAAAACAAATACATTGGATGGATATGGATAGTTCCAAAATCCAGGAAATAATGAAGACCCAGACTTCAGCAAGGATAGGAACTAGACAGCTTGGCAACTAGGTGTTCATTGAAGTCCAGAATTAGGAATAAAATAGCATCAATTATTTTCCATGCTGTCCTTCCTTACTCGGAGATTAACATTCTGGGAGGGAGAGAATTGATCTAGCTAGGGTCCGAGGTCTAGGGTGGGCAAGAATCTTTGGCAACCACTATGCCTTTATGGTAAATGAGGAGGAGTCTCAAAAGCAAACTAGGAAACTATCTGTTACCGGAGGAAGGGCAGGAAAAAAAACAAAACAAAACAGATATCCCCTATAGGCAGTATTTTTTCACCCTAACATTTTAGGATTAGTGTAGTCATTGTCCCAATATCTTCTTCTCTCCATAATCTTATAGTGTTTTCACAACCTTTTCATTATAGGCTTGCCCCTTAATATTTTTTTTTTAACTCCAGTCCAGCTTTGAGAGGACTGTGCATTGAGACGCTCTTACTTTGGTCAGGCTATGCATTATGGTTTAGTTCTAGCATAGGTTCTGTATTGTTCTTGAGATTCAATTTCCTTGTTTCTGAGACTCCAGTTCTAGTGACCAGGACCTTGTCTTATTTCCTGGATCTGAAGTTGGAATGAAATACTGCTTTGCTTCTTGCTAGTCCCTCATCCCTACCAAAGGCTTGGGTGCTTTTCTGAACTTCCAATCTGTGCTTGGTGCCCTGTTCTTTGCTGTTAAAAACCCTGGAGCTCTCTGCCTGACCTCTTGTGGATTTCCCAGCACTGTGCTTCTATGAAAATACTTTTAACATTCCTGGTGGGATCTGGCCAATGCCAACTAATTGTCTGCCAAATTCTCGCTCTCTCTGTTTTAAATTCGCAAACATCTCTTTATACAGTCCTGGCTTATCCAACATCCCCATTTAATTTTATTTTAAAAATTGTTTTAGTAAATATTGAATAGGCATAAAATCCCAATGATAACACATGTAATGTTTTAAGAAATATCAAATAATAATCTCCAGTGTACCCATCACCACCCAGTTTAAGAAACAGGATGCCATGTCATTCTTACTTAAAGTAACTGCCTGGCTGGTTAGAATGGGCCCATTCCACCTTTAAAGTCAGGAAAACTATGTTACAATCTCAGCTCTAATACTAGCTATGTGATCTTGAGTAGGTCACTTTGCCTCTCTGAACTTCAATTTAAACCTTGTCACTTTAAGTTGGATAACAACATAGTTAGCACTTTATAGTTATAAATGTACTTCCTTCATCTAATGGCTCTCAGTGAGTGTGTCCTGCACCCTCCTCCTCCTCTTACATCTGCTGTTCATGGCCATCAGAAACTTGCTCACTCTGTCACAAGACAGGATACTCTATGCTAGCTGAAACAGGGATCTTTTTAAATTGAATACAAGATTGGCCTTAGAGTAGAGCCCGGCAGGAACCCAGTGGTCCTGACTATGGGGAAGAAGGATACACAGAGAACCACCAGTATCTGAGGATTCATCATCCACATCTCTAAGTTACGAGGTTACATAGACAACTAAAGGTACAGAGCAGGACATTATTTATCCATATTCTGACCACTTAAACACTGGTTCCATTTAATCATTCTTCCTATCTCAACACCAGCGTTTACTCCAGCCTATTAAGTCATCTTTGTTGGTCAGCCTTTCCTGGAGTACATGTTTCAATTATAGAATTTATTTGACTAGATGTTTATTATTTGTTTAAATATCTCCCTTCACACTAGACAGAGTGCCATAAATGGAGGGCTCCTTCTTGCTTTTATTGTTATCTCCCTGTACTCAGTTCTGTGACTGGCACATAGCAGGTGCTCCATAAATGCTTGCTTCATGAAAGGTGTAGAGGCAGGGTTCAGCCTGCCCAGCCTTTCTTAACAAAATTTGATCTGAAAATAGCCTTTAAGTATTACAGGCACAAAGAAACTAGCTCTAAGATTGCTGCTTTGATATTTGAAAAGAACCAATAATCAAAGATGTACACATAATTCATGGAAAGATACAATAGTGTCAAATTGCCTTTTTGTATAAATTTTGAAACCCCTCCCCTATATTCCAAACTTCTGTTTAAGAAGATATTCTATTGTTTTCTACTCCCCAGTTCTGACTCTGTTTAGTCTGGCCTCATCTGTTCTTGAGTGGGCAGAAAGAATACTTCATATTCAGCTAGAAACAGTAAGCAGGAGCTCTTAATGGGGACACTGCATCTGCCAATCCCCCCACAGCTGCCCCACACTCCCCACCTCCAGTGTGCTGTCACATTATGAATGTGGGGAATGCTCTATAAATGCTGGCAGACAGAATCAAGCCCATAAGTTAGTTCATTTCAGCTTAAATGGATGTGTCCAAATGAATTGCCACCCACATCTGAAATTCCCTGATTTGTATAGTACCGTTTTTTTTTTCCTTAAAAGAAATCGCATTCTGCCAGCAATAAAAATTACTCAAAATTTCAACAATTGTGACACTGTCTTGGAAAGATCACAAAGAGTCTTTTAAAATCCAATTTAGAAATAAGTCTATAAATATGTACACTGCAATGTTGCTTTCGATTAGGAAAAAAACAGAACTTAACAAATCAGATTTTAAAGAGGACATAATAAGTACTTTAACAGTTACTGTGTGGGGGTTGATTCTGTAGTGGCTGTACAGCTCAGAATATTGAAAGAGCAGTATTTCTCTGTGTGGGTGGTGGGCGGGAAGGAGTGTCTCACATGCAGCCAGCTAAGCGGCAAACATGTTTATAATTGCAACACAGCAGAAAACATTGGTAAAGCTTATGAGCATAAAACAATTACACACAGACTTCGTGTCAGCCTGCATGCCTTAAAGCAAGGGTCAGTAACCTAGAGCCCACGGTCTAATTCTGGCTCACTTAAGAGTCCTAAACAACCCACAGTCCAGCTCTTTTCAGTCCAAACACGTTGGCAGTTTAAGGTATCGTAACTCTCCTTTTTTCATATGTCCTTGAGATCTAACCAACACTGTACCACTCAATTCCATCACAGTTTCCTGAATTTAGAATTCAACTGGGGTTGGCTTTATATGATGACAAAGTAGCCAACAGACATTTTGATGAATAAATCCCAAATTTCATCATTCTTAAAAAGATGAATTTTTAGACTCTTCAACATACTGTGCTTTTAATTTTTCTTCTATTATTAGTTCTTGAGTGTTTAAAGAGGCCTTAAGACAATAAAACCTAGGTGTTTGTGGGGAGTGAGTGGATACAATCACATTCCAAAGCAATTTGAATTCTGGAAGTCATTTTAAGTGAGAATAATTATTATTAAGTATAGTAGATAACAGAACAATCTTAAAACAAAACAGCTATCACATAAGAAACATCAATCAAAAAACAACCTTGAAATATAAAAAGCAGCTTGAAAATGTATGGGAGTGGGAAAAGAGAAGGATTAGCTAATGGAAATACTCTAGGAAAGACAATGCTCTTGTAAAAAGACAATTTGGCAAGCCAAGGTACTTCATTTATGGAAAAACTCAATGGGAACAATCACTTTCAGAGTTTGATTTCAGAGGTTTGGGGAAGATTTGTCTGCAACAAAATTCTCACTCATCTGTTACTGTCTCCTTCCCTTCAAATTCCTACGGGAGATACGCTTAGGGGCAAGGAGTGTGTGGGGTTGTATCCAACAAGTGTCATGATAAAAGTTGCAAATATCCCTGGGAATGGTAGTGCATTATGTTATTATTAACGATGAATTGTTTAATCAAACACCTAAAGGGATAGGAGTTCATTGAGAATTAAAAGGAGATCATCTTGGATCATGCACCACAGTCCTGGAAGTATGAGAGCAGTGGGCTAGGGTAGGAAAGATGGGAAGAATTCCAGTGGGTTAGGGAAAGTGGAAGTAAGGATACTGGGAACAATGGTTATAGGGAAGGGGTGGGAAAGAGAAGATATTCTATTTAAACCACACTTTTTCCTTAGGATAGGAGTTTTAGTTTTAGTTTTCTGAAGTTAGAACAAGGATAATGTTTTATACTATCTGGTAGTTTCTCCAAACACTTGATACAATTTAAAGTGGAGAGAACACAAGCTTTAGAGTCAGGATCTAGATTTAAACCACTCTCAATCGTTAAACTCTCTGAGCCCAACTGGAGCTAAGAATATGTGGACATATGCTGATTGCCTACACAGCACTTAGCTCTCTTGTCTTTTTTCCTAAGAGAATCCCAGGGTTCCCAGCTAGTGGCAGTTTGGGAGGGATTAAGCCCAACCCAAGTCTAAGAGTTGGCTTTGATGGGTTCAAGCAAATCATTTCATTCCATTAGCATGTAATCCAATTTAAATTAATGCTTAGAGAGACATTTCACAAGGGCATCTGGGGTACATGCTGAATCTTCTAAGACATCTACTTTAAGAGGCACTCTCTATCCCTGGGAAGGATGAGATGTGCTGATGTGAGTCCTGAAATGACTGTAGCTATTTTGCTGCCATGAAGGAAGCCAGCTGAAATTGAATTAGACACATGAATGAGGGCAAAGCTGAGAACAGAAGAGAAATTTAGCCAAAACAGTGTTGAAATTGTATCTAAAGCCTCACATATTACTGGACTTTTTAGTTATATGAGCCAATAAATTCCCTTTATTATTTGAGCTAGGTTTTTATTTAGGTTTTCTGTTGTTTGCAACCAAAACATTGCTAATCAATGCGTTGAATCTCACTGGGCTTTTGTGGGGCTTATGGCCTATCAGTGTATGGCATATAAATGTTAGGTTGAGTAACATTTATCTTTTAGTTCTTTTTAAAAATTAATTTAACCACTGTCTAGTGAACCCTCACTGTGCCATTTTGTATAAACTATGGTGCTAAGTTCTAGGGCTATGAAGATACGTAACAGTGGATCCCTGCTCCTAAGGAGTTCACAAACTATGGACTAGCTTGTTTCTAATGATTTGTTGGATATTATTGGAAAAGTGTAAGCAGAAGAGACTGGGTTCTTTTAGCTTAGGTTACCTAGAACTTTAAAAGTTAATTCTTGAATATATAAATATTGACTATCATGTTAGGTTACTTGAGTATATTACTATGACTACAGTTAATAAGGCAGTCTAACCATTTCTTTAGAACCAACAAATAGTATGTAGTCAATGTTAGATAGGTTTTCACTGTGCTTTTTACTTTTTCACAAAATTCCAACAACTGTTAGAGTTCCTCCTAATATCATTCAAAAATATAAACATTCTTCTATAATTCAAAAAATAGTCTAGTAAGTAAAGCCCAATTTCCAATATGTCTTATTTAAGTAAATTTAATGTAGCTCAAAAAAATCTGCAGATCTTTCATAACATGGAAGCTTTTTTCCAAGACTTTCAGTTGAACTTCTGTTGCTGCTAGTATTTTCTGAGTGGGAGAGTGCTATTTCTGGAGCTAAAGTACAGTTGCTATAATAAGTTTTTTTTTTTTTTTAAGGATAGTAATACTCATCAGTAAATGTTACTTCAAATGCAGTTGGCTTTTGTAATAGTTTAGATTTGCTCCTTAATAATTTTGGGAAGAATACCTGGTATATTGTTATGATTCTACCTAAGTTAGAAAGTTTAATATGCATATTTCTTACACTAGCATCACACTGAATTGGGTATCATTTTATAAGAATTACTTGCATAATATAAGTAGGCACAGTTGATTAAGGTAATTTCCCTCTACTATGGCATTCTTTGCAAAATATGAGCACAGAAGTACGTGGCTCATCCTCAGAAGTTCCCTATTATTTCAATGCAATCCATCTCTGCCAAAGGATGTACTGCTCTCTCTAAGAACCTCAAATGGACCGGGCGCAATGGCTCATGCCTGTAATCCCAGCACTTTGGGAAGCTGAGGAGGGTGGATCACCTGAGGTCAGGAGTTCAAGACCAGCCTGGCCAACATGGTGAAACCCTGTCTCTACTAAAACTACAAAAATTAGCCGGGCATGGTGGCATGCACCTGTAATCCAAGCTACTTGCGAGGCTGAGGCAGGAGGATCGTTTGAACCGGGGAGGTGGAGGTTGCAGTGAGCTGAGACCATGTCATTGCACTCCAGCCTGGGCAACAAGAGCGAAATTCCATCTCAAAAAAAAAAAAAAAAAAAAAAAAAAAAAAAAGAACCTCAAATGATAAATATTGGCCTATTAAATGTAATTTAAATAAGCAGTTTCAATAAATAGCATCTTTTTGACTTTTACAGGTAAAATTGATCAATAATGAGGGTATAAAACTGGAATAGTTTCAAGATAGAAAAATATATCCCTGTAATACTTCTTAAGGAACTAATATATCTTTTCTACAACTGATGATTAAAAAGGAAAGAGGGAAGATAAGGTAAAATAAGGAACAAACACATGTTACTGCTTATCTCCACCCTGATGTTTCATTTAATGTACGGCTGATGAACGATAAAATGTTTTGTGTTTGCGCAACAGTTTGAGCTAACTTCTCAAATAATACAACTGCTCCCAAGTTTTACAAATTTTCCACAATCCACATATTAAAATATTGGATGAAAAACTTTGCTTTACATTAAAAACGTGAAGCAGAGAGGTAAATATCAAGAAAATACAAGCTAGCCAGTGTCTATTACAAAGAAAAATATGTTGTTCCCGGTTTCATGATGTTGGCTTGCTTTTTTCTCTTTGTGATTTGTGCTGTACTAGATTGAATCAGTTCCAATGATGTATGGCTGTGTCTTTTCCTCTTCCTCATCTTCATATTAAGGCCTTGTTCATTTATGGAGAATTCAAGCAACTCAAGACCTTTTAGAGCTGAGTGAGTACTTGGGCATCTATGATTGAAAGTAAAGGTCATTTCCAATTTGGAAAAGATGGTTTGGACCTGTTTTTTCTGCTTCTCTCCACTAAGCACAACTATAATCCCTGGAAACAGTACAAAAAAAAAATAACCAAAGGAGAACTCTAAAATGTAGTCAGCAGAAGACAAGATGGTGTGGGACCCCAAGACTGTAGGAATAGCACAGTGACGGTATCTTATATGCCCATACTCAACAGTGAAAGGCCACCCAGACCTAGGTTGAAAGCCGACCTAGCAATAGGAGGCAAACTAGACAGGCTCATTCATTTCCCTGGACCACACTGGAGTCCCAGTGACAAAATCAGTTGAGTCTGACAACACCAGCAAAGGGGATGGGTTGGAAAACTAACTGGAAATAAGTGACTGGAGGAGATACACTCCTTTCCTGAGCCAGAGTCTCCCCTTTCCATTGAGAGATACCAAAGCAGACAGGGAGAACTAGCAGGAGAGACCCAGCAGCTGGATCTAGGAATCTTCTTTGTCTCCACAAGCCTGAGACCCTCCTCCCCAATCCAGAGACATCAGAGCAGCAGATGGAGGTGGGAATAGGTAGAAACCAGTAGTGGCATCTCTTCTTAAGAAGAATTAATGCTAATTTTACACAATCTCTTCCTGAACATAGAAGAGACAAGGACACTTCCAAACTTATTTTATAACGCCAGTATTTCCCTAATAGCAAAACCAAGCAAAGGCAGCACCATAAAGCAAACAAAACCCAAAAAACAAAAACTACAGATCAATATCTTTCATGAATATAGATACAAATATCCTCAACAAAATAGTACTAAACTAATTGGGTGTGGTGGCACATGCCTATAGTCCCAGCTACTTGAGAAGCTAAGGCAGGAAAATCCTTTGAGCCCAGCAGTTTGAGGTCAGCCTAAGCAATATAGCAAGACTCCTGTCTGTTAAAAAAAAAAAAAAAAAAAAAAAAATATATATATATATATATAGGCTTGCTAATATATATTAGCAAGCCAATTTCTATAATGTATTAAAAATTATGCACCATGACCAAGTGGGATTTTTTTTCCAGGTATGCAAAACTGGTTAAATATTTAAAAATCAAATGATGTAATCTATCATATCAATAAGCTAAAGAAGAAGAAAAACCATAGGGTCATATCAATTGATGCAGAAAAGGAGACCAGGTGCGGTAGCTCACGCCTGTAATTCCAGCACTTTGGGAGGCCAAGACGGGTAGATCACGAGGTCAAGAGATTGAGACCATCCTGGCTAACATGGTGAAACCCCGTCTCTACTAAAAGTACAAAAATTAGCTGGGCGTGATGGCGCACGCCTGTAGTCACAGCTACTCAGAAGGCTAAGGCAGGAGAATTGCTTGAATCCAGGAAGTGGAGGTTGCAGTGATCCGAGATCACACCACTGCACTCCAGCCTGGCGTCACAGCAAGACTCCATCTCAAAAATAAAACAAAATAAAATAAAATTAAAAAATAAAAAAAGAAAAAGAAAAAGTACTTGACAAAATCCAACACCTGTTTATGATAAAACTCTTAGAAAATTAGTAATAGAGGTGAATTACTACAACTTGGTAATGACCATCTATAAAAAAATCCTACAATTAACATCATACTTAACAGGAACAAGGCAAAGGTGTACACTCCCATCACTCTTAATCAACATAGTACTAGAAGTTCTAATGACTGGAAAAAGGTAAGAAAAATGAATAAAAGGCATACCATTTGTAAGGGAAAAATAAAGTTATCTCTACGGGCCAATTACATAATTGTCTATACATAAAATACCATGACATCTCCAAAGCAAAAACAAAAACAAAAACCTCCCACAAACTTATAGAACTTGTACGGGAGCTCAGAAAGATTACAGGGTACAAGATCAACACATAAATATCAATCATCTTATGTGTACTAACAATAAACATGCCGAAACCAAATTTTAAAACATAATACCAGTTTACAGTTGCTCCAAAGAAAATTAAATGCTTAGAAACACACTAAAGAAAACATGTACAGAATCTGTTTGATGAAAATTAGAAAATGCTAATGAAGAATATAAATAAATAAATAAATGGAGACACAACCATATTTATAGATTGGGAGACTCCACTGAGTAAGGATGCCAACTCTCTCCAAATTTATCTATAGGTTTAATGAAATCTCTACCACAGCAAGAATCTGTGAAGACATAGAAAAGTTTATTTTAGAATTTATATGGAAAGGCACAGGCCTTATAATAGCTTTAAAAAAATGACAAAAAATAGTAAGGTGGGAAAAGCTGCTCTACCTGATATCAAGATCTACTATGTAGGTACAGTAATCAAGAATGTGATATTGGCATAGGGATAAACACACAGGTCAATGTATTAGAATAGATAACCCAGAAAAACACACACACAGATATGCTCAACTAATTTTGACAAAGGGGCAATATCTATTCAAAGGAGGAATGATAGACTTTTCAGCAAAGGGTGCTGGAGAATACCTATAGAGAAATTAACTTTAAATGGATCATAGACTTAAATATAAGATGTAAAACTATAAAACTTGTGTTAATAGAAAAAAAGCATAGGAGGAATCTAGAGCCAGACAAAGTGTGCTTAAACTTGACACAAAAGCACAATCCATACAAGGAAAAACTGATAAATTGGATTTCATCAAAATAAATACCTTTTGCTCCAAGAAAGACCCTGTTAAGAGAAGGAGAAGACAAGGTAGAGACTGGGAGAAGATATTTGCAAACCACGTATCTGACAAATGACTGGTATCAAGAATATATAAAGAACTCTCAAAGCTCAATAGTAAAAAACTAAATAATCCAATTAGGATTATATAATTGGCAGTGGATATATGAATCTGCACAGGTAATAAAATTGTATGGTGCTTATACACACACATACACAAAAATGAGTTAAATTATAACTGGGAAATCTGAATAAAATGGGCCAATTTTATTAATGTTAATATCCTGGTTATGATATACTTAAGTTTAGCAAAATGTTATTTGGATAAACTGGGAATAGTGTACAAGGAATCTATAACTCTGTATTATTTCTTACAGTTGCATGTGAATCCATAGTTATCTCAATAAAAGTTTCAATAGAGGCTGGGCGTGGGGCTCACGCCTGTAATTCCAGCATTTTGGGAGGCCGAGGCGGGCATATCATGAGGTCAGGAGATCGAGACATTCTGGCTAACACAGTGAAACCCCATCTCTATTAAAAATACAAAAAATTAGCTGATGTGGTGGCATGAGCCTGTAGTCCCAGCTACTAGGGAGGCTGAGGCAGGAGAATCACTTGAACCCGGGAGGCGGAGGTTGCAGTGAGCCGAGATAGCACCACTGCACTCCAGACTGGGCGACAGAGCAAGACTCCATCTCAAAAAAAAAAAAAAAGTTTCAACTGAAAAGTCAAAATCAGCTTGGTACTTGAAGTTGGTAAATTTAGGACAATTAAAAACAAGTTGGTTGCATACTTATAGACCTCATTAGTTTAATTTCAGAAGCTGAAAACATGGGCAGAATAAAATAATTTGAAATAATTGTATATAGATGATCCATCCACAAGGGATTCCTCTAGGTAGTTAAAAAATTCTGTGGCCGATCTTGGTAGCTCATGTCTGTAATCCCAGCACTTTGAGAGGCCGAGGTGGGTGGACCACCTGAGGTCAGCAGTTCAAGACCAGCTTAGCCAACATGGTGAAACCCTGTCTGTACTAAAAATACAAAAATTAGCCAAGTGTGGTGGCACGCACCTGTAGTTCCAGCTACTCAGGAGGCTGAGTGAGGAGAATCACTTGAACCTGGGAGGTGGAGGTTCCAGTGAGTCAAGATTGCGCCACTATACTCCACCAGTCTGGGTGGCAGAGTGAGACTCCATCTCAAAAAAAAAAAAGAAAAAGAAAAAAGAAAGAAAAAAAAATTGTGTGACTCATTACTACACCTAAGCTTTAGAGGAATTCATGCCCTTCCAAAAATATTTCTTAGTGCCTCTGACAGAGATTTAATATACTATTTGGAAACTGGCTATTTCTAACACCAATCACTGGCAATATTTAATGGTGTTTTTGAAAGAAAAATTTATGGATAAGTTCAAGTTTATTCAAATACTTTTAGTTTATAAGGAGGACTCTCATGATATTCAAATTTTGTGTTCTCAAGAAAATATAATTTTAAATAAAGATAAATATAAGAACAGCATAGCCAAATGCAATGGCTATTTTCCATTTTTGTGCTGAAACAAGTCATGATGTAATCCATTGAGACATTAAGTCCTCAAATTGCCACCTTTTATTTTATGTTCTCTTTTTTTGAGACAATGTCTCACTCTGTTGCTCAGGCTAGAGTGCGGTGGTGTGATCATGGCTTACTGCAGCCTTAAACTCCCAAGCTCAGGCAATCTTCCCACCTCAGCCTCCCGAGGAGCAGGGACTACAGATGCTAAACACCATGTCTGGCTAATTTTTGTATTTTTTTGTAGGGACTGATTTTACCATGTTGCCCAGGCTAGTCTTGAACTCCTGAACTCTAACGAATCTCCTGCCTCGGCCTCCCAAAGTGCTGGGATTACAGGCATGAGCCACCACACCCAGCCCAAGCTTTTTCCTTTTTAGATAATAATTAAGCTCATTGTAAGACATATAAATATCATTTCAAGGTATACTGAAAAGTCACCTATCCAGTGTTTCTTGCAGCACATTTTCAGCAGCATTCCATAGCAATTTTCAAATGTAAGTTTGTTGTATGATGCTTTACAAGATACCTTATCTTCTGTTGTCCTTAGCATGGATTGGAAGAAAGCTGAGAGAGGACAGAGTAAAATCTCAATTTGTCCTAACATTCTTTTTTTTCTCCAGAAGATGAATACATAGAGCTACTCAGACCACAGATATGATAAACTTGTGTCCGAGAGTGTGCCAAATGGCTGGGTGTGTCAGTATGGTTTTTTGCCATGATGTGGTAACAGGATTTCCATTTGGGATTAGTTCTGAGGTTCTGATCTTGCTTATCCCTAGTCTATAGAAACTTATATAAGGATTTTTTTTTTTTTTTTTTGAGACAGGGTCGCGATCAGTCACACAGGCTGAACTGCAGTGGCAAGAACACAGCTCATTGCAGCCTCGACCTCCTGGGCTCAAGTGATCCTCTCGCCTCAGCCTACTGAGTACCTGGGATTACAGGCACACACCACCATGCCCAAATAATTAAAAAAATTTTTTTTGTACAGATGGGGTCTTGCTTTTTTGCCCAGGCTTGTCTTGAACTTCTATCCTGAAGTGATCCTTCCAACTCAGCCTTCCAAAGTGTTCAGATTACAGCTGTGAGCCACCACACCCTGCCTATTTAAGGATTTAATTCCGATCTGGAGTAGGTCTAGGGTGGCAGAAGGAACCTATCACAACAACAGCAATAACATAATAATGTATAAAAATGCAGTGGAATTAATTCAAACCCACAGCAGGCCAGAAATTACACACCTAAAAACCCTTCAATTGGAAATGGTCTGAGTCAGCTGGAAATCTCCCAGCACTCCTACCTCTAAGAGTCAGTGGAAACCAGATCAATTCTTAGAAGCATGTGTGCAGTTGGAGCACAGGCGCGTTGCCAATGCAGTCTCTCCATGGTGATCATCTTGTTACATTGACCATAAGAGAACTGTCAGCCAATGAAATACAAAGCAAATGCAAAAGTATACTTCAATATCCAAGATGCGGAGACCTTAGTTAATATTTTAAAAATACATGTTAATATTAGATATTCTGTAGTTAGTACTATGTAAATTCTATTATTATTTTCACTTTGAGTAGTCATTATATTACATGTTAATCTTTCCAAAACATACTTTACAGCCTTTAAACTCTTGAGAGTTAATTAAGTTAAAATTAAATCATATCCTTATCATCAGAGTGCAATTTTACTAGTAAGGAAAATAAAAGAAGGGCTTCATGTTCAAGATTTTTGCAGTGAAAAAGGACATTATTATAGAAATAAGCATTCTATCAACCCTAACTGATAAGGAGTCAAGAAAAAAAAAGCTAATTTTTTTCACTCTGACAGTCTCCAGGTTGAAAGCTAATTTCTTTTTTTTTTTTTTTGAGATGGAGTCTCATTCTGTTTTCCAGGCTGGAGTTCGGCGGCACGATCTCGGCTCACTGCAACCTCCTCCTCCGTGGTTCAAGTGATTCTCCTGCCTCAGCCTCCCAAGTAGCTGCTATTATAGGCACATGCCACTAGGCCCAGCTAATTTTTGTATTTTTAGTAGAGACGGGGTTTCACCAGTTGGCTAGGCTGGTCTCAGACTCCTGATCTCAGGTGATCCAACCCACTTGGCCTCCCAAAGTGCTGGGATTACAGGAGTGAGCCACTGTGCCTGGCCGAAAGCTAATCTTGAGTAACGCCAATATCCAGAATTTTTTTTTCTAGAACCTATGTTAACACCAAGAACGAGTCTTGTTATGGTAACAAGGCTGATTAAAACAGCGGTGTGCTAGACAGCCAATTGTTAAATAATGAGGAATTTTGCAAGGTAGTTGATGTCACATTGGTGGATTGAAATTGGGCATGGTGGAAATATTTACACCATGCAAATTAGCATATTCTACCAAGAGCTGGTTGTTATACATTTACCAGCGTACCCCTGGGTACTCACATATTGGTAGAGTAAGTGGCTTCTTAAATTTGTGATTTTGAGAAGATAAACTGAGGGAGGTCTCTTACCTTCTTTAAAATAACAAGCTTTTCATAATAATCATAGACTGCTGTTAGAGGAATTGTATGCAGAAAATCTGTCTGATAATAAGCTATGACTTAGAAAAGTACAATAAATTGCACATAGTCTTGTGTAGTTCACAAAGCCCTCAACATGGTTGATGTCGTTTGATGTTTACAATAATCCTATAAAGCAAGTTTTATTATTATTTTACAAGTTTGGTAACTGAGGCTCAAATGGATTTGTTATCTTGTCCAAAGTTACACACCAATGGTGGAGCTGATAAATAAACTTAGGTCTTCTGTCTCTAACTTCTTTGTAATTTATCAGAGGGAAAAAATGTAATGTTTCTTCTACTATGTAATGTTTCAGAAGGAAAAATGCACTAAGTTTGATATACAGCCTAATTGGTGATATGGTCTGGATCTGTGTCCCTGCCCAAATCTCATGCAGAATTGTAATCCCCAGTGCCAGAGGTGGGGCCTAGTGGGAGGTGATTGGATCATGAGGGCAGTTTCTCAATACCATTCCCCCTTGGTGCTATCATCACGATAGTGAGTTCTCATGAGATCTGATTGTTTAGAAGTGTGTGGCACCTCCCCTCTCTCTCTCTCTTGCTCCTGCTCTGGCCATGTAAGACATGCCTGCTCCCACTGTGCCTTCTGCCATAATTCAAAGTTTCCTGAGGACTCCCCAGAAGCTGAGCAGAAGCTGCTATGACTCCTGTACAGCCTGTGGAACCACGAGCCAATTAAACCCCTTTTCATTATAAATTACCCAGTCTCAGGTATTTCTTTATAGCAATGTAAGAATGGACTAATGCAATTAGTTAGGAAATCGAAGTTCGAGGAGAGTGTAGAGCATGAGCTGCCGCTCCAACAATGGGTAATATGGTTCTAATCAACCAGGGAACCAAACAACAGAACCAGGTGTGTAAGTAGCAAACTGCCCAGTAGGAGAAACTGGAATATCAAAGGAAAGACTAGGAATTGTGCCAAAGATAATGCTACCAATTAAGAAAAAAGAGAGAGAGAGAGTGAGCCAGTTTTGTATTATCAGTTCAGCTCCAAGGAGTGGCATTCTTCTCAGGTGCTAGTTCAGATCTCTACAGGCCAGTGCCCAATCAGGAAAATAGAAACTACTTTAGGTATTTCCAACACAGGTGATTTAATGAAGGGATTTTTAAAAAAACAAAAATATTGTAAGAACTGAAAGATAAGATAGGGAAAAGTGATGTTTAGAAGTTAGTAATTGTGGGAAGCTGCTTCTACTCCTTACTTTGAAGATATTTAAAAAGCTAAGTAACTCTGCCCAAGGGTCACCTTAGCAATATATTTTCTTCTAGATAATTGGATACCTTGGGGAGGGACAGTAAGAAAAGTGAGTAAAAAAGTCAGGGGGAAATTATCCTAGGGACTTTATTCCAGTGTAGGTCCGTCCTTTGGACCCCTGATGTAGATGATTTGACCAAAGGGTGAGTTGGAATTAGCTCGGGTTCTGGAAGCAGAATTAAAGTGGAGTTAATTTCAGAACATTTAGATCTGACTATCTTCCAAAGGCAAAGGTACTTTTTGTTTCCTGTTCTTTATTTCCAGTAACTTTACCAAGCCAGTCATCATAATCCAATCTGAGGGCATGTGAGGCTCTTCAGGATGGGCTTCACAGTGATCTAGGAATCTACTGTTTGTAAAAGGACATGGAATTAAAGGTGAAAAAAATCTATGTACTTCCCCAGAGAGCAACAAAACCTCACTCTGAAAAGCATGTGGTTCAGATTTTTGGAGGTTAAAGTAGTTGACTTTGCCCACATGAAGTAATGTAGAATCAATGTCACTAAAACTGTGTGTGTGTGTGTGTGTGTGTGTGTGTGTGTTATGGGTGAAGCTGGTGGAGGCATAACGTATAAAACAAATATACCCACAGCACAACAACTACCTATTTTCTAATATATACATATACATACATATAAGTATATTATATACATATACATACATATAAGTATATTATATACACATACATATAAGTATATCATATACACATACATACATATAAGTATATTATATACACATTATATATTATCTAAATGCATATTATATATACGCACACATTTAAAATGTAGCTAGCTAAAAACTTACAGTGACGCCCTTTATGACTGCCACATGCCATCTTGAATCCTGGTTCAGGCTAGCCCAATAGTATGGTAGCAGCCTCATGCCACATTAGAGAATCCAGAAAACATATAATCTACTCGCAGACAGTGGAAAGACATATGGGAAACCCATATTACTGAGAACACAATAAGGAGATCATAAAGGAGGAAAATATGTTTGAGGCAAGAAAAATAGGGCAAGAATTAGAACTCTGGTGGGAGTGAAATGTCTATGTCATGCTAGGTCATTTCGAAATACAATTTGTTTTGGGGAGCATGGATTTAGTAATCTACAAAAAATTCATTTTAGTCACGTACCTTGGGGTTGAGACCTGGCAAGGATTTAAGCTGATTCTCATAGTTTTACCTCAGATTTTCCTGGCTGTTAGAAGCCCCATCGCTCTTATTTACATATAAAAGCTCTGTATAAAGTGAGGGAAAGCTTATAGAAGGGAAAAGCCAAGAAATAACTAAGAAGTCTTGGGACCTTAATATATTTCCAAGTTTCTGACTTCCTAACATCTCTTCCCATAAGTTCCCTGACACAGTGGGTATGACAATCTGCTCAAAGGAGAAATGACACGGCACTCACCAAAAGGGAACAGAAGAAGGAAGCTGGCAGTTTCTTCCTCTCTTTCCACAACAAAATCACACCCCTTTATTGGAAGGTGGTCTAGTTGGTAGCATCACATCACCAGAAAAAAGGCCCTAGCTTCACCCTCAGCATGGAGCAGAATGACAGGAGAACTTCACTGACATTTGATAACTTTCACTTAGTTTATTGGCTTTGAGAAAAAACATGGTGTACCACATACATACACACCCACCTACACTCACACATGTTAATTAAAATATATTATGAGTCTAAAACCTCTCAGCAATTCCATTATCCCATTATCCCATTCTGGTCCTAGTCAGCATGTTGTGCTAGTAACAGCCTCCAAACTGGCTACCCTTAGAGTCAAATCTCTTCATAGCAGCCAGAGTCTTCTTTAGATGTAAATTAGATTCTTTCAAGCTTCTACTTGAATCCTCTAGTGGCTTTCCTTTACATTTCTCATTTGTAAAATGGACTTACAAAAATGCCAACTTACTGGGACTCTGAAAATTAAACGAGAGAAAGCAGGCAAAGTACTTCCACAGTGCCTGGTATATATCGTAGACACTCCATAAATGTTCAATGGTAGCATTGCTATTATTATATTTTTTTCAATGTGTAATGAGTTGATAGTTATCTTACACTTGTAATTCTTTTTCAATTACTAGTGACCATTCAGGGGATGTTGCTCAGGAGATTCATTAGCTATGGTTAAACACACAAGTTCATGCTATTACAGGAATATTGTATATTTTGGAGCAAAATACATATAGCGAGTGTCCACGTAAAAAGCAGCTTCATGTGCCATTACTTGCCTGTCCTTGCTTCTTTTGAGTTTAAGCTTATATTTGCTTGTTTTCTCTGACCCAAACACTTAATTTAATAGTGTATTTCTCCTGATTAGAAGTCATATTGACCTTCTTGCATCTCAGTTTTGGCCTCTCTAGGAGACAAATGTGTTTCTCCTTGAGGTGCCCCTCCATAACCCTTGGTGTGAAATTCAGGAGTGTCACATTTAGGCCAGACTAACCCAAAGATACTCTCCAAATTTGGAGGGGAAAAAGAGACCCAATAATTTTCATGCAACGTGCCTAAGTAGACAAAGATAAACTGAACTTCCCCAACATATTTTCTATACTGTGCTTTAAAGAAATCAAGACAGTTTACAAAAATACACATAGCACAAGATAAAAATGAAAGGGAGTAGTATACAAGACAAGATTATACCACCAGAGTTGCTTAACTAAAATGCATGTTTTAAGATACATGGAATACGTTGAGATAGACTACAAAGTTGGCTCTGGGTTTCCTAGCAATCAGCACCATAAGGAAATAGAAATGTTAAATGATTTATGGCACCCGTAAGATTAAAACAAACCAGCTGTATAAAAGAAACATAATTCTTCCTGGTATTGTAACTTAAAATAAACTTGTTCTTTGGGTTCTCACATCGAAGATATGGTGTGATGGAGTAAATATCACCCTTAAAAATATTCCTACAGTAATTGCTATAATGAGTCTCATAGGACAGTTTCTTATATTGTCCCACAATGTAATCACTTAGTTATCCATAACAGGGCCGGGCACAGTGGCTCACGCCTGTAATCCCAGCACATTGGGAGGCCGAGGCAGGTGGATCACCTCAGGTCAGGACTTCAAGACAAGCCTGACCAACATGGCGACACCCCGTCTCTACTAAAAATACAAAAATTACTCAGGAGTGGTGGCACATGCAGGAGGCGTGGTGGCACATGCACATGAGGCTGAGGCAGGAGGATTGCTTGAATCTGGGAGGCAGAGGTTGCAGTGAGCCAAAATTGTGCCATTGAACTCCAGCCTGGGCAACAAATACAAAACTCTGTCTCAAAAAAAAAAAAAAAGTTATCCATAACAGAAATCCACATTTTGGTAAGCAAGTTCTATGCAAGGTGTTTGTTGGGGCAGTGGAGGAGATACAAAATCATGTGGGCCAGATGTATCTAAATCAAAGCATAAATTTGAGATATCCATAGAAGTAGAAAGGCTGCATATTTTTTAGAAAATTCCCCCAAAATATTTTTTTCAAATGTTTTCAGTATTATTTGACAGGGCAGTTTAAAGTTACATTCTTAAATACCTCTTGCCAATTAATGGCAGACCCATTAATTAGACTCACAACCTTTTTATCAAAGCTAATCCTAACCAGGACATGTTAGAACAGACACTGTCTAATTTCAAACAATGCAACTTCCTACTGAATCTTCAAGGATAAAGTAGCTGAAAAGAGAACCTAGAGTTGTAAGCAGCTAAAGGTTGGAGAATGTTTACTAAAAATAATTATTAATAATCATTTGTGTAGATATGTGGCTGAAAGGATCACTTATGTAAGTGAGCCAGTTGTACACAAGTAAATATTGGTTATTTAGCTTAAAGAATCTGTCATTCTTTGGGACCTGACATTTTGCAATAAGAGTTGATTAAAGAGTATTCTGAGTACACACCACAGTAATTCTCTGACTGGTGCTGTTTCCTGTGAATGCTATCATCTTTGAAGTTGTGCTTTAAAAAGGCTTTCCTTCAGCCTGTCTCTTTTCATTGCTCTCCCATATACATACTTACAGTTGCTCTAATTCAGTTTGGCATAAATCACTACTTTAGGATCTCTCTATCCTTTCTTTCCTCCTCCTTCTCTCTTTCCTTTATTCCTTTGTCTAAACAGGTTCAATCTGGAGACACTGTATTATAATAAGTCAACCCTAAGTCTGATAGTGTGTCCCAGGATCTCCTAACTCACCCCTTATTCCACATCATGAAAAGCAGGGTAAATACATGGACTTTGGAGTCAGAAATACCTGTATAGAAATTGTACCTCTGTCATTTACTAGCTGAATGACCTGAACACTTTGCTTAAACTCTGAGTCTTACTTTTCTCATTTACAAAGAAAGAGAAAATGATACCTACCTATGGTGATTAAGAAATGTTTTCTAGAAAATGCCTGAAAGTCTTCAGTTGGGCACTCACTAGTTGTTAGTTTTATTTCATCCAATTTGCCATTACATGAGGCTGTGGGCAATAATGATAAAATTATTCTAAGAGCCAGATGTGGCATTTGTAGGTATTAAGTCTTATCTCAGCAACTGTGGTTAGATTCAACCCCTTTTTAAAACCTAAAACCCTTCTATTTGACTTGGTGCTTGTGGTAGGCAAAATATGTCCTTTCTCCCAAAGATGTCCGCATCCTAATCCCCAGAAACTATGAGTATATTATCTCAAATGGCACAAGGGACTTTGCATTAAGATTAAATTAAGGATTTTGAGACAGGGAGATTATCCTGGATTATCCTTGTGGGCTCAATGTAATAATAGGATTCCTTCTAAGTGAAAGAGGGAAGTAACAGTGAGAGTCAGAGGTGTGATGATGGAAGCAGAATTTGAAGTGGTATGATACTGGCTCTGAAGGCGGAAATGGAATGTAGGAAACCTCTAGAAGCTGGAAAACACAAGCAAATGAATTCTCTCCTAGAGCCTCCAGAAGGAACACAGCCCTGCTAATGCCTGGATTTTGGTTCAGTGAGAACCATTTTGGACTTCTGACCTCAAGACCTGTAAGATAATACATTTTTATTGTTTCAAGCCATTAAATTTATGGTAATTTGTTATAGCAGCAATAGGAAAGGAATATAGTACCATATGCTACTTTTCTCTCTTCCAAAGGCTCTGCTATATGAAGTCTGAAGCGTAAGGGCTAAAGATACTCATTGCAACTGAGTTTGGCTTGCTTCTGGAACTTTTCAGTCAACTGAACTAGGAAATATCTGTACGAAATACTGTGAGTTCATGATGATACTTGTAATTCAAATTTACAACTAAAGGCGGTTTAGTTATTCTTTTAATGTATGTCAACGTCAAGAATAACAGAATTACAATATATTATAGTAACTCATTTTGCTTTATCTCACATCGCGCATATCACAGTATCAGAAAAAAGAGTATGAGCACCAACAATATGACTACCAAAAAGTCAAACAAGTTTTTGTAATTTTTTTGTCTTTATGATAAATCCCACTAGAGATATACAAGTTACAACATTTTAAAGTCATTTGGAATCATGATCTTTTAAAAATTATTTTATATGTACAGGATAAAATCAGCATTCTTTCCCTTTACTGGCCAGTCATAATCTTAATATGTGCTACATATTCTTTCTATTGCTTTGAACAATATTTTACTCTATTGAGTTTAATAATAATTAACATTTATTATCACTTAATCATTTACAATTGGGGTTTTTTGATATGTGGAAGTGAATTCTAAACTCAGCTTCTTTTTTGTAACCTTAATCGTGACTCTGTAGAGTAGCCTGTTCAATGCCACTGACAGATTTCCAGTGAGATATTAATGTCTGATTTAAAGGCATGTAGGGGAAAGCTGAGGAATGCTGTTTTGGTTTGTAGTTCAAAAACTTCATAACTGGATTCTCTTTAATATGTGAAAACCAGAACTGAGTTGATTAGTCAGCTTTTAAAATCAAGTGTTACCCCATCACTGAGTACCCAAATTGCTATAGTTACTTTATAACACATAATTCTTTCACTATAGACAGACCAAGTTGATTTATCTTGGCTGATATGAATCAGCAATATCAGAGGAGCATAGATAGTATTGTAAAGGGAATGAGATAGAGGACTATATTGGATTTTATTATTATGAATATAAATTGACAGATATACACTAATAGATACTAAAGTAACAGTTCTAGAAAGCAAGCATTGGCATTTGGTTGAAATTTGCTGTCAGTTAGATCAGGTCACCGAAGCTGGCAGAACACAAAGCATTAAGTCACAGTACAAAGGGTTAGGTCTGCAACTGGCAGAGTTTCAGCAAGAAGCTGAGGTAGGGCTGCCTGGTGACAGAAGGCAGCTGCGCTGAGATACAAAGCTTTGGTAGGGTGTAGCTAGCTTTGTCAATTAGGAGAACACAAACCTGAAGCTAGAGAGCCTCACAACAGTGAGACAGTCAAAGATTATGTTAGGGTGAAGCCAAAGAAGTTAAACAGGGTCAAACTACAGCTTTGAATTTAAATGTTCACGTGGGCACAGAGCCAGATTATGAATAGAAAGAGTACTTTGTAGAAGAGAGGGAGAGAAAGAGGTGAGGAAAACCAAAAGCTAAGAATGAAAACCTGGTGATCAGGATTCTTCAATTGCAAACAAAAGAAATATACTCTGGGTAATGCAATCAAACAGAATTTAGTGAAAGGCAATTAGGGGAGTCACAGAACTGACGGAAGCTGGAAGACCTGGTCTAGGCAGAATCCAAAATGCTCCAGAGGCTGGCAAGTAAGATCATAGCCATTATTCTGTGTCAGAAACTGTGTGGTCAGGTTGCCACTCTTGGGATGGAGTCCCTCCCATTCCAACCATTTTTAGTCTTCACGTTCCTCACCTCATAATTCAAACCTAGGTGTACTCCAGCCTGGGTGACAGAATGAGACCCTGTCTCAATAATAATAATAATAATAATAATAATTCAAATCTAGGGAGAGAGAATCCAATTGATATTGTTTCAGCAACATGTTCCCCGTTACTCCTCCTCCCTTACTCCACACCTACAGGAAGGCACAGCCTCTGATCACTGAACAGAGTGAGACAGAAAAAGATTCATCAAAGGGAAATCTGAGTGCTACTAGGAAAAGGTAAATAGATGCTGGACAGCCAATATACCATGAATGTCCATAAGTACTTGGTAAATAAAATTATGAAAGGGCCTGAAGCAAATTCAAATAATAATGTTTTGCTTCAGAACCACAATCTGGTTCCAAGTCTTAGGCTCTTAAAGCTAGGAAACGACTTGGGATCTGATATTTTCAACTTCTGATTACTGCTCATGTTGGACTGGAAAACGCAGGTTCCTAGGGGTCATACTGGTATTTAACAACAACCATTTATTTATTGCTTACTATATGTCAGACACTGTGATAAGTACATTGTAGATTATCATTCATTTAATCTTCCCGATATCAATATGGTACAGATACTATTGCCTCATTTTACAGATGAGCTGAGGTGTAGACTATTTAAAAAGCTTGCATAAGGAAGGAATATAGAAGGAAGCCAAAAAGTAGTATAATCCTAATTACAGCAGAAGTAGAATGAGAACTAAACAGAAGTGAGAATTTAAACTAAAGTGTCCTCTCACATCAATTTTAATTTCTGTTGACCCTGTGATCTTGTTCGGACAGATATGGCATTGATACCACAATAAGCATAGGTGGGAGGATGAAGACATGTCAGGAATTTAGCAGTACTAGCTGGTGAAGAAAGGGATGACGTTAAGGCCAAGCATAACCAAGCATGACTGAGACTAAAGAAACATAATTAGAGAGGCTGATCCCCACAGGTAGGCCCTTGCTCACTGTCCACAGAGTACATGAAGTTCAGAGATGGCATAGACAAGCTGTGGCACCAATGCAGTCGTATTCAGCAGAAGGATATAGTAATCCAGTAAGCTTAGTCAGTGGGTGATGTTTGAAGAAGTTCAGTAGCTTGAGGGTAATCTATCATAACAGTATCCTGTCCAATGAACTAGGATCTAGTCAGAACAGGGACTAGTGAAAAATTTTCCAAACCAAGCTTAAACCTTCACATTAGATGAGAGCTTAGGAATTGATACAGTTCCAATTATGAAAGAAAAGCAAAGGAGAAGTCCAGTGCTATAGACTGGGAAAATATTAGGGATATAGGGAAGTGGCACAGCTTGAAGTCTACCTCTAATCCAGTACTCTTGCTTAGCATTCTACATCTTCAGAGGGCTGCATGGTTCCTATAGGTGGGGGCTGATGAGACATTTAGTCTTGCTCAGATTTGTCTCATGAGCCGGGAAGGACTCTTGAGGTAGAAATATGAAGATATAACTATGGGGAGCAAAAGAAGACAAGAAGAGGGAAAATGGAACAGGGACTAATTATTATGACCATCTCCAAACTTTAGATTGATATATTACTCAGAATTCAAGCTGTTCTTGAAACCATTACAAGAAAATCACAGCTTTAGCTAACTTCCATTTATCACAAAACAACATTCTTTGGATAGCCAAACTTACATAAAAACTGCCAAAATTCAGGTCTGCTAATGGAAAAAAACAAAAATTAAATTGCCTAGCTAGAGATTTAGTCACTCTTTTTGGCAAGACACTTTTACATTTTTATGGTGTTTTAGCTTTTCCCTATGGAGCGTTTTCTTCATGGAAGTTCTCTCTCTTAAGAATGTATTCTTTTCTCCATGAGGTTTTAACATGGTCTACAAGTTGTCTTCTCTTATTAATATCCTGTCTAGCCTTTACCTTTAATTTATAGATGATATACTCTCTGCATGGAAAATACCCCTTTGAGGAGTGCTGTGAACTGAATTTTGTCTCCCCAAAGTTCATATGCTGAATCCCCAACCCCAAATGTGATGGAATTTGTAGGGCCTTTGGCAGGTAATAGGGTTAGATGAGGTCATAAAGGTGGGGACTTCTGTAGGATTAAGATGAAGAAGAGAGAGAGATCACCCTCTTTCTCCATGCCCACACATTGAGGAAAGGCCATGTGAGGACACAGGGAGAAGGTGCCAATCTGAAAGTCAGGAAGAAAGATCTCACCAGACTTTGACCATGCTGACATCCTGATCTCAGACTTCCAGCTTCCAGAACTGTGAGAAAATGAATTTGTATTGCTTAAGCTACTCAGTCTGCAATACTTTGTTATGGCAACCCGAGCTAAGACAAGGAATCCTGGAAATGTGATTTTATTAAACATTTCTGAAGATCAACATTATAACATGTAATAAAGCCTCTCAGAAAAGTTTTGTGATTATTGTACATTTATTTTACCACCTACCAAATACTTCAAATCATCCTTCTAAGGATGGTATAAAACAGTGTCTTGACTTTTTCGAGCTGTACTCATGTAACAGTCTAAAATAAAGGTTGCTAAGCGATAGCTTCCCCAAAACCTGATCTAGCTGTTGTATGTGACTGGCTTTCTCCCACAATCCTTCTTGTCTCTCCCCTTGACTGTAGGCTTGACGGGGGGAAGAAATTATTTTCCTCTTCATCGTAGTAAAATATGTTGCTCTACTCCCAGCCCCTGGCTATTGTTACAGTTCTCCATTTTGCATCCTTCCCCGTTCTACTTCATTGTTTACTTCTTCCTAATTACATCTTTCTTCCAGGTACTTTTCCTTTAAAATAATGTTAAAAAATAAAGAATTAAGTATAATTTGGTGATGCCTCAGGCCTTATTCTGGCAACCAGTTAATCACCATGCCAGGTTTACCATTACAGTTAAACAAAATATTTGAAAGAAGGAAATGAATGTTTTATCTGTTTTTATTTTGAAAAGTCTTAGTAAATATCTTAGTCTCATAATTTCCTGCTTAAAACCATAATCAAACTGTTTCATTTCCATCTTTCTTCAACTTTAAGTTTTACTGCTTACAAAGGAGAAAAAATGGCCAGCTTTACATTCCACAAACTCTACATACCATTCTCTGTCTCACACAAAGCATCTGCAGGACATGTAGAGAAAGCTTTTGTGAAAAGAGAATTTGATAAATGCAAGTTTCCAATGTACTACAAAACTTGTGACAACAGTATCACATGAATTTATGCAATAATCATAATGAAAATATTAATAGAATATAAATACCTGAAGAGTGGCAATGCCAGGAAATGTGAGGTGACACAACAAATAAACTATTTGATTTGTAATATAGCAGATTGACAAGTATAATCTGGCTGCTTAGGTTGGAGCATCATGCTATAAGATAAAGAGTTTTGCTTGCAATGCCTGTGTATTGGCTTTTCCTTCATTAATATAAGCTGTTTTCACATTGCCAATTTTTCATATATATACATACTTTTTTTTTTTTTTTTTAGACTTAGTCTCACTCTGTCGCCCAGGCTAGAGTGGAGTGGCGCTATCTCCACTTACTGCAACCTCCGCCTCCCAGATTCAAGCGATTCTCCTGCCTCAGCCTCGAGAGTAGCTGGGATTACAGGTGCACACCACCACACCTGGCTAATTTTTGTATTTTTAGTAGAGATGCGGTTTTGCCACATTGGCCAGGCTGGTCTTGAACTCCTGACTTCAGGTGAACCACCTGCCTCGGCCTCCCAAACCAATTTTTCTTATAAGTTAATAGAATGACCTGAAAATTTAATTGCCTCCTACCTAGGTTACTTGCTTTTTTTTTTTTTTTTTTTGTTTTGAGAAAAGATCCTACTATGTGGCCCAGGCTAGCCTTAGACTACTGGGAGATCCTCCTGCCTCAAGCCTCCCAAGTTCCTGGGACTACAGGCATTCACCACTACACCAGGCTTTGCCAATTTTAATCTATAGGAGCTTATAGGCCAAATTTTAACCAAAAGTCTTCCCTGCAGTGTTAAAAATGTAAACATTTATTCCCATACGTTTCTAATATAATTTAATAAATACTAGTCAAGTGAAACAGTGGGAGTGGAGAAGGAACAAAGAAATCTGTAACTGGTTGTGAGCAATTCGTTGTAAGTACCACCGTACTTAGACCAGCCCATTTTTAATTTAAAAATGTGTTTTGATCATATATTTATACACTTGACTTTCTCAACCATTTATGAAAACTTAGAAGAGTGGGTGTTCTTTATCAAAACTGAGTTTTTTGAGGTAGAGAGAATAAAATGGTTTGTTGGGAGTTGAGGACAATATTTAGAGTTTCCTGTGTTGCAGACACTTCTCTTCTATTGAGTGAGATGTTGTTAACTTTGTTTCTTGTCTATTAGTGGGTCCTGGGAGAGATCAGAAATTCTGGGATATGTCATCTGCCCTAGGCAAGTCATTCACAATTCTGAGCATGCATACATCTTAGCTGCTTTTGAGTCTCCTACAGAATGATGGTGTGGTAAGCATGGAGCAAAGCTCTTATCACTACCCTTCTAAGGCTGGTGATGCTAGTCACTTCTTAACTTCCAGTTTGGGGAAGAAGTGAGAAGAGAGGTTTAAAAAAAAGGCACTGTTGTATTACAAACCAAAATCAAAAACAGATTTCTATACTAACTACCCTTCCAAAGGTAACACATTAGCTATACCGTTAATCTAGCAAAGCAGGGAGGAAAATGAAGGAGTGCATTTGTTTCATTAGTCTTTTCGTTTTGAGAGGTAGACAGGAGAGATAGAGATACACAAGACTCAAGTTTCTTGATACAGTAAGTATATTAAGAATATAAACGGGTTTGATAAAATGAACATTTAAAAAACATGGCACCAGGCTGATTCTTCTTCCTGCACACCTTAATGCCTAACTTTTGAAAGGACTTGAGACATAAGAATCACAATTTTAAAAAATTATAGTTTCCATGCCTTCATGGTGGATCAATTTCCATAGAAGTCTACCAAAATGACTTATCTCCATCCCAGGGAAGCAACTGCAAGAGGGAAAATGAAAGGAATGCAGTCTTTCTATGTAGGCAGAGTGGACTTAAGTGTGAGTCAGAAACACCGATTTCAGTTTGTGCGCTGCAACTTGATAACTTGGGTGATGTTTGGCTTCTCAGAACTTTGGGAGGTGAATTTGAAAAACAGGTAATGCCACACTATATAGTTCAGAGGATTACCTCAGCTTACAAACAGCAAATGAGACGCAAATGTGAGCCATAATTCACATTTCTAAGCAGTTGGAGCCCTGATATGGCACTGGGGTTACAAACAAGCGGGGAAAAATGTCAACCCAGTGATGTCATACTCCTAGGCCGGGCCCTAAGATTTTTTTGGAACCTGGCGGGCTGAGCACAACAGGGAAAGCCTCAGCACCCTGACTTGGCACAATGGTACCCTTAAGGCTCTTTGCTCACTCAGTTCTTAGTAGCTCTCCTAAAGCATGGTGGTGTTCTCTTCCAGTTCTCTGCGTAGACTTTGCTATGCTTCTCCGCCCACTGCTTCATCCAGAGAAACACTCGTATCCACAGCCTCTCCCCACTTTCCCTCACGCACGGCTCTAGAAAGACGGGGATAGGGCGCGGCTTAGGCTTTATACACCTTGCCAGCCAATGACCGCGCCGTCTCCTTTCCGGTCGGCGATCCGACCAATCCAAGAAGGTTGGTGCAATCTTCGGCTCTACTCGGCTGTTTTCGCTGATGCGGGCAGCTTGGGGGCCGCCGCCGCTAAACAGACGCTTTCCTTTTTAATTTTTTTTCCATGTGTTCACTTCCGGGTCCGGCGTCGATCCGGATGCCCGAGGCAGAAGGATGTTTGACCTCCGGATAAGCGAGGCGCTGCTGTGCATTCATTCCGGGCTGCATCGGTGGCGACAGCAGAGGCTCGGGCGGCGACTCTCCGGCCAGCGGCGGCGGTAGGAGGCACCAGCGGCAGTGCAGGGACCGAATCCGAGCAGCGCTGCGTTACCTCTCTCTCTCGCTCCTTCCCCCCTACCTCGCTCGCTCGCTCGCTCGCTCCCTGCGTGGCTCGCTTTCCTCCTCCGGCCGCCGGCGGGTGTGATGTGCCGCCGCCGCTGCCCCCGCCGGCGCTGACGGACTGGGGGCGCCGCCCGCGCCCGGGACCGACCCCTCTGCTCGCGGCCGCGCCTTTGAGGTAAAGCCCCCTGCGCGTAGGTGCTCCGCTGCCAGCCCCGGCCCGGCGGCTGCCTCGGCGCGGCCGCGGCGCCCTCCCTCCCGGGTGGGGCTGGGGTCCCGGGCGGGTGGGGTGGGGTGCGGCGGGGGCGGCGCCGCAGGCGCGGGTGTCGGGGGAGGGGTGGGCGAGGACCATGGCGGGTGGCCCGGAGGCGTGGGCAGGAGGGGGCCGCGGTCGGAGGCTGAGGGCGCGGAGGGCTAGGGGGCAGCGGGGGCCGCGGGTGGCGGGTCGGGCTGGGTGCAAAAGTTGCCGGAGTGGTGCGGCGCGACTGGGGCGGCGAGGGAGGTGGGCCAACTGGGCCGGCGGGGGCTTCCTTAGGAGAGATTGGGAGGTGGGGAGTGTCGCCCACGGTGCTCCTTGACTGTGTCCAGACAATTACCTTTGGAGTAGGGGCTTCAGGCAGGAAGGAGGCATGGATAGGCTGGGAGGAGGCGACGGGGGCCAGCGTTCAGCTCAGGGATAAACTTCCCGTTGGAGTGTTTAAGGGGTTGGGTGGGGGGACACAGGGATTTACCTGTTTCTTAGAGCTTTGACTCAGCTCAAAACTTAACCAAGACATTAGTCAAAGGTTAGCAAAATCACTCTGATGGTTACTCTCATGGTGCCGGTTTGTTTGTTTATCCCACATGCAGGGGAAGTGACACTGAGAAGCATCGGGTCTCTTGGTCCACAGCCTCCACATTTCTTTTCAGCAGGATGAGGAGGGAGATGTGTGTCTACTCGTGGGGTGGGGGTAGTGAGGCCTGTGTCATGGTCATTCCCCTTCTCCCACCTCATGTTTTAGGGAGGAAAAGTTCAGATGGGGGAGAGAGTGAGTGTGCCTGTGTGTGTGGGAGACAGCTACTGTTGATACACTGTGTGAATTACTTTCAACTCTTTTGTAGTAAGCACCCAGGCTGGTCAGTGGCTCCTTTTAAATCTTCTATTAAAATATTTACTTTAAATTAGAGAATTAAAAATGTACTTATTTTTAATGAATTAAGAAAATAAGTCATTATTTTACTTTTTGCAATTACTTAGTCCGATTCAAATGACATTTGGCCACAGATATGAGAGATGGCAAACTATATCTAAGATGGGATATAAAATGAAAAGTATATACTTTTTAAAGATGTTTCTTTTTAAAGATGTTTCTTTGAAGAATATTGGCTTTCCCGGTAAATTTAGAAGAAAAACATTACAGAAATTGTGAGAATAATGTGGAATTAGATGTGAAACTAGTTTAAGAAAATATTTTTCACCAAAAAAATCAGATCTGGTGTGTGACATTAATAGCTTTCTTTTTTTTTGAGCTGTACTTAGTGTATTTTGTAATTATTTACAAACTTTGCTCCAGTTGTATCTTAGGATAAATTGTCTTATTCTTTTGTATAGTTAACCTTTATAGTTGCACAAAAGATAAAAGATAAAAATTACCTTTATGGACATTGGAAGAAAGATGTTATCAAATACATTGTGTGGCTTTGACATACATTCTTAGCAGAATGTACAGACACTTCTGCTTTATGTGAACTGGCATTTCTGAATATGCATTAAATAGAAGTAATTATTGAAATGGGAGACAGAAAGGTTAATTTTAATGTTGTTATGAATGACATTTTTTTGGGGATCTTGAGAAACGATTGTCTTTACTGATGATTTATTATAGTCATCCACCCCCTTCTGCCATTCATCAGCTTAAACATTAGTGTGTTATGTAATTATTGACATTTTCATCATTAGATTTAGCAAGCATTTACAATATATTAACAAAATCTTCAGTACATGAAAGGCATTTATTACTTCCTTGAAAATAAAGGACTGGAATTAGTGGAATCAAGGAATAGTTTAATTCAACCAGGACCACCTTTACTCTGTGGCAAGGATGGAACAGTGGGTAGAATATGAAGATGAATGAGACTCAGTACTGCCTTCAAGGGAGAAGCAGACATACACAGAGGTAATTCACAGATTCCTGTGGGTTTTGTTGGAGGTGTATTGGAAGCATGGGGTGTGTGTGTGTGAGATACTAATTTTTGACTGGGAAATTTTGAATGGATGTAGAGCTGGTAACACTCCATCTGGGCCTTAACATAGTTTAATAGGCAAAATGGGGACTGAGGGGGTGATGGTGGGGGTAGTTTTCTCGGTGAAGGGAACAGCCTGAGGAAAGGCATGTGATTGTGTTATAGGGCTTGTTGAACTGGACATAAGGCTGTTTTGCCAGGAGGTCTTTGTGGGAGAAGCTATGAAAGTAGGTGGAGATCAGGCCATGGAAGTTCAGCTTGTATTTAAAGATGAGTCAGTTTGAGGCATGAAGGTCCAAATGTACAGATCGTAGGCTGACAGTAGGTAGGCAAATAACGATAGTAAGTTTAAGGAAACAAGTTATAATAAAATAGTCAATTTTCTATCATTGGCACTACTGAAGGAAAGCAGAAAAGTATATAATCCAAAACAATCTATATATAGTTTCGTTAAATTTCTTTATTTGCATTTAAATATGGGTGTGTCTGGTAATCTAGTAATTGGTTATACATGAAATCAATCCAGACTGTAAAAATGTGACTCAGGAAGAAATGAGAAGCTCTCCAGTTACTTCTCTGTGTCTCCTCTGATCCATCCTGTAATCCTCTCCATGCTGGGAGTAGACTTATTCTGGTATAGTTTATTGTTTCAGATGTTTTTCAGAATGGAACAAGCGGTTGTTTTGTTCCAAAGGGCTTCCCAAAAGGATGTGTCAAATTAAATAGAAGGAATGCTGAAGTATTGAATAACAAAATATAGGTCATTGAATAGTTATATTATTGTTAATAGTGAGATTTGCTGTGGATGAGATGAAATGTAAAGAATGTATATTTTCACAGAAAGTGGTTTTAATGAAGTAATTATAAAAGAATCTGTACGTGAGGAAAATTGATAGTAACAGAGGGATGATAAGATGAGAAATTTTCACAGTTCGGGATTAACGTGTGTGAGGTTTTTAAGTCATCTTAAATATTAGACGACCCTAAAATAATGTAACCCCACACTTAATCATTATCAAAGGAGTGCTTAGAAAAAAAAATCAGTTTATAAATGCAAGTAAAATCATGTTACAGGGAAAATTGTTTGAAGTTTTTTTTTCTTCTCCTAATTATTCCCCTCTTAGCTTCCCTAATTATTCCCCTCTTAGTATTCAAAAAGGACTTATAACTGAATTTGTGTTCCCTTCAACCTCCCAGTAACAACAATACCTCCTATAATTTATTAAGTGCCTACTTTGTATAGAGGCCATAAATGATACTATTACGACAACTCTGAGTTAGGTGGTGTAACCTCATTTTTGAGAGCAGGAAACAGTCTTCTAGAGTTTAAATAATGTGTTGAAGATATATCTTGGAAGTAGCAGAGTGCATATTTGAGTCAGTTTTTTTTTCTGACTTCAAAGTCTTAAGCCACCAATGATCTGTTTTTTCTTATCTTCCATCTTCATCCTTTTTTTGGTCTTTTCTCAAGCGGTTGGCAATTCGTGGTATTAATTGATAGTATGTGTCTGAGTGTTGGTTCTTTATGATGTAATTTCTTCAGAAGCGGTAGTTTTGAGGTATCTGTCTTTAATTGTGGGATCCTGTAGGTGCAGACAGTATGGTTCTGGTAATTTAAGGCACCTCAGAGCATCACCTTTTGCTGATCTGCAGGACAGAACTATGCTTGGATTCTTAATGTGTAGAAATCAAATGTGCTTTAATAATGTGAAATGATTTTCAAGGGCATCTGAACTGCTCAGGAAATATGGAATGGGAGATAAATGTAGAAATATATAACTTCTAGCGACATGGTGGAGGCTGCTGTTAGACATTTTTTCTTTTTTTTAAGCTCTCTCTGAAAGCTGAGATTTAGCAACTATAAATGTTTGGGCTTCCCTTCTATTATGAAACCTAAGGAAAGTATGTGTTTATTTGTTGTTAGACCATAGTGATTGGTTATACTCTCTCCTGCCACTTCGTGCTTATCATCTTAGTTATAAGAAATAACTCTTAACAATGAATTGAAGTGTTTATGTATTGGGGAGATAAGACACACTTTTTTGGTCGCTTTGTTTACCAATGATATATTACATAGTTGTAATTTATTGAAAATTTATGAGTAAGTTATGTCCACATGGCTAAATCATGTCCGCATTTTTCATAACTTTTCAATGGAATGAGAGATGGTCTCATGATACTCTTTTTCTTAAATACAAAGTTTAATGTTTTTTTTCTCTAGGTTAGTAATGTGAGGTTGAAGTTGTATTCAAATTTATTACATTTATTTAGATCACTTTGTGTTACCTGGAAGTACTTTCTTCAGTTGATAGCTACATTTGGAAAAAAAGGGAAGAGAGTTACCCTGTTATTCTGCCATTATATTCTTCATCAAAATGGAGGAAATTCATATGAAGTGCCAAGGACTATGTGATGCCTGCCACATAGTAGGCACTGTGTAAATCTTCTGTCCTTCATTTCAGAAGTTGCCGATAAGAATTTTAGAGGGTGGATTGGTGGGTAGACAAGCAAAGACTCTCGGGAACACCCTATTACAGGAAAATCTCTCATACCTGACCTCTGCTTAACCCACTCGTGAGATTAAATGATAGTCTTCATTCTCTCTGTAGAATTTGCTGACTGATGCTCATGCTACATTGAATGACAGTAGACTATTCTTTAGTTTTATCTTGAACTTTTATTCCCCCCAGTTACTGTAGACTTACCAAGAAACATTTGTGTTTGTACCCAACACACTGTTATGGCACTTGATGTTGTAATCACATAGTTTAATGAATTATTATTCAGTGAACTCTGAAGATAAAAAGGCGTTTGTATGAGAACCAATTGGCTACTTTGAAATCAAGTGAGTAGCCAAAATCAATTATGGTTGAAATAGATGAGGGTTAAATAATTTTAAATGATTAGGGAAAAAAAAACAAAAAACACCTAACGATCTAAAAAAATCTGCAATAATATTATTTTTCACGTTTGTAAAATGTCTTTCTGTGTTTAAGAAACAGAAACTGGAAATCACAGGTGTTGTTTTATGGGGGTAGTTTTTGCAAGAAAAAGGAAATAGAACTTTCTTCGATAGACCCACACTGGAAGAAAAGGCCATAGCTCTGTATTATAAGATTGTCTTGTGAATGGACATTTTTGTTTTAGTTGTAATAAAATGTATAGAGTTTGTAGATGTTGAGAAATGATTTCCTTTTTAGGCTAACTTCAGAACCATTTATTAATTGTAATATATTAAAGAAGTCTGCTTCTAAAACATCATCTTTCCTAGTTTACACTACTGCTTAGAGATTTATTTAATAACATCCTCTTTAAGAAAAAAAAAAAAAAAAAGGAAGATCCTGTTATTCCCAGAGGTTCATTCCTTAGAGTGAATTGTTTATCTAGTCAGGTGATCAATCTATGGTTCTCACATATTTCCCAGTATGGTCCCTAATCTGATTTCATAAGCTACCTTTCAACTTTTATGTACTGTCAGGGTTGAAGGGGTAAGCCTTCTTATAGTTCCAACATCTCCATCCAATTAGGAATGCTGGGGTAGAGGAGATTGTTCTTTGAAGGAGGAAATGTGACACCCTTGATATATACCAGGAGCACTTGAGCCTCCTATCTCACCTAGCTCAGTCCAAATGGAAAGGAGAACTTTCAGTTGAAGGAGCAGGAAGTCCAGGTTGGAGAAGGAGTGGTATATGTGGTATGCTATTTATTTTGGTGTAACCACATTGCTTGCTGAATTACAGTAGATGCTGAAATGGCACATTGAAGTATGAAGGTAGGGTGGGTGGCTCCAAGCTAGTACTTGAGAGCTCTGGTCTGCCCCTCTGTGATTTTCTTGGCTGTTTGTCTTCTGTGTGTTGGAGTCATCCTAAGGCCAGCAGCAAGATCACATCTAGACATGCACTGGCCAGAGGATGGAATGGATCTCTCTCTCTCTTTCTGTCTGTGTCTCTGGAAAAGCAAATACATCTTTTGCATAAGCCTACCAACATATTTTTCTCTTCGTATCTTATTGACCAGAATTAGGTCACATGAACGTCCTAACTAGTTATCATAAGGGAAGTAAGGTTATCATGGTTGGTTTCTACTAATCAGGAGATACCTTCTGCAATTGGTGTTGGGATCACATTTTTCTGAGTTAGATGGAAGAGGGAGGATATTTTAAAAAAATTGTGGGAAGGAAGAATTTGGGGGATATGGATGTTAGAGAGATGATAAATAGTGATCGCTGTGTCTACCTGTTTTGAAGCGATTCTCGTGCTTCAGCGTCCCAAGTAGCTGGGATTACAGGTGCATGCCACTGCACCCAGCTAATTTTTGTATTTTTAGTATACATGGGCTTTCTCCATGCTGGCCAGGCTGGTCTCGAACTCCTGGCCTCAAGTGATCTGCCTGCCTTGGCCTCCCAAAGTGCTGGGATTATAGGCTTGAGTCACCGTGGCTGGCAAGTTACTTTTTGAGACGGAGTTTTACTCTTGTTTCCCAGGCTGGAGTGCCATGGCATGATCTCGGTTCATTGCAACCCCTGCCTCTTGGGTTCAAGTGATTCTCCTGCCTCAGCATCCTGAGTAGCTGGGATTACAGGCAGTCGCCACCTTTCCTGGCTAATTGTTGTATGTTTAGTAGAGACGGGGTTTTGCCATGTTGGCCAGGCTGGTCTTGAACTCCTGACCTCAGGTGATCTGCCTGCCTCGGTCTCCCAAAGTGCTGGATTACAGGCATGAGCCACTGTGCCCGGCTGGGTCTGAATATTTTAGGAGCTAAAAACACTACTTTATTTTTTCATTGGCTAACTTTGAATCAATAAAATAGGTGGTGAAGTTGAAAGATTATAATTTTTTTCTATGAAACTCATGAAGCCATTTAATTTTACATTAAAATTTTTTCCTATAAACTTGTTTAAATTTTTTTTTCTGCATTGTTGCTTTCCTTCCTCACCATGAAGTTGCCCATACCTTTGATTTCATTGATTACTTTGCTTATCATATCTAGGGGAGAATAAGTGCATTGAGGAAATGGGAGTTTCTTGGTCAGAAGGATTTATTTTGAATCCTGGAATTCCAGTGAGATTGGAGGAAAGGATGGTTTTTACATATTTTGAGAGCAGCAGAGTTGGTAAGGGGTTGGGGAGGAAGGGAAGGACCATAGGATTTTAGACTTAAAATGAATCATAGGAAGATTGAAATGCTCAAGCCACACACCTGATTAGTAGAACTCTTATATCCTAATTACTAGTGGAGTGCTCTTTCTGAGTAAGAATTAGGAGGCCATAATAATCTTGTCTACTTTACAGTTTTGCTCAGGACTGTGGGCTACCAATGTAAATCAGTCAGCTAATCACCTTTAGTACAGATACCTGTGTTCTTAGGCTTTGGAAAAATTTAACCAGAAGTTTTCTTTTTTTTCCAGTAAAATAAGTAAACAGACAAAATTTTTCAGCTTGCCTCAAGCAGTCAACAACAATGACAACATCACACAGAAAGACAGGCAGACACACACACATGGAATAATCTTAAACCTAGCCTGCTTAAATGAAAATGCAAAAGCAGACTGTTTGGGACAATTCATTATTTTATTTTCAAGAAAATGATCTTAAGCATTTCTTTACCATCAATATATGTAAATGAAAGGAATATATATGTGCATATATACTATACATGTATACATAGATACATATATGTATGGGTTGTAAGTATATGGAGTAAATCCATCCATCTTCTGGAAGAATATTTATGTTAATGTCAGTTGTTTATAAATGGTGAGATTTAGGATGATTTTTATTTTTATACTTCATTTACTTCTCTATATTGTTTGGGTTTTCAGCTGTCACTGTGCATTATTTCTACCATCAGAAAAAACAGTAATTTTTTTTTTTTTTTTGAGGGGGGTAGAATCTTGGGGTGGGATGTGTTTTCTACCAGTTTAGATTTTAATATATAACTGCTTTCCTTGTATATTACCATGAATAAAGTGTGCCTCAAATGTATTGATACTTTGCAGATTTCTTTATGTTTAAAATTGGATGTATTAAAATTACTTATCTTAAAATTTTAAATTGAAATTGGCCATATAATATCTTTTGGTACAAATATACATTATAAAATTAGTGGACTTCTGAATATTTTGAAATTATTGTGTTATTTATTTTTTTAGTTTGTTTGGTTTGACTTCAGGTGGTATACTAGGCAGTGTATTAGACTGTGATTTATTAGAGTTAAAATTATATTCAGAATTTCCTTTAGTAAAAAGGGAAGTGAAAATGTTTTTTTTCTTTACACCCACTGTGTGTCATGTTTATTTTCTATTTCTGTGAAATACTTATTTTATATTCTAGCAATGAATACTTTCAAGTGGCAGGCAAATATATTAGGTAATCAGGACAGAAGAGAGAAAATTTATGGTATTCTATAAGTCTTAGGGTGTGCAAATTTATGACTACAGGACCTTTTAATAAAATTCTAATTTGGAGTACAAAAATAGTCTAGTATTGTTTTGGAGATGAAACTAGTAGGTGTCAGTTTTAGATGACCTTGAAAAAAAGTGTTTATAGATGCATATTTTTTACAAAACATTATTTTCTTTTCTACATTTATTTTAGGGAATCTGACAACAGTCTGACTCTCCCTACTCCAAAAATGTAAATCTTTAAATCTTAAAGATGTGGAATCTTGTGATGCCAGTTTTTATTTTAAAAAAAGGATCTTTACTGAGTACTTTTTCTGTCATACGAGTATCAGGATATATTGTTGCTGATGTGTCTTTATATAATTGAGATTCTGCAAATGTTTGTAGTTAATAAAGTATCAAAATATAATCAGCTCCTTAAGATAATTGTTTTGAGTATTTTCTGATATCTATTGAAAGTCGATAACTAGAATGCATATTGTGAGTTTGCTTATTATTGTATGCTTTGCTGTTTACCTTAATACCTACTAATGAAGGTGGTTTTTTTAAGACTGAAAAAGAAATCCTGAGCATTTGGGAATGAGAATATCCAATAAGCTAAAATTAATTTTACTATACACACTTGTTTAAAAATTTCCAGTTGAAAATTAGTAATTTTTCTTCTGTGACAGAGTAAATGAAAGAAGAAAAATGGACAATTTTAAAGATAGTTCATGCAGTCCTTGCTATGGGCTGGGAATGCTAACATTTAACTAAATAGATGAGAGGAGGGAAGGATTTGTGGAGAAAGTTTTTACTAGTGGTTCTTGGCCCGAGTTCATATTACAGTTTTCTTGGGAGCTTAAAAAAAAAAGACAGATGTTGGGATTCTACCCATGCTAATTTATATTCCATAAATAATCAGTAGGGCCTGGAAAGGGCTAGGGCATTGATATATTTTAGGATTTCTACAGACGATTCCAGTGTCCTGCAGGGTTGAAAATAACTAATTTCTCCTTCTTTTTACACTCTCAGCCCTTTAAAAAAATGGCTTTCTTTTATTTTCCAACTGTCTTTTTAAAATTTGAGGTGGAGGTATGAAGATGACACAGAAGAAAATGCAAAGAAAATATTAGCAAGAGAATCAAGTTAAAGTAGTGGCTTCTGCTCATAGCTTCATACAGTTCCTCAGATTCGTTCCAGGACCCCTCATGGCTATCAAAATCCAAGGATGGGCTGGGTGCTGTGGCTCACCCCAGCACTTAGGGAGGCAGAGGCAGGCGGATCACGAGGTCAGGAGATTGAGACCGTCTGGCTAACACGGTGAAATCCTGTCTCTACTAAAAATACAAAAAAATTAGCGGGGCGTGGTGGCACACGCCTGTCGTCCCAGCTACTTGGGAGACTGAGGCAGGAGAATCGCTTGAACCTGGGAGGTAAAGGTTGCAGTGAGCCGAGATGACACCATTGCACTCCAGCCTAGGCAATAGAGCGAGATTCTGTCTCAAAAAAAAAAAAGAAAAAAAAAATCTGAGGGTGTGGCCAGGTACCTGACATAAAATGGCACAGTATTTGCCTATAACCTTTGACACCTTCCCCTATTCTTTAGGTTATTCCTGGATTACTTGTAATACCTAATACAATGTAAGTGCTGTGTAAATAGTTGTTATGAAGTATTGTTTAGGGAATAATGATAAAAAAAAAAGTCTGTGCATGTTTAGTACAGATGCTTTTTTTTCCCTGAATATCTCAATCTGCAGTTGGTTGAATCCAAGGATGAGGAGCCCATAGATAATGAGGGTCAATTGTACTTAGCATCCTTAGTGAGGCCCCTATATTCATTGCTCATTAGCAGTCTTTGATTAAGTATAACGCCAAAGTTAGAGGATTTCTGAAGCTTGGAAAGTTTGTTATGGGGAAATTTATCAAATATAAATTAAGGCATCAATTCAGTTGTTTCTGGAAATCTTAGGAGACCTAAGTGATATCTCTAAAGTTATTATAAATTATAAGAGGGGAAGAAGTGTTACTAATAAAAAGTTATTCATTTTAGGTTATATTTATCATATTTACAATATCATTGAGCTGTATTTTTTATGGAACATCAGGATGGAAGGGACTTCAAAGATTATTTAGTATAACTGCACTTCTGCTTTCTTCTTTTTTATACCACTGTTGATGAGGAACGGTCTCTGTTTATTCCCGCTCAGTGAAAAAATTTTACCTTAGTTATAGTATATTGTGTTTATTGCATATAGTTTATATTGTTTATATTGCATATAGTCTGGAAATATATACACATAAATACACTATGATAATAGGGTTTTATAGGGTTATTGTATCTTGATATTTAGGACAAAATTAGGGTCCTTTTAGTGACTGATTTGATGTTGCTTCCTGGGTCAGGAACACCCTCAGCAGTTACAGTGTTTTTTTCTGTGACAAAATGAGAGCAAGCCATTTTAGGATGAGTTCAATATATTCAATTCAATGAACATTTTTTGTGTGGTGGCAAAATTGGATTTGGCAGTTCTATAAATTGCAAGGGTTAGATTTCTGAAAACTGCCCTGATAGGAGAATGTGGTACAGAAATTTAGCACCGGGTAGAGTTTAGAGGACGTGTTATGTGAACCAGTAGGAGACTTTTAGAATTATTCTGGATTCACCAAAATGCCACAATAAAATTGGTACATGATAAAGAGTAATGAGTACCGTTCTATAGGACCTAATTCCTTTTCAACAGTTCTAACATCCACAGCACTCTGAAACCCAAAACTTTTTCTGTGTGTTTGGTACAAATTGATTTTTTCACAAAATCTGTTCTGAACTGTTCTCTTTATTTCATATATTTAAAGGTTTCATTGTGGAAATAGCAAATGTTTGATTATAGTGTGCTGTCCTAGGCTTCTCTGTACTATCCCAGCCTTCTCTAGAGGTGGTGTTAAATATATGGTGTATACCCACTGTATCACCTGTCAAAAATCTCTAGACATTCTGAATTCTAAGACATGTTTGACTGCCAGAATGCTGGAAAACAAACTATGGACCTGCAGCAACCCCTTAATAGAAACTATTCCATATCTTACTTCTCTGAGGTGGAGTTTCAGTAAGGTGCTAGTAAATTTCTTCTGCCTTTTTTCTTGTAAATATATAAATGCAAAGTGGCATTTTATTTGAATCTGTGTTAGTTTCTTTAACAGTTGTTGAAAACTCTCCTGGGTTTTTGATACTAAGTTATTAACTCTGGTCCTGTGGGTCCCACTGTAGTTCCAGAAGCGTTGTGTAATTAGGATGCTTGAGACGGAAAATGTTTTGGGTAACTTTGGCATGACTGAGTATTCATCAAACACTCTTTTTAGTCCTTGGGGTTACATAATTTTACCTTTGCACATGATAACTTCATGCCAAAGCGCCTACAGGCAGCCCTCTCTTTTACATATCTTGGCTTACTTTTTTAATAATAGAAAGAAGCAGGGGTGTGGTTGCAATCCCTCTGTTTTAGTTTCCTTAAACTTCCTTAATTTGTTTTTAAGACTTCGTTTCAAGTATATTTATATCTGCTTTGGCTTATTCTTATTTTTTGCCTCCGGTTCCTATTCCCATACTTTGTGGTTCTTCTCATTTCTTTTCCTCTTCCTCCTCCTCCCCCACTGTAAGATAATATTCCTCAAGAAGAAAAACTTATAGTTATCGTATTCTGTATCAGAAAAATTTTCTGCCTGCCAGAAAGGTGACAAATAAATCTGTATATTTTAGTATTATAGTTTTCTGAAGAGGACCTTGTTTTAAGGGAATGGTTATTGTACTTCTTGTGCAGAGGTAGTGTTCTGTGTATGTGGTCTCTTTTCTTTCCATCCTTAAACACTGAAGGATAATGGGTGGGGGGGAGCACTGGTGTTATATGCTTTTTAAGCTGTGTTTTCAAGTTCAGCAAGATACCAGGCACTCTCTAGATCCTAATAGGAGCATGTGAACCTTATAGGTAGCCATTCTTCTCCACCTCAAGAATAAGATTTAAAACTTAACACAGTTAGGTTATATGCACTGGCTTTGTGCTCGGAAAGCACTATAATTCTATTGTAGTTCGTATCATATTTTCTGTTGTTGCTCATTTAAACTATGTGATGTCAGACAGGTTGTCTTGTTTGCCATTTGTATTTCCTGCCTTTAGCACATAATAGGTCTTTAATGATCACTTATTTGTTGAATGGATTGTTTCTGTCTTTTTTTTTTTTAATTAGGGAGAATGTTAACATGGGAGAGCCTTGATTAAACGCCTTGCAAGGCACCAAGCTTGTCCTACACCAGTTGTTTGCATTTTTTTTTTTTTTTGAGACGGAGTCTCACTCTGTCGCCCAGGTTGGAGTGCAGTGGTGCGATCTCGGCTCACTACAACCTCTGTCTCCGGGTTCAAGCACTTCTTCTGTCTCAGCCTCTCAAGTAGCTGGGATTATAGGCGTGTGCCACCACGCCCCGCTAGTTTTTGTATTTTCACCATGTTGACCAGGCTTGGTCTCAACTTCCTGACCTCAAGCGATCTGCCCACCTCGGCCTCCCAAAGTGTTGGGATTACAGGCGTGAGGCACCATGCCTGGCAGTTTGCATTGTTACAGTTGTATGAGACAATCTCAAACACACAAAGTGTTTCCAATTTAAATAAAATAATAAACACAAGCATCTGACTTAGCTGCTCAGGCTTAAAAGTAGAAATACTGGCTGGGCGCGGTGGCTTATGCCTGTAATCCCAGCACTTTGGGAGGCTGAGGCGGGCGGATCACGAGGTCAGGAGATCGAGACTGTCCTGGCTAACATGGTGAAACCCCGTCTCTACTAAAAAAACAAACAAAAAAATTAGTCGGGCGTGGTGGCGGGCGCCTGTAGTCTCAGCTACTTGGGAAGCTGAGGCAGGAGAACGGCATGAACCTGGGAGGCGGAGCTTGCAGTGAGCCAAGATCGCACCACTGCACTCCAGCTTGGGCGACAGAGCGAGACTCCGTCTCAAAAAAAAAAAAAAAAAAGTAGAAATACTTTATAGAAATATTTTTCATTTTATTTTTAGAGATAGGGTCTCACTCTGTTGCCCAGGCTGGGGTGCAGTGGCATAATCATGGCTCCCTGCAGCCTCAAACTGCTGGGCTCAGGTGATACTCCCATCTCAGCCCCCCACATTGCCAGGACTACAAGCATATGCCACCATGCCTGACTAATTTAATTTAATTTATTTATTATTATTATTTTTTTGTAGACACAGGGTCTTGGTATATTGCCCAGGCTGGTCTTGAGCTGGCCTCAAGTGATCCTCCTACTCTGGCCTCCCAAGGTGTTGGGATGACAGGCATGAGCCACCAGCCTAGAAATCAATTTTTTTTTAAATGGCAGAAGTTAAAATTAAAATTAAATTTATTAGTGGGTGGCCAGACAGTTTTGTTAAAGGAAATATTCTCTTTTTTTTTAGCATTTCAATTAGTTATGATTTTAAGATATTTTTATATTAAATAGTTTTTCTCTCTAAAATTCACTCTGCCAATAATCAAAACACAAAAACAGTTCTATCACCCCTTAAAATTCCCCTTGCAGTCAACTTCTCCCACTCCTAGCAGCCACTGATTTGTTTTCTCTTTCTATAATTTTGCTTTTTCTAGAATATCATATAAATTGAAACATGTGTTATATAACCTTTTGATTCTGGCTTCTTTCACTTTGCAGAATGCATTTGAGAATCATCTATATTGTAGCGAGTGTCAGTGGTTTCTTTTTACTGCTGAGCAATATTCCATTGTATGGATGTACCTCACCACATTTATCTATTTGCCCATTAAGAAATGTTTCATTCATGTACAGATTGTGTGTGTGTGTGTGTGTGTGTGTGTGTGTGTGTGTGTGTATGAACATAATTTTTTTTTCCTTGAGTATGATCCTAAAGTTGGGATTGTTGGGTCATATGGCAAGTGTGTGTTTAACTTTGTAAGAAACTGCCAAACTATTTTTCAAAGTGGCAGTACCATTTTTATTCCCACTGGCAATATAGAAGAGTTCTAGTAGTAAGCAGTTCTAAAATTCAAGTTGGCTGTATTGAATCACTTTGATTTGTTAGCTTGATTGCACACCAGCAATATTGGGACAGTAATATCCTGAATGTGATATTTTCATTGCTATAGCTCTGTCATTTAGAAATAGTGATTTACGGGAGCCTCATTTTTCAATGAATGCAATCTTCATTGTGTTCTGGAACTATTATTTCTTGTTCAAGTAATGTAGCCCTGATCTCTAGGAGAAAAACTAGGCTTTTAAAACCTTGTGTTCATTTTGGGGTTTAAGGTACCTTTGGGTCAATTCTCAGTCTCTATCTTAAGGCTTTCATAGTTTGGAGGAAGAAGTCTCTTGATTTAGCTGGGCAGAAGGAAGTCCTATCTCCAGAGCAGTAGTAGTACTTTCAGCTTGTTTCTATTTTTCAGCTTGTTTCTATTTCAGCTTGCACATTTCATTCTAGAATTTTGAAGTTGTTAACTTATAATTTACAATCAGTTATACTACTAAGTCTGTTCTATGAGGAGAGTTGACACATACTTACCCAAACATCATTACTCTCAAATAAGCCTTTTAAATTTGTGGCCTTTGCATATACTAGTCTATGTATTAGTAGTTATATATTTTTGTAAGTTAGAATATTTCGCTGTAGTTGAGAAGAACGAATATAACTGTTATGAGAACCATGTGTGATACAACCACTGACTTTTCTGGATGTACTTTCTCATTTAGTTAGCATTATAGGGAATGACCTGATAGATAAATTAGAAATACTGAAGCATACCCTTTTACCAAAATATATTTTATTTTAGGTTTTTTTCTTTTAATGACAAACTTTACAAAGTAGTACTGTTTTCTCCGTGTTTTCTAACATATTCAAATCTTTTCTTGTTAGTTTAGGGCTCTCATTCTGAACCTCAGCTATAAAGTGCTGTTATGCAGAGATGTCTGTAAATCTATTGATGAGGATAAAGTTGTTTGTCTTCCTTGTTCTCAGTCATAATTTTACTAGTCACTTCAGTTTTTCCCTTTTAATTTGTATTCTATTATAAACTTATTAGAATTATTTAAAAATGAAAGTATCTGACTCAAGTGGAATTTAGAGGCTCTTATTGTTTAATGAAGAGAATATGCATTTTGTGACCTCCTTTAGTGAATTTCTTTTTCTTCTGGCTCATAGCTTTGTTTTGAAGAGTTGAAATCACTGTGTAAATGACCTTTGATTTGTGGAGTGTTATTCCACCTGTAGTATCTCTTAGAGCTATAAATTGCCTGCCTGCCCATAACTTTCTCTTTCCTCTTCTATTTGAAAAAGTGATGATCATATAAATTAACATTCTTAAATTTCTAAGAGGTTGTTCATTCATTTATTCACTTATTTATTTAAGGAACTTTTAATCAATGTTGACTGCTATGTGTTATAGTAGGTATTAGGGAGACAGAATTGAATAAAATGACTTTTTTTCCTTGAGGACATCAGATTAACAAATGGAGTATCTTAAGGTTAAAGAGTGAAAACATTGTCCCATATCTTTCCTCTAAATCGGTAGTGAGGTGTAGAGGTTTGATCAATTTCAATTATTTTTTCTTCCATTGGGAAGATCAAAAGTTGTCTTTCTTTTTGGAATGTTAGCAGTCATTGATGATCCTTGCCTAGTCCATTAATTTACTAAGAGTTGTGTAATGGTTATAATTTAGTTGTCATTTCTTATTCATTTATTAGCTAGATTACTTTTTAAGAGAAAATCCCCCTCACCAATTAGAATTTATTCTCATTATTCATAGATTCCATATTTGTAAATTTACTTGCTTGCTAAAATTTATTTGTAACCCTAAACTCAGTAATCCCAGTCATTCACAGACACGTACATACACAGAGTGGCAAAAATTTTGAGTCACCCAATGTGCGTGTTCCCAGTTGACGTTGAATAAAGTGATTCTCTGCTTTCTGAAGAAGAGTTTGCTTTTTGCAAGCTATTTATTAACTTTTTCCTGGTGATTTCACTGTTTAAAATGGCCCCCAAGCTTAGGGCTGATGTGCTGCTGCCTAGTGGTCCTAAGTGCAAGAGAGGTGTGATAAGCCTTATGGAAAAAATTCATGTGTTAAATAAACTGAGTTCAGGCATGAGTATAATGCTGTTGGCTATTAGTGCAATGTTAATGAATCAGAGATGTGTATTAAATAAGGTGTCTTGAAAGAGAAACATACAAAAAACAAAGTTACGTATTGATTGGTTGATGAAAATCTTGTGACCAGAGGCTGGCGGAACATAACTCTGTATTTATCCTGGAAGCAGTGGTTCAGTATTTGCAGTGACTTTATAAAACATAACTGCTAATAAATCAGCTGTTTTTTTGGTTTTCCTGAGATGAAAGAACATTCTTTTAAATCAGTATTAAAAATGTACTACAGAAAGTTGTGGGTAATGGAAGTAGATAGATCATTAAGAGTCCTGATGAGATCTTTTTGGGGGCAAGTTGTTCATCACTGTATTTCTAGCACCTAGACCTGTACCTGTGTCTGGTGCATGGTAAGTACTCAGTAAATATTTGTTGAATGAAAATAAGCATCCCAAAATTTCCTTGATGGCTTGCAGTTTAAATTTTATGGCATTGTTAGGATTAGGGTTTGCAGTGAAATTTCTGATTTTAGATAGTAAGATGACCTGCTCACGGAGGTTGGTATGGTGAATATTTCGGTAATAAAAATTTAGCATGACCTCGTCTTGAGTTTTGATTCCTGTCATTCTTAAAGATGAAGGTGCTCTTTGCTTTTCTGGGTTTAGGTACAGTAAATGCTTAGGAGGGTGTGCATTTTCAAATTAGATATTTCTGCTGGGTGTGGTGGCTCATACTTACATGAGCACTTTGGGAGACCAAGGCAGGCAGATTGCATGAGCTCAGAAGTTTGAGACCAGCCTGGGCAACATGGCAAAACCCTGTCTCTACAAAAAATACAAAAATTAGCCTCGTGTAGTGGCATGCACCTGTAGTCCCAGCTATTTTGAGATGTGTTCGGGCCACTGCACTCCAGCCTGGGTGACAAAGTGAGACCCTGTCTCAAAAAAAAAAAAAATCATAAATTAAATATTTCCTCCCCTTCCAACTATTGAGACATATGGGCTATGATAAAGGGTATTACAAATGGGAGTGTAAATTCACTTGTGAAATTGAGAATAGAAGGCATAAAAAGACATTTTGAGGACCTATGAAACGGTCGTATTGTAGTTACTGGAGAACAGTGAGAGCTGAATAATTAGACTATTAATTTAATTAGACTTCCAGTAATATTTATACCTAGGAAATTTAGATTTTAATAAGGTTTCTCATTTAATAATTTATTTAATTGTAACTGATTATAATATAGTATGTTTTGATGATACTCCTGTGCCATAATACAGTAGCTTTTAAACTGTAGAAATGCTTTTTGATTACTGACCCAATGATACATGTACATTCATTTAAAGCCTACAAATCTTGTTAAACATGATTTATCCTTATTACATATGTACTTTCCATTTTCTTTCCTGTTTGGTACTATTTTATTAAAAAAACTGTTGTCTGAGACCCATTAAATTGATTAAGTGGCCCATTAATGGGCCCTGATCCACAGTTTGGAGAACATTGTTTAAACAAAACTGGGTGGTAATTTTTAAAAGCTAGAAATTCCTGGGTCTTAATAGGAATGTACAAAGATATCACTGAAATCAAGTTTCAAAACTGTAAAGTGTTGTAGATGATAGTTACTAAATCTTTCTGGGATAAAAAAAGTTTCTGTAGTATGTAATTTTAGAAATTGATATCCATTTTTGACATTACAGTTAATGATTTAGCTTTTAAAAATAAGTGTTTATTCTTTTCTTAGACAACCACAGTTGAGCTAATGCCAGAAACCAGTAACTGGGACACTTGCTGCTAATAGAAGCATGTGATGTAACGGCTAGCCTTCACATCACAAATATCTTTACTGATTTAAATTTTGGAGAAGGCTGAAGACATGTATTGTAATATAATTTTTATTGAGACTGAATAAAGCATTTGAAACACTGAATGAGTCGTTTCATATACTAAATTTGGAGGTTTTCATTTGAGATAACGAAGCAGTGGGAAATCAATTCTATGACAAGTAACATTTGACTATAAATTTTGATTTTTAAATTTCCATTTGTTGTAAATTTATACTTGTAAACAATATTGAATAACATGCTAAATATGAAAATATACCTATAGGAACTTTCAATACTTAATACCGATATGTTCTCAGACTACTTTCTCCTTAGACTTAAGTAGACTTAAGACTAAGACTTAAGACTTAGTTTGCAGTCTTAAGGAGGTCAGTTGGCTTTGTCAAGTCCTAAATTATTGGGCCATGCATATTAGAGAATCTGATTTTCTGTTCTGTGTTTTGTAGATTCATCAGTGGTCATCAAATTAGAAGTATGCCAGTGGCTGACATTTCTATTCATATAATCAGATTATGTCTAATGTTTTCTGTATTTAGCAGCTCATTTTTATCTTTATTAGTAGATATTACTATATCAAAATTGTAATTGTTTGTGAAAGCAAATAAATTATTTATATTCATTCTCAAAGATAATTTTTAAAAGCTTTCTTTTGAAGAATTCCTTTTGAATGTAGATATTTCAATAAGTTAGTAAACTGAGAATAATTACAGATTTGAAGTTGTAAATATTTTATTACCATTTATTCACACATGTAGTTTTATGCTACATTAAATGTATATCTGTTATTTTTAGTAGTAGATGGATTAAGGTTTCAGTTAAAGAGGCAATATCTCTTGTAAAAATAAAAATGTAGAGCAGTACAAGTAACTATGTTACAAAAAATTGTAAGCAGGGGGTATTTCTGTGAGTCTTCTCTCAGTAGTTTTTATTTTAATGGGTGCCTAATTTTTAAGTTTTCAAGATGCATTTTTCCATTCTCTTCCTGTAATTTTTGAATCTAAAGCTTCTGTGAGGGAAATTTTCAGTTTTTACCATTGACTGCATCTGCAGGTATAATACAATATTAAGATTACTCTTAATTTTTAAGAATATTTAGGTATTTTTAGCAACTGGTGTAATAGTAAGGTATTTTTAGCAACGGGTATAATTTTAATGTACACTCTGAATTTTGTAGCTAATTCTATTTCTAATCATATTTTTGTTTTTGCCTGACTACTATAAAGTGCAAAAATACATTTGCTTTGAATGGGTACTGAAACTCATGGTATATTAGTATTACATAGTTTTATTTCTAAGATCATTTTACTTCTCTGCTGATTTTTTTATGTAAATCTTTTCTTCATCCTTTTTGTAGTGCATGTATTACAAACTGCCCTAAATAATTTTTTATAACAAGGTTGGCTTTTAAATAAAGTGCTGATATTACTTAAGTTTTTAGGATAGATTGCTTCTAAGAATATATTTATAAAGCAATTCAGTGAGAAAATAACAGTATTCTTTTCAGTGGTTCTTAACTTTTTTTTAAGATCACATAATCTTTTGATATCAAACCTGTTGAAAACTGTGGTTTTCTCTTTAGAAAATTCTCAGGAAGTGTATGGATTTCATGTTAAGAACTCCACAGCTGTCTCCACTATTATTGATGGCGTCTGTTTTCATTAAAAGTAAGCAAACAAAAGCAAAAACTGATTTGTAGAGGCACTTAATACTTTGTACTGTTAAATTTTTTGAAATATTCTTCTCAAATTTCACAGTGTTTTTTAGTTATCTTTAGGATGCAAGTTACTCGTTTGTTGATAGTAGAATTAATAGGTCTATTAAATTAATGCCCGTATGTGGAAAAGAAATATAAGCAATAGTCTCTTGCCCTTTATTTCTAGTCTTTGAATTTTTCAGTAGATAGAACCAGTTTTAGTTATTTTAGTTTTAAATGCTTCAGGTGGTTACTTTTATGAATTCTAAATAATAAGCATACACTTTTCTCTTTGATACTATGTCAAATTTTTGTATTATCTTTTAATTCTCCACTAAGGATGAAATTTAACTCACATACTCCCAGTTTCCCTTCTGTCTTTAAATTTTTGGGTAGTTATTAAGTTTACTTAATCTATTACTTACCATTGACACTTTAAATAATGTTCTTACATCTCTATTTCTTGTTTTAGTAAATTTTTAGGTTATCTCTTAACTCTGTACTTTGCAGGATGTGGATATTCTTGCCCCGTCCTTCCTTTTACCTTACCTATTTCCCATTAACAGCTGAGCTTCTGTCAGTTTCAATTGTAGTATTATTTTAACACTGTCAAGGTTGGTTAAATTTATATTTTTACAGGACTTTTATCTTGCATTTTTTCTTTTTGCTAAGATTGAATTTAAAAGTTGAAAATCAGTTATCTATCGTACGGTATTATGACAAGCTTTTGAATCAAGTAGTATGATAGAGTTGCTTTTCTTTCCTTCTTAACCTTCTGAGGTCCCTTTTGGCCCCAGCTTAGGAAAATTTTCTTTTATGATTTCTTTTTCTTAATTTTCTCTGTCCTCCCTATTAATTTTTATTATTAGTTGGAAGTTGGAGGTATTGGATTGTTTCCGTCTTTTTTTCTTTATTTTTTAATGTCTTTATATTTTTGTTTTAAATATTAGGATTATTCCCCCACTTTGTTCTTGTTTATTCCATTTAATGCAGCATTATTTTCTTATATATTTATGTGTTATTATACTTCTCAAAAGCCCTTGGGGGCTAATTGTTTCAATTTTTGCTGCTGTTTTTAAAGTAAGTTCTCTTCTGTTCTTCATATGATCTGCTTCCCCCAGAGGTTTTTTCTTTTTTTTATTTTTTATTTTTTGGAAGAGGGTGTTTTTCATATTGTTAGCTTTCCTGATGTATCTAGTGGTGCTTGATTGTCAGTTTATATTTGTGATTGAGGGACTAGGCTAATATTTCTGGGTAAATGCTTTAGGTTTCTTTTGCTGTTCTGTTTTCTCTGCTGTTTTTTTTCTTCATAAAATTCTTGGGATCCTGTGCACGGATGGGGTTTATTGACTAGAAATGTTTAGAGATAGAAAGAACTCATTTATTCATCTACAGTATGTATTAACTGTCCTAGGTGTCAGGCAGTGTGCTAGGTTCAGGGATCATAAAGTTACGTATACTAGAGCCCTTGTCATCAAATACGACAGGCAATTATAAAACTGCATATTATATAAGAATACCCTTAGAAATTTCCAAGTCTAATCCTTCTATTTTATAATTATTAAAATGAGCTTAGACAGATTAAGTGTCTTGCTCAATGCTGTACAACTACATAGGAGCTAAATGGGATTCTAGGACTACTTTTGTTTAATTCTATGTTCTTTATAATATAAAGAGGTCTGGAAGCAGCTATCAAGGATTCCAAGACCTGGGAGAATTGGTGTGTTGGAGCAGGATACAAAGCTTGGGACTTAGGTATAAGAGAAGGTTATGCTACCTTATATAATACTCAGTCTTAGAAAATCAGAGCTAGAGATTTTTCTTGAGGGCTTGAAGAAATAAGCGGCCATTTTGGAGAAGCCCACATGGCAAACTATAGGTAGCTTCTAGAAACTCTAGGCAACCTCTAGAAACTGAGGGTGGCTTCCATCTGACAGCCAGCAAAAAGCTGGGGCTCTCAGTTATACACTGCAAGCATATGAATTCTGCCCACAGTCTGAAGGAGCTTGGAAGAGGATTTTTTCCCCACTTGAACCTCCAGATGAGAAAGTGTCTAGCCAATACCTTGAATACAGCCTGAGTAGATCACTTAGCTAAGCTGTGCCCAGGCTTTGATCCACAGAGACTGCGAGATAATGTTTGTGTTGTTTTAAACCTCTAAGATTTTAATAAGTTGTAACACAGTAATAGAAAACTAATACATTTGGTCATGTCCAAGTGTGTTGTGTTGTTCAGCATAGTGCCATTGTATAATAAACACAATGCTTTCTCATCTAATTTGAGAACGAATAACTCCATTGTGCTTTAAAAGCACGACCGTGAAAGTCCACTTTCTCTATTGGTTTTGACATGATCCATATGCATTGGTAATAAAAAATAAGTACGATGTAGCGGTAGGTTATGTGTGTGGCACTACTGTCAAGTTATAACTGTGCCACTGCTATGATTCTCTGAGCAGCAGTGTGAAGTGATAAGAGCACCACATATGGTCTCTGTCACAACTATTCAACTCTTCTCTTGTAGCGCAAAAGCATCCATAACAACATGTAAACAAATTAGCGTGGATTCCTATACCATTTTATTTATGAAGACTAAACTTGGATTTCTTATCATTGTCGCATGTTATAAAATATTATTATTCTTATAATCCCCCACCCCCAACTATGTAAAAATGTAAAGACTATTCGTAGGTCTAAGGTTCTATAAAAATAGGCAAATAGCTTGCAGGCTGTAGTTTCATGACTCCTGGTATAGAGAAACATGTAGGCAATTCTAATACTGCTTGATAGGTGCTATGGTAGGGAAAATACTATAACATACTAAGACTCTTACTAAGAAAATATTTTAATTAAAATTCTAATTTGTTAAAAGTATTTTTGAAAAGTAAAAAAATACATTATTACAAGTTTATGAACAGTTACCTGAATGTACTAAACTAGATGGAATAAAATAGGAAATGGCTTAGTTTCTCCCTAACCACTGTTGTCATCTACATCTTTTATTATTTTCACTTCTTGACTCATGAATGATATCCTAGTCCATTTTCACTGATTTCTTGTCATGTATCTTTATAAGAATAGTTCTGTTTTCTCAATGGATTGCTTTTCAGATATCAAAATGACCCGTTCAAATTTTGATGTTCAATTTTAAGCTAACTCATCACTTCTTTCTGCCTCTCTCTCCCTCCTAGTTTCAGACTTGGCACTTGACTCTGGATCCTCTTTTGAGGAAGGGAAGTAGTTGTTGTTTCTTCATTCTTCTTTCTTGCATTCTCCCATTCATTAGCTGCCCCTTGCTCCTCTAGGGTTCATGTCAGGGGAAGGAATAGGAAAGGGAAAAGGCAAAAGTCCTTTATGTGCTTTTAAATGCTTTTATTGTGGAACAGTTTTGGTTCTCCAGAGGCTTCATATGGACCTCTTATGTAAAATGAACCAATCCACCTACACATATTTCTGTACATAAGTATTTATATGCATGCACAAGCATTAAAAGCTTTGGAGCATACACATCAAATGAAAAGTAATGATTCTCTCTGACAAGGGCAGGTGGGATGGAAGACAAGGGGTATGGATATCCCAAGGGATATTTTTACTTCATTGTAATACTGGAATTCTTATTACATGTAGCATACTTTTTTTGATATTTGATTAATTAAACATAAATAAAAAGCTATATATTTAAAATAACATGAAAATTTGCCAAAAGAAAATTATTTCCTTCTAAATTGAAAAAATATGAAGGGCTTTTTTTTTTTTTTTAAAAAAAAAAGCTTCTTAAAGCTAGATAGGAGGAATTAGTTCTAGTTTTCCATACCACTGTAGGGGGACTATAGTTAACAGTAATGCATAGTTTCAAATAGCTAGAAGGAGTATATTGAATGTTCCCAACACAAATAAATCATAAATGTTTGAGATGATGCCTATGCTAATTACTCTGATGTGATCACTATATAGTATGTGTATTGAAACATCACCATGTACCCCATAAATATGTACAATTATATGTCAAATAAAACTTCTAAAATAAAATATTAAGTTCATTAATTGTTAAAAAAGTGGCATTAGAAGAAGAAATAATCCTATTAGTGGGCAAAGGACATGAATAGACATTTTTCAAAAGAAGATACACACATGGCCAATGGCATAATAAAAAATATTCAGCATCACAAATCATCAGGGAAATGCAAATTAAAACCACAATGAGATATCATCTTTCTTCAATCATAATGACTGTTACTAAAAAGACAAAAAATCACAGATGTTGGCGAGGATACAGAGAAAAGGGAACTCCTATACACTGTTGGTGGGAATGTAAATTAGTACAACCTATATGGAAAACAGTATGGAGACTTCTCAAATAACTGAAAATAGAACTACCACTGGATCCAGCAATCTCACTACTGGGTATCTACCCAAAGGAAGAGAAATCCACATGTCAAAAAGATGCTTGCACTCCTACATTTATGGCAGCACTGTTCACAATAGCAAAGATATAGAATCAACCTAAGTGCCCATCAAAGGATGAATGTGTAAAGAAAATGTAGTATATATACATAATAGAATACTATTCAGCCATAAGAAAGAGTGAATCATGTCTTTTGCAGCAACATGGATAGAACTGGAGGTCATTATCTTAAGCTAGGAACAGAAAGTCAGATATCACATGTTCTCACTTCTAAGTGGGTACTAAAAATGTTTATACATGGACTTAGAGAGTGGAATGATAGACAGTGGAGACTTGGAAGGGTGAGGGGGTGGGAGGGAGTGGGATGATGAGAAACTAATTAGTGGGCACAATGTACATGTTTTGGGTGATGGTAAAAGCCCTGAGGTTGACCATATGCAATCTATGTATGTAACAAAATTGTATATGTACCCCATAGATTTGTACAAAACGTAGCATAAAAGCTAAGTTTTATAGTAATGGTGTGCTGGGGAAAACATACATGTTGAGATGAAACACGCAGTTTTTTATGTGTGTATGGGGGCAGTTGTTTTTAAAAATCATATTTTGAGATGCAATTTACATACAATGCATAGATTTTAAATATAGTTTGATGAGTTTTGGCAAATGTATGTATCCATGTATTTCCTCCCAATTAAGATATAGAACATTTCTTTCCTGCAGAAAGTTTCCTCATGACATTTTACAGTCAAATTTCCTACCACCCTACTTAACCGCTGATAGGATTTCTATCACCACAGCTTAGTTTTGCTGGTTCTAGAGCCAAATATAACTAGAATCATGTAATAGGTAATTGTTTATGCCTGACTTCTTTTCCTCAGTCTAATATCTGAGAAATTCACCATATTGTTGCATGTATCAGCAGTTCGTTCCTTTTTAATGCTGAGTAGTCATCTATTATATGACTATACCAATTTGTTTATTCTTCTGTTAATGCACATTTGGATTGTTTCCAATTTTTGACTATTACTATAAGTGAGGCTGCTGTAAACATTAGTGTACAAGTCTTTTTGTAAACATACATTTTTATTTCCTTGGGTAAACATCTAAGAGTGGCATTGCTAGGTCATAGGATAGGTGTATATTTTACTTTATAAGAAACTGTCAACCTTTTTTCCAAAGTCATACTATTTTTTACTCCCACCAGCACTTTTTTGAGAGTTCCAGTTCTTCATTCTTACCAACACTTGATATTGTCAGTCTTTTAAATGTTAGCTATTTTAATGGGTGTGAAATGGTATTTCATTATGGTTTTAATTTATGTTTGCATGACAAGTAATGATACTGAGCAGTGCTTCATATGCTTTGTGGCAATTTGTATATATTCTTTGTGAAAAGAGTCTATTCAGATCGTTTCTATATTTAAAAAAATGCAGTTGTTCAGTGAGAACACATGGACACAGGGAGGGGAATATCACACACTGGGGCCTGTCGGGGAGTGGGGAGCTAGGAGAGGGATAGCATTAGGAGAAATACCTAATGTAGATTACGGTTTGATGGGTGCAGCATACCACCATGGCGCATGTATACCTGTGTAACAAACCTGCACGTTCTGCACATGTATCCCAGAACTTAAAGTATAATAATTTTTTTAAAAGTTGTTTTTCTTATTGTTCAGTTGCAGCGTATTTATACACACTCATATAAAATAATTTAGCCCATTTGGAAGTGTTTGTATTTGTTTTTTAAAGCTATCATTTGATGAGAAATGATTAATTTTGATGACTATTAAGATTTTTAATGATTAGTGATTTTAGCGTCTTCTAAGAAATTTTTACTTACCTTAAGATAGCAAAGATACCCCTCTTTATGGTTCTGGTATTTGTATTTAGGTTTATGATCCATTTCAAATTATTATTTTTTAAAAATGCATTTTTGTAGAGACGGGGTTTTGCTTTGTTTCTCAGCCTGGCCTGGCCTCAAGCAATCCTCCAGGCTTTGCCTTCCAAAGTACTGGAGTTATAGGCATGAGCCACCACGCCTGGTTGTGGGTTGAATTTTGTCAAACGTAATCTCTTGTCTGTAGAAATGATCTCATTGGGCTGTAATGCCAGCACTTTGAGAGGCTGAGGCGGGTATATTGCTTGAGCCTGGGGGTTTGAGACCAGCCTGGGCAACATGGCAAACCTTGACTGTACAAAAAAATAAATTAGCTGAGTGTGGTGGTGTGTGTCTGTGGTCTCAGCTACTCGGGAGGCTGGGGTGGGAAAATCACCAGAGCCTGAGCAAGTCAAGGCTGCAGTGAGCTGTGATTGTGTTAATGCACTCCAGCCTGGGTGAAAGAGCAGATTAAAAAAAAAAAAAAAAAAGATTATCCCTGTGGGTTTTCTTTTTTCTGTTAGTTTGGTAGTGCATTGATTTCAAATGTTAAGTCAGTGGTACATTTCTAGTATTAAACTCTGTTTGATTATTATTTGTTAAACTTTCTACATATTTGCTTATGTTGTGAAGAATTTTTGTATCTATGCTCATGAGAAATGCAGGTTTAATTTTCTTTGCTCGAATTGTTTTTGTCAGGCTTTTGTATTAGGATTGTGCTGATCTCACAAAGTAAATTGATTATTCCTGTGTCCTGAAAGAGCTTTAGAACAGTATTACTTTTTCCTAATATTTGATAAAATTTGCCAGTGAAATCATCTTTATGGGAATACTTTTTTTTAATAGATTAAGTTTTAAAAATAGATATGGAACTTTTGATATTTTGTTTTACCTTGTATCCCTGTGTTACATTTTTCAAGGGATTTGTCCATTTCATCTGTATTAAATTTATTGGCCTAAAGTTACTCATAGTCCTTTGTCCTTTAGTATTTATAGGATCATTTTGATATCCCTTCTTTCATTGTTCTTATTGGTAATTTGTATATTCTCTTTTGTTCTTGATCATTTTTGCTAAGAGTTAGAAATTTCGTTGACCTTTTTCAAAGAATCAGTTTTTGTCTTTATTTTTTCTGTTGTGTTCTATTTTCTGTTTTGTTGATTTTCCTCTCTGGATAATTTCTTTGGAAATTATTGACACTTTCTTCTGCTTTATCCAGTTTGCCACTGAGTGTATCTAGTGAAGTTTTTCATTTCAGATATGACAGTTTTTATTTGAGGGTCTCTTTTTTTTTCTGTTTTATTTTTCCGTTTATCAGCTGAGAATTCCTGTTTTTGCTCATTAAGACTACATTTTTTGCTCATTAAGACTATATTTTCCTATAAGTCTGTATTAGTGATAACTCTATTGAAGTACTTCCTCAACTCTTGTCTGATTTGCTCTTTTCTCTAGCTATTTTAAGAAGAAGGTCCAGATCACCGATTAAAAACTTTCTCTAATATAGGCATTTAAAGCTTCTAGTTTTCTGCTAAGCATTAGAATTGCAAATTAGATTTTTTTCTAATTTCTCTTGTGATTTTTTTTTCAACTCCTGAATTATTTAAATGTGTGTTTAATTTTCAAATTTTGGGACTCTTCTAGATGCTATACAGCTGTCGATTTCTAATTTAATTATTTTTTATTTTTTTGAGACAGTGTCTTGCTCTGCTGCCCAGGCTGCAGTGCAGTGACATGATCTTTGCTCATTGCAACCTCCGCCTCCCAGGTTCAATCGATTTTGCTGCCTCAGCCTCCCGAGCAGCTGGGACTACAGGCATGTGCCACCACGTCTGGCTAATTTTTGTATTTTTAACCATGTTTAACCATGTTGGCCAGGCTGGTCTCGAACTTCTGACCTCAAGTGATATATACCCACCTTGGCCTCCCAATGTGCTGGAATTACAGGCATGAGCCAACAAGTCTGGCGATTTCTAATTTAATTCTATTTTGACTAAATATACTCTGTAATATTTTAGTGACTTGAGATTTAAATTATAGCACAGCATATGATCTTTCTTGGTGAGCATTGAAAGGGAATTTTATTTTGCGGTATTTTATACATGGCAGTTAGCTCAAGGTAGTTGATGGTATTATCTAGATCTACCATATACATACTGATATTTTGTCTTATACCTTGTTGATTACTGAAATCATGCTATTAAAAAATTTGTAACAATGATTGCCTTTTTTCTTTTTAGTTTTGTTTTGCCTCGTTTTGCTCATTCATATTTATGGTTTTTATGTCTTTCTGTTGAATTGATATTTTTATCATTATGAAATGCACCTCTGTAAATTTGTAGATAATCCTTTGTTTTGATGTCCAGTTTGTATAATAATAATACAGCCTCACAAGCTTCTTATATGTGCTATTTACACAGTATATCTTTTTCTTTTATTTAACTTTCAGTCTATCTGTATAGTTGTATTTGTTCATTTATTTATTTTGAGACAGGGTCTCATTCTGCTGCCCAGGCTGGAGTGCAGTGGCACAATCTCAGCTCACTGCAACCTCTGCCTCCCAGGTTCAAGCCATTCTCCCACCTCAGCCTCCCAAGTAGCTGGGACTACAGGTGTGTGCCACCACTCCCAGCTTATTATTTTTGTATTTTTATTAGAGGCAGGCTCTCACCATGTTGCCCAGGCTGGTCTTGAACTCCTGAGGTCAAGCGAATCACCTACCTCTGCCTCCCAAAGTGCTGGGATTACAGTTGTGAGCCACTGCTGTGTCTTTGTATTTAAAATAGTTTCTTGTAAACAGTTTGTAGTTGAGTCTTGCTTTTTTATATAGTCTGACAATTTTTTTCTTTTTGGGGGAAAATCTGGTCTATTTCATTTTATGTATGTTTTAAAGTCCACTGTCTTGCTATTTGTTTTATCTTGTATGTCTTTTGTTTCTCTTCTGTTGTTTCAACCAAGTAATGTTTAGTCTTCCATTTTATTTCTTGTACTGTTTTTTTAGCTATTCCTATTGTAACTAATTTTTTATTGTTTGAACTAGGTATTAAAATGTGCGTTTTAACTTATCATTGGCTACCTAGAATGAATGTGGAACCACATAATTCTTCACAAATAGAATATTTTCCCCATCTGTTTTCTTTTTATATATTTGACAAATAAAAGTTATATATATTTATTGTGTAGAACATGATATTTTGAAATAAGTATACATTGTGGAATAGCTAAATAGAGCTAATTAACATATGCATTACCTTACTTTTTTTGTATGTGGTGAGAAGACTTAAAATCTTCTCTCAATAATTTTCAAGAAGGAATCTTAAAACAGTGTCGTTCCATTTACAACTCCCCCTCCTTGCCATTTATGTTGTCATATATTTTACTTCTACCTGTTATATATGACACTAAGAAATTGTTTATGCTTTAATAGTAATTTATCTTTAAAGGAAATTAATACTCATGCATTTCCTAGTTTCATTGCTCTTGATTTCTTCTTAAAGTTTCAAATTTCTATCTGATATTATGTGATTTACTTCAGCTTAAAGGACTATTTTAAAAGCATTTCTTGTTGTGCAGGTCTGCTGGCAACTAATTCTTAGCTTCCCTTCATCCAAAAATGGCTTTTTTTCTCCCTGTTTTGAAGAATAATATTACTGGATGTAGAATTCTGAATTGATCAACACCTGTGGCAAAAAGAGGGGAAAAATAATTCTAGGTTGAAAGTTTTTATTCCCCCTTTCATTGCTTTGAAAATATCCTTCCATTTTCTTTTGGGCCTCCATTGTTTTTGATAAGAAGTTAGTTCTGCTGTATGTCGTGTATTTTTTTCTCTCTCTGCTTTCAAGATTTTTCAAATTTTTGGATTTTAGCAGTTTGTGATATGCCTAGATTTAGTGTGTGTGTGTGTGTGTGTGTGTGTGTGTGTGTGTGTTTACCAAATTTGGGGAGTTTTTAGCTATTATTCGTTTTTTTTTTTTCCGCCCTCTTCTTTTTCTCTGGTTAAATAGGACTCTAACAGCTATTTACTAGTGTTAAAGTCGTATCTTCTAATTCAAACATCAGGGTCATCTTGGAGTCTGTCTCCTGTGACAGCTTTGTTTCTTGACCATGGGTTACATTTGATGCTGCTTTACATGTTTGGTAATTTTTAGTTGTGTCATGGATATTGGAAATTCTGTGTTGTTGAGAGTCTGGCTTTTTGTCTTTTTGAGACTTGAGTTTTGTTCTGGAATGCAGTTAATGTGCTCAGAGCTACTCTGAATCCTATCTAGGTTTAGTTTTAGACTTCAGTTGGGACAGTCTAGAGTAGGCCTTATGTCGGGTATGGTCCTTACTTTTAAGAGTTTTTGTGGCCTCTGAGCTGAATGCCTGGGATATTAGTGAGGTTCTTCTGCTATGACTGAATAGGAACTTTAGAGTCTCTCAGTTCTGTGCAGCTTCTAGTGTCTCCATTCTTCATTTAACACTGTAGTAACTATTTTCTGTTCGGTTTTTTTAGACTATTCCCTTGTACACATGTAGCCTAGCCTTCTGCCCTACCACCACCTTACCGCACCACTCCACTGCAAAACTCCTTCATTTTTGATACTGTGTACTACAAATTCCATTTACTTCAACAGCTGCAAATTCTGATCTGTGATCACTGTGTGTTGCCTGAGCCTCACCTCTTTGTGCTGTGGTCAGGAAATTGCTCCTAGCCAGAGAGCTTGGATGAAGGTGCGACTCACCTTTTGTGTTTTTTCTAAGGGATCACAGTCTGTGCTGCCTTTTATTTGATGCTTAAAAACAGGTGCTTCATATGTTTTGTCCAGCTTTCTACTTGTTTACAACAGGCAGAGATGTTCAGTATAGTTACTCTGTCATGGCTAGAAGCAGAGTAAACAGGAACTCAGTTTCATCTGCAAATAAGAATATGGCAAATAAAACAAGAAACTTCATAAATAGATTGGGTGTTAGGACTAATGGTGGAATCCTAATTAGGGAAAAGGAGTCAGGCTGGTGGGAGCAGGGGAGCATAAAAAGAAAAAACAGATAAACTGTAAGTCTGCCTTTCTTCACAGTCCAGGACACATAGCCCTCCTGTGCAAAAATCTCACAGTCCTCCTGTGCAAAAAACTCACAGTCTTCCTATACGCAACTTATCACCAGACCCTCTGCTAATAGAAAAGTGCAGGTTAGCTCACTGCAACCTTGGCGTTACCAGTACTGCACATAGCCCTCTCCAGCACAAGAACGATCCTATAAAATCCCCACCAAGCCTTAGTCTCTTTTCAGTCAGCTCCTCTCTTGCTCATCTGCCCATTGCTTTCTTGCAAAGTGTTTTCCTACTTTTTCTAATAAGCCTGCCTTTCTTTACCAACTGTCTTGGTAAATTCCCTTATTGCCTACACCACCGGCCCCAGTTAGTCACTACTTGTAACAGTAATTGTATATTTGGGGGTTGCTGAAAATTAATCAGAAAATACTGTCCGTTTCAACCCTTTTTATGGTTGCATTATATAATTAGAAAATTTTTGTAATAGGAATAAGTATTTGATATCAATCCTTGTTTCTTCATTAGTGACTATATTTTGAATTTATAACTTCTTTAATAGCAACGAATGATAGCCCACTCAATTTGTTCAAACAAAAGTAGGGAAATCCTGTAAAGGTGCAGAATTACCACAGAATTAAGGTACATTTGATCACTGCAATTCCCAGAGACTATGAATGGGGCAGACTCTTCCAAAAGCCTTGAAAAATATTTTGAGCTTTAATGTTTTTATCTGCATGTTAGAAATTTAATACCTAATTTCTGCATCTGATAAGGTTGATGCCTGTCAACATTTCACAGTCTTGTGAAATTACATTTATGTTTTTAAGGCCCACGTTAAATGTTATATAAGAATTAATTGTTTTCTTTGAGGGGTGGGAAGAATGTTCTTGATATTGTCAGTTCTATGCTCCAATCCCATGTGTAATTATAAGGTAATACTTGAATAAATGAAAATCATATGATAATATATATTTAAAAAAGACTTTGAAAATTATTAAGTATATGAACATGGGGAATATATTTTTATTAAGGTATTTTATTTTTATAATTCATTCTCTTTCTACTTTTAAATTGAAAATCTTATGTTGACTTACTGGAATTTTTTGAGTACTTTTTGTCTAATTGAGGTAATTTTAAGTTGGGAGGTTTATATTAGTGAATGTATGTTGATTTATGAAACAGTATAATTTTGTTCCTTTAATTTTTAAGAAGTAATTGAATCCCTGATATCTTTGTTTCGTATCTTTGTTATTAAGGTATATAAATAAAGGGTAGTGGTTAATTTAAAAGTATACTGTGGTTTGATTTCAATGGGCATCAATAGATAGCAGTAATTCTTGCCTAAGCTTTTGTTATGTTATCTAATTTCCCAGACATATATTTTAAAATTCTTAGTTGACTAATTTCCTTTTCTTAATATTCTAGCTCTCTATCAATATCAGCTCACATCATTGAAAAGATAATTTTGAAGACATGTTTTGCTGAAAAGACACTAAGAAAAATTTTACGAATGGGATGAACATGCTCCAGTTAATTGACTACCTACTGCAATTTGAATGTTAACATTACCCATCTGGTACAGTTACCTAGTGATGTACCTATTTTCACAATACCCTGTTTCAGTGTGCTTGTCTTGATTAAAGAATTCAAAGTGGAGTACCGCAAACTTGATATGGAAAATAAAAAGAAAGACAAGGACAAATCAGATGATAGAATGGCACGACCTAGTGGTCGATCGGGACACAACACTCGAGGAACTGGGTCTTCATCGTCTGGAGTTTTAATGGTTGGACCTAACTTTAGAGTTGGAAAAAAAATTGGATGTGGCAATTTTGGAGAATTACGATTAGGTAAGACTATTTTGTTTATTCCATTATGTTAGAAACATTTTAAAAATTGGAAGATACTTTTTAATGAAAATGATTTAGTTATTTAATTGTTTAGTTGTTTAATGGTTGTGGTAATTTTAAAGAATAAAGATGTTGGAAATTTCTTTTGTAGTTGTATTTTCATGTGTAAGGAATTCCCTAGTATAGGAGTGTCTACTTTAGCCATCCAGAGATTGACTATCCAGATTATGAGAAAACAAACAATTAAATTAAAATAGCCCAGTAGGCTGAAATAGCTGCCAGTAAAGCCTTTGCAATGTTCTTTAGGAATGATATTTAGGCCACTTTTTCAGATTCAAAAATGTTTAGTAATTGATAACTTTTGGGGCATAGGTATGGCTTAAAGTCAAGTTAATATACTGAAACTGCATACAATTAATGAAATTTACATCATTGTAATTTAATTTTTTCCTTTTACCCTTCCTTCTGCCCCAAGTATGTTTGGGGTGGGGCTCAGGAGTCTATATTCTTAACAAGGGGCTCAGAGTATTGATTCAGGTTATTATAATTAGGCAAGTTTGGGAAACACTGGTCTAATTAAGCTTCCTAACTCTATATTCAAGGCAATTGGAACTCAGTGAGGGAAAATGAATTGTCAGATGTTCACAACAATTGAATAACAAGCTCAGGATCAAAATCTAGGTATTTTAACTTCCAGTACAGTAGTGATGTAGCTTTTCCATTGCAAAAAACTAAGAAGGAGGGTGTTATGGTTATAATGGTTGTATAGAAGTCAGTATTCAGGTACCAGGAGGGCTCTGGTCAGTGGACCACCAAGAGTGAACTTTAGATGTAAAAAGAAAATCTGACTTCTCAATTTATTTTAGATTCAATCCTGCTGCTAGAAATAAATCCAATTTTATGTTTATGTATTCAACTACTTCTTCTTTTCATCTTGTGAAGTACCCTAATTTGTAGTGACTCATTCATCTTACTAGTTTTGGAAAGTTGATACACATTAAATATTTGAATGAAGCAAGCCAATAAAAGGCAATGATATAGTTTATACATACTTGTTACATGATGTGACTGGCAGACTCAAATTTAGTAGGGACTCAAATATTTGAAAGGGTGAATGTTTTATGTTTTATTATTTGAAGGGTATTGAATTAGATACTATGAAATTCTTAAATTGTTTCAGACTTTGGAGTTAGAGAAAACATTATTTACGTGTTTATAATCTGTTATTATTGTGTATAATTCTCACCAACATCCATCCAGTACTTATTACATATTTATCATGTACCAGGCATGATTAGACATTGATAATATGCTGGTAAAATATAAAAATAGTGCCTTATGGAACAGATAAGTCATTTAACCACTCAGGGCTTCACGTTTTTCTTTATATCAGGATTATTACCACTTCCTAGGTTATTGTGAGGATTAAATTTAGATGATACTGTAAAAAGACCAACACTATACTTGCATATACTTTGGCCATTTTTATTCAGAATCTGATTCATATAATTTATTTCAAAATAACTACACACACACACAGATACATATGTATTTGTGTGAATACACACACATATATACACACACGGCACATGTATATAGGTATGTGTCTGTGTGTGTGTGTGTGTATTCACACAAAGCTAGTTGACCATTTTAACAAGGGCAATACGAGAAATATGAGAAACTGTATGTACCATATACTGAAGCTATATATGTCATATACTGAAAAAGAGGTAAAGCACCCCTTTCTTTTGTAGTCTGTGAATAAGCAGGAATAGGAGTATCGTGGCTTCTTAGTACATCTGTCTGTCTATTCTATCTATCTAATTTGTGTATGGGTCTTTGATGTGTGTATATATATATCTGTGTATGTTTATTTAAATTTATTTAAATGTATTATCTCTATATATCTGTGTTTTATGTATACTTATAATATGTACGCATAGAGCTAATTTAATCATTTATTCTTCCTTTTTCATAGACTTCTAAAAGGGTATTTTACTGCTTTTTCAAAAAGCCTCAGATGGTTTCTTTGTTAAGAAAATGTTATTATGAGCATTAATCTTTCTATACCTGGATAAACACTAATGTTAAAAGCTGGTTTATATTCTTAAAGTACTTTCTTTAAAACCTCATTAATAGATACATCTTGAACATTTGATTACTGGTACTGAAATTTTATATGGTTAGTATTGGCTAAGAAAGACTATAAGGTATACATGTTATAGGTAAGTGATTTTCAATAAAGGTACTGTTGGTATTTGGGGCTGGGCAGTTCTTTTTTGGGGTAGAATACTGTCCCAGACATTGCAGGGCATTTAAAACTTGAGACTTGTGGTGCTTGGCATGGTGGCTCACATCTATCATCTCAGAACTTTGGGAGACCAAGGCAGGAGGGTGGCTTGAGGCCAGAAGTTCAAGACCAGCCTCTGCAACATAGTGAGAGCCTATCTCTACAGAAAATTTAAAAATTAGCCAGGTGTGATGGTGTATGCCTATAGTCCTAGTTATTCAGGAGCCTGAGGCAGAAGGATCACTTGAGCTGAGGAGTTTAAGGTTGCAGTGACCTGTGATTGTGCCACTGCATTTCTAGCCTGGGTGACAGAGTAAGACTCTGTCTCAAAAAAAAAAAAAAAAAAAGGCCATGAGATGAAAAAAAATGGGTAAACATTTGAAATAATAATTTTAAATTATATTTATTTATTTGCTTTCAAATTTAAATACGTGTGTTTATCATTTTTATCTGGATTCTGTTTTTCGTTTAGAATGAACAGTCAGGTGTGGTGGGGCATGCCTGTAGTTCCAGTTACTGGAGTGGAGTGGCTGAGTTAGGAAGACAGGAGGATAGCTTGATTCTAAGAGGTTGAGTCTAGCCTGGACAATATAGTGAGATCCTGTCTGTAAAAAAAAAAAAATGATAATAAGGAAGGTGAATTGATGTGCAAATACTCCTTAAGATGGGTTTACATCCTGATAAGCCCATCTTAAGTTGAAATATCATAAGTTGAAAATGGGCATTTTATAGACATAATGACATTGGAAACCCCAAAACACAATATCCAGAAAATGCTGGCAACACAGTACGCTGTACAATATTGGTTGTTTACTCTCATGATTGTGTGGCTGACTGAGAGCGGCAGCTCACTGCACCTGCCCAGCATAGAGAGATAGTATCATACTTCATATTGCTAGTCCAGGAAAATTCAAAGTATGATTTCTATTGAATGCATGTTGTTTTTGCATCATTATATAAAGTTGAAATATCTCAAATTGAACCATCATAGTTGAGAACTTCTGTGTTTGTAGTTTTATTTTATGTGTTGGTAGTAAGGTTTGCATTCTGCCATTGGTAGATGTATTTCTAGTTTAGGCAGTCAAACTCCTAGGAATGTTTTTGACAGGCACTGAATAAGACCAAACATAGCTAGCTAAAATATAGGGTTGTATTATATATGTATTTTTATTTTTCTGTATATTATGATGTTTTGACATCTTAAAAAACCTTTCTGGCTGGGAAGAGATTACCCCTCCAGAGGTTAGCCAATTCTTAGAATTAGCCAAAAACTCAGCTGGGAGCATGCCTATGATATGTGCTCTAACCAATCCACACTCCTTTTCTATCTGGCCCATACACCCAAGAGGCAATATTCCTCTACCTTATCTTCCCCAGGGCCAGGTACCTGGAAGCTAGAGACCCATTCTTATAGCCCAAAAGTCACTGGAATTATTCAAACTAAGTAATCCTTTACCATTTACCTTGCCCTGCATTGCCTTTCGCTGGGAAACCCCAGTAAATGCTTTGGCCTAGGCACTCCGCTTGCTCTTGTTTTTCTGCCACCTAACCAAAACCTAGTGTTTCCCCTGTGACCCTGTGTGGCATGCGATGTGACTTCCTGTTTAGAATTTGTTAAGTATAGTAACCTTTGTTTTCATGAGGGACTTTCCTTTGTGCTCTGTGGCCACATCTGTCTATCATAAAAGAGCACAGAAGAGAATATTATGTATTGTTTAATGAATAACCATACCTGAAATAAGATATTGTAACTTTTGACATAATTAAGTATGCCACAGGAGCTTCCATAACATCTCTTATTTTTGTTTTTTCTTTTCTTATTCCTACATAGCTAATAACTCCTTATTTTATTGTTTATGTTTGATAGTTGCTTTGTTGAAAATTCTGCAGGCCTTATATGTATCAAATGAATATGTAGATTTGGATGGGTTCATCATTTTCATGTTTATTGATTTTTCTGCTGTTTCTAACTGAAGCTATTATAAAACTTACCTGAAAAATGTAATAACTAAGGAATAGACTGTAAGACGGTAACGAAAAATTCCAATATATAGTGGTTTCAAGCAAATGGTTTATTTTCATTTCACACGACACAGACCAGAGGGAGAAACCCGAAGGCTGTCAGGGTACCTCTGCATCCTTAATATGTGACTTCCGTCTCTGTGCACAAGGTAATTGCTTTAGCTGTTTCCATCTCCCAGCCAGGAAGAATAAAGAAAAAAAGGGGCAGGAGCATATACATTCCTTTCTGGAAGTGAGGAGGAACATACTTAATGTCTACTGACATTCAGAACTTAAGTCACATGGCCACACTAAGCTGAAAGAGAGGCAGGCAATGTAGTCTTTAGCTGGGCAGCCATTTTCAAGCTTGGGCATTCTGTAGGGGGAGAATGGCTATTGGTGGGTAAATAGTTGTTTCTGCTGTAAACATATATGTGTAGTTTTTGAAGAACATAGTTTTTGATAATTACCACCCCAAAGCCACAAAATTGGTAAAACTATATTTTCAAGTTTAATATGGCACAATGCTTTACTGGAAATGTCTTTTAAAATTGGATTAAAACATCACTTAACCGGCACCAGTTTACTTGGATTTTTCTTTTAATGGGATTCTCACTACATGCACATTCCCTCCCTTTCAATCACACCATACATAAACACATACTTTGTGCATCATTTGTTTGTTTATGTTTATAACAAATACTGATTAAAAGTGAGGCTGTGGCTATGCTAGGTGACAAAAATGCACTTGTGTTATTGTTTAATCTTTGTTCATAATTGTGACTTCAAGTTTCAGCAACATCTCTAGTATTCAAAAAAAGATGATCCTTTTAGGATTTAGTGCTTTCTGCTGTGACCTCAAAGGTATGAAAGCCAACAAAAATAGTACTTTTAGAGGCATTTGTTATATTTTGATTCTTTGAGATCTGTAGTTAACCTAACTTCTTGTCCTGTGAAATTTTTTCCTTGTGTACTTGTGAATAAACATCATATACAAAATAGTTATGAAAAGATGATAATATGTTTGGGAAATAAAAATTCTGTCTTGGAACTCAAAACCAGAATTGTCTTTTGTTAATGTTCTTTGACATCAAGTTCTTCATTGTGAATATCATTAAATTATTTACTGCCAAGTTTACTAGAGGAAACCTAACTTTTCATTCATAATGCATTTTTGAAAATGTATATGAAGGCACATCTAAACATTGAACTAATTGACTAAAAATATGAAATATTCCGTAATTTTTAAAAATATGTATATAGGTTCAATGAGTATATGAATAGAGCTTAAAGTTGACCACTTTTGGAACTTCTGTTGAGTTCCATCCTTTTTGCCAACTGTATTGAGTTTATGACACCTATGTTACTTAGCGTTAATATGAATACTTCTTTTTTGCCCTTTATTTTCTCTCAATTTTGTACAATAAGGACAAAATTCAGAAAAGTATTATAATATTTGTATAAATAAACACTACTGTACAAAGGTGGCAACACAACTGAAGCTGAAATTTTGCCTAGAAGTTTTGCTACTGTTCATCAGCTGCTGTATGGAAGGAGGTTCAGGCCATTATGCTGGAAAATCACATGTGTCATAGTTGTTGATTGCTTCTTCTGTGTTCAGTAGCCAATGTGACCAGGGCCAGTTACTCTCACTATTAAAAAAAACCCCAAAAAACTATCATTGTTTTGTTTTCCTCACTATAAAAGTAATACATGCTAATTGAAAAAATACTGGAAATTCAGAAATCATATTGTACAGTTTTTTCATTCTTTTTAGTGTACTTATACATTAATCAAATTATCTTCATATACTTAGTGCTTCCAAAATTCTCTTTAGTACTCTACTTTGACTACAGATGCTGACCAATTGGAATTTTCTAGATTATTTTTGATTTGCAGTGCTAAAGATTACTGTAATTCACTTGAATTCTTTACAAGTTAGTGATATTAAATCTCTAGTGATATTAGATATTTTAAATATTTTATGTAATCAAATCTGTATAAAACGTTATGATCCTAATTTTTTTTTTTTGATGGAGTCTCACTCTGTTGCCCAGGCTGGAGTGGAGTGGTGTGATCTCGGCTCACTGCAACCTCTGCCTCCTGGGTTCAAGCGAATTCTCCTGCCTCAGCCTCCTGAGTAGCTGGGATTACAGGCGTGCGCCACCATGCCTGTCTAATTTTTGTATTTTTAGTAGAGACAGGATTTCACCATGCTGGTCAGTCTGGTCTTGAACTCCTGACTTCATGATCCACCTGCCTCAGCCTCCCAAAGTGTTGGGATTACAGGCATGAGCCACCACGCCCGGCCATGATCTTCTTCTGCTCAGAATATCCTTAATATGTGGATGTGATAAATATTCTTTCTTGTTTTTAGCTTATATTTAACTCAAGATATTTGGAATTAATTTTGTTGTAAGGTGAGGCACCAGTAACTATTTTTCTCCTCAAAGTGGTTAGTTTATCACAGCCAATTATTGAATGTTTTTAAATATTATTTCAGATATTTTATGTTTATTTAATATACTTACTGGATTAAATATGAGCCCTAGTAAGATTACATCTCATAATAATGATGAATTTAAAATGAAATGATAGTTGGAAGAGGAATTTGGTATTCTTATTCTTATATAGGAGTTCTCGTTTTGAAATTTTTTGACCATGCATTTGACTATTGATTACTTTTAAATTGTATACAATATTCCAAGAAAGTCAGAATCTTTCCATTTTTATAAGTGGGCTACTAGTATCTGTAGTGTCTGTATCACTTTCTACTCTGAATCTAGGTGAAATACTAAATACATCGAGTTGATAATAAGTTTGAATATTTCCTTGTTAAGTTTTTTTGCCAAATAGAAGCAAAAACCTATGCTTTAGTTAAATGTATTATGTGCTTTTTTTCAGAGTACAGTTTTATATAATGTATCTTTAAAATCAATTACTGGCAGAATCTGATTTTTTTTTCTTTTTCAAGGGAAAAATTTATACACAAATGAATATGTGGCAATTAAGTTGGTAAGTTCCTGTTTCTTAATTTTTCTTAATGATTTCTTTGTTACTTTTTAAGTAACTTATATATTTTAATTATTTTTTGTTTTCATGTCATTTATAATTTGGATGTTTATTTGACAGTTATATGCATAGCTAATCTTTGTTGCTAAGCTCCTAACATCATCCTGCTCTTAAAGTATATGGTAATGTGTAGGACATTCATGTTTGTCTGTGCCACAAAAACTCAATCCCTTTACTTTGGCAGCATTGTAGAACTGGATCTTGGCCCTATTTTTAATTTAGGGAAGGATTTTTAATTAGATAAAAATTAACAAGATTTTGCCTTCTGATTCAAACATTTTGGTAAAACAAAAGTGTTCTTAGTATTCAGGATTATATTCTTTGAAAACATACTTCCAGGTAGCTTCTGAAATTTCTTTTTAAATTGTTACTTCATATATATGGCAAAGCTGGCTATTGCTTGACTTTGAGGGATGCAGAAATGCTTGATGTGGTAGGTGATAGATAACAGGGAAAGCAAACTCCCGTGGAATTATTCTGAAGTTTTCAATGTGCCCAGTATGACAGCTGCAGAGCAGAGCGATCTCTTTGGAAAAATTGGGATCTAGGAATTATTTTTGTAAGACATACTTTTCCTGGTACAACTTTTCTGTCTGGTTTGCAGCCAGGTTTCCCTGTTTCATTCATTAAGTGGTGATCCTTAGGTCCTATTGTTTATAGATTTGGAACTTTTTCATACCATTGATGCCTTACTAAACATTTATCATGTCATCTTTCAGCCTTCTTATATACATACACATATATGTATGTGTATGAGGTTTAGCATGGCTTGGTTTTCTCTGCCTTTTTCAACCTTGTCTCTGTCAATATAACCTCTGTTATTAGGGTAATATGAAATGAATATATAAAAGAGAGACTATTAGGAGAAGAGGCAAATGGGAGGAAATAGAAAAACTCCACTATTTAATTTTAAGTATCTTTTGAATATAGACCAAGTTTTAGTGTAACAAATGTTTATTTTCACTTGAAATAAAGATGTGGAGTAGGGTTGCAGTGCCATGAAGAGAGATTGGTTGGCTGACATGTGGCTTTAGACTGGATTTTACCTAGATGAGTCCGTCTTGGTATTAAGATCTGGTCCTTGGCTTATGAAACAAAACGTGATTAGGTTATCTCACCAGTTGTCAGCGTTTCTTAGAGGTGGATTCACAGTAATCAGTTCACACTATCAAGCTCTCAGATTCAGGAAAGAGTGAATTTCTAACTAATAATGAGGTATTTTACAGGTCTAGAAAGCCCAAGTTTCTTTCTATGGGCCGATGTACATAGAAAGCCAAGTTAAAATTTCAAGGTCCCCTCATGAGCATGAAATCAGAAAGAGGTTGGTGAATATTAATCACAGCGGGGAGGCCTACTGTGGGATCCGCCTGCCTCGGCCTCCCAAAGTGCTGGGATTACAGGCGTGAGCCACTGTGCCCAGCCTGGACGTTGTTTGAACAGGCATTGCTGACTTTCATTTCTTTGAAATTCTTCCTTTTCTCATGTTGTAGGCCAGTGGTCCTGAACCTACAACAATCTTTGTGGTGTGCAAGGATAAAAGTGTGGCAGTGTTTACAGTCTGTGCTATTGATACAACAGCCTGTAGTGGGCAGCTCTACTCATGGGAGCATGCTTTGTATGTGAATGATAGTTATCTGATATATTAAGGCAGATAAACCATCGTGTCAAAGCAGAAACCCCTGCTCTAGGCTGAGCTTTCCTTGTCTGTTTCATTCATTAAGTGGTGATCCTTAGGTCCTGTTATTTATAGATTTGGAACTTGTTCATACCATTGATGCCTTACTAAACGTTTATTATGTCATCTTTCAGCCTTCTTATATACATACACATATATCACTTTTTTAAGTTTATTTTTGTGCTGTATCTCTGTCCTCTTAACTAGTTTTCTCCCCTTTTTAGGGGGAAACATTCTTCCTCCTCTCTGTTTTGTCTTTCTTTAAAGCACAATGATCAGCATTACATGTAATAATTATGGTTATACATTGTTCTTTGGGGGAACTAGGAATATTTTTGGATCTATGTCTCTAGTATTTTGAGGTTGTAGAGTGGTATCTAGTCACGTTCACCTCAAGTTCATCCAAAATATCGGAAGGACAGAAAACTTTTCACATACATTGTTGAATGATAGTTCATGATTTCCTTATATGTTTTTTCATTTGTGTCTGTTATATCTGTTTGTGCCAGATAACATGATTTTGTTTAGACCTGCCATAAAAGTAATCACTTGAACATCTTATGTCTGCATACCTCAGTGTTATCTGGCTTTTATACTTTGCTCGGTACAAATAAAGGCATTATTTGATAACCTGAGTTCAGAGAGCAGATTTCTGTGACTGCTTTCACTCCATTATCTCTTACAAAGATTTTTTACATTTATCTAATATTACCCTAGTTCAGATCAACAGTTTGTTTCAGGATAATTTGTTAATATTACCTCAGCTACCATCCTTATATCTTGTTGTACATGAATAATGAAAATGTCATCCTGGGGAAGGTGACTTTTATTATATAGTGTTAAAATTTTACTGCTTAAGTACTGGAATCTAGTTGAAATGACTCAACTAAGTCAGATTTGGGTCAGTATTTTTATCCTAAGGGGGAGTAGTGATTGAATAAGTTATATATTTAATTTCATTTGTGATTGTGTACATGGACATCTTTTTATTGCATCTTAAGGTTATGTACTTCTAGGTAGTTAACTGAAGAATTATAGGTAATATAGTGCTATATGTATAGAAGGCACTGTTTTAAGTACTTTATATATAAGAAAGGTTAAGTTTTAACCCAATTTTACAGATGAGGGAACTGGAAAGTACAGAAAAGTTAAGTAACTTGCTGAAAGTCACACAGCTAGAAATAGAGGATTTAGGATTCAAACCTAGTACAATTTAGTTTCAGTGTCTGTGCTCTTAACTACTGTACTATCCTGCCTCTCAAGAACTAAGCTGATTGTTTTCTCCTGTAATAAAACTTATAAGTTTTGCAGTGGGATTTTAATATTGCTTATGTGAATTCTTTTGTTGTTGGTCACAGTTTCATTATGATGTGTTGGTGTAAAATTCTTTTTAGTTATCCTGTTTGGGATTCACATTCCTCTTGAATTGGTGGGTTGTTAACCTCATCAATTCTGGAATATTCATAGCAATAATTTATCCAGTTATTGCATCTGCTCACTTTTCTGTCTCCTTTCCTCCTGATACTGTTATCAAATCCATACTAAATCTTCTCACTGGATTGTCCAGGTGTCTGATCCTTTTCTTCTGTTTTCCAGTTTTTCTTCCTTCATGATGCATTCTATATAGTTTTTCTGTCTGCCTTACAGTTTCCAAATTCTCTCTTCTGTTAATCTGCTGGCAAAATGAGTTTTAAATTTAGTTATTGTATTCTCTTATTTTTCAAAGTTCTATTGATTCTTTTTGAAATTTTCTATTACCTTGTTATACTTTTCTGTTGGTTCTTTTTAAAATTTCCTGTTACCCTGTTACAGTTTTCTACTTCTTGTATTTTCATATTTAATATTATTTCTAACGTCTAAAACCCATGTTTCCTCTGTACATGTTTGTGTGTGTGTGTGTGTGTGTGTGTGTGGTGTGTGTATATGAATCTCAAAAACATTTATGTCGAATGATAAAAGCTGGACACAACAGAAAGCATATACTGTATAATATCATTTAGGTGAAATCCAGCAACAGGCAAAACTAATCCAAAGGTGATAGAAGTAAAAAAGGTATGATGGAAATGTTCTATAGATTGGTGTGGTGGTTATAGGGATATATGGAGTTAATATGTATTTAACGCTTATGAACTGTGTGTTTTATTGCATATAAGTTATACTTTAGTGAAAAAAAATTAAGACATTGTTGCTACTATCAAAATTTTCAAATTACCATCTTTGTTCTTACTATCCTATGACTTAACTTTAATCTAGAACCTTTATGTAAGAAATACACAGTTCAGAGGTGAATTTGGAGAACAGGAGAAATAGCATAAGAGCCATCATTTCTCTAGTGATGAATGTTCAGAACATATTTTTCTCAGGGTCAAAGAGTCAAACTTAAGGGATTTTTCTCCTGCCTGATCTAATGGCTACTTAGTTTATGTACATTTGTAGTATCATTTTATTTTACATTGAACAGAAAGTTGATTTTTATATGAATCTAATCTTAGACAAAGATGCCTGGTAGACTATTACATAATATAGGCATTGACACCAAAATTTATAACATTTGTGTTGGGACCTAGTGCTCTTTTAATAACTTAAATGTCTTTTTTTGTTTGTTTTTCAATTAGGAGCCCATGAAATCAAGAGCACCACAGCTACATTTGGAATACAGATTCTATAAGCAGTTAGGATCTGGAGGTAAAGTCTTATATTAATTTTTAAATTTGAAATAAAGTGGATTGTCATGACTTTTTAGTTTCAAGGAATGGTATTTTAAGTTTGGTTAAGGAAATCACTTTGCAAGGCTATGTTTACTATACGTTTTCTTACTATGGTCTTAGGATCCCTTTTTTATTTTATGACAAATTTGGAGCTTTTTATGTTTATGCTGATATGAGTAGAGAACATTGTGAAAAAATTTAATTTGCAAATATAAAATGCATACTTCTTCCATATTCTTAGTCTTTTTGGAGGCACTATTATAGCTGTTGAAGTGACTTACAATATAGTGGTAGGCTGAAAAATGGCCACATAGAAGTTATCTGTATCATAATCCCTAGAACCTCTACATGTTACTGTATGACAAAGACTTTGCAAGTATGATAAATTAAGGATTTTGAGATGGAGAGATTATTCTGGATTATCTGGTGGGGGCAGAGGGACATTTACACACACAGAAAAGGAGTAGGCATTGTGACTGTGGAGCAGAGTGGAGAGAACCTGGAAGAGGCTTCTAGTACTTTCGCCTAGAGTCTCTAGAGGGAGTGTGGCCTTGCGAAGACATTGATTCAGACCAATGAAACTGATTTCAGACTCTTACCTCCATAACTGTAAAAAAATAAATTTCTGTTGTTGTAAGCCACCAAATTTGTAGTAATTTGTTACAGCAGCCGTAGGCAACTAATATGGGTATGTTTTTAGATAAACTCTAAATTCAAGTGAGATTATTTCATGCCACTAGAGAAAATTCATGGAAAAAATTTCTATTGTTTGTTACATTTCCTTTATGTTAAAAGGTTCTCACAGCACTTTTCTGTATACTTCTATTCAATTAATTGTAAGAATTTTACTTGTATAGCTTCTTGTATAATACAGGTAGAGGAATTTTGTTTCTCCAGATTTAATAAAATGGAATTTCTTCATGTATCTTTTTGTAAGCATGTTTACATTCTAGTGGGTAGAGCTGTCCATTTCATACTGATATCAGTTTTACATTCTGTTTTTTCTAAGAGCACACTTTGCAAATGAGTAGTCATTGTAGGGGCAATAAGTTTTAAATGTTGTAGTAATGTGTTCATCACTACAGACTTCTTATAATACATATTTAAGTCTGATACAGACAGGCCTCAGGGAGTTATCAAAATTATCACTGACAACTGGGATTTAAAGGCTATTGGGATAAAACGAATTATATGTGAAACTATACATATTAGTTATTATACTAGCAAATAAGAAGTTAAGTGGGTATAAAACGAATTTATTGACTCATGTACTTGGAAATTCAAGGAAATGACTTGATAGATTAGACATTGCTCTATCCAGTGCTTCAAATACTGTCATCAACATGTCAAGTCTCTATGATATGCCTTATGAGTATGTGTAAGCTTCACTCTCTAGTTGGCCCTTCTTAAGAGATTCTGGAGGTTGCCACCAATAACCTAGGCTTAGCAATTATGAAAGCATCTCTTTCCTAAAAATTTCAGCAAAAGTTGTAGGACTAAATCTTACTGCCTTATGTCATGCTTATCCCTGATTTAATTACTATGAATTTGATTGCCTCAAGTTAGATCAAATGCTTATCCGAACTTTAGAGACTGAGAATGGGGGAGGTGATTGCCTACTGGGAAATCGAGGTGTTATATAAGGGGGATTGGATGCCACGGTGATGAAAAAAAAAACCAGATCTATCTAGTACAGTAATAAAACTGTCATTTGGAAGAATAGGATTGAGTGGTTTAGTTAGAAATGAGTTAGTCAGTTTAGAGTTTAGCAAGTCATTGAATTGAGTAACAAAGATGTACTTTTATTATTTTAACTTTTTTCTGTTTTATATTTAAAAACTATGTCAGAGATAGTAAGAATAAAAATGAAACATCTTTTAGGACTTGTATGCCATAGGACTGCAGTGTTGCACAACTGCAGGGACCACCATTTACAGGGTAGTCTCTGTTTACTAAGGGTGCTATGCTCCTCTCTGCTCTATGGGTGTCATTTACATAGATTGAAATACAAATGGTCTTACTGAAGGTTTGCATCATGGTGGCTCTGAGCTGTGACACATGTGGATATTTTTTAGTATTTTGTACGAGTCATGAATTTGGGCATATTTTTTGTGGTTTTTTTTTTTTTTTTGGTCATTTGTGAGTTTTGTGAAAGCATTTTTAAGTACCTTTGTGAGCTTTGTAGAAAAACAAGAGTGCTTAATTGTTTTGGAAGAACTGATGACTTTTAAACAGTTTGATTTTGGAATTCATATCTGAAAAGATTATATTTTCAGACTGCTCTTAATTATAAACGGGCTATTTAGAGTAACTCAACCTATAATTTTCCTATGGTATGCTGAATTTCATTTATATAGCAATTTGCTTGTTAATATTCTCTTTAAAAATAGATATATTTAAGTAATATCCAGCATATATAAAGAACTTCTAAAACTCACCAACAAAAATAGACAACCCAATTGAAAAATGGACAAAGGACTTGAATAGACAAATCTCCAAAGATATACAAATGGCTGATGAAAAACATAAAAAAATGCTCAACACCACTAATCATTAGGGAAATGCAGCTGGAAACCATGAGATACCACTTCATACCCCTCAATATGGCTGTAACAAAACAAAACAATACACAGAAAGCAAGTGTTAGTATGGATATGGAGAAATTGGAATCCTTGTGCATTGGTGTAAAAATTTAAAAAAGCCACCGTGGAAAATTGTATGTTGATTCTTCAGAAAAATTAAACATAGAACTACCATTTGATCTAGCAATTCCACTTCTGGATATATACATAAAATAATTGAGAGCATGACTTCAACAGGTAATTGTACATTCATGTTCATAGAAGTATTGTTTACACTAGCCAAAAGGTAGAAGCAACCCAAGTGTACATTGACAGAAAAATGGATAAAATGTGGTATATACATAAGATGGAATATTATCCAGCTTTAAAAAGGAAGGCTAGGTGTGGTGGCTCACGCCTATAATCCCAGCACTGAGACTTGTGGTCTCAGCTACTTGGGAGGCTGAGGTGGGAGCATCGCTTGAGCCCAGGAGGTCAAGGCTGCAATGAGCTTTGATCATGCCATTGTACTAAAAAAAGGAAAATTCTGCAAAGTGAAATAAGGCGGTCACAAAAGGACAAATAAATTTCACTTAACATGAGGTTGGAATAGTCAAATTCATAGAGGCAGAAGGTAGAATGGTGTTTTCTGGGGGCTTGGGGAGAGGGCAGAAATGGGGAATTATTGTTCATTGGGTAAGAGTTTCAGTATGGGATGATGAACAAATTTTGGAGATGGATGGATGGTGGGGATGGTTATACAGTAATGTAAATGTACTTAATGCCACTGAACTGTACACTTAAAGATGGTTTAAATGACAAATTCTATGTGTATTTTACCACAAATAAATTGGAAAATAGATTTATTTAGAATTATTTAGTGGGGTATCTGTGAAAAAATATACAATTTGGTTTTGCCCGTTTGGGTTTTGATCCTCCTGTAAATCCATGTTTCTTTCCTTTATGTAGCTTCTCTGACAATATCCCTCTTTACATTACATTATTTAGCTTTGCATAGGATTAGACTATTGTTTTATACCATTATCACTCTCTGGGATAGCAAAAATTTAATGTATTGAATAGTCTTGTTTTGTCACATCTACTCAGTATTCGTTGAGTCAAATGAAGACCTGGGTTTGGGAGTCATCAGCACATAGATGGTTTTTAAAGCTAAAGAAATGGATGAGATCTCCCTGAGGAGAGTATAGAGGTTGACAAGAAAAGAATAGCAAGAACAAAGCTGTGTGGACTACTCCATTGGATATAAATAGATTTGACTCTTAATAACAAAAGTTGTGAAAGCAGTAGCTTAAACAAGTAAAGGGATGTAATGTGAGACAAGTGAGTTCAGAGGTGGGCAATTGTAGGGTTGGTACAGCTGCTCAAAAGTAAGGAACCAGGCTCCTAACCTTGGTGTGTGGCTTCATCCTGCAATCCTGGACTTTTTGTAACAGGAGGGAAGGAGGAAGAAATGAAATTACTATTTGTGTAAAGACAACTTCCAGTTCTTTATCTCCTGCTTCTATTCTTAAAGTCTAGCTGTATATGAATATCCCTACTGAAATCAGAAATTCATATAGCTGGAATTGAGTTCCCTACCTTCTTTTCCCCTTATTTTCTCGACAGTTTCTCTCTCTCTTAAAAGACCTTCCTGCTTGATCTTCTGGATTACCTAGTTCCATTAGTTCCACATCTGTTCAAGCTGAAATGTTAGCCTCCTCTGATTTTGGCGTATTGGTATAGTAAAAAAGTTCTGTCAATTTTGTCTCTTAAAATCTCTCTTGACTTAATTCTCTTCCAGTCCCCATTGTTACTTTTCTTCGAATTGGGCTTCCTTTTGAATATCTCAACCAGCTTTTTACCTCTACCTGCACAGAGGGGCACATCATTTAGTATAAAGTCCAAATTCGTTTCTCTTTCTACTGACCTACTTTTTAGTTGCACTACACTTACTATTCCTTGAGTAGATCTTACTATTTTCACGTCTGTATTCTTTCTCGAATATCTTTCTTTTCTAATGAATTCTATTTTTCTTTAAGCCCTAGCTAAATGTCACCTGCTTAGCAATGCATTTTCTGACATCTTTTCCTCTCCAGAAAATCTTCTTATTTGATCTGATATTTTGAATATGTAAACCTTTGAAACCTTTATTTTTCTTTTATCGTATGGTAATTATTATTTGTCTATGTCTGTCTTCTCCACTGAATTTTGAACTCTTTGAGGGCAGTGATAATGATATGTTCATCTTTTTCTTCTTGGTAGCAGAATGATTGGCACTTGTAGGTTCTTGGTAAATGGTTGAAAGAATAAATTCTTAACTAACAATAATAGACTGTTTTCTTTCATTAGATGTGAAGTTGGGATGTATAATCTTCAAATTTCCTATATTTTCTAACTTCTGTGACCCTGTGATTAAAGTTTGATATTTTAATATTACACAAAATTGTCGTATTATTAATTTTGAGTTTATTCTATTTCTGGACAAATAATACAATTTCAAATTTTTAAATTCTAAAAATTAATTTCATTTGTATTATCCTATGATTAGGTAAATTTATTTTCTCATTTTGGACAACTAGAGATCAAAGGAAAAAATTATTGGTGAGAATTTTTTAATTAATGGAAGTGGTAACCAAGGAGATATGCAGAAAGTTTTATATTAAAACTTGCTGAACTATACAACTCAGCCATCTAAAATTAGTCACTTTCTTGAGAAGGGTGGGCTTTAATTATTAGAATTAACTCAGTTTCTTCATTTACTTGAAAGTAAGTATATCTGAATTGTTGATATTTCATGAAAATGCATAGAACATATTTGAAATTTATGGGAAAATTGTTTTTGGAGGTCTGTGATTCTCAGTAACACTTCTTAATTTTTTTTGACATGAGTTTAAATAGGCTACATTAGGAGAAACTGCAATTAATGCATTCCTTGGAACATCTTAATTAGCTGATATTTTTAATCATAGGAAAAAATAACCTTTTTTTCTGTCATAAATTACTACTTATCAGAGGAAGTAAATGATCTTTTTCTCTGTCATAAATTATTCTTGGCAAATCTCTGACTATAGAGATGATATTAAAAATACTGTTTGACACCATTCATATGTTAAATCATCATTTCTCGAGTGGCTTGACTTTTTGAGATTCCTTGGACTATGTAGTTCTAAGCAATAATTTGATGGTAGCCACAGGTGCTGTTACTGAAATTATAACTCTTTATAATGCTGTCTTTTAAAAGGTGTTTGAAAAGCCCCCTCTTTCTTCTTTATGCTGATCCTTCTGCCTTCTTGATTTGTGCCTTGTTAAAAAGTCTGGATTTATGTGCTCCCTGCAGTTTTTTACACTGGTTTATCGATGCCTACGTTTTCACTTTATTTTTAAGATGATTTAGTTCCGTCTGCTGGTTAAATGAACGTTGGTGATTTTGTAATATACGGAAATTTTATTGTACTGTTCACTTCTGAGAAGTATTATGGGTAATAGTATAAACTTTGTTAAAAGTTGTGGGTATAAACCATTCAGTAGTATCTAAAACTGATTTAATTCACAGTTACCAGATCAAGTTTCTCAGACCATGTTTTAGGTAAGACATTCAAAAAATTCTGCTCTATGTATATTATAAGCTGTTGTTTGAAAAAATTGAAAGGAAGTACTGTAAAAAGCATGAAAGTTAAGTGAATAAATACTTAGACTATTGCTTACTGTATTTTGATATTAACAAAAATAATGAAAATATGATATGAGTGGGTTAGTCAGTAGTGTAAACTTAATCTCAGCCCAGGTAACCAACAGTTTATGTAGCAGATTCTTAGAATTCCTTTTTCTGTCATAGCTAAATTGCTTTTAGAAGAAGTTTTTAAAAATATGTAATACTTCTAATTCTTTAAAGTTAGAGATCTCTCTGTATGGAAATTTCTACAAGTTTTACACTGCTAAACATTTACTTATTTATATGTGAATATATACTTACATTGTTACTACTATCATAGTAGATGGAAGTATACAATTTTTTTCTGTTAAAGTTGTAGTTTATGGAGAATGGGTACATTTAAAGAATGTTATGCATTATCAGAAAGAGGTGTTAACTGATAGTGGTTTTAGTTTGGTTTATATGGTGCAGGCATTAGTGTTGTGTGTGGTGTGGTTATTATAGTATTTTCAATGATTAATTAAGCACATAGGAATCTTAAGCAAAAAGCAAACCATACTTTTGAATAGGATATTACTAAATATACATAATTTTTGTAATTCCTTGTGTAATAGTAAAAAGATAGAAAGTATAAAACCATGAAAAATTATGAAAATTTCATATTTAGTTTTGCTTTAAGTGTTATATAATGCATTGTAAGAAGAAAAGATTTGTAAGCTTGTAGCTTAGGGACTAGGGGGAAGAATCATAGAGTCCATTTTTTCCTTAAATTTTATAGGCCCAAATTGGATAACAACTTAAGTTCCATTCAGTTTTTGCAACAGTTAAATTTTTACTTGTTTGTAGGTGATGTTATTTTTTTAATGTTGTTTGAATGTTAGAATAATTTCTAAATGTGTAAATTAAATCATCACAGAAAGGACTGTTGCTCTTTTTTACAGTAGAATAACTTGATTCCTTTTATTTGGGGTTAATTGATAGAATTTTACTGCTAAATGCAGATATTGTGGTCTTTTAATGGAAGGACTGTTACCAAGTCCATAATTCAGTTCACCTGTTGGTTCATAGCAGCGCTTACTATTCAGCTAGGACAGCACTTCTTAAACTTTCGGGTCTCAGGATTCTTTTATGCTCTTACCCTTTTTGAGTATCTCAGAGCACTTTTGTTGTTGTGGGTTGTAGCTATTGATATTTACCATATTAGAAATTAACACAGAAATATAAAAATGTTGCTATATTTGTTTAAAATAAAAATAATAATTGAGACATTTTAAAATCAAGGCAATTTTGTTGATATACTTTCCAAAACAGAAAAAATGAGAAAAGTAACATTGTTCTACATATTTTGCAAATGTCTTTAATGTCTGGCTTAACAGTAAACAGCTAGATTCCCATATCTTCTGCATTTAATACATTGTGATAACACAAGTCCCATAGTCTCTGGAATGAGAGTGAAAAAAACATATTTATGTTATTACAAAATAATTTTGATATTACTGACTTCCTGCAAGGGTCTCACGGACCACCTCTGTCCTCAAGAGCTTCAGGCCACATGTTGAAAACTGTTGATCTAGGAGTATAAGCATTTGTGCTAAAGGTTAAGAATGCCTTAATGCAAAATTACCCTAAAAAAAAGATAGGGTGATACTGTGTGATAATTCTGTACTTAGCATTTCTAGCCACAATTTAGGTTTTCTTAATCAGAGCTGTTTAAATTAAATCAGGAAGTTTAAATTTCCTAATAAGTTTGTTAGTACTTTTGTTCTAATTCTTCTTATTTGTGTTAGGCTGTTCTTGTGTTGCTATAAAGAAATGCTGGAGTCTGGGTAATTTATAAGAAAAGAGGTTTAGTTGGCTCACGGTTCTGTAGGCTGTATAGGAAGCATGGTGCCAGGCATCTGTTCAGCTTCTGGTAAGGCCTCAGGAAGTGTACAATCATGGCAGAAGGCAAGGGGAAGCCAGTTATCACGTGGAGAGAGTGGGAGCAAGAGAGAGAGAAAGTGAAGGGGAGGTGCAACACACTTTTAAACCAAATCTCATAAGAACTCAAAATCATGAGAACAGCACAAACCCATGAGGGATCTGCCCCATTGACCCAGTTAACTCCCATCAGGCCCCACCTTCAACACTGAGGATTATAACTCAACGTAAGATTTAGAGGGGACAACACCCAAACTATATCACTGTTTTACATTTTACATGAAGAATTCTAGACCTGAAAATGGATCATGATATTACTGTGAAATGGATCATGATATTATTTCCTTAATGGTCTACTTAACTAATACTTACCTGTAAGGAACTGAAGTATTTAAAAACTTGACACAAAGTACCAAGCAGTCTTTAATAGTTTCTGTGTATTACTGTTGTGTGACCTAATTTTGTTTTGTCACTTAAAGGGAATACCAACATATAAAATGAGATATTTAATGAAGTGAATTTTGGGGGAGTGAGGGTGAGATTGTATTTTCAAATATGTGAATTTTGTATTCATACTCCTTGAGCTTTTCTTGGGAAAAAATAAACTTCTCTTGAAAAGTAAAGATATTGGAAATTATCAGATGTAACTTTCATGAATTCACAGTGGATAGCTTTTTATATTAGTATCAAATAAAAATAATTTTAGAACCACTGGAATGGGTGGAGTAAGATTTTATAATTGAAAATTCACCAGGTGTAAGAACAAACCTTTCTGAGCCTGTCGTGCCCTCTTTTTCCTTACCTCTCCCATTTCTAAAGAATCTCTACCTTGTGACCTAACCTACCATTTACGTTGCTCTGGTGGTTTTGGTTTGTTTTTGCTTAGGATATACCCTGCCTCAACCTCTGTTTGTTAATTGCAATTCTTCTTAACTCTTAAAAATTTAAGTTGTTTGCTCAGTGATTAAAAAAACTGTCCAGACTTGTTCTGGGAAATAAAATTATAGTTTGGTGTAAATATCATTTTAAGTTTTTCTTTGTGGTCCTAGAATCTTTAAAGTAAGCACTTTTTTTCCTGATTGCAAAAATAGCATATGTTCGTAATAAAAATTAGGAAAAGTTTAAAAAAAAAAGTGAAGGTAGAAATCACCAGTGCTTCCAGTAATGTTAGCTTTCTGCTTTTTTCTTATGTTATCTTTTCTATTCGTATGTATGTTTAATGATTGTATTCGTCCGTTTTCTTGCTGCTGATAAATTGCCCTGAGGCGGGGCAATTTACAAAAGAAAGAGGTTTATTAGACTTAACAGTTCCATGTGGCTGGGGAGGCCTCACAATCATGGCGGAAGGTGAAAGGCACATCTCACTGGCAGACAAGAGCTTGTGCAGGCAAACTCCCATTTTTAAAGCCATCAGATCTTTTGAGACTCATTCACTATTATGAGAACAGTACAGGAAAGACCCAGTCCCATAATTCAGTCACCTCCCACTGGGTTCCTCCCACAACATGTGGAATTGTGGGAGTTACGATTCAAGATGAGATTTGGGTGGGGTCACAGCCAAACCATATCAGTGACTCATTAGAAATATTTTATTTTAAGGCCAGGCGTGGTGGCTCACGCCTGTAATCCCAGCACTTTGGGAGGCTGAGGTGGGTGGATCACTTGAGGTCTGGAGTTTGAGACCATCCTGGCCAACATAGGGAAACCCTGTCTCTACTAAAAATACAATAAAAAGATTAGCTGGGCGTGGTGGCAGGTGCCTATAATCCCAGCTATTTTGGGAGCCTGAGGCAGGAGAATCACTTGAACCGTGAAGTGGAGGTTGTGGCAAGCTGAGATCGCACAACTGTATTCCAGCCTGGGCAATAGAGTGAGACTCCATTTTAAAAAAAAATATTTTAAAAGTAATACATGGTTTAAAACAACAAAAATTTTAATCAGCAGTATTATAAGAAGTAAGTAATAAAAGTTTGTCTTTCACAGTTATCGCCAAAGATAGTCAAAGGCTGTATTATATTCCGTAATATGGGTATGACATATTAGGTTGGTGCAAACATAATTGCAGTTGTGGGCTGTGAATTTTAAATCATTATGACTGGTCTCAAGCACATCTTTATTAATCAAAATAGGAACCATTACGGTCAACACATTTTTGCCAATAAGAAATAAGTGTTTATTCTTGTAGCATAAAAATTAGTGCTTCGGGATTTGATGAACTCTTGGAAAGCATTTTTACTGCATCTTGCTGGTTGTGGAAACGTTTTCCCTGCAAAAGGTTGTCAAGATGCTTGAAGAAGTAGTAGTTGGTTGGCAAGAGGTCAGGTGAATATGGCAGATGAGGCAAAACTTCATAGCCCAATTTGTTCAACTTTTGAAGCGTTGGCTGTGCAATGTGCGGTCGGTGTTGTGGTGGAGATGAATTGGATCCTTTCTGTTGATCAATGCCAGCTGCAGGCATTGCAGTTTTCGGTGCATCTCATTGATTTGCTGAGGATACTTCTCAGATGTAATGGTTTCGCTGGGATTCAGAAAGCTGCAGTGGATCAGACCAGCAGCCGAACACCAGACGTGACTATGACCTTTTTTTGGTGCAAGTTTGGCTCTGGGAAGTGCTTTGGAGCTTCTTCTCGGTCCAACCACTGGGCTGGTTGTCACCGGTTGTCATGTAAAATCCACTCTTTGTCTCACATCACAATCCGATTGAGAAATGGTTCATTGTTGTTGTGTAAAATAAGAGAAGATGACACTTCAAAATGATGTTTTTTTAAAAAATGTTTGCTCAGCTCATGAGGCACCCACTAATCGAGCTTTTTCACCTTTCCAATTTGCTTCAAATGCTGAACGACCATAGAAAGGTCGACGTTGAGTTCTTTGGCAACTTCTTGTGTAGTTTTAAGAGGATCAGCTTTGATGATTGCCCTCAGTTGGTCATTGTCAGCCTCTGATGGCCAACCACTATGCTCCTCATCTTCAAGGCTCTTGTCTCCTTTGTAAAACTTCTTGAACTGCCACTGCACTCTATGTTTGTTAGCAGTTCCTGGGCCAAATGCATTGCTGATGTTGCATGTTGTTTCCACTGCTATATACGACCCATTTTTGAACTCGAATAAGAAAATCACTCAAATTTGCTTTTTGTCTAACATCATTTCCATAGTCTAAAGTAAATTTAAAATAAACAGCAAGTAATAAGTCATTAGCAAAAATACATAAAAAGAGAAACATGCATTAAAATGATGTATAACATGACGACATTTAAGAATGTATTCCAGTATCAAACAGCAATTTGCAACAATGCAAAAACTGCAATTACATTTGCACCAAGCTAATAATTTGTTTAATTAGCTTAGAGTTGGTGGATTTTTAGGTAGCTGCCAACTCTTTTTGTAACTGTAACAAACAATGAAGCTTGAACATGATTATATGCATACTTATGCTTGCTTTGAAAATGATAGGGTAATTTTCCTCCAAAAGCAAAAGGATAGAGTAATTTTCCTTCAAAAACAAAAGGATAGGGTAATTTTCCTCCAAAAATGTGCTGCTTTCTATTCTCATCAATGTTTTAACCCACAACTTTGTCAGTCTTGACTAATTAATTTTTAAATTATGAATATGCCTTTGAAACTACACCAAAATTTGACAAGTGGTCATTTCTTAAAGGTCAGTTACAATGTAGAGTATAGAAATCATACCAAAAAACTTTTTCTATTCTCATACATTAAAATCCATTGTAGTTTGAATGAACCATTTCTGACTACATGCATTGTCTTTTGGAGGACACTGGTTCATTGAGTTATGCATGTATTTCAAATACTAACACATTTCACTACCCAACATTAAATCATAATAGCTAATATCACCACAATTTCATCAGAACAAGCTTTTAAGTATTGGAAAACTGTCAAGGTCATCATAGCATATAAAAATTTTTACAAAATTCAAATTGCTTGAAAGCTTTAATTTTATTATTGGTAATAAATGTCAGTTTTTCTTGAAGTAAGAGTCTCTTCATTCATTCTTGAGAATGCTTTTTATTTATTTATTTGTTTTGCTTCGTTGTACTCTTGAATAGAAAAGTTAAAAGTTCTCTTGCTCTCAGTCATTAATGGAAAGCATTCAATCTTTCACCATTAAATGTGATGTTAGTTGGTAACTTTTCCTAGATTCCCTTTATCAGATTTAGAAACCTTCTATTCCAAATTTTTGAGTGTTAAATCAGATGCTTTCTTAGCACCCTTTAAGATAATCTTAAGGTTTTTGCCATTTCTTCTATTATTATGGTGAATTATATTGGTGGATTTTTGAATATTAACCCAACTTTGTATTCCTGGATTAAAACATTCTTAGCATGGTTTCTCATTCACTTATGTATCCGTAATGCCCAACCCAGTCCCATAAAGATATAGTATATGTCCAGTAAGTATTTGTTCAATTAATTAAGACAGTGAAATTCCTTAAATGGTTTTCCTGTTTTGGAAACTGTTGAAAACTTTTGAAAAAACCAGTCATTTTATAAACCAAAACATACTGCTATCTATCTTATTCAGAAGTCATTTCTCAACAACGTTAACTATTGGGAATATAGATGGTGATTCAGAAGGAAGTAGAGAACGTTTTGACAGTCCTTTCTTTTTTTTTTTTTTTTTTTCTTTTTGAAACAGAGTCTTGCTGTGTCAGCCAGGCTGGAGTGCAGTGGCGCGATCTTGGCTCACTGCAACCTCCACCTCCTGGGTTCAAGCAGTTCTCCTGCCTCAGCCTCCCAAGTAGCTGGCATTACAGGCACACGCCACCATGCCTGGCTAACTGTTTTGTATTTTTATTAGAGATGGGGTTTCACCATGTGGGCCAGGCTGGTTTCGAACTCCTGACCTCAAGTGACCCACCGGCCTCAGCCTCCCAAAGTCCTGGGATTACAGGCATGAGCTACCGCGCCCAGCCGACAGTCCTTTCATTGAAGAAGTTCAAAACCTTTTTATTTTTACATTTTTTATATAGTTCTAACAAGCTTTGATCTGGTTTCCATGCACCCTGCATATCAGAAGTAACAAACTGTAGTGGAATAAGTTATTAGAGATTGTTAAATTGAGAGGATGTAAATTAACAACTTTCAGTGGCAGAGAGGGGGAAAAAGCATTATGGAAAGAATTTTCAAAGCTTAGTAGCTGAGAGCTGTCGATGTTGTGGTAGCTGAGAGCTGTCTGTAAATCTTAATTGCATCTCCAGCTTCTTAATGTATATAGCATTGTAAAAGCAGGATTTTAGAGTTGGAATAAACTTAACAAGCCTCTCATTCCCTGTTTCTGAACCTTTTCTCCACCTTTACACATGTGAGGGGTAGATATGACAAATACATCTAAGAGTGGCTGTGGTAGGAGTGTCTTTGATTCCCAGTAGCAAGAGGAGATGGGACAAGCGTGTGTGATGTGTGTGTGTTTGCAGGGGGTGGTGATACATACACATTGGGGTGTATCAGAATCTCTGTTTCTGGGGAGGGCACCATGTATGCAGTTTGAATTTGTATCCATTCCTGCTATGATTACACTATCTTTTTTTGTTTGTTTGTTTTGTTTTGTTTTGTTTTTTTGAGAAGGAGTCTTGCTCTGTCGCCCAGGCTGGAGTGCAGTGGCGCAGTCCCGGCTCACTGCAATCTCCGCCTCCTGGGTTCAAGTGATTCTCCTACCTCAGCCTCCCGAGTAGCTGGGACTACAGTGATTACACTAGCTTACATTCCCACCTGCAGATGTTCTGCTGCCTCACTCATATTCATATCTGAGAAATACTTGTCTCATCCAAATCACTAATATTATAATAGATAAGTAAACTGAGGCCCACTTGAGAGGTTGAATGACAAGCTAGCCACACAGCTGATGAATATTAGGTTAGACTAAGAATGTAGTTTTCTTGGTTTTTAGTTCAGTGTTTTCTATTCTGTCCTGCAATGATTTATATTCAAAATAATAGGGTAAATAATAATAATGTTATATTTAAAAAACGTTTTATTAAAAAGAATGAGAAGTTTTCATTAGATTTGTTTTCTCTTTCAATATACTGAAAAAAAATCACTTGGAAGTAAAACTGAGACATTTGTGGTGGAAGAAGTTCATTTTTTCATGCTAATAGATAAATGCAGTGTTAAGTGTCAAACTAAATAATAGGGAGACTTGTCTAAAAGAAAATGATAGTTATTTACGAGTGGGCATTACAATGGGAATATATGTGAGTATATTCAGGGAGGTAAAGGAAGACAAGAGTTTTTAAAGGAAAAATGAGGAGGGTCACATAAGTTGTTTTGAGAGAGTTACCCTTGGCTACAAGGATCATTAACAAGAATGGCCTCAGTCTGAAGTTGGACAGGCAGTTCCTGGGCAGATGTCCTCACAGAGTAATTTTTTGTAAAGTTGTGGTGGCTTTTGTTCCAGGTTGTGGTTTTTGCAGTCTTTTGTGGTAGTTCTTCTTATCAGGCATATATATATATATGTGTGAGAACCCTCCCTTCATCTCCTTCCCTAGCTCTGTTTGTCAGGGTTTTAATACAAGTGACTCTGTTTTGATTCTGACAACTTCCATATAAAGTAAATTGATCACTTACATTTCAGTTTATTGGGAGTCTGTTAGTTCTGAAAATAAAATACAGATGACTTCATATTTGGAGTTTGTATTATTCAGACTTCATATTTGGAGTTTGTATTATTCTATATAGCTTCATAATGAATTATTACTATCTCTTACTGGCTTAAGATGAAAGACTTTATTATCTCACAATTTCTATGGGTCAGGAATACGGGCATGGCTTTGCTGGGTCTTCTGTTTAGAGTCTTACCATGTGGAAATTAAGGTGTAAGCCTGGACTGCAATCTTACATGAGCCTCAGTGCTCTCTTCCAAGTTCACTGATTCTTGTCAGAATTCAATTCCTCATGGCAATAGAACTGTGTGGCCCTTACTTCCTCAAGGATTCCTATCTGGCATGTGGCTCCCTCCACTGCATGGTGGTTTGCTACTTTAAGGCCAGCAGGAGAGTTTCTCTGCTGTTTCCAATATCTCTGACTTCTAGACTATCTTTTTAAAGTCTCACCTGAATAGGTCAGGTCCACCAGGATTCTCTTCCTTCTGATCAACTTACAGTCAACTGATAGGAGCCTTAATTACATTTGCCGTATAAGTTAGCCTGGTCACAATAGTGAGATCCCAGGAATCATGCTCACGTTCAAAGGGAGGGGTTTATACAAGGTGTATAAGCCAGAGGATGGGAATCTTGACAGTGGTGATCTTAGCAGTATGCCTATCACATGGTTATTAAAGCCAGTAGTGACTCTCTTTTCAGTAGAACTGGAATCTCTCCTATGTGCTAAGCCTTTCTCCAGGCCATGGAAATATAAAGCTAAAAAGCCCAGCTTTTGTCCAGTAATAAGGTGGTAGAGAGAAACAATGAAGTACTGTTTATAATGTAATTCAGTCATGCAGCTGCAATAGAGGTGTATCCAGGCTACAATGTGAACATCAAAGAGAAGGTATTGGGAGGTTGGGAGGTTTGGTCAGGAAAAGTATGTATCTGGAAAAAGTGATAGTACTGCTTTAGTTCTTGAAACTATAAAATTTTAAATATCAGTTTTTAAGAGGAAAACCTTAGTATTTAAGATGATGAAATTATTAAATGAGTATTTCTTTTCCCCCAGATGGTATACCTCAAGTTTACTATTTCGGCCCTTGTGGTAAATACAATGCTATGGTGCTGGAACTGCTGGGACCTAGTTTGGAAGACTTGTTTGACTTGTGTGACAGAACATTTTCTCTTAAAACAGTTCTCATGATAGCTATACAACTGGTAAGTAAAATAAGGTATTTGAAGTTGTTTGAACAATTACATGGTTGTTGGTCACAAATTCATATTAAAAGTTTAAAGTTCTGTGATATTGTCTTACAGAGCGTTTGACGTAATACAAATGTTTCTACTTTTCATGTTGTCTTTCTGGGATCCATGTAACTTAAAATAACTGAGTCAAGTATATTTTATTTGTATAAAAACTAATAATTGCTTTAAGATCAAAATGCTCAGTTTGCAAATTAAGTTGTTGCTAGCCATTTCTTCATATAAAAGATGATTACTTCAAAAGAGAACCCTCAGAAACATAGATTTTTTTTTTTTTTTTTGAGACGGAGTCTTGCTTTGTTGTCCAGGGCGGAGAGCGGTGGCGAGATCTTGGCTCACTGCAACCTCTGCCTCCCGGGTTCAAGCAATTCTCCTGCCTCAGCCTCCCGAGTAGCTGGGACAACAGGTGCATGCCACTACGCCCGACCAATTTTTTGTATTTTTTGTAGAGACAGGGTTTCACCATGTTAGTCAGGATGGTCTCGATCTCCTGACCTTGTGATCCGCCCGCCTTGGCCTTCCAAAGTTCTGGGATTACAGGCGTGAGCCACCGTGCCGGGCCAGAAACATGGATTCTTAATTTTGGTAATAGACTTTATGACCTGGAAAAACAAGAGGCAGACTAATGAGAGAGTCTTGATAAACTACTTAGACTTCAGGGAATCCGTTGGATAACAATTAGAGAGTGATTTTAAGGCAGTTTCGAAATAAATGCCAATAGAAGTGTGCTGCAGAAGTCTTAAAATTGTTTTTATTCATTGACTCATTAATTCTACAAATTTATCCTATGGATGTTTTCATAGGTACTTAAAGCTTTATATGAAAGGATGTTTATAATAAAAAAAGGAGAAGCAACCCAAATATGCAGAAATAACAGGGTTAGTTGAATAAATTAATATCCAGAGGAAAATATGCAGCTGTTAAAAAGTGCATATTAAAGATTGTTTTATAGGCTAGGTGTGGTGGCTTGTGCCTGTAATCCCAGCACTTTGGGGAGTCTGAGGCTAGAGGATCACTTGAGCCCAGGAGTTCAAGATCAATCTGGGCAACATAGTGTGACTCTGTCTCTACAAAAATAAAAATAAAAAAAAAAATAAGCCAGGTGTGGTGGTGTGCTTGTGTAGTCCCAACTGCTGAGGAGGTTGAGGCAAGAGGATTGCTTGAGCCCGGAGGTTAAAGGTTGAAGCTGCAATGAGCTATGCGTTCCATCCTGGGTGGCAGAGTGAGACCCTGTCCCTGCCCCCACACACAAAACATCAAAAAACCAACCAACTGCCCCCAAACAAAACAAAGAATATTTCATGACTTTGCAAATGCTCATATCATTAATTAAGAATATATAGACATAGAATATTGTACATTATATGCTGCAAAGTTTGTTAAACAAACTAGAATGGCCTGTGTAGCCATATGTTTACATTGCATTGTTAACCATGATTATCACTAAATGAAGCAGTTTTATTTTCTTATTTGTAATACTCTATTTTATGACAGTTTGTACAATGAACATTGAGAATCTGTAAAATAATTAACAAAAATGAGCTATATTATTAATATTAGAGTTGGATTTCAGACTTTTCTAGCTTTATGATCTTTCTAGCTTCAAGATTAATCATTTTTAAATGTTTAATACCTAGGAAAAAGTAAAGGAAACATGTTATGAAAAAGAAAAAGATACTGAATAGTGCTGTTGTTTTTACTTAATAGTTTAGACTCTTAAGTTTCTTTAATATACTTGTAAAAGTTGCTTGGTTATTGAACTGATAAGGAAGATTATATTGCAATGTTTTGCATATGTCTGCTTATACTTTTGGGTTCAAGGTCTTATATCAATGTGGCTTTTTGATTTTATGAAGTAGCATCCTCTGAAAGTGTTCATTGAATCAGGCTTGCTGATATGAAAGGAATTCATAAAATTCAAATACTCTCGTTTAGCAGTGACCATAACAGTAAAGGCAAAGATTTTAAATTGCAATTTGCTATGTGAAGAATGATAGGCTGACATCATTTTACTTTTAAAGGGTTGAAACAATTTCTGATTTATTTCTTTTGTATGTTTTCATTCTGTCTTGCCTTTATCATACTTGCTTAGGCTAGTCAAAGCCCAAAATAAAACTTCTCTTCTTTTTTTCTTAAACCAAGATTTCTCGCATGGAATATGTCCATTCAAAGAACTTGATATACAGAGATGTAAAACCTGAGAACTTCTTAATAGGACGACCAGGAAACAAAACCCAGCAAGTTATTCACATTATAGATTTTGGTTTGGCAAAGGAATATATTGATCCGGAGACAAAGAAACACATACCATACAGAGAACACAAGAGCCTTACAGGAACAGCTAGATATATGAGCATAAACACACATTTAGGAAAAGGTATGTGTACCTTTCGTAAGTATGGAAGTTTGAACTTAGCAGCTGTGCTAACACTGTGAGTTTTTATTTGTTATGGTTCAGTTTTTGCAGATTATAATAGCTTTTATTATAATTTTCATTTATCACATCTACCTAGAGTTTACTTTCACTTATATTTTAATAAAACTCTTTGAAAGTAAGTTACTATAGAGTAAATGAGTGACAGCTATCTTTACATTCACTGTATTTTTTGTATTTATATAACTTGAAGTGTTCAACTTTGATACAGTTATGGGGATGCATTTAATCATTTCTCTTACAAAATATGAGAGAATACCAAATTTTAACTGAATTCAGTACATGTGGAAATTTTGGATTGAGACCATAGCTCTCCAATATGGCTAGCCACAGAAATAGCAACTAGCCTAATAAGTATAATGCTAACAGCATATACCTTAGAGGTGGGCAGAGCTGGCTTACCTGTATGCTAACTATGACTTCGGACAAGTTTAACCTTTTTAAGGGGTTTCTTATTGGTAAAAAGAGTAAAACAATATCAACTTCACAGGATTTTTTATAGCATTCTTCCTTCACCCAGATTCATATTTATCATATCCCTTAAATCATTTTCATCTGGAACAGTTCCTCAGTCGTTCGTTATGGCTCATGACCTTAATATTTTTTAGGAGCACAGGCTATTTTATAGGATATCTCCAATTTGGGTCTGTTATTTCTTTTTGACTAGATTTGGGTAGGCATTTTGAGCACAAATATCACAGAAGTGATGTGTTCTTAGTGCATCATGTTGGGATCACTTGCTTGGACGATATCTGCCAAATTTCTCTACTGAAAAGTTTCTTGTAGTTAGATTTTGGGATTATGTAAACATGTTGTTCCTCATCAGATTTTTGCCCTCTAGATTTAGCATCCATTGATGATTTTCTAACTCCATTATTTCTAATATTTACATTTCCTTATTTGTCAGTTGATATTCTAATGTCAGCAGAAGCTTTACCTTCTCCCCCAGTTATTGACTTATGTCTATATGAACTTATTAATTCTTATCTTATTTAATGTAATGTATTGAATGCATTATCATTATTTATTCTGATAGCCAAAGGGTTCCAGATTTGGCCACCCGTTGCTCCTTCAAGCTGGCTTCTCTGTCCTTTTGACATGTTCTCATGAATCTTTGAGTACTTTCTTTCTTTTGGTGCAGCAAGTTCTTATAAACAAACTCATCTTGTAGTTTCTCTTCTGCAGCCCCATAATCAGTCCTTTTCTCCAAGAAGTTCTGAATCCTTTTATTGGATAATGGTATTTAGAAACCAAGATTTGGCCACTGGATATGCTCATTACTGTGGTATGTTGTTACTGCCAGGCCCTTTCTGCAGCAGAACTAGGAAATGTTTGTGCATATATGTATATACATACACACATAGAAATATGCCTACATATATACGTATGTATACACACACACAGAGACATACGTTAATATCTGTTAAAAATTTTGAGTTTATACTGATACACTTTTAATTTCAGTCTGTCAGTACAAAATAGTATTTCCCTTTTCTATATTTGTAATTCCATCCCTTTTCCATATTTGTATCTTTTTTTTTAACAGTGAGAAATCTGGCTATCACTACTTACAATATATTTACTTGTTTTTAAAAGCTGAGGATACTCAGAAAGTAGTTTCAGATTGCCAAATGATACCACTTTATATAGCAAGTCTAATAGAATTATAACATTTGTAATTCTTATTTTATTGAAGAGTTTTTTTTTTATTGAAGTAAAATTTACATTGGGTAAAATATACAACATTTGATTATATAATTTGTGAGTATTGATGAATGTGCATACTATGTAACCCACACACTATCAAGATTTAGAACACTATCATTATCCTATAGACTTCCATTTTACCCATCTTAGTCATTCCCCTCCTTTTCTAGAAGCAATCACTGATCTGATTTCTATCACAACAGATGAGTTTTGCTGATTCTATTACTTAATATAAATAGAACCATCCAACTTCTTTTGGTGGGTATAATGTCTTTAAGATTCATTTATGTTGTTGCAAGTATCAGTAGTTTATTCTTTTTTAATGCTAAGTAATATTCCATTGCATAAACATATCACAAACTGCTTATCCATTTGAATGTTGATGGATATTTGGATTAAGTTTTTGACTTATGAATAAAACTTGTATAATATTCTTACAAATCTTTTTGTGGGCATATTTTTCAGTTTGGTCCTATGGCAGGTATTATTTAACTTTATAAGAAACTGCCTGTCTGTTCTCAGGAGTGTTCATACCTTTTTTTATTTCCATCAGTAATGAATGAGAATTTTGTTTGTTTCATAATCTTGACAACATTTAGAGTTGTCAGTCTTTTTCATTGTAGCTATTCTAGTGGCCAAGGGGTAGTCTTTTAATTCCTTGTGATTATTGTTTCTGAGATCTGTTTCATGTATTTATTGGCTATTTGTATATCTTCTTTTGAAAAGTGTGTGTCATTTCATTGTTAATTTACAGAGTTCTTTATATATTCTGGGTATAATTATTTTGTCATATATATGCATTATGAGTAATTTCTTTCAGTCTTTGCTTGCCTATTCATTTTCTTAATGGTATCTTTTGATGAGCAGAACTGTTAAATATTTTTGAAGTCTAGTTTATCAGTTTTTTTGTTTATGGTTATTGCCTTTTGAATTCTAACAAATCTTTACCTTCATGTAATAAGGTAAACAAATCTTTACCTTCATTACATTTTATGCTTTCTTCTAGAAGCTTTATAGTTTTAGCCTTTTATATCTGTGCTCCATCAGAATTGATTTTTTATATGGTGTGAGATAGGGGTTGAGGTTCTTTCTATGATATCGTATTCTTTCTTATTGAATTACCTTAGTGTGTTTCTTAAAAAGTCAATTCTAGATTACATTTGCCACATTCAGTATTCATATCAGAGAAAGTACAAACTTAATTATCTGCTTTTAGATATTATTCTGCTTTCAGATACTATTAGACATCTTACAACAGATAGACAGAAATGTGAACCAATCAGTATATATCCATCACTGCTGCTCAAAAGTACCTTCAAATATACAATCACAGATTTGGACAGAATCTTGGAGGTCGTCTAATCCAACTTTCAAATCCTGATCTTAGCTTTTCCTCTAAACATTCTCCCCAGCTTTAGCTACTCTATAGAGCATGTCCCTGCTCTGCCTCTCAATCATAACTCAGTAGGATGTGGCATCTTTCCTAACAGCTGACCTGACGGTAGGCTTATGGTATTTTTTTCTTTTCAGACATCTGAAATGCCTGAAAAATGTAAATTTGCTGTTTTTTTTTTTTTTTTAAGAAAAGTAAGTTTCAAATATTTAAAATTATGAAACACAAGTTTTATTCAGTTAATATGTTCAGGGAGTAGCTTTCAATAGCTGACTTTCCTGGTAGACTTAAAAATATGATTGGGTAGCTATACAACTTTTGGGGTTGTGACTTCAATTAAAACCAGGCACACCTATATTTATTTACATGTTCAGAGTCTGTGAGAAATTTTCATTTTACGGGAGTTGTTAACAGACTATTTTATAACAACTAACAAAGGTTCACCACTATTTTATTGTGAGACATGAAGTCACAACTTCCTTAGGGCCTAATGTTCCTTATCTGAACAATGGTAAATGTAACAGCATTCTATTTGTAGAAATGGCGAAGTGAGTGTGATATGTTTGTCATTGTTAGGAAAAGTCATCAGTACCTAGGAAGTGAGATTGAACTATTATAATAATCTCTCTTTACTCCTCTTTCAGGAATAAAATAAAAATGTATTTATTTGGCAGGTATAGCAAACAACGAATGCTTAATGTTTACTTTTCCCCATTTATAAACACTCTGCTTCTCAGTTTTCATGTAAAACTCAGGAGTAGGTGGGTAATATTAACAGATAAAAAATTTTGTTTCTAAGATTACATGAATTCCTATTTAAAAAGTTAAGAGTAAGGTAATATGAGTTTGGATGCTGAGGAATTAAAGCATTTGGCAAATTGCGATGCCTTTGGATATGGAATACATAGCGGTGTTTTAAGTTTAGAGTACTTGGTTTTGTGAGGAGTCAGGAAGAGATAAAGAAGGAAAAGGAGCAGAGAAAACATGACCTTTTAATGTGATTTTAATTTGTGCGTATCTTATTTCTGCCCTCCCTGCTTTGCCTGGATCTTGGTGATTACTTTTAAAGCCTTATTCATTCACCCATCTTTCCATCCATTCATTCATTCTTAGGCACTCAAGGACTTCTTGCTCACATGAACTTTTCAAAATAGAGAGTTTGGTCAAAGGAACATTATATGGGTTTGTAAGTATTTTTCCTTTTTGGAGACTGACACTATCTTAGACTTAAAAAGGAAAAAGATGTTCCTAATATAATAATATAGAAGAATAGTGTAAAATCACATAATAAGAATTAACATTTTATTCTTGTAGTATCTGTTGATCTTAACTAGGTTATTTATGTTCAGAAGGCAGATGTTGCAGTTCACATTTATACCTTTCTTATAGCTGCTTAAGTCTCTGTCCAAGATGCAATCTTGATAAAGCTTTATGTTACAGATGTGGATTTCCATGTGTCCTTGCATGAAAACTTTCTTTAGTGTTGACATATTGAATTGTTACTTTTGTGTCACATCTGATCAAGTGTCTGCTTTTTAATATCTTTTTAAAGACTTTTGTTAGCTGCCCTGAACCTCATAATCTTCCTTTGGATGACTATTTTTCCCTTTTATGTCTTCTCTTGTTGAAGTCATTTGATATTAAGTAAATAATGTCTATTTCTCTTTGGTGAATAGCCTTGAAATAAAAATCAGATCTTTTATTTTTAAATTTTTATTGATTATTCAAGAATAAAAAAACTAGGATTTGAGGGATAAGTTGGGAGTTGCTTTGTAAGTGTTAATAGAAGAATGATGTTTCAAGCTTCTAAGTGGTAAGTTCTCTGAATAGGAGAGAAGGAACCACAGAATTATGGTGTTCCAAAAATGCCTTCTTTCTGTGCTATCATTCTGTGGTGTGATTCATATAATTTAATTTCTAGGTTAATTGTTCCAGTTTCTGAGGCCTGCTCTTTAAGCTGCTCACACAGCTTTTTTGCAGTTTAAAAACATGTATTTACATTTTATAATTATATTTTAACAGTTTAAAATGTATTATATAATTTTTTGTTAGAGTATAATGAACATAATTGGTATTTTCTTGATGTTTCAGGGTATAGTTTTTTTTATATGATTACTATTATATAGCAATATTCTCAAGATCAGTTGGAGAAGGTTAGGATGGATATCTTTATCTAAATAAATTTGGAGACAATTTTATTTATACTTTGTAATAGATTCTCTTTTTGTTTTTTGGGTTTGTTTTTTTTTTTTTTTTTTTTGGCCTTCACCTGTGTTGTCCCTTACTTTTTGATAGTGTGTGTAGTATAGCTACTGCTGGCAACACTTTGCTTTTCTCTACCTTTGATTTACTTCTTTTGACCTTGTCACCAAACTTACAAGAATTATGTCTAAATTAAGAGAACTAGATTTCAAGAGAACTTTAGGAATTAAGTGAATGCATGTACTGGGTTCAGTTGCACAGAAAACTTTTTCTAAGTTTTGTTTATATTACTAGATTAGGTGTTTAGATTAGTGAACTGTTCCTGTGTATTGTCTTGCATAATTGTGTTTTGTTCTTTTCCTTTTTAGGTTTGTTTTCTCTTTTTTTAAAAAAAAAATCCTTGTTATATAATTTTGAAAACTGAGCTCAATGAATCTTGAGGAAGAGGTATTTTTGTTTTTTTTAGGGTAGTGCCAACTAAAGTAACTTTTAATATTTAAGAAGGAAATATAGTGAACCTTTTCTTCCTTGTAGTAGATAATTTTTATCTTTTTTTTACTTATAAGAAATGATTTAAACTTTATTCAGGGAGAATTTTTGTTGTTTGAGCTGTCTTGGCTTTGTCTTCTCATGTCTGTGCTTTGCTTAGCCAACATGTCTTTTGGCCTCATTGTTTTTCATTATGGTAGAAAATGCAGTAGTAAGTTTATTTTTGCAAATATATGCATGTATCATAGAAAACTTCCTGCTTCTGTGTGAGGCATCGATAAATTTGAGTTAACGAAAAAGGGAATTTTTTTTGTTGAAAATTGAATTGAAATTTCAATTGAAATGGAAACAGTGTTAGGCAAGTGAGGAATGAAATCTGATTTAAAGAAAAATAAATAATGTTGAGATATAAGAGTAGAATTTTTAAATAGAAAAGCATTGCAGAAGGTTTCCAATCAACATTGATTAAGTGATGAAATGCTTTCCAAAATGAAAAAAATGCAGACAAGTGGGCTGAAATCTTGCCCTCCACTTATTAGGTACCTAGTTTTGAAGTAGTCACTTAATCTTTCTGAGCTTTACTTTCCTTATTTGGGATTACAAATAACTGTTTTCAGTGTAGCTGTAATTTTGAAAGATAGTATATATGAAACATGGACACAGACTCTTAATACGTGTTGATTATTTTTTATGGTACATATATTCCTGAAGAGGAAAATTTTAATGGACTATGTACCTTTTTAATTGGTTTCAAGACCTATTTAAAATAATCTTTAATGATACCTATTTTAAAGAAAAATAATCACTTTCTGGTTTCCTTAGGTGCTCATAGCAAGAGTTCTTATAATGATTCTTGGCCTTGTGGAAAAACATTCGCTTTCAAACAGGCCTTTGTAGTTAAGTGCTTTAAAAAATGTGAACAGGCTTTAATAGGGGCCAGATTACTGTTGGGAGACTTTTTTCATGTAAAAGAACTGTTAAAGACCCTAGGGGGTGTTCTTTAGTTACTGTGTTTCAAAGAGAAAGCCTTCCTGTGATTTCTGTAACTTACTACATGGTAAAATTTATTTCCAGATATGTCAGTTGGTGAAAGAACACAAAAAAAGAAATTATGAGGGTAAAGAGCATTTCAGACTGAGTTTCAGTAATAGATTTGTTTTACTAGCTAATATTTATGGCTTGAATTTTGAAATGCTTTGTGGGTTATGAGACTAATACTGTTCTCTGATAGAACCATGTAGGCGAGATCACCTTATGACCGTGGCTTATTGGCACTATGTGACTAAAGCTTCCCCTTGGATAGAATTCAAAGAGGAAGTGCCTTTTATATTGAGTTCCTCTCCATAACAGAGCGTCTTACTGTAGGGCTCAGCATACTTTTACATGTATAGTATTTTAAGTTTTTTAAACTATATGCATATTATATATAGGTCTTGCATATACATTGATAAATGTATCCTTACATATTTCCTGTTTTTTAATGCTGTTGTAAAGGTATTGGTTTTAAAATTCAATTTTCACTTGTTCGTTGTGAGTATAGAAATCCAGTTTTTTTTTTTTTTTTTTGAGACTGAGTTTCGCTCTTGTTGCGCAGGCTGGAGTGCAATGGCGCGATCTTGGCTCACCACAACCTCCGCCTCCCAGATTCAAGCGATTCTCCTGCCTCAGCCTCCCGAGTAGCTGAGATTACAGGCATGTGCCACCATGCCCAGCTAATTTTTTTTGTATTTTTAGTAGAGACAGGGTTTCTGCATGTTGGTCAGGCTGCTCTCGAACTCCCAACCTCAGGTGATCAGCCCGCCTCAGCCTCCCAAAGTGCTGGGATTACAGGCGTGAGCCACCGCGCCCGGCCCAGAAATCCAGTTGATTTTTATTTTTATTTTGTAGAGACAGGGTCTTGCTCTGTCACCCAGGCTGGAATGCAGTGGTGCAACCATGGCTCCCTGCATTGTCATCCTCCTAGGCTCAAGGAATCCTCCCACCTCAGCCTCCCTAGTAACTGGGACTACAGGTGCATGCCAACACACCCAGCCACCAGCTAATTAAAAAAAATTTTTTTTTGTAAAGTTAGGGTTTCTCTATGTTGCCCAAGCTAGTCTTGAACTCCTGGTCTCAGGCTATCCACCTGGCTCGACCTCCCAAAAGTGCTGAGATTACAGGTGTGAGCCACCGAGCCTGGCCCCAGTTGATTTTTATGTATTAACCTTATATCTTGTAACCTTGCTAAAACTTACCTACTAGTTGTAATAGACCTTTTGTAGGTTATTTGGATTTTTCTACATATACAATCCTGTTGTCTGCAAAGAGCAATAGTTTTATTTCTTCATTTCCAATCTGAATATCTGTTAATTTTGTTTCTTTGCTTCTTTGTACTGGCAAGAACTTCCAGTACAATACTGAATAGAAAGGGTAAGAGTGGACATCTTTGTTCGTTCTTGATCTTAGGAGTGTCTTTTATCATTTAAGAATTATGTTAGTTGACATTTTTCGTAGTTGTTGTCAGGATGAAGTTGGCTTGTAATTCCTAGTTTGCTGAGATTTTTTTAAAAATCATTAATACGTGTTGGATTTTGTCAAGTACTTTTTCTGTATCTGAGATGACAATATGATTTATATTTTATTCTATTAATTTGGCGAATTACATTGATTGATTTTTAAAAGTTAAACCAAACCTACATTCCTAGAATGAACCTTACTTAGTCATGAGGTATTATCTTTTTAAGGATTTCATGTTTGTGTTTATGAGGAATATTTCTTATAGTTTCCTTTAATTGTAATGTCTTTATCTGTTGTTGGTAACAGGGTAATGCAGTGAGTTGGGAACTCTTCCAATCCTGGGTTTATGTAGAATTGGTATTATTCTTTAACTGTTTAATAGGATTCAGTAGCGATGCTATCTGGATTGTATTTTGGGAAGTTTTTAAATAATAAATTTAATTTCTTTAATTGATGCAGAGCTATTCACATTTTCTTCTTGAGGCAGTTTTAGTTATTAGTAGCTTTCAAGATATTTGTCCATTTCATGTAAGTTGTTTAATTTACATGTAAGTTGTTTCGTAGTATTCTTTTATCATTCTTTTAATATCTGTGGGATCTGTTCTGATGCCTCTTCTGTTTCTTCTGTTATTGGTAATTTGTGTTTCTTTCTTTTAGCCTGCTGAGAGGATTAATGATTTTATTGAACTTTCCAATCCAGCTTTTGTTTTCATTGGTTTTCATTACTGATTGTCCATTGGTCATTGATTTCCTCATTTGTCATTATTTTGTCCTTCTGTTTATTTTGGGTGGTATTGATATGAAGGCAGATACAGATAAGTTGGTCAGAATACAGAGTCTGAAATAGACTTATACATAGATGGCCGATTGATTTTTGAGAATGGTGCAAAAGCAACTCGAGGGGAAAGGATAGTTTTGCCAAGAAACTATATGAGAGTAGCTAGATATTAGTATTGAAAAAAATATATCTAAATCCTTACTCCACACCAAAAGCAAAAAAAAAAATTACTTCAAAATGAGTAATAGGTTTAAATGTAGGAACCATAACTATAAAATTTCTAGAAGAAAAAACAGGATAAAATCTTTGTGATCTTGTGGGTAGAGATTTCCTAGATTGGACATCAAAAAGTATAGAAAATAAGAGGAAAAAACCCCTGATAAATTGGACTTCATCAAAATGTAAAATTTCTTTTAAACATACTCTTAAGAAAACAAAAAAATAGCAAGCTGTTTTCTTGAAGGGAAAAGGTATTGGCAAAACATATCTGAAAATAACTTGTGTCCAGAATATACAAGGAACTATTACAACTTTTTAGTAAGACAATCCAATTTTTTAAACAGGCAAACACATGAAATAAAGTTCAGTGTTAGTCACCAGTGAAATACAAATTAAGTCAGTTAATCCATACTTTGAAGTTTGCTTTTCTGAAAGGATTTATTACTGCTTATACTTCATAGCCACTAGCATGGCTAAAATTTAAAAGACCATACAGAGGTTGGACAGGTGCAACTGAAACTCCCATACATTGCTGGTAGAAATGTGAAATGACATAACCCCTTTGGAAAATCATATAGAAGTTTTTTATAAAGTTAAACCTATACTTACAACATCATGTAGCAATCCCCCTTCTAGATATTAACCCAACATAAATGAAAATGTATGTCAACATAGACTAGTACAAGAAGAATGTTCATAACAGCTTTATTCACAATAGCCCCAAACTGGAACCTATTCAAATGTCTGTCAACAGATGAATAAACACATTGTAATATACTACTCAGCATTAAAAAGTAATGAGCTATGGTTGCACGTAACAACATGGATAAATCCTGAAAACATAGTAAGTGAAAGAATTTGGACACGAATCTATACTGTATGATTCCATTCATGTGCACCTGTCTAATCTGTAGTGATGAAGGCAGATAAGTGGTTGCCTGAGGCTGATGGTATTGTGGGGGTTGGGGGAGAGTAATAGGCAAGAGACATTTTGGAGCATTAGAAATGCCTCTTGATTGTGGTGGTAGTTATGCAGGTGTGTTTGTTGTTAAAACTTACCAAACTATACCCTCAGGACTACGAGAATCTAATGAAGTAAAATTTTCGTTATAAAAGTTATAACTAGTTTTTTTCATATTCTCATCCCCACTTTCATTAGTGGATGTAGATGGACTTTAAGGCCACTACTTATTTTGGAAAATTTGCTATTTTTAATAGCATATACTTACATTTTATAATAAAAAGTACAAGAAATAAAAAAACCTCTCCGTTATATCACATTTTTAGCATGCGAAATGGGAAGTTGAAATCTCTTCTCTAGTCTTCCAATCTTGTAGCCTTAATGACTGTCAATTTTGATGTATACTTCTGCAACTTGCAGTCTGGTGGAAGCATATATATTGATTAAATAAAAACACAAACATAGTATCTTTAAATCATAACAAGTGTTATTGAAAACAAGTGTATTAGTCTGTTTTCATGCTGCTGCTGCTGATAAAGTTATACCTGAGACTGGGCAATTTACAAAAGAAAGAGGTTTAATGGACTTACAGTTCCACATGGCTGGGGAGGCCTCACAGTCACGGCAGAAGGCAAGGAGGAGCAAGTCACATCTCATGTGGATGGTGGCAGGCAAAGAGAGCTTGTGCAGGGAAACTCCTTATAAAACCATCAGGTCTCATAAGACTTATTCACTATCAGGAGAAAAGCATGGGAAAGACCTGCCCCCATGATTCAATTACCTCCCACTGAGTCCCTCTCACAACGCATGAGAATTCAAGATGAGATTTGGGTGTGAACACAACCAAACCATATCAACAAGTATAGAATGTTTACACAGTAAAAATCAAAACCTTTTCTGACCCTTCATCCTAGTTCAGAGCCATACTTTGAAAAGTTTGCTTTTCTGAAAGCATTAAGTACTGCCTAGATAGTATGATTGTTCATGTGGATAAAACATCTTGCACATAAACAGACATCCTCTTATTAAAGTATTTTCTCATTGGTAGTTAGCATTTTGGTATTATTTTGAAACATCAAGAAATCTTAAGTATTTAACTTCAGTGACAGAAAAATTGAAATATCATTCAGTCAGCAAGTATTTATAAGCATCTCCCTGAGCCTTAGTCTGTAATCTTTATTCACTTATGTGCTAAATGACATTTTGTTACAACAACAACTTGAAAATGACAGTTTGTTCAAGTAGTATTTTTTGTGATAGTGAAGGGGTTATTAATGTTGGTATGTGTCAAACACAAGTTTTTCTTAAAATATATTACACACAATACTCCATAATCGTGTTTAATTTAATGGAGAGTATTTATCATGGGAGTTTTGTGCTCATATAACTTTAGGAAATGCAGGGTTGAAAAAGTTAAACATTTTAAATTCTAGATTTCTCAGAAGTTTTAATACGTTACCTTCTGAATCTTTAAGACAGAGCTGTAGTATACAGTGACTCTGACCATGGAACTCTTTTCCCCGTGGCCTGTACTTCCATGAATAGACATCTAAGCAGATAAATAAATCTCTAACAGCATCTAAAAATTATAATGGAATATTTTAAAGATGCTCAATAATCTTAATGTAAAAACATTATTTATATAGATATAATTTTATCACTTATAGTTACTAGATCTGTATTTTGTATTTATATGTTGAACTTTTGGAAATTAATTTATACATAATGAAAGAACAAACTCTCCATTCTTCCATTCTTAACTGTTAGAGAAAAGTGAAATTTATATTTCTTTTGTATTTCAGAACAAAGTAGAAGAGACGATTTAGAAGCTTTAGGTCATATGTTCATGTATTTTCTGAGAGGCAGTCTTCCTTGGCAAGGCTTAAAGGTAATTGTTTTTGTGTTTCTTTATTGAATTTCATAAAATATTAAGATATTAAGGTCCTGTCTTCCAACTAAACAGTTTTCATATTTTAAAATTTTATTTTGTAAGTAGGCATCAGGGCTCCCTGTGTTGCCCAGGCTGGTCTCAAACTCCTGGGCTCAAGCATTCCTTCTGCCTTGGCCTTCCAAAGCTCTGTGATTACAGGCTACCGTGTGCAGTCCCAGCTAAATAATTTTTAAATTACCACATTCTCAAGATTTTTTTTTTCTGTTTTAGGCTGACACATTAAAGGAGAGGTATCAGAAAATTGGAGATACAAAACGGGCTACACCAATAGAAGTGTTATGTGAAAATTTTCCAGGTAATGAATAATGTGAGGTTGATACATTATATACAGAAAACTAGAAATGCTAATTTTTATTGCTTAAGTTTATACATATTTTTTTCTATGCTTAAAAAAAAAAGAGCTAAAAATATGATTTAAAGGTTGTCAGCATTTGATGCCGAACCCACAGGGACACTTTGTGTATTTGCTTTGCAAATGGTATTAATAGAAGAAAATCCTGTCTGTTAATAGTGTTGATCATTACCAGCTGAAGTAATATTTTCTTTAGTGATATACTTTTAATGAGTTAAAATTTTTGCTAAGAAATGCCAGTTACAAAGTTTTGGTATTCAGTGTTAGTCATTTGGGTCTCAATGTCAAGTTCAAAGGAGGTATGTGAAGTATGATTTGGTTTAGTTTTCAAATTAAACTTAAATTAAGTAAGGCCAGTAAAACCTTACTGACCTCACTAGTTTGGGGCTAATTTTATATTGGGGAGCTGTATGCATTTATGAAAATAATTTTGCTTTCAAGTAGATTTATGGCAACTCAAATTAAGCCAAAAAAAATTTACTTAAGATTTCTACATCAATTAAGGAATAAGAATAACTTGTTAGTATATTAAGATAATGACTGTGATTTATTTGTGCAGCCACATTAAGTGAAAAGAGAGCTAAATTTGAAGATAAAATACGGAATTCCTATCTCACTTTAGTATTCCGTAGTTCTCCTGTATAATGCTGGCGTTATTAATGTAATAATAATATTATCAACATAACAAAAGTAGCTCTTTCTCAAGCTTGTTTATATTATTCATTGACAGCAAACTTTAATTATATATTTTCCTTTCTTGCTATAATATCTAGAAGTAGATTTTTTAAAATGTCGGTTAATAGTACTAGCAGTTTAGTGTAGGCAGATAGGGTAGTTGTCATTAAGGAAGCCTATATAAAGGTGGGAAAAATGGGGTTGCCAAATCAAATTAGCCAGGTATTTAGCTAGAAAGTGGAATAGTGGGAGAGTCACCACCTAAAGAAGGTCACTGCACACCACTTTTGTTGCCTCATTGTGCTGGGTGTGATCTTTTTCCTGTTGGCTGGGGCTGCCTGTGAATGCTAGGTGTAACTTACCATCTCTTACTGTAGTGATTTTCTGTGCCCTGATGGTGAAATGCCCTGCTTTACTAATTGCTCACCATTTTGCCCATTGTTTTATATTTATATATTTGTTTGTCTGTTTGTTTGTTTTTGCATGTATTAGATACATGTATCTAATACATTTTGGAATTATAATAGCATGCAGAGATTTGTATATCGCCAAATAATTGTTAAATATATGACCAGAAATTAAGAGAAGACTTACACTGTCCTCTTGTGTTATGTTTTTGAGATTTGTTTTAGCTTTCCTTTGTTAGCTTAATTGGTTAGAATACTGCTCAAAGCCAAGGTTAGGAATTTGAATTCTCTATTAGTTAGTTGGTTTATGTCACTGATTCTAAAGGAAATCCAGCAAGCCAATACAGATGCTTTCATATAAATCAGTTCTCACCGGTATTTTAAATAAAATTTTAAATTTATAAACTGAATATGATGCTTTGTGATTAATCATGCATTATTAAACTGCTTATTCAACTTCTCATACTACCAAATATTAAAAATAATCTTATAAAAATGAAAATTTTAGCTTTTCCTAATGAAATGAAGCAAAAATAGTGGTTGTTAAACTAAACCTCCCATTTTTCTTGTGTCTCTATTCCCTTCCTTCTTTTCCTCTTTTTTATTTTGTTGTAATTAAACTCAGAAAAATTTAAATTGCAATGTAATTTTGTTACTTTTCAAGTGTTTTTATATAATACAATGTGCTTTTAGATACTTAATTTTATTACTGAGTATTAAAGAAAAGTATAGTCCAAATAATTTTTATATTATTTCTAGAAGAAATGGCAACATATCTTCGTTATGTAAGAAGGCTAGATTTTTTTGAAAAACCAGACTATGACTACTTAAGAAAGCTTTTTACTGACTTGTTTGATCGAAAAGGATATATGTTTGATTATGAATATGACTGGATTGGTAAACAGTTGGTGAGTATTCTATATAATAATATATTACTTACAGTATCTGTTGCCTTTTTAATAGTACAATATCTTCAATTGAAAAGAGTTGAGAACAAATAGTTGTTTTAAAGGATTCATTTTATTGTTTTTTAAGGGACATTTCTGCAGGTAGTGCCGTACTAGTGTTCTTTGAGTTTTTCAGAAGCCCTACATCTGGATTCTTTGCCTTTTAGCATGAAGAGTTACTTTTAACTTTTCATCCTGATTTAGTTCTTAATGTCAAATATACTCTTTTTTGTGTAATATTCTCATGATTAATTTAATACTTCAATCCCTTGATGAAAATTAAAATTTGTATGAGTCTCTTCAAGTCAAAATATTGGAAATAAGTAATTTTATTAGTTTTTTTATTCTTTTAATTTTCTTAAAAGTTTATTCTATGTATACATTTGCTTTGGAAATGAGAGGCATAAACATATACATTTTTATCATGTTGATATGAAAATGTAGCCTAAAAGTAATGGCAGCATTAAGTGTTCTGTAGATGTAAAAATAAGTACTTTATAAAGAATTTGAATATTTTAAAAACACTTTAAAAAGTAGGTATATTCTTTTTGCTTTACCTTCTTAGCTTTAACAACATATTTTGATAATGATGCCTTTACTTAAAGCCTTAGTTTATTTAACAGTCTTTTGTTTTTTTCCTTAATTCTTTTAAGCAGCTAAATGATTTTAAATAAGAATTTTAAAATGGAATGTATTGATACCAATTGTTATTGTATTGTAGCCTACTCCAGTGGGTGCAGTTCAGCAAGATCCTGCTCTGTCATCAAACAGAGAAGCACATCAACACAGAGATAAGATGCAACAATCCAAAAACCAGGTTTGCTGCCCTTTAGATATGAAATACCTTCCTTTCATGATTGAAACATACACTTTTTTCTTCAATAGATAAAACAGACTGAAGGATTGAAAATACATATTTTTAATAGATAATCTATTTTCTCTTAATTTCACTGTTTATTAGTTTAATAATAGCATTAAAATGTTTAATCATAAATCCTTAATTAATGGTACAAATTAGTGTAAACTTTTAGGAATATGTGATATTCTGTTAGAATGGAAGTATTTGGATACCCTATTAGAATGAATTGTAATAACACTTGGACTTTCTAACTGTAGTTTAGTTCAATAAATTATTTATTGAATTTCTGCTATTGTAAAGCTACTGTTCTACACATTATAGAAATTCAGAAGTAAAGAAGACTGTATAACCTTTAAGAATGATTTTGTCACCAGTGTCTAAAAGCAGTGTTGTAGCTAAGAGTTCACTCAATTCTTTAGAATCAGGCATACATGGATATGGCTTGACCCTGGGCAAATAAGTTAATCTGTCAAAGCCTCAGTTTCCTCATCTATAAAATGGAAATAATGCATGTTAATTTAGAGCATACAGTAAGCTTTGAATCAAAACTCTTGTGTCTGCTGTTACTGTTATTATTATTACAATAAATACAGAAATAGCTATATTTAAAAAGAGAATAAGCTATATTACATGAAACACTAATAAAGTAGCATGGAGATCATATGTGGGGCTCTATGAAGATTTTATGGAAAAGGTAGCTTTTGACATGAACCTAAAGAATGAATGGAGTTTTTAAAGGGAAATGAAGATAAGGGCATTTTGGGGAGAGTGAATAATATAAAATATGAAGCAGAAGTTTAAAAATAGAGAATTTGAGGAATAGCAAGCGGTTCAAATTTGTTTGGAGCAGGAGGTAGGTAGAGATGGATTAGAGAGGGAGTAGAGAGTCAGTCTGAGATAAGGCATAGAAGTTGATCAAGTAGCGAGTTCATGTTTCCTGGCCAGGTAAAGGAATAGAAAGCTGTTGAAATTTTTGGGCAATGTTTTAATTTTTCTCTCTCTCTTTCTCTTTTTTTTGGTAAAAAAGTTTTATCGAAGACATCTTTGACTTAAAAATTTCACTATCACACTGAGTTAAGGAGTGTCTAGAAATTTTCTCTTACAATCCATTTTGGAGAAGGATAGTATGCCGTCCTTTTTGACTTTTATATTGTTTATCCCATCAAAGTTTAAGTGAAGATTAAAGATTAAAACAGGATGACAATCAAAAGAAAGAACACCACTTGTTAAAAATCATAGCAAAATAAAATGCTACATTTTAGGGAGTGTTTAACAATATTATGCTATATATATATATATAGCATGGCCAGTTTTAAAAGATTAATATTAAATTTTTGACTTAGAAAAATTGGTACTATAAAGCATCTCATACATAAATTACTTCATATATAAATTAAAATTAGTTGATAGCTGGAGTGCTGTGAAAAGATTCTGTATAAAGAAAGAAATGGCTCAGAAGTTGAGACTTAGTTTGTGTTTTATAAACCAGAGTTAATTCCTTGAATGTACTTGGAAGAAGATTAATACGGTATTCTTTGAAATTCTCCACTTGAGCTGTTAGGTATTATAATAAGTGAAATTCCTCTATTGTTGAATTAAATTATAAATCTAATGTTTTAGACTTTTAGTTTTCTACATCTTTCAGACATGTCTTGCTAACTAGAGTATAAGCTCACTGAGGGTAGGAACCATGTTTCATTTGTCCAGTCCTTGCACTAAATGTAGGGTGGGTGTGTGTGTATATATACACACACACACACACACACACACACATATATATAATATTTAGGCAATTCTTTAGGATAGGCTTATATATTGAATTTGGGATGTGAATATACACACTTTCATCATGATAGAAAAGTTGTATATTTAAAAAAAACTTCTTAAATATCTCTAGACCACTAAGCAGCTTAAGTTCTACAAGAAACCCACAGTTCACAATCCCAGAGGAAGATAGATTATGTCACGTGACTTAAACCTTTGTAATGCCCCTAGATAAATGAGTTAAGTTGAGGGGATCCTGAAATTGTTGGGTACATGTAATTGTTTATTTTCAGGAGAGGGCGTGTAGCTCTTACTATATTCTTAGAGAGTTCCATGACCCCAAAATATTGCGCATTGCCCTAGATGTTTGTCTCAATTTTAGCATCATTTTTATTCTTTGATCTTGTCTAGACTTGACTTCATCTGATTTGATTTCAACTTAAGCTACAAATCTGCTTAATTCTGGTTATGGATTTGGAGGGTTTAACGAAAAGACATTATAGAACTGTCATAGTTTTGATGACATACTTTATGCCACAGAGTATGTAATTTTGCATTGTACAATTTAGGAAGCTTAGTGCCAGAACATGTATTCATGTGTCTACTTGAATTTTACATCTCTCCCCTTAAGGTTGTTCTGGCCAACAATATGCTTGAGGCTCCCCATACTCCAATATGCTTGGCACTTTGTGGCAAGATTTTCATGACTTTGTTTGAAAAAGAAAGAAAAGAGTACTGAAGGCTTTAGAATATATTTAATTTTCGTAAGGAGCTAGGTAGTATTATTGGAAGAGCATTATGCTCTGAGTTGGAATTCCTGTTGTACTCCTTGGTAGGTCTGTAACTGTGGGGAAGTGGTTAATGTCTCACTGTCTTCATCAGTAAAAGTGGATGATAATATCTACCTCAAAATATGGTAATATATAAAGCAGCTAATTCAGAACCAAACATGTAATAAAGTTTAAATAGTATATTCTTCTCCCTACTTTTTATTAGTGTTGTCCACATTTTCCTGAAACAGAAGTTGTCCCCTATTAAGAAACTTCTCTTAATTTTACTGGTAGATTATGATGTTTGTTATTGCCATGCATATTTGCCAAGGGATCTAAAAACATCAAGAATTTTCAGATTATTTCATAGACATGGGTTCCTTAATTTGAACCAGATAAAAGGAGATCAAGGAAGCAGAGAGATTCATATATGTAGGATTATCACTTAGAAAAAAAATTGTTTTGTCATATTCTCATAGTATTCTGTATAGTGCTTCTCCCTTTTCAAAGAACTTTTCTGTTTTCTCATATTATCCTTAGAATCAGAAATGGGGGACTAAGCAAGAGAGAAAATATTTTTAGAATCTCAGGTACAGTTATTTAAGGGCCATCATTTGTACCTTGCTAAAAATAGCTCCTCATCAGAAAACCAGTGATGACATCTACTGTGTAAAAATATAGTGGGTGGACTTCTAGTGTGCCCAGGATTTATTTGGAGTTCTTTCTTGGTCATGGCATTTTTACCTTTCTGGTTCTTTATTAGTTCATTTATAAAGCTAGAGGGTAGAGTCTGTGATTTCTAAAGTATTTTTACTTCTAAAATTTTATGGTTCTATTTTATTTTTATTGTTGATCATTACACAATTTGGCAACTTAATTAAAATCACTCCACATTCTGTATACAAAGATAACTGCACCATGATTCAGAATAGTAAGGGTATTTTAAATTTCCTTTTATACGTTTGTTTTATATATTATGAGGATAAAATGTTTAACATATTGGGTTTTTCTTCTTCCATGCATGCCATATGCATTAAATAAATGGCAGTCGGCAGACCACAGGGCAGCTTGGGACTCCCAGCAGGCAAATCCCCACCATTTGAGAGCTCACCTTGCAGCAGACAGACATGGTGGCTCGGTACAGGTATTTTCTGATTTTTGCATGAGTGATTATTACCCAGATTTATACAACTAACCCTTTTTTTTGGAACTCATGGCATGATTTCATATCTTAATGGAAAATTTGTTGCTGAACTACTCTATCCATAATTCTATTCCTTTGTTATTTAACCAGAAAAACCAAAATTAACGTGGTCTAGAAAGACCATCAGGAATACCAAGATTTTTCCTTTGTTCATTTTTGCAACTATATGCTACAATATTTAAGTCATATAGCAGATTAGAAAAACAAACGGTATTATGCTTGAAATAGGTATTAAACTTGACTTTCCAATAATAAGATCAGTCTTTTTAATGCTTAAATTAATAGAACATTTTTGTATTTTTTCCCATTCATTGACTTTGCCTCCTTCAAACATAATCAGTTAAATATCTTTTTTCATCCTTAGTACTCAGAATGTACTTTCTGATTAATTGTTCAAACGAACATGACCCTAATTTTTATAATACATGTTTTGTTTGTACTTATAGAAAATATCAGATGGAAATTTTAATAAGAAGTGTTTATTAAATACTCCCCTCAATAAATTGTATGGCTTTTTAGATAAATTCAAAGCAGTCCCTTATTTATGATTTGTTTCTTTTCACCTTTTTTATACACTTAGAGACCGCTACTATATATATTCTGCCCTCCGTTGCCCCATAAATTTTAATCATTTATGTATATTGTAGAAATAGGGAAAGATTGCTGAGTCTCGTATTGTCTTTTAAAATATCGGTTTAAGGTAATCTAAAAGCCAGCTTAAAGTAAGTGAGATAACAAATGTTATCCCAGTACATTTCAATTTAGAATTTTTTTTACATTTTCATTTTTTTCTTTACATATTTTCACTTGAATAATTTGCCATTTTATCAAATTTGCATTTTTCTTAGTGTATATATTTAATCAACTGATTCTGTACTCTGGGTGCTATTCTTTCTTGATTTGAGTTCTAAAAATTAAATTATGATTAAATCTTATGAGCCCTCACGTTTTTCTCATCATTAAATTTTAGAGGTAATTTAAATTATATAATGGAGTACTTTTGTAGAATTTTGCAGTTTATGGAATTTTCAGTAATGTGTGGTAGACTTATTTGAGTAGATCTATAAAAGTCTAGGGTGAAGAACTTAGAGGCAAGAGTGTCTAAATTGTAAAAATTTTTATGACTTCAATTCATATAGTTAGAAAAGCTAATTCAGCAAATATATTCTATTTGCATAACACAAACTATATTTTGTATGTATCTGTATATGTTTACATGTTTTTAAGTTTGTGTGTATGTGTGCAAGTGTTTTTGCTCAGTGTAACAATTAAGGCACTATTAGAAAATTTTCCTACCATTTCTGTACCATTACCAGATTTATTTTCTTAGCCTCTTCTTACTCTTATGTGATTCCTTGAGGTGGCTCGTGGGATTCCTTTGGACTGTCAAAGGGTGAATGAATTTCATTATTCATTCATTATTTCACTACTTCACGTTTATTGTTTCACATGTTTTCACAGAGATGTTTGAACATTGCTCGTTTCTCATTATTTCTAAGAGTTTTCAGCGTACTGAGACTACATCTGACTTCATCCTAATATTCAATAAGTGATTAACTTAATAGGTTTCTAGTAATATGGAAATACATAGGTAAAACAAAGAATAGTATTTTCATTGACTTCATGTATTTTGTAATATTAACTGACACATGATATGATGGACTAATATGACAGCCTAAGTAGGATCATGCCTGAATCCTTCCCACTCCAAAATAAAGACTGAATTCATTTATAATTTATGTCCTATACACTTTCAAAATTATTTGAAAATTTGTAATGTGACCCTTGTGTAATTGGACTAATGAAATTATAAATTAAAACGTAATAAGAGCAAAGAAAAGTACCTAAAATTTGAACTGATATTATAATTGAATACTATATTTGATTCTGAATGAAGGCAGAAAGGGAAACAATATGTTCTATTAATATTATTCTCATTGTTTGATAAAGGGAGGAGAGAAAGAGAAAAAAACTTTTCAGTAATACAAAAATATGAGAAGAATTTGCCTTGGGCTTATTTGTGCAATGGTCATTAAATCACCTGTTGAACAAACTTTCAAGCATTGGCTTTACAGGAGATGCAAAGACTTTATATGGCAATTAAAAAATTATTCTTAATAAACATACTAAGAGTATGTCATCAAATAGTTTTTTTAGGAGAGACATTTCCCTAATTAATAAGTCACTGTCTGGTATTGAAATGTGACGCAGGTTTAGGATATCCAGAAACAGAATCAAGTTACTTAAAATGAGCCTCGGTAAGACTATGGCTTTCACTCCTCACTATCATTGCAGTCTTTTCCTTGGAACTGATCATTGCTGTCAGTGAAGCACTGAAAATCATTCCAGGCTGTTTAGAGTTGACATGTAAGATGAAACCTCTTGCCATTTTTGACCTATAGAAAGATCCTCAGGTATTTATTTCACATGTACTTTTAGTAGAAGTTATCAGCAGAGTCTAAATTTGAACTCCCTGCCTTTCCAGAATTATTATATAGCAGACCAGACAGAGTTACCAAGTTGAGAGTTACCAGGTTGATGATGTTGCAATTAAGAGCTTAAGCTCTGCAGTCAGATTTGAGTTCAAACTCTGTGCCAAGATTATTTATTAGTAAATGAGGATTTTAACAATTCCTCTACCTTATGGTTTTGTTATGAAAATTTAATTTAAAAAGTATTTAGCATAGATGTTGAGGCTTAGGAAGTGTTAGATAAGTAGAATCTATTGTTTTTGCAAATTAAGAAACTTGAGTAGTATTTTCATTTTATTGATCTCTGGGAAGTGAAGTATTAGAGGTACAGTCAAAAGAAAGCATTGATGAATGGGATTTTTCTTATTTTATCTCTTTAGTTCAGTCATGTTAAGTCACTAGCTAAAAAGATACAGCTGTACGTTTGATAAACTTTTTCCATTCACGAGACTAAGAATAATATTCAGATATCTACTACCTTTATTTTGTATCAGCCTGTGTTCTGGAAAACCCCTAGGGGAATCAAGTGTGCCCCTCTCGGTTCCCTCTTAGAATCATTGGTAGTAATAAATATGGCTGAGAAACTCAGACCTACCACATTCAGTTTCTTGGCCATTCATTACTCAGCAAATTGCTAAGTGTTCATTATGTGCTAGGCTCTTGTAGGTTTTCTTGAATGAAAAGAAGTGTGTAAAGACATGGTGGCTGTGTCCATGAAGAAGTCAGTCAAGGAGGCTGATGAACAGGCAGGGTGATAAGTGGAGATAGCACAGGGTACTAGGAGAATTGATACGAAAAGCACCTAACCTGGATGAGTCAAGACTTTCTGGGGAAAGTGACATCTAAACTGAGACGTAAAGAATCAGTGGGAGTTAATCAACTGAAGATAGAAGGGGTCAAGAGAGGAGTATACCAGGCAGAGAAGACAATATGAATAAGGTTGTGGAGAGAGAGACATATTGAGGAAGCTGATTTAGTCAAGCTGGTGTGTGTTGAGAAATGAGACTGAGAAGGTAGGCTGGAGGTAAATCATGAAGGATCTAACGGGTCTTGTTACTAAATTTGGCTTTATTCTGAGGATAATGGGTAGCCATAAGGGGGATTAGGAGACCAAATTTGACTAGTGTTTTCTAAAGATTGCGTTTGCTGGACACTAGATTGAAAGGAGACAAGTCTAAATGAGGGATACAGCTGTCAAAAGTCTGTAGTTGAGGAAAAATGTTGGGTAGTGGGGATAAACAAGAAATGAAAGGCTTTGAAAAGAATTAGAAGGTAGAGTTTAGTTGGGTATGGGGCTGACGGGAAAGGAAAAGTTCAGTTGTTACCCCTTTTTGACATGTTTCTACATGGCAAATCAAGATCCCCAAAATTAGGTTTTAAAATATACCACTGACAACAGATAGTAGTAATCTCTAATTCCATTTTAGCTATGCTTTTCACTGTAGCACAAATCCATCGAGCTCAGTGCAAACTGAAAATCTGATCCTATATAGAGGCAACTGTAAGCAAAGGGAAAAAGACAAACATTAAGGACACTGCTGGAAAACTATTTTACATGGTTGTACTATGTACATGTACTATGTATACCTCCTGATTGTTTGGAAATCTCTTATAGTTGTACAGTCTTTGGTTTGAATCTAATGAATAATGTGACTCTGAGCACTTGGGAGAAAAAGGGGCAGAATTACAAATGGTGCAGATATGTTGTGCAACCAGGCATTGTTGAGGAAAACGAAAGAATAACATTCATTGTTGTAATAAGCAGTCTGATCTTTTAGCCAGTGAAGCATCAGAACAAATAAATACAGTTGGTGATAACTGAAAAGGATTATCTTGAGATGATAATAAATGTATCTTGAGATGATAATAAAACGTGATTAAAAGTCTAGAGGAATAGTAGATACTATTGTCTCAATTACATTAATCGTGAATACTGACCTTTCTAAAACATTTCTAATACTAGTTTCAGTCTACAAAATATTTGAAAATGCAGTTATTAACAAGGAACAAAATCTAGTGACTATTACAATCACATCTTTCTATTCATAGTTTTCTGGGGTACTGAAATCTGCAAAAGAGAGATTGTGGAGGGAGTATGGTTATGTGCCTTTATTACATAAATAATTTATAGTTCATCTAGTTTAGGAAATTCCTTATCTAGTATCATTGGGGTAAATCAGCATTATGAATTTATTTTTTTTTTACAATAACATTTACAGTAACATCTCTGAAGACTGGGATGATCAAGGAAAATAATTATCCTAAGTGAAAGTTAATTGAAAATCCATTTTGGCTTATCTTTGTTGAAAGTTGGTGAGCATGTCACTATCTGTGCTTTAGGGTCATCTTTTGGAATACCAAGAGTATCAATTATACCTTTAGTCTTTAGGATATGTAAATAAGTTGGTTTCATATAGTATATGTATACTTTAGCACAGGTTCAGGAAATTATTTGGAAGTCACTCTTTTAACTGTTAATATATCTCATTAGTGTGCTTTCTTATAGATGCCTTTTTAAAAAGCTGAATACATAAATAAAATATATAATGTTTTAGTATTTCTAATACATTATTAGATGAGAATTTGGCTAATTAAAATATTTGGTTAATTCATACATTGTATCAAGGTTCTACTTAGTAATCTTGCTTACAAGGTATCAAATAGAAATTAGGAAGACAGGAGGGGCGTGGTGGCTCATGCCTGTAATCCCAGCACTTTGGGAGGCTGAGGCGGGTGATCACTTGAGGTCAGGAGTTCGAGACCAGCCTGGCCAACACGGTGAAACCCCATCTCTACTAAAAATACAAAAATTAGCCAGGCATGGTGGTGCACACCTGTAATCCCAGCTACTTGGAAGGCTGAGGCAGGAGAATCGCTTGAACCCGGGAGGTGGAGGTTGCAATGAGCCAAGATCATGCCACTGCACTTCAGCCTGGGTGACCGAATAAGATGCCATTTCAAAAAAAAAAAAAAGAAAGAAAGAAATTAGGAAGACAGTAGTATAACTAATTTGTATGAATTCATTATATTTGGAAAGTACATTAATTGATTTTAAAAATCATTGACAATAAAAATACTATATGTTATGTCTGTACTCTGAAATCTATAAGAATAACATCTTTTGGAATTGGATTTGTCAGGCATCTGTTAAGTTTACAATTATGTCTCACACTTGCTTGTGGGCTGTTTTTCCAACATCCCTCTTAAATTCTGACAGTAAAACTGGAGTCTAGTTGCCTTTTTTTTTTTTTTATCTTCTTAAAATAAGAACCGTATTAAGTTTCCTGTCAAATTGGGAATGTCAGAGGGAATTTTTTTTTAAGAACAACAACAATCCTGTATAATACCTGAATTATTTTTTGAAATGTCAAACCTCAGAATATCTGTCATTTTTATGTGCTTTCAAGAAATCAGCCTGATGTACACTAGTATTTCAGAGACTCATCTTCTAGTTCAAGTTATAATTCTAGAAATGTCACTTTAATAGAATTATTCTTTAGAATTTGGCTTATAAAAATATTTGTGCATATTTGATTGTTTTAGCCTTCCAGGAGTATAATGATATATTATTTACAGTAGTATATCTTCATTTCTTCTTTGTAAAACCCTTTTGCAAAAAGACACAAATTTTAAGTGAAAATAATTTTAATGCCATGATACACTCTCAAGTCACCGGTGTTAAATAGGCCAGTTTATGAAAGTCAACAGCAGTATCCTATCTTAACTCTGTTACCACAGTGATTCTATTCTGAACTTGGGATACTAGCCTTTACTGAGAGGATTGGGGAATCTGGGAAACCCTGGAAAAATTACATTAAAGGAAGATGTTGCTTCCTTCTGGTCTGGTTCTGGTCAACCAGGTAAAATGGGGTTTGAAACATTTCAATAAAATAAAGTTTACCAAAGTCAGGTATAAAAAGTCTTCCTCTGTGAACTGAAGTAAATCCGATTATATAATTACAGTGTATATATAGTCACTGTTGCTAGAAAATATGTAATGTTGCTAGAATTTAGACTACCTGAGTTTTTCATTTTCAATTATGCTGCTTAAAATAAGGGAAGACATGTTAGAGGAGCTGCCTGTAAGTTGAGGTGGCATCCCGCTAGCTGTCTAGGGCCATTGAACTAAAGGGAGAATAGGAAACCTGTTGAATAGTATGTTGAGAAAAGAGCAGTGGAAATTGTTCAGTGAACTGTTTGATTATGTACTGGATACAGGCACTCTGTTCAAGGTAGTGGAGAATATGTGAGATAAGAATACTACTTTGTGTCTCCTTTCCAATTTAGTGCAGAGGCAATGACATTTTCAAAATTAAGAATAAAGAACAAAATTATGTTCAATAATTAGAAAAAATAATTATTTTTAAATGTTTTCAGAGAGAGAGAGAGAAAAATAAAGAGAAAAAATTTACAGTTCAATAGAATGACAGAAAGGGGGAAGCAAGTGCCCCAGAAAAGGAGAGGCATGCTTAGATGTAAGAATATTCTTTTCTTTAGATTGCCTTTGAAGATTATCAAGGCAGTTTTGTATGTTTTCAGCTGTAGGCACAACTGCAGTGTTCATTTCTAAGTACTTATTCCATATAGGATATAGGAAACTGAATTTCTACAATTCCTAAGTTAAATATGTTGGTTGATTTGTAGATATTAATACTTTCCTTGGAGTTGGAGAGGGTCCTGTTTCTCTACACTAAAGTGTCAGATCTAGAAGGACAGGGATGTTTATCTTGCTTACTTTGGTATTCCAAATACCTAGAACAGTGCCTAAGCATGTTGTAGACTAAAGTAAGAACTTAGAAATATGAGGTACTATAAATACTACTTTTAAGTCTAATAGTCAGTTGTCAACTCTGTAGCCCATGACAGGGTTGCTAACCTTTTATTTCATTTAAAGAGATTAGGTAGTGGGTAGGAGGGGCATCAAAGAGAATTCTTAGATTTTTGAGCCTGGAAGTCTGGAAGATGGGAGGGCTTTAACTGAAATGGGAGCCTTGGGAAGAGAATACATTTCAGAGGGAGTAGGATAAATTTGCCTTTAGAAATGCAGAGTTTAAGGTGCCAAACTTGGCTTAGCAAACTGAGGATATGGGTGAGTGGTTAGGCCCAGGGAGTCCTTTACCTAGAGGTGAGAGTTGAAGCCATCATTATAGATAAAACATAGTGATAATGATGGCCACCATTTATTGACCTCTTCCCATATGCCAGGCACTGTGCTTTATATATTAACATTTATGTATTGATCTCATCTCACCCTCATATCAACCTTGTTAATTAGATGCTACTGTTCACCATTTCATACTTGAGAACACTGAGGTTTAGCAAGGTAAGGTATCTTTCCCAGAGTCTCATAGCTGGTAAGTGGTAGAGCTAGGCTTTGAGTCTAGACCCATCTTACTCCAGAATGATCAGCTAGCGCCAAGTGATTTGATGTACAAGAAAATGAGGCACCGAGCAAAGTGTCCTGAATACATTTTCTAGGAATCATTAGTAACCTTTAAGATAACTCTTATTAGAGTTCTTATGTAGGGTTGGAGAACTGATTGCAAGGAGTAAAGGAATAAACACATGGAAAATTTTATAAAAATGGAAGTGGTGAGTTATATATTTTTTTTTTCCAAAAAGTTTAGTGATAAGGGAAAAGGAAGAAATAATAAGGTAAATTTGCAGAAACAAGAGAATTTGGGAGAATTTGGGAATTTCCTCATTTTTATCTTGTTTCAGGATTTCATTCATGCATACATGCATTCATTTATTTCAACGTATATTTATTGAGTTCCTATTCTCTGCGAGACATAGCAGGAAACAATACAAGGTCTCTCTTATCCTGGAGCTTAATTTTAATGGAGGTAGGGATGGATGTCAAGAAACACAACAAATAAATGAGCAAGCAAATAAGAAAAACATGAATACTGATAAATACTGTACAAATAATTTAAAATAGGGTGTAACATAATTTCTGTGCTGTGTCAGCATAGAAATTTTTAGCTGTGTGATAGAAAAGGCCTGTCTCAGAGATGCTGTTTGAGAATCTGAAAGATGAGAAGTCAGCTAATAAGTAGGAAGAGAATTCTAGGCAGTGACAATAGGTAATGCCAAGGCCTTTAAGTGGGAAGAATCTCGACATATTGGATGGAGGCTAGTGAGCTTCAGAGAAGATGGTGTAAGCTCAGAGAGGTAGGCAGGCATCACATCATGTGGGACTTTGTCAATTTGTGTAAGGAATATAGATTTTTTATTCTAAGTGAAACGGGAAGCCAACAGTTGGAGAGTTTTAAGCAGAGAGCTATACATGATGTGATTTGCATCTTAAAAGGAGCACCCTGATTGCTGTGTGGATAATACATTTGAGTGGGGGACAAAGCTGAAGACTAGATAATAGGTTTTTGCTCTTAATCACATAAGAGATCATAGTGGCTTGGACTGGAGTCCTTGTAGTAATAGAGATGGTGAGAATTGATTAGATATGGGATATGTTTGGAGAAGGATTTAACAGGATCTGCCATTTATGGATTAGATGTGGGTTTTAAGTTAAAGAGGAATCACAGTGACCCCTACGTTTGAACAACTGGGTGAATGAATGGTGTTGTCTCTATTTAAATGGGCAGTTTGAAATGGAGACTTGAGCATAATTGCAGATTGAAGTGAAGGATCCATTAGAAGGAGTAATATTGAAGTTTTTCAATATTCAAGGAAAGTAATTCATGATATAGCAAGGTGCCAGAGGACATAGACACACAAGAGGAAACTGATTGAGACATACATGCAGGAGTTAGCCTTAAAAACCAGAGGGAAGGAGACAGAAGACACAGATTTCAATAAGGAAAGGAAGTAAGTTGAAAAGCGCATATTAGATGACTTTAATCTTTAATAAAATGCTAGACCAATTACTGTATTTAGTTATGAACAGCTACATATTGTTTTGTGTTCCTCACATTAACTTTCTAATTGAAATACTTTAACAATTATGTTTATCCTTGTATAACCTATTTAATATGTATGTATATTTATGAGCATGTGTGTGTACATATACATATATAAAAAATTTTTTTTTCAAACAGGTTGTAAGTTCTACAAATGGAGAGTTAAACACAGATGACCCCACCGCAGGACGTTCAAATGCACCCATCACAGCCCCTACTGAAGTAGAAGTGATGGATGAAACCAAGTATGTGTTTGTTTTACTTGTTTTAGTAACTTTTTGTTCTTAAATTATGCATGCTTGAGATTTATAGTTACATACAATTATTTCAGGAAATTTTTTTCAGGGAATAGGTGCATGCAAAACAAGTGGTATGCTTAATTATTTTAATCACTAGAATGAGTTTAAAATAGTGCTATTCCAGTAAACATTTTAATAATACAAAATATTTAAGAACTGTGTTCAAATTCTTATTTGGAATTAACAACATATTTTTAGCTTTTGAGTTTTAGGAGTGTTGATGCATGAAAGTTATTGATGTACTATCAATCTTTTTTCTGTAAGCATAAGAAATTAATTTTATAAAATGCATGTTTTAATATTTTGAATTAGTTTTTTCAAAACATAAATTATAACAACATTGCTTGGAAAAAATTAAGCATGAAAAACAATGTGATAATTTCAATGTGAGCTGTTTCTGATTCTCTCTCTCTCTTTTTTTTCCTTGTATTTTTTTTTTTGTGTGTGCGTATAGCTGCCAGAAAGTGTTGAACATGTGGTGAGTCTCAAGTGTAGGCAGGCAGAAATAGCTCCATTGACTGTAATTTCAAAGATTTAGCATCATTTTGTGTCTTTTGAAAACAAAACTCTCAACACAGTGATTATAATTGGTAAAAGTTATTCAAAAGTATTTGATATCATTAAGATAGCTCTGAAAAGCAAGAAATAATTGTTTGAGGAGCTCTTTTGCCTGCTGCAACTTTTTTACTTTAAGTGACATAGATTTGGGGCCACTTTTTAATTGCATAGATGATACACCAACCCTGCTTGTGCTTGTGCATTTGTTTTATAATAGTTTTTATTTGCTATTTAAATAGAAAGATAGATTTTTGCATTAAGCTTTCTTTTTTCTCTTTGCAATTGTTAAATACATGTAGCAGATCTCATCCCCCACAGTAGTATCACTAAAACAGTATTTCATTTACTAACCAATTATCATTGCCCTTGAGTACAATATTGATAAATTTCATGATAACCTTGTAGTGAGAAAGCCATTTTAAAAATCCTCATCTAAATGGTTGCTAATAATTGCAGATATTATGGAAAGTAACATTAATAGAAATAATTTTAGATTTAAATTATTTTCTGACATTTGCCTTTAATTGTAATACTGTGCTTAAAATGCTTCTCTCAGTTTCAGGACAAATTTTGAGTCAGACTGGGAGTGAATAAAGGAAGTTGCTTAGTTTAGTAAATTTTGAAATATTTTACTCATATCTAAAGGCACCTTATATAATTTTCAAAATTATGCTCATTTGTTGGCTGCAAAATTAGGAAACTTTTGTGGATTTTTTTTTGTTAAAGAGCAGTGATTAAGAATCCATTTTAATCACTTTTGACTATAGAATTTATTGACATAAGATTAAGACTAGTGTATGTCAGGATATAATTAGCTATATACTTGTATATTTTTATGAACTACAGAAATAAATCCGTGAAAGTATAGTCTTACTTGTGTGTTTTTAAATCAAATATAAAAACAACAGCTTATGTTTGGGAATTTTAGGTACAATCCTAAGACAGGAAAGTAGGGTGGTGGTGTGGCAGATTCGACTGCACATGTCCTTTGCAGTTAGACATAGGTTATAGAATCCTGTTTCTGCCACTTATTTGTTACCTTCAAGAAAGCTTGTTTCTTTTTCTGTAAAATGAAGCTAATAATACCTACTTCATAGGTTGAGAAAATTAAATGTGATAAAGCCCTGGTATTTTGTCTGGCACACGGCAGGTACTCAATAGCTATTATCACCCCTATTTATTTCTTCTCTTCCAACTGCTGGTGACGTTTCTCATCTCTGTTCTTGGGCTTGTGCCTCTTTTATCTGTGTCCTATATTTTTACTTCCATACACACACTCTTCACTGAAACTGGCTGTTCTGTGTTTACATCCTCCTGGAGACTTGCTTTTAATAAAATCTATTACATTTATCCATTTATTCATTCAGCAGTTACACTGCTGAGGTTTCTGACATACCTGATGCTGTCCTTGTTCTTAAGTAGATTACAAGCCAGCAGGAAGATTGCAGTTGTACTAGTATATGTCAGTATGTGATTAATACGATAAAAAAGGTATTTTAAAAAATGGTTAGAGCTTGTAAAGATAAAGATTACTTCCTGACCTGGATGATCAGAGAATACTTGATGGAGGTGGCTCTGAAGAATGGCACAGTTATTTAGTTGGGATGAGTGTGGGTGTGTGTTTGGGTCCCTATCTGTAGACACTGGAGGATGTGAAAGAAGAAAGTGGTGGGAAGGCTATTGCTATAGGAAGGGTTCTCCATTGCCTGCCACATCATGTCCAGATTTCTTGGCATGGCACCAAGGCTTCTCATACCTGTCATAGTCTGGCCCATCTATTTTTGCAGCTCCGTTTTCCATTCTGAACTTTATATAGCATTGGTTCCTTAAATCTGCATTTGCTATGTTATCCTCTGTATGTACTTCCCACTTCTTGAAACTTACTGAATTTCTTGAAAACAGGTATTTTTTCATCCTCAGATTCCTAGTGGCTATATGTCCTAATAAATCATTACTAAATAATTAACAATGTGGTATACCCATACAATGGACTGCCATTTGACAATATAAAGAAATGAAATTGAAAACATTGTGCTAAATGAAAGGAGCCAAACACAAAAGGCCACATGTTATGTGATTCCATTTAAATGAAATGTCCAGAATAGGCAAATACATAGACATCAAAAGATTAGTGATTGCCCAGGGCAGGGAAGAGGAGGATGGGATTTCTTTATGGAGTGATGGAAATGTTCTAAAATTAGATAGTGGTGATAGCTGCTCAATTCTGAATACTAAAAGACACTGAATTATATATTTTGAAAGGATAAAGTTTATAACGTGAAAAATATCTTAATAAAATGGTTGTTTTAAAAAAAGTATAGCAACTCATAATATCAGTGAAGCCTTACTTCAGGTGGGTTAGGTAGGTTACAGAAATCCTCAGAACTTTCCTACCTCTTTGCTGATTAAACATTCTATTTAAACAAGATTTTTTCTTTAGGTTTATTCTGACATTTCTACACGTTTGTTATTGTGTTCCTCATACCCTCTTAATCTGTGACTAAGAAATTTGAGCATGATTTTTTTTCTTTTTTAAGAGATGGAATCTTGCTGTGTTGCCAAGGCTGGCCCTGAACTATTGGGCTCAAGTGATTTTCCTGCCCCAGCCCCCCCAGTAGGTGGGACTATAGGTGCACACCATCATACCCAGCTCCTTTTCTAAATTGCATCTTATACTTCTCTTCTCTGTGCCACCATTTGACACGTAACTAGGGACCTGCTTAGAATTTTCTTTCAGAATTTCTTTTTCATCTTTCTTCTTACCTATAATTAGCAGAGATCCTTCTCACCCCACCCCATTTACTAGAATGTATTCTATAATGCACATTTTAGCATCCTCATGTTTCCTGAGAATAGTATCTCATTGGGGTAAATACTTGATTTCCAAATGATGGAAAATACTCTATTCTCCCATATGGAAAATGATGGAAAAGCTGATTAGCTTCATTAGTAATGAGGTTTTGTCTTTCTTGTTTACTGTAGCTGAGAATTTTAAGACAGGTAATACAAATGATAGCACCTTCATCATTCCTTCCAGGAACTTAGGAAAACAAAATAATTTAGTTTAATTATTTACTTTTTAAGTAGTATGAAACCATCCTTTATTCTTTCTCTTTCCTTCTTCCAACATTTACCGAACAGATTATCATGTTTTGTAATGTGATGATTATTAAGGTATGTCAAAGTTTGCATACCATTAAGTTGGTTGGAAAGTATACTAACAACTTTTATACAATGGTTCTCAACCTTGATTTCACATTATAGTCACCTAGGGAGTTTTAAAGATGTACTAATACTTAGGCTGTATTTTCAAGGTTTCTGATTTTACTAGTTGGTCTGTGGTGGGGCCTGGTTATCAGTATTTTTAAAAAACTTCTAAGGTGACTCTAAGGAGCAGCCAGGGTTAAGGATCATTGGTCTAATACAAAGTATTACATGATTAGCACTATAGGAAAGGGATAATTTTTACTGGAGTTCAGAAAATGGAGTATGTCCTCCTAGTTGGGAAGATCGGAGAAGTCCTCATGGGTAAGGATGCATTTACACTAGTTCTCAAAGATGAGAATGATTTGGCAAGGGAAATGGATAGAAGGAGTCAGAGAGAAGAGGTTGACGCAAGGAAAGAATTGAACCAGTTGGAGGAGTAACTCATGCAGGCAGAGAATATATGAACACGTTAATGAAAACTGAGATAGGCTAATTTCCCAATCTCAGAGGGCCTTGGTAGCCAGTAACCAAATTTGGACATTATCTTTCTCAGCACAAGAAAGGAAGCCAAGAAATGACATGTGGTTTTAAGCCAAGAAACAATATGATCAGGTTGATCCTTAGGAAAATTAATTTGGCAGCAGTTATGAGGCTTATGTCACTTCCTGGGGTTCAGCAGATTGCAGAAAATGGTTTAAAAATATAAATTAAGTTTTCCTATGAAACTAGATGGATAATTTCTATTTTGGGTTAGTATTCTCTAGTAAACAAACTATTCCTTAAAAAATGTTTTAAGATTATAGTATTGGACCATTTGTTTAGTTTCTATAATACTAAGTGTTCAGGACTTTGATAGTCTCTAGAACTGTAAAGATAAGTAAAGAATAATTTATTTCCTCAAGAGATCAGTTCAGTGAGGAAGAGAGAGGTATAAAAATTATAATACAAAGTGACAGAGACTGTATAACTCTTTTGGGAGAGAGCAAATGGATTTTAAGTGGAAAGAAGAGCATGTGCAAAGATACTGAGGTAAGAAATCCCACGTGGTGTGTTCTGGGAATGACAAGGAGATTTTTGCTTTTTCTTACTTTTCCCTTCCTTCCATTCATAGTATAGGCCACCTGGGAAGGAAGCCTAATGGAGAATGAGACTAAGAGGAGGGTGGAAATAGGTTGGGAACAAAATTCTTGAAGAGCTCTGTGAACTTAATGCTTTAGTCAATGGAGAATCATTGATGAGATTTGAGAGGAAAAGGGCATGGCATATTTATGATGGGGGCAATTTGGATGGCAGATTGGAGAGAGGAGAGACTTAGACTGGGAAGTCCTTTAAAAGGTGCTTAGCAGTGGTGGAGGCAAGTTGAAAAGTTCAGAACTCAGCCAACATGAGAAAATGGGAAAATTTTGAAAGTCATTTCAGACTTAAGGGACTAGTTGCAAGTGGATAGGGAGGAAGAAATTGGAGATGAAGATGGGCCTGCAGGCTTTTGGTTGGAGTAATTTTGTAGATGATCTTGTTCTCTGATCTAAACTCTTCTTGCTTAGCTAAATGGTTCCTCGTTTTTTCTTTAAATCAAGAGATCCAGAGATATGAAATTACACTTCAGGTTTAAACCTTAAGGGGAAATATTCTTTGTCAAAGAATTAAAGATTAGATGCCATAAAATATACTTTCTGTACACTCATCAACCCAGGTCAGGAGAAACTAGGTTCTGGAGTCCTACGTGGTTAGTTCTAGGAGGTACCAACAGTCTCTCAACCAAAGGATGAGCAATGAGTCATCTTAGAAGGGATAAATAAGAACATCATATCCAGATAGGGAAACATGCTTCAGTTTCTGGGTGGATTTGAGAGAAGGAAGTATATACAAATATATGAAGAAAAAGGCAATGAACAAAGGAGAAATGGTGGTGCGGTGTCAATAGCACAAGCCTGTATGTGTTTTAGGACTTTGATCCATTTTGATTGCCTGTTTGTTGCCTAATTGTATTTAAAGAAACTAAGGTTGTTTCTAAAGTTCATCATAAGTAGGACTTAACATATATTCCCAAAGAATTTTAGAGTAGAGATGTAGCTTCACATTTTGAGAGGCTGAGGTGGAAGGATTGCTTGAGCTCAGGAGTTTGAGACCAGCCTGGGCAACATAGTGAGATGTTGTCTCCACTAAAAATAATGAAAAAAAAATTTACCAGCTCGGCGCCTGTAGTCCCAGCTACTCAGGAGGCTGAAGTGGGAGGACCACTATTAAATAAGTACTAACTTTGTGCCAGTTTGTTGGGCTATAACTGTGAGCAGTCCTTTATGAAGCTTAAATTCTAGTGCAAAGGCAGATAATAAATAAATAAAATAATTTCAAAGTAGGAGTAAGTTATTACAGAAAAATAAAACAATAGTGTGCTCAAGTGGCTACATGGGAGCAGCACTGTTTCAGATTAAGTGCTGGGGAAGAGGAAGCAATTGAGATGAGACCTGATTTCTTAATCTCTAAGACTATAAATTAGCTGTTTCGGTAATTACTTTTATCTTAAGAAATAAGCCATAAGGTTAAAACATCAATTTACTTCCTAACTTCTGTAAGTATATCGTATTTTGAGAACCTCTCTCTTGTCTATTTGGATGCATTTGTATCACATAAGGCAATGCTGTCCTCTGGTGGTAGTAACTTTAATAGCATGCCAGCTTTACTTTTGCAAATCTTTATAAGGACGTTCTTTATTTAGTGGGAATTATTTAAAATAGATGTCCTTTTTAGATTGTGTTTGAATTTAAGGGCCATTAGAATTTATTTGAAAATCTTATTTAGTCTCAAATAAATGCTTGGCGTAGTTCAGTAAAACACTGTTGAAGGAAAGATTACTTAAGTGTAAAGAACTCAACTCTCAGAACTCAACTCTCAGAACTCTCAGTACTGGAAATACAAACTAAGCAAAGTAAATTGCTGATACAAGTGTAGAAAATTTGGGACTTTGTCTTGTTCATCAAAATGTGTATTACATTAAATTGCCCATTTCAAAGGGCTAATACAACTTTAGAAAATTTTGAAAGAATCTACTTTGGAATTTGAAAGGATAGTGTTTAAGAATAGTGAACATTATTAAAGGAATTTTATATCAAACAATAAATTTCCATTGAAATATGGCCATATTCTTAAATTTAATATTCTAAGTATTTGGTCTGTCACTTCTAAATACCTATTTTTATGTCTTGCTTTCTGCTATTTGGATATTTTTCTGCTCTTTTCTAAGTCTTAAATTTAAAGGTTCATTTGGAGTAAAGGATTTTATCTTTTAGAAAGTAATTGAGATTTGAGAAATATTAGGTAGCTGACAGTTAAAAATAAATTTGACTTATTTTTTTAAATCCAGATCAAATCTCTTACATGTGTAGTCTTGTTGTACTGTGGCAGCTCTTCTCTAGGCTCTTGACTGGGTAATCCATTTCAGTTCTTTCTGCTAGTCACCTCCATGAGAGTAAAGTTGATAAACATTCATCATTACATATATTTCTAGTTGAATCTTTATCAGCTGGTCCACAATTTTAAATTATTTACATTCCACGGTCTAGTCGGTGTTTACTGTTTGGTTTACTTAAAAAAATGCAGTTGTGTAATTTGGTTTGCAGTACCCTCATAGTAGTTTCATAATTATGGCAGAAATCACAATAAATAATTTAAAATTATTTTTGACTAAAGATAATGTGGGTAGAGAGATTATGTAATTTAACTGGACAGTGTAGATTTCTGTTTACATTTATTTCACAGAAGTATATAAAACATACCTAGTAGTTATTTTATATTCTGTAATCTTTTGCCGGGTGGGACACTTGAAGCTATTTTTTTTTTTTTTTTGGAACAGAGTCTCACTCTGTCGCCCAGGCTGGAGTGCAATGGCGCGACCTTGGCTCACTGCAACCTCCGCCTCCTGGGTTCAAGTGATTCTCCTGCCTCAGCCTCCTGAGTAGCTGGGATTACAGGTGCCTGTCACCACGCCTGGCTAATTTTTGTATTTTTAGTAGAGACAGGGTTTTACCATGTTGGTCAGGCTGGTCTTGAACTCCTGACCTTGTGATCTGCCCACCTTGGCCTCCCAAAGTGCTGGGATTACACGCATGAGCCACCCCTCCTGGCCAAAACTATTCTTCTATGAATATAGATTAGTAAGAATTATAGAAACATCTTTATAAGGGCATATTATACACAGTCTGAATTGGCAGCTCTCGATGATGAAATCACCATGTATATAAATATACTTTGCTTTTATTACAAAATATGATTTATAAACATGCCCACATACCCACAGAGGACTTCAGTGGAAACCAGGGATACTCAACCATGCTTGCCTGCGCCAAAAGTAAATTCAACCTTAGGAAGGGGTTGACTGTTTAAAGGTTAAAAGAAAAGGTGCCTAACTATATGTAGTGTCTGTCATGTTGTATATTTTAATAGACTCTTTTATGTCTGGAAGGGGAAAATGCCATACCTTCATGCCTTTATTTGAAGGATTGTGAGGCATTTAAGATAGATGTGTATTTAATTTTTTTCTTTTTTTTTTTTGGTGGGAGCAGATCAGTGATTTTTTCAGTTCATACCAGACCACAGCATTTTCCCACAGCAGCCTTGATGTGTTCATCTCCTCTTTTAGAGACAGGGTCTTGCCCTGTCACACAGACTGGGGTTCAGTGGCACAATCATAGATCAAACATTCCTCCTGCCTCAGCCTCTCAAGGAGATGGGGTAACAGGCGGGTGCCACCATGTCCAGTGCATGTGTGTGTGTGTGTGTGTGTGCGTATGTATGTATAATATAATATATGTGTGTACATTTATATATGTATGTGTGTATATATATATTTAGAGATATTTGTGTATGTGTATATGTAGTTAGAGAGAGAGAGATATTTAGAGATGGGGTCTTGCTGTATTGTCCAGGCTGGTCTTGAATTCTTAAACTCCTGAGCTCAAGCAATCCTCCTGCCTCGGCCTCTCAAAGTGCTGGGATTACAGGCATGAGCCACTGTGCCCAGCCAAGATTTTTTTTCACCTAGAAATAAAAGTCAGTATTATATTTTTTTGCATATACAGTTTTGACTTGTAAAATGGAATCACCTCAATTGTGCTACTTTAAATATTAAGCATAGTTTTTACCTTAACTAAACTTTCAATAAGCTTGACCTTCTTTAACCCTTAAAGAATTCAAAATTGCCAGTCTTGGTATTCTATATAATGTATTTTCTGTCTTTCACTTTTTTAATATGATGGAAAATGTTGACTAGTGTATATTGGAGTGTCTTTTTATTTTTGGAGTCTAAACTGATTATTGGTGAGAATAAACTCCCCAATGTTAGGATCATTATTGCCTTCCTAATGGCTTCAACAGTCACATATAAATATCAGGGAGAAAGGGTGAGAATGCATAGAATGAAATTCTTAATTACTCTTAGTGAAAAACCTTTTGAATTTAATGGCTCCTTTTTATGTTGCATAGAATGTCTTGCTATTCTTAAAAGGCATGTGAATGAAACATAATAGTAATAGCTCTGCCATATTTTCACTAATACGTATGCTTCATTGGTGTAATCACTGTTTATCTTGCACTAGCCTGTTGCTTTTTATGATCATTTAAGTTAAAGTGATACAGTCAACTTTGTGATATTTTAGTGCTTTTAAAATAAAAAGAGTGTTTCCCTCATCTGCAGGTGCTGCTGTTTTTTCAAACGAAGGAAAAGGAAAACCATACAGCGCCACAAATGACTCTGGACACAGACAGATCCTGGGGAGTTACTTACATGTTCATCTGCTGTCTTGTGATTAAAATCATCTCTGTAGTGACCACGTATATTTTCAAGGACTCACTCTTAGAAACAAAAATGTCATACTTTCATACTTCATTTTGTGGTTGTCTTACATTCTTTTTCTTTTTTTTTTTTTCTCTAATTTAACCTTTATGGAAGCTTTAAAGTTTTGTCAAAACATGAGTGCTTTGCCCATCAGTGAATGGAATGGACCAATGAGGTGGTATCAATGAATATAGTTCCATAGAACATTTTCCAGAAGTTCTTCTGTTGTAGAAAGCAGTACAGTATCTTAAGTGTCAACCAGTTATATACCTAATCTGGTTTTTTATAACTTCTGTAAGAGCATAATCAAACAGGAATTTTCTTTTCTCAGTGGATAATACAACAGAGAAAACAGAGTTGCCCAAATATTTAAAAGAAGTTATTCCTTGAGAAGTTCATATTTTGTGACATCTGCATTGATTTCAGTATTACTGATGGTACTGTTATTCATAAGTCATATTAACATTCTCTCCGTGAAATCATGGTACAGTCACTGCCCAGAGGTACTGAGGAAAAAGCAATATGGGTTCGGCAGATGGTGGTGGTAAAATGAATCTTAAGGAGTGTGGTAAATATGTGCTCCGCTTTTGTTGCATCACTATGTGAAGTACTGTGTTGCAGAAGTGGCAAAAGCGCTTATTTTTAAAAATGCAAAATATTTGTACAATGTAACTTTATGCTTCCAAATAATAATGTATGTTAGACAGCAAGAAATGAATACTTTAAAAAGTGATGTATGTTGGAGTTATAAAGAAATACACTAAGGAGAGGTAGTAAATGTGAACCTTGTTGCAGTGTATAAGGTGGAAGCCTAAAGAAATCTCACCGAAACTTACTGCTGAATGATTACATTCTCCCTTAAGCAGAAAACTTTGGATGTGCCATGCAATGGTGTCTGTGTAATTATTTTGCTCTTTGATTAAAAAAAAGACCCCCAGCAATAAAAAGTGGGTCACTCTATGCCCTCTGTGCACATTAGTCTCTTGTATTCAACTTTGCTGATTCTCTGGAATTTTCCTACTCTTTAGCATAATTTTGATGATTGAAAAATATTTTGGAAAGGATGGGTCAGGTGCTTTGCCTCCATAGTCTTTTGAAGTGCCTGCATATGAACAACAACAACAACAACAAAAAATTCTGTAAAAAAGGAAGCCCATTCCACTTTTCAAGTATGCTTTGTTTTAAGCCATAAAGACACACATGTAGTTTTGTCACATTCTACTAGCCAAAATTTTCAAGAAGGGTTAAAACAAAGACTGGCTAGAAAGATAATTATTTTGAATAAATCTCATATTCATCTTTCATTTATATAATTGTTACTTATTCCTCCCATGCAGTCTCTTCGTTGTCTTTAAGTGTGTGCCTCCAGGCATGCTTATTTATTTTTATTGTCTCAAGGTAACATTTAAGATGTATATTAAAGTAAAGCTACATTTTTTTACTTCATTATTGCATTTACAGGGATTTAATTGTACTTTGTAATTTATTTTTCTTATTAGCCAAAAGTTTAATGCATTTTTTTTTGATGAATTAGGCACCCACATGAACACCACAAATCAGGACATTGTTTATCATTGTTGCTATGAATCCTATGAATGATCTTTTTTTTATTTTAAAGACCTACACTTAACCTACAAAACATTTGCTGTATAATTTGGTCAACAGTTTCTATCTATCTGTATACTGTCATGATGTCTTAAACTGCAGGAGTTACATACTGAGTTTATATTTTTATTTGCTTTGAGCAAGGTAGATAAACATTTTGGCCATTATAATGTGAAACCACTTCTTCTTTCTTTACAGTATTTGACCAAACTTGTGTGTCTATGATATTTGTAAATACATGCGAATATCTGTATTTCTTATCATAAGCCTATTTAGTTTTATTCTCAGTAGGGTTTTTTGGATTGTACAGTGTTTATATGATCTGAACTCCTTATACATAAGAAGGTGTGTATATTAATCCAATTATGGACTTAAAATATTTTAAAAGTATAAATACCCTTATTTGCTGCAAAGACCAGTGTGTAGGCATTTGCTTTTTAGCAATATTTTTAAGTGCTCCATTTTAATGCCGAGGAATAAGTCTTTTGGCAACACAAACTGGTCAATAATAGGTAATGCAGGTATGTTCAGGTTAAGCCAACAATGTTTTGCATTTTTATGCTTATTTTCTGTCAACACTAATGAAGTCAACATTGCCTGAATGTCTGAATAATGAAACACATCCCTGTTTAAAAGTATGTAACTGAAAAAGAAATAAAAAAAAATAAAAGTAGTTTTTTTAAACTTGCTCTTTCCCATTTCCTCTAAAGATGGGTAAAATAATGTCACTCCCTAATTTAAGATAGGAATTATAAAAATTTGGTTTATTTAGTCTGTTATATATGAGAAGCAGAGCTAAAGGAATATGCTTTTGTTATTTTATGTTTTGTTTTGCTTTCTTGAAATCCAGTGGTAAAAAGCACACACTAGGAAGGATCTAAGCTTTCTTTAATATAAAAAAAATTATACTTCTCTGAACTGTTTAATAGAGCAATAATTAAATACATCTTCTGATAAATTAAGGGAAATAGCATCATTTTTCCTTTTTGAGAATGGAATCATACTATTATGTTCACAGAAATTAAGCATTATTCCAGTTTTAAGTGAATGACTTTAAAATCATTGTAGATGGGGAGCCCATATTTCTAACAGTATCTCATAGTTCATCATTGTGCTAGGTGCTTTAAGGGATTTTACAAAATGGCATTAATGGTACGCTACTTACTGAGGGATGCTACAGGTAAGAAAAGGCAAAGCAGCCCTCTCTCACCCTGTGAATATTGTGTCCATTAAGCAGCAGAGACCTTCAGAAGCAGGAGAAAGATCTGGAGATGACACAAAACTGTTAAAGGCTCTATTTAGAAAAATTCGACTTTAAGATTGGGATTTCAGTCTGAATGAATGTATAGTTGCATTAGTCAGAACTCTTTGAATTGAAAGTGACAGAATTTAACCTGGCTTGAGCAATAAGAGTGTACATTATTTCATTTAACTGAAAAGTTCAGTGGTAGGACTGCCTTCAGACATGCTTAATCCTGGAGTTAAGACAGGAATCTTCTCCATATCTTTTGGTTTTGCTTTCCTACCCTGCTGTTTTCACTGTCAGGAAGACTTTCCATGTGTCATGGTAAAGTGGTCATCCAGCAGCTTGAGACTTCTACCCTACCATCTTAGTAGTCTCAGCAAAAACAAAGGGCCATTTTTCTCAATATTTCCAACAGAAGCTTAAGACTGACATTCCCTTATTGGTTGATGTGCCCACCCCTGAGCCAATTACTATGGACAAGGGAATATTGTTCTCCCAGTAGCTGAGCCTGAGTCATGGTTTGACCTTGAGGAGACACAATGGTGATGGAACTGGTTGAGAAGAGTTAAAAACTTTTTTTTCTACTAGAGTGCAAATAGAATTATAAAGATTTGCTGATATTCAGGATAACTAATTTCTTCTCTGCCCAATTCTAATACAGACCCACATAAATTATTTTCTTAGGACATTTACTTGTTCATAAGACTACATGGATCATAACCAAAGAAAGGACTATATATAGAAGAATGATCAGGTAATATTATTGGGATATAAAAATGGTTTTGTTAAACCAATTGTTTATTGGGATATTTATACTTTGATTTCACTTAAATGGTCAGACACTCTGGCACTTCTCCAGACTAGGGGTTGGAATCTTTTTTGGTAAAGTTTAGGCTTTGTGAGCCAAAAGGCAAAATTGAGGCTTTTATATATTTAATGAGAATGAAAAATTTTCACATATATTTTATTGATAAAATTCAAAATATATTAATACTTGAATTTTTTGTGTGATACAGGGCTACTAATGATAAGAATCGAGTGATTTTGAGGGGATATCTCACTAAATTGGGGTTCAAAATTAATTGCAAGCATTCATTTGTTAATGCTGGCCTGTAATGTGATTTTTTGTATTTCATCTTTGAAAACATCTTCTCACTCAAATAGATACATCCATGTACTGTTATCAGTTGTGATTGTGTAATTTTAATTGATCATATTCATCATTTGGAAGGTATTTATAGAATTCTATTAGATTCTGCTATTGCCATTTGCCTTTTAGCTGTCATTACATTGCATATTAATCACTTCCTGTTGAAGGTTAGGTGGATGCTCAATTGTATATTTAAGTGAATAATTAAATAGAAAAATTTCCTTTGCAGTTGCCTTAAGGTTCAGTAATGCAGCTTGAACTATAGTAGAACTTGGAAAATACGTTCACTGCAAGTTTGTGCGGGAATGGAGATCTTGTTTCTTATCTTGACAGCATGGGAAATATATAAAGCCAGCTTGATATTACTTGTGATTTAAACAACATTTGTTGCCATCAAAATGACCTTGTCACAGTATGTTTCACATGTAAGTGCTGTTTTGCCTCATAATTGTAGGTTGAATTTATTAGAAAGCATTATTAAGTTTGCAGCAAAAGCTAATTTCCAAAGCTATTCAGTGTTTGAAAATAGTTTGAGGGTGATTCTCCTCATCCATAACGAATTCAGTCTTGGTTCTGAGCTCAAAAAATTACAATAAAACTACCGTTCCAACCTGGGCAACATGGCAAAACCCCGTTTCTACAAAAAATTAGCGAGACATGGTGGCATGCATCCATAGTCCCAGCTACCCAGGAGGCTGAGGTGGGAGGATGTCCTGAGCCCAGGAGTCGAGGCTGCAGCAAGCCATGATTATGCTGCTGCACTCCAGCCTGGGCAACAGAGTGAGATCCTGTGTCTAACAAACAAAGCCAAAAACCTTTACTGCTGCCATCAAACCGCTATGTAATTGGGCAAGTCAGAATACTCAACTTCTATTTCTAACAAAACTAAATGGAACCAATGATGATTAAGATCACAAGTGAATAAAATTTACCATTGACTTTACTAGTTGGATGACAATTCAAATATTTCCCACAAATACCTGCTGATGAATAATGCACCATATAACCATTGAGCAATTTATTCAGCTATGCGGGTTTTTTTTCTTTTTTTTTTTTTTTTTTTTGGCCACTTCACACATTTTTACCACCATGAATTGCCACACATCTTAGCAGATTCTACTTCAGGTTGTACTAAATTGGTGTTTTCTCGACTTCTTTGAAATATTCTTTCCTGTAGTTATTGTATGCAGACTATTCATAAAGGCTAGTTCTTGAGTCACTTCAAACTCAGCATTGACTTCTCAAGTATACAACGGGGCAGTATTGGTAACATTTGTTGACTCACCAAAAGCCAAGCAAAGCTACTTGAAATCATTTGCCTTGTTTTTTAATTAACTGTTGGTGTTGCCACAGTGTCCTCATGTCTCCAAGCAAGTATTCTTGCTGAAAAGCTAGTAGTCATAAAGAAGTTTTTGTTTGGGCCCACTTTCTGGTTGCTACAATCAAACACAATTAAATTAACTCTAACTCACCATCAGTATATAGCTGTCTTTGCTTGGCTAACAAATGAGCCACTCAGAAAGTTACTTTGGTTACACCCTTATTCTAATTTTTTAAATTAGTAGATTATGCTGTGATAAGATACTACATTTTAAGTTTTCTAATTGTTCTGTTGATTTCCTGTGGGTTGGGAATATTGTGATGAGTGCTTAGTCTGGAAATATATTTTTGAGCACAGTGAAAGTGTCATTGCATAATAAACACAATGCTTTGCCATATAGTTCTACTACAATTCACACTCCACTGTGCCTTAAAAGTGCAACACTCAAAGTCCACTTTTTAAAACTTTTTTTGACATGATGTATATGCACTGGTAATAAAAAATAATAAAATGTCCGTATGACAATATGTATGACACTTGAAATGCTGTTGAGTTTTATAGCCATCACTGAGATTTGTAGCATGTTGAATAGCAGTGCAAAACAATGAAAGCACCACATATGGTTACTGTCACAATTATTCACCTCTGCCTTTGTAGCATGAAAGCAGCCATAGTCAATGTGTAAATGAATGAACATGGCTGTGTTCCAATAAAATTTTATTTATGGACACTAAAATTTGAATTTCATATAATTTTTATGTGTCATAAAATTCCCTCTTAATTTTTTTCAACCATTTAGAAATGTTAAGTGTCATTCTTAGTTTGTGAGCTGAGCAAAAATAGGAGGTGGGCTGAACTTGGCCTGCAGACCATAGTTTGCCAACATTTGTTCTGTGCCACACTGGAAAGATTTGAATGTTTGAATTAAATTAGTTTTTACCTAATTGCATGAAACTGCTTACCAAAAGATGACCTTTCCTCCTTTTATGAAAGAAAATTTCATTTTGAAGTAGCACCAAGAATTAAAATATTATGGAAAATGCAACCACAGTACATATGGGAGTTAGAAATCAAATGAGGTCTAAGTCTGGCTCACGTATGAACTTAGATATTGAAGCAGTGTGCAGCTTTAGAAAGAGCATGAATGTCAGAATTAGACAAATTTAATTTCAGTCTAAACTTCTTGTGAGAACTGTGGCAAGTTAACTCACTTACCCTGTTTCTTCACCTTAAACTGGAGATAATGCCTACTTTGAAGTGTGATTCTGAGGATTAGTGGATGATCTTTATAATAGCTCTCAATGCATTTACCATTACTTTCATTAAAAGTACAATTTTTAAACTGAGCAACACCTTGATTTCTCATACAGTGTGTACACTTCTCTTTAAGACGAGAATAAGGTCTGGTGTTTATTAGACTTTGTCTTCCTAGATTGACACCATTATTTCTATGTGTTTAAAAATATTGGGCCCTAATTCTATCACATTGTACAGTTACCATTCTGCCTCACTTAGTGACATCAACAAATTCGAAATCTTTAATTTATTGATAAAAATGACAACAGGAGAGGACCAGGCAAAATCCTGTCTGAAGCAGCTGCAGTCCATGTTAAGGTCAATATCAGTCCTGTCTGAAGCAGCTGTAGTCCATGTTAAGGTCAGTATTCATTGAACCAATAACATGTCTAAATGTTCTCTGTAATGTATGAGTCCTTCAACACCACTTAATTACTATTAGCTATTTATCAGAAGCTTTGCTGAAATCCAGGTAAACCATTTGGTCTGTTTCCATGCCCACTCATTCTCATTATGCCATCAAAAAAGGAATTGGATTGAGTTTGACATGAGTTTTGGATTTTATTTCCTTCTTGCCTTTTTCCCCACTTAACTTTTCAGGCTAAAGATTATTCTTGATTTTAAAAAGCTGAGCCTTACATTCTCTTCCTCATCCCTCAGCCTTTCCTTTACATATGGCTCCACATACAGATTATAGAGCTCTTTTTTTGTTGGCTTTAGCATTAAAAAGAATCTCGAGCTAATATGAAACCTTAAAGATGTTACCTTTTTTTTTTACGTTTATTTCCTATACCCTTTTAAAAGCTGAGCTTGTTAGGAGACTCTTTTCTCAAACGTTTTTGCTTTTTAGGATCACTTTTCATTGCAGAAATGAAATCAGAGTCTTGAGTTCTTTTCACAAGGTATCATAGACCTTAAGATGAGATGCTCACATTCTCTCAAGGTGCCTGACCCTTCTGCTTTATCAACAAATTCCTCTTGCTGGTCATTTTTGTGGTACAGAATAGTAGCTTCAATTTTTGCTTTCTCTATTTCCTGGAAGATTAGATTTTAGGCATATAAAGAATTTACAGAATTTCTGGGTTTAAAGTTTTTTTGTTTTTGTTTTTAGTTATTACAAGTACATGATAGGTATCTATATGGGGCACATGTGATGTTTTGATACAGGCATACAATGTGTAATAATGACATCAGGGTAATTAAGTTATCCAGCACTTCAAGCATTTGTCATTTGTGTCAGGAACATTCCAATTTCATTCTTAGTTGTTTTAAAATATGTAATAAATTATTGTTGACTATAGCCACATTGTGCTACCAAATACTAGATCTTATTCATTAGATCTAACTGTATATATGTGTGTGTGTATATATATGTGTATACATACACATATGTGTATATACGTGTATACATACACATATGTGTATATACACGTGTATATATGTGTATATATACACGTGTATATACGTGTATATATACACGTGTATATATGTGTATGTGTGTATATATACACGTGTGTATATGTATATATACACATGTGTGTATATGTGTATATATACACGTGTGTGTATATGTGTGTATATATACACGTGTGTATGTGTGTATATATACACGTGTGTGTATATGTGTGTATATATACACGTGTGTATGTGTGTATATATACACGTGTGTATATGTGTGTATATATACACGTGTGTGTATATGTGTGTATATATACACATACATTAATTTGAGACAGAGTCTAGCTCTGTCTCCCAGGCTGGAGTGCAGTGGCACGATCTCAGCTAACCTCTGGTTTAACTGAGTAGCTGAGACTACAGGTGTGCACCACCATACCTGGCTAATTTTTGTATTTTTCGTAGAGATGGGGTTTCACCATATTGGCCAGGCTGGTCTCGAACTCCTGATCTTAAGTGATCCGCCTGCCTTAGCCTCCCAAAGTGCTGAGATTACAGGTGTGAGCCGCCATACCCAGCTCTATCTAACTATATTTTGTGCCCATAATACCATCCCCAGTTTATCCCACACCACCCCCCTCCCCGCTACCCTTCAAAGCCTCATAACCATCCTTCAACTCTTTATCTCCATGAGATACATTGTATTGATTTTTAGCTCCCACAAAAGAGAACATCAGAAACCCTAGCTGAAGTAAAATAAGAATTAGAAATTTCCAGACAATTGGGGGCCTCTATCACTACTCAATTTTATGTTTAGTATTTTATGCTCCTCTTGAACACCTTGTGTCAGGCAGTGACTTGTGTGCTTAAATACTGATTTTCTTTAACTGGCCTGGCCTTTTGTAATGTACTTTCATAATGGTATCTTAATTTCCCCTCTCTTTGCTCAAATATTTTCCACAGTGCATTTACCTTGGGTGTACTAAATTTCATTGCAAGTATACATCCTCTCAGTATACTCCTCTGCCCCTTCCTTCTCATAAGTGTGTATTCCAGTCAGAAACCTCATCATACCATGTCAACGATTTCTATGTCTTACTTACACTACCCTGATTTGTTTGTAAGTCTTCTTGATCATAGTCTTGTATGTGCATTAGTGTGAAGACTTCTTGGTATTGTTTTCAAACTTCCTGCTCAGTTTTCTGGAGTGAATCATTTGGTCATCTCTAACCAGATGGTAGATGGTATATATAACAATCCCTTTCATGATTTTTATCTTCTATTTTCACCTTCATCCTCATTGCAAAAAAATCATTTAAACATGTCAATTATTCTTATACCATTACATTCTAGCCATCTTAAATTAAGTCTTGGAAATGAAAATCTCATTTTAAATGTCATATAGGTAGAAAATCAATCATGTCTTCCTTGTACAGTATTTTGTCCTGAATCCTTTATTGACTTTGTCAGGTGCCCTAAATGTCCTGTATTTATTAGGCTTTTTTTTTTTGATAAATTGCAAGAATATTGGCAATTAGAGCTATTTTTACTCCACAGTAATGTGGAATGCTTAAATTACTTATGTGGTAACAGCAGCTGAAAATTATTCCTCCACAAATAAACATCTGAACAATCCCTTATCTCTCCTACAGGTTTCAATGAATACCAAAAGTGGGGAGTAAGACTTGAAAGTACTTACATTTCATATTCAAGAAAGAAAAAGGCTATTTGAATTTTAGCCAAAGCCTGAAGTTGTGAACAAGTAACCACTGTTAATTTAAGATAACTTTAATAAATATACAAAAAAAATCAATCAATGACATCATCCATTGGCCATGCTTCTGAAAATAAGCTAGTCAACAACAGCTTCATTCTAGTCTTCTGAAAGTAAGCAAGTTAATGACAGCCCCATGCTTCTAGACAACAGCTGATCAGCAAGTGCCTTGCTCCAATAACCAGGCTTTAGAAAGTCTGTTGGTCAACAGCAGCTTTTTCCAGTGAAATACCACACCCAGGAATATAATCAGCCTTTTTGACTTCTTTTAACCCTGCTGCACCTTTCTAAATAGTCAATTTATTACACTTTTTTCTGCTACGTTATTACTGTTACCCTCTCTTTCCTTCTGTTACACTAAGATTCCAGGAAAAATGTTTCAAAAATGGGTTCTTCTTTTTAAAAATGCTTGAAAAGCATTGCCCTAAATAATGTGAAATATTAAACTTAGTATGGAGTGCTTAGGAAATCAGAAAACTATACACTCTGTATTCTGTATACTATGTCCTAAAGATATAGAGAGATCTCCATCCAAATGTATTAAACAAGCTCTGGTACCTGGACTGGTAAGCTTTAATGCTCAAGACTATCCTTCTGCTGAGTCTTTATTCTGCAAGAGGACCAGTTTGGCAGAGTAGATTATGTCTCTTTTATTCACGTTAAAAATAAAAATGGAGAAGAATGGAAAAAGGCAAAGCAAGATGGCAGAAGAGGACTTTTTAGTGATCTTTCCCCTTGCAGAAACATCAATTTGAACAACTATCCATGCACAAAAATACCTTCACAGGAGCTAAGTGAGTCAGGTGAACCATCTTGGTACTTGGTAATAGCACAATTTTTTCTTTTCTTTTGAGATGGAGTTTTGCTCTGTCGCCCAGGCTGGAGTGCAGTGGGGCAATCTTGGCTCACTGCAACCTCTGTCTCCTGGATTCAAGCAATTCTCCTGCCTCAGGCTCCCAAGTAGCTGGGATTACAGGCACACACTGCCACGCCTGGCTAATTTTTTGTATTTTTTAGTAGAGACAGGGTTTCACCATGTTGCCCGGGCTGGTCTTGAACTCCTGAGCTCAGGCCATCCGCTTGCCTCAGCCTCCCAAAGTGCTAGGATTACAGGTGTGAGCCACCATGCTGGGCCAGTGATAGCACAATTATTAAAAATATGCATTGAAGGGAGTAGAAAGGACAGTTTCACATTACCCATGTCACTCCTTTCCCAATCCCAGGCAGCAAAGTGAAAAGATAGCATGAAATTGCAGGAAAGAGAAGTGAGCCTAGGACTTTGTCTTCAAACCTAAAATTAGGTAGCACCAGGCAGACCTCCCACAACCCCTGACTTTAGGGGAGTACCTGCAGACCGAACCTCCAGACGTGCCCTGGCATCAGCAGGAACGCATAGCTTCTATTAGGTGAGATCAGTCTGCTGTATGCATCACTGACAGCTTACTACAGTGGCCTTGGGCTCTGGACAACCCCCATTGGAAGGCAGACTTCAGCAGCTGTGAGTTTCAGGCACATCCCAGCTCCATGATATCCTCAGCAGACATGAGATTCCAGCCTGGCATCATATGGCTGCAGTGATCCCAGGATTAGGGCATCCCTCAGTGTCTCAATGGTACTTCAGTGGTACCAGGTTTAGAGAGCATGCCAGATGATATACCTAGAATCTCTGCTCAGACACCAATGAACAACAAAGATCAAGAATAATCAGGGAAACATGATATTACCAATGGACAAAATAAAGTGCCAGTGACCAACCCTAAGGAAATGGAGATGAATGAATGTGCTTCCTGACAAAGAATTGAAAGTAACCATTTTCAGCGAACTTCAAGAAAATACAGAGAAACAATTCAATAAAAAGAAGACCATAAGTGATCAGAACAAGAAATTTAACAGAGAGAATGAAATGATAATAAAAATCAAATAGAAATCCTGGAACTGAAAAATATAATGAACAAAATGAAAAATGTCACAGAGAATATAAACAGCAGAATTGATCAAGCAAAGAAATAATCTGTGAACTCAAAGGCAGGTTATTTGAAAATAAACAGAAGGAAAAAAGGAAAAAGAATGAAAAGAAATGAGGAAAACTTACGGAATTTGTGAGAAAGTATCAAAGGATAAAATATTTGAGTCCATAGGAGTTAGAGAAGCAGAAGAGAAAAATAAAGGGACAAAAAGTGTATTTAAAGAAATGATAGCCAAAAAACTTTCCAAACCTGGAGAAAGGTATAAATATCTAATTACAGGAAGGTTAAAGGTCTTCAATCAGATTCAGTCCAAATAGGACTACTTCAAGACATATTATTATCAAAATGTCAAACATCAAAGATAGAGAGGATCCTGAAAGCAGCAAGAGAAAAGAAGCAAATAACATATAAAGGAATTCCAATACACATAGCAGCAGACTTCTCACTAGAATCTTATAGGCCAGGAGACTGGGATGATATACTCAAAGTGGTGAAGGGGAAAACAACAACAACAACAACAACAACAACAACCAATTAGAGTATGGTACCCAGATAATCTGTTCTTTATAAATGAAGGGTCAGGCATGGCAGCTCATGCCTATAATCCCAGCACTTTGGGAGGACAAGGTGGATGGATCACTTGAGGCCAGAAGTTTGAGACCAGACTGGCCAACATGGCAAAACCCCATCTCTACTAAAAACACAAAAAATTAGCCGGGTGTGGTGGCATACACTTGTAATCCCAGCTACTCGGGTGGCTGAGGCAGGAGAATCGCTTGAACCTGGGAGGCGGAGACTGCAGTGAGCCATTATCATGCCACTGCACTCCAGCCTCGGTGACAGCATGAGACCCTGTCTCAAAAAAAAAAAAAAAAAAAAAAAAAGAAAGAAATGAAAGAGAAAAAGAGAAACACTTTCCCACACACAAAAAAGCTGAAGTTTATCATCACCAGACCTGTCTTACAAGAAATGCTAAAGACAGTTCTTCAAGCTGAAAGAAAAGGATGCTAATGAGTAACATGAAAACATCTGAGAGTATAAAACTCACTAGTAAAAGCAGGGACACAATCATATTTGGAATATTATTATACTGTAATCATGGTAAAAAAAGATCACTTGTACCTTTAGTGTGAAGATTAAAAGACAAACTATTAAAAATAAATATGATAATTTGTTAAGGGATGTTGAACACAAGAAAGATGTAAATTATGATAAAACTCAGAGTCAGGGGTAGTGGAGTAAAAGTAAAGTTTTTTTTTAATTGAAGTTAATTTGTTATCACCTTAAAATATCTTGTTTTGATTATAAGATTTTTTTTGGTAAGCCTCATTGTGACCACAAAGTGAAAACCTATAGTAGATGTGCGCAAAAAACAAGGAATGAAAACATACTACTAGAGAAAAACACTTAATCATAAAGGAAGACAGTAAAAGAGAATGAAAGGAACAAAGAATCTACAGAACAACTAGAAAACAATAAGTGAAAGGGCAGTGGTTAAGTCCTCATCTATCAATAATTACCTTGAATGTAAATATGTTAAATTATCCAATCAGAAGACACAGAATGGCTAAATGGATTTTTAAAAAGAAGAGACCTAAGTATATGCTGCCAATGAGAGACTCACCTCAGCTGTAAGGACACACATAGACTGAAAGAAGGGATGAAAAAAGATATTACATGCACATGGAAATCAAAAGTATTAGATGTGTATTACATGAGTATTAGACAAAATAGGCTTTAAGTAAAAAACTGTAAAATAAGATGAAAAAGGCCATTATATAATGATAAAGGGCTTAATGCTGCAGGAGGATATGATATGACAATTATAAATATATATGCACCCAACATTAGAGCACCTAAATATACAACACATGTATTAACAGATTTAAAGGGAGAAATAGACAATAATAGTATGTACAGTAGCAGTATAGGACATTAACACCCCACTTTCAGCAATGGAAAAATCATCCAGACAGAAAATTAGCATTGAGACATTGGACTCAAACTCTGCTTTAGACCAAATAGACCTAACAGATGTATACAGAGCATTTCATTCAAGAGTTGCAGAATTTACATTCTTCTAAAGTGCACATGGAACATTATCTAGGCTAGATCATGCGTTAGGTCACAAAACAAGTCTTAACAAATTTAAGAAGATTGAAATCATATCAAGTATCTTTTCTGACCACAGTGATACAAAACTAAAAATAACAGGAAGAACTCTGAAAAATTCACAAACACATGAAAATTGAACATCTTGAACAACCAATGGGTCAACGAAGAAATTACAAGTAAAATTAAAAAATGTATTCAGGCGAATGAAAATGGAAACACAGCATACTAAAACTTCTGGGATGCAGCAAAAGCACTTCTAAGATGGAAGTTTATAGCAATAAACACCTACATCAAAAAAGAAGATCTCAAGTAAACAACCTAATATTTTACTTCGAGGTCTTGAAAAAAGAATAAACTAAGCCCAAAATTAGTAGACGGAAGGAAATAATAAACATCAGAGCAGAAATAAATAAAATAGAGACTAGAAAAACAATAGAAAGGATGAAAAAACAAAGTGTTGGTTTTTTTTTTTGAAAAAAGATGAAATTAATAAACCTGCCAGTTGGACTAAGAAAAAAAGAAGACTCAAATCAGAGAGGAAAAAGGAGACATTAAAACTGATAACACAGAAATATAAAGGATTATAAGGCTATTATGGACAATTATACCCCCAACAAACTGGATAATCAAGAAGAAATGCTAGCATGAGTACATTCCATCCCCCGGCTCCCGGCCACCCCAGCCCCGCCAAGTCTCCATTGCAGTTAAAGCCTTGGCAGGCACAGAGCCTGCCAGCCGCACCCCCGCCCCCACCAGCACCCCACCCCTGTGACAACACTGCCATGGGAGTGAAACTAGGCACAGAGAAGAGTGGGCCTTTCCCCACCCTGAGCAGCCATCTCCACCTGGGTGAATGCTCATGGAGGGTGCGCCCAGTCCTATGCCCACCAGCACCCTGCCCCCTGTGCTAACCACACCACCAGCACCACTGTGCACATAGTTGCCAGAGGTACCCTCAGCCATGCTGCCTCCATTGCTACTGTGAATGCCTTCTCAGAGGCCAGCACCCAGCACCCGCCAGTACCCTGCCACAGCGGAGAAGAAGTCCACCCTGCTCTGCTGCTGCTGCTGCCACTGCTGCTGGCACATGCAAATGAGAACAGATCCTGCTGCTGCCACCATACAAAAAGCTTTGAGTGGCACCATCCATCAGAGTGCTGTGACACAGTGGTCCCGGAGCACTGCGGCACTGCCAGTGCAGTGATTTCCTAATCCCAAGAAGCCAGAGAACAAATTCTCGGGACTGATAACAGTTCCCCAGAGTTAGAGCATGCAGTCCAGGAGTTGTGAGCTGAGCCATGGCTCCTTTAAATCTTCCATAAATGAAACCAGCTGACTGAAACCATCTTACACCACAATCAAATTCTCTAGTTCATCAAATAGGATAAAAGGACAGCGACTTTAAAGACTGAAGGAGCATCAGCCCAGGAAGATGAGAAAGAACCAGCTCAAGCATTCTGACAACTTAAAAAACCAGAGTGCTATCTTTCCTCCTAACAACCACACTAGGTCTCCAGCAAAGATTCAGAACTGAACTGAGATGGCTGAAATGACAGAAATAGAATTCAAAATAAGGATACAAATAAAGATCACTGAGATGCAGCAGCATGTTGAAACCCAATCCAAGGAAGCTAAGAATCACAATAAAATGATACAGGAGCTGATAGACAAAATAGCCAGTATAGAAAAGAATGTAATTGACTTGTTAGAGCTGAAAAACACACTACAAGAATTTTATAATGCAATTACAAGTATTAGTGGCAGAATAGACTAAAATAAAGAAAGAATATCAGAGCTTGAAGATTGGCTCTCTGAAATAAGACAGACAATAACAGAGAAAAAGAATTAAAAGAAATGAACATTACCTTCAAGAAATATGGGATTATGTAAAGAGATCAAATCTATAACTCACTGGTGTGCCTGAAAGAAATGGGGAGAATGGAAGCAACTTGAAAAATGTATTTCAGGAAATCAGCCATGAGGACTTCCCCAAACTAGCTAGAGAGGCCAAACTTCAAATTCAGGAAATGCAGAGAAGCCTAGTAAGATAAGTCACAAGAAGATCATACTCAAGACATGTAATCATCAAATTCTCCAATGTCAGAATGAAAGAAAAAATGTTACAGGCAGCTAGAGAGAAAGGTCAGGTCACCTAGAAAAGGAAGCCCATCAGACTAACAGCAGACCTCTCAGCAGCAACCCTACAACCCAAAAGAGATTGGGGGCCAATATTCAACATTGTTAAAGAAAAGAAATTCCAGCCAAGAATTTTATATCGGCCAAACTAAACTTTGTAAGCAAAGGAGAAATAAGATTCTTTTCAGACAAGCAAATGCTGAGGGAATTTATTACCACCAGACCTGCCTTACAAGAGCTCCTAAAGGAAGCAATAAATATGGAAAGGAAAAACTGTTATCAACCAGTACAAAAACACACTTAAGTACACAGACCAGTGACACAATAAAGCAATCACAAACAAACCAGCATAATAACCAGCTAACAATACATGACAGGGTCAAAGCTACACATATCAATACTAACCTTGAATGTAAATGGGCTAAATGCCCCAATTAAAAGACACAGAGAGGCAAGCTGGATAAAAAAAGCAATACCCAATGATATGCTGTCTTCAACAGACCCATCTCACACATAATGACAGCCATAGGTTCAAAATAAAGGGATGGAGGAAAATCTACCAAGCAAACGGAAATCAGAAAAAAGCAGGGGTTGCAATCCTAGTTTCTGACAAAAGAGACTTTAAACCAGCAAAGATAAAAAAAAGACAAAGAAGGGCATTACGTAATGGCAAAATGTTCAATTCATCAAGAAGAGCTAACTATCCTAAATATATATTCACTCAACACAGGAGCACCCAGATTCATAAAGCAAGTTCTTAGGGACCTACAGAGACCTAGCCTTCCACACAATAAATCATTGAAGACTTCAACACCCCACCAAAAGTAACAGACAAATCATTGAGGCAGAAAATTAACAAAGATCTTCAGGACCTGAACTCAGCACTGGATCAAATGGATGTGATAAATGAGTTCTACAGAACTCTCCACCCCAAAACAGCAGAATATACATTCTTCTCATCACCACATGGCACATATTCTAAAACTGACCACACAGTCAGACACAAAACACTCTACAGCGAGTGCATAATAACTGAAATAATGAAAAACACTCTTTTGGACCACAGCACAATAAAATTAGAGTTCAAGACTAAGAGAATTACTCAAAAGCATACAATTACATGAAAATTAAATAACCTGCTCCTGAATGACTTTTAGGTAAATACTGAAATTAAGGCAGAAATCTAAAAGTTCTTTGAAACTAATGAGAATGAATATACAACATACCAGAATCTCTGGAACACAGCTAAGGCAGTGTTAAGCAGGAAATTTATAGCATTAAAGGCCCCCCAAAAAAGTTAGAAAGATCTTATATGAACAACCTAACATCACTTAAAAAAACTAGAGAAGCAAGAGAAAACCAATCCCAAACTAGTAGAAAACAAGGAATAACCAAAATCAGAGTTGAACTGAAGAAGATTGAGACATGAAAAAACATTCATAAGATAAACAAATCTAGGAGTCTGTTTTTTGAAAAAATTAACAAAAATATATAGATCAGTAGCTAGATTAATAAAGAATAGAGACAATCCAAATAAACACAATTAGAAATGACAAAAGGGATATTACCACCGACCCCACAGAAATACAAATAATCATCAGGGAATATTATGAATAGGTCTATGCACACAAACTAGAAAATCTATAAGAAATGGATAAATTCCTGGACACATACGCCCTCCCAAGACTGAACCAGGAAGAAATTGAATCCCTGAACAGATCAGTAATGAGCTCCAAATTGAATCAGTAATAAATGGCCTACCAACCAAAGAAAGCCCAGGATCAGATGATCCACAGCTGAATTCTACCAGATGTACAAAGAAGAGCTGGTATGATTCCTACTGAAACTGTTCCAAAAGATTGAGGAGGACAGACTCCTCCCTAACTTGTTCTATAAGGCCAGCATCATCCTGATTCCAAAACCTGGCAGAGACAACAAAAAAAAGGAAACTTAGGCCAATATCCTTGGTGAACATTGATGTAAAAATCCTCAACAAAATACTGGAAAATCAAATCCAGCAGCACATCAAAAAGCTTATCCAGCATGATCAAGTAGGCTTTATCCCTGGGAGCAAGGTTGGTTCAACATAAGCAAACCAGTAAATGCGATACATTAATTAAACAGAACTAAAGACAAAAACCACAGAATTATTTGAATAGATGCAGAAAAGGCTTTCAATAAAATTCAACATCCTTTATATTAAAAACTCTCAGTAAGCTAGATTTTGAAGGAGCAGACCTCAAAATAATAACAGCCATCTATGACAAACCCACAGCAACATCATACTGAATGGGCAAAAGCTGGAAGCATTCCCTTAAAAACTGGCACGAGACAAGGTTGCCCTCTCTTACCATTCCTATTTAATATAGTATTGGAAGTCCTGGCCAGAGCAATTAGGCAAGTGAATGAAATAAAGGGCAGCCACATAGGAAGAGAGGAAGTCAAACTATCCTTATTTGTAGATGGCATGACTCTAGATCTAGAAAACCACGTAGTCTTGGCCAAATGGTTCCTTAAGCTTGCAGGGTACAAAGTCAAAAGAAAAAAGCCACTGTCATTCCTACACCAACAACGGCTAACCCAAGAGCCAAATCAGGAATGTGTTCCCATTCTCAATTGCCTCAGAAAGAGTAAAATACCCAGGAATTCAGCTAATAAGATCTCTATAATAAGAACTACAAAACACGGTTCAAAGAAATCAGGGATGGCACAAACAATGGAAAACATTTCATACAAATTGATAGAAAGAATCAGTATCATTAAAGTGTGGCTATACTACCCAAAGCAATATAAAGATTCAGTGCTATTCCTATTAAACTACCAATGACATTCTTCACAGAACTAGAAAAAATTATTTAAAAATTCGTATTGAAACAAAAAAGAGCCCAAATAGCCAAGGCAATCCTAACCAAAAAGAAGAAAGCTGGAGGCATCATGCTACCTGACTTCAAACTATACTACAGGGCCATAGTAACCAAAACAGCATGGTACTGGTACAAAAACAGACACATAGACCAATGGAACAGAACAGAGAACCCAGATATAAGGCTGCACACCTGCAACCATCTGATCTTCAACAAAACTGACAAAAGCAAGCAATGGGGAAAGGGCTCCCTTTACAATAAATGGTGCTGGGATAACTGGCTTATGCAGAATATCAAAATTGAACCCATTCCTTACACCATATACAAAAGTCAACTCAATATGGATTTAAGAATTAAACATAAACCCCAAAACTGTAAAAATCATGGAAGACAACCTAGACAACATCATTCTGAATGCAAGAATAGGCAAAGATTTCATGATAAAGATGCCAAAAGCAATTGCAACGAAAGCAAAAATTGACAAATGTAATCTAATTAAACTAAAGAGCTTCTGCACAGCCAAGGAAGCTATCAACGAAGTGGACAGGCAACCAACAGAATGGGAGAAAAGTTTTGCAACGTGTCATCTGACAAAGGTCTAATATCCAACATCTGTAAGGAATGAAACAAATTTACAAGCAAAAAACAAACAACTGCATTAAAAAGTGGGCAAAGGACATAAACAGACACTTTTCAAAAGAAGACATACATGTGGCCAACAAAAAGCTCAATCATTAGAGAAATGCAAATCAAAACTACAATGAGATACCACCTCACACCAGTCAGAATGGCTTGTATTAAAAAGTCAAAAAATAGTAGATACCAGCTAGGTTGTAGAGAAAAGGGAACACTTATACACTGTTGGCAGGAGTGTGAATTAGTTCAACCACTGTGGAAAGCAGTGTGGTGATTCTTCAAAGAGCTAAAAACAGAACTACCATTCGATCCAGCAATCCCATTACTGTGTATATACCCAAAGGAATATAAATTATTCTGTCATAAAGACACATGCACGTTTATGTTCATTGCAGCACTATTCATAATAGTGAAGACATGGAATCAACTTAAAAGCCCATCAATGATAGACTGGATAAAGAAAATGTGTTACATATATACCATGGAATACTACACAGCTGTAAAAAAGAATGAGATCATGTTCTTTGAAGGAACATGGATGAGCTGGAGGCCATTATCCTTAGCAAACTAATGCAGTAAGAGAAAACCAAATACTGTATGTTCTCAGTTATAATTGGGAGCTAAATGATGGGAACACATGGACACATAGAGGGGAACAACACACACTGGGGCCTATGGGAGGGTGGAGGATGGGAGGATGGAGAGGCAAGAAAAATAACTAATGGGTACTAGGCTTAATATCTGGGTGGTGAAATTATCTGTACAACAAACCCCCAAGACACAAGTGTACCTATATAACAAACGTGCACATGTACCCTTGAACTTAAAAGTAAAAAAAAAAAGGAAAACCCAGTTCCAGATTGTTTTATGGTTGAATTCTACCAAACATTTAAAGAAGAACAAACACAAAGTGTTCTCAAACTCTTTTCAAAAAATAAAGAGGAAGAAATACTTTCAAACTCATTTTGAGGACACTTTGATCTGACAACAAAGCCAGACAAGAGCATTACAAAAAGTAAAAAATTACAGGACAATGTGCCCGATGCAAAAATTTTCAGCAAAATACTAGCAAATGAAATTTAATAGTGCATTAAAAAGATTATTCACCATGATCAAGTGGGATACATCCCAGGGATTCAAGGATAATTCACCATAAGCAAATCCAATAGAGATAATATATCACATTAATAAAATCAAGGACAAAAACCATCTGATCATTTCAATAGATACAGAAAAAGCATCTGACAAAATTCAACATCCTTTCTTGATAAAAATCTCAACAGATTATGTATAGGAGAAACGTACCTCAAAACAATAAAGGTCATATACGACTAACTCACAGCTAAAGTCATACCAAATAGGGAAAAGTTGAAAATTTTCCGCTAAGAGTCAGACTCTCGGCACTTTTATTAAACATAGTACTGGAAATCCTAGCCGGAGCAATCAGGCAAAAGGAGAAACAGAAGGCATCCAAATTAGAAAGGAAGAAGTTAAATTTTCCCTGTTTGCAGATATGATCTTATATATAGAAAACTCTAGGGACTCCACCAAAAAAAGTTAGAACTAATAAGTGAATTTAGAAACGTTGCATGATACAAAATCAACGTACAAAAATCAGCAGTGTTTCTATATACTAACAGCACACTACCTGAAAAAGAAATAAAAAATCTTTATAAGAGCTACAAAACAGATAAAAAAAATACTTAAAAATGAATTTAACCGAGGAGGTGTACTGAAAACTATAAAGCATTGATGAAGGAAATTGAGGAAGACACAATTAAATGGAAAGATAGCCCATATTCATGAATTGGAAAAATTAACATTCTTAGAATGTCCATACTACCCAAAATGATCTACAGATTCAATTCAATCCTTACCAAAATACCAATCACATTCTTCACAGAAATAGAAAGAACAATCCAAAATTTTGTATGGAACCACAAAAGACCTTGAATAGCCAAAGAAATCTAGAGCAGAAAGAACAAAACTGAAAGCATCATACAACCTGACTTCGAAATATATAAAGCTATGGTAATCAAAACAGCATAGCAGTGGCATAAAAATAGACACAACAGGTCGGTAAAGCCGGAGTCGGGTCCTGTCGGCTTCCTCCCCGGACAGCATGAACTTCACCACTCGCTCCACCTTCTCCACCAACTAGCGGTCCCTGGGCTCTGTCCAGGCGACCAGCTACGGCGCCCGGCTGGTCAGCAGCACAGCCAGAGTCTATGCAGGCGCCGGGGGCTCTGGTTCCCGGATCTCTGTGTCCCGCTCCACCAGCTTCCAGGGCGGCTTGGAGTCCGGGGGCCTGGCCGCGGGGATGGCCGGGGGTCTGGCAGGAATAGGAGGCATCCAGCACGAGAAGGAGACCATGCAAAGCCTGAAAGACTGCCTGGCCTCCTACCTGGACAGAGTGAGGAGCCTGGAGACCGAGAACCGGAGGCTGGAGAGCAAAATCCGGTAGCACTTGGAGAAGAAGGGACCCCAGGTCAGAGACTGATGCCATTACTTCCAGACCATCCAGAACCTGAGGATTCAGATCTTCGCAAATACTGTGGACAATGCCTGCATAGTTCTGCAGATTGACAATGCCCGTCTTGCCGCTGATGACTTTAGAGTCAAGTATGAGACAGAGCTGGCCATGCGCCAGTCTGTGGAGAACGACATCCACGGGCTCCGCAATGTCATTGATGACACTGTCACTCGGCTGCAGCTGGAGACAGAGATCGAGGCTGTCAAGGAGGAGCTGCTCTTCATGAAGAAGAACCACAAAGAGGAAGCAAAAAGCCTACAAGCCCAGATTGCCAGCTCTGGGTTGATGGTGGAGGTAGATGCCCCCAAATCTCAGGACCTCGCCAAGGTCATGGCAGACATCCGGGCCCAATATGACGAGCTGGCTCAGAAGAACGGAGAGGAGCTGGACAAGCATTGGCCTCAGCAGATTGAAGAGAGCACCACAGTGGTCACCACTCAGTCCGCCGAGGTTGGAGCTGCTGAGACGACGCTCACGGAGCTGAGACGTACAGTGCAGTTCTTGGAGATGACCTGGACTCCATGAGAAATCTGAAGGCCAGCTTGGAATCTGAAGAACAGCCTGAGGGAGGTGGAGGCCCGCTACGCCCTGCAGATGGAGCAGTTCAATGGGATCCTGCTGCACCTGGAGTCAGAGCTGGCACAGACCCGGGCAGAGGGACAGCGCCAGGCCCAGGAGTAGGAGGACCTGCTGAACGTCAAGGTCAAGCTGGAGGCTGAGATCGCCACCTACCGCAGCCTGCTGGAAGATGGCGAGGACTTCAATTTTGGTGATGCTCTGGACAGCAGCAACTCCATGCAAACCATCCAAAAGACCACCACCACCCACCGGACAGTGGATGGCAAAGTGGTGTCTGAGACCCACGACACCAAAGTTCTGAGGCATTCAGCCAACAGAAGCAGGGTACCCTTTGGGGAGCAGGAAGCCAATAAAAAGTTCAGAGGTCATTGGATGTCAAAAAAAAAAAAAAAAAAAAAAAAAAGAAAGAAAAAAAAGACACATAGACCAACTGAACACAGTAGAAATCCCAGAAATAAATCCACACATTTACAGCCACTGAGTTTTGACAAATGTGCCAAGAACATACAATGGAGAAAGGACATTGTCTTCAATAAATTGTGTTGGGAAAACTAGATATCCACATGCAGAAGAATAAAATTAGACCTTTATCTCACACCATATGCAAAAATCAACTCAAAATAGATGAAAGACTTAAATGTAAGAGCCAAAGCAATGAAACTGTCTGAAGAGAACATTGGGCAAAATCTCCTTTATATTGATCTGGGCAATAATTTTTTTGACCTAAAAAGCACAGGCAACAAAAGCAAAAATAGGCAAGTGGGATTCCATTAAACTAAAGTGCTTCTTCACAGTATAGGAAATGATAAACAGAGTGAAGAGATAACCTACAGAATTGGAGAAAATATTTGCAAACTATACATCTGATAAGGGTTAATACCCAAAGTGTATAAGGAATTCAATTAAATAGAAAGAAAGAAAGTAATCCAATTTGAAAAATGAACAAAGGACCTAAACTGACATTTCTGAAAATAAGATGTACAAATGTTCAGTGGGTACATGAAAAAATGCTCAACGTCACTAGTCATCAGGGAAATGCAAATTAAAACCACAATGAGATATCACTTCACTCCTGTAAGAATGCCTATTATGAAAAACACAAATGAGAACAAATATTGGTGAGGATATACAGAAAAGGTAATTCTTTTACATTGTTGGTGGGAATATAAATTAATACAGCTACTGTAGAAAATAGCATGGAGGTCACTCAAACAATAAAAAGAGAACTACCATACGATTCAGCAATCCTACTACTGGGTATATAAACAAAAGAAATGAAATCATTATGTTGAAGAGATATCTACACTCCCATGTGTATTCACAATAGCCAAGACATGGAATCAACCTAAGTGTTTATCAATGAACAAATGGGTGAAGAAAATGTGGTATATATATACACACACACAATGGAATACTATTCAGCCATAAAAAGAAGGAAATTCTGTTATTTATGACAACATGAATAAACCTCTATGACATTCTATTAAGTGACATAAGCCAGGCACAGGAAAACAAATACCATATGATCTCACTCATATATGGAATCTAAAATTGTTGATCTCATAGAAGCAGAAAATAATCTTGTTTACCAGAGGCTGGGCTGCTTGGCAGGGAGCGGGTGAGGGGGCAATTTAGAGAGATGTTGGTCAAAGGATACAAAATTACAGTTAGGAGGAATAAGTTCAAGAGATCTGTAGCATGGTGGCTATAGTTAATGACCATATATTGTATTTTTGAACAATGCTCATCACAAAATAACTATGTGAAGTAACGTATATTTTAGTTAGACTTAGCCATTTCACAATGTTCATATACTTCAAAGTATCATGTCATACCTAATAAGTACATGCAATTTTATTTGTCACTTTAAAATACATAAATAAATTTGAAAAAATAACGAAATACTATCAATCTGAGAAAAGAGAGAAATAGCGCTGAGTTTGAGCTCTCTCACAAAAAGATGAATTATTATTAGTGATTTTGGACAATTATGACTCTTAGATATGAGGGTAACATGGGACCCTGAAGAGAAGTTGGCAGTTAGGATTAAGACATAGAGTGGTGGTGTGGTTGAAGATTTGAATTCTACAGCTGGGTAAACCTGTGTTTAAATCATGGTCCGATACTTCCAAACCATGTGACCTTGGGCAACTTATTTAACTCCCTAAGCCTTGGTTTCCTCATTTCGAGAAGGAAATTAATAAACCTCATTTTATGGAGTTTTGGTGAGGAAGATGTGATATGTTAATTGTAACAAAATCCTAGGTTCACAGTAGGTACTTAATGAATGGTAGTATTATTGGCTATTATCATTTAAGTCATACAGAGAGTAGGGATGTCAAGCAAAAGATGATGTGTGAAAACCCTGATTGCACATTTACTCAGCATGAAACTGGGGCACATGTTTGTAGTAATTCAAATCTCTGCAAGTAAGGTATGTGTGGCAACAAATCAATGAGGCAATTGAATTTATTTTGCAGAAAACAGAAAATACTGCTGACAGACGGCAATAATTCCATGTTAAGTAGGTGTCAGATGTTTCCTCTCTCCTTTCTCTTCTTCTTTTCCACCTCAGCAGTGGCACAGTGGCCTCAGAAAGGGAACTGGATCCCTCATGCCACTAACTAGCTGTGTCACTCAGTCCTTCTGGGCCTCAATTTTATATCTATAAGGGAGTCCTTCTGTTATGGTCTAGGTGTCTTTGCCAAAACTCATGTTGGAACCTTAATTCCCAGTACAACAATGTTGGGAGGTCATCCTTTAAGAGATCATTAGGTCATTAAAATAGATTAATATCTTTCTCAAGAAACTGAAACAGTTCTTATGGAAATGGATTAGTTTTTCTAGGAATGAATTTGTTTCTGCCAGAACGGGTTGTTATGAAGTGAGGTTGACTCTCATGTTTGACCTCTTTGCACATGCCCACTTCTTCTACTTCTTCGCTATGTTGTAACACAACATGATACCCTTCCCAGAAGCCAAGCAGATGCAGATGCCATGCTTCTTGGACTTCCCAGCTTCCAGAATTGTGAGCAAAAAAAGTCTTTTTTTTTAATAAATTACCCAGTCTCAGGTATTCTGTTATAGCAACACAAAACAGACTAAGACACCTTCCTTCAAGAAAACAAACTAAAAAATTCTATGAAGAAGATTCTCTTAGCCTTTGGCATTTTCATATAATGTGTTGATCACATGAAATAATGGATACAGAAGACTTGATTTTCTGATGCTGCTCAACGACCTTAATATTCACTATTTTAGCTTCCGACTGGCCTTCCTTCTCAGATCTGGGCCAACACTGCCCAATCCCCAGTAAACACATACATCCAGTCCCCTCCAATCGTAAAAAAACAAGGAAAACACCCTCTCTTGATGCTGATCTCCCATCTAGTTATTCCTCAATCTCTCTCCTTTCTTTCCAGTCAGTCTCCTTGAAACAAGAGATACAGTATTTTCCTTTAATATTCTGGGGACTGAATCAGTGATTACTTGACCACTGCCTGGTCTTCTCAGGGCTAGCCTACTCTTGCTGCTTTGGGAGCCAGAACTGTAAAAGTAAATCCTATAGCATTTGAATTTGTTTGAAATGCAATTCTTGTTTTATCTGTGTTTTGTGAACATCCATAGATAAGTGTGGATAAATGCAAGAAAAAAATGGAAAACTGTTAGAAGTCAGATGGTGTGGTGTTTAAGGAAATTATTGGCAAAAACTCTTCTTCTGACCAGATCCCAAGTTAATTAATGGGTTCTTCCTATAAGACAGTGAGTGAAAAGTTCAGAACACCAAGGGACAGATTCAGCTAGAAAGGCTCTTCAACAAAAATCCTTCTATTTCTACTTAAGATGATATAAAGTGATTATTACATATTATTCCCATTAGTTTCTCAGTTCTTGCTTGTGTGACTTCTTTCCTCGAATTACTTAAGAAACTTAAAGAGTGAAGACAGCCCTATATATTAGTCCATTCTTGCCTTGCTGTAAAGAACGAACTACCTGAGATTGGGCAACTTATAAAGGAAAGAGTTTAGTCGACTCATAGGTCTGCAGGCTGGCAGCATTACTAGAGAAGCCTCAGGAATCATACCATCATGGTGGAAGGCCAAGGGGAAGCAGGCACGACTTACATGGCTGGAGCAGGAGGAAGAGAGAGCAAAGCGGGAGGTGCCACACACTTTTAAACAACCAGATTGCCTGAGAACTCACTCCCTGTCACAAGAACAGCAAGGGGCAAATCCACCCCCATGATCCAATCACCTCCCACCGGGCCCCTCCTCCAACACTGGGATTACAATTCGACATGAGATTTGGGCAGGGACACATATCCAAACCATATCACCCTATAAGAGGTTTATCTGTGATTAAGCTCCATGATGCAAGCTAGTCCAATGCTCCTTTTTTTGTGTACCAAATACCAACAATGATGATATTTAAGTCCTACCTTTCCTTTCACATTTAGGACACTGAGAAGCATATTTCCTTTCTTCTCTCATAGAAATATTCAAAGCTGTAAGCATGTATAAGTTCTCATGACATTGAGGGAGATAAAATGGGTGAAAACTATTGCATGCTTTTGCTTCCTTCTGATGGTAAGGTATATAAATTACTTCAGAGGAATAAAAGAGCAAGTTTTATGTTTTAGTCCTACCCTGGAGATGGCTCATCTTTAACCCAGAGAAAGCCTTGGCATAGTTTTCTAAGAGCCTGATAAAGAGAGGCATAAATGGAGAAGGCAAACTTTCATATTTTAACATATAATTTTTCTTAAGAAGTGATCAGATCATGAGGATATTATATATATATATATATATATACACACACACATGTATATGTAATTTTCAAATGAAAATTTAAAACGAGTGAAGTACGTGAATGAAGAGGTGAGGAAACAGAGACTTTGAATTGCTTGAATTCTCTATTCAAGAAGCTTGCCTGAGAGGAAAGGAGATAGAGAAATAACTGGAGGGAGGAGCAGAATCAAGGGAGAGTGTTTTGCTTGTGTTTTTAGGATTGGAGAAGCTTGACTTTTTTTTACTGAGGGAAGAATCTATCAGTGAGGATAGACTAAGCTCCTGGGGAGAGAGAGAATGTGGAGGAAAATAAAACCTTGGGAAGATGAGCTAGGATTCCAAAGAAAGGGGAAAGTGAAATGAAGAAGGGGCTGCCCAGATTTAGGCTTTGTAGAGATGGTGTGTATGAGGGAGGTAAGAAAGGGATTGGCTGTGGTGTTTTTGTTTGATTGAGATGTAAGTGAGTCTGAGAGGAGGCTGCCCACAAGTTGCTGTTTATCTGAGAGAAAACGGAACCATCAAGAGACTAAGGGTGGTTCTCAAAAATTTCGAAGAGCAAGCATAATTATTTCAAACTTAATTTTGTTATAGTATTTGCTACCCATGGCCTTCAGTTTTCCTTCGGGCAATGTATAAAGTTACTGACTTAAAAATGATTGAATTATAAACTTGTGTTGAAATGAAGAACTCTTTCCTCCTCTGCCATGGTAAGAATTCATTTTTAAAAATATCTTCATATACATAAGAAATGTTTCATAAGCAAATTGCTCTTTTAAAGAGTTCTTGGAAATATTAGATGCATTATGCATGTACTGACCTTTCATGAATGTTCCATATTAATCATCTTACATTGTTTTTTGTATAGATGTAGAAATCTAGTTAGTTCAAGATCTAAAAATTCAGTATCAATCCAACACATCATTTTGCTGTCAGATAGGTATACAGCACATATACCCCTAAACTTAAAATAAAATTAAAAAAAACAAAATAAGGGACAAAAACAAAAACTCCCACTAGTTTTATATATTTACATTATGAAGATTATATACAAAGGAAAAGGCTTTCCTAAATCAGGTGTTAGCCAAAATAAAAACAAAGAAAATACACAAAATTCTATTGCTTTGAACTGATTTCATTAATGGAAATAAATAAGGAATGTAATTAAGTAGAACAGGAAAATGATTTCAGATTTCTTTGTTGTACATTCATCAGTTGAAAAAATAAATTAAAAGTTTCATTTTATTTTGGAACATAACACATTTTATGTTTTAACCAGCTAAGATCTGAGTCTATTTGCTGGTGTAGACACAGATGTATAAGTTTCTATTTGCAATATATTTGTATATCAGTACAAATAGAAATTTCCTCTTCTAGAGGGGAAATCAGATTTTGTTTACATTTTTCTCCTTTGTGCTTTCACAGTATACTTACAGTAAATAAAATGTATGTGACGTGAAAGGGAGATAATACTTTTAGGAGACAAAAAGAATATGAACGCAGACCAGCAACACTTCTCAATCACTCACTTAAAAGGGTTCTTCCTTCTAGATATTTTATCATTGGAAAAATATTGTTCTGTAATTTAAAAAATCTTAAAACAGGCAAAGTCTTGCACGTTTCTCTATCTTTGAACACAAGTATACATTGGGCATCATCCAACGTCTTCTCATACACTATCATCTATTTATTTATTGAGATCAAATTCATATAAAAATTCACCATTTTACAGTGTACAATGTAGTGGCATTAAATACATTTACATATTGTACAACTAGCACCACTATCTAATTCTAGAACATTTTCAACCACTAATCTACTTCTAGTCTCTATTGCTTTGCCTGTTCTGAACATTTCATATAAATGAAATCACATAAGACGTGGCCTTTAAAACTGGCTTCTTTCAATTAGCATGTTTCCAAGTTTCATCCATGTCGCATCACATATCAGTACTTCATTTCTCTTTATGGCTTTCATTTCTCTTTATGGCTGAATAGAATTCCATTTTATAGATATATCACATTTTGTTTATCCATTTAGTTAAAGGACATTTGAGTTATTTCCACCTTTTTCTTGCTATGAATAGGGGTGCTATTAACAATTGTACGAACCTATGTTCTCAATTCTCTGAGTAGAATGCTAGGCTACATGGTGACTCTATTTTTAATAATTTATGGAACTGCCAAACTTTTCTACAGTGACTGCACTCTTTTACATTTCCATCAGCAATATATGAGGGTTCCAATTTCTCCACATCCTTGCTAATACTTATTATTCATTTAAAATTTTTAAAAAATAATTATGGACATCCTAGTGGATGTGGAGTCTTCCTTTTAATTAAAAAGATATTTTTTGTCTTAAAATGTATTTTGTCTGGCATTGGTACACCCACTGCAGATCCCTTTTGGTTACTGTTTGCACAGGATATCTTTTTCCTTATCTTTTTACTTCTAATCTATTTGTGTATTGTGCATAGTCTTTTTCTTGGAGTGGCCAAACAGGAGGCCATTTTTCCTAGAGCATCCTTATTTATTGACATGTGAGTGTCTTTCATCTGAGATTGTTTAATATCTATAGAAAACATTGCATGTCTCTCATTGAAGGGTGTGTGCCTAGCCTTTAGTGTTCTATATTTGGTGTTAAAAAGGGAGCGTCTTCTTTTTATATTAACTTATAAACCATCTTCCTGTTTTTAATCTGTGTCTCACCCATAACACCTTCTTCCCTTGTGTCTCCAAGACCCTAGCCTCTTAAGGGTTCTGCAGGATAAAAATGGCTCTCATATCATCTATATCTCTTTATTTGGCTACTTTACACTAAAGAACACTCTGCTAAATCTGCTTCTTATATCTTTTCTGTACTGGTCTCTCTCTCTCTCTCTCTCTCTTTGTGTGTGTGTGTGTGTGTGTGTGTGTGTGTGTGTGTGTGCAGTCTTCTATGCTTGTGGCTATTTCACCATCTCTGGGAGTCATCAATGGTTGAAGTACATATGTTCAAAACTGAATAGAAGTTGTTCTGTATAACTTCAACAAATCCTAAGTTTCCACTATCTGCTACTGCTTTCAGATTTGAGAGGTGTCCAAACTTTTCTCCATTTTTTTGAAGAAAAGGAGAACCTCTATGATAGTCACTAAAAGAAGAATAGTTGGGTTGATTACTCATGTTCTTTCCCACCTCAAAACTCTGCCTAAAAGAAGAGAAATGAAGTAGTATTACATTTAATGAGCAATGTTTAAACTCCTCTTAGGTGTCAATTTTATGGTGAGATGTGAAGTCTCAAGGAAGAAACAGTCTGATTTTATGAAAGCTCTCAAACCAGGAAGGAAAAGTTTTTATGAGCCATTGGGAAAAGTTAAGGGTCGCCAGAAATAGTTGGTTGATTGATGTACCATAAAAAGTGCAGAGGAAGGCCTGCACCTGAGAAGATTAATCAACAGTTAACTGTATGCATTTATTTACCTGTCATTTCAGGTTTTCTGCTTTCTACTTCTTTGCTTTGAACCTGAAGATCTCAGTTTTAACCACAGGAAGAAAAGTGATTCACAGTGTAGTTTCCTTTATTCAGCTAGCTAGTGATCCAGACCCATGAGTATACATCTAGTTTATTGCTAGAAAACAGCAAAATTGGTTCTTAAAAATTCATGTGGCACCTCTCTTCTTCATTCTCCTCCTCCTTGAGTTGTGAAAATGTAGGAAACATAAGGTTAGAAAAAGTAATTAAATAAAACAGATACTTTTGTAACCTTATCCTTCCTACTTATATGGTGGTCTTCCAAGGACATTGTACCTATAGTTTCATTATATTTTCTCTGTTGTTGGCAGAACATTTTACAATGAATTGTGAAGTTTTAAATATAGCCAAAATATGAGAATTTTTTAAAGAAATAAAACTAAGCCTCAGGTTGTTTGAATATCTGAATGTAGCAGTTATAATTTACTCCTAGTGTTATCCCTTGTCCCTCACTCCTTAGGCACTTTTAAAAAACATAATATACTCTAAGTATTCTTCTATGTTATTACTCGTTTTGTAAATGGCCATTTAAAATGCAGTATAATTCTACCAAACTGTTATACTATAGTCTCTTTAATCTATTTTTTATTGTTTGGTGTGTAAGGTTTTAATTATTTGCTCTAAAAAGTGCTGTGATGAACATCTTCCTCCATAATCACTTGTTCATATTTAGAACTACTTTCTCAGGATAAATCTTAAGAGCAGAGTTATTGAGAAAAAGGAAGGTACACTTTAAAGTCTCTTGATGAATAAATCAAGATGCAAAGTATTTTATCAGTTTCACATCGATCACGAATATTTAGTGCCCTCATATCACCACTTTGCCCTATGAACTGATGCCATTATCCCACCCCTGCCAATTAACTAGCACAGCTATTTTCTAAATGCCAGAATCCCTCTAGAACCTGCCATGATCTGAACTCAGATTCCCTCTTCTCCTTTCACTATCCAAACCAGCATCCACAGAACTGTCTGCTCAATTAATCCAGAGAAAGATGAATTAGATAGATTGGATTGGTCTTAATACTAACCCTGAGCTTTAGTTCAGTGTCCTTTTCTAGCTAGAGTCTTACTTATTTCTTTCCCCAGTCGCCAAGTTTCTTAAAGAGTTGTATACACCTTATGTCTCCGCTTACCTCCTCCACTGTGATTTGGCTACAGCCCACTCACTCTTCCCTTCATTCTAACGAAACTGCTCCCACTAAGGTTGCCAGTGACTGTCCTGTTACTACATTTTATAGTTATCCTTTTACCTGACTTTTAACCACTTCTGCCTTAAACGACATTACCATGTACCCAATCTGTTAAGCCAGAAGTCTAGGAGTCATTCCTGGCTTTTTTCTTTCCTTCCTTATCCAACTTGTTACCAATTCTTGATTATTATACTTCCTAAATATCTAACATATTTGCCCACTTACTTCTATTCTCAATGCCACTTTTTTAGATCAGGGCCCCTGGATTCTTACAATAGCCTTCAACAGGTCCCTTGCTTGCCCTCCTCCCTCATTATTTTTTTCCATATGTAACCAGAGTCATGTTCTAAAACAGTGGTTCACAAAGTGTGACCCCCGAGACCAGCATCATCAACATCATATAAGGGGAGGATGGGACTCAGCAATCTATGTTTTAACAAATGCTCTGGGTAATTCTGATGCTTGCTTAAGTTTGAGAACCACTATTCAAAAATACTATATTTTCATTGTTTGAAGTCCTTTGATGGAATCTAGACAGAATTTAACTAGTTCTTCTACTTTAGGGCCTCTTACAAGCTGCAATCAAAGTGTTGACTGGGCTGTGGTCATCTTAAGGCCTGATTAGGGAAGTTCAAGTTCATGTGGTTCTTTACAGGATTTGGTTCCTCATGAGCTGTTAGACTGAAGTCCTTAGATCCTCAATGAATGTTAGCTGAATGTCACCCTCGGCTCATTGCCATGTGAGCCTCTCCAATATGGCAGTTTGCTTCATCAAACTGCAAGCTGAGGAGGAAGTAGAGAGAGTCTACTAGCAGGACAAAGTCAGAATAATTTGTAACCTAATCATAGAACTGACATTCCCAAATTTTGCAGTATTATATTCATTAGAAGAAAGTCCCTAGCTATAGCTCACACTTAGAGGATGGAATTACACAAGGGCATGAATACCAGGAATACCAGGAGGCAGGGACCTCTGGGTGTCATATCAGAAGCTGTACCATACCATAGCAGAAGATGTTGGACAGGAGGGAAGACCAGAGAGGAAATAACAAAATCAAAGTATGTGAGATATGGGAGAGACCAAATATAAGCTTTTGACATAGGAGCAGGATCCTAATCAAAAAGTGGGGCTGATTCAGGAACTGGATTAAAGGGCAGATTGAGAACAGGCCTGAAGTCTAAAATACTACTGTTCTGAGTTCTGAGGATTCCCAATTGCCGTCATAAATGGGAATGCTTAGGTATATGAGATGGACCTGAAAGTACAGAAACTACTCCTTAACTGAGGATAATTAATGCTGGAAAGAAAGCTACGTAAAGTAAATCTGAATAAAATGTAGACTATGGTTTATAGTAAATAGCAACTTTTTAAAAGTGTGATAGGTTTGATGGTCTTGCTTTTAAAAATGAAAACGGAAAAAATTTAAAAATAACAATTTTAATTTTAGCAAATGTAGGTTGGAATTGAAAGTATGTACAAACCAAAAAAGGAATTAATGTTTCTGGAGCAACATTTCTAACAAAATTGTATGCTATCAAGATATGACATTTCACTTCCGTTTTGTAGTATGCTCATAAAATAAGTCAGTTTTGCAAAATTATTAGACAAAGTTATTATTTTAACTTTTTGACATTTAATTTAACCTTTTTATTTGAAGCATGAATCTTCAACTTCTATTTCTGATATGGTTGAATGAGCTCTTACTAGACCTGATCAGGTTATAGATAACAACAATAAACTCTGGAACTAGAGTGCGAACAAAAACAGGAAGACGTAGGGTTGTCAGCACTTGGAAGAAGGGATGGCACAGGGTAACTTACCCATTTTCATGGCTTTAAGACTGAAGAGGGCAGCAGTTGGTTTGTGGTACAGCTAAAACGCAAATGTAAAATCTGCAGTATTTCTGCGCTGCATTACCAGACAATAGACTTCAGAGAATCCACAGAGAATGTAAAGTGAGGAGGGAATTCCAGAGAGGAAATTCTTTGCATAATCTTTGATAAAATATCTAGGTGACCCCTGAAAACTGCACATGTGAAGAGAAGGTTTTAGTTAAGGATAAAATAAATGAAATGAAAGTTGAGCTATCACACAAAATACAGAATTTGCAGTTTGAAAACAACCTAATTAAGAGTGTATTGAAACAAACAAGTGGCAGAGAGCAATGGCTCACGCCTGTAATCCCAACAATTTGGGAAGCCGAGGCGGGTGGAACACCTGAGGTCAGGAGTTCGAGACCAGCCTGGCCAACATGGTGAAACCCCGTCTCTACTAAAAATACAAAAAAAGTATGTGGGCGTGGTGGCAGGCACCTGTAATCCCAGCTACTTGGGAGACTGAGGCAGGAGAATCCCTGGAACCCGGGAGGCGGAGGTTGCAGTGAGCCGAGTTCGTGCCACTGTATTCTAGCCTGGGCAACAGAGCGAGACTCCAGCTCAAACAAACAAACAAACAAAAAAAACAAGCAAATGCAGTTGTCTTCATCTTTGGAGAAATACAGCGTAATATAGAGTCTCCACAACCTAACATTGACAGTGCCCAAGATATCATCCAAAGTTATTCAACATATTAAGAAACAGGAAAATGGAACTCATTTTTAAGAGTCAGTCAGTAGAAACCAGACCCACAGTGGCCCAAGTTTAAAATTAGCAAACAGGAATTTTAGAGTGACTATTAAAAGTATACTCAAAGATGTAAAGACAAATATTCTTGTGGAGAATAAAAAGGAAGGAAACCTCATAAAAAATATAAACTACTTTTTAAAAACCAGATGGAAATTTTAGAACTGAAAAATAAAATATCTAAAATAAAAAATTCATTGGATGGGCATAATAACAGAAAGGAGATGACACATGAGAGTTATTAAACCTGAAGATAAAGAAATTGAAATTAACCTGAAGAACACTAAAAAATATTTACAAATAATAAATAGAGCCTCAGGCATCTGTGAGACAAAAGCAAAAGAATTAATATGGGTGTGATTGGTGTTCAAGAAGGTAAGAAGATAGAATGGGGCTTAGAAATTATTTGAAAAGATAATGACTGAAAATTTCCCTAATTTGATTCAAGTCACGACTTCTCATATTCAAGAATTTCAACAAACCCAAACATGATTAAAGATGTGTAATTATTCTCCCCCCCCGCCTTTTTTTTGTTAACTGGTGCAACTCTAGAAAATCCTTATTTGTTAACAGCTTTGGATGTGATCTGAACAGTTGTAAACATCACTTTCAATGACATCATGAATCTTTCATTTGCAAAATTTGAAACTTTGATTTGCAATTAAACGCACTTTATTTATACTATATTGTAGAATATTATAAATGTCCAGTGAAAAAATGATCTACAAATATATTAGTATGATATGAGATAGATATTAGTGGTAAGTGGAGGGAAATGTTTGTGTGGGATCAAATTTTATGTAAGGAAATTTAAGTGGTTGCATTTCTTTTATAAAGACTTACCTATGCCACCTAGAATCGGCTGGGAGGCTTAAATGCTCAGATAACAAGGCTGAGATGGATTTTTTTCTAGCATCCTTCCATCAGAGGCCTTGTTATTCAAAAATATGTTGGCATCTCAAAGAGCCTAGCATAGTGCTTTACAGATAAACAATAAATTATTGTTTGTGGATTGGTTTTATGATAGAAGCCTAATGAAAAATAAATTTTCAATGTATATAGGGTGCAGATGAAATGGGACTTTGTCAGAAAAAGGGAGAAAGAAAAGTATTGGTTGACAGAAGTCTGTTAAACTGGAAACATGATTTTGCATCACTAATAAGGTTAAGATGGGCAAATAAAAAGTCAAATACTTATTGGACTCTAATATATTACATGAATCAGTCCCCTTACAATTATAATGTACTTATATTCTCTATTTTACAATTAAAATATTTATTATAAACATACATTTTAACTAACATTATATAAATAGTGGACTTAACACTATTTAGTGAAATTCTTTTAAATTTCTGTTGATTTTATAGCTTGTAACCCCTGGAATCTCTACACTAAATGTGTTTCTGAAGCTAGCTCTTCCTCCTGTTTTGTAAGGATAGTAAATGAAACCTGTAGTCTAGTTAGGAAATGACAGGTAGTTAACTTGTGAGTGGTTTTCAAGAGCTTTCTTGATGAGTAAACTACATCTAAATTGCAGTGAGACCTTGAACTCCTCTTTATTTACCTTTCGTCAAGTAGAAAGCACCATCATCATCTGCCCTAAAAACATGCCCTTTTCTTCAGCTGCAAAATGCTTTCAGACTATCGAATATGGAGCCTTTTTCTGGACACACAAAAATGCATAAGGGAATGGATATGTCATTCTCATGTGAACAACATTCAATTTCTTTTTGGCTTAAATAAAGTTCTTGTGAAAATATGGCTCCAAGTCCACTTTGGGAGTGCTGAAACTTAAGGAGTTATCACAAAGAATATGATAAAGCTCTGCCTTGTAACTGGAGCTCTATTTCCATGAAGTATCTGCAAATTCATTAGGAAAAAATATTTTCATATTAAACTTGGCCACGAAAGAATTGTTTTTGACTGTGACCCTTGTATTGGAGGCTTCAGACATCACCAGACATTTTTCACAGTTTATTTTAATTGTGCCTTGAAATCAAAGAATCTGCCCTCAGGTAAAGAAGGCCAGATTTGATCTGGAACTGAAGGAAAGTTCCATAATTTTCCTAAACTGTATTATAGATTTTAGAATAGAAGCCATGAATGTAATCCTGTCTTTACAACCTAGCGCTGAGATGATGTTAGGTCAATGACTAAGAATTAACTTTTTGAATACCTGATATACCACCACAGTGTAATATCACTCTGACTCCATGCATCTTTCAAGTTAGTGCTTTCAATTAATCAAGCAAGTTATAACTTGCATCAACGTTGCCTGTAACTTGTAATGTAAGTTCATTGTTCCTGTGTTCCCAGGGTCCCAGGAGGCACGGTTCAGCACCTAGCTTCTCTGGCTGTCTCTGCTACCTGGGCCGTTTAGGTATCATTTCATTAACCCAAAGAACAATGTATGCCAATGATAGAAATCCAAATGGTACATATGATTATCCAATGAAGGAAAGTCTTCTTCTGATGCCAGACATGCAGTTTACTAGTCTCTCTTCCCCAGAGGCAACTATTGTTCAATTTTATGCATACCCTTTTTAGAAAAGTTCTATGCTTGTGTAAACTTTACACACATACCCAAATATATATCATATGGTGTAGGATTACATAAGTACAAACATACTGGATGTACTATTTTGTACCTTGTTTTTTAATTTAAAAATGGATCCTATAAATTGTTCCATAGTCATGCATATATTAGTTAAAATATATAAATTGGAAAAATTCCTAGAATTCCTAGAATTAGAATAGCTGAATTAAAGGGTATGCATGTTTATAGCTTTTTAAAACTTTTGTTTTATTTGGAATTTATTTTGATAAGAGTGAGATGGGGTCTATGTTGATGCATTTCCAGATTGCAGCTAGTTTTCTCCAACACTGCTACTGAGCAACAGATCTCTCAACACTGCTTCAGAAAAATAGCTTTTATCATATAATAAAGTCCCATTGTATACATATTACTGGAATTTATTCTGTTCAATCAACTTGTTTACTCAGCTTTTAAAATTACCATAGCTTTATCATATATTTTAATATATGATTAAGCTAGTCATTTATGTTTGCATGTTTATTTTTTGACCTAATTCTTAAAATTTAGTTTTTTTAGTTAAAAAATAGCCTGGAACAGTTTTCTTTTCTGGTATCACAATTTATAGAATGACTTATGGAGATTTAAAGTCATTGCAACATACCATCTCATAGGCTAACAGGATATGCTATTATTTTAATTTGCCTGGTTATTTTATTTGTGTATCTTTAAGTGTTCCCGTTTATATCCTAAACTATCTCCATTGCTTGATTTATTAACTTTAAACAATCTAGTAATAATATGCCTTACAAAATTAAAAAATTCAATGTGCTTACATTCTTATACCAAACTGTTTCTTTCATCCTCTCAATATTTCTTAATTATTTTTGAAAAATATATTCATAATTTTTAATATTTATATTTTTATTATTTCACAAATTTTTTAAAAATTTGAAACAAAGTCTCACTCTGTAGTCCAGGCTGGAGTGCAGTGGCACAATCATAGCTCACTGCAGCCTCAACCTCCCAGGCTCAAGTGCTCTTCCCACCTCAGCCCCTCAGTAGCTGGGACCACAGGTGCCTGCTACCATGCCTGGCTAATTTTTGTATTTTTTGTAGAGACGGGGTTTTACCATGTTGTCCAGGCTGGTCTTGAACTCATGGGCTCAAGCGATCTGCCCTCCTTGGCCTCCCAAAGTGCTGGGATTACAGGTGTGAGCCATCGTGTCTGGCAGCTTTTATATGTGAGTGTAATCAATTTATTCTACCAATCCTTTAACTATTATTTCTTCAATTATTTTTTAGTCTCCTTGTGGTTAATAATTAATGTTATTTGCCTTTGTTTATAAAAAATAGGTTGGCTGGGAATAAATATCTACCCTTTTACCTCTTGGGCTTAGTAGACTTGCTTTACTGTCTTCTGGCAAAAAAGATTTCGCGTGGCAAATGGAGTAGTTCCTTGCACATCCTACCCCATAGGTGAGTTGATTGATTGGTTGTTTTTTTGCCTGGGTGCTTATAGTATCTTTTAAGTTCATCTTTGAAATTTTGGAGTTGATTGTTTTATATCAACTTCAGGGGGCACAATATGCCTCTTCAGTCTTTTATAGAAGTTTTTTTTCTATTGTCCTTTTTTGCAAACTATTGTCTTATTTCTTTTGTTTCCTTTTTCAGCAATACCAATTATTCCTATTTTGGAGCCCTTTTGTCTTTCATTTTCTGTCTACTATTTGTGCAGTGTTTTCTCTTTTTCATGTCATTTTGCTCAGTTTCCTCAATGTGATTGTTAATATTTATGACTTTATTTTCACTAGTGTCTAGGTTCTCTTTTGATATTTCTAATGTTTCCTTCATTTAAATCATGGTTTTATTTTTTCTATTTATTTTATTTTATTAATTGTATAGAAAAGCTATTTTCTCCTTGACCTTCCTTTGCCTTTTAAAAATATGCTTTATAATGTGGTTTTTCTGGCTTAGCTTTTGGCTATCTTTTTTTTCTTGAAGTACTTCTTTATATATATTTCTTTAATATATATGTGTATTTATATGGAATATATAATACATTCCATTAAATATATTATATATGTAGTACATTCCATGCTTTATACATTTCATGCTTGTTCATTTCTAGTTACTATTCATCTTAGAATTAAGGCTTTTGGGAAAAAAAGTGAGGTAGGAGAAGATGGACCATTTAGCAAAATAAAAGAAAATATAGTCCTTTGATGTAAGAGCATTGAGAAGAGATGAAAAAGCCATAAGAAAAAAAATGATACAGCAGCAAAAAGAGATAAATAGTGAAATGGTAGAGCTCAAAAAGAAATGAGAGAGAAAAATAAAAGCCCAACAGAAATCAAGACATTAGATGCTGCAAAGAATAGAATAGATGGCACAGAAACACAGTCAATGATGAAGAGAATAGGCTTGAAAAGTTATTTTTTAGTCGACTGGTTATTTCTTTTAAAAATAAAGTATAACAGAAGGGCTGCAAGAGTGAGCTGTGTTAATTAATTGTCTTTGTAGGCTTTACAAATTTAAGAAAAAAACCCCTTTTGTGGGTTAGATTCTGCTATTATCTAGTAGAATATCTTTTTTGGTCACATTGAAAGTTCCCATGTCACAAGATTTCTTATGAATTGATGTAGTGTGTTCCTTTTATCTTACCAAGAACAGGTCACTATTCTCCATCTCATTTCTTTCCTCTCACCCCAACAGGTGGGTTTTTCTTTCAATGTATCAGGTTTTCCCCCTTATTTATCTCAATTTCCTTTGCCACAGTGTGTTGTCAAACAGCTATAAGGAGTGAGTGCTTTGCCGTGTACCCAGACCTTGCCTTTGCAAGTAAGGAGTTGTTGATTTCACTCTTCATCTGGTGATCTCCCTGTAATACTGAAGATCTGCGTTATCCCACTCTCAGCTTCTCTCAATGAGCTCTAACACTCACTACCTTTGGCTGACTTCTTGAAGTTTGGTTCATCATTGTGGCTGCATACACATTTTATAAGTCTGTTTTCACACTGCTCTAAAGAACTACTCTGAGACTGGGTGATTTACAAAGAACAGAGGTTTAATTTTCTCACAGTTCCACATGGCTGGGGAGGCTTCAGGAAACTTACAATCATGATGGAAGGCGAAGGTGTGGAGGCAAGTCCTTCTGAACATAACCAGATCAGACATGGCAACCTGCTGAATTTAAGCATATTAGTCAGTGGAGGAAAAGAAATTAACCTGGACTCCCTCAGTAACAGCAAGTGAACAGGGAAGAGCCCAGCATTGAATCCCTGCCCCACAGTAGGGTGCAGGAAATGTGGCATATTGAAGACCCACTCCCCGGTGATGCTCATGGGGGGCCCAAGTCCTTCTGATTGAGGCCCAGCTCATGGACGGTGTGAGGCTGGTAGTGGTCCCCAGTGTGCCAGGCCCAGGTCTTCCCAGAGTTGGGCTGCTTGGGAATGCAGACGAAAGAGGGTGGTAAACTCCATCTATGGCTAAATACTGGCATGAGACCAATAGTCAACAAGTACCATAAGTGAAAGTTGAAAAGAACTTAGAAGAGAGACTTCAAGAGGGTATGACCCGCTCTGGGGATGGTATCAAGTAGGGAGTTTGACTGGGGCAGTCAAGGCATGTCTTACATAGTGGCAGGAGGAGTAGGGGACTGCCAAAATCTTTAAAGCCATCAGATCTTGTGAGAACTCATTATCCTGAGAACAGCATGGAGGAAGCACCCTGTGATCCAATCACCTCCCACCAGGTCCCTCCCTCTCATGTGATGATTACAATTTGAGATGGGGTTTGGGTGGGGACACAAAGCCAAAACATATCATTTCACCCTGGCCCCTCCCAAATCTCATGTCCTTCTCACATTTTAAAACACAATCATGCCTTCCCAACAGTCCTACAAGTCTAAACTAATTCCAGCATTAACTCAAAAGTCCGATTCCAAAGTATCATTTGGGACAAAGCAAGTCCTTTCTGTGAGCCTGTAAAATCAAAAACAAGTTAGTTACTTCCTAGATACATGGCAATACAGGCATTGGATAAATACACCCGTTCCAAATAGGAGAAATTAGCCAAAACAAAGAGGTTACAGGCCCCATGCAAGTCCAAAGCCCAGTGGGGGAGTCATTAAATCTTAAAACTTCAAAATGATCTCCTTTGACTCCATGTCTCACATCCAGGGCACAGTGATGCAAGGGGCAGGCTCCCAAGGCCTTGGGCAGCTCCACCTCTGTGGCTCTGCAGGGTACAGCCCCCAAGGCTACTTTCGCAAGCTGGTGTTGAGTCCCTGTGGCTTTTCCAGGTGCACGGTGCAAGTTGTCAGTGGATCTACCATTCTGGGATCTAGAGAAAGGTGGCCCTCTTCTCACAGCTCCACTACCCAGTGGGAACTTTGTCTGAGGGCTCCAATCCCACATTTCTCCTCTGCATTGCCCTAGTAGAGGTTCTCAATGAAGGTTCCACCCCTGCAGCAGACTTCTGCCTGGACAGCCATGTGTTTCCTTACGTCCTCTGAAATCTAGTCAGAGGCTCCCAAAGCTCAACTCTTGTCTTCTGTGTACCTACAGGCCAAATACCAGGTGGAAGCCACCAAGGCTTGGGGCTTGTACCCTATGAAGCAAAGGCCCAAGATGTACCTTAGCCCCTTTTAGCCATGGCTAGAGCTGGAACAGCTGGGACACGGTGCCATGTCCCAAGGCTGCACAGAGCAGCAGAGCCAGGGGCTCGGCCCATGAAACCATTTTTCCTTTCTAGGCCTTCAGACCTGTGATGAGAGGCCGCCATGAAGATCTCTGAAATGCCCTGGACACATTTTCCCCATTATCTTGGGTATTAACATTCAGCTCCTCATTACTTACGGAAATTTCTGTGGCTGGCTTGAATTTCTCCCCAGAAAATGGGTTTTTCTTTTTTACCACATGGTCAGGCTGCAAATTTTAAAACTTACATGTTCTGTTTCTCTTACAAACATGAGTTCCAATTTCTGATTATCTCTTTGTGAATGCATTTGACTGTACACTTTCACAAACAGCCAGGTAACATCTTAAATACTTTGCTGCTTAGAAATTTATTCCACCAGATACCCTAAATCATCTCTCTCAAGTTTAAAGTTCCACAGATCTCTAAGGCAGGGGCAAAATGCCACCAGTTTGTTTGCTAAAACATAGCAAGTGTGACCTTCCCTTTAGTTCCCAATAAGTTCCTCATCTCCCTCTGAGACCACCTCAGCCTGGATTTCATTGTCCATATCACTGTCAGAATTTTAGTCAAAACCATTCAACATGCCTCTAGGAAGTTCCAAACTTTCCCACATCTTCCTGTCTTCTTTTGAGCCCTCCAAACTGTTTCAACCTCTGCCCATTACCCATTTCCAAAGTTGCTTCCACATTTTCAGGTATCTTATAGCAGTGTCCCACTTCTCTAGGTACCAATTATCTGTATTAGTCTGTTCTTACACTGCTATAATGAACTACCTGAGACTAGGTAATTCATAACTAAAAGAGGCTTAATTAACTCACAGTTCTGCATGACTGGGGAGGCCTCAGGAAACTTACAATCATGGAGGAATGTGAAGGGGAAGCAAGGCATGACTTACATGCCAGCAGGAGAGAGAGAAAGAGACAGAGTAAGGAGGCAACTGCCAAAAACTTTAAAACCATTAGATCTCCTGAGAACTCACTCACTATCACAAGAACAGCATAGGAGAAATCGCCACCATGATCCCATCACCTCCCACTGGGTCCCTCCTTTGACATGTGATGATTACAATTTGAGATGAGATTTTGGATGGGGACACAGAGTGAAACCATATCACACATATACCTTTATATTTCATATTTCCATTTATATTTTGTACTTATGATTTTTCTTCACATTGAGTTTTGTGTTTATTTCAAAGAGGGGAGCCTGAGCTTTGCCACATTAGCTAGAAATCTTTACAGTGATCATATGCAAAAGCCATTCCTTTGGAGGAAGCATTGCTCTCTCACTGTCAGTCTCTTTCTCGAATGGAGATATTGCATTAAGGACACTTTAATGCAATAAGATGATGCATTAAAAACAATGTATTAAAGATGATGATACTTTAAGTCAGAAACACTAAAGTCTGAATTTATTTTTACCACATTCCTGAGGCCATGGAAAAGTGCCAGGGAAGCATGAGTGGCAGCTGCCTATAGGGTGAAGAAGCTGAAGAGGGAAGAAGTAATGCGTTGTTCCAGGCACTGCCCTGACAGTAATAGCCACTGGTGTCCTTCTCCTGATGACTCTGTACTTCCTTGGTTCCTGAGACAACCCTGACAAAGGGAAAATTAAGACATTAACAATCCCAGATCTATTTGTTGATAAGACCTGGAATTAGCAGTGCTACCCACAGGTTAAGGATAAGCCCAAGGTATTCTGGTAGACTTCATCACAGAAACACCCTCCTACTACCCCAGCTTATATTATTTGACTGGACCATACCCATCAAATTCTGGGTCTTTCATAAAACATCTGCTGAATGAATAAATGCTTTGTCTTTTAGAAGCAGAGTCAGGCTTTTTAACTTGCCTAATTATTTGGGGTCCCATTACTGTGCCTCTGTCTTCACATGGCTTTCTCCTCTGGTCTCTCTCTTTTTTTTTTCTGTCTGTCAAAAGGGCACTGTCATTGGATTTAAGGTTCACCTGGTTAATCAGGAAGATCTCATCTTAAGATCCTTAATTATATCCACAAAGACCCTCTTTTCAAACAAGATCACATTCACAAGTTCTGGGTGGACATATATTTTGGGGGCCTATTCAACCCATTACAATTGGAAAACACATATTGGATGACATTGTCATGTATAACACAGGTATGTGTCCATCTGTAAAAAGGTGATATACAGGAAAGTGGTAAGCTGAGATTTATGGGAATTCTCAACTTCACCTCTTTCTTGCTCATTTATCTCTAGTAATAGTGAATTGTGCAGTGGTAGCTGAAGACCAAGGAACAATTGTAAGGCCTCTTAAATGCCTGTTTTTGAATATAGCCAGGATTTTACCTGTTGCTGTGTCTTAGCCAGAAGACTGGACTCTCCTGACATTGATACTTGTCCCAACCACAACTAAGTTTGCTCTATTCTTTTTGCGTTGTGCTTTGGTTGACCCTATTGTGGGCCCAAACTTTGACACACTGCTTGGCCCTGTAGAACTTTTTTTTCCCCACTTATAGCCACATTGTGGGGGTCCTGGCCTGGTTTCAGCACTCACTGGATTTTCAATGGAGAAAATATTTGCAAATTTTGCAATTGTACCTAGGCTCACTCTGCTGAAATTCCATGAGCAAGAAATAATGATGATAGAGCAGTGAGTGCTCAAAAATTTGTTGAATGCAGAACAAAGGAGGCTAGGCAAGCTGCCTAGGTTTGCACGGTGAATGACAGGGAGAACTAAGTTTTAAACCCAGGTCTTTCTAATTCCAGAGCTCAAGCACTTAGTCACTGTGCCGTAAGGCTCCATTGGAAATCAGCCACTTACAGTAGGGCTGGGTTTATGTTGCTCTTGTGTGCAAGTTTAATAGGAACCCAACAACAGGCAGTCTCTGTGAGCTTATCTGACTCCTCAAAACAGTATAGAGAATGAAATAAATTACTTTATCCAAGGGATTAATTATGTGATTAAAGAAGTTTGCAGAACAATTTCATTAATGTAACTCTTGCTTTCTGGTTAAGAAAAGGTGGCATTTAACTTAAATTTTCAATGGATGTACATGTTACATAATTTCTATAAGTGGCTGAGTAGTAGAAATAACCGTGCTCAGTTGAGAAGGCATGGGAGAAAGGGCAAGGGAGAGCAATGGTGAAAAAACAGGGAAATAAGAACAGTGGAAGGCTCTACCATAAACAGTAAGGAAAGCATTTAAATTATACTACACAGCCTAAAGACACAAAACATTTCGTTTCCCTTTGCATAAAACTGGTTTGACCTTCACAGTTCTGAAATAACAGGAAATATTTCTGTGGTAACTGTACTGCATTTTAGGCTGGTAGTTAAGCAGACTGTTCAGCATGAATAAATATAGTTTGAAATTGTTAGGGCAGATTTCTATGAAGAGTGGATGTTAAGCAGTAATATAAATGTAAGAGCTTACAGCAAAATGAAATTCATGCTATAAAGTTCAAACCTGCCTAAGAGAGACTTTTAGGTAAACTATTGGGTTGCAAAGCTGATTCCCATTTTGTTTTAATAGTTGGCAACGTATGGTGGCTGAGGTGATGTGTTTCAGTTGAGTAGATCATGGAGCATTATCCTGCGCTCAGTTGAGCAGAAATGTGTCTGATTTCAGCAGGACTATGAAAAATGGCTGAATTCTCTCTTCCTGAATCTGAAATTAATGACTAAAAATGTTATCAACAAGGTAGGTTGTCAAAAAAAAAGTGTAGGTACTTTATCTAGAAATGGTATATTGTTCCTTAGATAAACACTGAGAATTTTATGGGATAGTTTAGGAGAAGAAATTTATGTAACTTTCTATTTAGCTACAGTGTTAGCTAAAAACAACTTGATATAAGAATTAGAGATGATTATTCCCTTGTTTTTAATCTCCTCCTTGCTTCTCTGAATTTGAAGTATATCATCAAGTCTTGTTTGTAATTGAGAAGACTGGCTGGGGTCACAGAACTTGTAGGAGGGTCAGAAGATTCTTAATATCCTATCTGGATGGGTGTGTGAGCTATCAAAGGGGCCCTCATCCTTTGGGCATACTTACATAATTCCTACATTTTGTGTTAATTTTGTACTTAATTCATATCTTTATCAAAGATATATTGAACCCCAACTGTATACTAGCCACTTTTATAGAGAAGAGATAAATGAAGCATAGTTTTCTGGCTTCAAGGCTGTGTAGAGAGGGTGGGTGTGGTGAACAAGTGGATAAGTGTTATGACTCGGAGTGCTATGGGAATAGTGAGATTGTGAGGGAGCCCAGTCATACCACCCGACCTAATAACAGGGAGGAGAGGGGTTAGGGAAAAGCTTCTTGGAGGAGATGTGTTTTGAGGAAAGAAACTACTTAATCTCTGGACCTATTTCCTTTTCTGCAAAATATTGGGAAATTGCCACCTATCCTTCAGGGTTGTAGTGAGAATTATACCAGGTAGCATGTGTGAGAAAGCCTGGAACGTGTAGGCTCTCCATGTTTTCATTATGATCACTGTGGATGGCTTTATCATTTCTCTTTCTAGCCTGAAATGCATGAATTCCAAAATTTGAATGGGAAAATTAAACTAATATTAGACCAGTTTGACTCTTAGGCTACATAAAGAAGCACAATCTAAATTATCCACCACTCTGAATATGGAAAGAAAGAGATATGTATTAGTTTGTTGTTACTGCTGTTACAAGTTATCACAGAATTAGTGGCTTAAAATAACACATTTATTATCTCACATTTCTGGAGGTCAGAAGTCTGGAATCAGTGTTATTGGTCTTAAATCAGGGTGTGGTAAGTCTGGTTTGTTTTGGAGGCTTTGGAGAGAATCTGTTTCTTACTTTTTCTAGCTTCCAGAGACTGCCCATATTCCTTGGCTTATCACTCAATCACTCCAGTCTCTGCTTCCACAGTCGTCATATTAACTTCTCCTCCCTCTGGTGTCTTAACTTTCTTTTATAAGGATAATTGTGAATACATGAGCCCACCTGGATAATATAGGTCAATCCCATCTCAAGATCCTTAACTTAATCATACCTTCAAGGTCCCTTTTGTCAAATCAATTAATATTTATAGGTTCTGGGGATCAGAACATGAACACCTTTGGGGACATTATTTAGCCAACCACAAGATGTAAAGATCAGAGGAGAGTATCTCTGCGTGCAGTGCTACAGTATTCACTGCCTCTAATATGTTTGGGCTGTTGGAATGGCTCACAAAGAGAGATACCTATCAGAGCCCTTGGGCTACTGACATCTAAGCTTAGCAAGTCAATGGCAAGTCTTACTGGTTGGCCTTGAATTTAGAATTCTGTCCCATCCTCACATCAATTTCATCTGTTAATTGCTATTAGATAATATTTCTTAACTTCATTTAAATCTGTGTAACAGCCATGTTATGGGCAAAGTGTGAAGAGAATGACAGTAGACTAAAAACTCTGGGTAACAGTTGCATTTAATGCAGTGATGTTATTTGAGCACAATACATTTTTGCTGAGGGAGAGCTTGTGTTGACTATGATTGAGGCAGAGATGTATTTGTTTCATAACACTCAAGTGTAAGACACGTCATATTGCTTTATTTTTCTAAGTCAAATTAAATCTAAGCCTCTGTTCAAATAGGTTAGCAAGACAACCAATATCAGTCATGACTGGGAAGGCCCTCCCCCACCCTAGAGCTGAACAAATCCTTGAGAGTTTAATCAGGCCAGAAATCTGGACTAGGGGCTCTGGTTTTCTGTGAGCATAGTTGATCAGACCCTGCTCGTTGTTTCAGTCCAGTTGGAACATTTAAAAGTGGGTTGGTCAGTTGTTCAGAGCATCAGTTTTCCCTATAAACAACTAAGCCAGTGGAAATTCTTCTGTAGCAGCCAAGGCCATACCTCCTAGGATTCATTTTTATCTCAGTCAACCTCATCAGGACACCGTATTAGAGGGAGATTCTGGTCTCTTCTATATAAGAACCAGAACCATCCCCCACTAATTCCGAGATTTCCAGTTGTTTCCTAGCCCACCCGCAACCTCATCCCTTAGAACCAAATCCCATTTTCTCTTCAAGACCTTGCATTCTCTCACTTAAACTATGTGAGATGGTATGTGTGAGAAAGCCTGGCTCACAGAGGCACTCCAAGTTTTCATTGTGATCATTGCTGCTTTCCTCAGGATTTAAAAACAAAAGCTTCTCAACTGTCTTCTTAACAGTTCCTAACTGGGAGAGTGGCAGTCCTAAAATGTATGAATGCAAAGTCCAGCTGGCCTTTTTATTTTTATGTGATGAGCTATATGAAATTAAGGCACAAATAACTTTTTCAAGAAAGTGATTCTGTTAAAGTAGTTAATGGCTTGGCCAGGTGCGTTGGCTCATGCCTGTAGTCCTAGCACTTTGAGAGGCTGAGGTGGGTGGATCACCTGAGGTCAGGAGTTCAAGACCAGCCTGGCCAACATGGCAAAACCCCGTCTCTACTAAAAATACAAAAATTAGCTGGGCATGGTGGCGGGCACCTATAATCCCAGCTACTGGGGAGGCTGAGGCAGGAGAATCTCTTGAAACCAGTAGTGGGGGGCGGGGAGGCAGAGGTTGCAATGAGCTGAGATCGCCCCACTGCACTCCAGCTTGAGTAAAAGGGTGAAACTCTGTCTCTAAATAAATAAATAAATAAATAAATAAAATAGTTAAGGCTTGAAAGTGAATTGTTGGCCCCGTGAACATCTAGACTACAGGAAAATAATGTGTTCGTTCAGTTTTCAGCTTTTTGTTCTCTCATGTATCTGCTTTTTTCCTTTCTCAGCCACTTCCCCCTTTCAATATACTACTCATGTCAGCTGTCTTTCAAGACACAAGGGAAACAATGTTCCTAGCTAATTTCACAAGTAATACCCAAGATATGCATTTTAAATGTTTATTTAGATAGGATTGGTCAACTCATGAAAGCACACCAACTCATGTAAATATTGTACAATCATTTCAGCAGGAGAACAAAAGAGAACAGCTTCTTGGTGATTTATCTTTTTCTTACTGACTCAAGCTCTCACCCAAAACCTGTTGGTCCGTTTTAGTGGAAAGGTTAAAATGAATTCACTTTCAAATGTTACAGCTTAACTAGTAATAATTTTAGGACCTCAGATTAGGTACATGTAACTTTTTTTATTAATTACAATTTCATGTATTAAAATCACCTGGACTCATTTACTCCTCTGGTTGGGCACTTATGATACATATTGGTAAATTCTGCTGAGACTTTCTTTCTTACTAGTATGTCCAGCCTTGTGGTATCCATGGTCTCTATTGAACTTGACACTTCCCAGTGAAAATTTTGCCTGCCACATCCTGGTGGCTTTTTGTTTTGGCTCTCAGTTATTTTCTAGATTGTCATTTCCAGTCATCATGTCCTCAGTAGGAAGACCTATCACACCCAGGTTGGTGGGGAATACGACAACTTTCCCCGTTGTCCTATGATTCTCTGGTGTTAGGAACAGCTCATATTTTCCATGAGCCTTAGAGTTCTCCTAAGCTGCATGGAATATTATGGAGGTGTCTTTTCCTGGAGGATTATAACATAGCTTTTTTTCTGGCTGTTAGACCGCTTTAGTGCATTTTGAAGAAGCATTGAACCATATTGTGAAAAGTATGCAAATAATATCAAACTCAGTGGGTTACCATCACCTTTCAGATAGTCCTTTTTCTTCTCCTCTCTTTAGAGTGAAGAAGTAAATTGTGCCAGTGAATAAAAAGGAATTTAAAAAATTATGTAAAAAGGGAAAGTATTGTTTTCGTAAAAGCAACCGTGAAATACAGCTATTAAAAAAAAGAAATCTTTGATTCAGGATAGGCTTGTTTAAATTCTCAGTTTAAAATGACTTACAAATATAGTGAAAAGGTTTTAAAAATTGTTGATGCTGTTGAATAAACATCGAAAGAGGCAGTGAGGTGTGTTGAAATTGGGCTATTATTTATTATGATTATGTGTTAAATTTTGGTTTCATTGTCCTTGCCATGGATGAGGGAAGAGTAGGGTCTCTCAACTACAACTCAGTGGATCTCTGACTCCTCTTTGACCAGCAGTTTCTGGTCTGTCTGTTTGTTTACTGGTGTATCTTTGCCATTCTTTTTCTTCAAGACTTTCAGAAAATTTTATATAGAAAGTTTTTCCTTCTTGATCTAACATGAGGGGATTATATACACACACATGGGTTATGTTCTTCTCCTTTACATTCAGAATTTTGACAACTACTTTGGACTTAAAACTTGTAATTTTATTAGTAAGCTTTTAGTTTTTAATCATTTTTTGATTGCTCTATGCTCTAAGATGTTTATTTTAAAAATGTGTTTACATATGTAAGTCATGATTTGAGGTGTTATTACTTTAAGATTCAATGTCTGTTTGACTCCCCTTCTAAGAGATGTTGAGGTGAGTATGCTTCCTCTTTATCTTACTTCCCCTCCCACTTCTTTCCTTATATTACTTGAAGTGGATTCTATTATCATTTCTAAATTGACCTATTACATTTATGTTTTGTTCTATAGTACTTCTAATTCTCACAGTTGGGTAGTGTCTTTACAATGATTTCTCCATTCATCTCCAAGTTTATACTATAGTAGTTGTCTTAAAAATACACAATGCCAATTTAATTTATTCATTTGATTCTTTTTCTACTTTAGGGCAATTTTATTTTATTATATCTTTGAATATTTATTCTGTGATATTTCTTATTTAGGAATATCAATTATACACATGTTGGATCTCCTTTGGTTCCATAATGGTAATTTTCCCTCTAATGCTTTAACAGTCTGTGTTATTTTACATTTTTCTGTTTTCAGAAATGACTTTTTCTTTTGATGCCTCTAATGTAACCTTCATGTACGTAATAGTTTTATTTTTTCTTTCTATTTTTTCACTCTGACACATAACTTTTCATTACCTCTATTTTCTTATCTTTTCCCTTGACTCCTATTATATCTTGTCTGAACTCTTGTTTCAGAGGGGTTATAATTTTTTAAATTCCTGATATTTTAAGAGTACCATTTTTTGAGTGCCCGATTTATGTGTTAATTTTTTGCCTGATTGGTGTTTCAGTATTGCATATTTTTTGTCTTCTGTTTGCCATGTTCTTTTCTTTAGGTTTTGGTACTGTCTTTGTACATGCCCCAAGCTGACTTTTTTTCTGACTATTATTCATCTTTAATGCACACCTGAATCAGCTATTTGATGATGGATAGCATAGAGGAAGGCTAAGTAGAGTACAGCAGGTAGTTTGAGTTTTAGGCCATGGCTTTGAATACATTCTCACTGATATTCTACCCTATGAATACAAATCAACTATGAGTTAGCAAGAAATCTCTGACACATAGGGAAGTCACAATTGTATTTATTTACTTTATCATCTATCTATCCTCTTCTTTGCTTTCTTCCTTCCATCATTCCTTTCTTTCTATTTTCTTTCCTTCTTTCTCTGCTTTCCTTTCTTCCTTTCTTTCTTTTTTGGTAGTGATTTTTTTCTTGCTTCTGTGCAGGGCTTCTTACCATTGATAATGTCTCTAACACCCTGTTTCATCCACTCTCTTGAAAAGGGGAATGTCTGTAGACTTTCTTATTCAGCCTGATAATATTGCCACCGTGTGGTATAAAATAAGGTTTACCCGGGGTTCCACAATATCTATATGAAAGTCAGTTGGCCATTCAAGTAAAGGGTGATTCTTTTTGTCTTGCTATCTCTCACCTAGTGTGAAAAATGCCTCACTCAAGGCCTGCAGAGTGTGATGTCTTTCATGGAGCTCTCCTCTATCTTTGCATTATTTTCACTGCACTTGACAGCAGCTGTGGTTTAGCATTGTGGTTGTTTTTTCATATGTTGTGGTTTAGGCTTATGTTTTTTTCTTAGCATATTAATGATATATTGTTATTAACAAACCAAACTTAGACTTAAATAAACCAGTTTATTACTTCTCCTAATTCTATTCATTGATTGGGCAGTTCTGCTGGTTTCACCTGGGTTCACTTATGTGTCTGTAGTTAGCTGGTGGATCAACTGGGATGGCTGAAAAAGATGAAATGTCTGGCCTGTTTGTCTCCACATGGTTTTTCATCCTGGGTGTCTTCACAGCATGGAGATCTCTGTGTACCATGAGGGTGAGAAGCTGCAGACCTCTAATGGCGGCTGAGGCTAGAAAGACACATAGCATCAGTTCTTCTGCATTCTATTGGTCAAAGTAAGTCAGGGGACCAAACCAGTTTCAAGGGGTGGCAAAGTCACATTCAAAATGCGTGTGCATCCACTGGTAGGAGGATTATTATGCCTTTCTTTGGGCACTTAATCTACCATCAGGTTTATCTATTGATTTGTTTTTTGACCTTATTATTATTTGGTTTCATAGTAAAGAATAGAGCAAAGACAATTTTATACTGCTGCCTTTAACAGGAAATCAAGCTATTATTAATTTTAATAATGACAAATAATTTTAAAAACTCAATGTTATGCCTCATTTTTAATGACATAGCACATTTTATTTTTGTACTTTTTAAAGGATTATAAAATAGAACTTAAGAAATGCCTCTACATGTAGGTAATAGCTTCCAGTAATAGTGCAAGGATGCTGAGACCTGATATGGGAAAGTATTTCCCAGTTCATGCAGTATGGGGTAAGAAATTTTGGAATGGAGGTAAGGAAGGCTGGCTTCTACTTTTGATTCCAATTCTCTAAGTCTAGCTTTGAGATCTTGAGAAAATCAGTTTAGTCTCTCCTTAACTACAATGAGGAAGTTCCTAAACTATAAGGTCATACAAGTTGCCTGTGGGATTTATTAAAAATTTAAATTCCTGGTCCCTTTTCTTCTTGACATTTTGACTCAATAGGTCAAAAATAAGGTCTAAGAATCTGAATTTTTAAAATAAGCACTTCAGAAAAAGATTCAAATAAACACAATCAGAAATGACAAGGGGCATATTACCACTGACCCAATAGAAATACAATGACCACCAGAGAATATTATGAACACCTCTATGCACACAAACTAGAAAATGTAGAAGAAATGGATAAAATCCTGGACACATACAACCTCCCAAAGCTGAACCAGGAAGAAACTGAATCCTTGAATAGACCAATAACGAGCTCTGAAATTGAGGCAATACTAAATAGCCTACCAAAAAAACAAAACAAAACAAAACAAAAACAAAAACAAAACCCAGGACCAGACAGATTTACAGCTGAATGCTACCAGATGTACAAAGAAGAGCTGGTATCATTCCTCCTGAAAGTACTCTAAAAAACTGGGGAGGAAGGACTCCTCCCTAACTCATTCTTTGAGGCCAGCATCATCCTGATTCCAAAACCTGGCAGACACACAACAAAAAAAGAAAACTTTAGGTCAGTATCTTTGATGAACATTGCTGCAAAAGTCCTCAACAAAATACTGGCAAACTGAATCCAGTAGCACATCAGAAAGCTTATCCATCACAATCAAGTAGGCTTTATCCATAGGATCAAGGTTGGTTCAACATATGCAAATCAATCAATGTGATTCATCACAATAACAGAACTAAAGACAAAACCATATGATTATCTCAACAGATGCAGAAAAGGCTTTCAATAAAATTCAACACCCCTTCATATTAAAAACTTTCAGTAAGCTAGGTATTGAAGGAACATGCTTCAAAATAATAACAGCCATCTGTGATAAAACCACAGCCAATATCATACGGAGTGAACAAAAGCTGGATGCATTCTTAAAAACCAGCACAAGACAAGGATGTCCTCTCTCACCACTTTTATTCAACATAGTATTGGAAGTCCTGGCCAGGACAATCGGACAAAAGAAATAAATAAAGGGGATCCAGATAGGAAGAGGAAGCCAAGCTATTCTGGTTTGCAAATAACATGATTCTATATCTAGAAAACCCCATAATCTCATCCCAAAAGCTCCTTAAGCTAATAAACAGCTTCAGCAAAGTCTCATGATACAAAATCAATGTGCAAAAATTATTAACATTCCTATACACCAAAAACAGTCAAGCTGAGAGCCAAATCAGAAACACAATCCCATTTACAATCGCCACAAAAAAGAAAAAGTACTAAGAATACGGCTTACCAGGGTGGTGAAATATCTCTACAAGAACTATAAAACACTGCTCAAAGAAATCAGAGATGACACAAACAAATGGAAAAACATTCTATGCTCATGGATAGGAAGAATTCATACTGTTATAATGGCCATACTGCCCAAAGCAATTTATAGATTCAATGCTATTCCTATTAAACTACAATTGACATTCTTCACAGAGCTAGAAAAAGCCATTTAAAAATTCATATGGAACCAAAAAAGAACCAAATAGCGACGGCAGTCCCAGGCAAAAAGAAGAAAGCTGGAGGCATCACACTACCCAACTTCAAACTTTACTACAGAGCTACAATAACAAAAATAACATGGTACTGGTACAAAAACAGACACGTAGACCAATGGAACAGAATAAGGAGCCTAGAAATAAGGCCGCACACCTACAACCATTTTATCTTTGACAAAACTGACAAGAACAAGCAATGGGGAAAGGGCTCTCTATGCAATAAATGGTGCTGGGATAACTGGCTTATGCAGAAGATTGAAATTGAACCCATTCCTTACACTATATACAAAAATCAACCCAAGACAGGTTAAAGACTTAAATGTAAACCCCAAAACTATAAAAACCTTGGAAGACAACCTAGGCAATACCATTCTGGACACAAGAATGGGCACAGATTTCATGACTAAGATGCCAAAAGCCATTGCAACAAAAGTAAAAATTGACAAATGGGATGTAATTAAACTAAAGAGCTTCTGCACAGCAAAATAAACTATCAACAGAGTGAACAGACTACCTACAGAATGGGAGAAAATTTTCCCAAACTGTGCATCTGACAAAGGTCTAATATCCAGCATCTATAAGGAACTTTACAGGAAAAAAAAGCACTATTAAAAAGTGGGTGAAGATCATGAACAGACTTTCAAAAGAAGACATACATTGTGGCCAAAAAGCATATAAAAAATGCTTAATATCACTGATCGTTAGAGAAATGCAAATCAAAACCATAATGAGATACCATCTCACACCAGTCGGAGTAACTATTATTAAAAAGTCAAAAAATAACAGATGCTGGTGAGGTTGCAGTGAAAAAAGAATGCTTATAAACTTCTGGTGGGAGTGTAAATTCGCTCGATCATTGTGGAAGATAGTGTGGTGATTCCTTAAAGAGCTAAAAACAGAACTACCATTTGACCCAGCAATTTCATTACTGGATATATAGCCAAAGGAATATAAATTGTTCTGTCATAAAGACACATGCATGTTTATGTTCATTGCAGCACTATTCACAATAGCAAAGACATGGAAGCAACCTAAATGCCCATCAGTGACAGAGTGGATAAAGAAAATGTAGTATGCATACAGCATGCAGCCATAAAAAAGAATGAGATCATGTCTTTTGCTGGAACATAGATAGAGCTGGAGGCCATTATCCTTAGCAAACTAACACAGGAATAGAAAGCCAAATACTGCATGTTGTCATTTATAAGTGGGGGCTAAATGATGAGAACATGTGGACACACAGAGGGGAACAACGCACACTGGGGTCTATCAGAGTGTGGAGGTTGGAAGGAGGGAGACTATCAGGAAAAATAACTAATGGGTACTAGACTTAAAATTTAGGTGATGAAATAATCTGTACAACAAAACCCCATGATGCAAGTTTTTACCTGTGTAAAACACCTGCACATGTACCCCAAACTTAAAATAAAAGTTAAAAAAAAATAAGCACTTCTTATAATTTCATTGCCAGGAATGGTGACTATACTTTGAGAAATATTTTATATTATAAGTATGATAGAACTTTGGAAACCTCAAAACCTGTGCCTACTTTCAAAATTTTATTAATTATGAAATGCATACTTAAAATGTTTGTTCACTGAGCAATGATTAGCTATTTGTCTGCATCATTTATAATGTCTTTGTGAATAAACATTCTAACTTGTAGGCAATGCTTTGCATCTGTTATTTTGCAAATAAAAGAAAAATTTGTTTCTCATGACCACTATTAAATCTGTTGACTTAAAAAAGTACATATTTTTGTGATTCTCAACATCATATCAGACTTTTCTTTCTTGACACATGAAATTGAAATAATATCACTAATATTACAATTAATCATAGAGACATGGGGGTGGATGTTCAAGGACTTGAAAAGCTGTATCTCACACTGTCTAATATGTGAAAGCATTAGGTTGTCTTTTAGGGAAATTACTTGTTATTATTCAGACATATCCCATCCACTTCAAAGTTGGTCCTAAGCAATGAGAAGTGAAAATTATTAAAATGAAGTTTGCATATATTAGGTGCTCAGAGTACTAAATAAAACAATTTACTTTTACATCAGAAAATAGAATTCAACGACTTAACATTAAATGGTCCAAGGTCAATGTCACCAACATATAACTTGCAACAGACAGAATAAGAGATCAGGACATATGATTTAGTAGTAAGCTACTGTAGGAATATTCACTTGCAGAGTTTTGTTGTTTTGTTTTTTTTTTTTAGACTTTATGGGCCACATTTTTAGCTTGAGGGCCATACAAAAATGGGCCACAGACCGCATACTGCCCCTGATTATAATAAAAACATATGTCAAACTATGAGTAAGATTGATTCCTGGTTTTAAACATTGTGTTAGTAATTTAGGTGACAACTTTTTTGGTTAGGGCAACTCTCCATTCGGCCACTTGATGGCAGCATTTACTATGTGCTAACATTGAACTTCAATTTTTTTTTTTTTTTTTTTTTTTTTTCTCCTCTTTAGGTTGTTCAGCCTCGTTTAACATTGGTGGTGGAAAAAAGATTGATAGCAATGCAAATGTATTTATAACCACGAGAGATAGCCACCTTCCACCCCAATTAGCCTTTGCATTGATTTACTGAGGAAAAACATCTATTACCGAAAAAGTCTTACAGATTAGTGTTGCATTATTTTGTTACAGTTGAAATATCTGTAGGAAAAGTGATCTCACAGATCTCATTTTAATCTAACCAAAAATGTACTTTCCCCAATAATTAAAAAAAAAAAGATTTATCATTGAGAATGCAGCTCTGGTTCAGAATGCTATACTACAGCTTTTCCCCTTAAAGCTATATACTTAGTTATTTGAATATTTTTTAATAATGAGCTTGTGTCACATTTTAGGTCTTTAAAAAGAGATTTATTCATGAGCTGTTGCTTGAATAAAGCCATTGATCTACCAAAAAAATTTCCTATTTCTCAATTTCTTTGTGAGAATATAATTACGATCTGAATTAGTCTTTAAAAAAAATAAAAGAGCATACTGCTTCCTGAAATACATTTTGTACCCCCCAAATAATGGAGCTGCAGCTGAGACTTTTCCTGCAGAAAAAAAAAAACTTACCAGTAATGATTCTATAAACATCCTGGCAACAACTTTCTAGGGGAGGGTTCACTAGGAGAACTCCCATTTGAGATTTACATGGAGCACAAATTGGTAAATTTATAAGGCGGTTACGATTTCGTGCTTTTGGCTTGAAAGGAGGGAATCATTTTTTTGTTTGTTTTTAAACCACCCCTTCTTCTCCTCTGGCCCCTTATTTCTCCCAAAAAAAATGGCATTTGGAAGAGTTTGGTGGCTTTACTTTCCTTTTTTTTTCTGCTCCATGATTGGAGAAGATTCCCATATTATAATATATTGCCATTTGAATTTATATGTCAGAGCAAGGTTAAAGTACTCAACAGTAGAGTTGTAAAGGAGGCTCTTCTGGGGCCACTGGGCCTGTGTAAATGGCAAGAATGTAGCATGGGAAGTCTTGGACCATGAGTTTATATAAATAACTTTGTGGGTGGATATAAATATTCTGGGGAGGCGATTCCAGCTCTGCTGTTTTCACAGGCTCAACTCTATTTTCCTGAGCTCTGTGTATGTTTACTTACATACAATTGTATATTTCCTTCTGTTTATACACAGTTGGGTTTTCTGGCCCTATATAAGGAGATTTATGTTCCACACACATTCTTCCTATAGCTCATCTCACGCTAGTTAAACATTTTTTATAAAAGAAAACTAATGCAAGATTACCGTAGAAACCTTAGAAAATATGGATAAGTGAAAATAAATAAAAGCATATATCTTACCATGCTATTATTTGTTACAGTCTAGCACTCCCTCTATATATATGTATGCACACACACACATACATACACACACTTACAAATAAATACAAATCTATATTATAAAAATTAGACCATGCACTAGTTTTGCACAGGTTTTTCCCAACCCAGCTGAATACAATTTCTATTGCTATACAATTCACTTCTATTCCTCTTCTTTTTAACACAAGAATATATTTCTTATTATGCTTCACCTTTATATTTCTTATTATGAGGAATACTACTTGGCTTGGATTCCTGGAAAAGATACTACCTGACTTGGACCCCTGGTATGATCGTGTCCCTGTGGGAATTCATACAGAGGACCCAACCACAGACGGCCTGATGACAACAGGGAATACTTTCAAAATTATATAGGAAGTTGAATGCTAGATTTGACAGGCTTAATTGCTGATATGTTCAGTTTCGAATGAAATCAATGTGGGAAAGAAAAAGGAAATAATAGCTCTGACAGCTTTCCCAATCTGCAGCATTTGCTGTCTGTAAAGTCTTGTTAAATTCTAGCCAGCAGTTTAGGAAGGAAAAGCTGAAGTGAATGCACCAGAGAGGGGCTGACTGTCCTTTTAGGAGAGGCTTGTTTTCAATCTGCCTGGTGCTCAGAGATATCGAGTGCCCACAGGACAATGCTGTCCCTCCCACTGGTGATGAAAGGTACTGGGAACTTGTTACCTATAAATGCCAACTGTAAGTTGCAACAGCTTCAGCAACAGCTGTCTCGCCAATTACCCAGTGGTGTGTGTGTGTGCATTCCTGCATTCATGCACATTGTTTCATTTATGTTGACTCTTCTGGTTAGCATAGTCTAATCAAAGGCCAACCACTGGAACCTGGGTCAGTGTACCTGGCCTCCCAGTGTGTGGTGTCTGAATACAGGGACCTAGTTTGATTATAGTGAGATTTACTCCATTATCCTCAGCTGTATCTCATTTAAGGCTGGACAAAAAGGTCTCAGAAAAGCGAATGAAGCATAGAAGTGCTGGTGGTTTGATATGAGGGTAGGAGTAGAGAAAATGTGAAAGTTATTGAGGCGTTCCTGCTTGTCAGAACATTTTGGGAGTCTCCCTAAATTCTGAAGCCAACTTAGGGTTGAGCAAGTTTGTTCAATGAGCTTGGTAAGCCCTGTAGCCTAAAGACTGGTTCTGGGTTTATAATAGTAGAGTGCTGTGTTTTTTTGTTGTTTTATTTGTTGTTGTTTTTTTTTTGTTTTATTTGTTGTTTTGCCATTTGCAAGTGTTGAACTCATGTGAATTTTTTATCTGTTCAATAAAAAATTACCCAGAGAGTTGAAATTGGCATTGATTTTTAATTTCTACAGAAGTTATTACAGATATATATCAGTGTCAATTAAAACAGTTTCATTGCGTACTACATATAGGAAATCAAATTTCATAATTGCATTTAGCATATGGGCAGTAGTACTGATTTCAGAGATTAAAGGTCATTGGTGATTAGGCTCTGAGTTTAAATAAAATTACATTATATTTTTTCCTCTTCCTCCTAGATTGCAAACATGATGGACAGGAAATGCTGGCATGACTTAGAATTACCTAGTAAAAGTCATGTTGATGCCTGTTTTCTGTTTGCCTTCTTTCTTGCACCCCATCCTCCATAATTGCAAAGATAACTTGAAGGTAAACGTGTTTTTTTTTTTTTTTTTGAGGCAGATCTCACTCTGTCGCCCAGGCTGGAGTGCAGTGGCGCGATCTCGGCTCACTGCAGCCTCTGCATCCCGTGTTCAAGTGATTCTCCAACCTCTGCCTCCCTGGTAGCTGGGACTATAGGCATCCACCACCACGCCTGGCTAATTTTTGTTTTTTTTTTGGTAGAGACAAGGAGGTTTCACCACGTTGGCCAGGCTGGTCTCGAACTCCTGACCTCAACGGATCCACCCACTTTGGCCTCCCAAAGTGCTGGGATTACAGGTATGAGCTACTGTGCCCGGCCCATATCATTGTTTATTATTATTATTATTATTATACTTTAAGTTTTAGGGTACATGTGCACAATGTGCAGGTTTGTTACATATGTATACATGTGCCATGTTGGTGTGCTGCACCCATTAACTCGTCATTTAGCATTAGGTATATCTCCTAATGCTATCCCTCCCCCCTCCCCCCACCCCACAACAGTCCCCGGTGTCTGATATTCCCCTTCCTGTGTCCATGTGTTCCCATTGTTCCCACCTATGAGTGAGAACATGCGGTGTTTGGTTTTTTGTCCTTGCGATAGTTTGCTGAGAATGATGGTTTCCAGCTTCATCCATGTCCCTAGAAAGGAAATGAACTCATCATTTTTTATGGCTGCATAGTATTCCATGATGTATATGTGCCACATTTTCTTAATCTAGTCTATCATTGTTGGACTTTTGGGTTGGTTCCAAGTCTTTGCTATTGTGAATAGTGCCACAATAAACATACGTGTGCATGTGTCTTTATAGCAGCATGATTTATAATACTTTGGGTATATACCCAGTAATAGGATGGCTGGGTCAAATGGTATTTCTAGTTCTAGATCCCTGAGGAATCGCCACACTGACTTCCACAATGGTTGAACTAGTTTACAGTCCCACCAACAGTGTAAAAATGTTCCTATTTCTCCACATCCTCTCCAGCAACTGCTGTTTCCTGACTTTTTAATGATCGCCATTCTAACTGGGGTGAGACAGTATCTCATTGTGGTTTTGATTTGCATTTCTCTGATGGCCAGTGATGATGAGCATTTTTTCATGTGTTTTTTGGCCGCATGAAAGTCTTCTTTTGAGAAGTGTCTGTTCCTATCCTTTGCCCACTTTTTGATGGGGTCGTTTGTTTTTTCTTGTAAATTTGTTAGAGTTCATTGTAGATTCTGGATATTAGCCCTTTGTCAGATGAGTAGGTTGTGAAAATTTTCTCCCATTCTGTAGGTTGTCTGTTCACTCTGATGGTGGTTTCTTTTGCTGTGCAGAAGCTCTTTAGTTTAATTAGATCCTATTTGTCAATTTTGGCTTCTGTTGCCATTGCTTTTGGTGTTTTAGACATGAAGTCCTTGCCTATGCCTATGTCCTGAATAGTATTGCCTAGGTTTTCTTCTAGGGTTTTTATGGTTTTAGGTCTAACATGTAAGTCTTTAATCCATCTTGAATTAATTTTTGTATAAGGTGTAAGGAAGGGATCATTTCAACTTTCTACATATGGCTAGCCAGTTTTCCCAGCACCATTTATTAAATAGGGAATCCTTTCCCCATTGCTTGTTTTTGTCAGGTTTGTCAAAGATCAGATGGTTGTAGATATGCAGCATTATTTCTGAGGGCTCTGTTCTGTTCCATTGGTTTATATCTCTGTTTTGGTACCAGTACCATGCTGTTTTGGTTACTGTAGCCTTGTAGTGTAGTTTGAAGTCAGGTAGCGTGATACCTCCAGCTTTGTTCTTTTGGCTTAGGATTGACTTGGTGATGCGGGCTCTTTTTTGGTTCCATATGAACTTTAAAGTAGTTTTTTCCAATTCTGTGAAGAAAGTCATTGGTAGCTTGATGGGGATGGCATTGGACCTATAAATTACCTTGGGCAGTATGGCCATTTTCATGATATTGATTCTTCCTACCCATGAGCATGGAATGTTCTTCCATTTGTTTGTATCCTCTTTTATGTCATTGAGCAGTGGTTTGTAGTTCTCCTTGAAGAGGTCTTTCACATCCCTTGTAAGTTGGATTCCTAGGTATTTTATTCTCTTAGAAGCAATTGTGAATGGGAGTTCACTCATGATTTGGCTTTCTGTTTGTCTGTTAATGGTGTATAAGAATGCTTGTGATTTTTGCACATTGATTGTGTATCCTGAGACTTTGCTGAAGTTGCTTATCAGCTTAAGGAGATTTTGGGCTGAGACGATGGGGTTTTCTAAATATACAATCATGTCATCTGCAAACGGACAATTTGACTTCCTCTTTTCCTAATCAAATACCCTTTATTTCCTACTCCTGTCTGATTACCCTGGCCAGAACTTCCAACACTATGTTGAATAGGAGTGGTGAGAGAGGGAATCCCTGTCTTGTGCCAGTTTTCAAAGGGAATGCTTCCAGTTTTTGTCCATTCAGTATGATATTGGCTGTGGGTTTGACATAGATAGCTCTTATTATTTTGAGATACATCCCATCAATACCTAATTTATTGAGAGTTTTTAGCATGAAGGATTGTTGAATTTTGTCAAAGGCCTTTTCTGCATCTATTGAGATAATTGTGGTTTTTGTCTTTGGTTCTGTTTATATGCTGGATTACATTTATTGATTTGTGTATGTTGAACCAGCCTTGCATCCCAGGGATGAAGCCCACTTGATCATGGTGGATAAGCTTTTTGATGTGTTGCTGGATTCGGTTTGCCAGTATTTTATTGAGGATTTTCGCATCGATGTTCATCAAGGATATTGGTCTAAAATTCTCTTTTTTTGTTGTGTCTCTGCCTGGCTTTGGTATCAGGATGATGCTGACCTCATAAAATGAGTTAGGGAGATTCCCTCTTTTTCTATTGATTGGAATAGTTTCAGAAGGAATGGTACCAGCTCCTCTTTGTACCTCTGGTAGAATTCAGCTGTGAATCCATCTGGTCCTAGACTTTTTTTGGTTGGTAAGCTATTAATTATTGCCTCAATTTCAAAGCCTGTTATTGGTCTATTCAGAGATTCAACTTCTTCCTGGTTTAGTCTTGGGAGAGTGTATGTGTCGAGGAATTTTTCCATTTCTTCTAGGTTTTCTAGTTTATTTGCGTAGAGGTGTTTATAGTATTCTCTGATGGTAGTTTGTATTTCTGTGGGATTGGTGGCGATATCCCCTTTGTCATTTTTTATTGCGTCTATTTGATTCTTCTCTCTTTTCTTCTTTATTAGTCTTGCTAGTGGTCTATCAATTTTCTTGATCTTTTCAAAAAACCAGCTCCTGGATTCATTGATTTTTTGAAGGGTTTTTTGTGTCTCTATTTCCTTCAGTTCTGCTCTGATGTTAGTTATTTCTTGCCTTCTGCTAGCTTTTGAATGTGTTTGCTCTTGCTTCTCTAGTTCTTTTAATTGTGATGTTAGGGTGTCAATTTTAGATCTTTCCTGCTTTCTCTTGTGGGCATTTAGTGCTATGAATTTCCCTCTACACACTGCTTTGAATGTGTCCCAGAGATTCTGGTATGTTGTGTCTTTGTTCTCGTTGGTTTCAAAGAACATCTTTATTTCTGCCTTCATTTCTTTATGTATCCAGTAGTCATTCAGGAGCAGGTTGTTCAGTTTCCATGTAGTTGAGCGGTTTTGAGTGAGTTTCTTAATCCTGAGTTCTAGTTTGATTGCACTGTGGTCTGAGAGAAAGTTTATTATAGTTTCTGTTCTTTTACATTTGCTGAGGAGTGCTTTACTTCCAACTATGTGGTCAATTTTGGAAAAGGTGTGGTGTGGTGCTGAAAAGAATGTATACTCTGTTGAATTGGGGTGGAGAGTTCTGTAGATGTCTATTAGGTCTGCTTGGTGCAAAGCTGAGTTCAATTGCTGGGTATCCTTGTTAACTTTCTGTCTCGTTGATCTGTCTAATGTTGACAGTGGGGTGTTAAAGTCTCCTGTTATTATTGTGTGGGAGTCTAAGTCTCTTTGTAGGTCACTAAGGACTTGCTTTATGAATCTGGGTGCTCCTGTATTGGGTGCATATATATTTAGGATAGTTAGTTCTTCTTGTTGAATTAATCCCTTTACCATTATGTAATGGCCTTCTTTGTCTCTTTTGATCTTTGTTGGTTTAAAGTCTGTTTTATCCGAGACTAGGATTACAACCCCTGCCTTTTTTTGTTTTCCATTTGCTTGGTAGATCTTCCTCCATCCCTTTGTTTTGAGCCTATGTGTGTCTCTGCACATGAGATGGGTTTGCTGAATACAGCACACTGATGGGTCTTGACTCTTTATCCAATTTGCCAGTCTGTGCCTTTTAATTGGAGCATTTAGCCAATTTACATTTAAGTTTAGTATTGTTATGTGTGAATTTGATCCTGTCATTATGATGATAGCTGTTTATTTTGCTCGTTAGTTAATGCAGTTTCTTCCTAGCCTTCATGGTCTTCACAATTTGGCATGTTTTTGCAGTGGCTGGTACTGGTTGTTCCTTTCCATGTTTAGTCCTTCCTTCAGGAGCTCTTTTAGGGCAGGCCTGGTGGTGAAAAAATCTCAGCATTTGCTTGTCTGTAAAGTATTTTATTTCTCCTTCACTTACGAAGTTTAGTTTGGCTGGATATGAAATTCTGGGCTGAAAATTCTTTTCTTTAAGAATGTTGAATATTGGCCCCCACTCTCTTCTGGCTTGTAGAGTTTCTGCCTAGAGATCAGCTGTTAGTCTGATGGGCTTCCCTTTGTGGGTAACCCGACCTTTCTCTCTGGCTGCCCTTAACTTTTTTTCCTTCATTTCAACTTTGGTGAATCTACCAATTATGTGTCTTGGAGTTGCTCTTCTCGAGGAGTATCTTTGTGGCATTCTCTGTATTTCCGGAATTTGAATGTTGGCCTGCCTTGCTAGATTGGGGAAGTTCTCCTGGATAATATCCTGCAGAGTGTTTTCCAACTTGGTTCCATTCTCCCCGTCACTTTCAGGTACACCCATTAGACATAGATTTGGTCTTTTCACATAGTCCCATATTTCTTGGAGGCTTTGTTCATTTCTTTTTATTCTTTTTTCTCTAAACTTCTCTTCATGCTTCATTTCATTCATTTCGTCTTCCATTACTGACACCCTTTCTTCCAGTTGATCGCATGGTTACTGAGGCTTGTGCATTCGTCACGTAGTTCTCATGCCTTGGTTTTCAGCTCCATCAGGTCCTTTAAGGACTTCTCTGCATTGGTTATTCTAGTTATCCGTTCGTCTAATTTTTTTTCAAAGTTTTTAGCTTCTTTGCCATTGGCTTGAACTTCCTCCTTTAGCTCGGAGTAGTTTGACCTTCTGAAGCCTTCTTCTCTCAACTCGTCAGAGTCGTTCTCTGTCCAGCTTTGTTCTGTTGCTGGTGAGGAGCTGTGTCCCTTTGGAGGAGGAGAGGTGCTCTGATTTTTAGAGTTTCTGGTTTTTCTGCTCTGTTTTTTCCCCATCTTTGTGGTTTTATCTACCTTTGGTCTTTGATGATGGTGATGTACAGATGGGGTTTTGGTGTGGATGGCCTTTCTGTTTGTTAGTTTTCCTTCTAACAGTCAGGACCCTCAGCTGCAGGTCTGTTGGAGTTTGCTGGAGATCCACTCCAGACCCTCTTTGCCTGGGTATCAGCAGCAGTGGCTGCAGAACAGCGGATATTGGTGAACTGCAAATGCTGCTGCCTGATCGTTCCTCTGGAAGTTTTGTCTCAGAGGAGTACCTGGCTGTGTTAGGTGTCAGTCCGCCCCTACGGGGGGTGTCTTCCAGTTAGGCTGCTTGGGGGTCAGGGACCCACTTGAGGAGGCAGTCTGCCGGTTCTCAGATCTCAAGCTGCGTGCTGGGAGAACCACTACTCTCTTCAAAGCTGTCAGACAGGGACATTTAAGTCTGCAGAGTTTATTGCTGTCTTTTGTTTGTCTGTGCTTTGCCCCCAGAGGTGGAGCCTACAGAGGCAGGCAGGCCTCCTTGAGCTGTGGTGGACTCCACCCAGTTCGAGCTTCCTGGCTGCTTTGTTTACCTGCTCAAGCTTGGGCAATTGCGGGCACCCCTACCCCAGCCTCACTGCTGCCTTGCAGTTTGATCTCAGAATGCTGTGCTAGCAATGAGCGAGGCTCTGTGGGCATAGGACCCTCTGAGCCAGGTGTGGGATATAATCTCCTGGTGTGCCGTTTGTTAAGCCCATTGGAAAAGCGCAATGTTAAGGTGGGAGTGACCCGATTTTCCAGGTGCCGTCTGTTACCCCTTTCTTTGACTAGGAAAGGGAATTCCCTGACCCCTTGTGCTTCCCGGGTGAGGCGATGCCTCGCCCTGCTTTGGCTCACACATGGTGTGCTGCACCCACTGTCCTGCACCCACTGTCTGGCACTCCCCAGTGGGATGAACCCAGTACCTCAGTTGGAAATGCAGAAATCACCCATCTTCTGTGTCGCTCACGCTGGGAACTGTAGATTGGAGCTGTTCCTATTCTGCCATCTTGGCTCCACCCTCCGTATCATTGTTTTAACAGTGAGAACAATCATACCAATATGAGTAATAAAAAACAAATGGGCACTTTGGCTTTGATTTACAAAAATTCACAATAGTTTTCATTTATTATTATATGATAACTTAAATAAAACAGCATTTGCAAATTTATGTTTCCATCACTGAAGTTGCTTTGTAGGATTCTTCCTCTAAGTTCTGTTTCCCATCTTGCATTTTCAATTCTGCATCCTCCTGTCATCAATACCATCACTACTAAGTTTGTAGTTTCTGGGAATTTTGCTTCTTTTCTAGTGTGTTCCAGTAAGGAAAAAAAATCAGTTTATTCTCAAGCTGTAATCAGTGGTCTGAAAGAGTTCTTGTTCTCACTGTGTCATCTTGTATATGTCAGTTCTCCAGGCCAAGCCTTTCTCAATTGCAAAATGAGGGCAATGAACTATTTTATTTCTATGGTCACTTTTAACACTAAACCACACAAAATCATGTGATTCTAAGTTTAGTTTCATTGCCCCTATAAAAAATTTTTGAAAGAGTTCACTTGGCTTTCCCTTTATTTTTTAACCACAACCACCACAAAACAAGTAAATATAGGAAGTTCTGTCACAGCATGCATTTTTATCAATAGAAGTGTTTTTGTTTTCTTGGGAAACATGATTTATTTAGGGAGAATGCTATTTGTCATGATGTGGTGACCCCTGGGAAGATAGCTGTTGCATGGGCAACTCAGACACTTTGAAGTTCTAATGATTTGTCCATCATAATAATGGTGATAACAATGACATGATTTAGGTACTAAATATGTATAAGAGGGCCAGACAAATGAAAATACTGGTCATAATAAGAAAGAAACCCCATTGGTCTTGAGCGCTATCTACATGTAAAAAAAATTCATTTGCTTTATTATATTTTGAACTTATATCTACAGAAAAAATGTTTATAACCAAAGTGTCTGGAGAACATTAGCATTATTAATCTATGTCTAAAGGCCTTTAGTAGAGAACAAAATTAAGAACTGATTTGAAAAGATTTATGAGAGACAAACCTCTATGGAGACTGATCTAGATTAGACAATAAGAGAGAGAGAAAAAATAAAGTACAGAAAAAATTGCCCAAGTACAGAAAAAATTGCCAAATAATTACAGATAGCACAGGGTTTAAAATAAGAAAAATATTATAAAAAATATATACAGACAGTTCAAAGCATAGATGAAATGAGTGATTTCTGAAAATGCTAAAATTGATCTGAGGAAAAAGAAAGAAGATAAATAGACCAATAATCATTAAAAAAAAAAAACAGCAAAAGAGATCAAAGAATTTCCCCTGGAAAATCTCATAGATGATAGAAGAATTTTACCAAAAAATTAAGTAATAGAATATCTCCGTATTATCCAGATAATTATAGAAAATATAAAAAAGAAAGGCATCCAACTCATTTATAAGCTACTATAACCTTGGTTACAAATCCAAATGAAAATACAAGAAATAAAATCATAAGGCTATTTCACTTATAAACCTAGATGATAACTTCCAAAAATCCAAGGAATATAGTTCTGAAAAAAAAATAGACTTCATCAAATTGAAAAATGCCTTCTGTGTGTATTACACATATTTAACCACAGAACTGGGACTAAAACAAATGTGGTGATTAGAATAACAACACAGTATATATATGTATTTACTCTAATGATGTGGAAATGACACAAGAAGCAAAGTTAGAGAGGAAGGAGAGAAGGGGTTGCAGAAAAGTTAGCATGCTAAAGACTTTATTTCTAATTGCTAATAGTCGAAGGTTATTTAAAATTTACAAATAAAGAATCATATGGATGCTTAAGATTTAAGATATAAAGACAAGCATGCAAGACTTGCGCACTACAAACTACAAATATTATTGAAAATAAAAAAATAAAATGTATTTAAGTGGAAAAACATCCCATGTCCCCATGTCTATGGACTTAATCTTGTTGTAATGGCAGCATTCCCCAACTGATCTACAGATTGAATATTATACTTATAAAAATCTTACCTGGTATTTTTGTTTTGTTTTTCTCCTGGAAGTAGACTGGCCAGTCTTAAAATTTATGTGAAATTACAGGAAACTCTGAATAGCTATAGCTATCTTGAAAAAGAAGAATTGGGAGGACTCATACAAAAGACTTAATATTCATGTCATTGGAGTTCTGAAAGGAGAGGAGAAAGGAAACAATAAAAGAAGGAGCTCTGGAACATCAGGAAGATAAAAAGAATATGATCAGCAAAAATATGGTTAAAAACAATAAGCATTCTTTCTCTTTTGAATTTTCTCAAGTATGCTTGATGATTGAAGCAAAAATTATGTAACAGTTTCATATGGTTCTAAATATATGTAAAAGAAACACAAGATAATTATATAATAAATGGGGGAGGGTGAGTGAGGTAAGGTTTCTGTATTTCACTTGACCTGGTGAAATGACAATACCAGTAGACTCTGGTATATATATGTTCTAGTGTAGTGGAATAACCACTAGAAAGGTTATACAAAGTTGATACATTCAAAATGCTATAACTAAATCAAATGGAATTCTCAAAATTATCCAAGTAATTTTCAGGAAAGCAGGGGAAAAAAACCCCAGAGAAATGAAGAACAGATAAAACAGAAAACAAAAAAATTAAAATGACAGATGTAAGTCATAATATAGCAATAATTACATTAAATGCAAATACTCTGAATACACAAATTAAAAGGGATTGAAAGTGTGGATTAAAAAATCTCACCCCATTCTAAGTTGTCAATAAAGAAACTCACTTCAAATATAATAATATAGTCATGGTGAAGGCAAAAGGATAGAAAAAGATATACGATATGAAGATCAATTGAAGGAAAGCAGATGTGTCTATATTAATATGAGATAAAGTAGACTTGAGAGCAAAGAAAATTGTGAGAGACAGATAGTGTCATGTAATGATAGAAATGTCATTTCACCATGGAGATGTGGCAATCCTAAATGTGAATGCACAGAACAAAAGAGTTGAAAATATGTGAATTAAAACTAATAGAACTGAAAGGAGAAATGTACACAATTACTGTTAGAGACTTTAATGTTACTCTCTCAACAATGATAGAACAACTAGACAGAAATCAGAGAGAATATAGAATAGCTAAAAAAAATCTCTATTAATCAATTATATCTGATCAATGTGTATAGAACACTCCACCTAACAATATCAGAATCCACATTTTCTCTAGTGCCCACAGAACATATACTAAGATAAATTATATCCTGGGCCATTAAAACATTTGAACTAAATTTGGAAAGAATTGAAATTATACAGACAGTGTCCTCTAACCACAATGAAATTAAAGCAGAAATAAATGCCAGAAAGACAGCAGAAGGATCTCCAAACACTTGTAAACTAAATGAGATGTTTCTAGATAATCCATGGGTCAAAGAGGAAGTCTCAAAGAAATAAACATATATACTGAACTGAAAGAAAATAAAATTAAACATATCAAAATTTGTGGCATATAGTTATATCAGTACTGAGAAAAAAACTTACAGTACTAAACGCATACTTTAGAAAAGAGGAGAGTTTCAAATCAATAATCTAAGCTCTCACATGAAAACTCTAGAAAAAGAAAAGCAAAATAAGCCCACAGGAAACAGAAGGAAGGAATAAATAAAACTAAGAGAAGAAATCAATGAAGTTGAAACCAGAAAAGCAATAGAGAAAATTAATAAAATAAAGACATAGTTCTTTGAAAAGGTCAATAAAAACGATACACTTCTAGCAAGACCAACTTTGTCTGGATTCTTCAGAGAAACAGAACCAATAGAATGTGAAGACATAAAGATATAAATAGAGAAAGAGAGAGAGGTTTTATTTCTCTTGTGAGAATTAGCTCATGTGATCATTAAGGCTTGCAACTTCAAAATCTGCAGGGTAGGATGGCAGGCTGGAGACCTAGGAAAGAGCTGATGTTGCAGTTCAAGTCTGAAGGCCATCTACTGGCAGAATTCTCTCTTGCTCAGGATAGATCAGTCTTTTGTTCTATTCAGGTCTTCTACTGATTGGATGAGGCCCACTCACATTCTGGAGGGCAATCTGCTTTACTCAAAGCCCACTAATGTAAAATGTTAATCTCTAAGCTCTGAAATTGAATTAGTAATAAAAAAAACCTACCAACTAAAAAAGCCCTTGACCAGGTGAATTCACAGCCAAATTATACCAGATGTACAAAAAAAAAAAAAAAACAAAAAAAAAAAACAACAAAACAAAAACTGGTACCAACCCTACTGAAACTATTCCAAAAAATCAAGGAGGAAGGGCTCCTTTCTAACTCATTCTATGAAGCCAGCATCATCCTGATACCAAAATCTAACAGAGACACAACAGAAAAAGAAAACTTCAGGCCAATATGCTTGATGAACACGACACAAAAATCCTCAACCAAAACAAAACAAAACAAAAAACTAGCCAGCTGAATCCAACAGCACATCAAAAAGTTAATTCACCACAATCAAATAGACTTTATTCTTGGAATGCAAGGTTGGTTCAATATATGCAAATCAATAAATGTGATTCACTACATCAACAGAATCAGAAACAAAAAACTTATGACGATTTCAATAGATGTGGAAAAAGCCTTTGATAAAATCTAACATCCCTTCATGATAAAAATCCTCAATAGGCTAGGCATAGAAGGAACACAAAATAATAAGAGCCATCTATGAGAAACCCACAGCAACATCATAGTGAAATGGCAAAAACTGGAAGCATTCTCCTTGGGAACTGGAACAAAAGAAGAATGCCCACTTTCTCCTATTCAACAGAGTACTAGAAGTTCTAGCACAAGCAATCAGGCAAAAGAAAGAAATAAAAGGCATCCAAATAGGAAAAGAATTTAGACTATCTCTACTTGCTGACAACATGATTGTACACCTAGAGAACCCTAACAACTCTGCCAAAAGGCTCCTGGAGCTGGAAAATGATTTCAATAAAGTTTCAAGATACAAAATTAATGTACAAAAACCAGTAGCATTTCTATACACCAATAACATTCTAGCTGAGAGCCAAATCAAGAACACAATCCCACTTACAATAATGTCACATAAAACGAAATACTTAGGAATACATCCAACTAAGGAGGTGAAATATCTTTACAAGGAGAGCTATGAAATACTGCTGAAAGAAATCACATTTGACACAAATAAATGGAAAAATATTCCATGCTCATGGATTAGAAGAGTAAATATTGTTAAAATGGCCATACTACCTAAAGCAATGTATAGATTCAATGCTATCCCTATCAAAATACTGTGCCATTTTTCACAGTTGAAAAAAGTATTCTAGAATTCATATGGAACAAAAAAAGAGACTGAATAGCCAAAGGACTCTTAAGCAAAAAGAATAAAGCCAGAGACATCACATTACCCAACTTCAGATTATACTGTAAGACTACAGTAACCAAAATAGCATTGTCCTGGTACAAAAACAGACACATAGACCAATGGAATAGGTTAGAGAATTCAGAAATAAAGCTGCGCAACTACAGCCAGCCGATCTTTGACAAAGTTGACAAAAATAAGCATTGGAGAAAGGACTCCCTATTCAAAAAATGGTGCTGGGATACCTGGCTAGCCATATGCAGAAGAAAGAAACTAGACCACTACATTTCATCCCATACAAAAATTGACCCCAAGTGGATTAAAGATTTAAGTGTAAGACATCAAACTATAAAAATCCTAGAAGAAAGCCTGGGACATACACTTTTCAATATCAGATTTGGCAAAGAACTTATGACTGAGTCCCTGAAAGCAACTGCAACAAAAACAAAAATTGACAAGTAGGACCTAATCAGACTTAAGAATTTCTGCCCAGTCAAATAAATTATCAACAGGGTAAACCCCTACAGAATGGAAGAAAACATTCACAAACTGTGCCTCTGACAAAGTTCTAATATCCAGAATCTACAAGGAACTTAAATAAATTAAAAAAAACCCAAAACAAAGAAAACAAAACAAAACCAATTAAAAATGGGCAAAGGACATGAACAGACACTTGTCAAAAGAAGATGTACAAGTGGTCAAGAAACATATGAAAAAATTCTCAACATCACTAATCATTAGAGAAATGCAAATCAAAACCACAAGGAGAGACCATCTCACGTGAGTCAGAATGGCTATTATTAAAAAGTCAAAGAATATCAATGCAGAGAAGAGGAATGCAAATTAGTTCAGACACTGTGGAAAGCAGTTTGGAGATTTCTCAAAGAACTTGAAACAGAACTACTATTTATTCCAGCAATTCCATTACTGGGTATATGTCCAAAGGAAAATAAATCATTATACCAAAAAGACACATGCACTTGTATGTTCATTGCCACACTATTCAGGAAAGCAAATACATGTTATCAACCTAGGTGTTCATCCGTAGTGTAATGGACAGAGAAAATGTGGTACAGATATACCATGGAATAAAAAAATAAAATCATATCCTTTGTGGCAACATGGATGTAACTGGAGGCCATTATCCTAAGGAAATTAACATAGGAACAGAAAACCAAATACTACATGTTCTTACCTATAAGTGGGAGCAAAACATTTAATACACATGGATACAAAGATGGGAATAATAGACACTGGGGACTACTAGAGGGGAGAGGTGGGAGAGGGTTTGTGCTGAAATATTACCTATTGGGTACTATGCCCACTAACTAGGGGATAGGACCATCTATACCCCAAATCTCAACATTATGCAATATACCCATATAACGAACATTTACATGTACCCACTGAATCCAAAATTTAGAAAAAAATTAAATTAAATGTTAATCTCATTCAAAATCACCTTCCCAGAAATACCCACAATCATGTTTGACCAAATATCTGGGTACCATGGCCCACCCAAGTTGACACATAAAACTTACCATCACACTGACAAAAAAAGAGAGTAGACATGATCATCATTTGGAATAAAACAAGGGATGTCACTACAGACCTCACAGATATCAAAAAGGTAATAATGAAATATTATTAATAACCCTACACACATAAATTTGATGAAATGAATCACTTCCTTGAAAAATACCAGTGACCACAACTCTCCCAAAAAGAAAAAGACAATTTCAGTAGTTCTGTTGAAATTCTTAAGAAAGTTGAATTCATAATTATAAACTCCCAAAAAATAAATCACTAAAACTACATGATTTCCCTGGAGAATCTTACCCAGTGTTTAAACACTAATTAAAATCAATTCTACATAATCTGCTTCAGAAAATAGCATAGGTAGAAACATTTCACAACTAATATTATGAAGCTACTGTTACCCATTTACAAAAACCAGACAGATACAAAAACAAAACAGAACAAAAACTAAAAGAACTACAGACCAATATCTCTCATAAATATAGATTCAAAAAGACTTAAAATATTAGCACCTATAATTCAGCAAAATAAAGAATTATACACTGTGATCAAGTTGGGTCTGTTTCAGGGATGCAAGGCTGGTTCAGTATTTGAAAATATATTCGTGTAATATACAACATTAATAGGTTAAAAAAGAAAAATCACATGGTCATATAATTCAGTGCAGAAAAGCATAGTCAAATTGATTAAGGTTTAATGCAAATGCTATCAAAATCTCAGCAAGAGTTTTTGTAGATATAGACAAGATAATTCTGAAATTTATTTGAAAAGAAAAAGGAACTGCAAGAGCTGGAACAGTTTTGAAAAAGCAGAATAAAATGAGAAAAATCATCTTCCCAATTTCAAGCATTATTATATAGTTATAGTAATCTGTACTGTGTGGTATTTGCAGAGGGACAGATAGATCACTGGGACAGAACACAGAGAATCTAAGAAATATGTCCACACAAACATGCCCAACTGATTTTTTACAAAAGTGCAAAAGCAATTTAATAGAGTTAAGGTAGAATGTTCAACAAATGATGCTGGAGCAATGGAACATCCATAGCCAAAAAGTTAAAATGAACCACAGACTAAAATACAAAACATAAAACTATAAAGCTCTCAGAAGAAAATGTGAGAAAAACTTCAGAATCTCGGCCTAGGCAAACGTTCTTAGGCTTGACGCCAAAGCACAATCTATAAAAGGAAAAATTGATAAATCAGACTTTATAAAAATTAAAATCTTTTGTTCTGTGGATGGCTCTGTTGAAAATAAAAAGACAAGTTACAGAGTGGTAGAAAACTCACGTAACTGTAAAAGGACTAGCAAACCATATATCCAACAAAGGACTTGTATCTAAGATATAGTAATAATTCTCAAAATTCAATGGTAAAAAAGCAAACAATCAAGTCAGCACATGGGCAAAAGGCATGAAGAGATGTTTTACCAAAGATACATAGGTGGTAAATAAATAAATGAAAAGATGTTCAACATCAGTGGACAACAAGAGAATCCAAATTACAACCATAATGATATATCACTACACACCTATAAGAATGGCTAAAATAAAAAAAACCATGGTAACAGAGAATACAGAGAAACTGGATCCCTCAAACATTGCAGATGGGAATGTAAAATGGCACAGGACTCTAGAAAATAGTTTCACAGTTTTTTTAAATCTAAACATGCATGTACCATAAAATAGCAATTACATTCTTGGAAGTTAAAACTAGAGAAAGGAAGACTTGTGTTCTACACAAACATGTACATGAATGTTTACAGTAGTAGTTTATAATAGCCCCAAACTGGAAACAATAGGTGAATGGTTATAAAAACAGTGGTACATCCAAACCATGAAATACTACTCTGCAATAAATAGGAAGGAACTACTGATACATGCAGCAACCTTGAAGAATCTCTGGCTAATTATGCTGAGTTAAAACAAACTCAATCTCAATAGTTATATACTTTATGATTACATTTATATAATATTCTTGAAATGACAAAATTATAGAAAGAAAAAAAAAGAGGTTAGTGGTTGCCAAAGGTTGGCCACATGGGTGGGGGCAGGAGGGAAGCAGTTGTGGCTATAAATAACATGAGAGATACTTGTGGTGATGGAAATCTTTTTCTTGTTCTTTTTTTTGAAATCTTGACTGTATCTAAGTCAACATTCTGGTTGTGATATTGTTCTATAGTTTTACAAAATGTTACCATTAGAGGAAACTGGGTAAAGGATTCGTAGAATTTCTGGGTAAAGGATACGTAGAAATTCTCTGTATTATTTCTTACAATTGCATGTTAATCTATAATCATATCAAAATAAAGATTTAATTAAAAAACACAAAACAATAAAATATAGAGGGAGTCAAATCAAAAAGAAAAAGTTTTACCCTGGGTTGGATGGTAGAAATGGTGAGTAGAAGGGAGTTAGCAGAAACAGGGACAATTTTTACTATATGTGTTTTTCTTAACATACTTACAGGAAAATGCACAAATTATGTTTATATCTTGATGACTTAACACAAAATGTACCTACCCATGTAAGCACCACTCAGTTTAAGAAGTATGATAGGAGCAGACCTCAGAAATTCCCTTCGTGTCTCCTCTCTTGACTACTCCCTCTATCTCTCTAAATGTAGTCATTGCCTTGAGTTTAAGAACCATAGATTAGTTTTGCCTGTTTCCAAATTTTATAAAAATGGAACCATATAGAAATCATTCTTTTGTATCTTGCTATTGTAACTCAACATCATATATACAGGATTCATCTATGGTGGTGCATGTAGCAATAATTTGTTCATTTTTATTGCTACCTGGTATCCTATTGTATAAACTGTAATTTATTTATTCATTTTACTCTTTATGGACATTTGATTTGCTTCCAAATCTTAACCATTGTGAATAATGTTGCCATGAAAATTCTTTTTTTGTGTGTATATGACCTGTGGTGCACATAGGTACAAATTTTTCTTATGTAAATTACAGAGAACAAAATTGCTGGGCTATCAGGTATATGTATGGTCAACCTTACATATGACCAATAGTTTTCCAACTATTTGTATCAATTTATACTTTCACCAGCAGTATATGCGAGCTTCTGTTGATTCACAGGAATACCTGATGTTGATGTCAGTCTTAATTCCAGCTATTTCATTCAGTGTGTAATGGTATCAAATTGTGATTTTTAATTTGCATTTCTCTAATTACTTATAAGGTTGAGTAACATTTTGCCTGTTTATTGCAATTTTTAATTTTAATATTCTTTTCTAAAATGTCTGTTCAAATCTTTCAGTCATTTTTAATTTGGTCATTTGTCTTTTTCTTATTGATCTGTTGGAGTTCTGGAATGGTGAGTCAGTGCCACAGATTTCCCTGCTGGTTTCACTGTGGTTGGTTTCATGCTCTCCTCTGGTGCAGTAACCTCTTAACTTTTTTCTGTATTTCTCACAAAGGGGTATAGTCTGTGTACTCTGGTTGAGTCAGTGTCTCCCTGGGGGAAAGGAGGTTCTGGGGCTTCCTATTCTACCATCTTGCTCTGGACTCTATTCTGTTACATTGGTTTGTCTATTTTTACACCAATATATCACTGCCTTGATTAATGTGGTTTTATATCCATTAGTGGAAGTTTCCCAATATGTTTTTCTCTCTGATTATTCTGGGTGTGTCTGTGATCCAGTGTGTTTTTCTTCAAGAGGTCTTAGCTATAACAATCATTTTTATTTCTGTATAACATTTAAATTAGCCAGTTTCCACAAACATGCTTGCTGGGATTTTGTTTGGAATTTCATTGACTCTATAGATCAACTACAAAAATGAACATCTTTGCATATTGATTCATAACTCATGAACGTATTACATCTCATTATTTACTTAGGGTTTCTGTATTTCTCTAAGTAATATTTTGTAGACTTTTTAATTTTGTCAGATTTTTTCCAAGCTGTTAGTTTTTTTAATGTTATTATAAAATTTCTTTAAATTTAAGTTTTGTTTGTTGCTAGTATACAGACATAAAACAGATTTGGGATATTGTAATTGCTCTGAATTCGTGTATCAATTGTAATATTAATTTGTAGATATTTTGGGACTTTTTTACATACCTAAATATCATGTCATCTGGAAAAAATGATCATTTTAGTTTTTCCTCCAATCTTTTTCTTATTTTTGTCTTGCCTTGCCCTATTGCAATAGCTAGGACTCTGATGATGAGAAGTGGTGAAAGCAGATATCCATATCTTGTCCTCATTCTCAGAGGTAAAGCTTTCAATATTTTACCATTCACCATGATGTTTGCAATAGGATTCACGGATACTTTTACACAATAAGCTGTTCCCATATATTTCTAGCATGATAGCAATTTTTATCATGAATAAATGATTAATTTAATAAAATCATTTTCCTGCATCTACTGAGATGATTATATGATTTTTCTAATTTAATCTTCGATGGAGTGAATTACACTGATTTTCAAATGTTAAATCAGCCTTATATTACTAGAAGAAACCCAATTAGATCTTGATATATTATCTGTTTCATATATCTTTGCACTTTGTTAATATTTATATAGGATTTTTACTCTTGAATCTTTACCTTAGGGTCTATTTCTGGGGAAACCTACTATAAGACAGAAGTGTATAATTTAGGATGAATTCAGCATCAAATCACAAAAAAACTTAGCCATGCTTAAACAAATAGTGATTACTTTTCTTACACATAAAAACTACAGTGCTTAAAACTGATAGAATTGATTTACTTGTTTAATGATACTATCAGAAACCTAGTTTCTTTTTAACCATTTTTTCTCTATCTTTTTTATTTTTGCATTTTTTTCATAATGGTTGATACTGCATATTGTGACTTAGAGCCTCACAATCTCAAACTAGAGTTCTAGGAAAGGAAGAGGCCGCGGTAGGGCTTTTCCCAAGTGCGGTTATTTATAAAGGAAGGGAAGCTCCAGAATACATGTCCTTGGCTAGAACTAGGTCACATGCAGATTCCCAGAGCAATCACCGGCAGAAGAGTGTGGAATTCCTATGACTGAGATTAAACCAATCCTGATTCATCTTCTATGGTCAGAGAATGGCCTACTCTCACCCTGAAATCAAGGAATCTATTCCTGCTACAAAGTCTGTATTCTATAGCCTGGGAAAAATTAGGGGGATCATAACTGCTCCCAATAGTTCAAGAAAGACTGCTTTTGTATGGCCCTCACTTACGAATATAGATGTAAAAATTTTTACCCAAATGTTAGCAAGCTGAATCCAGAAAGTAAAAATAATTATGATGTAGTTGGATTTATCTCAGAAAAATGTCAGTTAATTCAGAAACTGAAGGCTACTACAAGGCCATAGAAATGTAACAGAACTAAATGCTCTAAAACAAGCCCATGCTTACATGGGAACCTGATATCTGATAGAAGGGGGCCTAATGGAAAAGGATTGTTTTTTAATCAATTGATATTGGAAAAACTGGCCATTACACAGAAAAAAAAGTTAGTTTTCAAATTTATAATTTAAATTGACTACAGGCTTATGTATGAAAGGTAAAACTATGAAGTGAAGAAAAATAAATCAGAAAACACCTTTGTAATTTTGAATTGCGGAAGACTTAGTATATAAAAGCCCAAAGGTATGTCATAAGATACAAAACAATGAACTTGTCTGGGCGCGGTGGCTCACACCTGTAATCCCAGCACTTTGGGCGGCTGAGGTGGGTGGATCACCTGAGGTCAGGAGTTTGAGACCAGCTTGGCCAATGTGGCGAAACTCCGTCTCTACTAAAAATACAAAAATTAGCTAGGTGTGGTGGCAAGTGCCTGTAATCCTAGCTACTTGGGAGGCTGAAGCAGGAGAATCATTTGAACCTGGGAGGCAGAGGTTGCAATGAACCAAAACAAAAAAAAACTAAAAAAAAATGAACTTGACCACATAAAAAATTATACATTTCTGTTTAATAAAGGGCACCATTAATAAAGTCAACCAACAAGGAACAGATTGAGAGAAATTATTCTTATTTAAAAAATAGAGACAGGGTCTCGCTTTGTTGCTGAGGCTGGCCTTGAACTTTTGGCCTCAAGAAATTCTCCTACCTTTGCCTTGGCTTCCCAAAGTGCTGGGATCAGAGGCCTGAGCAAGCATGCCTGGTGAGGAGGAATTATTTGAGAAGTCAAAAACTGAGAAGAGATTGATAACTAGAATACAAAAAATCCCCCTAAGCCCACAAAACCTTAGAAAAAAATAGGGAACCAATACAGAAACATGTGAAGCAGAGACTACAGACTCAAAGGGCTAATTTGGAGAGTAATCTGGAGATATTTAGTTTAGTTGTTTTAGTTTAGTTTAGTATACACAGGTCTCCTGCTCATCCTGTGGAATTTGTGTTCTGGTCCTTAAGGAGGCATGTGTATTTGATTAAGCATTATTTGTACAACAGGGCATTGTAGACAACCTATGCAACTGTATCTAGGGAACCAGATGGGTGAAAAATATTGGGGATGCTCACAGAGGAAACAAAACTCTATCTCTATTAGAAATAGAGTTATGTGGATGAATCTTTCAAACATAATGTTCAGAGGAAAAAGTAAGGTAACAAGTTCTATAACATCATTTACTTGGGCAAATTTAAAACATAAACACACAACAAAATAGTACCATATTTGAAATATACCTACATATCCAGGAAAAATGCGAAACACAATAGTTATTTCCTACAGGTCTAGGAAGAGATTGGCAGTGCAGATTGAGGCAAAAGGAAGAAAAATAGAAGCAAAAGAGGATGCTTATATGAATAATTAATGACTGTGTTATAAACTTGGGAGTATGAGCAACTCAGTTCTCTGCATTTTAGGTTATGTATTTATTAGTGAGGTCCTATCGTGATTTTAGCTTGCATATTAACCCCCAGGTTAAACATGGCCACTATTTAAAATATTTGTTTCTAAAACATAAAGTTTAAGGGAGAGATTTTCCTGTAATTATTTAATTTGTAGAAGCCACTACATACCAATCTGTGACCTAAAGCCACTGTAAATAAATGAATATTTTCCTCCAAAATCATGCTTTGCATTACTCAGAGGAATATCTTGTCTCTTTCCATTCTATCTCCAAAGGCTTCAGTTTCTGGAAAACTACAATCTACTTCATCTGTAATTTACTCTGTTAATTTAAGTTCCATTTTACTCTCTACTTTCTCCTTCTTGTCAACAACAAATGTCAACATTTAAAAACTCTTCTGGTATATTAGTCAGGGTTCTCCAGATAATCAGTGTGTGCGTGTATGTGTATATGTTATTGGTATATATATGTTTATTCTATGTTTTATATATATAATCTAGAAAGAGATTTATGATAAAGTATAGGCACATGATTATGGAGCCTGATAAGTCCCATGATGTGGTGTCTGTAAGCTGGAGACCCAGGAAGGCCAGTGTTGTAGCCTGAAGGCCTGAGAGCTGGAGAGCCAATGGTGTAGATTCCAAGTCTGAGTCTGAAAACCTGAGAACCGGGGGCACTGAGGATGGAAGACTGATGTTCCAACTCAAGCAATAAGGCAGAGGGAGGGCAAATACAACTTTTCTCCACCTTTTTGTTCTATTTAGGCCCTCAGCAGACTGAATGATGCCACCCACACTGGGGAGTGGCTATCTACCTTACTCAGTCCATCAATTAAAATGCGAATCTTTTCCAGAAACATCTTTACAGACACTTCCAGAAACATCTTTACAGACACATCCAGAAATAATGTTGAATCAGATATCTAAGCATCTATCTGGTGGCCCAGTCAAGTTGCCACATAAAATTAACTGTCAAGTGAGCTGATGATCAGGTTTTCACTATTTTTTTTTTTTCCATTTCTCATGAGAGTGAAGTTAGTGAGGCAGTTTGGAAGAACTACACCTTGGTTTGAATATATTTCATAACTGAAGATTTGAATGAATTTAAATCCACTTTCTATAAAGTGAATGCAGTGAATCTTAAATTCACAATCTTGAGTGAATTTAAGCCATGACTCAAAAGTGGCAACACTTCATTCACTTTATAGAAAGTTTTGAAATTCATTCTGAGGTATAGGAGTGAGAAAACTTTTCATGTAAACACTCCTTTTAAATTACTAGAGAAATTGTCCAGTCCTTTATATCAGCCAAATTTATTCCTTTGCTGATGAAATCTTGATTTTGTGTTTATTTCTTGCTTATTATGATATAAAACATACATGTTGTTTTATTAACCATGGATAAGTTTGCCTGACCGCAGAAGTTCACTAAGATTCTAATGACGGTGGGATCAATTAATTGATTAGGACATTGCTACTGAAAATGTTGTCTGAGTAAAGAGCATCACCTGGGAGCTTTTCAGACATGCAGAAACTCAAGCCCAATCGTAGACCTAAAGAATCAAAACCTGCATTACAACAAGATCTTTAGGTGATTCTTATGCATGTTAAAGTTAGAGAAGCACCAAGAATCCACACTGGGAACCCTGGTATCCGGACAGCAATGCCAGATTCAAGAAAAGCTGCTTTAAAAAATATTATTATTATTATTATTTTTGAGATGGAGTCTCACTGCGACGCCCAGGCTGGAGTGCAATGGTGCAATCTCGGCTCACTGCAACCTCTGCTTCCCGGGTTCAAGCGATCCTCCTGCCTCAGCCTCCCAAGTAGCTGAGATTACAGGTGACTGCCACCACGCCCGGCTAATTTTTGTATTTTTAGTAGAGACAGGGTTTCACCATATTGGTCAGGCTGGTCTCGAACTCCTGACCTCAAGCGATGTACCAGCCTCAGCCTCCGAAAGTACTGGGATTACAGGCATGAGCCACCGTGCCTGGCTTTATTATTATTTTTTGAGACACAATCTTGCTCTGTCACCAGGCTGGAGTGCAGTGGTGTGGTCATGGCTCACTGCTGCCTTGATCTCCCCAGCTTGAACAATTCTCCCATCTCAGCCTCATGGGTAGCTGGGAATACAGGCATGTGTCAAAATGCCCAGCTAATTTATTTTATTTTTTTTGTAGAATTGGAGTCTCATTATGTTGCCCAGGCTGGTCTCTAGTTCTTGGGCTCAAGCGGTCTTCCTGTCTTGGCCTCCCAAATGGTTGAGATTACAGGCATGAGCCACTGGGCCTGGCTAAAAAGCTTGCTTTTAAATTAAATCTATTTTTACATGGTTATCCTTGAGTTCCTGATTAATTCTACCATTTATTCATTCATCTATTCAATAAGTATTTAGCGAGTGCTTATTATATTTTGGGCTCCATAATGGGTGTATACAAAAGCAAACAGGACATGCTAAGAATTGCTGTGTTTTGAATACAAAAATAGATGCAGAAAGAAGCACATAAGCTGGAGTGAAATATGCTGCTGATCCTCTGGGAAAAGTTCCCAGCTCAGCAGTCTGACAATGACAGCACGAGTTATGAAGACAACCATCCAGAACATGTTCAGTGACTGCACCCTGCAAGCTCTCAGCAAAGTAAGCAGGCACTGCTTGGCTGGGGTAGCTCGGTTTCTGGGCTCCCAGTTGGGCCTGGGTTGGCTCCAGCTCTCCAACTCAGAACTGACAGCTGGCACCCACACCCTCCTCCTCAGCTTCCGGGATGGCCTGATGGGCAAAGAGAAAGAGAATGGAATCTGGATGACAGGGCTGGGCAGAGCGAGTCCAGAATGCTATAAGCCTGTTTGGTCTGTTACAAGTGCTGTGAGCAAAGGAGGACTGCAATTTTGAACATTGCAAAACAATGCATCCAGGCTTAGTCCCAAGGGATGGCAGAACAAGGAAATGCCATAGGCAAGTTATTTTATGTTAAATCTTATGCCACACTAAAATTATGTTACATTAGAATTTTAAAAATAATGTAAACATTGATTTTATAATTCTTTCTTGAAGTCTTAGAGATGAAGAATATCTGACAGCCGGTCCTTTTCTTTTGGTAAATTAATGACAGAATAAGTGATTTGAATCCCAGAAGAGGATATGGGTCACGTCTAATATATAGCAACAACCATCTATTCCATGTCCAAACACCTTGATTTTTGTTCTTAGTCTTTATTTTCATGAAGTTGGAAATATTGTTAAGAAAAAGGCAAGGAAAGCAAACTCTAGTTATGGGAAGAAAATCTCAGCTTTGGGGAGACGCATTTTCTTCTTCCCTTCCTACCCACAGTGCAAAGTGCGGTCATTACTATCTGTCTCTGTAGTATCTATCAAATGGATGAGGAAGAAAGAAAACATCTGAAGTGACTGATTAGTCATTGGGAATAATTTGTGCAACTGCTTGGCTATAGATATGACTTTATCATATCTTTATCATATAGATAATTTTGTTCATCCTTGGGCAAGTTGTTTAATAGTTGTGAGACTGAGTTTCCTTACCTGTGAAATGAAGATAATTAGACTATACCAAGATGACATAATATTCATTATATTTAATTAGAGCTGTGACTGGCACATGGTAAACACTAATAAATTCTATCTGTGAGAGTAGGGTCAAAATTTACACATAACGATTGATGTGTGTTTTTTTAAAGTAATTTTATTTTCTTTAATTGTAATTTTTTATAATTCCATTTTGTCCTCTACTCTCCCAGTCACTGTCTTGACCAGACAACTTATTCTTTTTTTGTAATTCCAGTATTTTCAGTCCAATCAGTGCCTTTTCAGTGAAATTAAAATATTATTACAATCGTAGTCTGATTTCTATCTCAGCTACTTTTGCATACATTCTCAGTCTTCTGTATTTTCTTTATGCCTCTCTTGTGTCCTTTTTCTACCACTCGGGAGTAGTCTATTTTCACAGGACAGCTTATGTATTATTCATCTGTTCTTGTCCTGCTTGGACTTAGGCATCAGTCTGTCACTCTGTTACCTGCAGTGATGTTCCGTGGTGTACCTGTTCCCTGAACATCCTGCGCTGGTATCCACCGAGGTGTGGTGCATGTTGGCAATTGGCTTTTGCCTCTAATTGCAAAAGCTCTGAACTTTGCAGCTACCTCCTCCTGACCTCATATATCTACCTGTTCACACCTCCCATAATATTTCTGCCCCCTCTAGTTGTTGTTGAAGGTGGGATACTAAGAATTCTTGATTGTTCTTTATATATAATTCTGGAGTGGAACCCTACATAGTTGTCTTGACACTCATCTGCCCTCAGCTATCACTTACTCCATCTCTCTCATGTTGAATACAGCATCACGTTAAATGTGGGAATTTTCTTATTTTATTTTATTTTATTTTACTTTAAGTTCTGGGATACATGTACAGAACGTGCAGGTTTGTTACAAAGATATGCGTGTGCCATGGTGGTTTGCTGCATCCATCAACCCATCATCTAGGCTTTAAGCCCTGCATGCATTAGGCATTTGTCCTAATGGTCTCCCTCCCCCTGCCCTCACCTCCCTGACAGGCCCCGGTGTGTGATATTCCCCTTCCTGTGTCCACGTGTTCTCACTGTTCATCTCCCACTTATGAGTGAGAACATGCAGTGTTTGGTTTTCTGTTCCTGTGTCAGTTTGCTGAGAATGATGGCTTCCAGCTTCACCCATATCCCTTCAAAGGACATGATATCATTCCTTTTTTATGGCTGCATAGTATTCCACAGTGTATATGTGCCATATTTTCTTTATCCAGTCCATCATTGATGGGCATTTGGGTTGGTTCCAAGTCTTTGATATTGTAAATAGTGCTGCAATAAACATACGTGTGCAAGTGTCTTTATAGTAGAATGATTTATAATCCTTTGGGTATATACCCAGTAATGGGACTGCTGGGTCAAATGGTATTTCTGGTTCTAGGTCCTTGAGGAATTGCCACACTATCTTCCACAATGGTTGAACTAATTTACACTCCCACCAACAGTGTAAAAGCATTCCTATTTCTCCATATCCTCACCAGCATCTGTTGTTTCCTGACTTTTTAATAATCACTATTCCAACTGGTGTGAGATGGTATCTCATTGTGGTTGTGATTTGCATTTCTCTAATGACCAGTGATGATGTGAGCCTTTTTTCTTGTGTTTCTGGGCCGCATAAATGTTTTCTTTTGAGAAGTGTCTGTTCATATCCACAGATGTGAGACTTTTCTAAAAGGGTTGCTGTCTGCCTAGGTTAGGAGAGAAGGGCACTAGCCTTACTATTTAGCAATTCAGGCCTCAGCTATCTGGCTGTCTCTCCCTCCACAAGTTTTTATTTTTCCTTCTGAGCTGTGAGTCAGGAACCTTGAGTCTGGATATTTTCTCTCTTGCCTTCTGCTCAGTCCTCCTCTTCTGGCCCCAGGAAAGGCTTACTGGGTCCAGTGTGGCACCATACTAAGGACTCGACCCTGGGTCCTTGATTATTACTGCAACAGAGAAATTAATATCTTCCATGGCTGTGCTCATCAACAGAAAGAAGCAGCACAAGCCGAGGCTCTGCCTCTGGCCTTCCAAATCACATGTGGGTGTGTCTACTTGGTAGAGACTGGGTCATGGAAGGAGCCCAAGCTATGCCAGTGCCTGGGAGCCCTAAGCTTTCCTGCCCTAATTGTCAGTGGAGTATATTCCAAAAGAGTTGGGCTGGAGTTGTAAGACAAACTCTACAATTGTTGCCACAGGGAGGAAAGTTAAAACATCTGTATATGCAGCATGGTTGGATAGAATTCTTATTGGAGGTTGAGGATGCAAGAAAGAGTAAGGTTTTAGAAAGCAGCTGCTATTTGCTCTCCTTTTAGTTTTTTTTTTTTTTTCTAAAAGGTGGCACTAATTAAATATTCATGAATATAACTTCTCCTTTGGACTACAGCAGGAGCAAATCTTACCCAAATTCAAATAGTGGAGATGACCTGGACCCTAATGAATAACTTTTACATTTATTTGCCTCAAACAGATGTTGATTAAGCAAAGTTTGATTCCACAAACATTTATGGTACATGTATTTAAGGCTCTCTGGTTGGTAATGAGAGGCTTTACGTTTCTTCAATTATTCTTATAAGGCCACTAGATTCTGCAGTCAGATAAGAAACTTATGGGAAAGAAACTATTATCAAAATTGCAGAGATGAGGAGGAAAAAAATAATACTCTAAGCAAATAGCATGTGTATAAGAGCTAACATAAGGGATTTGGCACGTTAGAGAGCAGGCAATGCTGCCATTCCAAGTTTCCATTGTTGTGCTTGTTGTGCTGTGTGAACTCCATGGTGATATCTCTTGAAGTCATCCCCACAATGACCCACAGCAGAAAGAGGAAATCTTTTCATTCTCTAGCATCTGACTCATGAAACTGAAATGTTATTGCCTTATTTGTGGCTCTCCTCTGCCAGGGAAGAGTCAGGCAGGTTCTTTGGGCTGTTTGCTTATGTCTAAATCGCCTGTTTTCTGGCACTTAGGAAAAACATTCTTTTGCTTCCGGTAACACTGGTCCTAAATGTATTTGCTCCACAACATGGTCGTCTTTGAGAAAGAGAGACTATTTGATTTGCTGAATGAAATGGCTGGGATGCTCATTGCATCTTGGCATACAGAGGCACATATTTTAATCCTGAATTATCCAGCCTCCTGAAACATAGCCATTGTGCCTGCCTGATCTATTTGATTCCACTCATATTAGTGCGGTTTTCTTGCACTTAGTTTATTCATCACTACATTGTAGAAAGGAGAGCGGAGAGATGATGCTGTTCAGTAAGGGAGGAACCAAACACAGATCTTAAGGGGATTATTCCATTCAGAACAGATTTTCAGGTCTAGTTGTTCTAAAAAAACAGTGGGGACAGTATACCATTTTAGAGGTACCATATGTAGTTTTCAATGGGCAGTCCCTCCACCCTGTGGCTGAAGCCCACTCTTTTTCTACGTGAGAGAGAATCTGAAATTTGGTGTCACAGATGACACCAGATGCATTCTTGCCCGTTGTAGGATTTTGCTACCTGTTTCTATCATCTTTATTTGTCACATGGGTTATTTTTGTGCCTGAAAATTCCCCATAAGACAAAGTTTTCCCATGTAGGAGAGATTCGCTGGTTTCGCCTCTTACGGATTTTGTGTTCTAGAAATCCTGGGAGTGGTTAACTTTTCTGTTTTGCTACTTTTTGCTTGTTCCTTGTGGTGCTGCTTTCCTGGTGCTTGAACTTCATGGTAGGTCTCTGGGTGTGTTTTACATCAGTGCCACATGATTTGAAGCCAAATCTGGCAAAGTCCAAGTAAGTGAAGAATTGGAGTTATAATCCCAACAATTCAGGAAGCAGAAAAATTGCCCTAATCTTTTAAAGTAAATACTTGGTTTCAAGGGGATGTGATTATTTTTGGTCAGTTTATACATTACTTTTTGCCTGTTTTACTTAAGAATCTCCAATTTAGGGGTTGACCCATACTCATTCTGACTTCTTGGCATCATGCACATGCCTAGAAATTCTCAATGGAATACATTTCTAAGGCATAGAGTGAAATGAAGTGTTAGAGATTGTGGGCTAGAAGAGCAGACTGAGTAATGTGTAATCAAAATTCAGAGTATCTATTAATCTCCAAGTGGACACAGACCTACTTAGTATATGCATGAATGCATGAGTTCAGTTTTCAGTATGATAATGGATTTAATGTGACTTGGATAAGAAATTTTTGCTTGGAGCCTTGGTTTTTCCACTCAAGATACTGATATACTCTGGGCTATTACATGAATATTCTGAGGATTAGTTCTTAAATGATATTTTACCTTCCCTGCATTCACAATTTGTATTACAGCTGAAAGCCAAATATAGCCAAGAGTTTGATAAACAACCAAATTAGGTAAGAGTACCTTACACTTTTCATAGGAATATCTTCCAGGTTCTCTCATGAGGGCTATCCACTACCACTTACAGGATGGCTTCTGTTTTCTAAGCTATAGTCCATTACGAGGTACAGATTTCCAGTTGGTAAAAGAGCCCCTGCATTCAGACATATTGGCCATAAAGGAATTCATAACAAGAGAAGGGGAGGAAAGGGACAAGAACAAGATTAGAAATGAATGTGAATTTAAGAAGCATACATGTCTGGGCTGATTTGGATTTCCCACAGATGTTAAGGGCATTATTTCATTCTTATATGAAGGTATGGAAATTGGTATTCATCATGATAGTTCCGAATCTACCAATAATATATCACATTATGTCTGATGTCTTTTGAATTAGAACATAAAATTTATTTTTGAAAGTTTGTCAACTTTTAAAGTAAAAATCAAAGGCTTTTGATACGCCAAGAGTTATACTGTCTATTATGTGGTATTTGGAATAACTCTTCCTCCTTAAAAAGGAGATTGGAAGCTGCAGCTGTGGGTGGTGTTTGACTTATAGATGTGTGGTTGCAGTGGAATGGCAAGGGAAGCTTTGAGTATGTCAATCAATCCTAGCTCTAGCCCACATCTGTGTCAGGAGAGAAAGAAGACTGCATTAGGGCTACACCTGAAAGAAAGAATAGGAGTTTTCCATATATTCACAAACAGCTCAACAAAAAACAAACTTTCGATCCTAATTCTTTTTCTCATTAGATTAGCTAGAATTTAATTTTCTGTAAAAGCTAAGAAAAACTATCAGATTTTATTTTGAATTTTATTAATGACATTTACTCAAAGCTGAAATAGCTATATCCTCAAGATTACAAAAATGAATGGAAAATAGCAAAAGCAATTGAAAGAATATAATTCGAAATAATCCAAAGTTTTTTTTTAAGGGTTGTTTTTAATGATTAAGGAAGATTAGAAGCATGGAAAATTCCAGAATTAAAAAAATCCAACTCCTCAATCCAGCTGGGGTAAAAGAAATATAATACCCAGAAATTCTTCACCTTCATCTGTGGCGTATTCTTTTTGACCAGAGGTGGAGTGTGAGGAGAATGGGAGTGGCAAAAGTTAGAGTGGGGGCTGTCCAGCCAGCCAGTTGCACCAAAACTGATGTGTAGATGATTGGGGTGGAAGATACTGTGGCTTATTCTCTTATCTATTTGGAATAAAGAAGTAGGCTGATCATTAACTGTTTATTTAAAAATAAAACATGTAAGAAATGAGAAATATTCTAGTTTTGTCAAATTATGTGCTATAAATTCCTCCCAAGTAAACGGCTTTATGTCCCTAAAAGAAGGATATTTGCCATCAGGGACCTCGGGACTTAGAACGCTTTTCTCTGCTTTCCACATTGATCTCTTCCCCACTGAGTTAGCTGCTGCTTCCATGCTTTCGCTTCACGTTTTGTAATAAATGCATTCCCAGGAAAATAACTAGGAATTATTTATGCTATAGGCTAAAACTAAAGAAATAAATTCAGTCATCAGCCAGGAAGTCAAAGGACATGGGACTTTCTAACTAATTTATCCTTACTTTACATGACATAGATTCATAAAGACCAAGGGTTTCTAAAGTGGGGGAGGAGGAGAGTAGGCCGGGCTCGGTGGCTCATGCCTGTAATCCCAGCACTTTGGAAGGCTGAGGCAGGTGGATCACCTGAGGTCAGGAGTTCGAGACCAGCCTAGCCAACATGGCGAAGCCCTGTCTCTAATAAAATACAAAAATTAGCCGGGTGTGGTGGCATGTGACTGTAATCTCAGCTACTCTGGAGGCTGAGGCAGGAGAATCACTTGAACTTGGGAGGAGGAAGTTGCAATGAGCCGAGATAGTGCCACTGCACTCCAGCCTTGGCGACAGGGTGAGGCTCCATCTCAAAAACAAAAACAAAACAAAAACAAAAACAAAAACAACAAAGTAGGGGAGGAGAGTGTGGGCATCCCAGGCAGTGCTCAGGATAATCCATATTAGAATACACCTACATACACACACATATGTGTGCACATATAGACAACTCCTATTTTAAATTTTAAATTTACATTTCTTTCTTCATTATTTTATTATTTTATTTTTTTGTAGAGGTGGGGTTTCACTATGTTTCCCAGGCTAGTCTTGAACTGCTTAGCTCAAATGATCCTCCCGCCTCAGCCTCATCCTCTCAAAATGCTAGGATTACAGGCATGTGCCATGGTACCCAACCTAAATTTTCATTCTGGCTGTGCTTTTATAATATACATAATATATTAGCATTTTGTATATTGTATAATATTTAATATATGAATAAACATATGTGGTGGGGGTTAGAATTCAAAATAGCTTTTTCCTGATCAAACCATAATGTCAATATTTTGGAGATTATTTATTTATATGATCATCTTCACACTTGCCCATAAAGCTATCTTTGTTTTCCAATGTAGTTCTTACTTAAAAAAATTATTCTTTATAATTTCTCCTTTTGGTGTCTCTATTCTCACACTCCATCATGGTCAAATGTGTTCTATGTCAGACAGGGAGTAATTGGCAAGAGGTTCTTAGTTGGGCTCTGGGGTTTTGGCCTCAGAGACTTCCCTTACTTTTTTTTTTTTTAATATCTCAGTCATGCCTTTAAAAGGATGTCAGTTACATGTCACCCAGTATTTCCAGAAAGTTTTAAAAAATATATTATATGCCATAATTCCAAAAATAGAGTATATTATATTTCAATCAGGGTAAATGCCTTCTCATTACTCTTCTATTATTTTAATGTACAGTTGAATGAATTCTTCCATTTTACTCTTTTTTTCTTAATTCATAATGATTGTTATCTATTCATTCTTCCAGGAAACTTTAGTATTAATTTTATCAAGTTCAAAAAGAAATTACCATTGAGAATTTCATTTTGGGTAGATTAGTACAATGGATACTACACACCCTCAGATGTAACCATATGGTTACTACACACTTTCAGATGTGTGTAGATGTGTAGTAAGCCATTTCCTACTACTCCTAGCTAGAGAGCTACTCAGTCTCACATAAAGTAAAAATTTCAGAAACATCATTTTCTGTAGCTCTGGTACATGTTTATAAGATGAGGATATTATGAACATCATCAAATGGAGAGAAAAGTTGAACTAATTTTAGGGTAAACTCCCAAATACATCTTACTTGGCTCTAACTTTTTTTAGAAAATACTTGCTTATTACATGTCTATCAATCCTTCTGTCAATCCATCAATCCATAGCTTATTTTTTTGATTCATTCCAAGGTAAATTACAGATACCTGTATACTTCCGTGTAAAAACTTCATGATGCATTTTATTAACCAGAATTCAATACTTGTTTGTGGCTTCTATTCTTTGAATTAAAATTTAGACATAATTAAATGCACAAATCCTAAGTGTTAAATTTACTAAGATTTGAAAAATGCATACATGATCCTCTATCAAGATATTGAAGATTACCATTACCCCATACATTTCCCTCATACTAAAGAAGGCTATTTTTATATGTCTCATTTGAGGAGTTGCAACACACCAAGTGACTCTGTTGAGAAGGAATGCTTTTGGCTGCAAGGAACAAAAAACCTGGCATATGAAAATATCAAGTGGAGTTAAATCTTGTCATATAACAAGAAATATGGAGAGGAGCAGCTGTTGGTATTAATTCAGTGACACCATGATGTCAAGGATGATGTTTCTGGAATTCTCCCGATTTCCTTTTAAGTCTCAAGTAGCTGCTGTAACTTCTGGCACCATTCAAAAATATTTATTCATTTATCCAATAAATATTTATGTTCCAGCCAATGTTCTGATGCTCTGGATAGAGCAACAAACAAAAAAAAAGCCTATCTCCAAGTAGGAATAAAAAGGAAGAGGAAATCTAGGCCTGATTGTTAATTTAACCATGAAGGCAAAAGCTTTCTCAGAGTATCTTTCAATCCTTTGGCAGAGTTCTTATTTTTTTTCTCATTGAGCAGTAGGAAAAAATGAGTATTTTTCAACCTCTATCCTACGAGGGAATTTGGAATAACTGTGGAGTCAGCCAATCAACATTGCCTGTCACAGGAACATTTAGAACAAAGTTGTGGTCTACTCAGCCTCCTTGCAACAATAAATTGTATCAGTACTTATGGTAGCATTCAGATGTCTGTTCTTTAATTTTCTAAAGTAATGGACTTTATACTCAATTTCTCCCTAATGCCAATAGTAAGAAAGTTACCAAGGATCCTCAGTCACTGGTATGTGGTCTTGTAGAGGAAAATAACCCTGAATTGGGAGTCAAGAGACAGGGTTTTGAAGTTGGTCTCTCAGTCACTAAGTGTGAAAATGTAGGTGAGTTTCATCATGCCTTTGGGTATCTGTCTTCTTGGCTGTGGAATGTTGACTTTCATGCTTCAACTTCAGGGTCACATGAAGCAACTTCTGAAGAACAGTCAATAGATTAAGCACCTCTCTATTGTAGCAATGCAGACATTTTTAAGGGCATTCCACTTGCAAAAAAAATGTACCTCAACCATGCACATGCAGGATGAAGAATTGTCCATTAAAATTAGGTATTTTCATTTTCAGAATGACAATGTATAATTACTTTTTTTGAGAAAAAATGGACTTGTAAAATGTTCTGTGTACTCTTTACTCTTTGGTCTTTTTCTAGCTGAAACTCACTGTTACCTTCTCCCCTTCCACAGTAGGCAGAAAAATGGCCATCTTAAAATGTCCATGTCCTAGTCTCTGGAACTCGTGAATGTGCCATGTTACATGGCAAGAGGGGAACTAAGGTTGCAGATGGAATTAAGATTGCTAAGTCAGATAACTTTGAGATGGGGAGATTATTTGAGATGGGTCCTTATAAGTAAATGAGGGAGGCAGGGGAGTCAGTGTCAGAGTGATGTGAGGTGGGAAAGACTTGGCTGGTCACTGTTGGCTTAGTAGGTAGAGAAAAGGGCCACAAACCACAAAATGCAGACAGCCTCTAGAAGTGGGAAGAGGTAAGTAATGATTCCCTTCTACAGACTCCAGAAGGAATTCAGTCGTACTGACTTCTTCATTTTAGCCCAGTGAGACCAATTTCAGATTTCTCATATTCACAACAGTAAGATAAGTCTGTGTTGTTTTAAGCCACTAAATTTGTGGTAATTTGTTATAGCAGCAGTAGGGAACTGATACACTTTTCCACATTACTATGACAGATAAACTAAACATAACAAAGCTAAGTAGAATTTGGCACAAGTGGGATCACATAAGCCAGGGAAAACATAGTGGCTCCATTTCAGCAGGCTAGATAATTTAATATTAGAATATGTTTTTCTACATCAAGTCGCAAAGGGACATCAAGCCATCACTTCTAGAGAATCAATAGGATCATTCTTCCTCAAAGAAAGACTGTGTTGTGGAGAAAATGCATTATAAGGCCAGGGTTTCAAGAAGAGCAAGGATACCTTTCCTTTTTTTTTTTTTTTCCAGCCAGAGTCTTGCTCTTGTTGCCCAGGCTGGAGTACAGTGGCACGATCTCGACACACTGCAACCTCTGCCTCTGGGGTTCAAGTGATTCTCATGCCTCAGCCTCCGGAGTAGCTGTGGCATAACCACAGGTGTGTGCCACCATGCCTGCCTAATTTTTGTATTTTTAATAGAGACGGGGTTTTGCCATGTTGGCCAGACTGGTCTTGAACTCCTGGCGTCATATAATCTGCCTACCTTGGCCTCCCAAATTACTGGGATTACAGGAGTGAGCCACCATGCCTGGCCGGATGATTTTCCTAAGTGTTGGAAAACAAGTGAGTTAGGCATACATGAACTGCCCCAGAGGACTTGTCTGGTTCTTCCCTGATAGTGGAGGAGAGCCAAAAATAAGATAATAAGGTCCCAGATTAATGAAATCAAAATGTAAGCGTTGTCTCTTTTTGGCATGGGTCATGGTGGGAATGATTTCAAGCTGAGTCATGTGCCACAGAAGGACAACAAATGAAGACTTGGAGTCACAATGTTTTCATTTTCTGGTCTTTCCAACTCATCATGTATGCTGTTATATCCCTGCTCTTTGCTTTGGGTAGGTTCCCCCCTCCTTTCTGCAATCTTTAGAAATAAATATTTCCTTACAAGTTTTCTTTTAGGCTGTTGAATATTCGTTTTGATAAGAATAATTGAAGACATGGGAAACCCTTCATTACATTGCAGAGTGACTTAAATAGAGTACACATTCCATAAATATTTGTTGAATTGAACTATGTTTAATCACCATCTGTTTAAGGCAAATCAATGGAAAAATTATTCATTGGTGTCCAAGTCACTTCTTTTGTTTGTCTTTGAAAGAGAGAGACTCAGGCTGTAGCCTAGGGAAGAAATTATGTTCAAGAATAATATTATCTTCTAAGTCTCACCTTATAGAAAAGAAAATCTCTGAAAAGGGAGTTATTCAAATGAATTCAACATTTCCAAATATTAAAACAAATGATAAATTATTACACAGATTTGGGTTTATGGTCATTCTTTCCTTTTTATTTGGGTTGAAGATGTGAAATACAGGGTTTAGGTGTGTGATTATAGCTGTGTTCTGGAGCTGGTGCACACCGCTGGTGAGACTCAATTGTATACATCCCTTCCCAAATCTCTGTTCATGATGTCACATTGCTAACTTGAAATTGGTCATAGTGGAAGTATTTACACAAGGGAAATAAATAAATGCTATAAATCAGGATATGCCCTCCCACCACCAAGATGGTTTTGCAACATTTATCAGCTCACAGCTGGTAATAGACCATCCCCAAATAGACCATATGCTGGGGGAAAACTAGACCAAAGAGGGTTGATTTTTTTTGACAGAGGGATGAATACAGCAAATCATTTTGATTCTGTAAATGGCTTTTTTTTAAAGGGTTCATATTTCTCTCTTAATCCTAGAATGTAGTCCTCATACTTTGATGTGACCGTTTGGGTGCACAGAAATTCCAGCCCCTCTAACATGGCTGGGGCCTTGAACTCTACCCCTGTCTCTCCAGCACCACGAGGCAGCTCAGCTGGTGCTGAGGTTTTTAACCTCCCAGCTGCTGTTCTCTTCTGGACTTTCTGTAGCACAATCCTGTGCACATGCAATTTAGTGTCAGCTGACTACAAAAGAGGAATTTGTTTGCAGATTTTGAGGTTCTTTTCTCTCGGGTCCCTGCTCCTTGAGTCTTTGCCCTTACATTCTAATCTCTTTGGCTGCCCTTTCTTGGAGATCTGCTTTGTGAGCCCAGGGAGACCACTGCTTCTGCTAGGGCTCCATTTATTCTTCAGCTCTGTAAATTGGGAAATGTTTTTAGGAAAAAAAGCCAAAGTGATTATAGAGTTCATTTCCTGTGTTTCCTTTTGTTCAAGGAACATGCAGTCCCCTAAATACTGCCTGCATTGACTGCTCTGTAATGCCTTGAAGTAATTTTTAAATACTTTGTTCAGCTTTCCTAATTGCATTCAGCATGAGAGTTAGCCCAGTATCATCTACATTGTCACAGCCAGAGCTAGAAATCTGAAGGAAAACTTTTAAGTATAGAAATATTGTCAAGTCTTCAACAAAACTAACTTCAAAATCCATTCAGTGTTTGATAATCACAGTTGAGGGCAGTTTTCACTTAGAAAAATTTCAGTCTTGGCCCTGAACCAAAAAAATAGGAATAAAACTTTACCACTGCTAAACCATGGAACTGCTGTATGGCATGATAAGTGAGGCTATTTGGCTTCTATTCTGACAAGACAAACACCACCAGCAATGGTTTTATATAATTTTCATGGGTCGCAAAATATTCTTCTTCGGACTTTTGGAAAACAAATTAGAAATTGAAAAAACATTCTTAGCTCATGGTCCCTACGAAAACAGACCATGGGCCATGGTTTGCCAAGTTGTGGTATATTACTAAAAAATTTAAACTTTCATTTTGCAACTCAGAAGCCAACTATTGAGTCCTTTAGCTGAGTTCATCCTGTCTTTACATACCAGACATTTTAAGTTTCATTCCCTGTCTCTCAGTTATAAGTTCTGTGATCTTGGACAAGTTACTTCTCTGTGCTTTCCCTCACTGGTGAAATGGAGATAATAATAGTACTTATAGCTTAGGGTTGTGATGATTAAATGATTTAATATGGATAAAATAATGATGTATTTTCCCTGGCTACCTTGAGAAGTGAGTGCTGGGAAACCCAAGGAGAAATAATAGAAGTTAGAAACAACTCATCAATTAATATTTCATAAGTATTATCCCACTAACATAGTTATCCATATGAGCATTTATAGCTATTAATTTCCCTGTAAGCACTGTTTTAGTTGTAACTTGTAAGTTTTGGTATGTTGTGTTTTTCATTTCATTAAAAATATGTTCTAATTTTTCTTCTGATTTCTTCTTTAATTCATCGGTAATTTAGGAGTGTGTATTTAATTTGCATATATTTGTGAATTTCCCAAGTTTGCTTCTGTTAGTGATTTCTGTTGACTTCCATTTTAGTCAGAGAATGTATTTTGTATAATTTCAGCCCTTTTAAGTTTAGTTAGGCTTGTTTTATAACCAAGCATCTTGTCTAACCTGGACAATGTTCCATGTGCTCTTGAGAAGAATGTGTATTCTGCTATTGCTGCATGGAGTGTTCTGTAGATGTCTGCTAGGTCTAAGTGGTTTATAGTGTTAAAGTATTCAATAGCCTTATTGATCTTCTGTTCAGTTGTTGTATCCATTATTGAAAGTGGGAGTGTTGAAGTCTCCAACTATTATTTTTGGATCGTCTGGTTTTTTTTTAATTCTGTCAGTTTTGCTACATGCATTTTGGGTTTTGGTTGTAAGATGCATATGTATTTATAATTGTCATGTTTGCTGATGGATTAACCATTTTATTATCATGTCTTTCTTTGTCTCTACTAACAATTTTTGTCTTAAAGTATATTTCACTGGATATTAGTATAGCCAGTAACTCTAGTTCTCTTTTGGTTCTTGCGTGCATAGTATTGTATTGTTTCCCACCCTCTTACTTTCAACATTTTTGTGTCTTTGGTCTAAAGTGTGATCTCATATAGTTGGGTCATGATTTTTCTTTCTTTTTTAATCCGTTCTGCCAATCTCTACCTTTCGACTGGAATATGAAATAGTTTCCTATGGCTACTAGAACAAATGACCACAAATTGGTGGCTTAAAGCCACAGAAATGTATTCTATCACTGTTCTGGAGGCCAGAAATCAGAAATCTAAGAGGGTCATGTTCCCTCTAGCTCTAAGGGAAAACCTGTTCTTTGCTTCTTCCAACTGGTGACTATCAGCATTCCTTGAATTGTGGCCATGTTACTCCAATCTCTAATTCACCTTCTTTTGGAGTTTGCCATCGTTTCCTTCTCCCCTGCCCCTCTTCCTCTTCTGTTTCTTTTAGGCACGCTTATCATTGGAGTTAGGGCTTACCTGGGTAATCCAGGATGAACTTGCCTCAAGATCCTTAATTACATTTGCAGACACCTTCCCCCCACCCAAATAAGATAATGTCCAGGTTCTGATAATTAGGGCCTAGACATAAATTCTTGGGGGACCACTATTAAACCTACTGCAGTTTGTCCTCTGGCTTCCCGATATTCACGTAACATCTCACATGCAAAATACATAGAGCTCCTTCCAACATCCCTCAAAGCCTCAGCTCATAGCATCAGCCCCATCTAAATGTCATCCACTCAAAGTTACAAGTCTCATCTTCTAAATTATCTTAATCAGGTATGGGTGAGACTCTGGGTATGAATGAGTCTAGGGAAAAATTCTCTTGTTATTTCTTTTACTATATTTTTTGAGTTGTTTTCTTAGTGATTGTCCTGGGAATTAAAATTAATATCTTAACTAAAAATAGTCTAGTTTGCATTATTACCAACTTAATTTCAATAGTACACAAAACTTTGCTTTAGTATATCTTCATTTTCTCCCCACTTCTTTGTGTGATTATTATCAGATTACATGTTTACATACTGTAATCATCTATAGTTTTATAATAATTGCTTTATACAGCTGTCCTGTAAATCAGATAGAAGAACAAATTATAAAAATATATTTGTACTGTCCTGTATTTACCTATGTAATTAACTTTATCAGTGTCCTTTGTTTCTTTGTGTGAACTCAAGTTGTACTCCTGTGTCCTTTCATTTAGCTTGAAGGAATCCCTTAGTGTTTCTTGAAGACTGGGCCTGATAGTGATAAATTCTCTCAATTTTGTTTATTTGAAAATATCTTAATTTCTCCTTTATTTTTGAAGGATAATTTTTCTGCATATAGAATACTTGGCTGCCTATCTTTTTCTTTCAGTGTGTTGATTTTGTCAACTCACTCTCTTGAGGTCTCTAGTTTCTGTTGAGGAATCAGCTGTTAATTTTATTGATAATCCCTTGTATATTATGGGTCATTTTTCTCTTGCTGCTTTCAAAATTTTTTTCTTTCTTCGTCTTTAAGAGTTTAATTATGCTGTGTCTAGGTGTGGATATCCTTGAATTTATTCTACTTGGAGTTTACTGAGCTTCTTGGGTTGTAGATTAATGTTTTCAGCCATTATTTCTTCCCATACTCTTTCTATTCCTTTCTCTCTTTCTTTTCCATCTGAGATTTCTATTAGGCATATGTTGGTATGGTTGATGGCTTCCCAAAGATCTCTGAGGCGCTATTTATTTTTCTTCATTATTCTTTCTGTTTCTCAGACTGGATTACCTCAACTGACATACCTTAAAGTTTGCTGATTCTGTCTTCTGCCAGGTTAAATCTGCTGTTGAGTCCCTCTGATACATTTTTTATTTGAGATACTGTACTTTTCAACTCCAGAATTTCCTTGTTCCTCTTATAATTTCTAATTCTCTATTGATATTTTCTATTCTGTGAGACATTGTTGTCATTATGTGAGAATTGTTGTCATTCTTTCCTTTAATTTTTGAATATATAGGTCTTATTTTTTAGACCAGTTTTAGGTTCATAACACAATTTAACAGAAAGTACAGAGAGCTCCCATATACAATCCTCCCCACACACAGCCTCCTCTACCATCAACATCTCACATCAGAGTAATTACATTTTTTGTAACCAATGAACCAACATTGACACACAAATATCACTCATAGTTAGTTTCGATTCACTCATAGTGTTGTACATTATACAGGTTTTGACAAATGTATGATGACATGTACTCACGATTACAGTATCATATAGAATAACTTCACTGCCATAAAAATCTTCTCTGCTCTGATTTATTCCTCTCACCTGCTAGGAAACTGGAAACCACTGATTCTTTCAGTATCTCCATAGGTTTGCCATTTCCAGAATGCCATAAAGTTGGAGCCAAACAGATATAATTATTTTCAGATTAGCTTCTTTCACTTACTTGTATGCGATTAATGTTTTGATATGCTTTGACTGTGACCTCACCCAAATCTCATCTTGAACAGTAGTTCCCATAATCCCCACGTGTTGTGAGGATTTCACTTAGTTATATGCAATTAAGGTTCTGATATGGTTTGGCTGTGTCTTCACCCAAATCTCAACTTGAACTGTAGTGCCCATAATCCCCAGGTGTTGTGGGAAGGTCCTAGTTGGAGGTAATTGAATAATGGAGGCAGTTACCTCCACGCTGTTTTTGTGATGGTGAGTTCTCATGAGATCCGATGGTTTTATAAGGGCTTTTCCCTCACTTCACTCTGCATTTCTCTTTGTTGCCGCCGTGTGAAGAAGGACGTGTTTGCTTCCCCTTCCACCATGACTGTAAGTTTCTTGAGGCCTCCCCAGCCCTGCAAAACTGTGAGTCAATTAAGCCTCTTTTTTTTTTAAAAAATAAATTACCGAGTCTTGGGTATGTCTTTATTAGCAGTGTGAGAATGGACTAATAGAGGTTCCTTCATGTCTCATCATGGCTTGACAGCTAACTTCTCTTTAATGTTGTTTGATATTTTGTTGTCTATATATATTGTAGTTTATTTAACCATCCACCTACCGAAGGATATCTTGGTTGCTTCTGAGTTTTGGCAATTATGAATAAAGCTGCCACAAACATCTGGGTGCAGGTTTTTATATAGATATATGTTTTCAAATAATGGATAAATATCAAGGAGTACGATGGCTAGCTTCTACAGTAAGAATCTGTTTAGTTCGTAAGAACTGCCAAACTTGTTGTACTATTTGCATTTCTGTCAGCAATGAATGAGGATTTCTGTTGTTGCACATTCTTGTTAGCACTTAGTGTTGTCAGTGTTTTGGATTTTCACCATTTAATGATGTATAGTGGTATCTCAGTGCAGCTTTGATTTGTAATTCCCTGATGAGGTATGATGTCAAGTCTCTGCATATGATTATTTGACATCAGTGTATCTTCTTTGGAAGATACCTGTTCAGCTGTGTGGATGTTTTTCAGTCTAGTTGTTCATTTTGTTATTGAGTTTTAAAAGTACTTTTGTATATTTAGCACAATAGTCCTTTATCAGGTATGTCTTTTGCAAACATTTTATCTCAGTTTATGGCTTGTCTTCTCACTTTCTGGCTTTAATTATTTTTTAAAATAAATTTTATTGTGCATATTTAAGGTACACAACATGATGCTATAAGATACATATAGTAAATGATTACTACAGTGGGACAGATTAACATATGTGTCATTTCATATAGTTACCAATTCTTCCTCCCATGGCAAAACAGCTTTAATCTTAAATATAATACACTACTATTAACTATAGTCCTTATGTTGTACATTAGATGTTTTGAGTTGTTTATCTCACATATTTGCCACTTTGTATCCTATAATTGTTTATACACTGGTTTTCTTTAGTCCTTTCAACATATTCATAATAGAAAGATTTTTATAAGTTTGAAAAAGTTATTAATTTCAAATTAAAAATTAAGTTTGTGACCAAATTAAGTGAAAGTAGAAATATATCTAGACATATTCTGACAAAATTTTGAATTTATATGACTTAAAAAAACCCTCCTTCAAGCTTCCAGGCAGAAAAAATAATTGGTCTTATATTCTAAGGGGCTCATAGAAAGTAATCCTCAATATTCCCTGCAACGCAGAATGCTGGAAGATAATAAAGCATCTAACCAAAAAGATTTGAGGGAGAAAGTCTATGCTTCAAGTATTCTGTTCCTAGTGAAGGTGTTATTCATATATATAGACAATAGAAAGACACTCTCAAATATGCAAAGACTTGGGTAATTTACTATTTACCCATCCTTGAAAAATGTACTTGAGCTTCTTGCTGCTCAAAGGTAGTGCATCAGGATCACCTGGGAGCTTGCTAGCAATGCAGACTCTCAAGCCCCACCCCAAGATCTCCAGGTGATTAATATATACATTAAAGTTTGGGAAGCACAGTCCTTGCTGATTAAACATAAAAAGAAAAAAGTAAAACGTGGAGAAGTCTAACTATAAAAAAAAGTATCCATTGATACCAGTTAAACATATAAAGCTATTCAAAAAATCTTAGTGCTTTAAAAACCATCTTTGAAGAATATGATATATAATAATGTAATAAAACAAAACTTTGTATTTAAACCTGCAGTAGGCCTTTTTCTGTGCGTTGCTATAAAGAAATACATGAGGCTGCATAATTTATAAAGAAAAGAGATTTAGTTGGCTTACAGTTCTGCAGTCCATACAGGAAGTGTGGTGGTGTCATCTGCTTGGCTTCTGGTGAGGGCCTCAGGAAGCTTCTAGTCATGGCAGAAGGCAAAGAGGGAGCCAGAATGTCACATGGCAAGCGCAGGAGCAACAGAGCAAGGGGGCAGGTGCCGTACACTTTTAAACAACTAGATCTCACATGAACTGAGTGAGAACTCACTTATCAAGGCGATGGTGCTAAACCATTCTTGAGGCACCCACCACCATGATCAAATCACCTCCCACCAGGCCCCAACTCCAACACTGAAAATCACATTTCAACATGAGATTTGAAGGAGACAAACATCCCAACGATATAAAAGGCCTTAGGTTTTATTGGCTAGGGATTTTTATATAATCTGGATGCTTGTCTTCTCTACCTCACTAGGGAGATGAGTGTAATGTGGAAAAGAAAGATGATACTAAATTGCTTGCCTTTATAAGGGTGATGTCATTTCACAAAGGAAGTGGTGTGCAGTGCCTAAGACAAGATGATACATGAACCTATTAGCTATGGAAATTAAAACAAATAAATGAAGCCAGTATTTAAAAAACTTTAAGATAGGTTTGAAGAAGGGTAAGCAATGATTTACTATTAGTACTTTGTGTTTCTATTGGCAATGTCTGTTCTGTCTGGGAAAGGTCATACCTTGATTCTTTTTCTTAATGCAACAAAATGGGAATTACAAAGAAAATGAAACATAGAGAACGGCCAGTGAATTGTGTCAGTTTCTTCCCTATAGATTGCAAGACCAAGTATTAGAGGATGATTTCCTATTCTTCCCACTCCTTCCTGAAAATAGATTCTCTACAGGTTCAAACAGTCTGTGGGCAGTGGCGGGTGGGGTCAATGGCAAAGGGGTTTTTCATGCAGGCAGCAGCCAGCTGCCACCAACTGCAGGGATAGCCAGTGAATGGTCTACTCTGGGAGTGGGGGCAGGAACAAGTGGAAAATAGAACATGGCCTGATTTTTAAAATTACTTTCTTCAGAGTAGGTAGTATGAGCCCATGTTCTCAAATTCTATTTGCCTTATTTCAGGTACAATGAAACAAATTTCATCTAATCTTATTTTATTTTATTTTATTTAAAAATCAATAATGTTATAAACTCTTACGTTTGTGGGAAAGTATAGACGCCAACATTGTGGCCATCTACATATCTACCAATCAGATTTGTTAAATCTTAAGATGTTACATATTCACTTCAGATTTTTTTTTTTTAAATCTCAAATCTTTACAGTAAGAGTTTAGGATTGCTGTGTTAAATAAAGTTTATGAGAGGCTATTGTTTTGGAGTAGCCTCCTGTACTAGGCACCAGCAGACTATGCCAAACCACAGTGGAGTCACTTATGCTATGTACCACATAATCCAACTGAACTTTAAACAGGCCAGTTTTCCAGACAGCTGGAGATTCCATTCCACCTGAGTCAGCATAATAAGGAAGTCTCCTGTTTTAACCCTATTAGGAAAGTAACTTCAAAACAACCAATCTGCTTTTTATTCTTTGATTCTGCTTGCTTCAGCCCTTTTTCTGCCTATAAAGACAACCTCTGCTTGGCTCATTGGACCATTCATTCTATTTTATAGATAGAGTGTCGCTCGATTCTAGAATTGCAAATAAAAGCCAATTAAATCCTTAAACTAAATTTGTTGTAATTTTGTCTTTTCACAGTTGAATATTGCTCCCCAGCCCTATTCCTCTGTCCCCCATACAGAAATAACCACTATCATGGATTTGAATTTGATGTATTTTATTTTAATGGTTTTTGAAAGTACTTTTGGTATGAATCTCTACTCCCTAATTGGTGTATTTTTTACAGATTTTGAAAACCGTTACTGTACTGTATGTGTCTTTCTACAACTCATGTTTTCTTACAACATTATGTTTCTGAGGACTTTCCATGTTAATGTGACCCCAATTTATTCATTTTAACAGTCAGAGTTTTCCATTGTTGAATATTCTGTGATACATCTAGTCCCTTGTTAATAAGCCTTTAATTTGCTTCCCGTTTTTTGCTCTTGCATAGTGCTGTGCGAAGCATTATTAAGCAGGTCTGCTTGTGTATGCATGCAAGTTTCTCCAGAGGAATAGAGTGTAAGCTCAACATCTTTTAAGTTTACTTGTTATAACCTAATTGCTCTATAAGATACCTGTACCAATCTTCTCTCTCCCAGGTGGTATATGAGAAGTCCTATTATTCCACATCTTCATCAACACTTTGTACTGTCTGACTTTAAGATGTTTGCCAACTTAATGGGTGTAAAATTGTATCTCATTGCTGTTTTAATTTGCACTTTCCTTATAACTTTAGGAGTTGAACGTTTTTTCATAAGTTTATTTACTAGCCAAATTTTCTCTTCTATGAATTAGTTCTCATATTTTTTGCCCATTTAAGGAATTGATCTTTTTATCTTTGTTTCCCATTAGTTTCTAGGAATGCTTTATGCTTCCTGGATACAAAATTCTTTCCTGGCTGTGTGCCCTCTCACAATCTGTGGTTTGATTGTTGTTTGCAGAAGCTTTTAACTATTATATACTCAACTATAACAATATGGATTTTGGTTTGTGTCCTGTTTAAAAAATTCTTTCCTACATTAAGTTTCTAGAAATTTTTTTTGAATTATGAAAATGTCTACTGGTTATTGATTTTTATGTCTAGTGTGAGGTAGGAATCTAATTTTATTGTATTCCAGATGGATGAACAGCTAACACTATTTGTCAACTAGTTCATCATTTTCTCTGTCTATAATATCATTCTGTCTTAACCCAGTATGATTTTGCTAGAATGTGAGATCTATGATGGCAGGAGTCTTGGTCTATTTTGTTCACTGATGTATGCCAACCATCTAGGACAGTTCCTGGCACATAGTAGCTATTTAAATTTATTGGTGAATTAATGAAAATGTGAATGGTGTTTCTGGTGTACACCAGAACGTAAGCATGATTTCTAAACAAAGGGACTTTAATCGAGACATGCTAAGAGTGTTCAGTGTTATTTTCTCTTCTTTCCAAGAGACAGCCCATGTCTCTGAAAGGTCACAGATACCTTAGAATGCCTCACACAAGAACAACAGCCACATGAATCCATGTGTTCTAGCAAAAAGGAAAAATTGTTTCAGGTAAGTAATAGATATTATGGAATCCATTTCATCGAGAGTCCCCAGTCTCCAGGCCACAGACTGGTTCCAGTCTGCAGCCTGTTAGGAACTGAGCGGCACAGCAGGAGGTGAGTGGTGGATGACTTAAGCATTGCTGCCTGAGTTCTACCTCCTGTCAGATCAGCAGTGGCATTAGATTCTCACAGGAGTACAAACCCTATTGTGAACTGTGCATGTGAGGCATCTAGCTTGCATATTCCTTATGGGAGTCTAATGTCTGATGATCTGAGGTGAAATAGTTTCATTCTGAAACCATCCTCCTCCTTCCCCTATCTGCGGAAAAAATGTCTTCCATGAAATCAGTCCCTGGTGCCAAAAAGTCGGGGACTGCTGTATTACATAGTTATTTAAAAACAAATATTATGTGGTAATATCCAGGTCTGAAAGGGAGAGAATAAGAGATGAAATATCACTGTTGAACATGTTAAGTGACTTTTACCTCCACCCCCTATTTCTGTGGAATATAGTTACAGAGGTTGTCTTGAAAGGAACTGATTGGCAGTTGGGGAGGTAACTATGGGGTGAGGAGTCTGCTGCATGGCGGCAGTCACAATCCTATATGAAATTGCCTATAGACACTGTCCTCTAGGACTTCATTCAGTTCTAAAATCAAAGGGTTTTTGAGTTCACACTCCATTACTTGGAACTTGCTACGGGCTTCTTTGAGTGGTATAAAATCACAGGGAGAAACAAAAAGCAGTGATGGGTCCATATAACACAGTCCATTGAGGAGAACGCATAAAGGAAGTTTTGGCATAAATACCTTAAACAAAAATAATCCAGTTGGAAAGACTTGTTTTAATCAAACATTTCCACCCAATGAGATCACTGGCATGAAGTCTGATAAATCAGCATTTTATGAGGAGCCACAGCATACTAGTTTAAATGCTACATTTCCTCTAGGTACATATGGATATACATCCCTTCATGTACATTGTAGCATAAAAAGAGGCATCTCACTGTGCAGGTCAAGCTGCTGCTGCAGCCACTGATGTACCCATTAGAGGGGCCACCCAATGGGAAGAGGATGAACTGGGCATGAAGAGCCCTGAGCACCTATCTTCTTCCAAGGCAATATAATTATGACAGAAATAATGTTCACAGATTTTAAGTCAACAGTGAGTAATTTGTTCCACCCATTGCAGCAAATGACATTATTTGATCCCCTCAACAATATTCTGAGGCAGGAACCTTCCCTCATCACATGCCATGGTGAAGTGTGAGCTCCTCTGTGTTTGAGACTTGCTTAACTCTTCATATCCCTCCAGTATCCTCTGAAGAAAGAATCAGGTTTCCCTCCTCCCTTCTTAACTCCTCAGATGACCCTCTTAAATATTCTTATTATGAGTTTTGTAAAGGTTTGTGTTTTATCTTTTCTCTGTTAATAAACTGAGAGGTTGCTGAGGGTAAGAATTTGGTGTTACTCACCTTTCTATCCATGGGCCTAGAACAGTGCCTGGAGCCAAAAAAGAGCTGACACTGTGAAGTGAAATGAAGTGGAAACTTGCTCTAGTCTCCTGAATCTTTCAGGTGGGCTACACCAACTTTTGTGTGACCCACACTAGCAGCCTATGATTAATCAGCTTCCTTTCATTCCAATTTGTACAGGTGGTTTTTCATTTTTGTTTGTTTTTATCTGCCTCAAAAGTTTGAATGTTTATAGAAATTGGTAGGGTAGGCATAAATGTCAGTTCTAAAGAGTGACAATGTATTTAAGGCTCCTAGCTCTATCCTGGTCTGAGTCATTGGCTAAAAATGTCAGGACAATTTATAACATTAAAATGAATGGTAATTTCCAAGTGATAATATCCAATGACATGATGAAAATTGAAAATCTATTAATATATCAGAACTTGTCACCAGAGCTAAGATCTATCTAAACAATTTGGATTTGTCGGTCTGTCTCTCTTAGTGCATTTGTCTTAGATCAATTCTCTAAATACATACTTCCTGGGATGAACCTTGTTGTGATGCCGTTTATCAGGACTGGTAGCGTTTGAGATCCCTACTCAGCAACATTTTACTGAGTCATTCACTGTGACGGGTGAGAATGGTACTGCTGAGTAATGATTATTTTTAGACAGGCAGCTAGATATTAGACATACATCAATGTGCAGGACACTCAAAAGGTAATAGTAAATAGGATGACATTTAATTCTCCTTTTTTTTTGCCGATGTCATATTTTTGTTGATGGATTATATTTCTGGGAGAAAGGAGGTTTCTAGATGAGTAGTACATTCTTTCAAATTGAAAAATATGAAACGTGTTAAGAGTTCCTAGGGACTTGACTGAATAATCAGTTCTAGGAGCTTTGTCTGTCTATAAGACCCAAATTTGCTTCCCTGCAAGAGTGTATTGGTCCTTGGAGCCCACAGGAAGCAAATGTTGACAGCAGCGCTTAAATCAGTGTGTCGTTCTTTACTGCAGGCATTTTCGCTTTGTAGAGACGACATGGTCATGCTGTTGTACACTTTTTTTTTTCCTCATTGTAGATTATATTTTCCAGGTGAATAGAATTGAAGCTCTCAGATGATATAGCATCCCTGTGAGAAATTATGTAGCTAGTATAGAGACCTATTCCCAAACAATTACCAAATAAAGCAGCCTTCAGAGCCTGCCATTACACTACTGTTGCACTCAGTCAGGCACGGCCATCTGTATCATTTCCTAGGCAGGAAGCACATCATTTTTAGTGTCATGCTGTGGCCCCTTGTGTCAGATAGACTTTGGGTGTAGGGCCTGAAAAAGTCTTTTTTGCTACTTTGGCAATAGCTTATCTTTCATATGCCAAACCCCTTTTAATGAGGGGGTGTGAGTGGTTAACACATGCTCTCTTCCCTTTTCTTTCGGTATTTATGAAGTCAAGAATGCTGTAGTGGTTTGGTTTTCTGTGTGCTCTTGGGGATACATATTTTGGTAAGTGCTGACCTTTTTTTTCCCAGAGGAATCAGTTGTCTCCTTTTTGCTTACCTTGCTATACTTTCATTTGTAATACTCTGGTCACTCTTTCGAATGCCTCAGGGACATAAGTTGCCGGTTCAGTGGGAATGGGGGGAGGAAGAAATTTATAGAAATGTTTTCTAGGTTGTATTATTTATGAATTTATTGGTGGTATTTATTATATTCCCAATAGATGGAGAGTTTCAATGTTTTTTAAAATGTCATTTTGGTATTCTTAGCAGCAAGCCTAGATCAGGATTTTGTAAAAAAAAAAAAAAAAAAAAGGAACACTTGAAAAAAAAATCTCTAAAATAGAATATTAATATTAAGAAGCCTAGCATAAATTCACTGATGTGATAGATATGTTTATTTCTGCAAAAACATAAAGTAAAAATCAGAGCTTAGCTCATTTGATAAAATCATATTTGTTTCATAGCAATTTTTTTTCTTTCAACATCTGCCAACAATTTACCCAATGAGATATTTAGTTAGAACAGGTAAATGTTAATTCACTCCCAAGGACTTGAGTCATCACTAAGTGTATAATTTTGTTCACCTCTTTGGTAATTCAGAGTCCTAGTTCGTGCCTTTAGTAATCCAGGATGCTGCTGAATACTTGCGAAATGTTCCCAGCATGGCAGATGCTGCTAGTGCCCTTGCTATAAAGAAAATAGGCCATGCTGTGAAAAGATACAATCATACAAAAGGGAAACAATAGGAAAAAGTTACCCTCTGAGCAACCTTATGTACCATGTCATTGTGTTACGTGCATTACTGTGTAGACAATTCATTTGACCATTTTATAGATGATGGAACTGAGGTTCAGAAAAGGTAAATAATTGGCTGAAGAATGGGAAGAGAAAAAGCAAAACCCTGATGTTCTTCTGATGCCAAAGCCCTCACTCATTCTTGGTTACACCATGTTTCCAGAGCCAATTCTGTTAATGGAGAGGTAGAGCTGCAGTTCAAGAAGCACATTATTTTGCATTTACAATTAGTTTCCGGTGAAATGAAAGAAGTAGCTCCATACTCCTCGGCATTTAAGTTAAGCATCTGTAAGGAGGGAGGAAGAAATTTTTAGGAAAATTTTCTGGGCTATATTATTTATAAATTTATTTGTTGAACTTACTATTTTCCCAGTCGGTGGAGAGCTTCAATATCTCAATTGTTGTTTTGAATTTTCTAGGGAAAAGAAGAAAAATTTAGAACAACTCTCAATCCTAAACTAGAATTAAGACACATGAATATTCTCCTATAAGACAGAATTTATCCAAAGCATGATCTTTTCAACCTTTGTATTTGAGGATAAAAGTGTGACTTCCAACAGTGTGCGCTAAATCTGGCACTTACTTCCGGTATGACTTTTCTGTCTTTCCAGATTATGATTATGATTATGCACTGACTCTTATGAAAAGGAATCAGCATTTCTCTGAGCTGACATTGATTATAAGGGGTTCCAAGTAAAATTGGGCCTTGGCTATTCAATGACATGTTAGATGCTGTTTTCTGTATGCTTTTATGATTATGTTAATTTATCTGCACTATCAATGACATGCAGGAAAGTAAGCATAAAATGCACAAGAAAATTTTGGTTGAGAAATAGTAAGTGATGATGGATAACAAATAAGTGGTAAACGTTGAGTGACTTTATTTAAAAGAAAAAAGAATTTGAAGCATGTTTACTTCAACATAAACCAGAGAATTACGACTATTTTTTTCCTCTTAGGTGTCTGTGCTAATCTTAACATTTGCAGTTGCTCACATTCATTTTTAATTGGAGCATTAAATAAAGACAATTAGTTTTAACTGGAAGCTAAAATGAGGTTTTAAAATTTATAACTGTCAGAAGCCAGGTTTAAAAAAATCTCCCCATTAACTTTTTAAAATATATTCTTCGCCATCCTCCAACAGAAAGTTTAGAATCTAAACAATCTTGCAGCCTGCAGATAAGAATGTTAGATTCTAAATCTGAATGCAGACATGGGAACAATGAAATTTTAAATGCAATTGGTCTCCAAATTTAATGTGTTGTCAACAGGAAATATAATAAGAATGAATTATATTGAATATCTCTGCATTCAGAGATTTAAACTCACGTTTAGATCTACTCTATTCACTTTAGGCTGTACACAAACATAAGTCAACTTTCAAGAACGATGTTGTAATGTAATCTAAGACAGGTAGAAACTGCAGGACATTTACTAAGAGAAACATAAAGGTAAACCTCAGTGACCTTGGTTCTTGGGAAATCATTTAATTTTGTCTTCTCCAAGTCTTCACAGCCATGCCCATCAGCATCTAGCCATTCACTCCCCTGGGAATTCCAGGATCTGGAAGAACATGTTGAACCATCTCCAGAATCAAGAGTTAGAAGAAGAAAGATAAAACCACTGTATAAGGGGGAGGGAATAAGATGGTGGAATAGGAACCTGCACTGTTCATACCTTCCGCAGGAACATCAAATTTTAACAACTGAATACACAGAAAAGCACTGTCTCAAGAACCAAACATCAGGTGAACAATCACAGCATCTGGTTTTAACTTCATATAATGGAAAGAGGTATTGAGGAGGGTGGGAGAGAAGAGACAGTCTCAGATTACCAATACCATCCCTCTCTCATCCCCCAGCAATGGCCATGCAGCATGGAGGGTCTATGCATTGGGGGAGGGAGAGTGCAGCGACCGGGGGACTTTCCATTGAAGTCATTGCTGCTCTGTCATAGTGGAGATCAAAGATGTGCTGGGCTCAGCCACTGTCTGTGCATGGAGGGAGCATCTGGACCCGACCTAGCCAGAAAGGAATTGCCCATCCCATCAATTGAAGCTTGAGCTTCTTGGCAAGCCTTGCCATTGCAGCCCCAAAGTGCTCTGGGGTCCTAAATCTTCAAAAGCAGTCTAGGACAAAGGGACTGCAATTTCTAGGCAACTGTTAGTGTTGAGCTGGGCCAAGAGGACTAGGGTTGCATGTGACTTAGGGAGGTACCAGTTGGGCAGCTAAAGGAGAGCTTGTACCATCCCTCCCACAACACCTGGCAGTGAAGCTCACAGGAATAAAAGTATCTTCTTCCTTCCACTTAAGAAGAGAGCAAAGAGTAAAAAGGACTTTATCTTCATCTTGGCCACAATAGGATAGGGCACTGGGCAGAGTTGTGAGGTCCCCATTCCAGGCCCTAGCTCCTGGATGACATTTCTAGACACACCCTGGGCCAAAAGGGAACCTGTTGCCTTGCAGGGAAGGGCCCCATCCTAGCAGAATTCATTACCTGCTGAATATAGGGCCCTTGGGCCTTGAATAACCATCAGCAATGTCCAGGTAGTATATGGTAGACTCCGGGTTCTGAGATATACTGACTATAGTAATCCAGCACATTCTCAGCTGTGGTGGCTACAGTGAAAGACACCTGTTAGAGAAAAGCAGAGGAAAAAGTAAAGGGAAATTTGTTACACCTTAGGTACCAGCTTGGCTACAGTAGGATAGAGCAGCAAGCAGGCTCTTGGGTTCCCTGAGTCCAGGCCAAGGCTCTCGGACAGCATTCTAGACACCTGCTCTGGGCCAGAGAGGACCCCACTGCTCTGAAACATGAGTCCCAGGCCTGGCAGCACTCACCACAAACTGATTGAAGAGCCCTTGGACTTTAAGTGAATGTTGGTGGTGGCCTAGAAGAACTCCCCTACCATGGGATGGGGGTGGTTGTGCCCACAGGGAGAGGCTCCCCTGCTTGTGGAAAAGGGAATGAAGTGTGGGAGGGACTTTATATTGTGATTTGAGTGCCAGTATAGTCACAGCAGAATAGAACATCCAGCAAATTTCTCAGGTTTTTTTATTCCAATGCCTGGCTCCCAGCCAGCATCTCTGGATCTGTCTGGGGCCTGGGGGAACTTGACACCCTGAAGAAAAGGACACAAACATGGCTCTCTTCATGACCTGCTGATTATAGAGCTCTAGGGCCTTGAGTGAACATTGATGGTAGCCAGGTAGTTCTTACGTTGGGCCTTGGGCAAGACCCAGTGCTGTGCTGACTTCAGATTTGACCCAGCATAGTCCCAGTGGCAGTGGCCACAGGGGTGTTTGCATCACCACACCTCAAGTTCTGGGTGGCTTAGCACAGAGAGAGAGAGAGAAGGACTCTGTTTGTTTAGGAGAAAGTAAGGGAAAAGAACAAAAGTTTCTACCTGGTAAGCCAGAGAATTCTTCTAGATCTTATCCAAGACCACCTAGGTGGTACCTCTATGAGTCTGTAAAAACCACAGTGATACTGGGCTTGTGGTGCAGTCCTTTTGAATACCTAGAAAGCCTTCTCAAAAAAAAAAAAAAAAAAAAAAGGCACAAACAGCCCAGACTATGAAGACTACAATAAATACCTAACTCTTTAATGCCCAGACACTGACGAACATCTACAAACATAAAGATCATCCAGGAAAACATCATCTCACCAAATGAACTAAATAAGGCACCAGGGATCAATTCTAGAGAAATAGAGATATGTGGCTTTTCAGACAGAGAATTCAAAATAGCTATTTTGAGGAAACAAAGAAATTAGAGATAAAAAGAAGGAATTCAGAATCCTATCAGATAAGTATAACAGAGATTTGAATAATTGAAAAGAATCAAGCAGAAATTCTAGAGTTGAAAAATGCAGTTGACGTACTGAAGAATGCATCAGAGTCACCCAATAGCAGAATTGATCAAGCAGAGGAAAGAATTAGCTTGAGGACACACCATTTGAAAATATACAGTTTGAGGAGACAAAAGAAAAAAGAATGAAGCATACCTACAGGATCTAGAAAATAACCTCAACAGGGCAAATCTAAGTTTTTGGCATTAAATAGGAGGTAGAGAGAGAGAGAGGGGTAGAAACTTTATTCCAAGGGATAATATCAGAGAACCTTCCAAACTTAAAGACAGATATAAACATTCATTTACAAGAAGGTTATAGAACACCAGGCAGATTTAACCCAAAGAAGACCATCTTAAGGCATCTAGTAATCAAACTCCTAATGGTCAAGGATAAAAAAAGGATCCTAAGAGCAGAAAGAAAAAAAAACCAAATAATATAAAATAGAGCTCCAATACATCTGAAAGCAGACTTTTCAGTGGAAACCTTACAGGCCAGGAGACAGTAGCATGATATATTTAAAGTGCTGAAGGAAAAAAACCTTCTACCCTAGAATAGCATATCTGGTGAAAATATCTTTCGGTCACAGAGCAGAAATAATGATCTTCCAAGACAAAAGCTGAGGGAGTTCATCAACATCAGACCTATCCTACAAGAAATGCTAAAGAGAGCTCTTCAACCTGAAAGAAAAGGATGTTAATGAACAGGAAGAATCCAAAGGAACAAAACTCACTGGTAATAGTAAATACACAGAAAAATATAGAATATTGTAGCAGTGTAATTGTGGTGTGTAAACTATTCTTAAGTAGAAAGACTACATGATAAACCAGTAAAAAATAACTACAACTTTTCAAGATACAGTACGATAAGACATAAAGAGAAAAAAATTTATAAAGCAGGTGGGCAAAGTTAAAGTGTAGAGTTTTAATTGTTTAATCAGTGTTAAGTTGTCATCAGTTTAAAATAATGAGTTATAAGATAGTATTTGCAAGCCTCATGGTAACTTCAGATTGAACAACATGGATACACAAAAGACAAAAAGCAAGAAATTAAATCATACCAACAGAGAAAATCACCTTCACTAAAAGGAAGACAGGAAAAAAGGAAAGAAGGAAGAGAAGATCATAAAACAACCAGAAAACAACAAAATTGCAGAAGTCCCTGCTTACCAATAATAATATTGAATGTAAATGGACTAAACTCTTTAATGAAAGTATTAGAGTGGCTGAATGGATTTAAAAAAATAAGTCTCAATAATCTATTGCCTAAAAGAAACACACTTCACCTATCAAGATATACATATACTGAAAGTAAAAGAATGGAAAAGATATTCCATGGCAAAAGGAACCCAAACAGAGCAGGAGTAACGATACTTATATTAGACAAAATAGATTTCAAGAGAAAAACTAAGAAAATACAAAGGTCATTATATAATGTTATATAATGATAAAGGGGTCAATCCAACAAGTCATAATAATTTTAAATATATATGCACCCAACACTGCAGCACACAAATATATGAAGGAAATACTGATATTATTAGAGCTAAAGAGAGAGATAGACCTCAAGACAATAATAGCTGAAACTTCAACACCCCACTTTCAGCATTGTAGAGATCTCCCAGACAGAAACTCAACAAAGAAACATTGAATTTAATCGGTACTATAGAACAAATGGACCTAATAGTTATTTACATTACATTTTATCCAAAGCCTGTAGAACACATTCTTCTCTTTAGCACATGGCTTACTCTCAAGGATAGAGCGTATGTTAGGTCACAAAACGAGTCTGAAACCATGCAAAAAAATTGAAATAATATCAAGCATCTTCTCTAATTACAATGGAATAAAACTAGAAATCAACAACAGGGGGATTTTGGAAAGTATACAAAAACATGGAAATTAAATAAAAATGCTCCAGAATGGCCAGTGAGTTGATGAAGAAATTAAACAGGAAATAGAAAAATTTCTAGATACAAGTGATACCATAATCTATGAGACACATACCAAAACCTATGAGACACAGCAAAAGCAGTACTAAGAGGGAAATTTATAGCTATGTGTCTACATCAAAAAAGAAGAAAAACTTCAAATAAGTAACCTAATGATGCATCTTAAAGAACTAGAAAAGCAAGAACAAACTGAACCCCAAATTAGAATAAATAATAAAGATCAGAGCAGAAATAAATGAATTTGAATTGAAGAAAACAATACAAAAGGTCAACAAAAAGTTTGTTTTTTTGAAAACATAAACAAAATTGACAAACCTTTATCCAGACTATGAAGATAAAAAGGGGAATAGACCCAAAGAAATCAGAAATGAAAAAGGAGAAATCACAACTGATACCACAGAAAGTCAAAGAATTATTAGTGGCTACTGTGAGGAATGATATGCCAATAATTTGGAAAATCTAGAGGAAATGGACAAATTGTGGGACAGAAGATCAACACACAAAAATCAGCATTTCTATATGCCAACAGTGAACAATCAGAACAAGAAATTAAAAATGTAATCTCATTTACAGTAGCCACACATAAACTTAAATACCTAGGAATTAACTTAACCTAAGAAGTGAAAGATCTCTACAATGAAAACTATAAAAGCACTGATGAAATAAATTGAAGAGAATACAAATAAAGGGAAAGATATTCCATGTTCATGAATTGGAAGAATTAATATTGTTAAAATCTTCATACTACCCAAAGTAATCTACAGATTCAATGCAATCCCTATAAAAATACCAATGACATTCTTCACAGAATAGAAAAAAAAATTCTTAAATTTATATGGAATCACAAAAGACCCAGAATAAGCAAAGCTATCCTGAGCAAAAAGAACAAAACTGAAGAATCACATTTCCTGACTTCTAATTGTACCATATAGAGCTACATTAACCAAAACAGCATGGACACAGAGAGTAGAAGGATTGTTACTAGAGCCTGGGAAGGGTAGTGCAAGGCTAGATGGGAGGTGGAGATTGCTAATGGGTTAAAAAAAAGAATGAATAAAACCTACTATTTGATAGCACAAAATGCTTGAGGAGATGGATACCCCATTCTTCATGGTGTGGCATAAAAGTGAGACACAGACCAATGGAGCAGAATAGAGAAACCAGAAACAAATCCATACACCTACAGTGAATTCACTTTCAACAAAGTTGCCAAGAACATACATTGGAGAAAGGACAGTCTCTTCAATAAATTTGGTTAGGAAAACTGGATATCCATATGCAGAAGAATGAAACTTGACCCCTATCTCTTACCACATACAAAAATCAAATCAAGATGAATTAAAGACTTAATTCTAAGACCTCAAACTATAAAGCCACTACAAGAAAGCTTTGGAGAAACTCTCCAGAACATTGGTTCAGGCAAAATTTCTTGAGTATTATCTCACAAACACAGGCAACGAAAGCAAAAATGGACAAATTTAATCACATAAAGTTAAAAATCTTTTGCACAGCAGAGGAAACAACAAAATGAAAAGACATCCCAGAAAATGGGAGAAAATATTTGCAAATAACCCATGTGAGAAGAGATTAATAACTAGAATATAAAAGGAGCTCAAACAACTCTATAGAAAAAATATTCAATTAAAAATGGGCAAAATATTTGAATAGACATGTCTCAAAAGAAGACATACAAATGACAAACAGGCATATAAAAAGGTGCTCGATATCATTGATCATTATAGAAATGGAAATCAAAACTGCAATGAGATATCCCACCCCAGAGATGATAAAAGCCAGTTAAAATGGCTGTTATCCAAAAGACAGGAAATAACAAATGCTGGTAAAGATGGGGAGAAAAGGGAACTCTCATACAATGCTGGTGGCAATTTAAATTATCACAACCACTATAGAGAACAGTTTGGAAGTTTCTCAAAAAATGAAAAATAGGGCTACCATGTAATCCAGCAATCTCATTGCTGGATATATACTCAAAAGAAGGGAAATCAATATATTGAAGAACTATCTGCACTCCCATGTTTGTTGTAGTACTGCTCATGATAGCCAAGATATGGGAGTAACCTAAGTGTGTATCAATAGATGACTGGATAAAGAAAATGTAGAACATAATGGAATACTACTCAGCCATCAAAAAGAATGAGATCCTGTCATTTGCAAGCAACATGGATTGAACTAAAGGTGATTATATTAGGTAAAATAAACCAGGCACAGAAAGACAAATATCATTTGTTCTCACTTATTTGTGGGACCTGAAAATTAAACAATTGAATTCATGGACACCGAGAGTAGAAGGATTGTTACTAGAGGCTGGGAAGGGTAGTGCAGGGCTAGATGGGAGGTGGGGATTGCTAATGGGTTAAAAAAAAAAGAAGAATGAATAAGACCTACTATTTGATAGCACAAAATGCTTGAGGAGATGGATACCCCACTCTTCATGATGTGATTATTTCACATTGCATGCCTATATCAAAACATCTCAAGTACTGCATAAATATATACACCTACCTATGTATCCACAAAATTAAAAAAATAGAAAGAATAAATATTAATTAGTATTTAGTAGCACAAGAGGGTGACTATAACCAAAACAATTTAATTGTAATTTTCTAAACCAACTAAAAGAGAATAATTGGATTGATTGTAATACAAAGGATAAATGCTTGAAGGAATAGATACCCCTTTGCCATGATGTAATTATTACACATTGCATGCCTGTATCAAAATATTTCATGTACCTCATATATACATGTACTATGTACCCACAAAAATTAAAAGTAAAAAAAATAAAAAATCCTTGTATATGATATGGTTTGGCTGTGTCCTCACCGAAATCTCAATTTGAATTGTATCTCCCAGAATTCCCAGGTGTTGTGGGAGGGACCCAGGGGGAGGTAACTGAATCATGGGGGCTGGTCTTTCCCCAACTATTCTTGTGATCATGAATGGGTCTCATGAGATCTGATGGGTTTATCAGGGGTCTCTGCTTTTGCTTCTTCCCATTTTCTCTTGCCACTACCATGCAAGAAGTGCCTTTTGCCTTCTGCCATGATTCTGAAGCCTCCCCAGCCATGTGGAAATGTAAGTCCAATTAAACCTTTTTTCTTCCCAGTCTTGGGTATATCTTTGTCAGCAGCATGAAAATGGACTAATACAGGAAATTGGTACCAGTAGAGTAGGGTGTTGCTGAAAAGATACCCAAAAATGTGGAGCAACTTTGGAACTGGGTAACAGGCAGAGGTTGGAACAGTTTGGAGGCCTCAGAAGAAGACAGGAAAGTGTGGGAAAGTTTGAAACTTCCTAGAGACTTGTTGAATGGGAATGGCTTTGCCTAAAATACTGATAGCAATATGGACAATAAGGTCCAGGGTCAGGTGGTCTCAGATGAAGAAGATGAGGAACTTGTTGGGAACTGGAGCAAAGGTGGTTCTTTTTATGTTTTAGCAAAGAGACTGGCAGCATTTTTCCCCTGCCCTAAAGATTTGTGGAACTTTGAACTGGAGAGAAATGATTTAGGGTATCTGGTAGAAGAAATTTCTAAGCAGCAAAGCATTCAAAAGGTGACTTGGGTGCTGTTAAAAGCATTCTGTTTCAAAAGGGAAACAAAGCATAAAAGTTCAGAAAAGTTGCAGCCTGATGATATAGTAGAAAAGAAAAACCCATTTTTTGAAAAGAAATTCAAGCTGGCTGCAGAAATTTACATAAGTAGCAAGGAACCTAATGTCAATCCCCAAGACCATAGGGAAAATGTCTCCAGGCCATGTCAGAGAGCTTCATGACAGCCCCTCCCATCACAGGCCCAGAGGCCCAGGAGGAAAAAATGTTTCATGGGCTGGGCCCAGGGTCCCCATGCTGTGTGCAGCCTAGGGATTTAGTGTCCTGTGTCCCAGCTCTTCCAGCCATGGCTGAAAGGGGCCAATGTAGAACTTGGTCTGTGGCTTCAGAGAGTGGAAGCCCCAAGCCTCGGTAGGTTCCACATAGTGTTGAGCCTGCAGGTGCATAGAAGTCAAGAACTGAGGTTTGGGAACCTCCACCTAGATTTCAGAAGATGTATGAAAATGCCTAGATGGCCAGGCAAAAGTTTGCCCCAGGGGCAGGGCCCTCATGGAGAACCTCTGCTAGGGCAGTGTGGAAGGGAAATGTGGGGTTGGAGCCCCCACACAGTGTCCCTACTGGGGCACTGCCTAGTGGAGCTGTGAGAAGACGGCCACTGTCCTCTGGACCTCAGAATGGTAGATCCATGGACAGCTTACACCATGTGCTTGGAAAAGCTGCAGACACCCCACACCAGTGAAAGCAGCTGGGAGGGAGGCTGTACCCGGTGAAGCCATAGGGGCGGAGCTGCCCAAGACCATGAGAACCTGGTGTATAAGTGTGACCTGAATGTGAGACCTGCAGTCAAAGGAGATCATTTGGAGCTTTATAATTTGACTGCCCCACTGGATTATGGGATTGCATGGGCCCTGTAACCCCTTTGTTTTGGCCAATTTCTCCCATTTGGGATGGCTGTATTTACCCAATACCTGTACCCCCATTGTATCTAAAAAGTAACTGCTTGCTTTTGGTTTTACAGGCTCATAGGCAGAAGGGACTTGCCTTGCCTCAGATGAAAATTTGGTCTGTGGAATTTTGAGTTACTGATGAAATGAGTTAAGACTTTGGGGGCTGTTGGGAAAGCACGGTTGGTTTTGAAATGTGAGGACATGAAATTTGAAGGGTCCAGGGTGCAGAATGATATGATTTGGCTGTGTCCCCACCCAAATCTCAGCTTGAATTATATCTCCCAGAATTCCCACATGTTCTGGGTGGTATCCAGGGGGAAGTAATTGAATCATGGGGGCCGGTCTTTCCCGTGCTGTTCTTGTGATAGTAAATGGATCTCGTGAGATCTGATGGGTTTATCAGGGGTTTCTACTTTTGCTTCTTCCTCATTTTCTCTTGCTCTTGCCATGTAAGAAGTGCCTTTCACCTCCCGCCATGATTCTGAGGCCTCGCCAGCCATGTGGAACTGTAAGACCAATTAAACCTCTTTTTCTTCCCAGTCTTGGGTATGTCTTTGTCAGCAGTACAGTATAAGACACTTTACTAAAAATCTGTCATGGGTTATTGTTGCCTCTTTTGTCTGATTCAATACTTTCTGGAAAGTTTTACAGATGATAGAGATTAATGACATACTTAATTGGTTGTTGTTTTGTAGTCATTTCTCTTAAAGTTTGACATCCTATGATACTATTTTAGTTGTTATCCTATGATACTATTTTAGTTTTACCATAAGTAAAACTGGTGCATGGAAACTCCTATGGGAAGGAAACCTGCAGAATATGTAGGTATGGCTCTGTGATGGTTAATATTAGTGTCAAGTTGATTGAAGAATGCCTAGGTGGCTGGTAAAGTATTGTTTCTGGGTGTGTCTATGAGGGTTGTTCCCAGAGGAGATTGACATTTGAGTTGGTGGACTGGGAGAGGAAGACCCACCCTCAATGTGAGTGGGCACCATCCAATGGGCTACCAGTACCACTAGAACAAAGCCAAGTTGAAGAAGGTGGGATAATCTGGCTCACTGAGTCTTCTGGCTTTCATCTTTCTCCCATGCTGGATGCTCTCTTCCATTCCTGCTGCCCCTGGATGTCAGACTCCAGGTTCTTCAGCCTTTGGATTCTTGGATTTTACACCAGTGTTTTGCTGGGGGCTCTCAGGCCTTCGGCCACAGACTGAAGGCTACACTGTTGGCTTCCCTGCTTTTTAGGCTTTGGTCTTGGACTGAGCCACTACTGGCTTCCTTCTTCCCTAGCTTGCAGATGGCCTATCATGTGACTTTGCTTTGAGATTGTGTGAGCCAATTCTCCCTAATAAACTCCCTTCCATACATACATATATCCTATTAGTTCTGTCCCTCTAGAGAACCCTAACTAAAACAGGCCCATAATTGTTTTTTATAACTTTGGTTCAGCCTACTGCTTAGTATAATTTCTAACATGTATATAAAGAGGCATACATGTAAAATGAGGCATACATATAAAAGAAATCTCACAGTAACAGATTTGTATGCAATATGCAAATATTATAAGAAAGACCAACATGGCCTCATATTTATAAGGTGGTCAGAAATAACCTTAGATACAACAGTAGAGTACTATTGAACTATATTATTGGAAAGCCATAAGAAATAGGGCTATCAGTTTCAGCCTTAAAGGAGTTTTTCCATCTGGTGAGTGAGACAGAATACACATAGATGTGAATCACTTGGGCCTTATGGTGCATCATGCAAACAAGTGGAGGCCAGTGCCCTGTGGTAAGAAGGCTCACGACAAAGTGGTATTCGGCAGTATTCCAATACAGAAGACTTCCTGGAGTTAGTAAATATTTTTGAAAAATTTTATTTAAAAACCTTATAAAACTAACATGCATGTAGGTTCTTTGGACATTCAAACAATTCAGAAGTACATATAGTACTGGATATAAGTTTTCCTCTATATCCTTTCTCAAACTTACAATTCTATTCACTTATGTAAGGTAACTTCTGTTAGCATTTGCTATATAATATGCTATATTCAGATTATCTCTATTATCTATCATCTATTTTTCTTTCTATGTATTTGTCCATGAATGAGATCAAACTATATATATTATTCTGCAATTTTCTCTTTAACTTGTCAATATATATTACAAATTTTCTCATGTTAGCATGCATATATATGTATTATGTATATATTTTTTGAAAAATTTTATATAGCATACATCATAATGTAAACTTTCATTTATTGTTACATTTCATCTATCACAAACAGCATTGTAATGAAAATTCTTGCAGTTAATTCATTTATTTATTCAGTTGATAGATGTTTATTGAGTGACTACTATATATCAGGCATTGCCTTAGGTGTGTCAAAAATGAACAAAAAACACACACACAGCCAACCAACCAACAAACCAACGATAACAAAAATATGTGGTTACTGCTAGAGTTGGGACCAGGATGAAGTGAATGAGTCATTTACCTTAGGCACAAAATTTAAGGAGGCACAAAAAAGCTTAGTAATCATGATAAATACTTTTATGCAATATTTTTAAAGGTCAAAATTAATTAAAAGTTCTATGATAAAATATGAGAATTTTAAATAAAAACAGAGTCTGTAGCTAACTCATAGTCTAGTTAAGGAGATATTAAATACAAAATTATTATTATTATTGCTATTATTCACAAATTGTGATGAGGGATAACAATAGGCTATTACAAGAGAGGATCCTGTACATTAGATTCAGGTGTTAGAGACGGTCACAGATTGGGTTTCTCTAGAAGCCAATCAGAAGAGATTAGCAGTTAGGGGGTTTGTTAGGGTGCGTTCTTAAGACCAACACCTGGGAGGGAAAAGAAAGCAGGATTTAGGAGAGAGAGAGTTTGAGCTGCAATGCTTTCTCAGCTGGAACCTCAGGTGACCCTGTGGGGAGTTCTGGAGGTAGAATGACTTCTCAAAACTCTACCAAGTTAGGACAAGAGGGATGGGCTAAGTCCTCATGTCAATAAATCACTTAAATGTGGACCACCTTAGGAAGGCGTTGTGTCCTTGAACCAGGTGGCTTTATTCAGTTAAGATAATTCCTGAAGGGGTCTGCAATGGAATGCTGGCTGCTGACTGAACTCATAGCATCTTGAAGGAGGCCTCAGTGGCACATCAGAGATGACAGCATCCACCACGGAAATCGTATTGCAGGGGAAATGAACCTGCAGGAAAAACAGTAATATGAAATTCCTTCAACAAGTGTTTATGAAGCTCTTGTTATATGATAGGTACGATTTCAAGTTCTAGAAAGTACTGCAGAAGATGAAGAAAAGTTTTTTTTACTAAAGGCTTATGAGGTGCCATGCCCTATGTTAAGCCCTTTCCAAGAATTATTTAATCGTTCCTTTCCAAGGAATTTATAAACTGGGTCCCATAATCATTCCCATTTTACAGATAAGAATATTGAGGCTCAGAGATTTTGCAGCTTGACCATAATCTCACAGCCAATGAGTCAAAAGCAGCATTCGAACCTAAAGTCTTTATACTACAATGTCTTTGAGTGTCCTTGATCTCAATTTAATATTGCCCTATTATTGTGTGCATATTAGACTATTCTGTAGTATAGATTGCTAGAAGTATGGTTGTTGTGTCAAAGTGCATATGCATTTTTAAACATTAGTAGATACTACCAAATTGATCTTCAAACAGTACCAAATTATACCTTTACTCTGGGCCTATGGAAATGCATATTTGCCCACAGCCTTGTCACCTGTGGTTATTAACAATTCTTTTAATTACTGTTAAAATAATAAGTGGAAATTTAATATAATTGTTATTTTAACTTGGCTTTTCCAAAGGACCAGTGAGGTTGAGTCTTTTTTCATACTTATTGGCAATTTGAAGGCTTATTTCTTGTGAATTACCTGTTTATAATTTTTCTGTACTTTTATTGTATTATCTTATTTTCAATAATTAGTAGTTCTTTGCCTATATGTTGCAAATATTTTTCACAGTCTTTCTTGTTTTTTAAATGTATTTATCCATCTCTCATTACATAATTTATTTTGAAAAAATTAAGTAGTCAAAGCTTTCAATCTTTCCTTTAAGCTTTCTAGATTTTATATCTTGCATAGGAAAGCTTTTTCCATCTCAAAAATATAAAAATTGTTTTATATTTTAATGTACATACATAAAACTGTGGAAAAACCCATCTGGAATTTTTGTGAATTATGTGAGATAGATGTTTAACTTAATTTTTTTTCAAGTGGATAGCTAAAATTCTATTGAGTTTTCCTGAATGATTTTAAATGTTACTTTTATTATCTAACTCTCGTTGATACTATCTCTGCTTCTAGACTCTCTATTTAGTTTTATTATTTTATTTTTCCATTCCTGAACCAATTTCATACTAATTATTGCTGTATTATTGTAATTACTGTATTTGGTAGGGCAAGTCTCCTTTCTTTGCTCTTCTTGGTGAACTTAAGAATCAATGTATCAAGTCCTATAAATTATCCCACTGGGATTTTGATTGGGATTGCACTGAATTGTAGATTAATTATAGATTAATTTGTAGTTGACTTTACATGACTTAAATGCTTATAAAGCACCTTCATAAGGTTAAGACTTGAAATCTAAAATATAGTTACCAATTTGTTCAGTTTTTACTTTGTCCTTCCATAAAATATAGTTTTCTTCATGTATCTTATAACTTTCCTCACATACCTCTAACACTGAGGACTAAATCTTGCGACATTACAATATTTGCAGGTATTGTAAGGAGTACCTTTGTTCATAACATCTTTGAATTATTTATTGCTCTGACATAAGAAAAAAGAGCTAACACTCAAATGTACTTTACTATATGCCAGGCATAGTGCCTTACATGTATAAAAACATTTAATTCTCAAAGCAACTCATTGAGGATTGTGCCATTATTAACCTGATTTAATAGAAGATACTGAGACATGGAGACAACTATAATATATCTGGGAAAAAGTGGAGCCAGAGTGAAACAAGGCAAAGAATTTCTCCATAGTCTGCTCTTGAACCACTAAGCTATTGATCTGTATGATGGTTGTGCACCTGGTCATCTTACTAAATCCTTTTATTACTTCTGACCCTTCTTAAAGTTGTTTGATTAACTAGGTAGAAATTGCATAATCAGCTTATCGTGGCAGTTTAAAATATTACATTCACATACTTATTCTGTTTACGTCACTTTTTTTTCCTATTGCTTGAGGATCTTGCCCTGCCTTTCCCATCATCTAGAGTACCTCCCAGGCCCTTCTTTGAGAAGGTCTCAAACAATATAATTAATGTGTGTTTCACGCATGCCATCATTTGTAGACTACTTACGATTTTCTACATAGAGAACCATCTTATTCACAAAGAATGTTCTTTTTAACTTTTTTCTTTTTCTACCCATACATATTATTTCTTTTTCTTGCTGTATTGTTCTTGCTGGGACCTCCACTGAAATGTAGACATCTTTCCTTTTAGAAGGAAAGAGTTCATTGTTTTACCATTATGTGTGATGTTACCTTTAGATTTTCAATAGATGTTATCAAGTTTAAAAAGTTTCCTTTTTTGTAGTTTCTTGTTAGTTAATATGACTTGATATTTTGGATTTTGTCAAATGCTTCTAATGCATTTATTAAGATGATCACATTTTTTTGTTGTAATCTGTTTATATAGTGAGTTACATTGGTTGGTTGTATTTTGTTAACCCAACCCTGAATTTCTGTGATAAAACCCACTTGATCATGATTTCTTATTCTTTTTACATAATGTTGGATCCGATTTAGTAATTTTTTGTTGAGAGTGTTTGTTTCCATGTTCATGATTGCTCTGTAGTTGCTTTTTCTTTTTGATGCTTGATTACTGGTTTTAGTAATAGAGTATTTTTGGACTCATGGGAGAAGTTGGAAAGTATTACCTTCTTATATGTATTCTAAAAGAGTTTGCAAAAAAAATTGGTATTATTTCTTCTTTAAAAGTTTGATAAAATGCATCAACAAAGCCACCTAGGCCTGGAGTTTCCTTTGTGAGAGGTTCTTAACTACAAAATCATATTTAAAAAAAATAGGTAAAAGGCTATTTGAGTTATGTATTCTTTCTAAGTGAGCTTTCATGCATTCTTTGTTTCAATAAATTTATTTTATCTAGACTATGAAATTTACTACCATAAAGTTCTTCATAATATTCCTTTATTATCTTTGTAATATGTGTAGGATCTGTGGTTATGTCTCCTCTGTCTTCCTGCTGTTGGTAAATCAATTTTATTTTCTGATCACTCTTTTTAAAGACTTATTAGATGTATTAAACTTCTCACAGAAACAGCTCTTTGTTTCACTGATTTTTCTCTAGTTTTTTCTGTTTTCAATTTTATTGATTTTTGCCTTTATTTTTGTAATTTACTTTCACTTGCCTACTTTGTGTTTGATCTTTCTCTTTCTGTTCTTTTCTATTCTATTCTTTTCTTTTCTTTTCCTTCCTTCCTTCCTCCCTTCCCTTCCCTTCCCTTCCCTTTTCCTTCCTTCTTTTCTTTTCTTTTCTTTCTTTCACAAATGGATTCCATTGTCCAGGCTGGAGTGTAGTGGTGTAATTATAGCTAACTGCAGATTTCTTCCTCTTTTTTATTTTCTTAAGGTGGATGCCTGGCTCCCTTTCTTCACTTCTAATAAAGACATTTAAAGTTATACATTTCTTTTTAAGCACTGCAACATACAAATTTTGATATCCTGTTTTTTAATTTTCATTCAGGTACAGACTATCTTATTTCCTATGTGATATCTTCTTTGATCAATGGGTTATTCAGTAACGTCACATTAGATTTCCAAATATTTTGAGATTTCCTCTCATCAATTTCTAATACAATTCCCTGTTACCAGAAAACTTACTTTGCATGACTTGAATCCTTTAGAATTTATTGAGACTTGTATTGTGGCCCAGAATATGGCCTATTTTAGTAAATATTCTGTATACACTTGAAAAGAATGTGTATTCTGCTGTTATTGTATGTAATGCTACTTAAGTATCTATTAGTTTAAGTTTGTTTATGGCAGTGGTTAAATGTCCTATATACTTACTGATTTTCTGCCTACTTATTCTATCATTATCAAGAGAAGTGTGTTGAAATCCCTGACTATAGTTGTGAATTTTTCTACCTCTTTTTCAGTCCTGTGTGTTTTGCTTCATATATTTTGAATCTCTATTATCAGGAACATGAAAATTTAAAGTTGTTACGTCCTTTTGATTTTTGTCTCCTTTGTCATTTTAAAATGATCTTATTTATCTCTGGTAATATCCTTTGTGCTGAAATTTCTGTCTAATATTAGTAAAGCTATACTAGCTATTTTTAGTACTATTGGCTTAGGATATTTGTTTTCATTCTTTCATTTTCAACCTCTGTATAATTTTATTTAAAGCCATTTATTGTAGACAGCATATAATTGGCTCTGGCTTTTTTGTGCTTCAATTTGGACGATTAGCACATATTTTCAAGTTTACTTATCTTTTCTTTTATAGTAACTAAATTGCTGCTAATCCTATTCACTGAGATTTTTATTTCAGATAACATGTTTTCTACCTGTATAGCTCCATTTGATAATTTTATTTTATAGTGTCCATTTTTTCTCACTTCCTTCTTGTATTTCTTTAAATCCTTGAACATATTTATATTACCTGTTTTTAAATCCTTGTATGAGAATTCTATTATGCCTATCACTTCTGGTTTTATTTCTATTGAATGACTTTTCTCCTATTTATTTGTCACATTGTTCTGCTTCTTCACACGTATAGTAATTTTTTATTGGATATTAGATGTTTTGTGGAATATCTGGTTTGCTTGTTTAAGCATAACCCTTAAATAATTTAAGCATGACCCTTTTGGGATCTTCCCTCAATGTGCTGGGCTTTTAATAAGGTCCCTTCACTATGATGTATTAGAACATGAACATCTCTCAGCTCTGTGAACTTGGAAATTGTTCAGATTCATTTTCCTATTGTGCTTTGTTGCTTGCCTTTTTAGAGGTTCACATTACTCATTAAGTGTAATTTGCTTGGAACCTTCCTTAACCATGATCCAAAAAGTGCCTTCAGTCAAAAAGATAGAGCAACCATAAGGCTTACCTTAATCATTGACCTATCTTCAAAGATTGCAGTCATATGGGGCCTGTTATCTAATGTCTGAAAACATTGCTTCTTACATTTGTCTAGTTTTATTTTTATTTACGGGGTGGCAGGAACAGGTCTGGGGCCACTTACTTCCTCATTGAAGAAGTGGAAGTTCTTTTTCCAGTTTTTAATTATATTAATATACTGAATTTTATTGCTAATAATTACATCGATATTTGGAAGCTACTTTTCAAAATATGTTACTCATGTATACATTTTTAGGTAGTTTCACCAATATTTTAATTAGAATTTTTGTATTTGGATTCATAAGTAAGGATGATTGGGAGTATCCTTTAATCCTATTTTTCCCTGACTTTAGTATCAGAGTTATGATAATTTATACATTTATTTAGAAAGTTGTTAAACTTTTAAAATGCTCTGGAGTAGTTCTAAAAACAGAATTTATACTTTTCATCTTACATTTCTCATGAAAATATCTGTAGTAGATCTTTTTTTAGGAGATAGACGGAATAATTTTATTTCTGGAGTACCTTTTAAATTTCTTTTATAATTATTGATATATTTGTGTTTCCTACCTCTTATTTTTGAAATAGAGACAGGGTCCTGCTATCTTTCCCAGGCTGGTCTTGAACTCCTGGGGTCAAGTAATCTTCCCATCTCAGCCTCCCAAAGTGCTGGGATTACAGGTGTGAAACACTGTGTCTGGCCTTCTGCCTCTTCTTGTTTGACTTTTTATTTTCCTAATCATTTTATCTAAATTTTCAAATTTTGTTGTATGTATTTATACCTATAATTCCCTCATGATTCAGAAAATTCTTATCCTTTTCCTATATATGATATTTTCTCACTTCTGTTTTAAAGTTTGTGTAATCTTTTTTCTTTGTTGCATTCACCAAACTTTTACCTATTTTGCCTTTTCAAATCATACATTTTGACATTTTCAAAGAGTGTGAGTATTTTTAGTGAAGTTTAGGGAGTGAGAGGGCTAAAGAGAGAAGACAACATTATATTACACAAGAAGAGGAACACACATAAAGACAAAGCAAGAATGTGTGTGGAAAGGTGTGTGGGATAATGAGATGGAAGAGGGGGGGTGGGGTGAAGAGTCTTGAGGAATATCCTAAGGGCTAGGCAAATAACTTCTGAGTTGAAACAGCTGATGATGAGAAATGACGCCATGTTTATAAGCTTAGGGGCATATAATTGAAATAGACTTGGAAGAAAATTATTTCAGCAGCTTTGGTATGTTGACATGCTCAAATTTTGAAGGCAGGGAGCTTTTCTTGGGATGCTGCCTCAGAAAGGCTTAAGAGAACACGAGGATGATTTAGATAAGTTGTTTTGAAAATGGAAAAATGAAATGTGAACCCAAAATACAATATTGAAGAGAATATGGTGTATATTGACTCTGGAAATATGTGCGTGGTTTTAGCGGTGGGAAAAGTTATGGTAAGGAAAAGTTTAAAAAGGAGAATGTTGCAAAGTCGTAAGATTTTGAGAGCTGAAAAATGGTGGTTTAATAAATGTTGGTAAAGAAATTGGGTTGAGCTGCCTAACAGAGAGTGGAAGTAGCAAGCTGGTATCTGCTCAGGATACATAATAGATATGCGATATTAAATAGATGTTCTACAGATATTCTAGACACATGAATAAAATATAAAACCATGATGAGGGTCACCAAAGATTTCAGGGGTCTGGTTTCCCCAGGCTTCAAAAAGCCCTTTCAGGTGGATAGGTTTCTCTTCTTGGCTTTTTGCAACCCTGAAATGAGAGTTAAATCTGGTGTTTTCAGTTGAGTCTAACAATTTGAGCACGATAAAGATCAGGTGGCTGGGCGTGGTGGCTCATGCCTGTAATCCCAGCCCTTTGAGAGGCAGAGGCAGGCGGATCATGAGGTCAGAAGATCCAGACCATCCTGGCCAACATGGTGAATCCCTGTTTCTACTAAAATACAAAAAATTAGCCAGGCGTGGTGGCGCACGCCTGTAGTCCCAGGTACTCGCGAGGCTGAGGCAGGGGAATCACTTGAACCTGGGAGGCAGAGGTTGCAGTGAGCTGAGACCATGCCACTGCATTCTAGCCTGGCAACAAAGCAAGACTCCATCCCCCCAACACCAAAAAAAAAAAAAAAAAAATCAGGTAAATTCATTATTATTATTGTTTTTTAGAACATGCTGGGAGATAATAGAAGCCTTCGCCAGGGGTGCTTAAGAATCAAAGAGGTTATTACAGGCAAAACTCAGAAGCAAGAGAATGTACAATATAATTCGGGAATTCCTTTTTGCCTTCTGATGCTTGCAGGAGTACTCAATTTTGAAAAGAGGTCGCCATGCCCTGATGGTCCTTTCTTGAATTTTCTGCAATGGCTCTTTCTAGGAAGACCAAAAACTATCACTATAGCAGCTGTATGTGTAAACATTTAAGGTCCAGACCGAGAATAGTCCATTATAACACTTTGACCTTACTGTTTCAGGCCTAGTAATAGCTGTTATTCTAAAAAACAGCATTTAACAGCAGTTGTTTTCCAAATACTGTAGCATATTTTCCCCTACTCTAATAGCTTATATAAAGAACCATTTTCCCAAGTTACCCATGGATGTTGGAAATAATTTCTGCATTTCCCCTGGCTTACATTCTAGTTGTCAAAAAGTCAAAACACAAACACTAGCTGAACAGACTCAGTTACGTCTCAACATGGTAATTGTTAAATCACTCAGTAGGAGGAAAAAAAGTCACACAAGGAGTTATTATTATGCATATGCATTTTTAATGTCTGATTCTCTGTATAACCTTAAATTACAATGCAGGTTAAATTTCCCTTGCTGATTTATAAACATAATGTAAACTCTAGACACAGTTAATGATATTGCAATGTAAAACTGTTCTGTTGCAAACTAAAGACCTTGCTTAGCACTGGGAAGCTCTGGGTTCATTTCAATGTGATCATTGAGGCACTATGCAGAGATTATGCATTTATTGTATTTTTTTCATGAATACATGAATGAATAATAAGTTCAACAAACAAGAGTTTCCTACTGGGAATGTCAAACAAATCATTCTGCGAAGTGCTCTGAATTTCAATCAATCACTCTCCATAACACTTGCCCCACTGAGATCTTCAGCTTCAGCAGAGTCAGCACTTGGAATCACTACAAGCAATCTTGGACAGGAGGCATAAGGTGCAAGAGTGCAGAAAGAGCAGGCCATCCTCCTGTTCTTCTCACCCAAGCAGGAGTTCTTTGCCAAGACACATACTTGTTGCCTTTATATTAGTGGGGGCCTGGGGTAATGGTGGCTCATATTCCAATAGCCTTGATTCTACCACACCCTTGCTGTTTCCCATAAGTTGGAGTCCACAAGTTCTAGTGGATGGCTCAGTGGAGAGAAAGTGTCCACTTGAGGTGCACGGAAAAAACTGAACAACACTAGTAAACAGAACTGTACAGTTGTAGCACTTTTAGGACCTGAATGAATGGTAAAGGAGTTATTAGTGTAAAGACACCATGAAAGATTTGGTTTGTAGAGCATGGAGTCTTTATTTTAGGAAGAATCGTTTGAGGTTCTAACGTTGAATTTTGGTGTCTCTGTCTTGGGAAATCACTATTTTCATTTAAAAGAGTTCAATACCACTATTATGGTAGCCTTGATTCATATTGAGGTGGGAGAAGAAGTGTGAAGAAGAGAACAATTCTTTATTTGCATTTGTTTGTCCAAAGGTAGTTTTAGGACAAACAACTCTTTAGATGGAGCTGTTACCTCCTTCTGCCCCTTTGCCTACATCGTAACCTGAGGTGGATTCTGGTACTGAAGTTGAGAACCTTATTGGATGCCAGTTTGAAGTGAATTTCCTATAGCTTGAGGCAGCATGCTTAGTCTAAGGAAAGTTGCCCATATACTGGTTGAATATCTCTTAGCCAAAATGCTTGGGGCCAGAAGTATTTTGGATTTCAGATTTTTCCTGATTTAAGGATATATGCGTACACATAATGAGATATCATGAGGATGGGCCCAAGTCTAAACATGAAATTTATTTATGTTTCATATACACCTTATACACATGGTCTGAAGGTAATTTTATATAATCTTTTAAATAATTTTGTCCATAAAACAAAGTTCAATGTTTTGACCACATTTTGCTGTAAACTGTCACTGAGATCAGGTGTGGAATTCTCTACTTGTGGTGTCATGTTGGTACTCAACAAGTTTCAGAGTTTGAAGCATTTCAGATTTTAGATTTTCCAGTTAGGGGTGCTCAAGTTGTACCAGGAAAGCTTGCTACTCATCGCCTACCAGATTAATGACTACTCAACAAATTTTGAGTGAATTCCAAAGGCTGTGATAATCAGATTTCTACTTCAGTATAAACACATAGTTTACCTCCTCCCAGTCAATTAAATGTTACCAGATAATACAACTGCTTATGTTTTATTTATAACCTTCAGAATGAGAATCTTATTTTTACTAGCTCTAATTAGACTCTCCTGGCCACAGGACCTATCCTGTATCTGTGTGGATCAGATGTTGACTGTTTTCATAGCACAGGAAGTAGAAAGCGTAGCTGTTACTTAATAGAGGTTGGTTCCCGTCCTCTCTATTCCTTAACATTTATCATAAAAACAAATACCACAAGTTGCAGATTTATCAATTTTTGTTACAAATATACCTTTTCCACTATGAATGTGATATAAATAAATACAGTTTCATTGCATTTTCTGTAGAGGAAAGTGGCTGGATAAAATGTGACAATCATTTTAACCTTTAGTGACAGGCCCTAGATTATTCATTTGGGGTTGGGAAGTGATTCCAATAGAAACAGGCTCTTAAATTCCTCTACCAGTGGTCCTGGCTGGCTGTGTGATGCAGGATAAATAACATCACCATCGTAAGCCTCAGTTTTCTCATCTGTGAAATATAAAAGTTGTACAGATTTGTTCCAAGGGCCCTTCTGGTAACGTAGCATAGTTTTTAAAGGACAGAGTGGAGCTAAACTGCTTGAGGTTCAGTTCCTTAGTAAATTACTTACCCTCTCTGTGCCTTGGGGTCCTCATCTGTGACAAGGTTGTTATAAAGATTAGATGAGTTGATACGTATAAAGCACTTACCCAGGTAAATTCTGTAAGTAAGCTATTATTCCAATTCTGACTTCCATGGTTTTAATAACATTTATTAGTTATTGAGTAGTTAATGTTATCACCACAAATGGGCTAAATATTATTTATCTCTTGTGAAAAATATCACAACAAACCGACTATGAACATACTATAATCATCTCTATTTTACAAACAAGGAAAATTAGGCCAAGTGCTAAGTTATTTACTAACAATTAGGATCTGAACATGAATCCCAGGCCAGCTCAGTATGCTCCAACATCAACCATTGTCTCATCCCCTCTTTCCTGCTGGAAATAGACTAGTCTTCAAGGATTGCTGGAAGACAAAAGCAGAAAAGCAGGAGGGAGACTTTTTTGATGCCTCTGCTTAGCTTGATGTCCGACTCTGAAAAATGTTCTCTGTTGAATTGATTTCTGCCAGTTTCGTTGCTGACTTTGGCACTTTGTTTCACATTTAGTCAGTGTTTATCTAAATGAGTTCAAGCTACTTTCTTCTTCCACACTAAATCCATAATGACCTCTTGCTTCTGAATTAATTACTGGCTCAGTTTGCTGGTATTGCTGCATTCCTCTTCTTTTTTCCAGTTGCTTTCACTGTATTGTTAGCTTTTTCAACCTGCATTTCTTCTCTACTACTTCCTATCTCTCTTCCTTCCCAGGAAGAAAAGGCAACAGCAGCAAACTCACATTGTGCCTACAGAACTTCCTCCCATGGTTCCAATTCCTCGTTACAGTGTGTGTGTGTGTGTGTGTGTGTGTGTGAGAGAAAGAGAGAGAGAGGGAGAGTGTGTGTGTGTGAGAGAGAGAGAGTGAGTGTGTGTGTGTGTGTGTGTGTGTGTGTGAGTATGTTCCAGAAATGTTATCCTCAGTACTTCTGGTAGGGCTTGTGGTAGGTGCCAAAACATCCATTTCTCACCTGAGAGTTCAAGATGGTCCTGAATGCTGGTAAGCAAGAGATAAAGCCAAGGCATATTTCTCTATCAGTCCACTTAAGCCACTTATTTGCACCAATTCTTCGAAGTCAGAATCCGATATCCCAGGGAGAGTCCCTTACATTCTCTGAGGGACAGGGCAGTCCTGCTGCTCCAATGCTTGCTTCAGCAAGCGTGTGTATATAGGTGGCGGATTTATGAAAGCAAACACACAATATTGATTCCTTACAATAGTGCTCATTTTAAATAAGATTTTGCATTTAATGCTTTATTAGCTCAAATCTTCTGCAACTCTTTTCAATACTCACCATAAGACAGTGAATGGGAAAGCAGTTAGGAGCTGAAAGAACGTGAGATTATCTAAACTGGGTTTACTTTTGAATCTCTAAATCAAATAGGCTAAGTATTCTAATAGTCTACCCTCCTGTCTCATCTACACATGAGGGAGAATCCTCTTCTGGGCCAGCGATTGGAACAGCTTCTTACCTCGCTTTGTAGTGTTCTCTCCCATTTTTCTCTAGTTATTGATGTTTAGTGTAGTTTATATGTGTTTAATATTCATAGAGATGTGTATTAATCAACATAGTAAGAGCTAATGGTCAGGGTACTTTACTGGAAAATGGGTTTATTGAGCATTCTGAACGTGTTTCATTACTTACTAATATCTTGTGACCTCACACCAAGAGATCACAGACGATCTCTTGTAAAACTGAGACATATTGTGATTACATACCCCTTAAGTCTAGAAATGATAAAAAAAAAAGGTCATTATTGAACAGAATCTAGATATAAGAAAATCTTTCTATAAGTCCCTCTTTATGTCTGTAGAACATATTGTGTTCTTTTGCAGTTTGCTGAGTAGCTATTAGCTGCTGCTGCTGGCCCTCTATACTTCTGATTTTGTCTCCTCTGTCTTAAAGTTTCATACTTTTCTTAGAATTAAAATAATCCAGGCTAATTGCACTTCTAAATGCTCTTTCTGAAGTGGCTGTATGTATACATTATCATCAGAAGCTTTTCCTTCTATATATATGCTTTCAAAATGTCAGCACTTTCCATTCTGATACTACGGGTTTACTAGTTTGTCCTTTATGTGTCATCTTGTTTGAGGAACAGATCCTCATTCCTTCCTGTCTATTGGTGTCACCACTTAAATGTCCTCAGGCTTCTCAAATCTGGAGTGCTCAAGGTAAAACTCATTATCTCTTTCCTTTCCTTGTTCCAAACCTACTTCCTCCCACCATGTTTTCTCTCTCAGTAGCCTCACCATTTCCTTCAATTGCCCTACAAAAACTTAGGAGTTATTCACAACTCCTTTTCTTCCCCTCATCACACAGCACATGCGTGTGCACATGCATACATACACATGCATGCACACATGTGCACACTTCCATGAGTTTTAGTCCTACCAGCTCTGTCTGTGCCACTTCTACTGCTTCAGGTTTTTATCATCTCTTCGCTGGACAACTTCAACATCCTAACTGGATATCCTGTGTTCAGTCTGTTTTTTGTTAATTCTATCCAATGCCAGATAAATAGTTCTAAAATTCAGTTCTCATGTCTCTCCTGTCCTCAAACACTTGAGATGGCTTCCTTTAGCCAGAGACCAGACTTCTAAACAAAGTGGACAGCTCCGCTCTGTCCAGTTACTCATTATTCTTTAAAAGTGCTATGACAGTTTATATATATGTACTAGTTTGTTTTTGTTAAAATGCTCTTTCATTTATAGATGGGAAACTGAAGAAAAGAGACTATATCTCTTTTGAATCCCAAGAACCCGAACACGGAGTGGACATAGAGAAGTAGACTGATTTACCCAGCGACACACAAATACTGGCTGGTGTTTGAAGCTAGTGTTTGAATGTCTTGGCTCTCAGTCTTATATTTTCTATTTAAAAATATTAGATAATTTGGAGATTTGAGAAAACAAATTTCTCAAGTGGTGTCAAGGAAATCCATTGGCCTTTACTTCTTTAGCCCTGAGACTTTATAAAATTATATAAGACGCAAGTTGGCATTTTCTAGGGGCCACAGGAAAGAGGTACAGGTACTATATTGGCTACGATTCTTCTCTTTGGTTTTAACATCTTAAAGATAATTATATCAGTGCTTCTCAGAATTTAATGTACATATAAATCACCTTATGTGTAATATATTTTATGAATATAAGGTGATTTGTATGTATATTAAATTCTGATAAAATATAATATATAATTACACATTTTATATATAACATATTATCCTATATATATGAATACATATTATATATACTAATATATATTATATATAGTATATAATATATATTGTATGTATAATATAGTATATATACTAATATATAATATATAATAATATATACTGACATAATATACATATATGTATATAAATATATACACTATATATAAAATATATGGTATATAAAAATACATATTATATATAATATATAATACTATATATACCAATATATACTAATATATACTATATACTAATATATAATATATACTATATATACTAATATATAATATATACTATATATACTAATATATAATATACTAATATATAGTATATATGTAATACATATATAAAATATATATAGTATATACTATATATAATATCATATATAACATTTATATGATATATAGTATATCATACATACTATATGTCATATATAATATATATGATATATAATATAGTATAGTATATAATATATATTATATATACTAATATATACTTATATATACTAATATATAATATATTAGACTACACTATATATACTTATATATTATAGACTATACTATATATACTAATATATATTATAGAATATATACGTATATATTATATACGTATATATTATAGAATATATACGTATATATTATATACGTATATATTATATAGAATATGTTATATATTATATATATAGAATATTATATATTAATATATAGAATTATATTAATATATAGAATATATAGAATTATATTAATATATAGAATATATTATATATTATATACGTATATAATATGTATATAAAGCATATATTATATACGTATATAATATGTATATAAAGCATATATAATATATGTATATAATATGTATATAAAGCATATATAATATACGTATATAATATGTATATAAGGTACATATACCTTTTGCTTTATGAGGTCCAGTGGCATCTGAGATTCTGCATTCCCAACAAGTTCCCAGGTGATGGCTATTGTGCTAATCCCTGAATGCATGTCAATAGCAAGGTGCTAGATAATTATGTACTGACCACTTTAAGCTACCTAATATTTTCTTCTTTCACTAAGAAATTTGGTGAATTAAAAAAATTCTCCTCTTTATCCTATTACAGTCTACAGAAATAAAAATTGGTTATTATAACAATATTCAGAAGAAATTATCTTAATGCAAATCATATGACTCAATCTCTAGTACAGGTAGATATGAACATAGTGGAGGGTGGGAATCAACACTCTACATCCACAACAGCTCTCTTCTTGGACCTTATTTCACAGGAGTTTTTCTAAACTGCCAATTCTCCATGCCAAAGCAGTGATTATTGGTCACTATTTCTGCAAGGAAATCCTCAGTATAATTAATCTGAAGGTGTATCAAAACTGATCTGGAGAATACGCTGTGCAGATATTTGTAATTGAACTTCAATGAAGGCACAGCTCCTTCCCTTTCTCTAGGGGACTGAATCCAAGTGGTAACTCCATCAGGGTGACATCATATGTCACTTGTCCTGCTGCATTCGAAGTGGCTGAACCCAGACCCATAAACTCACTGTCATCTTGTAGACTTTGATTTTAAAGAATCCAGAGTGTAACATCACATACCATGTCAAAAAGAGACATAACAAGCTATCAGTGGTCAGTGAAAACTCTGTGCCTAGACTGCAGTGCCTTTTTGCTTTGCCCCTGTTGTGTGAACTGACTAGTATCTCAGTATTAAATTTGGTTTGTGTAGCTATTGCATTGTATTAGTGATAAGTTTGGCACATATTTTAGTCATATAATTTCTACACATCCAGGTTTATTGATTTTTTTTAAGGAAACTAATAATAAAAGAAAACATGGCTAATAAACAGCTTGGTTCATACAGATATTTCTGGCCAGGCACAGTGGCTCACGCCTGTAATCCTAGCACTTTGGGAGTCCGAGGTGGGCGGATCGCGAGGTCAGGAGATCAAGACCAGCCTGGCCAGCATGGTGAAGCCCCGTCTCTACTAAAAATACAAAACTTAGCCGGGCATGGTGATGCGCACCTGTAGTCCCAGCTACTTGGGAGGCTGGGGTAGGATAATCCGTTAAACCTGAGAGGAGGAGATTGCAGTGAGCCAAGATTGCGCTACTGCACTCCAGCCTGGTGACAGAGCGAAACTCCGTCGCAAAAAAAAAAAAAAAAAGATATTTCTATGTAATACATTTAATGTATTTAGAAATGTGTTGAAAGTTAAAATAACACAGGATAATTTTCACTATAATTGGATAGATGGGAGAGTGGGGATTTACTGAGCCAGGGAAGGAATTAGAGTGATTGATCTGGGAGCAGAGTCCTTTTCTATGTCTAGTTAATTACAGTGCTCAGAACCTTGTGAACAATGCTGAATGTGGAATTATTAAATTTGATGGTTGGGGAATGATTTTAAAACTTACTAACAAATCCTCTTAGTTTTATAAGGGATCCCCAATTTCAGTAATCCACAGAAGACTAAGCACTTCCAGGACTAACAAAAATTTCTTGTTTTGGTAATTAAAAAATTAAATCTCTCCCTGAACCCCTCCCTCAAAGAAAACATGATTTTTCTGGCATGATTTTTTCAAGTTGAAACACACTGAATTCCTATTATAATCCTGGTTTCGAGGGAATTTTTAGGCTAGAACTGTGTCTGCCTTGAAATGAAAAAGATGATATTCAGGGAGAAACGGTGATTGCACTCTTTTAATTTACTAGAACCTGTCTAGATGTTTAACATTTAAGTATTCAGAGAGTTCTCAAGGTCCTGTTGGGGGAAAATACATGTTTAGTGATTGGCCAGATTTTCTTAAAGTTGTTATTTTATTTCTAGGTATATATCTGGAACTTCACTTGAGTGATTTAACAGTTTTCCACAGTGGGTAGAGTTGGGGAGGCTCTTCTCTGAAGTGGTGGGAGAAGGGGTGGAAAGTTACAAAATATTGAAATGTACAGTTGAGAGCCACATATTCTGCTTTAATTTTCAGGCCTTTTCCTTTTGCCTTCCAGTTATGGCTGATGGTAGAGGAGAGGAGGCTTTGGCTCACGTTCAATGTGTTTCTTAAAGCGCTGTGGAGGAAGAACAAAACCTCCTCTTCAAAGGCGTTCTCTGTGGCGCCTATTTCAGGATTAAACAGTTTTAGGCTCTGTTATGACTTTCATGGAGTCATGGCTGTTTTTTTATTGAGGTCAACATCTCCTTCTGTTCCCCAGCAAATCCCAGGGAAGTGTGAGTCAGAGTCAATGAAATCACACTGGGAATGAATGGTGGTGTTACACTGTCAGACCCAGAGTTGCGTGTTTCTGCAGATGATTGTTGTACTGGACAACAGAGCAGACAATGAAGATTTTAAAATATATATGTGTTGTCAGTAAAAAGGAGCTAATTAGGATAGCTTTAATTTGGGGTCTGGTCTGAGAGCCAGGAGATCTGGAATTCTGCCATGAATGGGCTTTGTAATCTTGAGCAAGCAACTTAACATTTCTGGGCTTCAATTTTCCCACTTAAAAGTAAGACTGCATGATCTCTAAAGTTTCTTTTGGCAAGATGGTTCTATAATTTTCCTTTAGTTTACCACAAAGAGCCTTGGGCCAGAAAATTCCCTGAAAACTTCTTTTTAACATAAGATAAATCTGATGAATACCACCAATGTAAAAATAAATCATTAATAGGTGCATATGTTATTTGTAGTAGTATTTGTTTCTTAAATGCTAATCTTTGGTAAATTGCTTGATCATTTGGTATGCAACATACTGTAAGTGTATTACATATTGTATTTGTATTTTATATTTGGAAGTGCCACTGAGCGTTACATATGGCTGTTCTGGATTTGTCAATAATATTCCCTGTGCATTCCATATGGGAACAGCTATGCAGTCCTTATATGGTAATATCCCTTTTACTTTATATGGTGCCATTTATGATTTGTATAATTTATTCATATGTGTTTTATAGTCTTGCACTTTCTCAAAATATACCTTTAAGAAGAAAATAATAATTAGAATAGCTCTGTATAATAAAATTCCCGTCTCCCTTCTCTCCCCTCCCCTCCCCTCCCCTCCATTCTCCCCTCCCCTCCATTCTCCCCTCCCCTCCATTCTCCCCTCCCCTCCATTCTCCCCTCCCCTCCCCTCTCCTCTCCCCTCCCCTCCCCTCCTTCCCTCCCTCCCTCCCTTCCTTCCTTCCTTCCTTCCTTCCTTTTCTCTTTCTATAAACTATTAACTGACTCTAAGGAAGATTATTTTCTAGACGAAAATCTGTAATTTATGTTGTTAACTTTCAGGAATGCTTTCAGATAGCAAAATCATATGTATTTAACTTGTATATTATTTAATCTTGGTTAAATATAACTTCAAATTTTGTTTCATATCTTTAAATCTTACATTTTCATAAGGACATGTAATTGTGACTGTAGTTCTTTATATATTTTACATATTAATATCATTTATATTGTGAAGGCTTAAAAAGGGTAAAGATTATACCTGCTAATAATTCACTTTGTTTTGATTCAAACTCGTATGCCTTAATTGAAATGGCATACAGCAAGAAACGCTCCACTTTGTGTAAGAAAGCATCACTTTTTATTGTCATGAATTAGCTATGAAATGGTCTCATTTTCAAAGAGATATGCAGGACATATGCTTGCACATTCTGTTAGCAGTTAGTGATCCAAGTGGAGAAAACATTTCCATGAGAAAAGCAAGTTACATAATGAAAAGAACACTAATAATCCAGAGAAGACTATCAAAAAATTCCGTATCATCCACATGAATGATATGCATTTTGAAATGTTTAAAATAAGAAGTGTTTTCTTTGTTGATGATAATTTGTATTTAGTTAATGTCCTAACAAGATCATCCAGGATATTTTCTTTAGTGAAATCCTCCCCTGCTCAGAAAAGCATGTTTAAGACAAAGAGGCCTTTCTTTGTTGCTGTTGGTTGAAGTGCATACTGCGTGTGCTCTGATGGTACATTCATTTTCCTGACTCATCTGCAGCTTCAAAAAATTGCATGTTTGTTTGGCTGTTTGAAAAAACCTTCCAGTATTTTTTTCTCATGTCTGAAATGGTTCATATTAAAGCTTTCATAATACCCTTCAGTTTCTGTGTTAAATTGATGTTTAAATTGGAAAGAAAGTGGGAACCTTGGCAGTTTAGATAATTCACTTCATCTGGTGGCCAGCTATGTTAACAATCACATCATATGCCAGCACTTAGATGAGATGAAAGGAGCCCCAGGGGCACTGAAGCTACATTTTAGGAGCAGAGGGAAAATACAGTTAGAGTTCTTTGTTTCATCATTTTATTCTATAAAATGGTAAATTATTTTGACCAGAATTTTAAAGTGTTAAAAGAACAATTTAAAGGTTATGTGATGGCTTAGCTGTGAAGCTGAATGCAGATTGTTGATCAGTATGCTGGACAGAAAGTGCTGAGCCCCATGTCAGCAAATGATGTCTTTTATTCTCTGTGTATTGAGTGCTGTGAGGAAATGGTGATATTGTTAGCATATGAATAACATCAAAGCCCTCCACTGGAAGATAAACCTCCATCTTCTGAAATAGAGTGCACAGCCTCTCCTCGTGTATTGAAGTGCCTCCGTTTCTAACAGTGTGTTCTGTCCAACCCCAGAGCAGTTTCATCCAGACAAGTTGATATTCAGCACTGGGTTGCTGGTGCATGACTGCACATTCCATCACTTAGGAGAAAACATTTTCGCATCAAATTGCCTTTCTATATGAAGGGTAGGAAGGCTATTAGCTTGTTTGTTGTTGTTGTTGTTGTTTTTTGTTTTTTTTTTTTTAGATTTTTGGGAGGGGGAAGCAACATTTTCTTTTGAGGTCCTGCAAGATGTTCACGATTTTTATTATTATTTGTCCTAAAAATGAGGGACTGATCTAACCAGTTGATAAGAAAGATAGTGGATAACGTAACTGCCTCTTCATCTCTGAATGCAGACATGACTCTTTTCACTGCTGCTGGATTCTTCAATCAATACTGACATGCTGGCCAGACACAGTTTAAAAATAATGCATTGGTCCCATTCTTCTCTCTGTGAATATCATTTGAGCATGATAAGTAGTTCTCTTCATGCACCTTCCCTTCCTAGCTATCCTGATAAACAAATGCTGCTGATACTCAAAATGGAATTTCAGTTCAGCAGCAGAATTCCTGGGGCTTTTAGGAGCACCATCCACGTCAAATGGGTCCTGGGATGATAAACTGTATGACAGCCCATAGCAGAGCAAGTAATTCCAGATGCCTTGGATGTTTAGCCTATTAGTTCATGGGGACATGTAAGAAATAGTCAGTTTCTATTAATGTTCAATTTATTATTGGCCAAGACGCTTAGGATATGACGCTGCTAGTCATTTTCTGTAACAACTTTATGTATAGAGGAAGTCTTTCCTGAAAGGTACATGGCTGGCACTTCATTTCTGAGCTCATATGTTATGCTGACCAAAAACGTCTGTCAAAACTTAGATCAATGTCATGTGTTATATTTTCATTTTCATTACTCTTGGAATCGTTTTTAAAAAATTCATATTGCCAGCTGTTACATTAACATTCAGTTAAGTTTAGGTTAGCTGAATTCCAGCCAATGGTTTAGAAATAAGCAGGGCATAATGCTGATATGATTGACTTTCAGTTACTCTGTGTGGTTTCTCTTGCATATTTAAAGATATCTGTGTACAAAAGCAAAGAAACAACACATTTGTTTTATAAAGACTGAATGTGTAAGACTGATGGAGAGCTGTTTTGGTGTTATTGTAATAGACTAGCTTTTCTTAGTTTTTGTCTGTAACACAGTATACCAAGTTACTGTTCTCATATTCTCACTGAGTGATATACTTTGAGAATGTGAATCTTGGTTAGTTAAACTTGTTTGATTGCTGGATTCTGGGCTGCTTCCAAATGGGAGGTTGGAATCAAAAGAACAAACACAAAGGTTTCCCGGTCCTGTTAGGAATACCAAGTACTATCTCTAGATTTTCTAATTAGTTTTCAAGACAAATGCTCAGGAAATTACAACAATCGACCTGATTCAGCTCACATTTTAAACCTAGTGGACTTTAATAAGAATTAGCATTCCTACTTTTAGATGATTTTCCACTTTAGGTTTTAGTTTATTTAGTTTTTATATTTTAAGTCCTAGATTCTTTTTTTTTTTGACCCACATATTGATCAGCAAATGTCATTGCTTTAAAGTGGATTTTCCTCTCTGAAGAAGAGGCAGCTTCATTTATATCTATTCAAGAAAAATGAAAAAGACATCTTAATTCAATAATGGATAGGTTCACATGCATGGCAGAGCATAAGAGCCTGCTAGTTACTCTTTAATTATTTTTTAATAATATCCCTTGGTAATAATTTATACATTTTAAAGAACACTTTACACAGAAGTTAGGAGGGCAGAGGTTGGAATGAACCAAATGATTTCACTGATAAAAAGAATAGTCTTATTTAATGATGTCAGAGTTGGATGAACTGATGGTTTTATATGTCAGAGATTTCAAAGCATCTAAATTACTCTTGAGTTATTGCCAGCTATCCTGACTGTTTGGGATAACTATGAAACATCACACACAATCATTAATATCCAAGCTGGCAAAAAAGATGATTAAAGAGGCCTATAGATATAAGAAATATCATACTAGCAGAATTAAAAAAAATCAACTTGTCAAGTATTATTTTGAGACTAAATAGAGTATGAAAAACTTTTTGCCAGTGCAGTTTAAAACAACTTATTCTGTGAATAATGATTGAATAAGGTCATATATCTGTCCTAGAATCAGGACCTTGCTTGCCAGAGAGTCTGGTGACTAAATATGTTTCATTCTGGAATATTAGTAATAATCCCAACTCCCCAAACCCACCCTTCCAGGTTATAGTGGAATAGTAATTTCTAAGGCAACTTCAAAGTATATTTTTACTTAAAAGTCTGCTGAGTTATTTCTAGTTCTAAGTATTTTCCTTCTATTCCTATGAAACATTATCTAGCAAGTACTTAAAAATAATTTTATTTCAAAACGAGATGGCAGCCTTTCGGGTGGTATACTATAATTCTTCAGGAGCAGCTGTTTTATTTATCTTGGTCTTTTAAAAATTAGATGGATATATTTTTTCTTTTTTAGAATTGTATGTTATTTGGTCAAATGAATTATTTGGAGGAGTTAGTGATCAGGAAATGAGTACACATATATCTCTGTACTCTTATATAAGTAAATTAAAAATATTTTTAATTATTATGGACACACAATGGTTGTTATATTACATATTTATGTGGTACATGTGATGTTTTGACACAGGCATGCAATGTGTAATGATCAAATCAGGGCAATTGGGCTGTCCATCACCTCAAGCATTTATCATTTCTTTGTATTAGGAAGATTCCACTTCAACTCTTCTAGTTATTGTGTAATATACAATAAATTAGAGTTAACTATAGTTGCCCTGCTGTCTTACTGAACATTGGATCTTGTTCCTTTTGTCTAACTGTATTTTGGTACCCACTAATCATTTTCACTTTTTCTTCTCCTACCTACTACCCTTCCCAATGTTTGGTAACCTTCCTTCTACTCTTTATCTCTACGAGTTCAAGTTTTTTTAATCTATTTTTTATTTTTTAGTTCCCACTTAGAGTGAGAACGTGTGACATTTATCTTTTTGTGCCTGGCTTATTTCACTTAACATAATGTCCTTCAGTTCCATCCATGTTGTTGCAAATGTCAGGATTTCATTTTTTTTTTATGGCTGGATAATATTCCGTTGTGTGTATATACCACATTTTCTTTATTCATCTGATAATAGACACTTAGGTTGATTCCATATGTTGGATATTGTAAATACTGCTGCAATCAACATGGGACAGCACATGTCACTTTAATATACCGATTTCCTTTCTTTTGGATATATACCCAGCAGTGGGATTGCAGGATCATATGGTAGTTTGATTTTAAGTTTTTTTTGAGAAACCTCCATACTCGTTTTCATAGTCGCTATACTAATTTACATTTCTACCAACAGAGTATGAGAGTTCCCCTTTCTTCACATCCTTGCCCGCATTCATGATTGCCTGTCTTTTGTATAAAAGCCATTTTGACTGGGGTGAGGTGATATCTCATTGTTTTAATTTGCATGTCTGTGACGCTTAGTGATGTTAAGCATTTTAAAATATACCTGTTGGATATTTGTATGTCTTCTTTTGAGAAATGTTTGTTCAGATCTTTTGCCCATTTAAAAATTGGATTGTTTGTTTATTTTCTGTTAAGCTGTTTCAGCTCCTTATATGCTCTGGTTATTAATCCCTTGTCAGATGCATAGTTTGCAAATATTTTCTCCCATTCTGTTGTTTGTCTCTTGTTGATTTCTTCTTTTCTGTGCAGAAGCTTTTTAGCTTGATGTGATCCTATTTGTTAATTTTTGCTTTGGTTGCCTACACTTTTGAGGTCTTTCTCAAAAAATTTTTGCCCAGACCAAAGTCTTGGAGTGTTTCTTCAAGATTTTTGTCTAATATTAATAATTTCATAGTTTTAGATCTTAGATTTAAGTCAGATTTAAGTCTTCAAACTGTTTTTACTTTTTCTTTGTATATGGTGAGAGATAAAGGTCTAGTTTCATTCTTTTACATATGAATATCCAGTTTTCCAGCACCATTTATTGAAGACACTGTCCTTTCAGCAATGTATATTCTTGGCACCTTTGTCAAAAATGAGTTGACTGTAAAGTTCCATTGGTCTATGTGTCTGTTTTTTATGCCAGTACCATGCTGTTTTGGTTACTATAGCTTTGTAGTACAATTTGAAGGCAAGTAGTATAATGTGATGCCTCTAGGGTTTTTTGTTTGTTTGTGTGTTTTTTGCTCTGAATTGCTTTGTTTATTCTGGGTCCTGTGTTCTACATAAATTTTATAATTTTTTTTCTATTTCGTGAAGAATGTCATTGATATTTTGATAGGGATTGCATTGAATCATATAATCTGTAGATTGCTTTGTGTAGAATAGACATTTTAACAATATTGATTCTCTAATCTATGAACATAGAATATCTTTTCATATTTTTGTGTCCTCTTCAATTTCTATCAAGGTTAAATTTCAGGGTTCAAAATTTTGAGTGTCAGTGTTTACGATTTTCATCATAGATATATTTTACTCCTTAGATTAAGTTTATTCATAGTTATTTTATAGTATTTGTAGCTATTGTAAATGATATTACTTTCTCGATTTCTTTTTCAAATTGTCTGCTGTTGGTATATAGAAATGCTATTGATTTTTGTATGTTGATTTTGTGTCCTGCAACTTTACTGAATTTGTTTATCAGCCTAATAGTTTTTTGGTGAAGTCTTTAGGGTTTTCTAAATATAAGATCATATGATCTGCAAACAGCACTAATTTGACTTCTTCCTTTCCAATTTGGATGCCCTTTATTTCTTTTTCTTGTCTCATTGCTCTGGCTAGGACTTCTAGCACTATGTTGAATAAAAATGGTAATAGGGGGCATGGTTGTATTGTTCCAGATCTTAGAGGAAAGGCTTTCAGTTTTACCCCACTCAGTATAATACTAGCTGTAGATATGTTGTGTATGGTTTTTATCACATTGAGATATGTTTCTTCCATACCCCTCTCCATTAGCTGCAGACGGACCTGTCTTTGGTTCCTGGCACCCGCTCTTATTAACTGCACCTACGTTCAATATTCTGGCTGAGCATAATACTATAAGGTGTTAATTAATTCATGCTTGTAGGACATAATAACAATTAATGGATAAACTTGCAACCGCTCCCTATACCAGACCTTAGAATAAAATTCCGCAAGGCCCCCCTCACCCATTTCTGACCTCACCAACCCAGGAAAAAGGCACCCTTGCCAAACCCCAAAAACAAAAAAGTCTTAATCCAATTCAGCCAGAGCCTGAATATTTATATTTTAGCTATGGGTATTCTCAACAGCTACCCCTCAACTAATGCATTTTTTTTAAGAAACTCCACCCCATCACCCTCCCAAATCTAATTCTATTTTTATAGTGACTTCATCTGATGCATATATTCATCCGCTACTAAGCCCATAACCTAAATTGATGCACCCCCAAAAGCATCACCTATCCCCCTCCCCACTCCCCCAACCACTCACAGTACTGACAACTACCCCACCAACTCCTGCTAACTCCACTTTAAACCCCTAAGCTGTAAAACTGTGAATAATATTTGTCTCTTCTAGGCTCCAATTTTTCACTTAATGTATATACAGTTTATGTAGCTTAATTATTAAAAGCAAGACACTGAAAATGTCTAGACGGACTTATTACCCCATAAACAGATAGGTTTGGTTCTGGCCTTTCTGTTAACTCTTAGTAAGATTACACATGCAAGTATCACCATCCTAGTGAAAATACCCTCTAAATCATTATGATCAAAAGGAGTAAGAATCAAGCACAGACAAATGCAGCTCAAAACACTTTGCTCGGCCACACCCCCACAGGAAGCAGCAGTGATAAACCTTTAGCAATAAACGAAAGTTTAACTAAACTATACTAACACCCAGCGTTGGTTAATTTCATGCCAGCCACCGCAGCCATACGATTAACCCAAGCTAATAGAACCCAGCTTAAAGAGTGTTTTAGATCTGTTCTCAATAAAGCTAAGCTTCATCTAAGTTGTAAAAAACCCTAGCTGAAATAAAATAAACTACGAAGGTGAATTTAATATTTCTGAGGACACAATAGCTAAGACCCAAACTGGGATTAGATACCCCACTATGCTTAGCCCTAAACTCCAATAGTTAAATCAACAAAACTATTCACCAGAACACTACAAGCAATAGCTTAAAACTCAAAGGACTTGGCGGTGCTTTATATCCCTCTAGAGGAGCCTGTTCTATATATTGATAAACTCCAATTTACCTCACCACCTCTTGCTCAGCCTATATACTTCCATCTTCAGCAAACCCTAGTAAGGCTGCAAAGTAAGCACAAATATCTACGTAAAAACGTTAGGTCAAGTTGTAGCCCACGAGGTGTGGTAAGAAATGGGCTATATTTTCTACTCCTAGAAAATCTCATAACAACCCTTATGAAACCTAAGGGCCCAAGGAGGATTTAGCAGTAAATTAGGAGCAGAGTGCTTAATTGAATAAGGCCATAAAGCATGCACACACTGCCTGTCACCCTCCTCAAGTATACTTTAAGGACAAGCTTAACTAAACCTCCTACTAAACCCCCAGTTTGAGAATTTTTATTGTGAAAAGATATTACATTGTGTTGAATGCTTTTTTGGCATCTCTCGAAATAATCACACAGTTTTTGTCCTTCATTCTGTTAATAAGATGTATCACATTTATTGATTTGTGTATATTGAACCATCCTTGCATCCCTGGGATAAATCCTACTTGATCATGATGAATGATCTTTATAATGTGTTGTTGAATTCAGTTTCCAGTATTTTTTTATTTTTTATTTTTTTGAGATGGAGTTTTGCTCTTGTTGCCCAGGCTGGAGTGCAATGGCGTGATCTCAGCTTACCATAACCTCTGCCTCCTGGGTTCAAGTGATTCTCCTGCCTCAGCCTCCTGAGTAGCTAGGATTACAGGCATGTGCCACCACGCCTGGCTAATTTAGTCTTTTTAGCAGAGATGGCGTTTCTCCATGTTGGTCAGGCTGGACTCAAACTCCTGACCTCAGATGATCCATCCACCTTGGCTTCCCAAAGTGCTGGGATTACAGGCATAAGCCACTGTGCCCGGTCAGTTTCTAGTATTTTTTGAATATTTTTACATCTATGTTCATCAGGGGTATTGGCCTGTAGTTGTGTGTGTGTGTGTGTGTGTGTGTGTGTGTGTGTCTGTCTTTGTCTAGTTTTGGTATCAGAGTGACACTGGCCTTGTAGAATGAGTTTGGAAGTATCACCTCCTCCTTGACTTTTTCAAATAGTTTCAATCGGATTGATACTAGTTCTTCTTTAAATGTTTGGTAGAATTCAGAAGTAAGGCCATCAGGTCCTGGGCTTTACTTTCATGAGAGACATTTTATTACTACCTCTATCTCATTACTTGTTGCTGGTCTGTTCATGGTTCAATCTTGTTAGGTTGTGTGTGTCTAGGAATGTATCCATTATCTCTAGATTTTCCAATTTATTGCCATATAGTTCCTCACTATACTCTCTAGTGATCCTTTGAATTTCGGTAGTGTCAGTTTTAATGTTTCCTTTTGCATCTCTGATTTTATTTGGGTCTTTTCTTCTTTTTTCTTAGTCTGGCTAAAGGTTTGTTGACTTTGCTTATCTTTTCAAAATTAATCTTTTGTTTGGTTGTTTTTTTTTGTATATTTTAAGCCTCTATTTCCTTTAGTTCTGCTCTTATCTTTCTTTCTTTCCTACTAATTATGGATTTGGTTTGCTCTTACTTTTCTAGTTTTTTAAGATGCATCTGTAGGTTTTTATTTGAAGTTTTTCCACTATAATGTTGTGGGCATTTGTTGCTGTAAACTTCTCTCTTAGTATTGCTTTTGTTATATCCTACAGGTTTTAGTATATTGTATTTACATTTTTATTTGTTTCAAAAAATTTTTAAATTTTCTTCTTAATTCCTTTATTTACCCAGTGGTCATTCCGGAGCATACTGTTTGATTTCTACGTGTTTTTATAATTTTCAAACTTCCTCTTGTTATTGATTTCTAGTTTTATTCCATTTTGATTAGAAAAAATACTTGACATGTTTTCAATTTCTTTGAATTTTTTGAGACTTGTTTTGTGGATAACATATAATCTATCCTTGAGAATGTTCCATGTGCTGAGGAGAAGAATGTGTATCCTGCAGCTGTTGGAGAAAATTTTCTGTAAATGTTTATTAGGTCCATTTGTCTACAGTACAGATTAAGTATGAAGTTTCTTTGTTGATTTTCTGTCTGAGTGATCTGTCCAATGCTGGAACTGGGCTGTCGAATTCCCCAGATGTCATTGTATTGGGGTCTATCTCTCCCTTTAGCTCTAACATATCCGCATGCTCCCATGTTCAAGGCATACAAATTAACACTTGTTATATCCTCTTGCTAAATTGACCCCTTTATCATTATATAATGAACTTCTTTTGTCTCTTTACAGTTTTTGCCTTGAAATCTGTTTTATCTGCTATGAATATAGCTACTCCTGTTCTTTCTTGGTTTCCATTTCGATGAAATATCTTTTCCCATCCCTTTATTTTGAGTCCACCTGTTTCTTTGTAGGCAAAGTAAGTTTCTTGTAGGCAAGATATGGTTGGGTCTTTTTAAAAAATCCATTCAGCCACTGTATGTCTTTTGATTGGACAATTTAGTCAATTTGCATTCAATGTTATTATTGACAGTTTAGGACTTAATACTGCCATTTTGTTTTTTTTTTTCCTGACTCTTTTATTTGTTGGTCCTCTCCCATTTTTCTTGCTTCCTTTGTGTAAAAGTGATTTCCTCTGGTAGTATCTTTTAATTTCTTGCTTTAAATTGTTGTGTATCTGTTATGAATTTTGATGCTTACAAATAACATCCTATAACCAATTATTTTAAATGAATGAAAGCATAGCTCTGATTATAAATAAAAGAAAAAGCAAGAAGAGAGAAAACTAAAAAGAAACTACACTTTAACTCCATCCTTGCCCCCTACCTTTTTGACTTTTTGTTCTCTATTTATATCTGTTTATATTGTCTGTGTCTTAAAAAGTTATAGTTATTATTTTTGATAGGTTTGGCTTTTCATCTTTCTACTAAAGATATAAGTGGTTTATACACCACAATTACCGTGTCAGAACATTCAGTTTTTCAGTATTTGTGCACTTAGTATTACCATTGAATTTTATACTTTCAGATTATTTATTTTTGCTAATTAATGTTCTTTTCTTTCGGACTGAACATTTTCCTTCAGCATTTCTTTTTTTTTTCAACATTTATTTTAAGTTCCGGGGTACATGTTCAGGATGTGCACGTTTGTTACATAGGTAAACGTGTGCCATGGTGGTTTGCTGCACAGATCCACCCATCACCTACGTATTAAGCCCAGCACCAATTAGCTGTGCTTCCTGATGCTCTCTCTCTCCCTGCTCCCCCAACAGGCCACAGTGTGTGTTGTTGCCTGCCATTTGTCCATGTATTCTTATTGTTCAGCTCCCAATTATAAGTTAGATCATGCGGTGTTTGGTTTTCTGTTCCTGCATTAGTTTGCTGAGGATAATGGCTTCCAGCTCCATCCATGACCCTGTAAAGGACATGATCTTGCTCCTTTCCATGGCTGCATAGTATTCCATGTTGTATATGAACCACATTTCCTTTATCCAGTCTATCATTGACGGGCATTTAGGTTGATTGCATGTCTTTGCTGTTGCAAACAGTGCTGCAATGAACATATGCATGCAGGTATCTTTATAATAGTATGGTTTATATTCCTTTCAGTATGTACCCAGTAATGGGATTGCCAAGTCAAATGATATTTTTGCCTCTAGGTTTTGAGGAATCACCACAGTGTCTTCTATAATAGTTGAACTAATTTACATTCCTGCCAACAGTGTAGAAGCATTCTTTTTCTTCTGCAACCTCACCAGCATCAGTTTTCTTGACTTTTTAATAAACACCATTCTGACTGGCATGAGACAGTTTCTCATTGTGGTTTTGATTTGCATTTCTCTAATGATCAGTGATATTGAGCTTTTTTTCATATGTTTGTTGGGTGCAAAAATGTCTTCTTTTTGAGAAGTGTCTTTTCATGTATTTTGCCCATCTTTAAAATGGGGTTGTTTGTTTTTCTTGTAAATTTAAGTTCCTTGTAGATTCTGGATATTAGGCCTTTGTCAGATAGATAAATTGCAAAATTTTTTTCCCATTCTGTAGATTGTCTGTTCACTCTGATGATAGTTTCTTTTGCTGTGCAGAAGCTCTTTGGTTTAATTATTAGGTTGTTGCAAAAGTAATTACTATTTTTGCCATTAAAAAGTAATTAAAATTAATGGCAAAACCAGCAATTACTTTTGCACCAATCTAATAGATTCCATTTGTCAATTTTTGCTTTTGTTGCAATTGCTTTTGGCATTTTTCTAATGAAATCTTTGCCCATGCCTATGTCCTGAATGGTATTACCTAGATATTCTTCCAGAGTTTTTGTAGTTTTGGGTTTTACATTTAAGTCTTCAATCCATCTTGAGTTGATTTTTATATAAGGTGTAAGCAAGAGGTTCAGTTTTGATTTTCTGTACATGGATAACCAGTTCTCCCAGCACCATTTATCAAATAGGGATTCCTTTCTCTATTGCTTGCTTTTGTCAGGTTTGTCAAAGATCAGATAGTTATGGGTGTGTGGTCTTATTTCTGAGTTCTCTATTGTGTTCCATTGGTCCATGTGTCTGCTTTTGTACCGGTACCATGCTGTTTTGATTAATCTAGCCTTGTAGTATAGTTTGAAGTCAGGTAGTGTGGTGCCTCCAGCTTTGTTCTTTTTGCTTAGGATTGTCTTGGCTATACAGGCTTTTTTTGATTCTGTAGGAATTTTAAAATAGTTTTTTCTAATTATGTTAACAACGTCAATGGTAGTTTAATGGGATTAGCATTGAATGTATAAATTACTTTGGGAAGTTTGGCCATTTTCATGATATTGATTCTGCTTATCCATGAGCATGGAATATTTTTCCCTTTGTGTCCTCTCTGATTTCCTTGAGCAGTGGTTTGTAGTTATCTTTGAAGAGGTCCTTCACTTCCCTTGTTAGCTGTATTCATAGGCATTTTATTCTTTTTGTAGCAATTGTGAATTGGAATTCATTCATGATTTGGCTCTCCACTTGTCTGTTGTTGATGTACAGGAATGCTAGCAATCATGTTGTCTGCAAACAGGTATAGTTTGACTTCCTCTCTATTTGGACACTCTATTTCTTTTTTTTTTTTTTTTTAGATGGAGTCTCACTCTGTCACTCAGGCTGGAGTGCAGTGGTGCGATCTTGGCTCACTGCAAGCTCTGCTTCCTGGGTTGATGCCATTCTCCTGCCTCAGCCTCCCAAGTAGCTGGGACTACAGGCGCCCGCCACTATACCCAGCTAATTTTTTTGTATTTTTAGTAGAGACAGGGTTTCACTGTGTTAGCCAGGATGGTCTCGATCTCCTGATCTCATGATCCACCTGCCTCGGCCTCCCAAAGTGCTGGAATTACAGGCGTGAACCACCACACCTGGCCGACACTCTTTATTTCTTTCTCTTGCTTGATTGCCTGGCAAGGACATCCCATAATGTGTTGAATAGGAATGGTGAGAGAGGGCAACCTTGTCTTGTGCTGGTTTTCAAGAGGAGTGCTTCCAGCTTTTGCCTATTCAGTATGATGTTGTCTATGGGTTTGTCATTGATGGCTCTTATTATTTTCAGGTATGTTTCTTCAATACCTAGCTTGTTGAAAGCTTTTAACATGAAGGGATGTTGATTTTTATTGGGGGCCTTTTCTGTGTCTATTGAGATAATCATGTGGTTTTTGTCTTTAGTTGTGTTTATATAATGAACTACATTTATTGATTTGTGCATGTTGAACCAACCTCGCATCCCAGGAATGAAGCCAACTTCATCGTGATGGATAATCTTTTTGATGTGCAAACTGGATTCAGTTTGCCAGTACTTTATTGAGAATTTTTTCATTGATGTTAATCAGGGATATTGGCCTGATGTTTTCTTTTTTTTGATGTATCTCTGCCGGGTTTTGGAATCACGATGATGCTGGCCTCATAAAATGACTTAGGGAGGAGTCCCTACTTTTTAATAGTTTGGAATAGTTTCAGTAGAAATGGTATCAGCTCCTCTTTGTATCTCTGGTAGAAGTAACCTGTGAATCTGTGTGGTCCTGGGCTTTTTTTGGTTGGTAGGCTATTTATTGCTGCCTCAATTTCAGAACTTTTTATTGGTCTATTTAGGGATTCACTTTCTTCCTGATTCAGGCTTGGGAAGGTGTACATGTCCAAGAATGTATCAATTTCTTCTAGATTTTCTAGTTTATGTGCATACAGTTTCTAGCATTCTCTGAAGGTTGTTTGTTTTTCTGTGGGGTCAGTGGTGATATCCCCCTTATCATTTCTTATTGTTTCTATTTGATTCTTCTCTCTTTCCTTCTTTATTAATCTAGCTAGAGGTCTATTTTATTAATTTTTTCAAAAAACCAGCTCTTGGATTCACTGATTTTTTTGAAGAATTTTTGGTGTCTCTATCTCCTTCAATTCTACTCTGATCTTAGTTACTTCTTGTCTTCTGTTAACTTTGGGGTTTGTTTGCTCATGGTTCTCATTCTTTTAATTATGATATCAGGTTGTCGATTTGAGATCTTTCTAGCTGTTTGATATGGGCATTTAGTGCTCTAAATTTCCCTCTTAACACTGCTTTAGCTGTGTCCCAGAGATTCTGGTATGTTGTCTCTTTGTTCTCATTAGTTTCAAAGAACTTCTTGATTTATGTCGTAATATCACTAATTACTCAGTAGTCATTTAGAAGCAGGTTGTTTAATTTCCATGTAGCTGTGTGGTTTTGAGTGAGTTTCTTAATCTTGAGTTCTAATTTGATTGTGCTGTGATCTGAGACTGGTTGTTATGATTTCAGTTCTTTTGCATTTGCTGAGGAGTGTTTTACTTCCTATCATGTGATCAATTTTAGAGTAAGTGCCATATGGTAATGAGAAGAAAGTATATTCTGCTGTTTTGGGTGGATAGTTCTATAGATATCTATCAGGTTCACTTGATCCAGAGCTGAGTTCAGGTCCTGAATATCTTTGTTAATTTTCTGTCTTAATGATCTGTCTAATATTGTCAGTGGGGTGTTAAAGTCTCCCTCTATTATTTTGGGACTCAGTCTCTGTGTAGGCCTCTAAAAACTTGCTTTATGAATATGTGTGCTCCTGTATTAGGTGCATAGATATTTAGGATAGTTAGCGCTTCTTGTTGAATTGAACCCTTTACCATTACATAATGCCCTTCTTTGTCTTTTTGATCTTTGTTGGTTTAAATTTCATTTTGTCAGAAACTTGGATTGCAACCCTGCTCTTTTCTGTTTTCCATTTCTTTGGTGAATTTTCCTCCATCCCTTTATTTTGAGCCTATGTGTATTTTTGCATGTGAGATGTGTCTCTTGAAGACAACATACCGATTGTGCTTCACTCTTTATCTAGCTTGCCATTCTGTGCCTTTTAATTGGGGCATTTAGCCCATTTACATTTAAGGTTAATATTGTTGTGTATAAATTTGATCCTGTCATCATGATACTACCTGGTCATTTTGCAGATTTGTTTATCCAGTTACTTCACAGTGTCACTGGTCTGTGTACTTCAGTGTGTTTTTGTAGTGGCTGGTAATGATTTTTCCTTTCCATATTTAGTGTTTCCTTCAGAAGGCTTTACAAGGCAGTCTGGTGGTGATGAATTCCCTCAGCATTTTCTTGTCTGAAAAGCATGTTATTTCTTCCCTTATGAAGTTTAGTTTGACCAGATATGAAATTCTGGGTTGGAAATTCTCTTCCTTAAGAATGTTGAATATTGGGTTGGGCATGATGGCTCGTGCCTGTAATCACAGTACTTTGGGAGACTGAGGCGGGCAGATCACTTGAGGTCAGGAATTTGAGATAAGCCTGGCTAACATGGTGAAACACCATCTCTACTAACAATACAAAAATTAGCCAGGCGTGGTGGTGTACACCTGTAATTGCAGCTACTCAGGAGGCCGAGGTAGGAGAATTGCTTGAACGTGGGAGGCAGAGGTTGCAGTGAGTCAAGATCACACCATTGCACTCCAGCCTGGGTGACAGAGTGGGACTCTGTCTCAAGAAAAAAAAAAAAGAAAGAATGATGAATATTGGCCCCCAAATCTCTGCTAGCTTGTAAGGTTTCCACAGAGAAGTCCACAGTTAGTCTGATGGGCTTCTGTTTGTAGGTGACCTTGCCTTTGTCTCTTGCTGCCCTTAACATTTTTTCTTTCATTTTGACCTTGGAGAATCTGACGATTATGTGTCTTGGGGTTGATCTTCTCATGTATTCTGTTACTTGGGTTCTCTGCTTTTTCTGAATTTGAATGGTGTCCTGTCTTGCTAGGTTGGGGATGTTCTCCTGGATAGTATCCTGAAGTATGTTTTACAACTTGGCTCCATTCTCCCCTCTTTTTCAGGTACCCAATGTTTCATAGGTTTGGTCTTTTTACATAATTTTCTATTTCTCAGAGGTTCTGTTCATTCCTTTTCATTCTTTTTTCTCTATTCTTGTCTGCCTGTCTTATTTCAGAAAAACAGTCTTCAAGCTCTGAGATTTGTTCCTCTTGTTAGTCTATTCGGCTGTTGATACTTGTGATTGCATTGTAAAGTTCTTGTGTTGTGTTTTTTAACTCCATCAGGTTGGTTTGTTTTCCTCTCTAAACTGGCTATTCTGGTTATTAGCTCCTATAATGTTTTATCATGATTCTGAGCCTTTTTGCATTGTGTTAGAACATGCTCCTTTAGCTCAGTAAAGTTCTTTGCTACTCACCTTCTGAAGCTTACTTCTGTCAATTCATCCATCTCAGCCTCAGCCCAGTTCTGTGCCCTTGCTGCAGAGGTGTTGTGATCGTTTGAAGGAGAAGAGGCATTCTGGCTTTTTGAGTTTTCAATGTTCTTTTTGTGTGGATTCTCATCTTTGTGGACTTATCTACCTTCGATCTTTGAGGCTGCTGACCTTTCAATGGGGTTTTTGTGGGGTGGTTTTTTTGATATTGTTGTTGTTGCTTTCTGTTTGTTTGTTTTACAGTCAGGCCTCTCTTCCGTAGGGCTGCTGCAGTTTGCTGGGGGTCTGCTCCAGACCCTAGTCTCCTCAGACCCTCCCTCACCAGGTGGTATCACCAGTGAAGGCTACAAAACAGCAAATATGGTAGCCTGCTCCTTCCTCTGGTAGGTCTGTCTCAGGGATCACTGACCTAATGCTTGCTGGAATGCTCTTGTAGGAGGTGTCTGGAGATCCCTACTGGGTGGTCTCACCCAGTAAGGAGGTACAGGATCACTCAGACTCTCAGCACTCTGCCTGCCCCTTGGCCAGGTAGGTGCACTGTGCTGGGGGGAACCCCCCTCGTCCACACCACCTGGACTTTTCAGAGCCATCAGGTGGGAAAGGCTGTCAGCTTAGCTGTAAATACAGTAGCTGCCCCTCCCCCCAGTGGCTCTGTTCCAGGGAGAGGTCAGAATTCTGTTCATAAAACCCTAGCTGGAGTTGCTGAAATTCCCACAGGGAGGCCCTGCCAGGTGAAGAGGGATAGATTGGGTCTCCACTTAAAGAAACAGTTTGGCTATGATCTGCCACAGTAGCTGTGCTGCACTGTGGGGAATTCCTCCTGCTCTGGACTGCCCAGACTCCCTGGATCCAGCAGGCCAAAATGGTGGTCTTGAGCCTCAGAAGTCATCTAGCATTTCTTGTAAGACAGGCCTGGTGTTGATGAAATCCCTCAACTTTTGATTGTCTGGGAAAAATCTTTATTTCTTCTTCATGTTTGAAGGATAAGTTTGCTGAATATAATATTCTACATTGGAAGTTATTTTTTCCCTTCAATAGTTTAAATATGTCATTCTACTCTCTCCTGGCCCATAAGATTTCCACTGAAAAGTCTATTTCCAGATGTATTGGTGCTCCTTTATAGGTTACTTGTTTTCTTTCTGTTGCTGCTTTTGGGATCCTTTATCTTTTACCTTTGGAAGCTTGATTATTATATTCCTTGAGGTAGTCTTATTTGGATTAAAACTTCCTGGTGTTCTTTCACCTTCTTGTACCTGGATAGTCACATATTTCTCTAGGTGTACAAAATTCTCTGTTCTTATTAATTTGAATAACATTTCTAACCCAACCTCTATCTATATGTATACTCTTTAAGGCCAATAATTCTTAGGTTTTTCTCTTTTGAGGCAATTTTTTTTTATATCTTATAGGATTGCCCTATTGGATCATATTCTTTTTTCTCCTCTGACTGTATTTTCATATAGATTGTCTTCGAGATAATTAAATCTTTTCTTCTGCTTGATCAATTTTGCTAAGAGACTCTGATGCATTTTTCAGTTTGCTACTTGAAATTTTTAGCTCCAGAATTTGTTTGATTTTCTAAAATTATTTCAATTTCTTTGTTAAATTTCTCTGATAGAATTCTGCATTCCTTCTTTATGTTATCTTAAAGTTTGTTGACTTTTCCTGACAGCTATTTTGAATTTCCTGCCTGAAATGGCACATATTTCTATCAATACAGGATTAATCACTGGTACTTTATTTATTTCATTTGGTGAGGTCATTTTCCTGGATGTTCTTGACACTTGTGGACATTTGTGGATGTCTGGACATTGAAGGGTTATGTATAGATTCCAGTCTTCTCTGGGCTTGTTTGTACTCATCCTTCTTGAGAGGGCTTTCCAAGAAATCAAAGGGGATTTAGTGTTGTGACCTATGTCAGCAGTTCTGGCAGCCATTTAAGCACTAGAGGGTGCCTTAATTCCAAGAATGCTGTGACTCTGGCAGATTCCTACAAAGACAGCCTTGGTGGTCTTGGGGTAGCTAAGGCAGAATTCCCTGGGTTACCAGGCAAAGTCTCTTGCTCTCTTCCTTCTGTTCCCCTCAGTAAGAAGTCTCACTCCATGATGGGCTGCCTGGGTTTTGAGGAGTGATGATGTGGGCAGTCTTGTGGCCACCACAGTTGGCACTGCACAGGATCACACCTAAAGCCTTGCAGACCATTACAGTACTAAGGCTTGTACTCAACGCTCATCATGGCCACTACTCGCCACTGGTTGCCACTGATGTTTATTCAAGACCCAAGACTACTTTAGTCAACGGATGGAAAATCCTACCAGAACTGGGTCTGTCCTGTTAGGTCAGGAGATTCCCTTCTGGTCCAGGGTGAGTCTGGAAATGCTGTCCAGAAGCAAAGACTTGAAATCAGGAGCTTCATGAATCTGCTTGGTGTTTTATTTTACTGTGGCTGAGCTGGTACCCAAGTTGCAGATAAAAACCCTCTGTTATCTTCCCTTTCCTTCCTCCAAGTGGAGGGAGTCTGCCCTGGAGCTGCCTGGAGTTGGGGAGAGGATAATGCAGACACTCTCTTGGTTGCCACACCTGGTTTCAAACTTGGTTGTACCCCAAATCCACTGCCTCTGAGACCAGTGCAGCACCAGGGCTTGCCCGAGGACTGTAGTCCTTGTGACCTGACTGCCACTGAAATTCGTTCCAGGCCCCAGGCCACTTTGGTCAGCCAGTGGTGAAGCTGGCTAGGACTCAGGTTCTTGCTGCTGGGGTGAATTCCCCTTTGGCCCAGGGCTGATCTAAATGTTTCTTCTGTGGGCACTAGCAGAATTCTGCCCCATGTCTTGTTACTCTGTGTCAGGGCAACAGTTCCAATGCAAAGTTCCATACTCACTTTGCTCTCACTCTCCTAAGCACACAGATGCTCCACACTGCTCCACCTGTGGTTAGGGGAGGGGTGGTATAGGAAATGACTGTCTTTCCTACCCTCTTCAATGCCTCTTTCCTTGGTATTACATTCAAACCAGGTACTGTAATTGCTTACCTGATTTCTTGGTTCTTAAGGTGCTTTCTTGCGTGGATAGATGTTCAATTTGTTGTTCCTGTGTGGAGACAATCACTGGTGGGTTCTGTTTGGCCACCTTGCAGAGAAAGTCCTGTAAATAAAAGTCTTAATGCCATGTGTATGGCTAGAAAACATACTAACATGATTTAAAATATGTGTAGTATCAAGTAAGTAGAATTTTTTCGTTTGTCATAGGGTAACAAAATTTTGAGTACTGAAGAAATGTTTTATAAGGACAATTATTTTTCTTTATTGGATGCCTAGGATGGTCCGAACATGGGGAACCATGAATAGTTTTTAGTTAAACAAAATCAGTGGTCATTCGTTCACTTATTCCTTCACATTAATAAACATTTATTGAAGGTGGCTTACATAGAGCTGAGAAACAGTGGTAAACAGCCCATTGATTAAGGTGAGAAATAATAAAGGCTTGAATGATAATAAGGATGGAGGAGATAAGACAAAGTGGTAGGCTTTGTGAGCTATCTAGGAAGAAGAGTGAGCATAGAATACATTCCAGACTAACAAAGTCACCAACCCTGATCTCCTCCAATGCCAGAAATACATATCTATGTCCCCTAGTTATTTCTAAGGCCAAAATATTGCTCCATGTGTGCGTAAGAAGAGGTTTGTTGGATTTTGCTCTGGCTTACTTATTGTGCTACCACATTGCACCCCCTGTAATTGGAATCCCTTGGGAAGTCACTATTCCACCAGGTGCAGAGGTTGTTATCCACCATTCACAGCTACCATCACTTTTCTCATGTAGGTTTCACACTTGGTTGCACCCCAGATAGGAAGAGAAAGGTGATGGTAGCTGTGAACACTGGCAAACAACCTCTGTACCCAGTGGAATACTGTTGGGCAAAGAGATATTCTTTGTCCAGAGTACGGGCACAGGTACCTCTGTAATACCCCATGATGCAAAGAGTTTCCAGTAAAATGTTAATGCATAGAATGAGGCACAAGAAAAATTCCAATTGTATTGGCTCTTCTTGCTTCCCACTTTCACAGGTGTACTCCCAGAGGTAGACATTAAAGCTCAAAAAAGTATATTTGATTACTAAGAAATATATTAATGTAAGGAGGGTTATATTTTAAAATATATTAGTATTTTCTCCTCTTTTGCAATTCTATATACATGAGCTTGTCTCTGCTTAGCTTGAAGCATCCATTTGACTTGGGGAGTAGGGTTAGAATTCTTACATTAGAAATACAAGAGAGAAGAAGATTCAATATTCAGTTTCTAATACTTATGAAGAGATACTTGAAGTCAAAGCAAAGTGACAGGAATCTCTGAGACAGATAGAAACTTTCCAAATTCCTTTACCTATCTCAAGAATATATCAAGAAGCAGGCCTGGAAGATAAGACTGTAGAAAATTGTATGCCTAACATAGGGCAAAAGTAGAGAAAGTGAATGCCCCAAACCTGCTTCTCTGGTTCCCATGGGTTGGTTGCTGAATAGGGGAGACAGAAAGGGGAGATGTGGGGAGCAGGAGTTATAATCTGATCTGTACTCTCTGAGTCTTTCCCTGGCCTGGGGATATCATGTTAAATAGGCACAGGGAATGCTTGTTCCTTGATCCGGGCAGTAGAAGAATGTGTTCCAAAGCCTTCTGAACCAATTTGGGAATTGACAACATCAAAGTAAACTCAGGGGGCCAGCATGGTTAGGAAAGAGCCAGAGTTTATTTTCTGAGCAATTCTGAGTTCTCAGAAGAGATATGGAAGCTGGTTGAGCTGAAAGTCAGTGGGCCCTGGCCTGTGATGGCAAAGGATGAGGTGCCCCAGCAGCAGAAACCATGGGGTCCAGAAACTATACTGGTCAGGAATCTGGTAGAGCACAAAGAAGAGACTCAGAGTTCCACATGCTTTTAAAAATGGGATTGAGGACACACTGACCAGGGAGCCATTTCCACTGTTTCCTGGAAGAATTACTTCAGCTTTCCCTTGGGCCTCAGCTTGCTTTGCCATGGTCCCTACCTGAAAGGGACAGGGTTTAGGAATTAGTGGAGAGACCATGTTGCATAGGTAGGAAACATCTTTAAATTATAGCAACATTATTGGAAATGTTATCTACAACGCCTGTATAGTCATGTCCCTCTGTGTAGCCTGGCTATGTGCCACATTGTGAGGTTCTCTCCCTCTAGCTACTTCTTCCAGTTTCCTCTTTCAGGATCCCAATTCCTTTCTCAAAGCACTGGTGAATAACTCCAAATACTCCATCATTTCATTATACAGAGTAATATAAGTCTTCTTTTTCTAAACCTCTCCCATCTGGATAGTGGACCTCATATTTCAGATGCTAATAGGCTGTTGAGGTAGTTTCCTAAGCAAAAAAGTAATTGTCTCTCTCAGAGGAATGCTTTAGTGCTTTTTAGCCAAGTGATTCCAATCATAGCCACAGTTTACAACATTTGTATCTTTATCTGTATCCTTATTTATACCTCTATCTATCTATCTATCTATCTATCTATCTATCTATCTATCTATCTTCAAAATATTACATAAGGATACCAAAGAGGAAAATCACCCTTGTCACATACTTGCTATTAAAATATACTTTTATTAGTACAGATTATCTGGGACACCACTTTAATTAGAAGCTTTAAAAGCATATGCATGTCTCAGTATTTAATTTTAAAATTATTACATAATTATATACTCCTTTGAATTAGAAAATTACAAATGTGGCTATGTATTATTTTCTCCCATGTATTTTCAAAATGAGGGGGTAAGCCAGACCCTCTCCCTCTCCCATGCCTAATAGCTCAAAGTTAAAGGTAAAGAAACAAGAAAATATGGTGAAAGTTAACCAGCTTCACTTCAGAGGAAAGGCGTGTTGTGTAGTTCAAAGTTAGAAAATTCCCTGTTGTCAATAAGTATTCAAACACAATTTTGAAACTGCAGGATTACTTTAGGGAAGTTGCATATAGAAATTGCCTAGAGAAGAGAGACATGTTAGATGGAAAAAGTTGTCTTAGGTCACAGTGAATATTGTTTTATGGCAAAAATTATATTTTCCTTCTTGCAGAGTTTTTCAGTAACAGAAGATGAGGATTTAGAGGGCTAGAATTCCAGCTTCCCTTAAGTTTAGTCTTCTCGTTCCGCACAAAAGTGCTTTTTATTTGATAAAGCGATGAGAAAAATAAGCTCAGGTGAATATGCTCAAATAAATGGCTATTTTTGTGGAAGGAAAGTTCAGTTTGACATGCTCCTGAATGAATGATGTTTTTAAAGACAACCAACCTACAGTCTTATAAACAATGAAAATCATACTGTATATAAATGAACAATATTTACATTTTACAGATCTAAGAAGCAACTTACACAGTATTGTGCAGCTTCCCTTATTTATTCAAAAACTGAGGCTTCTATTTCAACTCAATTGCTTGGCATTTGGAATTGAGTGAATGCAGCGTGAGAAATCTCAATGAGCAGACTGATGTTACTAAATGAGATAAACAATTTCATTGAAAGAGTATCAAAGAAGACTCTGGCACTGGATGTTACTGAAGTCCATCATTTTTTAAAAAAACTTTATATTGATAACTAATTTTAAAGAGACATGTCTTTGGTCATTTTTTTAGACTTTAACAAAATTAGTTGTTCACATGGATAGGAGTTACAGAGATATATTGATGAATTGGGTGTGTTCTAAGGTTTTTTTGAACTACTACTAGCTAAGATTTTTAGTTTTTGATCATTGTGTTGTTATTTTAGACTTAGTATGGGTCTAGCACTCTTTATTTTCTGGGTTTGACTAATTTTATTGTCAGAGCCTGGGAACATGAAGAGGAATGCCAGAGAAGTGGTACACTGTAAGCCATGTGTGTGTGTCTATTCATCAACTACCTGACTCACTCCCCAGCCATGCCTCTCACAAGAGGAATTTAAAGTTACTACAGTCAGTACTAAAGATAAAGTTGGGATAGCAGATGCTTTGGTAGCTGCATGTCTAAATAATAGTAATTATTTTGCTTCTAGCATTCTCTAATGTTGTTTGGTTTTGAGAGCTAATGGCATTTCTATTTTTTTCCACAGTAAATAACAGTTTCACTAAATCATTAGGGTTGGGTCCAATAGTTACAAGAGTATTGACTTCTATGTAAACCAGCAGAAAAGGCTTATAGATCACATCGCATGTTTGATAGTTTACTGGAGTTTTTCTGACGGCCACCTTACTTACAGTCAGACAGCATAAAGATTGGAGATACGGAGTTGGTCGTGGGTTGAAAGAATACCTGGAGAGAAAAAGAGCTATGAGAAATGTTTTACATTCTGTCACACTAAAACAAGAAGTTGGGTCATATTCACAATTCTAAATTGTGACAGAAATATAATATGGCTTAAGCAACTAGTTGGGGACTTATGTTCTGAGATTATATGATTTAGTAGCTATACATTGGGTTTCATTACACACGATGTACTTTGAAAAGTCAGCCAATAAAAAGAAAAAATAGGATAACTTACATTTTTGTCTATGGTTTCTATTTCATTATGCCTAGTAACTTTAAGAATACAGAAGCACACGTGTTAAAATGAAGAAATTAATATTATGGAGAACGCTGAAATAGTTGTACTATTTTGGAAAATCAAGTTCAGAGTATCAACTGCGGAAATTCAATAAAACTTTTGGCCTTCAATATAAGATAGACCATAAATCAATGAAGTTTAAATAGTTCTGCTCTCTTGAACACCTGCTTATCTGTCTTGAGAAAATTCTGTAGTGTTTTAACCATCATTTTATAACATTAAAAAGTAATGCTTACTATTGCAGTACTTGGAAAGGCCATTAAAGTTAAGGGTCTGTCAGCCATTCCATTATAAACCCTGATTTCCAGGAGTTTAATATAACCTAGACATTGCATGTAATAAACCCTAATGCAGGAATCTGAGACTTGGATCATTATTTTCTCTATTTAAAGACCAATTCCCCGACAAAGACTCTATTTAGCCATGGCAAGTACTTTTTGGATAAGTTGCAATTTTAAAAATTTACCAAATGCTATCTTTTTCCTTTCTGTAATATTTTATCTCTAATTTAAGATAAGCCCGCACAAAGGAATGCTGTGTGTAAAATGGCTTTTGAATAAAGTTAATCTATGTATTCAGAAAGGAGTCCCCCACCAGAATTTCTTGCTGCTTCTCATAGTGAAGCACCTGTGGGCCCATAAATATGGCATATTAGTTTTCTATTTTGCTGTAACAAATTGCTACAAACTTAGTGGCTTATAATACCATAAATTTATTCTCTTAAAGTTCTGGAGGACAGAAATCTGAAATTAGTTACACTGGGCTAAAGTCAAGGTGTCAGCAGGGCTGAATCCTTCTGAATCCTTCTGACAGAGAATGTTTCTTTGTCTTTCTGAGCTTCCTCTAAAGCAGCTGAGGGTGAGGTCCCTTCTTCCATTTTTAATGTGTATCACTCCAATATCTGCTTCCGTCAGAGGGTACTGGAGCAATCAGTATTTCTTAATGAAATGGGAGAGTTTCCAGATTCCCCTCACAGAATGTGCAACAGGGATGTCGCTCGACTGTTTGGTCGCCCCACAGCTCAAACCCCTTACAGGACCGGGAGCAGGCAGATGGACAGGTGCAGGAACCGAGGTTAATGCTTCTGGGCTCTGTCCCCATGGCAGTGCCTAGGGGTGGGTGTCTGCAACTCCTGAAGCCCAAGTGGGCGTGTGTTACTATGTGTTCTTTTAGCTTTGCTGTCTGCAGACAGCTTGTGTGTTCATCAGCCTAATGGACCGTCTGCTTTATCGCAATGGCAGGGGGCCATTGTGACAGCCTTCTGTATCCCAAGCTCTTGCCCAGTATCCTGAAAGAACTGGATCCAATGTGGGCTCAAAGGATGAGTGCAAGGTTTTATTGAGTGGTGGAGGTGGCTCTCAGCGAGATGGATGGGGAGCTGCAAAAGGGGATGGAGTGGGAAAGTGGTCTTCTCCTGGAGTTGGGCTACCCAGTGCTGGACTCTTCTCTGACTGCCCCAGCCAAACTCCCCTCGGCATCCATACATCCCTCCTCTTCTTTCTCTGCCGCATTTTTCTGCCATCACTGGTCTGCTGATGTGCCGGTCCACTGGTCTGCTTGCCTTCTCATCTCCTTGCTTGCAGGTCTTATCTGGAGTTTAGGGTTTGGGGTTTATATGGGGGTAGAATTGGGGGTGTGGTGGGCCAAAAGGCAACTTTTCGGGCACAAAAACAGAAATGTCTGTCCTCATTTAGGGCCGTGGGTCTTCAAAGGCTTGAGGGTTGGGCCTTTGCTGACAAACCACCCTCTTGTCAGTATTTTCCTGTCTCCTGTCCATATCATTATGTACATAGTGTGAACAATATTTTTAATTTTCTAGGATATGAATTGTTAGGTGGTTCCAAGTTCCCAAGTGGTGATGCTTGGATAGGATAAGAAGGAAATTTCAGAAGTTGGCATTTTGCTGGCTCTCAAGAGCTTTATATATGCCTCAAACTTGGGTATGGACTTTGATTTTCTTCAGTATTGTGAATTAATCACAAGAAAAGTCCTCAGAGTGACTTTATATTTTGAAATTAAGTTGAGCTTGAGATACATCTTCTGGTAAATCTGAGTCTCAAATATCTGAGCTGCACATAAAAATGAGTGCTTTAGACCTGCCCAGAACTTGGGAGAAAGGAGTATGTTTTGGAGGAATGAAGAGGAAGAAAGATGTGGAGAAGTAGTTTTGTTTCTTGTTCACTGATGATCTCTGCTGTTAGACAGGCTAATATGTGATGCTCGGAAGCCTCACCGGATGGCATCACCGTGTACTCCTCCAAAAGCAAGACACTTTCTTTGTCATGGGTGCTGGGTGTCTTGTGGTTATTAGATTTGTGGTGGGAGGTCTGTGGAGATAAGAGTTCCTTGATGAATTGTATTCCTTTCTCTTTGTCTGTTACAGGATATATGTTTCTAAAGAAATCATGTTGTAAATAATATTTTTGAAAAGAAGCTTAGGATCCCATATTAGCTTGCCAACACAGCTTTATTAATCCCTGATGGAGCCAATATATTTGTTTTAGGGAATGAAGTATAAGAAGTGTAAGAACAGAAGAAAAAGAAATGGTAACAGGCAAGTTGACCAATTCGAAAGAGAAGTGTGTATTAAATTAAATTCTACTTCATGATGATTTAAATAAGATTTTATTTCTTTTTTTTAAAGATACTGAGAAAGTAACTATTCTATAGGCCCTTGTTTCTCTGAGTATTTTCTGAGTGATGTATAATCAATCAAAGAAGAAGCTTTTTGAGGGCCACCTGGTAGAAATGAGATATCCTTATGTCCTTGTGTCAGGAGTCTCAAGACCATTCCTAGGCTCAGTGCTTCACCAGAAGGACTCACAGGTCTCAGGCTGTTGTACTCACAGTTGTGGTTTATAACAGTGAAAGGATACAGATCAAAATCAGCAAAGGGAAAAAGCACATGGGTAAAGTCCAGAAGAAAGCAAGCACTAGGTTCTTGGTGTCCCTTCCCAGTAGAATCACATGGAGATTTCTCCCAGAAATGATGAATGATGACATGTGTAAATTATTGCAAACCAGAGAAGCTCACCTGAACCTTACTGTCCAGGTATTTTACTGGGGGTCAGTCACATATGCAAGCAGCACCTGTGTGATTAATCTGAACCACTCAGTCTCCTGTCCTACAATAGTCAAACCTATACATGTGTCTTAGGGCCTCAGTCGTATGAAAACACACATTCACCACATGTCACATTTTAGCAGAAACTATTTGGTCAAACTGATACAGCCTTGGATATGTCCAAGGCCTCAGGCATATAAAAACACTCTATTAGGCAGGATGTTCCAAAGGTTCAGAGGTCATGTTTAGGAGCTGGTCAAGGGCCAGCCCTCTTGAAGTCAGGTCTTTATTTGGGATGTGCAGGGCTTGAGCAATGTGGGTGGGCCTGCAGAGTTGTTTACTGTTGAGTCCCCTTGATGTTGTACAATTTAACTGAGGCAGCAAAAACAATGATATTTATGGCATAGAACCTTTTCTAAAGCCATCCTATTGGGATGGTCAAAAGGGAGTATAAGTAAAGCTGTAATTATGGTTTTTCAAATACTGAAAATGGATGATCTCTTGTGTTAGATTTGCCTTGATGTCAGAGCTGAGAGAATGGATTCCATTACAGAGGAAGCACAGATTTTGATTGGCATGTTTCTCACTCCTATATTCTACATGCTCAAAGTGGATAAACATGTGATAAGACATCCCCAAACATTCCTTAAACCAAAAATACCTTCACTAATTTTGCTACTTTTTAGGCCAGTGGTTCTGTCTTGATTGTATGTTATAACCACTTGAGAGATTTCTAAAATATCAATAGCTAGGACACATCTTTAGAAATTCTGACTTAACTTCCCAGGATATAACTTGAGAACTGATATTTAAAATATTTCTTAGATTATTTTTAATGTACAGAGGCTGAAGACCATGCAATTGATCAGAAGGGGATAGAATTAGGGGAATTCTGGTCTTCACTAAGCCAGTGGTTCTCCACTCTCCCTGGATGTTAGATTCACCTGGGGAAGGGGTTTGACTTGTAAAAAGATGGATTCCTATGCTCTCCTACCAGAGATTCTTGTCTAGTTGGTCTAGATGAATCCTGGGCATTGTAAATTCTAATATAGAGTCAGAGGTGAGACTGACTGGTCTAAACAATTCATGTTCTTGTGGTCTCTCTATTGTGCTCACTTGAACACCATATTATCTAATTAAGTTATAAGAAGTAGGTTACCATCTTTAGGAATCTCAGGGAGCAAGCAATGCACACTGATATGGTTTGGCTCTGTGTCCCCACCCATATCTCATGTCAAACTGTAATCTTGAGTGTTGGAGATGGGGCCTGGTGGGAGATGACTGGATCAGGGGAAGACTTCCCTTTTGCTCTTCTTGTGATAGTGAGTGAGTTCTCATGAGATCTGGTTGTTTAAAAGTGTGTAGCACCTCCCGCTTCTCTCTCTTCCTTTTTCTCAGCCCATGTAAGACATGCCTTCTTCCTCTTCACCTTCTGCCATGATTGTAAGTTTCCTGCGACCTCCCTAGCCATGCTTCCTGTATAGCCACGGAATTGTGAGTCAATTAAACCTCTTTTCTTTATAAATTACCCAGTGTTAGGTATGTCTTTATTGCAGTGTGAGAACAAACTAATACATACACATTGAATACACACGGTCTCTGTAGGTGATATTTCAGCTGCGATATGAAAGATAAGATGAAGCCAGTTATAGAAAGATTTAGGAGAAGGGCATACCATACAGAAGAAATGGCAGGTGCAAAGGTGAGAGATTGTTACTTTATGAATGGAAAGGAGGACATATGGTTAGAAGTGTGGCAAGCGAGAGAAAGAAGTGGTACAAGTTGAAATTGGAAAGGAAATCAGGAGCTCCATCATGCAGGCCCCTGTTATTTTAAGTTATTTTAAGGAGTTCAGAATTTATTCTTAGGTTAATGGGAAGTATTGAAAGGTTTAGGGCTTGTAGTAACATAATTTGCATTGTAAAAAATCTTTCTGTCTACAAGGTGGGGAGCAGATAAGGGTCAAGAGTGAAAGGAGAAAGACAAGTTAGAGCCATGGTAATGGTCTGAGCAGGAAGAAAGAAAGTTTGGACCCGATGGGGACAGTTGGGGTGGAAGGAAAGGAACCAATTCAAGATAGATTCTGGAAATAGAAATGACAGAACTGAAAGATATAATGACCATGGGGGGTCTATCCAATGGGAAGAATTAAGGATGTTGAAGCAGTTTTAGGCATTATGATGCCATTTGCTGAACTGGAGAAAACTGGGGGATGATAGAGTTGGGGCAAAGGAATCAAGAGTTTTTAACATGTTAAAATTAAGACACCTACCAGATATCCAAGAAGAAATGTAAAGTTTGCAGTTGCACATAAGTATATCTGGAGGGGAAAGGTTTGGACTGAAGATAAAATTTGGGCATTATTAGCATACTGGTGACATTTAAGATATTGAACTGAATGATACTTGCTGGGGAGAATGTAGCCAGGAAAGGTTGGATATAATGGAGACACAGTGGTGATCATTGGTTTTAGCAACTAGACCAGTGTGGGTGAGTGAATAGGAGGTGAGGTTAGATAGCATCATGCTTAGAAAAGCTTTTGAAAATTGACTCTGAAGGGAAATAGAAAAATGGAGCAGTTGGTTGCCAGAGGGCCAGTTGGAGTCAAGGGAGGATTTTTGAAAGGAGGAGACACAGGAACATGTTTGATGGAAATGATCCTGTGTAAGGTGTGAGAGTTAACCATATGGGAGGAAAGCTGGAGAAAATTCCTTGGGAAGGTGAAAGGGGAGGGGTCCCAGGGCACAAGTGGAAGGGCTGGGTTTTGACAGGTAAATTTTCCATTTTATCAAAATAGAATATGGGAACATGCTATTGTCAATACCTCACTTAAGTCAGATAGCCTGTATGTCTTCTGCCTTCTTCATACTTGTAAAAGAAATTCATACTTTCTGCCTAAGTTAGTCATACTTTGGCTCTAGTTCCAAACTATTCTTCTCACAATCAATTGAATAACTTTATGAATTCCTAGTCCCGAATTATCCTTTTTCTCTTTTCTAAATGGAAAATTCTAGTTAAGTGCTCCTAGTTATATTTGTCTTTTCTTGGCTGATTTTTACCTGTTTGCTTCAAAATGTGTCTCCTTTTTTGCCTGGTGGATTCTCCAGATCTCTCATTTTTTTTTTTTTAACTGCTCAACCATCATTACCACCCGGTACTCTACTTTCACTTCTCTGGAAATCATGTATCTAAGCTCTCAGCTCTGAACCACCTGTTTAACTTGTTATTAATATAATCATTTTCTCTGAATACTTTGATTTCTCTGACCCATATCAAACTGCCCTGTTTTGATGGTTATCAAGAGAGCTTAATGTCATCACTGTCTAGTTTTTCTTAGCTATTTGATTTAACTGATGCCACCAACAGATATTTGTTGAGTGCCTTCTGTGTGCCAGACAGTGTGTCAGACAGTGTGTTAGGTGATGAGTTGTATTTATATTTATCATAACAACAAATATTGACTTCCTTTTAACACAGTTAATTATCTTCATCTTTACTCTCTCTCCCTGCCACTGTTTGACTTTATTATTTGAATCCTAAAGTGTGATGCTTCCTATATTTTGTTTAGTATTTTAATTTGTTTCAGGTAGGGGGATAAACCTGGTCCTGGTTACTCTATCATGGCCAAAAGCAGAAGTCTCAGATTATGTTTTAAAACATGTACATGCTTCCAACTGAAAGGTTATTCCATACAAGACAATGTCTTCTTTAGCATTTACCCCAATTTATATTTTTTCATAATTTATACTCTCTTACCAATCTGCTAATAATTACATATGAAGGGATATTACACAGAAAGATTCTTGTTTTCATTTTCATCACTCAGGGTTCAAGGGAGACAGACAGAATAAGTAACCATTTCATAGAAAAAGAATTTTCCTCTTCACCATCCTTTATCCTCATGGCTCCTCCTTTCTCTCATCTCTTCCAGTGATTTATTGACTTGAAACACAAGAATGTAAAGAGCCAATTGAGCCACATCTGTGTGAACAGTAGAAGTACTGCCCACAGCTCTGTCTTGGAACATGGAGAAAAAAATATGTAAAATTCTAAGAATATATTTATCAGGCATGTGAATTATAATGTCTCAGTTTAGTAAAGAAAGTAAGTGGATTAAACTTTTTGCCCCTAAAAAGCCCTCAAATGGAAGACCCTCTGCTCTTAACTTGCAATTGGCTTGTTTTGGTGGGTAATTCAATTCCTCTGGCTTATGTGATTATTACAGGATTGGTTCGTGTGTTACAGTGTAAGCCTAAGGGGTTATGTATGTGATTGTACCATTATGTCATAACTTTGGAGCTGTTTGAAGTTCACTGCTTATTTTATTAGAAAAATATCTGGGTTTTGGGGAAAGAGCCAGCATTTCTCGAGTTTCATGTGTTGTTAGTAATGGATGCCTTTTCTCCCTTGTAAATATAAGCAGCATAGATTTTATTGGTATTCACCAAATTTTCAATCCAGAAAGCCCTAGATTTAGCACAGATGTCTGTTTCTGGTTCTTATCAATTGTCACGGTACTATAGCTAGTGACACTGCATCAGTGCTAACCATGAGCCTTTAATACCTCAATCTAAAAGGAAACTTAGTACTACAGTCTAAAAGTCTTACAGCTACTGCATCTGGTACTCTTTGAGTCCTGTGGGCTTTTCCTTCTCTTCTCAAGGGAATTTGGCACTGAAATAGTTTCCATACCATGCAAGACAGAAAAACACATCATCATGGATCAAAACAACCTGCTTTCTTTTTTCAAGGATTTTTTTAAATCACTAACATCTGTCAGCAACATGAAACCTGCAGGATTTATAAAAAGCATTTCCTTAAGGACTGTTGTGTGTGATTACTTCTCATTGGTCTGACATAATTTAACCTAGACATCTTTCTGCATTTACTTACTTTTAAGTTTCAATATATTGTTAATAGGCTATTTTTGGAACCACTGTGAGGAAATTGCCCATATGTAATGCATTTCTCAGGAAGACCATGTGTTTTCAGTGATGAATCAAACAAAGCCGTGCAACTGATGCTAATGGAGAAGAATCTTTCTCTTCTCTCTTTCTGTTTCTCCCTCTCTCTCTCTCTCTTTCCTTGTATCCTGAGCCAGGGAGACAGCTGTTTTCTCCCACACAGTGGAGGAGAGGTTGAATACTAAGCTGTGGTGTCTGGCTGCCTGTCAGAACAATAGTAAACTGCACACCTGTCGGCTCTTGGCAAGCAGGGATGGTAAAATGACTAACATTGTTTTCCTAGCTTTCTCTTCTTGACAAGCACACCACTGGCTACGTTTCTTTCTCATTCGGTTCACAAAGGCTTAGATTTCTCCCTAGAGGCACCAAGGGAATTAAGCAGTTTTACTACTGCTTCTAATAAACAGCTTCCTTTAGAGAAGGTGGATTTTCTTCTGGGACATGGTTTATTGCCATCTCTCCACCCTTTTTCCCACACTAGCCCCCTTCACCCTCCCAGGAGCACCGCCACAAAAGTTCTTTCTCCCTTTCTGATCGCTGCTTTGCATCTGTAAGCGTTTTTCTTCTGCAGCCACTCTGGTTTCCTAGAGGCAATCCAAAAGCCCCTTCAGCTAATGGCTCATTTAGCGATCAATTTGTCAAATAATGTTCACAGATGTTTTTCTGATGGAGCAGCATGTAGTGCAGGTAATGACTGAGTGAGTGATCACTTGCAATAGGTGACAGGATCAAGTCACTGCCTTGCCAGGCAACTTAGAGGTTGGGGTTACTGGTCAACCAGAAAGAGGACAAGCTCCTTTTTATTTTTAAAACATTAAAACAGCCCTATGATTCCATTTCAACTGAGTCACGGACTGGCAGCTTAAGTAGTTCTTTATATCCATCCTGGAAGAGTCAAACTGGCATGATACATATGGGGAAGTAAAAGCTATGTCTCCCTTAACTGTGCTTCCTCTTTTTTTGCGCTTTGACCATAATGCTGGCGCTGGGTATATAAAAAGAGCATAAAAATATTATACGTGTAGTAACATCATAGTGGCTTGAAACTGCCTTAATACCTGTTGACACTTTCTAACCTCAAACACAAGTCAGAGTCAGTCCAAAGAAACATTTACAACAAATATGGAAAACTTCGTAGCCATTAATCTGGAATGATCTGTTGAAGATCTAGAAGAATGGAATCCAACTGAACTTTTAAGTACCTAAGCCAGGACAGGACTACTGAACTGAGCAAGCTAAGATTCCCACAGCTGTACGAGCTGTGCTTTCTTTCATGGTCCTGAATTGTTTCCATTAGCCTGAAAAGGGTTATAAAACCTACAATCAATTTAGTTTCTGGGGCATTGTGTTTTGAATACCATTTAATAGGGTGTGACAAAAACACATAATTTCTCCACGTGTTCTTACATTGCAAGCGGATCTTAACGTGGTGCTCTGCAGTGCCCCCAAAAATGTGAACAGTACCAGAAGCTTTGGAATTGGAAATAAAGGAACAGCAACAGACAGCTAGAATGTTTAGGGTATGAGGAGAATTTAACATTTGCTAGTTGAGCACAAAGCGATAAACAAAATCTTTATCCTCTGCTTTCAACTCAGCCTGGCATTAGCCAGAGATAAACAAATTTAATTACTTCATACATGAAAAGTAAAATCATGTTTCAGAAAGGAAAAGATGAGCTTGAACACAGATGGACAGAATACACTTAATAAGAACATTAATAAGAGATGGGTTGAATCTGATCTGCAGCTGTGGGTGTTACAGGATAAGGATTTCTGCTCCCTTTTGATGAGCAGAAATTGAACTGCTCTTCCAACTTGATGCCCAGAATCTTCTTTTTTTTGTCCTCAAATGAGCAGGCTCATTTATTTTAATGAGAGTTTTTTGACTAAGGACAGAGACCAGCTCAGCCCTGCAACTGCTCTTAATCCATTTAGGCACTGTCTGAATTTCTCTCTTTTATGGTTATGTTGTCTCCTAACACTGCAGTGGGTTACTAAGAAATAGGATCTGCTGGTGCTTGTTAAAATTGCTAAATTTGCATACTCTGGAAATTTCATTACTTGGCATACTTGTGATGTAGGTATTTTAGGTGACTTACAGAACACAGGAACACAGATTGCTCAGCTATAATAGACAACAGACTGAAACATGTGAGCCAGATAGTTGTAAGAATGTTTCTCAGCTTCACCAGCCCACAGTACACTGTTCAGAGCAGGCATAATACACCCTGCTTTTGGCCTGTTTGATCTGAATGTGGAGATGTTAAACTCATTGGTGAGAAATAGCTGTGGCACTGTCTCTCTACTTGGACTCCTGTGCAGGATACTAGGATGTTGGAAGTTTTTATGAACTTCATATTCAAATTTTCACTTGGAAATTTGACTAGGATGTGTGAAGAATCTTTCTAGGCAAATTGATTTACCATTAGTTGAACTTAGTTTTTGAACATGATGTTAGCACTTTATGGATATTAGTTAATTTATTTCTCAAAGCAGGTCTCTGAATTAGGTGTTATTGTCCCTATTTTATAAGGGAAGAATTTAAAGGTTAAAGAGATTAAATCTTGCTGACACAGGCTATTGTATGAACTGAAATTTTACTCTGAAATTCATACTGTTGTAGCTTTTAATTAAGAAAAAGTTGTAAAAAATTTCAAACAATCCAGGCATTTCAAAGAAAATCAATCCTCTATAATAACACTAATAATATTTTGGTGAACATGTTTTCAGACATCACACCATTCATATATATACAGGCATACCTCACTTCATTTCCCTTCACTTTGTTGTGCTCCACAGATACTGTGTTTTTACAAATTGAAGGTTTGTGGCAATCTCGGGTCAAGCAAGTCCATCGGTGCAATATTTCCCATGACGTGTGCACTTTGTGTCTCTGTGTCACATTTTGGTAACTCTCGTGATACTTCAAACATTTCATTATTATTATATGTTGTGGTGATCTGTGATCAGGAATATTTGATGTTACTACTGCAGTTGTTTTGGAGCATCACAAACTGCACCCATATAAGATGGTGAGCCTAACTGACAAATGTTGGGTGTTCTGACTGCTCCAGTGACCAGAGGTTCCTCCATCTCTCTCCCTGTCCTTGGGCCACCCTATTCCCTGAGTCACAACATAAGGCTAACTAATAGTCGTACAATGGCCTCTAAGTGTTTGAGTGAAAAGACTTGTATGTCTCTCACTTTAAGTCAAAAGTTAGAAATGATTAAGCCTAGTGAGGAAGGCATTTTGAAAGCTGAGGTAGACCAAAAGCTAGGCCTCTTGTACCAAACAGTCAAGTTGGGAATGCAAAGAAAAAGTTCTTGAGGAAAATTAAAAGTACTAGTCCAGTGAACACATAAATGATAAGAAAGTGAAACAGCCTTATTGCTGTCATAGAGAACGTTTGAGTGGTCTGAATAGATCAAACCAGCCACAATATTCCCTTAGGCTAAAGCCTAATCCATAGCAAGGCGCTCTCTTTAATTCTAAGAAGGCTGAGAGAAGTGAGGAAGCTTCAGAAGCAAAGTTTGAAACTAGCAGAGATTGGTTCATGAGGTTTAAGGAAAGAAGCTGTTTCCATCACATAAAAGTGCAAGGTAAAGCAGCAAGTGCTGATATAAAAGCTGCAGCAAGTTATCCGGAAGATCTAGCTCAGATCACTAATGAAGGTGGCTCCACTAAACAACAGATTTTCAATGTATACAAAACAGCCTTCTATTGGAAGGAAGAGGCCATCTAGGACTTTCATGGTTACAGAGGGATGGTCCATGCCTGGTCTGAAAGCTTCAAAGGATGGGCCAACTTTCTTGTTAGGGACTAATGCAGCTGGTGACTTAAAGTTGAAGCCAATGCTCATTTAGCATTCCAAAAATGCTAGGGCCTTTAAGAATTGTGCTAAATCTACTCTGCCTGTGCTCTATAAGTGGAACAACAAAGCCTGTATGATGGCACATCAGTTTACATCATGGTTTCCTAAATATTTTAAGCCTAGTGTTGAGACCTACTGCTCAGGAAAGAAGTTACTTTCAAAACATTACTGCTCAGTGATAACACACTTAGTTACTCAAGAGCTCTGATGGAATGTACTGAGATATGCATGTTGTTTTCATGCCTGTTAACACAACATCCATTCTGTAGCCCATGGATCAAGGAGTAATATTGACACTGAAGTCTGATTATTTATGAAATACATTTCTTCTGATGGATCTGGGCAAAGTAAATTGAAGACCTTCTGGAAATAACTCACCATTCTAGATGCCATTAAGAACATTTAGAATTCATGGGAAGATGTCAAAATAGCAACATAACCAGGAGTTTAGAAAAAGTTGATTCCAATCCTCATGGATGACTTTCAAGTGTCAAGACTTCAGTGGAGGAAGTGACTGTAGATATGGTGGAAATAGCAAGAGAGCTAGAGTTAGAACTGGAGCCGGAAGATGTGACTGAATTGCTGTAATCTCATGATAAACATTTAATGGAAGAGAAGTTGTTTTTTATGGATGAGCAAAGAAAGAGATTTTTTCCTTTTAGATGGAATATACTTCTGGTGAAGATTCTGTGAACATTTAAAAAATGTCAGTAAAGTTTTTAAAAGATTACATAGACTTAGTTAATAAAGCAGCAGCAGGCTTTAAGAGAATTGACTCCAACTTTGAAAGAAATTCTACTGTGGGTAAAATGCTATCAAACAGCACCACATGCTACAGGAAACCATTCATGAAAGAGTCAATAGATGTGGCAAACTTCCCTGTCGTCTTAGGATAAGAAGTTGCCACAGACACCCCAACCATTAGCAACAACCACCCTGATCAGCCAACAGTCATAAACATTGAGGTAAGAACCTTCTTCAGCAAAAAATTACAGTTTGCTGAAGGCTAAGATGATTGTTAGTATTTTTTGTAACAATAAAATACTGCACACTTAGTAGACTACAGTATACCGTATACATCACTTTTATATGTACTAGGAGACTAAAACAATTGTGTGACATGCTTTTTTGTGATATTTGCTTTATTGTGGTGATCTGGAACTGAACCCACAATATCTCCAAGGTATGCCCATAATCATAACCAAAATCTTCTAAGATTGGGTGATGATGTGTGTGTGTTGGGTTGGGGTTGGGTGGAGGGGTTGGAAGGCACCTGCACCTTCAACTTTCTCTCTAATAATTATGAGAAAGCTTCTAAAAAGATATATATTATTTCCACTAATTTGCAAATGGCTTAATAAAAGTCAACACTGTAAACCATGTTTATCTAGGTTCATGGGAGATTATGTATTTCTGCAGGGTGCCTTATGGCCTGAAAGAGTTCCTTCTCCTTCCAAAATTAAAATGTAATAATCTGGAACTAAAGATGCAATATCTCTGAGACATGCCTATACCTATACTACTAGTCTGAATTTTCATATAAATTAGATCTTAATAAACCTGCCTATAACTTGCTTTTTCAAAAAATAATATGTTAGATATTTTTTCCATAAATATCTATGCCATCATTTAAAAAGCTGTGTAACATTGCAATGTATGTCTCAACTAACTCTATTCAACTAATCCCATATGGATAGACATATAAGTTGCTTCCAGGTTTCACTGATATAAATAATGCTTTGATCACCTTTTTTGTGTATACCCCTTCCCTTTTTCAGTTATACTATAATCTTTTTTTTTAAATAGAATTACCATTACTGAGTTAAAGACTACATGCATTTAAACGTTGAGGTAGGATGTAAGTATATAAGTAATGAAGATCACACATTCTGAAATCAGTCAGGCAGGGTTTGAATTGCAATTCCTCCACTTCATCAGTGTTAATTTAGTAATGTTTCTTAACTCTTCATCTTAGTTTTTAAATTTAGCAATAGGGATGATAAAACTAATATCATAAGTTTATTGTGAAGAAAAAATGAGATGATGAATGCAGAGCACTTACGATACTTTTCAGGATCTGATGCGTAGTAAATAATCATAAGTGTTAGCTATTATTGTTGGTGTTGTTGGATGCATTTTGCAAAACTATTTTCTAGAGAGGATTTACAAATTTATATTTCCATCAAAAATTTAAAACTGCCCATTACACACACCTTGTTTTCACTGGGTTTCTTTAACTGTTTAAATCTTTCCCAAGCTAACATCTGCTCCTCTCTGCTCCTAAAAAAACAGACAAACAAAAAACAAACAAAAAAACCCAAATTGTTTTATTTTCATTTATCTTACTATTACTGAGCTTCAGTATCTCTAAAAATGTTTGTCATTTTTTAAAATTGTACATTCATTTTTTTTATAAGATAGACTATTCTTATTCTTTCTTCTGTTCCTCTCTTCCTTTATTTATTTTTATTTTATTTTTGAGACAGAATCTCACTCTGTCGCCCAGGCTGGAGGGCAGTTGTGCGATCTTGGCTCACTGCAACCTCTGCTTCCTGGGCTCAAGCGATTCTCTTGCCTCAGCCTCCCGAGTTGCTGGGACTACAGGTGCCAGACACCATGCCTGATTAATTTTTGTATTTTTACTAGAGACGGGGTTTTGCCATGTTGGCCAGGCTGGTCTCAAACTCCTGACCTCAGGTGATCTGCCTGCCTCAGCCTCCCAAAGTGCTGGGATTACAGGCAGGAGCCACCACACTCAGCCCTTTTGCTCCTTTTTAAAATCATTTTTTACTGATTTACAAAATCAACAATTGCAAATATTTCCCCCATTTTCATGCCATTCAGTATTTTTTTCTATTTTTTGTTTGTTTATGCCATTTAGAACTTTGACATTTTTATATAATTGGATCTTGTTTTTTTTTTTTGTAGAAGTTCTGCTTTCCACTTAATCTTTAGTGAGGGCTTTTTCACATGTAATTCATGGTAATAACCGCATTTGATTTCAGTATTTTCAATGATTTTATTTTTATTTAAAACAGTTTTAAATCTGGAATAATTCTTGTGATAAAATCCTTCAACTTAAAAAAATCTGAGTAAATTTTTTGTACGTTTTTCTTCATGATACAATATGGAGTAAATAATTTAATCTTTATCATTAAATGCGATGTTATGTGTTTTGCAGAAGATATTTATCAGGTTGAGGAATATTCATCCAATTCCTGTTCACTGAGCATTTTATCACAAATGGATGTTGAATTTTGTCAGATGTGTTTTCTGAGAAAATAATATAGTTTTTCTATTTTATTTTCTTAATGTAATGAATTATATTGATTTTTTTAAAGGTTAAGCCAATCTTGCATTCCTGGGACAAACCTCACTAGCTCATGTTGTATTACCCTTTTCACATACTGCTGAATTCAATTTGCTAGTATTAAGGATTTTCATGTCTATGTTTATGAGGTATTTTGATAGGGAGTTCCTTTACTTGAAATGTCTTTGTCTGATTTTGGTATCAAGCTAATGCTGACATCATAATAATTGGTAAATATATTCTTACCTTATTTTTTTGAAAGATTGTGTATAAGATTGTATTATTTCTTCCTTAAATATTTCATAGAAATCCCTAGTAAAACAATCTTAGTGAGTTTTCTTGTCGGGAAGGTTTTCCTTTAGAGATACTTATATTTTCAATGTCTTCTGTGAAGGTTTGGGTAAGATTTTTTTTAAAAAATTCTAATAAATTATTTCAATTAATTAGCATTAATTTTATTCTTTTTTTTCCCTTTTGTATGTGTTGGATCTGTAGTAATGTACCTATTTCAACCTAAATGTGGGTATTTTGTGTTTTTTCCTTTTTTTCTTCGTTAGTCTTGTGAGAAGGCTATCTTTTTCATTAAACACTTCAAAGAACCAAATTTTAGCTTTGTTCATTTTTTTTCTATGATCTGCTTTCTAGTTCATTGATCTCTGATCTAATTTTTATTTTTGTTCTTCTATTTATATTAAGTTTTGTTTGTTCTTCTTTTTTCTAACTTCTTAATATAGATTGTTATTTTAAATGTTTTCCTTTTAAAACTATAAATTCCCCTCTAAATACTGTTTCAGCCACATTCCACAAATTGACAGATCATGTTTTCATTAAGTTCAAAATATATTCCTATTTCCCTTGTGACTTTTTCATTGATCCAAGGGTTATTAAGAAACAAATAGCTTGATTTCCAAAAATCTGGGACTTTTCTAGAAATCATATTGCTATTAGTTTCTAATTTACTACCATTTTTGTTAGAGACCATATTCTGCAAAATTTATAACTTGATATTTATTGGACTTTTTATCCCCAGCATATGTATTAACTTAGCGAGTCTTCCTTCCATGTGTACTCAGAAAAATGTTGTTGGCTGTAATGTTCTATAAACGTCAGTTAAGTAAGTTGGTTGATAACGTTCAGATATTTTATATTTTCTCTATCCTTATTGATACTTTTTCTTCTCATTTTATTAATTACTTTATATAATAGTTATAAAATCTCCAACTACAGTTGTAAATGTTTCTATGCCTCAGTTTAGTTCTGTAATTATTTGCTTCATGTAGTTTTAGTCTCTATTATTAGATGCATATACATTTAATTTATTGTGCTTCTTGATATATTTATATTAATATATCAAAAAGATATCACTATGAAATACTCCTTCTTTATCTCTAGTAATGCTCCTTGTCTTAGAGTCTATCAATATTAATATAGCCACACTAGCTTTTTCACACTTACTATTTGCATGGAATATCTTTTCACCATTTTATTTAAAAACAATCAGTGTCTTTGTGAATCAGAAAACACAGAGTATACACAGACATGTAGATACTAATTCTTCATCTTGTGACTCCGAGCTGACCTCCATTACTATTTTTAGGAGTACTTCCTTTGAACTTTTGTTCTTTAAAATCTGTACTACTTACCTCTACAAGGAAAGGAATGATGAGTTGCTTGAATGAAGATCATTAGGTTTCCTTTAGCCTGGAGTTCTGAGAGCTGGAGATGGATGTGGGAGTGCAGTGATCTAGCCAACAGTAGTTGGAGCAAAGGGAAAATAGAAATAATGCTCTGAACAAGGATTGGAGAAATAGATAGACACTGGGAAATTTTACATTGAATGTGGTGATCTTAGAGACAAGATCTTGTTCAGAAAAAGGCTCCTTAGTTGAGAGAAATAATAAAGCAATGAATTCAAGAGGCAGAACTACTGTGTTATAAAGAGAAAGGGACACTTTTGAATGGTACCTAAATGATGATAGAGGAAGAGGTAGTAGGTGTTCTGAGCTGTTTCACATGGAAAAGCCAGATTCTTTGGACTCATCATAGTAGTTTAAGGGTTTTGTGCATGTACTTGATGCTCATCCAACAGGTGACAGAGCTGCTTCTGTCCAGGAATTCCAAGTAGATATATTCAAATAAACTTGGAGATTAAGATTTGCAACTTGGTATTCAGTTGCGTACTTTTAGCTCTTTGATTTATAGTGTTTTTATGTCCCTAAGTGTAGAGTCAGGTGCCTGCATGGAATTCCATTTGCTGGTTAACTGACTTCAGTCAGATTTGTATTTTCTCCTGTTGATCTTTTAAAAAGACATTGAGAGACAGTGAGATGAAGTATTGAAGGGAGACAAGCAAATGAGTGATCCTTACTAATAAGTAACTATTCTAACCAAAGCTAAGAGAAATTATAATTGACAAAGATGTTTTTCATAATATGTGAAAAAATAGAAGTAGAGATCTGTACTGAAATGGATGTAACACAGGTTTTGGGGTAAGAGCTTCAGAAGTAGAAAACTTGAGTTGGTGTTTCTACCCTCATATGAACTAGTTGTATAGTCTTTTACAATCTCTTATTTTCTCTGAGCCCTGATTCTTCCTCAGTAATTGAGAATAATAGTAATCCTATATCACAGGCTTTGAGTTTCATCTTACATGAAGTATATGAACTACATTTGTGTGCTGTAACTAGTACTTACTGAGTACTTGCTACGTATGGGCTGCACCTGTTTTAGCAGTTGGTGCTAGATCAATGAATGAGACAAAAATCCAAGTGCTTAAGGGGAACTCATAATCCACTGGGGGCATTTACTGTTAATAAATTATTAATACTTCAGAATAGGAAGAGATAATTTTCCATTTCTGCAAATACCAAAATAATGCATGTTCTTTAGATGAAATAGCACTAAAGAAAAGTACATAGAAGAAAGAGTGTCCTAGTCCAATTTTTGTTGCTTATAACAGAATACCTAAGGCTGACTCATTTATAAGGAAAGTGGTTTATTTAGCTTATGGTTCTACGGGGTGGGAAATTCAAGGGCATGGCCCTGGCTTCTGGCAAGAGCTTTTGTACTTGTCATAACATGGTGGAGAAGGTCAGAGTGGAAATGGAAAACGCAAACAGACGAAACCCAAGAGGAATCCTGGTTTTGCAACAACCCACTCTCATAGAAACCAATCCATTTCTGAGGGAACTAATCCAGTTTCACCAGAGCAAGAACTCACTCACAAGCCATTCAGGAGGGATATGCCCCCAAGACCCGAACATCTCCCACTAGGCCTCACCCCCGACACCACCACATTAGGGATGACATTTCAACATGAGCTTTGGTGAGGTCAGACAAACCATATTCAAACCATAGCAAAAAGGAAACACACCTAAAAATCTACCACTGAAATAACTGTTGTTGTCAACTGAGGTGGTGACCCTTGCTCTGTAAATCTCTCTGTGAATACACACAGTAGAAGGTTGGGTAGAGATAGATAGATAAGTAGGTTTAACTAATTATTCAGAGATAGAATCTTACATGTTTAAAAATAAAATTATTGGCCAGGTGCAGTGGCTCACACTTGTCATCTCAGAACTCTGGGAGGCCGAGGCAGGTGGATCACAAGGTCAGGAGATCAAGACCATCCTGGCTAACATGGTGAAACTGCATCTGTACTAAAAATACAAAAAAAAAAAAAAAAAAAATTAGCTGGGTGTGGTGGCGGGTGCCTGTAGTCCTAGCTACTCGGGAGGCTGAACCTGGGAGGCAGAGGTTGCAGTGAGCTGAGATCGTGTCATTGCAGTCCAGCCTGGTGACAGAGCGAGGCTCCATCTCCAAAATAAATAAATAAATAAATAAGTAAATAAAATTATTGAATTTAATTTTATTTGAATCTAAGTTTGTAAAGCAAAACTAAAGGATAGCAAAGAATTGATGAACTTTAGTTTTTTGCATTGCAAATTATGTAGAATTCTAAAAGACCTCCCTAGATTAAGATGCAAGAGTATACAAATTCAGAAATTAAAGTAATTTTTTTCAAACTTTGTTTCAAATTTAGTCATTAATTGATTATTTGTTACGAAAGTTGAATAAATCAGCATTCTTCCTTTTGTATACCTTTTCTCCCCCTGCTCTCAACTTTGTTTTACTTTTATTATACTACTAAGGTCACTTTTTCTGCTGTAATCAAAATTTCTACAGTTTTTTAGTATGAGTTCTATACTGAATGCCCATTGAATTCTATATTGATGCTCATCTATATCAAATGTTATGTTAATGCTCATTAATAGTCCTTTTATAATTTCTAATGTCCTTGTTTTGATTTACCCCTTGGCTAAATCGATAAAACATACATAAACATTTCATGTGGAGGCCACTAGAGAATTGCTTAGGAATGAGAGGGCAACGCAGGCAGCCAGGACTTGAAGGGCTAAGAACATGGAGAGAATAAGGTGCAAAAAAGGGAGACCTGCACTCAAAAGTTTTCCCATTGAGGCGTTTGCTCAATTATTAAGCTGCAAGGAAAGAGAGACTAAAATGAATAAAATTTTTGGCAAGGGAAAAAGTTGGAGATCATAACCTGACAAAGAGGAAGGGCTCTAGGTCATCACTTGAGACTCATGCTACCAATGAAGGCAAACCAGAGACCAAAACCTTACAAAGCCTGTAATGCAGCCTAGGTTAGCTCAGTCTCTAGTTGGATTAAAAGAAAATTCTTTATATTGTCTGCTCACCAGAGGCTAGGGTAAGCTCTGTCTGAAGGATGACTTTATTTTCCAGAGATTCTATTATTTTTCATTTGTATTTCATGTACATTTCATACATAATATTAGTCCCTTAATAAAAAAATGCCATGTGTATCAAAAAACAAGACCTAGAAAACAAATGGTAAAAATAGACTCATAGATGTCCTGGACATTGGAATTATCAGGCAAAGATGATATCACAACTCTGATTAATATATTCAGAAAAATGTATGACAAGATAGATAATTTTACCAAAGAACAAGACTCTGTTAAAGAAAAAAAATTTAAATGAAAATTCTAACACTAAAAATGTCTCAAAGAAAGAAACAATTGATCATCTACCCTAGAGTTTCAGATCTGAGTTAATCTTCTGTTGTCTTTAATGGAACTCCCTTTTGTTCCTTTTCTACCTATTTTCTATTTCTTTTTTCAGAGTGGTTATTACTGTCATCCTTTCTGAAAAAGAATATAAATATTCTTCAATATATTTCAAGATAGTCACAGTTATGTACCAAGTATATCAGACTTGTGAAACTTTGTTCTGTTATGGAAGAAAAATTTAAAATTTCATGTGATGCGATTGAGCATATGGTTGAGAGAAATTTTCTTTAAAAATCATCTTTAACATACCAAATGCTAGCATTTGGTAGTCTTTTGCAATTCTATATTTTATTTTTCAAGCCTAATTTTGAATATAAATATTACTAATGTGTCATACCATATCTAGGAGAATTACAAAGAAGGTAGGAATTACAAATTCAAAATTTGTTAGAAATTATATACACTTCCTTCTGGTACCCTAATTTTTTTTTTTTTTTTTTTTTTTTTACGTAAAGACTAAAAAACCCTGAGGATAACACTTTAGTATCTGACTATTGATAATGTTACTAGCTATAGTCATCACCCTAAAGTATCTTTGACTACTCATTTGTAATTCATTCATTCATTCAGATAACATTTACTGAGTATCTACTATCTGCTATGATACTGTCCCTGCTTTTGAGAAGTTTGAAACCTAGTGGTAGAGGCAGACATTCTTAATTTCAAAAAGGATAACAAAGGTGGTGAGTGTGAGTATGAGTGGGAATACCTTATGTTACTGAGGGTGGGTATGGATTCAGGACGGGGATCTTTAGAGAAGCCTTCAAAGTGAAGGGTGTGTTGGAGTCTTCAATATTAATAGGAGGCCACCAAATAGAAAAAGGGAGATAGTATGTCCAAAGAAGAGAGAAATGGTGTGTGTGTGTGTGTGTGTGTGTTTTCTTGAAGTGGGGAGTGTTTTAGTCTTTTTAAAGAATGCTAGAAAATGACAATTTAAGGATCTCACAGGGTGCTTCATGAAAACATCACCCTTCAGCCTGGCCTGCACTTTTGTTTTATAGAGGTGGTGCTCAGGTCCACATCTGCAGAGTGACTGTGCTTTATTTTCTCTAAAACATCCATCTTCATCTAACATGTTCTTTTCTCATCTGGTCTGTGGGAATTTGCACAGACCTTGTTACTCCCAGAGGCTGCTTTTCCATGAAACTCAACTCAGGGATGAAGAAGTCTGAAGGGCAGAGGCTTTCCTTCCAACTTCAAGGTCGCTGGAACTGAATCAGACATAACCAGTAGGTGGGAAGACAGCGAAAAACTGTCAAAGGAAAAAAAGAGTCAGGTGGTATGAACACAAGAATGGACATTCTCAAACGTCAGTGTACATCAAAAACACCTGAAGGGCTTGCTAAAACACAAATTGATAGGCTATGATAGATTTCTAGGCTATGACTGATTGCTAGGAAACAACAGGTTTCCACACATTAGGTCTGGAGAAGCTTGAGACTTCATATTTACATCAAGTTTCCATCTAAGTGATGCTGATACTGCTGGCCCAGGGACCACATTTTGAGAATCTCTACCTTAGAGAAGGCAGATTTTCTTTACTTGTACAAATCAGGATCTAGATGAAGAAAAAAAAAAAAAACCATTTTAGCTAGGGTAGTATTCAAAGATTTAGTGATTCCTAAAAATTATATGTCATATGGTTTTATTTGGTAAAGGATGGTGTTATAGAAGGAATGTCTTGAGAAGTTTTGGTAGATGAGATATGGCTTAAGATTTAGAAGCTGTGAAATTAAAAACTTCTTAAAAGGGAATGATAATGTAGGTTACTTTATGAAGGCCTTGGGAGGCCAAGGTAGGAGGATCATTTGAGCCCAGGAGCTTGAGACCAGCCTTGGCAATGTAAGGAGACCACGCCTCTACAGAAAATTTTTTAAATTAGCCAGGCATCTTGGGGTATGCCTGTAATCCCAGCTACTTGGGAGGCTGAAGTAGGAGGATTGCTTGAGCCCAGTAGGTTGCGGCTGCAGTGAGCTATGATCATGCCACTGCACTCCAGCCTGGGCAACAGAGCAAAACCCTGTCTCAAAAACAAAAAACAACGACAGAAAACTTTATGAAGGGAAAAACCCTACTAGATGTTAAAACTTAAGATTACCGAGTTTAGTTTTCCTCATTTGATCAATATATTCTTTAAATATTAATTTATAAACAGTAACTCTAATAATGTGATTGGTAGCTGTAAATGGTTAGTGTTGGATGTCTAACCTCTTTCAAGTTCTAATTAAACAAACAGTTTTGTATTTGTTGTATTACCCAGGCCTGTGGTTCTCAACACGGGCTGTACACTAGCACTTGACTGAATCTGGATTTAGGGAATCTGTAGTGGAATCTAGGCATTGGCGTGCTTTTTGAACTCCCCACATGGTTCTAATGTATATGAAGGGTTGAGAATCACTGGTGTAGTCACTGAGCTAGGGATAACGTATATTTCATGAGTCAAAATTTTGCTAATTGTTTTTCTATGAAGCCCACATCAACAAATGTCTATGTGAGGGCTTTTCATTTACATATTCCTTCATGAAACAAAACTTTCCTAACTTTGGTAAACAACATTTCAAAATAATGCTGTGCTCCATTTATTGACAGCTGGTACAGGAATCATATGTTTCTTTCTAATGAGTGTCATTATATATGCAGATTAAGAACACATTTAAAAAATTATACGTCATGGCAATGGGAAAACTAGACAAGAGTATGTTCCAGCAACATGACAAAAATGATGGAAGTTCTCAGAAACTTGCTGGCAGCAAATTCACTGCCCAGGAGCCACAGATCATGTTAATGTGTTGTTGGCTGTCATCCTGTCAGTTAAATTGAAGGGAGCTTTTGATTAAGGGTATCATCCAACGTAGATCAAAGTGGAAATGACTTTTGACACTTGGGTTCTTTTTAAGAAAGAGGAGTTTGATTAGTCACTCATAAACTTGACTGACCACATAGAAGGGCATAAATTACTTGGTGAAACAGGTTCCTGTTTAGTATCATAGGGATTCCAAGAACAATCTCACCAGTTAAAGGTTTGTGCTAGCAGCTACATTCCAGATTTATTTTCCTCAGGTTTTCAAATTTAGCAAATACAAGTGTTTGGAGTGCCCAATTAAATGTGAACTTCACACAAACAACAAATAATTTTTAATACAATTAAGTCCTAAAGATTGAATGAGGTATTCTTATTCTAAAAAAAATTTATTTTTAACTGAAATTCACATTTCACTGGGCATCCAATATCTTACCTGGCAAATTTAAATGTTACTCCATCCTCCAAGGAGTTTTTGGCAGAGCTGAATAAAAAGAAAAGGACTCTCTTGAAACCTCTATCTTAGAAACATTAAATCTAAGTCTCACTCAGACTCTCAATCCCTTTGCAAGTAATAACAGCAAAGTATACTCCTCTGCTTTACTATGGTAAAGTTAGGAAAATAAAAGTATAAGAAAGACAAGACACATCCAATGACCAGAGTTAGGTAAGAATATCTTCCTAATTTTCCATTAAGTTTTTCCTCCATATTTATGAAAATCTATAAAAACTTGACTTTCCCCTTGTCTCTGAGTTTATAACCCTTTACGGTTTCATTTTCTCTTTTTTCCTTCTCTGACTAGATTTATCTTTTGAACCTTATTCTCTCAGCATTCTCAGATTGCTCATTCTTATGGTCTATATAATCATGAACCCTACTCTAGGGCAGTGAAAGAGTTATACTATTAGAATGACCTGGGAACTTTTTCTAACTAGACATGCCTGCCTTCACTTCCTGCCTCCCATATAGAAAACCCCCTATCCTAGTTCCAATAGGTATGAGAAAACCAGGATGTTCATCTTAAGTCTTCATAGGGAAAAAAGACAATTGTTTATGCCTGGTTTTCCTTTTAGGAAGCTGTTTCCACAAAGAAGGCACAAACAATCCTATTAGCAAATAGGTAGTTCTTTGGCTATTCCCGCTTAGCTCTGATTACTTCTGTTAGAAAGCGTTTAGTTTTGCCTTCTATTCTCCCAGTGGCCATAACTGTTGGCATTTAGAGCTCCACAAATCATGGGGTGCTTCCAGTCACCTTAGGGCTGAGTGCATCCCATCGGTGTGGGCTTGTTGGACGCCCGTGCAGGTGGTCACCCCTGAGCAAGCAGATATATGAAACAAGTTTAAAGAACCTACAGTGCTTGTCAACTTGTTTAAATTCATAGCCACGAAATAAAAATTGTAGCCTCTCCATCATCACTACCCCCTTCTAGAACAATCCCAATATAATCATACGTTTAGCTTTGGGCACATATTTAAAATAAAATAAAATGCATTGCAAATTGCTGCTTGTTTAAAAGAGTCAGGATTTCTTTTTTATCCTTTTAATAGTGAACATGTTCTGTAAATATTGAAAGGCTAAAGTCTTCTGAAAAATAAGTTAACCTTTAAAACCATGTATTATATTGAATACTTTGTTTTATTTACTTGCGTTGATGGTATATAACTGTTCCTGTCTTCCTGACACATGAAAACTCACTCTTCGTTGAGCTAAAAGCAGTTTGAAGCTCAAAAGAATATCATTTGGCTGTGCTTGTCAGACAAGCAAGTTGATTATGTAAAAACACTTAGTTTGAATTCACAGTTTTCTCCTGGGAGGAGCAAAAGAAATGATTGAAATCTCTCTTTGTCATGTTGCAAATAGTGGAGTTGGTCATTTGGATGCAGATAAACTTATCTAGGATTCTTGAGTAGTTTGCAAAGGCCCCATGTGGAGAAGCAGTGTCCACAGACTGGGAAGGGCTAGTCTTTCTAAACATTATGGGTTAGCAGAGCAGTTCAGCGAGTGACCTCAACATATCGGACTTCCCCTCCCTAGAAAGTGGGCTTGTGCTTATGGTGAGGTTATCAGCACACCAACAAAGGCCCTTTACTGTGGCACAGTTGGGGTCCTGTCCTTGAGTCACTAAATTCTAGCTCTGGGTTTTCACTGAAAAGACTCATTGAGTCTTCTTGACTGAATTCCTGTTTCAGCTATTGTTCCCACTATTGGGGCTAGGGCACACTACCCCAAAATATGGCACCTTGGCATTTGAGAAAATGGCAGAAGCAGGAAGGTCATCCTCACCTTCCCTTCTCCTTGGCCTTCTCCCCTGAAGCAGGTTACAAGACCCTCACTCATGAAGTGCCAGTCTTATACCCAGAGGAAAGGAACATCCTTATCTCTGAAGACACAGGGACACAGAGAAGAATCTGAACAAACAGGCCTTGCTCAGTCCCCCGCTATGTTATTACCATTAGATCCCACTTTCTTTGTTCAATCGTAATTCTCCACAACCGTCCACTCCTTGTCAAGTAGAAGCATAAAAATATAAAAGTTTAAGTTATCTCTTTCTTTGGGCCTTCGATCCCTTATGAAGACTCCTGTGTCACATAAAACTTACATTAAATACATTCATGTGCTTTTCTCTTGTTAATCTGCCTTTCGTTATAAGGTACCTTAGCCATGAACCTAGAAAAGAAACCTGCCCCCATCTCACAAACCACAGAGCCCATGACTGCCAGGCTTGCATGCCAAGATAATTGTTTGTCTGTCTGTAGCTGCTTACAGTAGCCCAGGTGGTAATACTACTCAGACCTGGAGGTCAGAACTTCCCCTCCAGGTGTGTTACAGAATCCTTGACATAAACAGCAGCTCAGTACAAGAAGGATGCGTCCTTGCATGTGGATCTGGCTGAGGGACCTTCAGGCCCTTCTCACACTGTACGTGAAGTTGAGCAGTGAGCTTGCTAGGAGAGATGTCTGGGGAGTTCTGTGAAATATGGGCTCTGAGGTTCCCAGAGCAGTTTTGCAAAGCTGTAGGAATGAAAGTGCTGCTCTAGCTTAGTGGTCCTTGTGCCAAACATGGTACAAATGAGCATTCTTATCTGGCCAAAGAGTATTTGTCATTGCTGCTGGGGGTCATGATGATGGCAGAGGGATACATAGGCTGCTGAGACCACAAATGCAGGCTAAGCCAGAAAGCTGCACGTGTGTGTGTGTGTGTGTGTGTGTGTGTGTGTGTGTGTGTATTTCAAAAATGGGTCTAACTAAGGATAGATCTTTGGAAACTGATCTTGATCTTTGAAAAAAATTCTAATGTGGGAAAACATTTGAGTCTAATTTGCTTTAGCTGTTTGAGGCTACCAAGTGCAATATTAGATTCCCTGCTAAAATTTAATAATACATTTGATGGAAAATTACAAAAGGAAAATTTCACTTAAATATTTAATAACTAGGGTAGTAGTTCACAAAAACTCAAGTTCAGTGATTCTGAGGGATGAGTATAAAGTAAGACTACAAAATTATTTGTCTCCTGGGAAAGATTCCTTTCCCTTTATTTCATATATATTTGTGTATAGCACAATATATGGTAAATATGTAGATAGAGAAGAAATGTGTGTTGCTGGTGCAAAGTAAGACTTGTAGGAAGATAATTTGATGAGATTCAAGTGTGTCAGTTTGCCATCAGAAGCCAAGAAAGAGGTAAAACTATGTTACTTATGGTTTCATACAGCATTTTAAACATGTATTGTTTAATCTTCTGTCTTTTAGTGAAGTTCTATAGTATGGAATCATCAATTTGTATCTTAGAATCTATAAATGAGTGTATACACACACACAGCAATTTTTATATTGGGATCAAGTTCTAAAGCCAACAAGTGAAGCTGAAATCATGAATTAATAAATGTACCCCGGAAAACTTTAAAGTTACTCATAAAAACAGTATGTACAATTTTGTTTCTGTATCAACACTTATGGATGCTAAAGTTGAAGTGTGTCTAGAATAAAGTGGACTGAAGAAAGGACAAAGAAAGCACTTCGTGCTGGTGTTTGGGTGTTCAAACCATTCCACTTGACATACAGGGCAGCCATTAAAAACAGGTCTCAAGTCCCCAGTGGAATGATGGGTGGATGATTTCAAGGAGTTCCTGCTTTTTAGCAGAGTTTACTCCATTGCGTTTTAATGCCAGGCCTCTGTATTTTTTTTTTTTTTTTTTTTTTTTTTTGAGATGGAGTCTCACTCTGTCACCCAGGCTGGAGTGCAGTGGCCCGATCTCGGCTCACTGCAACCTCCACCTCCCAGGTTCAAGCGATACTCGTGCCTTAGCCTCCCAAGTAGCTGGGACTACAAGCACGCGCCACCATGCCAGACTAATTTTCATATTTTTAGTAGAGATGGGGTTTCACCATGTTGGCCAGGCTGGTCTCGAACTCTTGACCTCATGATTCACCCACCTTGGCCTCCCAAAGTGCTGGGAATACAGGCGTGAGCCACCATGCCAGGCTAGGCCTCTGTACTCTTAATAAATATTATTAGCTTTTCTTTTGCTATGACTAGAATTAAAAGAGATCCTGGTATCTCAACTCACAGGCATTGGGTTCCAAAGTCTGTGCAAAAAAGAAAGGAATATATGATGCAATTCCATTTTATTTTGAGAAAAACACTTTCAGTTGAATTGGTTTCACTTTGGAAGTAATGTTCTTTATATTATGTCTACCTGCATGCTATGACTTGAATGCATACCTCAAAAGCCATCTGTTGGAAACTTAATCCCCAATGCAATAGAGATGGAGCAATTATTAGGTGGGGCCTAATGAGAGGTGATTAGGCCATATGGGTGGAGTGAATGGATTAATGACATTATCATGGGGAATGGGTTCATTATCTTGGGAGTGAGTTTGTTATAAAATGGGGAATTTGGTCCCCTTTTACACTCTCTTGCTCTCTCCTTGCCCTTCTCCTGACTTCTGCCATTGGATGATGCAGCAAGAAGGCCCTCGCCACATGCCAGCCCCTTGATCTTAGGCTTCCCAGCATCCGGAACTGTGAGCCAATAAATTTCTGTTTATTATAAATTGCCCAGTCTCAGATTCTATTAAAGCAGCACAAAACAGACCAAGACACTGCACATACTTCTTTTTCTCTTTTTCTTTTGGTAAAGGGAAAGAAGATGAATTTCTTCTCCTTAAGACGATAAGTTACTTGGTTGTTTTACCATATTTACCTTAGAACTAATTTTTATAGATAGTTGAACCATATCAGTCTCTTACAATTCATTTTGCATGTGCAGCATGTATTGGTGTATGTATGTTTCCATGTGTGTGTGTTGGGGGTGAGTGCCTGAGTGTATAAAGACATCTTGCACAAATCTATACTATAGCTTGGATTAGGAGATACAGATGTGTCTGGAATTTCTTATACACTATGGGAGTAAGGTCCATCAGAAGCTTCTTGATAGGAAGACAGAGGAATATTGTGTGAAAATTCATCCTCAGGGAGGAAGGAACCTGGCTCAGGGAACTTGGCATGGTAAGAAAGGCTTAGACAGAGTGGTGAAGAGGACAAATCTGAGGACAGTGTGATGTTTTCTACTCAGGTCTTTCTCCCAGCCCAACCCTTAATGGATTCTTTCCTGGCTCCTCTGGAAAGCACAGTGAGCTATTCTACCAGAAACTCTGTAAAACAATGTGGTTCAAGTGGCACTGCCCTGGTAACCCTCTAACAGAGGATTCCACAAAAGACAGATGAGACAGAAGCGGGGACCATGCCAAGCCCAATGCCTGATGGAACAGCCATGGTGTGAGCAGATCAGAAATATTTATGAGCACATGTAAGCCCCTGTCTGGGGACTCCCAGAAATTGCTGAGTTCACAAAGCAGAGAAATTTGAGTTACTACTGCTAATGGGACTACATCTGTACCCACAGGCTGGTGAGACCAAGAGAAATTCTGTTTTCACCTCTATTATTACACAGTGCATGGAATGGTAATTACTTGTTTACACATCTGCTCCACTGCTATGCTGTAAGACTCTATAGGCCAGGAACTATATTTTACTCATCTTTGTTTTTCCAGAATATAGACTTTGCCCCTGGCATATAGTAGGTGCTCATTAAGTGTTTCTTTTTTTTAAGATGAAAGAGTGATTTTTGTGTTGGTATGTGTTGATGATGATAGAAATAACTATTGAAAACAAAAAACTATTTGCTGAGGTTTTTGACTCTGTTTTCATCATTGCAGCATGTTCCTTCACAGGCTGTTTCTGTGAGTATGAATAAGGTCTCTGATAGAACTCCTGCCCGAGAGGAAAATGCCGAATTAGAATTTGGAGAGGGAACCTCTAAATATCCCATTAGATTAGAGCAGTCATGTTTTTATACAGAAGCTGGATAAAGGAGAAAAGGGAGTATTTCAGCTAGAGGCTTGGAAAGGCTGACAATGAGTATAGCACAATACAAGCCTCAGTTTATTGTGTCTGGATGAATGCATTGGCATTTCTAGACAGTAACCTATACATCTGCTTTCCCGGGGGGAGGGGATGAGCAAGGGAGCCAGAAGACGAGGTGTTTAGGTTGTAAAAATAGAACCAGTGTGAGAGACTGAAGAAAGCCATGCTAGCAATGACTGGGCTCAGTCACTTATGCAGCTCTGCCACATTCCTCAGAACAAACAGCTATTAAAATCTGAGCACACAAAGCCTGTAGCAGGCTTAGTAATGACAAGCACTGTCAGCACACTATAATTAACATAGGGTGGTATAATTTATAAGGAATGCACTATACAGTTTAACGCCAACACAGAGGGGGAATATCTGTTGTTAGCCTGCAGAATCAAAAGTAGCCTTATCCCTTGATGCCAGCATTTTTCTTTACAAATACTCTTTAATTTATATATATTTTTTAACTCATAAAAGCCTTTGTCACAGAGTTAGTTCTGTGCAAGGCAAGAGTGAGGCTTGTAGGTGACCCGTAACCTCCCCTCCCCCTCCCATATTAATCAAGAAGGAAAGTCTCAGCACACTGTCTTTACTGTACATAATTAAGCGGTTCTGAATGCTCAGTGAAACTCAAATGGGATGGCACAGAGCCTGGTAATATGACAGTTAATGGGATGAGACTAGCACTTATTCTGCCTCTATAATAAGCAAAGGCTTTTTGCTTTCCAACTGAGGACAGGAAGAGAAGGAAGCAGTCACAAAAGATAACACCAATGACAACATGGGGTTGTTGGGCACCTCTCTGTACCTCTTATGATTGTTTCCAAAAAGAAAAACACACCCTAACTGGAGGAGATTACCTCTTAATTACCCTTGTTCAGTGGCTGTAATAAGCAGAGGCTTTTACTTCTGCATAGCCACGGATTGGTTTGAGAAGCATTTCCAGCAAATAGCTCTAATGGGAAGGTTTGTGTCTCTTTACTCTTCTTTCACCTCCTGCAAACTTTTAAGCTGGCTGAAATATTGCCTTCATCCTCCTTCCCCAATGAGGAGGACGTTTAATGAAATGATGCTTTATTTTGCTTTTAGAAGATGGCCAACGTAAGTATTTATCATAAAGGACCGTTTGCTGCATCTGTGGCTTTCTTCCACTGACCTGCAAACACAAAAATAGCATCTCTTTCCTTCTCTTAAGAAAGAAACTGGGTAAAATTACCTTTGAGGCAAGGAAATGCAGTGATAGAAATTAACAATTATTTTTAGCCACATAATGTTGGTATCACAAATTAAAAATGCTTGTTGGCTTTGTCCATTGAACAACTTGGAGAAAAAAATTATCTGTGCTGTATAAGCCGTGAGAATAACAGGCGTAATGCAGTCATTAAATAATCCTGCAGAGGAGAAAACATATCAAACATTCATCTGGGAGGCAACTGAGCAGCACCGTGAATCTGTACTCTTTGTGTTATGAGACATCCGTGGGAAGCAGAAACCTAAAGGAAAAAAGAGACCGGCCCTATAATTCAAGAACAAGTCTCAGTGACTACTCAGAATCCCTTAGCATGTAATTGTCTATAGAGAGATACTGAAAAGTGAACTCTTATTATTATGGTTTCCAGGGAGGAAGGGGAGGCGGTGACCTGATAGACTTGACTTTACAGAAAGCTGAGATTTGGAATTTGGGTTTCTATTTTAGGCTCTGCTTCTGACCTTCCGTGCTTCCTTAGAAAGTGCTTTGATTTCCTCAAGAATAAACCAGAAAAATCTCTTTCTGTGCTGTGAGGCTTTCAAATGCAAGGGAGTCATCAGAGGCCTGATCAGCATCCAACATTCTATTTCTTTTGGGGATTGTGTTCTAAGATTAGAGATAGCATTTGGCTCCTGAGAGTGTTTTCCCTGGGCTTAGTTGGGAATGCAGGTGTTTTGCTTGAGAAATTGGGGCTGGAAACAGTGAGAAACCCTCTGTTTTTGAAAGGTAACAATTTGGAGAACTGAAAACCTTCACTTCCTTTCCATAAGGATGAACAGAAGTCCTTTCATTCACATCCATCATATTTTATTTCGGATTCAGAAACCTTTTAATTTCAGCAGAAATCTCAGCATATGTTATCTTGCTCCAAAACAGCAAACGATGGCTTAAAATATATTCATGCATTTGAAGTGCTCACTCTCAAAACAATATATATATATATATGTATATTTCTACTCATATGGCACATATTTCAGCAATTTTGTAGAGTTTTTTTTCTCTTTCTTCTTCCTCTTGCTTTAAACTATGCAAGCACGAAGCAAATATAAAGAGAATTCAAGAGCATTTTGTAATTCTTGAAAGGTTAATTGCACTATTTATAGACCAAACTGTAAAGCAAAAACCCTCAGCGTGACCCTTCAGGGTCACCGTAGTAATAGCAACCTCAGTGGAGACCTGACCAGTCATGAATTACTGTCTGTGATACTGAGAATGCTGACAGTTCAATCACAGCACTGTTTCAATAGAGAACTCCATATATTTAAAGCGCTGATACTGTTTTCCCTCTAAATGACAGGCTTGACAGATGGGCCAAAAGCACCGCAGACGTTTGAACAAGGAAATAGAGAGGGAGCCTGCTGGAAGCTGGGCCTCATGCAGCCAGGCGAGAATGATGAATAGAGTGTGATTGTGTCTGACAGGTAGTAATATAACTATTCATTCACCACAGAACACCTGGAGCACACTATATTAAATGGTACAAGATGGAGAGATTCTGTGACAAGAATAGGAAGTGTGAATTCCGGGCTGAGTTTAGGTACAGCAATATAAGAGGTCAGGGGTCAAGCAATATAAACTGCCTCCGAGAAGGCTGTAATTAAATTATTTGCTTACTAAAGTGTTTCTAATGTTTTGCTAACATGTTGCCAGGATGATTACTTCAGCATGTCTGAACATTTCAGATAGAAGCAGCTTCCTCCTCTCTCTCTTTTATTTTCTCTCTCTCTCTCCCTGATAACTCTCGTTATTATTATTACTTTTTTATCATCTGAAGTCTCTTTCTCTCTTTCTGGCTCTGTTGCTACTGCTCCAAATAATAGTCCTGGAAAAATCAAGAGAGAGGTTGACTGGCCAGAGAGCTGTCATCCCAGCAAAAGCACCTCCTGTGACCCCGGTGTCACTCTGCTTGGATGAGGGTGGCATGGAAGTCAGTCATTATCGGGTCATATGACTGGTGGCATTCTTTCATGTGCGAAGCAGGAAAGAAAGCTGAAAGGACTGCAGGCCTCATGGAGGGACAAGGGTGTGTCTGCAAATGTTTGCCTTTTGCCTCTGAAGTCAGTGAAAACACTGAGATGCTGCTGACCAGCTAAAGAATTATTTTCAAAGCAAAGGGTGAGGTTAGGGCCGGGGATTTCAACAGAGTTGGACTATTTTGCAGACCATGTGACTGACCTCTTCTACAACCTTCCACTGCACACATGCTAAATATTGCTACACCTGCTTCAGTATTAATTTTTAATTACCGTGTCTGATTGTCACATTCTGAAAGCTTTATTCCCAGGAAGTATCATGTCATAAGACATGATTGAGCAGACTCTTTCCAATTTGGCATTTTAACTTATGTATGCGTGTATTATATATCACTTACATATACAGAAAAGACATAAAATGTCAGAGTTAAGATAGCGCTCCATTTCACAATGTGTGTGTGTGTATGCGTGTGTGACAGCACATGCATTTATATTCTGCATTTTGAGTCCCACTAATAAACAGGAAGCCGGTAGTGAACCCTAGTTTTTTTTTTTTTTTCTAAGGTCCTTGGGAAAGGAAACACTTGGTGGTGGCTTTTACATGGGCAAATGTTCATCAACTGCCGCCTCAAATTAGTTTTGCTTGTCACTTTCTTTATTCACAGGATCCTGTGACAGCCAAGGAAGGTTACAGTGCTGCCGTTGCTGTGCTATTTGGAGGGTCCCTTTGGGAGCTGAGAGGCTGGTCACTTTTGTCTTTTCACATTCCATTTTCTCTTTTTGTCTTTGAGGCTGATTTGGCTGGTATGAAGATGGCTCCGACAGCAGGCTCACTGCCTATGTAAAAGCCCCATGTACCCAACCTCACAATTTCAGATTTGCCTTGCTTATGGAAAACACATTGTAAATAGGTGTAGTTCTTTTTTCCCAGCTTACTGCGGTGGGAGACCATGGGTTAACACTTACGAAAAGATTTTGCATGTGACCTCTCTGATTAGCTATGGAAAACAAAATCCAATTAAAGCAGCACCCCCTCCCCCATATAAACCCTACCAATCTTGCACCTTCCCTTAGCACTCCTTCACACCGTTCTTTTCCTGCTGGTATTGCTCAGCTATTTTAAATATTGTTGGTTATTGACTGAATTACAGATATTTCTATATCTTTATCTGTATCTATAAATCTTCATATATTTTATCTGGCTCATCCTATGAAAGAATATTTAATAGCTGTTATCTCTATTCTGGCCCCAAAAGAATGTGTTCTTGAGAATTGGACAAATGTGCAAAATCCTATGAGACACACCAAATAAGAGTACATAATAAAACCTCTCCTTTTTTTTCAGTCTTGGTGAGATTTCCCCATATTAGTCTTCTTTGTGGATATCAAGTGCAGATACTTTTTGTAGACATACAACCAAATGTTTCTCATTGCCTCTCCACCTTCTTTTTAAAATAAACTCACTTTACTTGTTGAATTGAGCACAGTCATTGTGTGGCCTTGTATCTAATGCATATCCTTTTTCCTTCCAGTTGAGAGCCTGCACAATACTTAGTGCTGCCAATAAGGGGAAAGTGACTGTTTTGCAAAATAATCAAATTGGATTATCCAGTGTGTAAATAGGCACTCAGTCTTTTTTTCCCATGTAAATCAGGAAAAGCAATTTGTTTTTGCAGAAAAAAACCTGCAACGCTGCTCACGGCTCCCCCATCTTGGCTGGCATTGGGAGTTCATTATAGGTGAGGAAAAAGAATTTGTTAGCACCCATACAGCTGAAGACAGTAATTAACTAATTTGCTTCCATTTTTCTGCAGTTTAAACATAGGTATTATGAAAAATATTCTGTTGAGTGACTTGAAATCTTGTGATTCATATTAAGATAATAACATGAGCTGGGTTACTAGATTCTTAAAGATCCATTAAAAAAACTATATGCAAATTTGCCCAATAATTTATTATTTGTGTGTAGTTAGAATCAGATTTGTGCATCACAAGGATGAATTAAACCTTGGTTTCTTTCAGGAAACAGTGGGTCAGGGTTGCCATGGTGTAAATTGGCATCATTTGAAATGAAAAGCCATATCACTTCATTTGTGCATTGAAGAAAATTGCTAATTTTTAAGAACTGTTTTCATCTTATGAGAGTAAATCAGAAATGTGGTTAAAATTAATATTAGCAATTTAATAGTCTTGGACACCCATACTGATTAGGGCTCCTTTAATGATTGCTAAGAAAGTGGAATTATAAAATAGTAGAATTAAAAGGAATCTTAGCAGTTATTTTGACCTGTGAAGCAGTCAAACTCAGAATTATAGTTTAGAGTGCTGTGTAGTTCTTGGACAAAAGAATTCAGGTTTGCTTCATTTTAGTTTAGGGCCTACTCCACTCACTGTAGTGAGAAAGAGATGAGGCATAAAATAGCCACCTATTGAAAGAGATGATATCCAGAACTGCTAGATACTATATGATATAAGTTTATAAGGTTTAGGGTTTAGTTTAAAATGTATAATGAGCATACATAGGTATGACTCATGCTTATTGTCACCTGTTTTCTCTTTTAACAGTATCAAAGGTAGACATTTTTTTCTTTTTATTCTTGCCTTCCATTAGCCCAGTTGCAAGTCCTGAACAATGAAACACTGGAAAATGAAAATTTGAAAAATATTAAGTTCTATTAGGGGGAAAGTTGTAGTCTCTAAGTAGGTGGTCTTGAAGAAGGAGAAGGAAGAGGAGAAGGAGGAGGAGGAGGAGAAAAAGGAGGAGAGGGATTAAAGAGAGTGAGTATTGGGGGCTGATATGTAGAAGACTAATCTTTGTATTCTCGTGTATCATATAAGCTACCTTGGTTAGGTTTTCTAATCTCCATTGCAGAGACTAATATAGATGGAACCCATGGCATCTGTAAAGTGATATTTGTAGATCTCCCTGAACTAGCAAGGGCAGCAATATTCTAGATGTGAGTGTGATTATGAATGTTTCTTGGCCACCTCTATCATTGCTGATCCTCACGTTTGATGTCTCAAGCAGTATTTGTAACCACAGATTATGACTGGTGCACACATTTCTAAGAAAGTGGTATTTGTGGATCTCCCTGAACCAGCAAGGGCAGCAAGCTCTCTGACGCAAACCACGGTGTCCCCATGCAGAATAAAGTAAGGACTGTTAAAATAAACAAACAAAAAACCAAACTGAGCAGACTGCCAATAAAAAGGCAAAAATCACATCTTCCCATAGTTTTAATTTATGAGGGCAAATTATAGGGGATAAACTAAAAATAAAAGACATTTAGTGAAGTATTTTGCATAATATTGTATTTGAAAGTGCAAATGGCATGCTTGTAAGGGAAGACAGAGGGGGAAAAAAAACTAGTAAAAGAGCATTGTGCTAAAGCCTGCAGGTAAATATTAGGCTTTAAGATGAAAAGCTACAATTTGGAAAAGTGTTATTGATTGGAATTTTCTCTGCAAGCATCATTTTAGGACGCATCTATAGGATTTATTCCATACAATAGAGGCTTGCAGTCACCGTGTCAGGATCCGCCTTGCTTGGGCATCAGACTTCAATTAGATAATGACCATGCCAGGGAGTGAATAGCCAGAGAGTCATTCATCTTCCTCTGTACGTGACATAGTGTAACGGGTGTTTCTGACGATCCGTGCACATTGAATTAGGTCATTGCTGAGTTTGTCGGCTTTGAGAGAGTCTGTGCATTTACATGTGATGATTTCACCCCCCTTTCCTTCCCTCTCCTTCCCCTCAAACAGCATCTATTGTTCTGGAGCCCATATTGTACTGGGATCTGAATTTATGTCCGTGGATTATAAGCAAGGGACACTACCACAGACCGTAATCAGCTCATTAGCATTCTGCTCATGTGAGCCAGTGTGAGTACAATTTTCGATGGCCTAATGTGACAGGTAATCATAAATTAGTATTTGCTTTAAAACAACAGCAGAGTACACAGCCTGCATGCTTAAGGAGAATGACTCAGTAAGTAGTACAGCTCTGTAATGAAGTGGGAGCTCATTAAACAGATGCTATCTACTTCACTGAGCTGCAGAGGCAGCAAACAAACCAAACGGAAATGTTTCAACAGAACACTGCAGTCAACCAGGACAAGTTCAGGTTCATTAGCTGTGGCACAATCTACAGGAATTACTCACAGTAATAATTAAACAGTTGCTTGCTAATTTATCATTTTACATTTGTTACTACATTTGCATAATGTGTCCCCCCATCTCTGGTTATATTAAAATGACCCTATCTGTGTGTGAAAAATGAAAACCATGTGGGTTTTTGTTTTGATTTGTTTTTTTGAAAGACTTATCAGAAGTAGCCTGTATTTGGCAGTTAGTTGGTAATAACCTTGTTGTTTACTTCAAATATTTAAGCTGTATCTTTATTATAATATTGGCATTGTGTCATTTTTAACAAGCAGCACTTAGGAGGCCATCCTGGGAGGAGATAAAGACCCAGACTTGTCCTTAAGCGACTAAGTGGCAAGCAGGATAAAATAGGAACTTAGCAGCCGACATAGCTAAATTAACCTGCTGTTGGGAAGAGCTTGGCATGCAACTCTGTAATTTCACTGTCCAAAAATAACAAAGCCATGGAGTGAGACTTAATGCAGAGCAGACGTCAGGAGTAGTTTTTCTGTAGATTCCTCAGGTTGTGTCGGGATGATCTGCTCTTCTTCAGAAACAAAGTCATGTGGTCTCTTTTTTGTGAAGCAGTTGCTTAAAGCCGATAAAATACCAAATTTCACCTTGGTTAGACAAGGATTTAGAGGGAACTGCTAAACACCATGGTGATTAGCATTAAAATGTCTATGAAGCCACAGGATTCAAGGGGTGGGGAGTGAGAAGGTTGTTGGGGGTAGACGTGAGGCTGGGAGAGCCAAATTAAAAGCAGAAGGAGAGAGACTGCTCCTTCTATATCGTGGCCATGTTTGGGTTGGTTGGTGATGCGGTGATAAATTATTCAGTGGAAGCAACACAGAACAAGGACAATTTTTTCAATTTTAATTAATTATCACTTATTGTTATTGATATGAATTCCCTTTATGATGTAAAATAAACCATTGAATGCTTTTTTTGTGTTCTCATTCTTTTGTTTCTCAGGGAACTTCAGTTTTAGCAGCAGCCTAGAAGTGTGTCTGGGGAAGTAAGGGTTATCTTGAAAAAGCTTTGGCTCTGTGGGCTCTGAGAGATAGAAACCTAGATGGAGGCAAACACCAAAGACAAATTTTACTTATTTGCTTATGTTTGGCCAAAGTTGGAGTTCAGCCAGGGATAGTACTCCTTTCTTCCCTCTTGATCTTGGTTGTGTCCCTTTGGAAACCTAGCGTTTCTAGCAGTGCAAACCGATGAGGTATTCTAAGGTTCTGAAATCTTTATGAGAGTGTATGTGGGTAGAATCTACCTTCTTATAGTGCACTGTGCGAGAATGTGAAGACATTCAGAAAACATTAGTGGCCAATTAAAAATGAAGATGTATAAACCGAGGAGAGACGTGAAGCACGTTATGTTTATGACAGAACACACAGGCAATGCAAACTGCCATTTAGTGTGTTGGCAAGGGCCATTAGAGCTTTCTCAGGAAATCAAAACATACGCCTTGTAAAGAGTTTTAGAATATGCATATTGCCTCTGTTTTGTCAGTAAATTTAGGGTAGTAGAATATTAATTTTTAAAAATGTTAAATAATTCACTGCAGTGGTCATTCGCATTTTATCTGTTTCAACAGCATCTTTTCCTTTCAGTAGTTGTTCCTCCCTTATCCAGGGAGGCTAGAAACCACATGGCCCCCTATCCCATGCCCCAGGAATGGGCATGGTACCCGGCCTGGCTATCACAGTACACCATTCCCCTGGCTACAGTGATTGAGTCAGGTACGGACATGTGACCCAACAGGCCCATTCGAACATTTCCTGAGAGTATTACTGGAGCTTTTGAAAGAGGGCTCCGTGTCATTGAGGACTGCTAGCTCTAGTGCTCTGAGCTGCCATGGGCTGTCTTTGACCCCAGGTCGAAAGAGCTTGTCAAAAAACAAATTCGATGCAGAGAAAAACTGAAAAGAGAGACAGAGAAATGAGTGAGCCAATATTTTCCCTGCTTGCTTAAGCCATTCTGTGACTATTTTCCAGTACTTTTAACTTGAAGACATACCTTTATTTTATGGTGGAAACTGAGGCCCAGTTGGTGAAATGCATAGTCTGTTTACTTGTACCCCAGTTTCCTTTTCTCTTGTACATAAATGAACATATTTTAGATTAGTTCTGTGATCTGATGAGTCCTTATAAGTAGTGATTGCTTACAATATTAAATAATATTTTTTAGTATTATAGTAATAATCAATAAAAATATCTATAGTACTAAACAAGATGTAGTGATTGAAGAAACATATTCTTGGGTTCATTGTGAGAAAACCAAATCTTTGCTGTTCTCAGCTTTAACCCATCTTTAACCACCTCCAAGCTGGCCTCTGTCCCTTTCTTACCATCTTTATCTACTTAGTCTCTCATTCTGTTGAACTTGGGTCAAAACTATCTTCCTCATGCCAACTTCCCCAACTCCATCGACTTGGGGAAACCAATCCATATCATCTTAGGGTTCATCATTTTCTTCTGAGGTCTTCTCACACTTGTTGCTTTGCATTTTTTCCCATGTTTATCTGATTAATGTCAGGTAAACATTATCTCTGCCACTATGTGTAGGTATGTGTATGTGTGTGTATATCTATTTATCTATCTATCTACCTATCTATCTATCTATATCTATCATTATTGACTGAGTATCCTATTCATATCAAATTTCTAGGTTAAATTCAGGAAACTACAACTGATGTTTCCTTAAATTTTACTTCTTTTTAAAGTGATTCAAGTTTAGTTAATAACTATATTGTGATAATGTTAGTTTTATAAATGCCCAAGTTTAGTTAATATGCAGCTAGAGAGCTCCCGACTGGGCATTGACAGTAATATTTCACTAATAATAGTTGCCGTGAGATGGATCAAGTATATCTCAGAAGCAAGAAAGCTTGGAGAATGCTATTAACTCAGCCTTGGCCTGGGTAAATATTCTAGGAAATAGATTTGGCACTGATCTGAGTGTTTTATCAGTAATTTTTTTAAAAGGCCAGTTCAAATAATTCACCTTTCCTTCCTAAGAAAATATATGATTATTTGTTTTTTTCTTTTTTTTTGAGAGAAATGTGTGGCACTTTATTATCTATTTTTAAAAATTTTTGTGAGTGTACATAGTAGGTATATATTACATATGGTTACTTAAATTTGAGCTAAATAACACCTTATTTTGACTCTTTGGTTGAAAGAACAAGGAAGGGGTTTGGAAGACCTTAAGTGTGTTTTCAGCTTAGGCTTAGTTCCAGTAATGCTATAATTTTCAGTTTCCCATTCATAAAATTTGGCTTAATATTACCTTCCCATAACTTCATGGTTGTTAGGAAAATAAATTGGCCTTTGACAATAATTGTAACTTCAAATTAAAGATAATCAATGACTACAGAATCTTTTATTCTTCTTGTGTCTGTCTCTGACACCAAAGGGGAACTATGCCCTAGGAGAATAGAAGTAATAGTTCTAACTAGATTCTAAAACTGGCACTGGGGGAATAAAATTCCTCCTCTACCTTACTTGGAAACATTGCTCCTGAGGACCACTCCAATGACTTTCAATAATGAATCAACATGTTAATTAAGTCCCTTATCTTTCCCCAGTCTCTTCAATCAGAAGTGGGGATAGGACCATACCAAGGGGAATTTCAGTGCAGGATGTGTTGTGATGGGAGTAGTGAGTTAGCATTTGAAAAATAGAGAATTAAGTTGAATGATAATTGACTATGAAGCACAGCATTGCTTGTACTGGATAGACTCAGACATTAGTTTATCTTAAAGGTCACCCAGTCACTGCCAAGTTTATTTAGTGTGAATTTAGGGCTTATGTGACAGCCTGAGATTGCACTAGAGCAAAAGTTACAATTAATATCTTGAATAGTTGTATATGACTATAAGGATGGAAATACATCTTTCTTGCTCTGGTTTTGTGTTTTCTTTGTTAATCATCCACAAATGCTTTTTCCTGATAGAAATAGCATTTATTGGTTTCATAAATGGTATATAATGTGATAACTACCACTTCTTGACAGATTTCAACTTTCTAAAATAACATTTAATCTATAGGCTGTGAATTCAGTCACATTGCCAAATATAAATCAGAATAAAGGCAGAGCATCTTTAACTGGTCAGTTAGCAGCACTGAACCAAGATCACCATTTAATCTTCCTTCACTGGGGGAAAAAATGTTCTCATTGCAAAATTTGCATACCTGCTTTATAAACTTGTCTAGACCAGGAATTTTGGAAGAAGACAACTACATTTGACATCATTAAACATATTCAGTAACTGTTCAAGCATTTTACAGGCCTGAAGCTATTACTTGGAAACCTGGTTCTACTTTTATGACAGAAACTCATGAAAGAAAGCCTCTGCAAATACAGTGTATTGGTTCATGTCTTATAGTGTATTTCAAACATGAACAAAGCCACGTACAAGATAAGCCATTATTGACTACAGTTTCTTGTCCACAATCTATAACATTTTCCCGATGCTGCAACATAGCAATCACAAATGATGTTTACCTATGACTTGCCTAATACCAAGTATATTGTTTTATAAGTGCAAAATTTGCTTAGTAACGAAGTGATATACTTTTTTTCTTGTATGTTTTGAACTTGTTTAGTACCTTGAAATGTTTGCAGTGATGATTACTTGAAGGTGATTGATTTTATATTAATCAGGTATGATGCCTAGGCAAGCAGTTTGAATTCCTGATTCTCTAAATTATATTCATTAAGGATTATAGATTTGCTTCAATTGATTAATTTACTTTGAGACCATGTTGAAAAATACCTATGACAACCAATTCCTTTTGCTTCCCTACAGTGATTTATTAGAATAGAATGATAACCAATAACAACTCTGAAAACATCTCAGATAATTCTGTTTATTAAAGTCAGATGTTTGTCCTTTCCTTAAAAACTTATCTCACTTGTTCAAAGTTGACGTTTCACTCCATTAGAATTGGGTATGTATGTTATGCACATTGGAGAGTGAATTATTGAGCGAACCAGAAACACAGAACTTCTTTGCTTTGATATCATATTACTGTTCTCTCTGTTTACTTTTGGAGGGTGACTTATATGTGAATACATTCCAGGGTAAAATCAATGTCTCCATTTTTTTCAGTCTATACTTTAGTATTGGCCAAGTGTTGTAATGTCAGTCCTTGTTCCTAAAAAAAAAAGCCACGAATTACCTGATGTCCTAAGAAAGCAGATGCAGCTTTTGGTCTTAAGATGTCATCTGAAAGACCCTGTCCAATCAATTCTGTGCTACCCAATTTACCTGCCTTCAAAGGGTGAAGGACAGAGTTGAAACATTTGAGATTGGAATCTCTGGTTCCAAGGAAACTTGAGTATTTTGACCCTGAGGTCTCTACTACTAAGCCAGTCTTCTAGCTTCTGACAGTTCACATTTGTTGAATTCCATAACCTTGATCCTGGTCCTGTTTCCCTGTGAAATGCGTCATCATTTTTGTTTGCTCATGAAATGCATAGCACATGAGGCAAAATGTATCTGCTTCCCAGTAGCAGCCAAGCCGCAGGAATTCTGAAACGTATGTGACTGAAATGGCATCTGCAAGGAGTTGAAAGTGTCTATATTAATAGCTTTCATATGAGCAAGTCAATGTAAACTCACACCATCAGCCAATGGAGCAGCAGCAGTTCTTGGCGATTTCTATATCTGTATTCATGCAGACAACAGATGACCTTTTCCAATACCCTAGTCTCTTAGTTCCATAACCTCCTCTCCTCTAATTATCTTGACCACCCTCTACGGTATGAATGTATGTGTCCCTCCAAAATTCATATGTTGAAACTTAGTCCCCAATGCAGCAGTTATTAGATGGTGGGATTTAGGAAGAGATTAGGGTGTTAGAGTTCTGTGTTTGTGAGTGGGTGAATGGGATTAATGCCTCATAAAAGAGGCTTCACACAACATTTGCCCTTTTTGTTCTTCGGCCTTCCACCATGTGAGGATGGCAGTGTTTATCCCCTCCAGAGAACACAGAGACAAGTTGCCATCTTGGAAGGAGAGAAACTGGGTCCTGACCAGACACTGAACCTACTAGTGCCTTGATCTTGGACCTCTAGCTTCCAGACTGTGAGAAATAAATTTCTGTTCTTTGTAAATTACCCAATATGAGGTATTTTGTTACAGCAGCACAAACTAAGACATTACAATAATTCAATCCAATGGGGACACCTGAGAACTTCTCATTATCAATATTTAAAACTTTTCCAACTCAATTTGAAGTATGTCCCTCCCCAACTATGATCTACAAGGTTTAATATCACTCCTTCTAGTACTATGACTCTGAAAAATATTTCCAGCCTCCCCAGGATCTATATTATTCACTATTTCTGCTTATCCCTCACTTTCCCTTTTATGTCCTAATTTACTTCTTCACTCAATTTAGGTTCTATGGTCCACCCTTATAATCATTCCTTTACATACATGCTCAACTCCCTACACCTTATTTCACACTAGCAAAGCCCCATCCTGGTTAAATACAACTCTGACTAATCCCAGTCTGTGCCTGTCAGCTAAACATGGCTGGAACAAAATGGTAACTGTGCATACTATTGTCAGTTTACATTTATGCCATCCACCCCAGGTTGGCTCTCAGTGCTACTTGGCAATCCTATAACATTTCATTCTCCCACTTTTTGGATGGCTGTTTTATATCTTCCCTCTTTTCCTCAAAGCTCCAATACCTTCTTCCCCATTATCACTTTCAGCTGTTAAGCAAGTTTTTAATTTATCCGAGAAAATAGAAGCAGAGAATTTCTAAGAGCTGTGACTACTCTGTCATCCCACCTATCAGGATCTGTGCCCATATACTCTTCCTTCCACACTATTTTGGGTGAATTGTCCACACACCCTAGTCCTTCCATTTGTGGACTAGATCCCATTTCTTATCCTTCATCATTTCAGGATTCTCTCACTCTTTCTCTTGAATCATAATTTCTCCCCTTTCTACTGGATAATTTCCATCAGCACATACGTATTTTGTAAATTTTCTCATCTTAAAAACCTCTCTCTCAATGCCGTATCCCTTCGAGGTTTTTCCCATTTCTTTGCTCCCTTTGTAGCAAAAAATTCCTGAAAAGCTTTATCTGTATTCACTATTTCTCTCAAAACCATAGGATCAGGGCTTTTCCCCCACCACACCCCCAGACTCCACTAATGGTCACTGATGACGATTTCCACTTTGCTAAATATACTGGAATATTTCAGTCTTCATCGTACTTAGCCCATTATCAGTGTCTGATATGACTTATTACTCCCACCCCTTTGAGCTATTTCTTCACTTAGCTTCTAGGATACCACGTTCTACCCAGTTTCTTCTCAATTTGCTGGTCTCTTCTTTCATAGTTCTTTTTCATCTCTGTGAACATCAAATAATAATGTGCCTTGGAAAATCATTTGAATCCCTTCTCTTCTGTCAACAGTTACTTCTTTGGTGCTTTGGTCCTATTTAGTTAGTTTTTAAAATTGCTAAATTTACCATTGCTAAATTTTTTTTAGTAGAGTTTTAGATTTACGGAATGATTGAGCAGATCGTACACAGAATTCTATATACCTAACCCCAACCTCCTTACCCCCCCATATAGTTTCTCCTGTTACTAATATCTTGCATTAGTAGTATATTTGTTATAATTAACAAACCAATACATTATTATTAACTATGGGCCACAGTTTTCATTAAGATTCACTCTTTGTGTCATATAGTTTTATGGGTTTTGACAAATGCATGCCATGGATCTACCATTACAGTTTCATATAGAATAGTTCCACTGCCTTAAAAATCCCCTTGCTCTACCTATTAATGCTTCCCTCCCCTTAAGTTCCTGGCAATCACTGATCTCTTTACTGCCTCCATAGTTCTGCCTTTTCAAGGATGTCATATAACTAGAATCACAGAACTTTTCAGATTGCCTTTTTTCACTTAGTAATGTATGTTTAAGTTCCTCCATGTCTTATCATGGCTTGATAGCTCATTTCTTTTAAATGTTGAATAATATTTCATAATGTAGTTATACCACTATTTACCTGTTCAGCTATTGAAAGACATCTTGGTTACTTTCAGTTTATGATGATTGTGAATAAAGCTGCTATGAAGGGTTGCGTGCAGGTTTTTGGGTAGATGTGTTTTCAACTCAGGCAAATAATTAGGAGCTTGATTGCTGGATCATGTGATAAGACAATGTTTAGCTTTGTAAAAAACTACCAAACTCTAATCCAAAGTATAAAATGTTGCATTTGTACCAGCAATAAAATAAGTATCCCTATTACTCTATATCCTTGCCAGCATTTTGTATTAACAATTTTATGGATTTTAGCCATTCTAATAATTGTATAAGTGGTATCTCCTCATTGTTTTAATTTGCAGCCATCTAATAACATGTGATGTTGAGCATGTTGTCATATGCTTATTTGTTGTATATTTATCATTGGTGTGGTATGTGCTCAGCTCTTTTACCCATTTTGTAATTGGATTATTTGCTTTCTTATTGTTGAATTTTAAGAGTTCTTTGGATATTTTGTACACAAGTCCTTTATCAGATATGTGGTTTACAAGTATCTTTTTTTCCCAATCAGTGGCCTGTCTCTTTAGTCTCTCAACAGTGCAGAAGTTTTAGTGCAACTTATTAATTTTTCCTTTCATGAATTATACTTTTGGTATTACATCCCCATACTCATCACCAACCCCCCTCCTCACTCCAAGATGGAGCACATAGCCTAGGGTTCTGGGGATTGCCCAACACAATCCACTATCCAGGGAACCTGAGCATTCCTCCCAAGGGGTTTGAGTTTGGGCCTAAACTCCTGGCTACTGTTACCTCAGATGGCATCTACCTGAGAATGCCATCTGTGGGTCTGAAGACTGGCCTGCCCAGCTCATCACAGCCACTGTCAAAAGCAATACATACTTCTTGGGACCCAGAGAGTCATCTCACCACTGTTACTGCCTTTGCCCATACCATGCTGGCCTGAGAACCTGCCCACCTGCTCAGTCCACTGCTGGCACTACTGGCATCCAAGCAAGCCACCTGGATGCCCAATAATCAGGCTGCTGGTATCTACCAACATCAGTGCCACTGTAAACCACCATGGGTCACAAGGATAGACATGCTCAGCCTGCCACTTCTCCACTGGGGCTTGAAGACTGGCCTACCTGGCATCTCAGTACCCAGCGCAACTTTACCACAGCCTCCACTTTAACTGTACCCTCAAAAAGGAAATTATAGATACCACTAATGCTGTTTACTGCCAAAGAAATCATACAGAAACAATACTACTGAATGCACCTAGAATTCAAAGCCAAAGTGCCCTATCTAACCAACACAGGAAATACACTTTCAAGAAAAAGTCCTCTCCTATGAAGGTAAAAATTAAAAAATAGAAAGAGGTGACTGTTACAACAGAGGTGCAGATATCAACATAAAGACATGGGAAACAGAAAAGCAAAGAAATATGACACCTCCAAAGAAACACAATAACTCTCCTGCAATATATCTTAATCAAAAAGAAAATTTTTAAATCCCAGAAAAAGAAATCAAAATATAAATTTTAAAGGAGCTCAGTGAGATACAAGTGAATTCTGTAAGACAATACAATGAAATCTATAAAGCGGTTCAGGATTTGAATGAGAAATTTGCCAAAGAGATAGCTATTTTGAAAAAGAATCAAATAGAAATTCTGGAACAAAAAATGTTTTGGAGGAAATACAAAAAAATATATATATAAGCTTCAACAATAGATTAGATCAAGCAGAAGAAAAAAAAAATCTCAGAACTTGAGGACAAATCTTTTGAAATAATCCAGCCAAGAAAAATAAAGAATGAACAAAGCCTTTGGGACATTTGGGACAACATAAAATGACTGAATATTTAATTTTTTTGTATCACTGAGGACATAGAGAAAATGAAGGGATTAAAAAACTTATTTAAAAAATAATAAATCTTTCCAAGACTAGCTAGAGATGTAGACACTCAGATACAGATGGCTCAGTGTTCCCCAGGTAGTTATAATGCAAAAAGCTTTTTCTAGGGTACATTATAGTCAGACTGTCTGATATGGTTTTGCTGTGTTCTCACCCAAATCTCATCTTGAATTGTCGTTCCCATAATCACCACATGTCATGGGAAGGATCCAGTGGAAGGTGATTGAATCATGGGAGCAGTTACATACATGCTGTTCTCACGATAGTGAGTTCTTATGAGATCTGATGGTTTTATAAGGGGTTTTTCCCTTTTTTCTCAGAAATTCCCTCTCTCCTGCCACCTTGTGAAGAAGGACATGTTTGCTTCCCTTTCCACCATGATTGTAAGTTTCCTGAGGCCTCCCCAGCCCTTGAGAACTGTGAGTCAATTAAACCTCTTTCCTTTATAAATTACCGAGTCTTGGGTAGTTCTTTATAGCAGCATGAGAATGAACTAATGCAGTAAATTTGTACCACAGAGAGTGTGGTGCTGCTATAAAGATACCCAAAAATGTGGAAGCAACTTTGGAACTGGGTAACAGGCAGAGGTTGGAATAGTTTGGAGGGCTCAGGAGAATACAGGAAGACGTGGAAAAGTTTGAAACTTCCTAGAGACTTGTTGAATGGTTTTGACCAAAATACTGATAGTGATACAGACAATGAAGTCCAGGTTGAAGTGGTCTCAGATGGAGATGAGGAACTTCTTGGGAACTGTAGCAAAGAGGCTGGTGGCATTTTGATCCTGCCCTAGAAATCTGTGGAACTTTGAACTTGAGAGAGGTGATTTAGGGTATCTGGCAGAAGAAATTTCTAAATGGCAGTGTTCAAGAAGTGATAGAGAATAAAAGTTTGGAAAATCTGCAGCCTGATGATACATTTAGAAAAGAAAAACTCATATTCTTGGTAGAAATTCAAGCCAGCTGCAGAAATTTGCAAAAGTAATGAGGAGCCAAATGCTAATCACCAAGACAATGCGGAAAATGCCTCAAGGCATTGTCAGAGACCTTCATGGCAGCCCCTGCCACCACAGGCCTAGAGGCCTAGGAGGCAAATATGGTTTTGTGGACTGGGTCCAGGGCACCCCTTGCTGTGTGTAGCCTCCAGATTTGGTGTCCTGCATCCCAGCTGCTCCGTTCATTGCTAAAAGGGGCCAAGGTACAGCTCAGGTCATTGCTTCAGAGGGTGAAAGCCCTAAGCCTTGGCAGCTTCCATATGGTACTGGGCCTGCAGGTATGCAGAAGACAAGAATTGAGGTTTGGGAACCTCCACCTAGATTTCAGAAGATGTATGGAAATGCCTAGATGTCCAGGAAGAATTTTCTGCAAGGGCAGAGACTTCATGGAGAACCTCTGCTAGGGCAGTGTAGAAAGGAAATGTGGGGTTGGAGCCCCCACACAGAGTCCCCACTAGAGCACTACCTAGAGAAGCTGCGAGAAGAGGGCCGCTATCCTCCAGACACCAGAATGGTAGATCCACCAACAGCTTGCACAGTTTGCCTAGAAAAGCCACAGACACTCAACACCAGCCTGTGAAAGCAGCTGGGAGGGGAACTGTACTCTGTGAAGCCACAGGGGTACAGCTTCACAAGACCATGGGGGCCCACCTATTGCATCAGTGTGACCTGGATTTGAGACATGGAATCAAAGGAGATAATTTTGGAACTTTCAGGTTTAATGACTACACCATTGAATTTCAGACATACATGGGTCCTGTAACCCCTTTGTTTTGGCCAATTTCTTCCATTTGGAATGGGCGTATTTACCCAATGTCTGTACCCTCATTGCATTTAGGAAGTAACTAACTTGCTTTTGATTTTACAGGCTCATAGGTGGGAGGGATTTGCCTTTTCTCAGATGAGACTTTGGGCTCAGACTTTTGGGTTAATGCTGGAATGAACTAAGACTTTGGGGGACTGTTGGAAAGGCATGCTTGTGTTTTGAAATGTGAGGACATGAGATTTGGGAGGGGCCAGAGGTGGAATGGTATGGTTTGGCTGTGTCCCCAACCAAATCTCATCTGAATTTTAGTTTCTATAACCTCTACACTGTCAGCATTAGGAACCCAGTGGGAAGTAATTGAATTATGGGGGGCAGTTATACCCATGCTGTTCTTGTGATAGTGAGTGAGTTCTCACAATATCTGATGGTTTTATAAAGGCCTTTTCCCCCTTTGCTTGGCACTTCTCTCTCTCCTGCTGCCTTGTGAATAAGGATGTGTTTCCTTCGCCTTATGCTATGATTGTAAGTTTCTTGAGTCTTCCCCTGCCCTGGAGAACTGTAAATCAATTAAACTTCTTTCCTTTATAAATAACCCAATCTCAGGCAGTTCTTTGTAGTAGCATGTGAATGGACTAATACACTGTCTAAAGTCAAAGATAAAGAATGAATCATAAAAAGAGCCAGAGAAAAGCATCTAGTCACCTATAAAGGAAACACCTTCAGACTAACAGTGGAATTCTCAGTGGAACCTAGTAAGCCAGAAGAGGATGGGGTAACATATTAAAAGTTCTGAAAGAGACAAACCCAAGAATACTATATCTAACAAGATTACTTTTATAATTAGGAGAGATAAAGTCTTTCTTAAACAAGTAAGTATCAAAGAAATCTATTACCGCTATACCAGTGCTACAAGAAATGCTCAAGGGAGTTATAAACCTGGAAGCAAAAGGACAATATTTACCATCATGAAAATACATGAATGTATAAAACTCATTGGTAAAGCAATCACAGAAAGGAAGAAGAGAATGGACTCAAATGGTAACACTACCAAAATCCACAAAACCATATTGACAGGCAAAAAGAGAAGAAAAAAGAAACAAATAATATCTAAAGCAACCAGAAAACAATGAACAAAATGACAGGAACAAAGCCTCACGTATCAACAATAACCTTAAACCTCGGTTAAAAAGATATAGCACAGCTGAATGGATAGAAAAACATAATCCAACTATAAGATGCTTATATGAAACTTATCTTACCAGACATATGTGACAGAAAAGAGACGGAGAGCTATTCCATAAAAACAGAAACCCAAAGTGCACGGGAGCAGTTATATCAGATAAAAACACCTCAAAGCAAGAAGAATAAAAAAGAGAAAGAAGGTTATTATGTAATGATAAAGGAATCAATCCAGCGGGAAGATATAACAATTCTAAATTTATATGCACTCAACAATGAAGCACAAATATTCATAAAGCAAATATTATTTGATCTAAAGAGAGAGAGAGAAACTGCAATAAAATAATAGTGGGGGACTTCAACACCCCACTGTCAGCATTAGGCAGATTATCTAGGCAGAAAATCAACAACAACAACAGCAACACATTGGATTTAAACTTAACTTGATACCAAATGGACCTAATAGATATTTAGAGAAAATTCCATCCAACAACTGAAGAATTACCTTTTTTTTTTTTTTTTTTACATTAGCGCATGGAACATTCTTCAGGCTAGACCGTATGTTAACCACAAAACAAGTCTCAACAAAGTTTAAAATATTGAAATCATATTAAGTGTCTTCTCAGACCACAGTGGAATAAAACTAGAAACCAATACCAAGAGGAACTTTGAAAACTATGTAAATACATGGAAATTAACCAATATATTCCTGATTAACCATTAGGTCAATGAAGAAATTAAGATGGAAATAAAAAAATTTTGTGAAACAAATGAATATGGAAACACAGCATATCAAAACCTGTGGGATACAACAAAAGTAGTGTTAAGAGGGAAGTTTATAGCAATAAATGCCTGCATCAAAAAACAGATTACAAATTAACAACCTAACAATGCACCTGAAGGAACTAGAAAAGCAAGAACAAACCAAGCTCAAAATTTGCAGAAGGAGGGAAATAATAAAGATCAGAACAGAACTAAACAAAATAGAAACGAAAAATAATACAAAAGATCAATGAAACTGAGAGTTGGTAATTTGAAAAGATAAACAAAATTGAGAAACTGCTATATAGACTAAGCAAGGAAAGAAGTGAGGAGACCCAAATACAATCAGAGATGAAAAAGAAGACATTACAATTGATACCACAGAATACAAAAGATTATCAGAGACTATTATAAACAACAATACCCTGATAAACTGGAAAACACAGGAGGAAATGGGTAAATGCTTGGAAACATACCATTTACCAAGATTGAATCAGGAAGAAATAGAAAACCTGTACAGAGAAATAATGACTAGTGAAATTGAATCAGTAATAAAATGACTCCCAACAGAGAAAAGCCCAGGGCAGGATAAATACACAGCTGAATTCTGTCAAATGTACAAAGAGCTAATACGAATCCTTCTGAAAGTATTCCAAAAAATTTAAGAGAAGGGAACTCTCCCTAACTCATTCAACAAGACCAGCATCACTCTGATACCAAAACCAGACTGGGACACAACAACAAAAAAACTGCAGTTCGTATCCCTGATAAATATCACACAAAAATTGTCAACAGATTACAAGCAAACTGAGTCTAACAGCACATCAAAAAGGTAATACACCACAATCAAGTGACTTTCATACTGGGAATGCAAGGACAGTTCAACATACACAAATCAGTAAATGTGATACATCACATCAACAGCGTATATGACAAACTCACAGCTAACATCATAGTAAATGGTAAGAAATTGAAAGTCTTTCCTCTAAGAACTGGAACAAGATAAGTATGACCACTTTCACCACTCCAAAATCTGTATTAGTCAGGGTTCTCTAGAGGAACAGAACTAATAGGGTAGATGTATATATGAAGGGGAGTGTATTAGCAGTATTGGCTCACATGATCACAAGGTGAAGTCCCACAATAGGCCGTCTGCAAGCTGAGGAGCAAGGAAGTCAGTCCAAGTCCCCAAATTTCAAAAGTAGGGAAGACAACAGTGCAACCTTCAGTTTGTGGCCAAAGCCTGAAGGGCCTCTGGCAAATCACTGGTGTAAGTCCAAGAGTCCAAAAGCTGAAGAATCTGGAGTCTAATGTTTGAGAGCAGGAAGCATCCAGCATGGAAAGAAAAAAAGATGAAGTATGAAAAACTCAGCAAGTCTGCCCTTTCAGTCTTCTTCTGCCTGCTTTATTATAGCAGCTCTGGCAGCTGATTAGATGATGCCAACCCAGACTGAGGGAGGGTCTGCCTTTTCTAGTTTACTGACTGGAACATAGTACTGAAAGTTCTGACCAGAGCAATCACACAAGAGAAATAAATAAAAGGCCTCTAAATAGAAAAAGAGAAAGTCAAATTGTTCCTCTTTTCTTATGATATGATCAGATATAAATCTGATAAACCCTGAAGACTTCACCAAAAAACTCTTAGATTTGATAAATGAATTCAGTAAAGTTGCAGGATAGAAAATCAACTATAAAAATTAGTAAAAGTTTTTACACCAATATAACCTAGCAGAGAAAGAAATCAAGAATGCAGTCCCATTTATAATAGCTACAGAAGAAAATGAAAATATCTTGGAATAAATTTAACCAAGGAGGTGAAAGATCTCTACAAAGAAAATTACAAAACACTGATAAAAGAAATTGAAAATGACATAAACAAATGGAAAAACATCCCATGCTCATGGATTGGAAGAATTAACATCATTAAAATGACCATATTGTGCAAAGCAATCTATAGATTCAAAGCAATCTCTATCAAAATGTCAACATCATTCTTCACAGAATTATTAAAAAAATTCTAAAATTCATATGAAACCAAAAAAGAGCTCAAATAGCCAAAGCAGTGCTGAGCAAAAAGAACAAAGCTGGAAGCATCACATTACCTGATTTTAAAATATATTACAAGGCTGCAGTAACCAAAACAGCATGATATTAATATAAAAAAATCACATAGACTAATGGAACGTAATAGAGAATCCAGAAATAAAGCCATGTATTTACCACAATTCATCTTTGTCAAAACCAATGAGAACTTATGTTAAGGAAAAACACCCTCTTCCATAGACAGTGCTGGGAAAATTGGATAGCCACATGCAGAAGAATGAAACTGGATTTCTGTCTCTCACCATATACAAAACTCTACTCAAACTGGGTTGAAGAACTTAATCATAAGACCCAAAACTATAATATTAAAAGAAATCCTAGGGGAAACTCTCCTGGATATAGGTCTAGGCAAAGAACTTACGACTAAGGCCTGAAAAGCAAAGGCAGCAAAAAGGAAAAATAGACAAATAAAACTTAATTAAACTAAAGAGCTTCTGCAGAGCAAAATAAATAAGCAACAGAGTGAAGAGACAACCTGTTGAATGGGAGAAAATATTTGCAAACTATTCATCCAATAGGAGACTCATATCTAGGATATACAAGGAACTCAAACAACAAGTAAAAAACAAATAATCACATTAAACGGTAGGTAAAGAACATGAATAGACACTCAAAAGATATGACAAATGGCCAACAGGTATATGAGAAATGCTCAACATCACTAATCATCATGGACATTCAAATCAAAACCATGATGATATCATCTTGCCCCTTTCAGAATGGCTGTTATTAAAAAGACCAAAAAAAAAAATGTAGAGCTTGGTGAGGATATGGAAAAAAGGGAACTCTTATAACTGTTGTGGGAATGTAAGCTAATATAGCCACCATGGAAAATAGTATGGCCATTTCTCAAAAAAAACAAAAATGAAAACAAAAGCAAACTACAATTCAATCCATTAATTCCACTACTAAGTATCTACACCAAAGAAAAGAAATCAACATATCAAAGGGATATCTGCACTGGCATGTTTATTGTAGCACTATTTATAAGAGCAAAGATATGGAATCAACCTAAGTGTTCATCAATGGATGAACTGATAAGAAAACGCAGTGTGTATATGTATCAGGATATAAAAAATGAAATCCTGTCATTTGCAGCAACATAGCTGGAAGTTGAGATCAGTGTTACATGTTCTGACTTATATGTTGGAGCTAAAAAGTTTGATCACATGGGTAGAGAATGGAAAGATACATTACAGAGACTGAACAGGGTGAGTAGAGGGCAGGAGAAGGATGAAGGCAAGTGGGTTAAAGGGTACAAACATGGCCAGGTGCGGTGGCTCATGCCTATAATCTCAGCACTTTGGGAGGCCAAGGTGGGCAAATCACAAGGTCAGGAGATCGAGACTATCCTGGCTAACACAGTGAAACCCCGTCTCTACTAAAAATACAAAAAATTAGCCAGGCGTGGTGGCGGGTGCCTGTAGTCCCAGCTACTTGAGAGGCTGAGGCAGGAGAATGGCGTGAACCTGGGAGGTGGAGCTTGCAGTGAGCTGAGATCGTGCCACCGCACTCCAGCCTGGGTGACAGAGTGAGACTCCATATCAAAAAAAAAAAAAAAAAAGGTACAAAGTTAAAATTAGGTGGAACTAATAAAGTCAATGTTTGATAGCAGAATAAAGTGACAGAAGTTAACAAAATGTATTGTACTCAGGATATGGGCATCCTAAATACCCTAAATATATATATAATATATATATATAAAATATATATTTATATATAATATATATATTATATATAAATATATTATAATATATATAAAATATATATATATAAATTTCACATGTACCCCATAGAGTTGTACAAATTAAAAAGAAAAACCAAGATACAAACACATACCTTAGCTTAAGCCTATACAGGGTCAGGATGATCAATATCACTCTCTTCCACCTCCACATCTTGTCCCACTGAAGGCCTCTAGGACCAATAACATGCATGGAGCTGTCATCTCCTATGATAACAGGGCCTTCTTTTTGAGTACTTCCCGAAGGACATGCTTTAGGCTGTCTTTGCAGTTTGCTTTTCTTATATAGGTAGAAGGAGTACACACTAAAATAACAATATAAAACATAGTAAGTAAATCCTAGGCAATAGGTACTTTTCAACTCCACTATAATCTTATGGTACCACTGACATACATGCAGTCTTTTATTGACTAAAACATCATTTTGTGGTTCCCAACTGTATTTAAATTTTTGGTGCTAATGTAAATGGTATAGTAATTTAAACTTCAAATTTTGATTGTTGATTGATGGTACATAAGAAGGCAATTTACTTTGTATACTAACCTTTTATCCTGCAACCTTGTTATATCCACTTATTAGTTCCAAAAGTTTTTGTTCTTGTTGTTGTTGATTCTTTGGGATTTCCTTAATAGACAATCATGCCATCTGTGAACAAAGACAGTTTTATTTCTTCCTTCCCAATCTGTATACTTTTCTTTTCATGTCTTATTGTATTAGCTAGGACTTCCAGCATGTTGAATAGGAATGGCTAGAAGGGGCATCATTCCTTTATTCCTGAAATTAAAGGGAAAATAGTGGTTTTCTGTTTGCTTTACCATCAAGTATGATGTTAGGTGTGGGGGCTTTGGGGGGTATATGTTCTTGATCCAGATCAAGAAGTTCTGCTCTATTCCTAGTTTACTAAAGTTTTTACCATGAGTGTTTGATTTTGTCAGATGCTCTTTTTGCATCTGTTGATATGATCATACGATATTTCTTCTTTAACTTGTTGATGTGATGAATTACACTAATAAATTTTTGAGTGTTTAACAAATCTTATATATTGTCCTATGTTTCTAAGACTTTAAAAACCTTTTATGTGTTGGTGACTTCTAAACTTATATCTCCAGCCTAGACGTATCTTCTACATGTCTGTCATTTCCTAACATTTTCTAAACTGAACTCCAGGTCATAGTTAACAAAAATGCTTCTCCTACAGTCTTTCTCATCCCAGTGAATGTAGATTGTATTATTATATGGCCTCTTCCAGAAAGGGCTACAATCCTTGGCTCCTCTACAATGGAACTCAGGACTATAGTCACCAACATTTCTGTGCTTTTGCAACATGCCTCTGGAGTGGAATTGGCACTCGGGAACAGCAGAAACATAGAAAAGTCAGAGACAGATGGCATGCCTAGATTCCAAGACTATTGTACCACGGCATGAACAACCAACAAAAGAGTGTGTGGAGACAGGAGTGTGGTATTAGAGTTCCTGAGAGAGCATAAGTTAAAAAATAGAAGTTTCAACCAGAGAGCCAAGAATCTGCTTTACTGTGTGAACCCATCAGGCTTATTCCAGCAGGAATTTTCTGCATGAGATAACAAGTAAAGTTATCCCATGGCAAGAAAATTATAATTAAGGAGACCCTACGTTTCCTAGGGCAGTCTCAATACATGCCTGCTGTAGATTAGTTATTTATGTATCTTCAGTGCCTTCTTTCACTTTCAACAGTGTCCTAATTTGGGTGATACATTATTTGGTTGCTTATTTATAACTCATGGGACATTAAAGGAAGTTGGATGGCTTCTGGAGATGGAAACTCCATGTGGAAGATTTGTGGGGAGGATCCAAACCATCTTCCTGTTTACATCAGGTCTTTGGTCTAGTAGTTTAGGGGAAGCAATGGAAGCAGGTTGTACTGGGTACTTCCATTTACTGAAATCTCAACGTTATTTTAGAGTGGCATAAAATTGCTGCTAGGAAAAGAAAAAAATGACCTTTAAAATTAACTAGAAACATGAACGGAATTGAGATGTTTCAAAAGCTGAGAAATTGAACTATATTATGGAGAGTTGAATCTGGGAAAGGAAGCCTGGAGATTCAGACATGAGACCATATATCCCATTTTAAACTTGAGTGTTTAGTGCTGGTGTAGTTTTAGGAGTATGCATAGTGTATACATATAATATATACACAATATACATATACATCCAGCATACATATATATGTACAGATATACAGATACATGTAGTATACATAAAAGACAAAACACAAATACAATATATACAAATACATACAATACAAAATAATACAAATACATAATTACATAGAGATACATTTTGTATATTGTATGTATATTGATGAAGTGTCCTCTCAAGTAAGTCTGGTAAAACCTCTGCTGAAATATGTTTGCTCTAGATGCCACATGCAATAAGACAGCACTGAGTGCCCACACTAAGGGAATAAAATTAGAATTTATTATTGATTAAAGCCAAGGAACAGAGCTATATTAAGAAGCTGGTGGAATAAAAAAAAAATGATGTAGCTCAGCAAAGATATGATGTTTTCTCCTCCCTGAACTTCCCCCCATTAAGGAGAGAATGGGAGTTGGACAATGATTCGGAGAGAGGCAGGGAGTGACAATACTGGGCAAATGGGACTTGATGGCTTCCTAACTTTTCATGAGGGTTATATGCCTGTATTTACCCCTCAGAGGGATCAGATGCATCTTCCCCTGAAACTCTTGTTCCCAATGCCTCTGGGTTAGTGCGTATGAGACTAGGAAATGCATCCAGGATAAAGAAGTGACACGAAAGTAGGGAAGTCTTCCTGAGAAGGTAATGATCTCAGAATTCAATGTGGACCAGCAGAAGTACTCTTGTAGGAAGTAAGAATTTGGTTGATTCTAACCCTACTGGAAACAAGAAAATAAAAATTGGTTGATTATTGGAGGCAAGATGAAGCAGGTAGAAAGAGACAGCATATAGTCTTGTAAGGAAAGAAAAAAAAAAACAGAGGGGCTCTACTAAGCAGGCTGGGTAAGTAAAACTTCTATGTGTCCGTTGGGTGGGGTGGGTCCCACCAGAGCAGACTACTGGAGGTGGTCTAGGTGAGAGCTAATTGTGCATATCTCTTTCCATCTCCACATTCAGTGAGATCATGTTGGTAGCTTGAAATTAGCCATGGTGAAAGTATTTAGTGTTCATGGTGTGGAAATAGGCAAATGATGCAAATCAGAGTTTGCTTTTGAATAATTCTCCCAGAGAACTGATTGTTAAGTATTTATCAACACACCATTGGGTCTTAGACTCTTTGCTGATAGAAATCAGAAATTCACATGTTGAATTATATTTTGTATCATCATGAGCTCTTAAGCTTATCTGTTAACTTGCTTTGTTGACAGAAAAACTGGTATGACCTTACTCCAGAGTGACTGAAGGAGGTCTGTCGTGTAAGTCTACCAAGGCCCAGTATTTAATTCTGGGTCAAAATCAGGGCATTTCTGCCTTGGGATTGCTCGAGCTTCAGAATAACCCTGTCGTGAACTTAGTGCCCTGGGTATTTTTTTGCTTCTGAATGGCCAGATTGTTTATCTGGAGGTGAGAAGGCTGGAGAAAAACAATAGTGTTACCCTTTTTGAATTTCATTGCGTGCCAGAAAGTCTGTGGTTGGTAGACAGCCTTATTATGCCAGTCTCTCAGGGGATTATTTCTGAATTTCAGAACTATTTAAAGAAACACAAAGCCCTAAAATTTTATATGAGTATGACAAAATGCAATTTGATGCTGATTAGATTTTGTCAGGACCTTAAGCCTAAAAGTATGTAGTGATTTTGCACACAGCTGTTAACCATTCTTTTAATACTGTTGTTTAAATATTGGAAAAAGTCACTGCTAATTGTAAATAGAAGACTCACATGGACAATAAAAAAAAAACTGTTTAACTTTCTTAGAGTAAGTCTGTAGGACACAGAACAACTCCAGTATTTTCATACAATAAGAAGCCATATGTTTGGTATAAAAAAAGAAAATAGCATCTTCTGTTTATGAGAGGTAAAATTAGTGTTGAAAAAATATGCATATCTAAATTGACACTTTCAGGAGGCAATTAGCCATGTAGGATGGCAGCATCTAGCTGAGTGGAGGCTTCTGGAGTTAATATCATATTTTGGAGGTAGAAACAGCAAAGAGGCTAGTTTACTTATGAACCACAAATAACTTAATAGAGACTGGATTGTTAAGAGGCAATCTGATGTAATTTGCTTTTAAATTTAGTCATCAGAACACACAATAACTATTATTTGAAGCTCCTGATGCTTTGGGTATGGGAGTACTCACATCTATCTTTGATTTCACCATTCTGTGTTTCCTTTGAGTGGCCTGAGAATAGTCAAGGTTTTTAGAGATTTCTTACTTCACAAGATCTCCATAGCTGGAGAGGGCTGATGTTGAAGTTGGCTACTCTCAGTTATTTTTGTCTTCTCTTAAGCCATATGAAATTCTTCCAAACTCAGGTGGGGGATGAGGAAATATGTGAGAGAAGCAAATGGAAGCTGAGCCCTGTTTTAAGTGTCTGCATGCATTTGTGTGTCCAGTCATTTATCTTCCCCCTTTACTTTAACAAATATTTTAAGGAAGCATTAAAAAAATACATTTAAAATTGGAAAAATTAAATGAGACAATAACAGCAGTGCGAACATGTGCACAGACATTGTCAATCCCATGCCCCACCAGTGTCATGCCCCTGCGACATCACTGCCACTGCTGGTGCAAGTGCATGCAAGAATGCTGCCACTCTGCTCTTGCCATTGCCCTTCCCCAGCAGACATGTATGTACCCCACCATGCTGCTATAGTTGCTGGAATGATTGAGCACACATCCTGCTGCCACTGTCCTGCTGAAGCACTTTGGCTGGCACCCCCCTTCAGTGTTGTGGCCAGTGGATTGGGAATGGATAAGTGCCTCCAGCACAGCAGGTTGCTAATCTCAAGGGGCTAGAAAACAAAGCCAAGGGCCTGGTACCAACCACCCAGAATTGGAGCATGAAGCCTAGGAGTGTTGAACTGAGACTTGGCTCCCTAAAATCTTCTAGAAATGAAGCCAGTCAACAAAACACCCCCTCTCCTTTATATCACAATTAAACCCCCAATGACATCAACTAAGATAAAAGAAAAATAACCTTATCCAAAAGATAGCAACTTTAAAGATTGATGGAACATCAGCCCACACAGACAAGAAAGGAACAGCACAACAACTCTGGCAACTCAAAAAGTCAGAGTGTCTTCTTACCTCCAAATGACAGCACTAGTTCCCTACGAGTTCTCAATCAGGCTGAAATGGCTGGAATGACAGACATAGGTTTCAGAATACAGATTAGGAATGAAGATCATTGGGATTCAGGAGAAAGTCAAAACCCAATCCAAGGAATATAAAGAATATAATAAAATGATAAAGGAGCTGAAAGACAAAATGGCCATTTTAAGAAAGAACCAAAGTAATCTGATAGAGCTGAATGACTCACTTCAAGAATTTCATAATACGATTGCAAGTATTAACAGTAGAATTGACCAAGCTGAGGGAAAAAATTTGTTTGAAGACCAGTTCTACGAAATAATTCAGACAAAATTAAAGAAAAAAATAATTAAAAAATGAACAAAACCTATGAGAAATAGGAGCTTATGTAAAGACAGCAAATCTACAACTCACTGGTGTCCCTGAAAGACACCAGTGGAAAGAAAGCAAGCAACTTGGAAAATATATTTCAGTATATTGTCCATAAGAATTTCCCCAACCTCACTAGAGAGGCCAACATGCAAATTCAGAAAATGCAGAGAACTCCTGCAAGATATTATACAAGACAACCATCCACAAGTCGTCATATTTTCCAAGGTCAAAATGATAGGAAAAATGTTAAAGGCACCTGGAGAGAAGGAGCAGATAACCTACAAAGGGAATCCCAACAGGCTAACAGTGGATCTTTCAGCAGAAACCCCATAAGCCAGAAGAGATTGGGGGCCTATATTCAACATTCTTAAAGAAAAGAAATTCCAACCAAGAATTTCATATCCAGTGAAACTGAGCTTCATAAGTGAAGGAGAAATAAGGTAAAAGATCTTTGTCAGATAAGCAAATGCTAAGAGAATTCATTACCACAAGACCTGTCTTATGAGATGTCCTTAAGAGCATGCTGAATATGGAAAAGAAAGACGATTACTGGCCACCACAAAAACACACAAGTAAGTGGTCCGTTGACATTATAAAGCAACTACACAATCAACTCTGCATAATAACCAGCTAACAACATGACAGGATCAAATCTGCACATATCAGTATTAACCGTGAAAGTAAATGGGCTAAAAGCCCCCAGTTAAAAGGTACAGAGTGGCAAGTTAGATAACTGTATGCTGTCTTTAAGAGGCCATCTCACTTGCAATGGTATCAATATGCTCAAATTAAAGGGATGGAACACTGATAGATATATACCAAAAGAAAGGAAATCAGTATATCAAAGAGATATCTGAACTCCTATGTTTGCCACAGCACTGTTTACAATAGCTAAGATTTGAAAGCAACCTAAGTGTTCATCAACAGATGAATGGATAAAAAAAAGTGATACGTATATATAATGGAGTACTATTCAGCCATAAAAAGTAATGAGATCCAATCAATTGCAGCAGCATGGATGGAACTGGAGGTCATTAAGTTAAGTGAAATATGCCAGGCACAAAAAGATAAACATTGCATGCTCTTACTTATTTGTGGGATCTAAAAATCAAATCCATTGAACTCATAGACATAGAAAATACAACGATGTTTACCAGAGGGTGGGAATAATAGTGGGGGCCTAGGGAGGAGGTTGGGATGGTTAATGGGTACAAAAAATAAACTGAATAAGACTTATTATTTGATAGCATAACAGGATGACTATAGTCAATAATAATTATACATTTTAGAATAATGTAATTAGATTGTTTGTAACTCAAAGGATAAGTGCTTGAGGGGATGGATACCCCATTCTCCATGATGTGCTTACTTCATATTGCATGCCTGTATCAAAACATCTCATAAATATATACACCTCCTCATAAATATATACACCTCCTTTGTACCCAGAAAAATTTAATTTAAAAAATTAAAGGGATGGAATAAAATCTACCAAACAGAAAACAGAAAAAAGCTAAGCTAATTTCAGACAAAATAGACTTTAAAGCAACAATAACAAAAGACAAAGAAGGGCATTACATAATGGTTAAAAGTTCAATTCAACAAGACCTAACTATCTTAAATATATATGCACCCAATACAGGAGTGCCCAGATTTATAAAACAAGTTCTTAGTTCTTTGAATCCTACAAAGAAACTTAGATAACCACATAATAATGGTGGGAAATTTAAACATCCTCTTGACCGTATTTGACAGATCATCAAGGGAGAAAACTAACAAAGATATTTGCAACCTGAACTTGACGCTTGACCAAATGGATCTAACATATATCTACAGAACTCTCCACTGGAAAACAAAAGAATATTGTTTTCTGTGCATTTTCTTCTCATCATTCTCCTCATCTGCACATGGTATATACTCTAAAGTTGATCACACAATCATCCATAAAACAATTGTCAGCTAATTCAAAACAACTGAAATCATACTAATCACACTCTCAGACCACAGCACACTAAAACCAGACATTAATACTAAGATCACTCAAAACCCTACAATTACTTGGAAATTAAACAACCTGCTCCTGAATGACTTTTTAGTAAATAATGAAATTAAGGCAGAAATCAAGAAATTCTTTGAAACTAATGAGAAAAAGGATACAACATACCAGAATCTCTGGGACACAGCTAAAGCAGTGTTAAAAGGAAAGTTAATAGCACTAAACACCCACATCAAAAAGTTAGAAAGATCCCAAATTAACAACCTAACATCACACCTAGAGAGACTAGAAAAACAAGAGTGAACAATTTCAAAGCTAGCAGAGATGAGAAATAACCAAAATCAGAACTGAACTGAAGGAAATTGAGACATAAACAGACTTACAAAAGATCAATGAATCCAGGAGTTTCTTCTTTGAAAGAATAAATAAGATTGGTAGACTGCTAGCTAGGCTAATTAAAAAAAAAAAAGAAAAGATCCAAATAAACACAATAAAAAATGACAGAACATTACCACCAACCCCACGGAAATACAAAAACCCCTCAGAGACTACTATGAACACATCTATACAAACACACTAGAAAACCTAGAAGAAACGGATAAATTCCTGGAAACATACAGCCTCCCAAGATTAAACCAGGAATAAATAGAGTCCCTGAACAGACCAATAATGAATTCCAAAATCGAATCAGTAATAAAAAGCCTACCAACTACGTAAAACCCAGGACCATATTTATAGCCAAATTCTACCAGATACATAAAGAAGAGCTGGTGCCATTCCTACTGAAACCATTCCAAAAATGTGAGGAGGTTGGACTCCTCCCCAGCTCATTCTAGGAAGTCAGCATCATTCTGACACCAAAACCTGGCAGAGTTACAACGAAAAAGGAAAGCTTCAGGCCAATATTCTTGATGAACATTGATGCAAAATCCTCAATAAAATGCCAGCAAACCAAATCAAACAGCATATTAAAAAGTTAATTCACCACAGTCATGTAGGTTTTATCCCTGGGATGCAAAGTCATTTTGACATATACAAATCAACAAATGTAATTTATCACGTGAACAGAACTAAAAACAAAAAACCATGTGACTATCTCAATAGGCGCAGAAAAAGCTTTTAATAAAATTCAACATCCATTCATTTAAAAAACCCTCAACAAACTAGGCATCAAAGAAACATACCTAGAAATAATAAGAGCCACCTATGACAAACTCAGAGCCAACATCATACTGAATGAGCAAAAGTTGGAAGGATTCCCCTAGAGAGCTGAAACAACACATGGATGTCCTCTCTCACCACTTCTCTTCCATAGTACTGGAAGTTCTAGCCAGAACAATCAGGCAGGAGAAAGAAATGAAACACATCCAAATAGTAAGAGAAAAAGTCAAACTATCTCTGTTTGCAGATGATATAATTCTATACCTAGGAAACCCCATAATCCCTCTCAAAAAGCTCCTGGATCTAATAAGTAACTTCCACAAAGTTTCAGGATACAAAATCAATATACAAAAATCAATAGTATTTCTATACACCAACAATGTCCAAGCTGAGAGCCAAATCAAGAACTCAATCTCATTCACAATAGCTACAAAAAGAATAAAATACCTAGGAATACAGCTAATCAGGGAGGTAAAAGATCTCTACAATGAGAATTACAAGATACTGCTGAATGATACCAGAGATGACACAAACAAATGGAAAAACATTCCATGCTCATGGATAGGAAGAATTAATACTGTCAAAATGGCCATAAAGCCCAAAGCAATTTACAGATCCAGTGATACTCCTATCAAATTACCAATGAGATTCTTCACAGAATTAGACAAAACTATTTCAAAATTTATATGGAACTAAAAAAGAGCTTGAATGGCCAAAGTAAACCTAAACAAAAAGAACAAAGCTGGAGGCATTCCATTACCCAACTTCAAACTATAACACAAGGCTACAGTAACCAAAACAGCATGGTGCGGGTACAAAAAACAGACATGTAGACCAATGGAAAAGAAGAGAGATCCCAGAAATAAAGCTGCCCACCTACAACTATATGATCTTTGACAAAGTAGACAAAAACAAGCAACAGGGAACGGAATCCCTATTCAATAAATAGTCTTGGGATAACTGGTTAGCCATATACAAAAGATTGAAACTGAACCGCTTTCTTACACCATATGCAAAAATTAATTCAAGGTGGATTAATGGCTCAAATGTAAGTCCTAAAACTATAAAAACCTGGAAGATAACCTAGATAATACCATTCTGGACATAGGTGAAGGTTTCATAATGAAGACACTGAAAGCAATTGCAACAAAAACAAAAATTGATGAATGCTACTAAACTTAAAAGCTTCTGCACAGCAAAAGAAACTACAAGCAGGGTAAACAAACAACCTATAGAATGGCAGAAAATATTCACAAACTATGCATCCAAGAAAAAGCTAATATATAGCATCTGTAAGGAATTTAATTCAACAAGCAGAAATCAAATAACTCCATTAAAAAGTGGGCAAAAGACATGAACAGACACTTCTTAAAAGAAGACATACAAGTGGCCAAAAAATATATTAAAAAACCCTTAACATCATTAATCATCACATAAATGCGTATCAAAACCACAATGAGATACCATCTCACACCAGTCAGAATAACTATAATTAAAATATCAAAAAATATCAGATGCTGGGGAGGCTGTGGGGAAAAGGGAATGTTTATACACTGTGGGTGGAAATGTAAATTAGTTCAGCCCCTGTGGAAAGCAGTGCATGTGCATGTTCATAATAGTTCTATTCACTATAGCAAAGACATGGAATCAACCTAAATGCCCATCAATGGTAGACTGGATAAAGAAAATATGGTACATATACATCATGGAATACTACACAGCCATAAAGAGAATGAGATCACGTCCTTTTCAGCAACGTCAGTGGAGTTGGAGTCATTATCCTAAGTGAACTAATGCAGGAACAGAAAACCAAATACTGCATGTTCTTACTTAGAAGTGGGAGCTAAACATTGAGAACACATGGACACAAAGAAGGGAACGATAGACACCAGGGCCTACTTGAGGATGGAGGGTGGGAGGAGGGTAAAGATAAAGAAACTACCTACTGGGTACTATGGTTATTACTTGGGCGATGAAATAATCTGTACACCAAACCCCTATGACACACAATTTACCTATATAACAATCTGCACATGTACCCCTGAACCTAAAAGTTAAAAGTCAAAAAACAAAAAATAAATAAATGAGACAATGAGACAAATAAGTGTAAGGAATATTAGTAATCTATAGTTCATGTACATGTTCATGTACATGTACGTGTTCACCAGAGATGGAGCACACACAACTCTCAGCTCTCCAGGATCCAGCACTAAAGCAAAACATGATTGGCTTAATGTCTTAGAATGTCCATAAAACAATACAAACCACTTGCTCAGAAAAAGCAAAGCTATTCCTACCACTAGAAAGATTTCTCTTCTGGATCCTCTTAAAGAGGACGCTGTAAAATCCCAAGCAAAATCCTCAGCAGCATCCTTACAGCAAATGAGCTGTAGGTTTTTGTAGGTCTCTCACTTGGCAGTGTTTTTCAATGTGGGCTGACATCATCATGCCAAAATGGAATTCTAGAAACAAATGTAGATGGGTAAGGCCACTGTGGTGCAAGCAGGCACAGAGCTGTCTGATAATCTAGCTTAATGTAAGGGCAGATTTTATGGTTTTTAGCAAATGGATAGGCAGAATGGAGGGACTGAATATCCTTTGGGTAATTCTCCATAAATAATATACCTCTCAGATGGAATTTTGGTAAGTATAGTGGGGCAGTAAATTCAGTGTTAGCTTCCCTGACAGGTAGCCAAATTATAGAGACTCTGTAACTATAGTATTGTATTTAATTTTATCCTATGAATGGTCCTTGGAGTTATTATTTTGAAGGAACATATTATTCTGAAGGAACATAAGAGTCAAGGGGCAGTGAGTAACCTGTGCTGAGAGTAGAAAGCTAGTGTGAGGGAGCTTTGAAGGGTAAATGTGAGTTACAGTCTGGCTGAGAAATCTCTTAAGACCGTAAGCTTTAAAAAGAAAGCCTAGGCTGGGCGCGGTGGCTCAGGCCTGTAATCCCAGCACTTTGGGAGGCCAAGGTGGGCGGATCACCTGAGGTCAGGACTCCGAGACCAGCCTGGCCAACATGGTGAAACCCCGTCTCTACTAAAAATACAAAAATTAGCCAGGCATGGTAGTGCACACCTGTAATCCCAGCTACTCGGGAGGCTGAGGCAGGAGGATCACTTGAACCTGGGAGGCAGAGGTTGCAGTGAGCCAAGATCATGCCACTGCACTCCAGTTTGGGGGATAGAGCGAGACTTCCTCTCTAAACAAACAAAAAGAAAACCTCTAAAGGCAGATTAAGAGATGGCAAATTATCAAGGTCTGTTGAAAGCAAATTGAACTTAACTGAAATAAACCCGAATTACACAAACTTATTCTTGAAAAGAATTAATAAACAGGCTAAAGTGGAGAAATGTACTGGAGCAAATGACATGTTAAGGCTAAGTAAAATCGATACCAAACACTTTGTCTTGGTCACTCCGGTTGGTTGGTAAGTAGGCAAATGAGTGCAGAGAGTGGGGAGTGGTATATGGAATGAATTGTGCAGGAGTCAGACCAGAGGACTGAGGGAGACAGTTTCTGGAATGCTATGTGTGAAAGTGGAGAGACTGGATTTCCCATATCTTAGTTCATTCAAGCTGCTATAAGAGAATACCATAGACTGGGTAGCTTATAAACAACAGAAATTTATTTCTCATGATTTTAGAGGCTGGGAAGTCCAAGATGAAGTACCTGGCAGATTTGGTATCTGCTGTGTCTTGGTTCATGGATGACCATCTTCTTTCAGCATCCTCACATGGCAGAAAGGGGCAAGAGAACTCCCTGGAGCCTATTTTATAAGGACATTAATCCCATTCATGAGGGCTGTGCCCTTATGACCTAATTCCTTCCCAAAGGCCCCACCTCCAAATACTCTGAAATTGGGGATTATATTTCAACATATGAATTTTGGGGGACACAAACATTCAGTCTTTAGCACCCATCTATGTTGAATGAGTTACCTGTTCTGAGGCTCTGCTAGGAGTTGAACTGTGTCCCTCAAAATTCATATGTTGAAGTCCTAACCTCCAGTGCCTCAGAATGTGACCTTATTTGGAAATAGGGTTGTTGCAGAAGTAATTAGTTAAGATGAGGTCATCCTGGAGTAGGGTAGGCCTCTAATCTAATATCACTGGTGACCTTATGAAAGGGAAAAATTGGACACAATGACACACAGGGAGAATACTGCATGGAGACAGAAGGAAGTTATTTTGTCACAAGTCAAGGAGCTGCCAGAAGCTCGGAGAGAGGCCTAAAACAGACCCTATTCTAGTGCCTTCTGAGAGAGCATTTCCCTGCTGATATCTTGCTCTCAGACTTCTGGCCTCTAGAACAGTGAGACAATACATTTCTGCTATTCAAGCCACTCAGTTTGTGGTATTTGTTACCTCATCACTAGGAAATGAATGCAGGCTCCCATGGGGTATCCCCCAGCCTGATTCTGGGTTTCCTACCTCTCTGAGTGGGTTCAGAAGACAGCAGAAATCTGGAGGAAGACCCCTGGTCAGGGAACCTGCAGGCAGTGTAGAAAGAAGGTGATAGATTAGCAGGGTGCTAGTTTGGGGCAAAAACTGAAAGGGCAGGCTGTGTATGACAGGCAGTCAACCATTTAGCAGGTGGAAGGCTTTTCCTGGGCAGCAGAATCAGATATCATGTAGCAAAGACTGGGCCTAGAAGTAAGGGGTAAAAGTTTGGGAATGCCTACCCCGCTGGGCATGCGACCACCGCAGAGGTGTTGAATCAGCAGAGACTGTGAGGACTCTTACCAGGAAATGTGAAAGCTGGAATCCTGTGGGTGGATTTTTGGAGTTTCTGAGATGTCTTTGTCAGTTATTTAAACTCACAGAATGCGATAAATTTATTGATTACATATCAAAACCAAAACTGGTGATGATGTGAACTGAAGAGAGAAGGAAGAAAATTCAAATGTACACCCACTCACACACATACACACTGCAAGTTAAGTTCTACAAATTTGATGTTTTTTGGAGTTGGACCTCAGACTTACGTTTAGACCTATAAATTCCCCCTATATTTGATTTTCTGCTCTCATTTCCTCTATGTTCACCTCTGATAAAACTGACAGTCATGGGGTTTGTATATGGTCAAGGGAGCTCTGCTACATTTTGTTAGAGGATCTGGTTAATTGCCAGGGTTTCATACTTAATTGGTATTCTGGAAAGTACCTTGGGATTTCCTTTTGAAATTAAATCTTTGCATCTAAAACATGTGTTTTCATTATCGCTTTATTGATACCTTATGCAAAAGTGCCAGATAGACAGTGTAAAGAAAAAATGATAAATTATCACAAAAGAAAGTCAAAATGTTATTTCTTAGGGTATATAAAACAATGCTACATTTCAACATGGCTATAAAAATTGAAGGTTAACTGCAAAAGATAAACAGAGAAAAATAGGTGATTGGATGATTAACTGTAGCATAAAATATGCAAGCCTAGTTTAGGAGTCATGATAAATTGGAATGTTACTTTTATTGAAGATAAGGATGAAGAGAAATAGAAAAAAGATTAAATAAAACTCTTTCTTTAGAGATGGAAAATAACCAGTTAATAGGTTGAAGATTCAAGAAAGAAGACTAAAGGATCCACTGAAATTAAACAAGAAAAATGACTACATAGCATAAACAATACTTAATATTGAATTTTAACATGGTTGTCATATTATCCTGTATTTTCTCTAAATTTGAAAACATGACAAGATAATATGCATTTCCTGCATAAACTTGTGTAGCACTTAAAAAATATCTACATGAGTAGACAAAGCCTTAAGCAATGTGGCTTCATGTGAAGGTAGGTAAAATGGTGAGATTAAAAGGCTCGCTGATTGCTTGTCAATCATTTGGAGGCCCATTGGCAGAAGAGGCACTAGACCTCTCTTACTCTTCCTGCCTAGCTAGCTTCTTTTCTGCCTCTCGTTTGATAACCACATGATGCTTCAACTCTCCTTAGGTTGAAGAAATAGGTCTATTGAATCCTACAAACCACACAGAGACAGAAAGGATGTGTATCAATGTATTGTAATATTTCACAAGAAAATAGGTTTTAGGTTTCTCACCTACCACTAGTGTGACCTTGAGATGTTAGGTACCCTATATCTCACTCAGTTGTAAAATGAGGGTAATACATATTTCACCTGGTAATCATAAGGATTAAATGAGATTGTGTGTACATATCACTTGGTACATAGATCCAATTATGATTAATATTATTGTTAATCTTTAAGGCCCAGTGATAAGAGGTTGATTAAGCCCAATTATAAAACATGAAAGAAAAAAATTCTAAATGTTATCATTTATCAAATCGTCTCACTTTTCCTTTCTTGGTCTTTAGTCTTGGTTTTGATCACAGAGCTTTGTTTAAAGTTGTATTTCATTAAGGCAATGAAGAATTATTGAAGGAGGGAAATCCAGAGCAGTAGTTTTTGATTCTCGTTGCATATTAGAATCGTCAAAGGCAGAATTTCTCAAACCAGTACCACTGATATTTTCAGTCAGTAATCTTTGATATTGGTGGTAATCCTATGCAATGTAAGATGGTTAGTAGCATCCCTGACCCTTACCTGCTAGATACCAGGAGTACATCCTTCCCCCCATTCCCCATAGTGATAATCAAAATATCTTCAGATAATGCCAAATGGCCTTCCTTAGGGGACAAAATTATCTCCAGTTGAGAAAGACTTACCTAAAAAGAAAGCTGTGATTTAAATGCTATGGGTATACACAGACATTGGTATTTTTAGAAACTCCCTAGGTGAATTTACATGGAATCAGAATCATATCTGGAATCAAATATGAAATCAAATTTGGAACAATTTGACAGGGAATCTATATTTTGATTAACTTGGCTATTGACCACTCTGAAATTCTGAATTAGTTGTAAATTTTTAATGAATGAATGATTTTCTTAGAGTTCAGCAAAAGTTGTTGATGGTAATAGTGGCCTAATACCATTCTCATTATCATTTCCATCTGGATAAAAAATATTTGAGAAAATTTACCTGAATTAAAGAATGGCCAGAGAATACATTGAAGAAATAAGCATTGATGAAGAAAAGAAAACTGAGTGAGTTAAGAAAGCAAGTAACTTACAAACTGTTTTTCATTATTATTGAGACTTAGACAATATGAATCATAGTTGATTGGTTTCCTGGAGCTAAGAGCAATATAAAATAATGTAGACACAATGAACTTTTCCCAGCATTCTATACATTTATTTCCTTTACAACTGATCATCCAATTGAGAATTTTAACCAATTGTCAATTAAGGTCAAAATTTTGGACAACCCATTGATTTTCATATTTTTCATAGAAGTAGCGGTACATTAATTTCCTCATTTTAGTTTAATGTAATAAAATAAATAAATAGAAAATTTTGTTGATATATAATAGTTGCACATATTTTGAAGGTACATGTGATATTTTGATACTTATATACAATGTGCAATGATTGTATATTGTACAATCAAGATAACTGAAATATCCATCACCTTGAACTTTTATTTTCTTGTGTTGGCAATATTGTAATTTTTCTTTTCTAGTTATTTTGAAATATACAATAAGTTGTTGTTAACGATAATTTCCCTACTGTGCTATTAGATACTAGAACTTATTCATTTTATCCAACTGTTTTTTTCTTTTTTTTTTTTTTTTTTTTTGAGACAGAGTCTCGCTTTGTCACCCAGGCTGGAGTGCAGTGGCGTGGTCTCAGCTCACTGCAACCTCCACTTCCCAGGTTCTTGCAATTCTCCTGCCTCAGCCTCCTGAGTAGCTGGGATTACAGGTGCCCACCACTATGCCCGGCTACTTTGTGTATTTTTAGTAGAGACGGGGTTTCATCATCTTGGCCAGGCTGGTCTTGAACTCCTGACCTCGTGATCCACCCACCTCGGCCTCCCAAAGTGTTGGGATTACAGGCGTGAACCACTGCACCTGGCCCAACTGTATTTCTGTACACCTTAACCAACTTCTTTTTATTCCCCCTCCCCTTTTTCTCCCCAGCCTCTGGTAGCCACCATTCTACTCTCAACTTCCATGAAATTCAATATTTTAACTCCCACATATGAATGAGAACATGCAATATTTATCCTTCTGTGCCTGCTTATTTCACTTAACATAGTGACCTTCAATTTCATACATGTTGCTGCGAATGACAGGATTTAATTCTTTTTTAATGGCTGAAAAATGTTCCATTGTGTATATATACCACATTTTCTTATCCATTTATCTATTGATGTACACTTAGGTTGATTCCATATCTTTGCTGTTGTGAATAGAGCTGCAATAAGCATGGTAGTAGTACAGATTTCTCTACTACTTTTCTTGTCTCATTACCTTTATTTCTGCTCTAATCTTTATTTATTTTCCTTCTAATAATTTTGTGTTTGGCTTCTGCTTGCTTTTCTAGTTCCTTGAGGTGCATTGCATTGTTAGGTTGTTTATTCGAAGTCTTTCTAATTTTTTGATGGAGGCATTTATTGCTATAAACTTCCCTCTTAGTTTGGCTTTTGCTATATCCCATAGGCTCTGATATATTGTGTTTTATTTTCGTTTGTTTCAAGAAGTTTTTGATTTCCATAATTTCTTCCTTGACTCGTTGGTCATTCCAGAACATGTTGTTGAACCCATGTGTTTCTCCAGTTTCCAAAGTTCTTCTTGTTATTGATTTCTAGTTTAATTCCATGTGCTCAGAAAAGATACTTGATATGACTTTGATTTTTATAAATTAGTTAAGATTTGTTTTGTGGCCTAACATATGGTCTTTCCTGGAGAATGTTCCATGTGCTGATGAAAAGTATATGTATTCTGAAGCAGTTGGGTGAAATGTTCTGTAAATGTTAAGTCCATTTGGTCTAGAGTACAGTTTAACTTAAATGTTTCTTTGTTCTTTTTCTGCCTGGATGATCTGTCTATTGCCAAAAGTGAGGTGTTGAAGTCCCCTTCTGTTATTATATTAGGGTCTATCTTTCCCTTTAGTTCTATTAATATTTGCTTAATATAGTTAAGTGCTCTGATGTTGAGTGTATATATATTTACCATTGTTATATCTTCCTGAATGGACTCTTTTATCATTATATAAAGACTGTCTTTGTTTCTTTGTATAGTTTCTCACTTAAAGTCTATTTTATCTGATATAAGTATAGCTACTCTGGCTCTTTTTTGCTTTCCATTTACATGAAATATCTTTTTTATTCCTTCACTTTTAGTCTATGGCTGCCTTTAGATGTGAAGTGAATTTCTTGTAGGCAGCGTATAGTTGGGTCTTGTTTTTTTATCCATTGAGCTATTCTATGTCTTTTAATTGGATAATTTATTTATATTCAATATTATACTGATAGGTAAGAACTTACTACTGTCATTTTGTTCTTTGATTTCTATTTGTTTTGTAACTTTTCTTGTCTTACAATCTTCCTTTGGTTAAGTGATTTTCTCTGGTAATGTGTTTCAAATTCATTGTTTTTTATTTTTAGTGTTTCTATTAATAGCATAAGTTTTTCCTTTGTGATTGCCATAAGGCTTATTAAAAACATAGTATTGTTATAACAAGTTATTTAAAATGGATACCAACTTAATTTTGGTGGCAAAAAAAAGGAATCAAGCAAACAAAAAAATCCTGTATACATTAACTCCCTTCTCTTCCCACGTTCTGAATTGCAGATGTCACAATCTCCACTTTTTGTATTACCCATCTCTTAACAAATTGTTGTAGTTATTTTTAATAGTTTTGTCTTTTAGTAGTCTTAGTAAAAAGAAATGGTCCACACATCACAACTACAATATTAGTGTAACAATTATGTTAGTGTCTTTTTCTTTCAGTTTGAACAACTCCCTTTAGCATTTCTTGTAGGAAAGGTTTAGTAGCGATAAATTTTCTCATCTTTTGTTTGTCTGGGACAGTCTTTATTTTTCTTCATTTCTGAAGGATAGTTTTGCTGGGTACTGTACTATCCGTTGCTAGTTTTTGTTGTTGTTGTTGTTGTTGTTTTTTCATTCCTCTAACTATATCATCTCACTCCCTCCTAGCCTGTAATATTTCTACCGAGAATCCTGGTGCCAGGCATATTGCATCTCCCTTACATGTTTTTGCTTTTTTTCTTTCACTATTTTCAGGATTCTCTCTGTGTCTTTGACTTTTTTTGTTTGTTTGTTCGTTTGAGATGGAGTCTTGCTCATGTTGCCCAGGCTGGAGTGCAATGGTGCAATCTCGGCTCACTGCAACCTCTGCCTCCCAGGTTCAAGCGATTCTCCTGCTCAGCCTCCCGAGTAGTTGGGATTACAGGTACCCACCACCACACCCAGCCAATTTTTTTGTATTTTTAGTGGAGATTGGGTTTCACCATGTTGGCCAGGCTGGTCTTGAACTCCTGACCTCGGGTGATCCACCTGCCTTGGCCTCCCAAAGTGCTGAGATTACAGGCATGAGCCACCATGCTCAGCCTGTCTTTGACCTTTGAGAGTTTTATTACAATATGTCTTAGGGTATTCTTAATTGGGTTGATTGGTGATCTTTGACCTTCCTGTACCTGAGTATTTGCCTCTTTCTCCAGGTTTGGAAAGTTTTCTGTTATTATTTCTTTGAATATGCTTTCTGTCCCTTTGTCTTTCTCAGTTACCTCTTTAACTCCAATAACCTGAATATTTGCTCTTTTGATATTGTTCCATAAATCTCATAAACTTTCTTTATTCCTTGTTTTTCTTTTTTCTTCTCTGCCCGTATATTTTCAAATGGTCTATATTTGAGCTCACTGATTCTTCTGTTTGATCAAGTATGCTCTTAATGTTCTCTATTGCATTTTTTTCAATCGACTAATTGTATTTTTCAGCTCCAAGGTTTCTGTTTGATTTTTTAAAATTATTTTAATCCTTGCTAACATTTGTCTGATGAATTTCTGAATTCTCTGTTTTCTTAAAAATGTCACTGAGTTTCCTTAAAACAGCTTTTTTTCAAATACTTTGAGAAATTACACAGCTCTACTCATTTAGGGTTCATCTTTGGCACCTTATTTTGTCTATTTGATGAGATCATATTTCTCTGAATATTCATGATGCTTGTGAATGTGCAATGATGTCTGTACATTGAGTATTTATTTTCGTCTTCACAGACTGGCTTTGTTTATGCCTACCCTTCTTCAGAGGGCCTTCCCAGGAATCTAAGCAGACTTAATTGCTGAGTTCCCTAAGTCTATGACTACTGCAGCCATTTCAGCATTGGGGGAGTGGGGGTTGTTCTAAGCCCCACTTGCTATGAGTCCTGTGAGGACTCCAAGGTTGATGTGACTTTCTGGCCCAGATGGACCTGGTAAAGACCCAAGAAGGGTACTAGGGCTATGTGGGAATGCTGGCTAGGCACCTAAGTCCAGAAAACTGTCCTGGAAGCTCAGACAAGTTGGCTTCCCAACAGGTCTCTGCACAGATGAGATGAGACCTTAACCTTATGGAGATGGACTGGAATTGATACTGGGCCCCCTTGGGATCTCCTGTGGGTAGGAGGCTGGTGGGTCTGTCTCATTGGCTCAGACATTCATGTGTCACCCAAAGGGCCCTGCATAGAGAGGGTAGTTCTTTGACTGCAACAAGAGGGCCAGAACTGAGATTGAGCCCCACTGGGATATGCTGTGGGACAGAGGCTGGAGAGTCTAGTTTTGGCTCAGAGAAGTGTCTTTTGCCTAGTAAGTTTCTTCATTGACAGGATAGTTCCCGGTCTGCAGCAGGAGGGGCTGGAGATGAGAGTGCGACTCTGGGATTTGCTGTGAGGTAGAACTTGGAGAGCCCAGTCTGGTTGGCTTATCTCCCAGCACATCCCTTTGCATGTGGGATAGTTCCTTGACCGCAGCAGAAAGGGCCACCATTGGGACTGTATACCCTTGGGATCTGCTGTGGGATGGAGACTAGAGAGCCCATTAGGGAGGCTCAGACTCCTGGGCTTAGAGATATAGGTGAGTCTCCTTCTAGGTCCTTGTACAAGCAGCTATGAGCTTAGACCTCAATAAAGGGAGGCTGGAACAAAGCCATGGGGGAACTTTTAGGTTCGATGCGAAGAACAATATCAGCAGGTAAAGGAGCCTTTCCACAAAGGCACTAGTGTGTTGGATTCCTTCTAGACCCCTTGGCAGACAGTGGTTTTGGTTACAGGCTCAAGGCCAAACAGGGCTCTAGCCAAGCCCCTAGGAGGATTGGGCCATTTCTGGCCTTGAATCTGAGAGCAAGCTCAGTGGATCAGTCACCTGGGTTTTGGTGTGCATTCTCAAACAACCCTCCAAGGTCTTGGAACCCACCACAGCTTCATAAACTCCTACCTGAATCCTGAGGCTACTGTAGAAAGACTTTTGATTGTGAATGGGTATAGAAATCTTATTGTTATGGAGGGGGATATTAGTGGTTTACCTTCTATTCCACCATCATGCTGACATCATTCCTTATAAATAATTTCATATCTTAAAACATGATCCAGACAGATATGGTTAAATATGTAACAGTCACCCTTTTAAAAATAACTTTAAAAGTTACTTTTAATATAGTTACTCTTAAAACCAAACATTTTGCATTTCCCTATAAGCATAGAACCAAGAAACTATGCATATGTTACCTTTCATGGCAAAATAAACTTTGCAGATATAATTGACTCATGGATCTCGATACAGAGAGATTATCTGGATGGTCCTAATGTTATCACATGGTCCTTAAAAATGGAAGAAGGAGGCAGAAGAGTGAGTTAGAGAGGGAGATAAACTGATAGAAGTGAAGACCAGAGAGATGGTAGTGTGAGAAGAAATTGGCATGACATTTCTGGCTTTGAAGATGGAGGAAGGGGGTCATGTGGAAAAGATAAAAAAGTAAATGATACCTGGAGCTCCCAGAAACAATGCAGTCCTGCCAACACTGTGATTTTAGCCCAGTGAGACTATTTAGACTTCTGACCTTCAGGACTGAAAAATAATAAATTTGTATTGTTTTGAGCTACTGATTAGTGGTAATTTTTACAGTAGCAACAAGAAACTACTCTTATACCAGGTCTTTATAATCTTTTAGTAATATTTGGGATTTCTCCTAGATATTGTGGTACACTAAAAAATTTTTGAGGAAGGATGTTTGCTACATTATAATTCACAAGGGAAAACAACTGTAAATAATCTAAAGATCCAATAATAGAAGAATGATTAACTTATGGTTCATCTATTTAGAGGGATCTTATGCATTTATTTAAAATCATGTTTGAAAAGAACAAGTGCTGTGGGAAATGCTTATGATGTAACCAAAATTAACAAGTGAAACATATAACACTACATTTAAGGTGATAATTTGATTGGAGGTATGGTCTTTTTCCTAGATAGACTTTCATAAGGATTGTTGAATTGGTTTCAAAGGTTTATAAATCACCTAAGGGACACTGAAACCCAATTTAAAAATAATCTTATTTAAAGAATGACCTCAGTTCTATTTAAAAAAACAGATTTAGGTGTATGTACTAATATACATGTATGGGATTATATACAGAATTTATTTAAAAATATTACAGTGGTAAATTATAAAATTCATTGACTATGATCTTGTTTCTATTTCAGTTATCTGTAGCTTGATCACTTGATGTCTTTTATTTTAACAAAAAAATCCATTCTTCATTAAATTAACTAGCATGTATAAATAGTAATAACCTCAACACTTACAATTATGTTGTAACTTCCTAGATACTGCATTTGAAAGCAGGGATCAGGTGTCATTTAATGTTTTCTTGTATTTTTTCTCTATTATCAAATCATAGCATCTTATTCACAAATATCATTTACTATTTTTTACTAACATTTTGTAAATCCTGTTTTCATTGGTTTTTGAGTTTAGTATTTGTCCGACCTCTCAGGCAGAACTGAATCTACCCTGACATCTGCAGAGAGTTTAGGCAAAATGCAACGTTAAAGGGATGACAAATTAGTAGTCAGTACACATCAGTACTGGAGTATGGTATCAAGAACAAATCCCTTGGAACTAAGTCATAAAAGATGTTGTAGATTCCACCTCATACCATGAGACACTTACTCTTGGAACCCACACACCATGATATGAGGAAGTCAAGCAACCATAGAGGCCACCTGAATGTGTACTAGGTCTAGTCCTAACTAAAGCCCAGCTAAGAGCTAGCATCAACAATCAGACATGTAAGTGAGTGAGCCTTCAGATGATTCCAGGCCTCAGGCTTTGATGTACCCCTTCTGACACCAACTGGAGATGAAATGAGCTGTCTCCAGTAAGCCCTGACCAAATTGCAGATTGGTGAGCAAAACAAATGCCATTGCTTTAAGCAACTCATTACATTTTGGTGTGGATTTTCATATAGCAATAGAAACTTGAATGACCTCCATATTTCTTCCAAGCCAAATATACATTCCTTTATCCCTCAGTATTCACTGACCCCTAGAATTAACCTACTTTTCTAGTCTAAATCTCTGATGCTCCATCACTCATGCATTGCCATATTCACATTGAGCAATTATTATTGTCTTTCACTCTCTCCACATAAAGCTTAGTAATATTTTATTCCATCTATGCTCATCTAAATCCTACCCATTCAAGGTTCATAATTAAAGCCATGAAATGCAGATTTGTTCTCTTGCTTTTGCCATATCCAAGACCCCTGGTCTGGTGCCAGTAGCCTGATTTTCTTTTTGAGAAACCACACCTTCTTAACAATCTATCCAGAGGCTTCAGGTAGGGGAAACTTTAGACTCCATTTTAAGGTGATCAAGGGACCCACACTTAGCCAGTTGGCATAGTCTATCTTCCTGGCTAGTATGACTAGTTCAAGGGTGAGCACATGCCCCAAGTTTGTTCACTGAGACTGAATCCTGGATTTTTCCCAGAGCAATTTTTCAGTAGCACCTGCTGAACCATGAGGCTGTCAGCTCAGACAGGGTGAATGCCTGCCTGAGAATGAAGCCAACCCAGAGGAAAGCAGAGCCAAGCATCATATTTCTCCCAGCATCACTGGAGCATCTGGATGCAGCCATGCCTAAAGATTGGTCCTGCCTCCACCCACAACTTCTTAGTTTTGTCTGCCAAACAATTCCTTTTCTGGCTGAATGCCAGTCTGAGTTAGATTTCTATTACTTGGTAACTAAAGAGTCCTGGAGAGTATAGAGCACATCTTTCTAGTTGATATGGCAGTCCCTGGGTGCCTACTTCAAATGTGATCCTGCACCTGGAGTTGGGATACAAATATTGAGTAAGGCAGGGTCCATGAGGCTCAACCTTATTCCCACCATTCTTCCAGTGGAATTCCTCATGATGCCATTTGATTACAGCACATCCCAGAGCCATTTTGCAGTGTAAGTTGCAGCACACATGCCATTATAAGTGGTGCGAAGACAAGAACTATTTACTTTATCTGATTACATAAGAATCCATATCTGAAACTGCCAGGCATATAATGGGTACTCAGTAGATCTTACCTCCTTCTTCTTTCATATTACTCCTCTCATGGGTCTTGTTCATGGTTGTTGAATGAACTATACATTAATTACTGCCTTTAAGTAATACTAGATAACATTTATGGAACAATTATTATGTGCCAGGCATGAGTACTATCTCAATTAATTCTCACAGTAACATAAGGTATGAACTATTCTTCCTTTTGTACAAGTGGACAAACCTCAACAAAGTAAAGCTTGAAGAGTTAAAACAATCCCATCCCTAGTCTCACAGCTAGTAAGCTGCAGAATGAGGACTCCAACTCAGATATCTCTCACACTAAACTATTATTTATTTAGCTCATAGTCACCAACTGTATAAAATGCATACGATTTTCTGCTTGAAAAACTCTAAAATACCTGTTTTGAATCAAGTTATATTTGCTAGGCTAAAAATCCTTGAAAGCTTAGGAAGTCAGTTCTCCAATTAGTGCAGCAGTACTGTCCAGGCTATGGAAGCAACTTAGCAGCATTTGGGGAGGTGGATAGGCTAAGTTAAAATTTGGAAGACATTGCCATAAGCCAATCGCAGAAGTAAATTGCCTGAGCTTTGTTCTTTCCACATCAGCCACAGATGTGAAGAAAATGACAAGAGTAGAAATTGCAAGAGCCTTTGCTAAAAAGTATTGCAAATCCTGTGGCTGTCAGCCAGGAGAAAGCAGTGTCTCTGGTTGTCACAAGTGCATAAAAGAACAAAGAATTGCAGGCTGTGGGGAAAAATGATGGGGCTGGAAATGAAGAGCTTATGAGGAAACAGAAAATAAAAATCTAACCAAGGATAAATGGAGATGAAAGGGACTTGAAGTTTTCAGGAAGACCTGTACAAAGTTCAAATGAGTAAATGTAGGGAAATATGCCATTTGTGGAGCTGCAAGGTAAGTTTTCTACTCCTACCCTCTCAAGAAATAGAACAGGCTCACTATTAAAATTCTGGTAGTTTTTTGCCGGAGAAGGAAATGAATCCACAGGCAAATTGAAAAGGATGACCATATAATCTAGTTTTTTTCTTACAGTACAATATAAAATTAAATATTTGTTATAGACTAAAAATATCCTTGAAAAAGGCAGCTTTTTTTCCCATCTTAATTTTCTGATGGGCCTTATGCAGAGTCCTTAGGTAAATTGCTCCCAGGAGTCATGGCACTGTCCCCAGCCTATTCCTGTGGTCTCATTGAGAGCTGGAGACATAAGGGGAAGACGGGGACATAGGGATGTACCCTGGTCTTAGGAGACCTGCTGGAGAAAAGAGAAGAGGAGCTTCTGTTACATGTATTTTTCAGATTCTCATTTTTGATATCTGAAAAATAGACTATGAAAACACCTCTAGTGGTCATTTGCAGGGTTAAATGGATAACGTATGTAAAATCATTCATCTCATTAACTAATATACTTTCCCACTAGTCTGAGAGCCCCATGATGGCAGAGACCACATCCCTTTTGTTCTCTCACTGCTGTGGCCATAGTGCCTGGCACAGAGGAGAGGCTAAACAAATATGTGTTGGATTAAATAAATACCTGTTGGTTATGCATTCACAAAGATGAAAAATGAGTTTTCTCTTATGTTAATTCAAAAGTAATTTGTGATAAGCAAATAATTTCCAAAGCTAAATTTGCCCCTAAGTAATCAAAGAGATCCTGAAGATGAACTAAAATGGTCATTCACATTTAATGACAGAAACAGAGGGACAACGGGCTCTGAGGACATTTCCTCATAATAATGACAAGAGTCCTTTCTAATCGATATGCTCTGTTTAGAGACCATCATCTTAATCAAAAGACACCTTAAGTGACAATTTACATGTGGTCCTTTAAAAGTGCCAAGTAGCAAGGAAAAAAATCCCTTGAACATCATTCTTTTTTGCATCTGTTCCCAGAAGGAATGAAAACAACATAGCAATTAAAATTTGCTAGGTGATGCTGAAAAACCATTACAATTTTGCTATTCTTCTTTCTAGTACCAGCTTAGAGATAACACTTCCAAAAAGCCTTTCTCTGCATTGGAGATATATAAATTATTAGAGAGGTAGGAATAAGAGATACTAATCGTATTGATAGATAAGATCTGTTGTGGGCTATGGTAGCACATATGAGAGCTGGGTGGTGAGGAAGAGGAGGTAGGGAGGGGAGGGCATGCCGAGAAACTAGTACTAGAAGAGAGTGATGTCCAGTTGGAATCTTGAGGATAGGTCAGTTAACCAATTCATTGAACTCTTTCAAAGTTCCTGTAATGAAACTATCATTCTTATTTCATAGGTGATATAATACTTCAGCTGTCTGAAAGTAAGTCACTCTCCAAAATTCATACTATTTCTACTATACTAGCATTTTACAACTTTTCTTTTGTTTCTGGTCCATCTATCCTTTTCACAAGATTAAATACTTGTGACTCTATTAAAGATTATTGTAATTATTCTTTCATTTTCACATAATTTATTTTTTTAATTCTAAAATACTTTGTTAGATGAGTGTAAGTTAATGGCCATATTATAGGGTGTAATTTTAATGTTTATAATCTTTGATTACATTTATAATGTATAACAATTAATTTTTGTCCATTTAACAAATATCACACGTTGAATTTACTACAAAAAAATAAGAAAAATCATGATTTGGCAATATGTAAATTTATAAACATTATATCATTTTTGGCTTAGAGATTAAAACCATAATGAAATATAGATTGTTTATGGATCATGACATCAACAATGAATAAAAGCTGCCTTCATGTAATGTTTAGAAGTTTTGAATGTTTTATTTAAAAATCAGTTAGTTAATTTTGATAATTTCCATGTTTTATTTCTAAATTACAAGATAAGCTGGAAGGTATTAGGCTGCTATTGGCAATCATTTACCCATAAGTGAGATGTTCCAGATGTTGGTAGCCTTTATTACTAATAAAGAAAAAGCTATATCAGTTCTATTTTTCACAGTGCTTTCTCTTTTCAGTGTTTTCTTTCTTAGCAGAGACTCCCTACTGGCCTATATTATGAGCATATACATATGCCCTACACATCTTTTCTAAAACGTTAAAACAATTTATTTTTTCACACAGGGTCTCACTATGTTAACCTGGCTAGAGTGCAGTGGTGTGATCATAGCTCACTGTATCCTTCTGGGCTTGAATGATCTTCCTGCATCAGCCTTCTGAATAACTAGGACTACAGGTGCGCACCACCATACCTGGCTAATTTTATTTTTGGTAGAGATGAGGTCTCACTATGTGGCCAAGGCTGGTCTTGAATTCCTGGCCTCAAGTGATCCTCCCGCCTTGACCTCCCAAACTGCTGGGATTACAGGCATGAGCCACTGCAACTGTCCTGATCTACACATCTTATGGGGAACATCTTAAGGCACATATCTTAGTTAGTTCTACTATAACAAAATACCATAGACTGGGTGGCTTAAACAACAGGAATTTATTTCTCACAGCACTGGAGGCTAGAAGTCCAAGATCATGGTGCTGTGACCATTTGGTTCCCAGATGAAGTCTTTCTTCCTGGCTTCTCATGTCT